>NC_000012.12:5668920-7083650 GCF_000001405.40 Homo sapiens
CAGCACCATGGCGTTTTGGTTACTGTAGCCTTGTAGTACAGTTTGAAGTTGGGTAGCGTGATGCCTCCAGCTTTGCTCTTTTTGCTTAGGATTGTCTTGGTTATACAAGCTCTTTTTTTAGTACCATATGAATTTTAAAATCGTTTCTTCTAATTCTGTGAAGAATTTCAATGGTAGCTTAATGAGAATAGCATTGAGTCTACAAATTACTGTGGGCCATTTTCACAATATTGATTCTTCCTATCCATGAGAATGGAATGTTTTTCCATTTGTTTGTGTCCTCTCTTATTCCCTTGAGCAATGGTTTGTGGTTCTCCTTGAAGAGGTCCTTCACTTCCCTTTGTTAGCTGTATTCCTAGGTATTTTATTCTCTTTGTAGCAATCGTGAATGGGAGTTCATTCATGATTTGGCTTTCTGCTTGTCTGTTGTTGGTGTATAGGAATGTTTGTGACTTTTGCACATTGATTGTGTATCCTGAGACTTTGCTGAAGTTGCTTATCAGCTTAAGAAGTTTTGGGGCTGAGATGATGGGGTTTTCTAGATATAGGAGCATGTCATCTGCAAAGACAATTCAATTTCCTCTCTTCCTATTTGAATATCTTTGTTTATTTCTCTTACCTGATTGTCCTAGCCAGAACTTCCAATACTATGTTGAATAGGAGCGGTGAAAGAGGGCATCCTTGCCTTGTGTTGGTTTTCAAGGGGAATGCTTCCAGCTTTTGCCCATTCAGGATGATATTGGCTGTGGGTTTGTCATAAATGGCTGGAAGTATTGGTAATTCTTAATGAAGACAGAAGCTAGGAGTTAAACAACCTTCCTCCATGCACCCTCAGTACTTGGTTCATGCTGTTGCCATTACGCTCATCACTCTCCACTCTATGTCATGTGACTCAGTGCATATGACTGTGAGCTCCCTGAGAGAAGTGATCTTACTCACCTTTCACTCTGACAATCAGAGAAGAAAGTAACTCACTAAGTGTCTGATGAATTGCTGATCCTTCACAGACATAAGCAGTTGTGTCCATGAATACATGGTTATTACAACCCCATAAACAGGTTCTCTTTAAACTGTGAGCCCACATAAAACTTTACAAGTCTCCTGTTCCTCTCTAAGAAGATATTCAAAAGGAAAAATCAACACAGAGGCAGCAGAGCATACCGCCAAGAGCACACGTGTGGGATTTGGAAACCATGGTTCTAGGATAGCACCATATTCCTATGTGGCTGCATGATCTTAGGCAAGTCACTTGACCTGAGACTAGGTCATCTCATCCATAAGGCAGTGAGAAATATTGTACCCTCTGGCCATGTTACAGTAGGTAATAATTATAAAGCATGTACTATTAAATAGTTCAGATTCCACAAACATTTTCTAAGCATCTGCTATGTGTTAGATACTCTGGAGGGCACTTCCATGCCACTGTTCCATGCCATGAAGTCCTCATATTCTGGCATTAAGGGGAAATAATGGGAAGGGGCTGGGAGTGGGAATAGAGATGACACAAAACTGGGAGCTGACAATTACTGAAGTTGGATGAAAGAAAGTGAAGTTTCACTACATTGTTTTCCCTATTATTTCATGTTTTTGAAATGTTCCACATGTATTAATTTTTTAAATTTATTTATTTTAGAGATGGGGTCTCACTCTATTGCCCAGGCTGGAGTACAGTGGCACAATCATAGCTCACTGCAGCCTTGAACTTTTGGAGCCAGTTAATCCTCCCACCACACCCTCCCAAGTAGTTGGGACTAGAGGCTTGTACCACCATTCCTGGCTAATTTTTTTTTAAAAAATGTTATAGAGATGAGGTCTCTTCATGTTGCCCACGTTGATCTCGAACTCCTGGTCTCAAGTGATCCTCCTGCTTCAGCCTCCCAGAGCGCTGGGATTACCGGTGTGAGCCACCACACCTGGCCAAAATATGTATTTTAAACAATCCTCTCAACAATTATGTAAGGTGGGTCTCCATGGTCTCACTTTACCCATGGAAAACCAAGGCTCAAAGCGACAGAAGCCTGAGGTTTCCACAGAATGTTAGAGGCAGAGTCGTGTCTAGAGCCCAGGTTCCCTGCCTCCATGCAACTTCACACTTCCCACCTCCCTAGATTGTGATGCATGGCTGGCATCTGCCCTCTCAGAAGCACACTTGCCCTCAGAAAGGGGCTCCTCAAGGTAGAGGTTTGTGTCTACAAGAGGCAGACCACTGTAAGCAATGAGGGGAACAGCTCCCCACCTTCCTTTCCAGTGCTGGGACCTCTTTCTACACTCATTATGAAAAATTCAAGAAATATGGGGGTTCCTCAAAGTCACTATCATCATCTGTGGACATCTGCTGAGTCCCCAAAGCACTGGGCAGGCATTGCTGAAGCATGCAAAGGTATACATAACACACAGGGCTTCCCACAGCAACCTCCTCCAACCCATTCACAATAAATATTTTAAAGTGTATTAGCAAACTCTGCCGAGACAAAAAGCTCATTGCAACAGTCTTTGTCCTCCAAAGGAATTGCTCTACAGTACAAAGAAAGAGAGGTTTTCTCATCTCTTCTGCAAAGGAAGGAACTGTGTGGGGGGTGGCGGGGGGGAGTGGCGTGTGTGTGTGAGTGTGTGTGTGTGCATCTCAGGGCAGAGGGGGCAGGTTGAGCTGAGCACAGAGAGAACTACATTTTTCTAAAGCCACCCTAGGGACATGCCCATCTGCAGCTCTGGGGCTGGCTGCAGCTTGCATTTGTTTGGAAGTTCAATCCTGGGATGTATACAATTTTCCCCAAATAACCCCTTGGAGGGAAAAATAACACAGTGCAAATGACAATACTCGAAAGCCTAGAGATATACTCAGCCATTTTCTTTATGATGACCATATTTTGCCAAAGTCTGTGTCCTGGAAGTCTCTCCCCATCCATTAATGCAGTCACCTAATGGATTTCTTTCCCTTCCCATGTGTTAACTTTTCCTTGAGCTCTTGCAGCAACACATTGCTTGGCCAAACCAGAATACACCAGGGAGCTTGGAAGATATTGCTCAGTCACCTCTGCAACCTCAGAAACTCCCTCTGGTGCCTGTGGTGTCACACGCCACATCCACATAGCATTGCACATGGTGATCCCTAGGTTCTCGCTGAGGACTGGAAGGGACAGCCTAAAGGTTTCATCCAAGTTTCCACCTTAAGCTCTATCTCGGTCTGCAGGTCAACTGACTCTTCAAGCCTCCATTCCCCACCGCACCAATTCCCCACAGCACTGCCAAGGTTTTTCACAGAGCCAAGAGATAATCAGCAGAGCAAAAGCTAAACCCAAAGCCATGCTCCCTACCCTCCAATCCAGGAAATGTAAAAATATATCAACTTTAAGGCCCTGGAAAAAAAGTCAAAACCAAGCTCTATAATTGTGGTCTGTTTACAAGGCATGCTGAGTTGTCGGTGCATTCTCAGAGAGGCTGTTCATGTCTCATGGAGCCGGGGAACTATGTTAATGGTAACAGAAGTCTTCATGTTCTGCAGTCTGTGCCCTTCTGAACACTCTTGGTTTGAAAAGCAAAGTCCTTAGGTTGGAGAATCAAATTCACAAATGTCTCCTTCAGTTCACTTTCCTTCAGTTGAGTTTGGACCCAGAGTGTGGACCCATGGAGGTCAGCTACCTGGTTTAAGGCAGTCAGCTCGTGTGTGTGTGTGTGTGTGCACATGCATGTGTGTGTGCACATGTGTGTATGTCTCTGTGTGTATGCACACATATTTTCACAAATAAGAAAGTAGACAAAGCAGAAGAGATCCAATACAGTGAAAAATCTCTGCCCAGTGACCTGGCACTGAGGAATATCATCCACCCCAGGCAAGAGTCTAGAAATGAACAATTTAAGGATAGTTTGGGAGCACTTAGAAAAAAAATTAATGATTAGGAAGAGCCAACATCAGTATAATAGAACAGGTAATGCCAACACGACTTTCTTTTTGTTTGGAAGTTCTACATAGTCTTATGTCTGGATTTTAGGAGGCCCTTCCCACGAATTAAATTTTTAAATAGGTAATGTATTCCTACGGTTCAACAAAACCCAATATATCCATGGGGAGGAATCTTCCTCCCATCTATGTCTCCATCTGCCCAGGTCTCACTCCTACCTCTCCACTCCCCATAGGTAACCATGATTATTAATTTCTTGAATAAGCTTATGGATGTCATTGTGAACATGGAAGCAAATACAAATGTGTGTGCATGTTCATTCTTATTTTCTCCCTTTTTTATGCAAAAGGGGCACACTGAACCCCTTGCTCAGCAAGGCTTTTGTGGAGGGCTCATGCTAGTTTTGTGGACAAGAAATGGGGACTAGATGACACCATGCAGTAGCAGGCATGTGGCTAGCTCAGTGCAGAACCAGAAGTGGAATCTAGCCTGCTGACTTTTTGTCCTAGGTCCTTCCCGCTTGTCTCCTGGGTCTGTGTTTGCCCACACAAGGGAGTACTTAAGAAGCATTGGCAGGCCTCTGGGAAGCAGTTTGTCCTTGTAAGTGGTTTAAAATCTCCCCTTGGCAATCTTGCATATAGCACTCATTTGCTTGGTAAACCTTTTTTCTCATAGATCACGGAAAGGTAAACTTTGAGCCCTTTGCTCTTTAAGTGAATAAAATGGCCTAACTGTACTAAAGCTTTATCCCAGTGCTTGGTTCATAGTAGCCACTTCATAAAATAAACATTAGTTGAATCTGAATGATCACTACATTCCATTTTAATGGTACTTGGATTAAAGAGATTCATCCTAAAGAGACAGGGAATTGGATCATTTCAGAACCAGTCCCGTGATGGTTTACTTTGGTAGCACAGCCCTTCTCAAGCCAGTGGTCACTTCCTATTCTCCTGCCAGAGAAGCAGAAACAACAGCTTCCTTTGTATTCAGTATTGATTTAGGGGATCGCATGGGTCCTTATGACTACCTGCTGGCAATATTCAGTCCAGCCCATGGACAAAGCTGAGCTGGAAGAGCAGGGAGTCAAGGGAGGTCAAGAGACAGGGCAAGGCTTGGGGAAGGAGTGAGAAGTCCTCTTCCAGGACCAACTTACCCACTCCTCTTCTGGTTCTCTGAGACCACCCTCCTCTCCTTTTCATCTCTGAGGCATCCTTACCAACCAGCAGTTCCTCTGCTCTAACATCAGCTTGATCTTTAAGGCTTGCCTCAGTCACATGCAAAAGAGGGTGATCCCATAGAGAAAAAAATATTTAGCTAAGATTCCAAAAGTGAGGGCAAATCCCTGGGAATTTGCTGTTTTTGAAGTAGACTATTACCACTCTCCACTATAGGTAATTTTAAGTTTGCAGTAGCTAATGGGCAAAGGAAAGAAGAGTAAAATAAAATTGTCATGGGATGGTAACTTCCTACATTAACCTGCAAGGTATCCACCTTTTCCAGGCCACCAGAGAATCTAAGTTCAAGTCCCCAAACAGGGAACTGGGCTCTCATCCTAATTCTTCCTTAAGGAGCCAACACAGTCATTACCTCCACATAAACATGTCAACTCTCCCCACGCACAACCATGAGAAATCTCTCCCAGCCAGCCAGAATGGAAGGAACTAACAGCTTTTGGCAAGCAGCACGGTCTCACATACAGAAAGTGGCTGGCACGTGGCTTGCACTCAGGTCACAGCCTTCTATCGGCTGTCGTGGCCACCTCTTCTTAGAAGAAGCTCTCCCCAGGAAAAGCACAGAATTCTGCTGGGTCACAGAGCTCCTCAGGTGTCAGTTCCAGCCACTCCCAACACACTTCAGGTGGGCCACCTTGACTGCAGTGGTTATGATTGCTGGGTTTGAATCCTGTCTCTGTCACTTGATTCTGGATCATTATTTCAATTCTCTAAGCCTCAGTTTCCACATCTGTAAAACCCTGTCCCCTGGGGAAGTTGTGAAGAGTAGAGGAAATTATCCTTGCAAAATGCTTAGCAGAGTATTGGTAGGTTGTTAGTGCTGAGTAAATAGTACTTATTTTATCATCATCATTACGGCTCTTAGGAACCCACAGCCTGTGAGGTGGGAGGCAGTACTGCAGCTTGAAAGCTAAGGGATGGGCAGTCGAGTTGCCCAAGGTCACTCTGCAGCCTTACTGGAATGAAAGCTCCATAGAATAGGGGGGTTGCCTGTTGTGTTCCCCAAACCTACAACAGTTCCTGACCCTCCATCAATACAAGCTGAATGAATGAATAGATGGATGGATGAATGAATGTAACTGAGAAGATGGAATTTGAGCCTAGGTCAGTGTGACTCCATGGTCAGATGCTACACTCTTCCTGCTCCGTTTCCACAGACACACACACATATACACACATATCCTATTTGTCCTTGTAAAACCAGCATCTTCCAAGAGTTTTCTGCCAGCTGCAGCTCATCATACCCATCTCTTCCCATCGTGCTTCCATGATACACACAGTCTCTGCCACACAATATAACAATTTATTAGACCTCAAACTCTCTGGGGGCAGAGACCACTTCTGAGCCACTGGACTTCTTAGTCTCAGTCTCAGCTTAAATCAGGCTCTTAAGAAGCACTTTCTGGTTGGCTGGCTTCTTTTGGGGGAAAGGGAGCCAATTGTCACCTCCTCCAGACCCTCGTATTTCCAAACCCTAGCCTTTCTTATAGGAAAGAGGAAGGGAACTCAACTTTACGTTTGACATTTTTCGCTGAGGAGCCACACTTGTCCTTGGCCTCGTAACCCATTCCCTTGCCTTGCTGTCGTCAGTTCTCAGATCTGCCCTAAGGTTGGGATACAGGATAACTCTGTCCTGACAGACAGGAGATGTGCTTCCAAGACCCAGCTCTGTCATTACTTGCTATAGGAATGTTCTCCTTCTGGGATTCAGTTTTTTCATCTGTAAAATAAAGATCTCAATGATCTGTGCATTCTCATCTGCTGTGGCCATTTGTGCAACTCATGTGCTTGCCCCAGTCTCAGGGCCACGGAGAGTGGGACACATGTACTTCCAGTTGTACGGCCCTTCTGAGACTGGGAGGCCTGTCTTGGTCCCACCCTAGCCTCCTCCTTCCACGAGTTTCCACACTTATTTCTCTCCAGGCCTCTCCTGGACACAGGGCTCTGGACTCGGAGCCACATCACATCTTCCAGGCTGACAATTCTGGGCACCACTTTGTTCCCCTTCCTCATCTGGGTTTCTGCTCCTCACCAGGGATGAGATATGCTGACCTTCCCAGTCACAGGATCAAGAGCAGACAAAGTTGCAGCAAAAGTCACTGATGGCCTCTCCTGGAGGGGAAGATGTTCTCTGGGCACCCAGATACCAAAGCAAGAAATATGCGTTTAGAAAGGCGTCAAGCCACAGAAACAAGATCTCATGGACATATGGAGAGAAATGAAAAGAACACTCAGCCATGGCTTAGATAAAAGGCAAACATGCTGGGCAGTCACTTGAACAGGCAGGGGATGAACAACAAAAAGATGCCCCTCTGTTTGGTTTTAGAAGCATCGTGCCAAAACGCCAGGCTAAGTATGGCTCCCTGTTCACAATAATTATTGAGTAGAAAACTCAGGTCACAAAATGTACAGTACATCTCGTTTTATTTACACCCACAAGCACACACATGCATGCAAGGATTAGGAGAAACTATACCAAAATGTTAACGGTGGTCAAATTCAGAATAATTGTTCTTTGCTTTTTTTCTAAAGAACTTATGTGAGTTTCCATTTTTTTTTCCTGCAGTAAACAAAGATTATTTTGTAAAGAGAAAAAATATAGTAACTTATTTTTAAATGCCCCTCATCCTAAGTTTTTGAAAGTAGAATACTAAAAATAAAAGGTTTGTCTCTTTACAACTGTACTGTAAAGATGACATACAATCAAAAAGAAGGAAACAGGCTGGGCCCGGTGGCTCATTCCTATAATCCCAGCACTTTGGGAGGCCGAGCCAGGCAGATCACTTGAGGTCGGGATTTCAAGACCAGCCTGGCCAACACGGTGAAACCCTGTCTCTACTAAAAGTACAAAAATTAACCAGGCGTGGTGGTGCACACCTGTAATCCCAGCTACTTGGGAGGCTGAGACAGGAGAATCACTTGAACCTGGCAGGTGGAGGTTGCAGTAAGCCAAGATCATATCACTACACTCCAGCCTGGGTGACAGAGTAAGACTCTGTCTCAAAAAATAAAAAAATAAAGAAGAAGGAAACATAGGAGCTTCAGGCATAAGAGAAGAGACGGGGGTCTCAGGATTGGGGGGGAGAATGATGCAGAAAAAGGAAGAGGCTCCATGATTCACATCTGGAACAGTGGGGTGGTGCTGGGGAGGCCTTTGGCACCCATGGGGAAGGAGAAGGTAGCATGAAGCATAAATTGCTGTCACAAACAGGAAATGCAAACCATTATGTCCCCAAAGGCCACAGTGTCAAGCCACTTACTATTTCAGAATATAAGCAAGAAATTATTCTGTCCCTAAAATCTAGAGACCCAAAAAGGTAAAGTGGTGTTACCATCCATGTGGAGCTGATGTCCTCCTTCAAGGAAAAAGAAAGTTCACAGCACCCAAATCCCCTCTCTATCCCTATTCTTCTCCCATCTTAGGAAGAAACAAACTTGCAGAAAGGGGAGCAACAGACGTTCTGATTCCGCTGAGACCTCTGGGTAAGTGCCTCTGATGAGTTGGGAAACTTCTCTATGCTGTTCTCCACTCTGAGGAGCAGAGTGGAGAGGAGCATGAGAATCCCACCCACCTCCATCCCTGACCATACCACTGCACCACCCATGCCTACTGGAGGTCAAGCATTGGGAGAGAGGAAGGCTCAGCTACCATACCCAAAGGAAATGACTACCAGTGAGGATTTACACCTTTCAAAAGGTGCTTCATTCCTGGGAAAGAGAAAAGAAGCATTTGTCCCGGCTTTTCTTCAATGGAAAATAGGGCCCTCTTCCCTGCCGTTCCCACTTCCAGCATGGGGGCAATTTCCTTAGACGGCTCCCCTTCTCCCATAGGCCACATCCTCTTAGCATCTTAGAAAGGGACGAGCAGCAGAGTGGCATTTCAATGAATGGAAGGTTGTGAAAACAAACCTGCAGTTTGGACAAGATAAGCAGGAGGGAAGATCAGAGAGGTAGGGAAGAAATGTACCCAGGGAAGAGTGAGAATGAGGGCACCCAGCTTCCCACCCTTAAGCCATCAAACCCCTCAGGTCTGATGTGGACCAAGCTCGCTTCTTTGTGAGAAGCACTACTTTTCAGTCCTGATTCAGAGGTAGTGGTCGCTAGATAATTGATGCTGGCAGATTTTTACATGTAGGTTCCTGGGGTGGCCTTAAAGATGTCCTGACGCTGATTGAGAAAGACTTAGTTTGGAACATGGGCTGCATACGCTTGATGGCTATATCTCTACCCTCCACCAGATGTGACAGCATCATTTACATTAGGAATTCTGAAGGGCTGTCCAACCAGAGATCTGGACAAGTGCCTGGACACTGGCTCCAAGCCTGCCCACACTTGAGCCGAGATCCTCAGGGCGCCAACTGGGTGGCAGGGGTATCTCCAGGCTCTGGGTTAGGAAGCCAAATTCTCGGCCTTCTCTTTGCCAGAGGAAAGATGGACACATTTGGGGCCACAGTTTTTATGTAAAAAGATATATAAAGGCAAAGACTGGGGACTGAGTTCAAAATTTTCCAAGGGATTTACTGGAACGCATTTCTGAGGGGGACTGAATGCTGTCTTCTGTGCTACGTGGAATTAGAAGGGCTTGCAATTGGTGAAGTAAACATATCTAAAGAGTATTGATTAATGAAATGATGAAAGAAAATCCTTGACTTTCTTTCTCCTTCTCCTGCCACTCTCTTTCACCTTCTCCTGATCAACATTTTTTATCAGTGATTTGGATAAAGAAAAATCCAGCTTAAAATTTGCAGATATCACTAGGTTGGAAAGCAGATAAAACACTGCTTGGCAGCAGGTATATCCGTGAAGATCTCAGGTGCCTAGCAAGGTTGGCTGAACTTAACAAGGGACATTTGAACTGGTCAACTGTAAGGATCTACATTTAGGTTCAGAAAAGCATGCGAGTGGGTATAGCTCACATCAATGCCAGCTCAGGTGGACAAGCATTCAGGGAGCCAGTTGAATCTGAACTCGGCATAAGCCAAAAGTATGACACGACCTCTAAAACTCAGACAGCATTGACATATGTGTAACATTTGGAGCAAATTAAGTAAGAGTCCTTCCTTACACTTTGTACAAAAATTAACTCAAGATGGATTAAATACTTAAATGTAAAATCCCAAACTATAAAAACCCTAAAAGAAAATCTAGGCAATACAATTCAGAACACAGACACAAACAAAGATTTCACGATGAAAATGTCAAAAGCAATCGCAACAAAAGCAAAAATTGACAAATAAGATCTAATTAAGCTAAAGAGCTTCTGCACAGCAAAAGAAACTATCATCAGAGTGAATAGATGACCCGCAGAATGGGAGAAAATTTTTGCAACCTATCCATCTGACAAAGGTCTAATATCCAGAATCTACAAGCAACTTAAGCAAATTTACAAGAAGAAAACAAACAACCCCATTAAAAAGTGGGCAGAGGACATAAACAGACACTTCTCAAAAGAAGACATACATGCAGCCAACAAATATATGAAAAAAGCTCAATATCACTGATCATTATAAAAATGCAAATCAAAAACCACAATGAGATACCATCACATGCCCGTCAGAATGGCTATCATTAAAAAGTCAAAAAACAACAGATGTTGGTGAGGTTAGGAAGAAATAGGAATGCTTTACACTTTTGATGGGAATGTAAATTACTTCAGCCGTTGTGGAAGACAGCGTGGTGATTCCTCAAAGACCTAGAACCAGAAATACCATTTGACCCAGCAATCCCATTATGGGATGTATAATGCAAGGAATATAAATCATTCTATTATAAAGACACATGCACACATATATTCATTGCAGCACTATTCACAATAGCAAAGACATGGAATTAACCTAAATGCCCATCAATGATAGACTAGATAAAGAAAATGTGGTACAGATACGCCATAGAACACTATGCAGCCATAAAAAGGAATGAGATCATGTCCTTTGCATGGACATGGATGGAGTTGGAAGCCATTATTCTCGGCAAACTAACACAGAAACAGAAACCAAACACCGCATGTTCTCACTTATAAGTGGAAGCTGAATGATGAGAACACATGGACACACTGGGGGAACAACACACACTGGGGCCTGTTGGTGGTGGTTATGGTGGGAGGAAGAGCATCAGGAAGAATAGCTAATGGATGCTGGGCTTCATTCCTAGCTGATGGGATGATCTGTGCAGCAAACCACCATGACACACTTTTACCTGTGTAACAAACCTGTATATTCTGCACATGTGCCCCAGAACTTAAAATAAAAGTTAATGAAAAGAAAAAGAATCCACCTGCACCCACTTTTGGAGTTTCTATCTGGGACCTACAATTAAGAGGGATATTGAAAAAAAGGAAAGAGGGGCCAGACTAGGAGAGGGTCTGGAAACATTGTTAAGTAAGGAACGGCTAAAATAAATGCAAGTGCTTTGGTAGGAATGGAAGATACTCAAGCAAGGCAGAACGGCTGCCTTCAAACATCTGAAGAACGGCCGTGTGGAGCTGGCTCTGCCTCCTCTGTGTGGGCTCAGAGAGCTGCCTTAGGAGACATGGAAATTGTGGGCTCCCTGATCAAAAGGGGGAACAAGCTGCATTATAAAGTAGTGAATTCGACATCCCTAGAAGTATTCAAACAGACACTAAATGAGCACCTGCCAGAAATATGTAGAAACATTACTGAAAGCCCCTAAATTGTCCCTTCCAACTGGGACTCTATAAATTCAGGGTCATGCAATGATGAAAGAAACGATCCCAGGGAACAATAAGAATCAGATAGGGGATAAGTGGCAGCTAGGCACCTGCTGGAATTCTGGTCAGAGGTGGATTAATGGGAGGTGACTCACAGGTGGTCTTAGGCTATAGGAGGGAGACAAGGTTAATCTTTTATAAGAACCAGCCTCTGCATGACAGACCTGTTGTACAGGGAAGAGCAGAAGAGTTCCTCTGCCCCAAGCTCAAAGCGAGACAAAAGCAGAATAAAGGGGAACATGGGTACTAGTTCCAGGCCCTGGTAATAGCAGTGTCCTCTCTCCTCCCGACATTGGTTCCTGCCACACAACCTGCACACAGGGATTTGCACAGAGCACTGCCTTCTGCTCCATGTGGGGAGGTGATTGCTAAGCAGGAAAGAGACTCCAGGTAAACCCAGAGCAACAGGCAGCATTTCAGGTGAAAGTCTGGGCCGAAAACAGCTTGCCCGCCATCTGATTTCAAGGAAGTCACTTCCGCTATGTGGTCTCAGTGTTATCTTCTGTAAAGTGAAGGCAGGATTGGTGAAATGTAAGGTTGGTCCCTCTACCACTCACATTTTTTATGAATCATGAATTTCACTTTTGTCTCAGTGACATCAAGGTCACTGGACAGAAGATTTGGGGAAGGGCAGAGTGCCCAAGGTGCAGCCAATATCCCACCAGGATGAGGCCAAAGCAGAGTGTCCCAGGAGACAAGGTCCTTAAGGAGTTTTTGGAGTTGGGGCCAGGCGTGGAGGAGACTTGATGGCTGAGAAATCCTGACCCCATTCATTTTCCCACTCACATCCCTGGGAATAATGCTAAAAGTGCAAGTCGCATTAAAAGTTAATGAACAAATGCCCTACTGTTCTCTGGGTCACTTCCACCCTGGAGGAAATGTACTCTCTTCCTCTAACCTTTTCCTTCCTTATTCAGTTTCATATCCTCTTCTTATTCCCTGGAGTCCATTACTACTCATAGACCCCTGTGGTTGTTTTTTGAGTCAACAAGCTATTAAGCTCTTACATCTTTTCCTTGAAGGCCCTACTTTTCTCTCATTACCCTATTTGACCCACAAATCTATATTTCCCTTTCACTAGGCTCCCAAGAAAGCAGACGGTCTCTTGGAAGTTCCTTTCATGGGTCCAGAGGATAAGAACAGATTCTGCTGGAAAACAGACGGGTGGAAGGGATAATTGGGGAAAATCATGGAAAAAAGAGGTCCATTTCTTTCCCTTTCAACTTACTTTAAAAATGGTACCAGTTTCTTCTCTTTAATCAAGTTTCCCTTTAGCCAAGGAAGAAGGAAAAAAATGAATGCATAGAGATCCATGTAGATCAGTGGCTCTTGAATTCTTTATCCTAAGATCTGTTTCTCTCATTCTATGCTTCCTATCCCACAGTTTGGCATTCTTAAATTTTCCCAACTCCTATATTTATCAAAAACAAAAAGTAGGCCAAGAATTCTGGTCTTTTGAGATTTTAAGAGATAAATGAGCATTTCTACTAGATTGAATTATAGACTCTTGATGAGTTATAAACTATATTCTCTGATCTATCTATCTCTCTCTTTCTCTTTCTCTCTCTCTCTCTCTCTCTCTGTCTGTCTCTCTCTCCTACTCCTCCACCCCAGCTCTCTCAGGCTGGAGGGCTAGGCAAAGGGTGGGGAATATGGGAGGTCAGTGGTGACAATGGGGCTGGAGGCCTGGGTAGTAATGGGTCTGAGATAAAAAGAACTGTGCTTATGGCAGTCAAGGGTTCGGGCTGCAGGCAAGGCTAAGAGCTCCTGCAGTTCATGCTGTTCAGTTCCAATGTCCTGGGAACTTTCTGCCCCCCAGCTCAGGTCATGCCCTGCAAGCCAAGAAATACCACGTTAGGCATTGGAAGAGCCCTGTATGTGAAGACAGTTAAGCTCAGAAACAAGTGACAGAGAAGAACTCAGCCATCTCTTTCCCTATGTGTTAAGGATATTTTGAGCTGCTGCTACATGTCTACCGCCATGCCAACTAAAGTGAGAAATGAAGGGATAAACTGTGGATCTGAACCTTTAAGGAGCTAACCATCTAGCAGATATCTATGAGCATTCAAAACAGATGCTCATCTGGGTGGAATGGGTAAAGCTTGATCTTATTTGGAAGCAGACGGAAGGACAAGATGATGCTGAGTTGTTCTTTTCCACACTCAAGAGAAAGCACAGAGGAGTGGTGGTGACCATGAGTACTGGGGACCGTGGACCCCTTGAGTACTGGGGACTGTGATGATGTCACCAAAACCCCAAGCCTGCCTCTTCTCTGCCACACCCTTGACCCAGTAGAGACTGTATACTGTGCACTCTGTGTACCCTGTGCACTCTGAAGTAGATGCCAATCCTGGATTGTAAGACAACCTACCTCCAGCTCTGCCCCCTATTATCATCATAAGTCTTCCATCTCCTTCTCTCTATTTAACTCCACAATTAAAGGTAGAAAATAAGAGCTCAGGTAAGAGCCTAAATTATCTTATTTTAGGGAAAAAGAAAAATCAAGAAACAGGAAAAAGATTGACGTGTCTCTCTCCCACCATCAAAAGCAGGGATGAAGTGGCAGAGGTCTTTAGGAGATTCAAAAATATCAAGGAAATGCAATGTACACCCTTTGATACACAAAAAGCCCCCAAGGAACTTTAATCCAAATGAAGAGACAAGGCTTAGACAAGTGAGTTAAAAAACAGACAAGCAAACAACAGATTTAAATAGGCAAATCAGACCTTGGAGGAGGGCCATGGAGTCATCTCTGTGTTGGCCACATACACCGTATTTTTCTGAACAGCATCAACTTTCACATCCAGTCTCATGCCACATCACATGTCCATGTCCTAATTTTCAGTTCAGAAAACAGAGTCGCCATACCGTTTACTTATTTTAATTTTTTAAAGAAATCTTAGAGGAAACCTGGTGCTGAAACCGTGGTAGACTACAGAGTCACCAAAAAGTCAAACAGATGATCGGTGTAAGAGAACTTTAGAGGAGGGAGGAGAGAGAACTCAGTGAGGACAGGGCAGGGTAGGGAGGGCTTCCTGGAGGAGGCAGGGCAGGGCTTGAAGGATGGAGCAGTGAGCACACTGGGCTGACCAGGTAGCCTGGCTCTTCCAAGGCTCAGCCTCCAAGCTGTCTTGTCTCCCCTCCTACTTTCATCTCTCTCTTGAGTCTACTCCATTTGGGTCCTTCCTGGGTAGCACAGTGTCCCAACATCTATAATTCACCATGGCAGATGTGTGCAGGGACAGGAGGGAGTGCAGGGGTGACTGTAATCCACTTCCCTCCCTACCACCACTGCAGTCACAGGCAAGGCATAGGCAGGCCAAGTATATGCCCTGGGACCCTTCATGCCAGGTGTCCCTCCCACACCTCCACCAAGCCCTGGGGCTCCTCTGCTCGCCATGTGGCACCAAGATCTGTCAGCAAGCAGCCCCACCAGAAATGCCAGCTGCTCTCTGGTTTTTCACAGCCTGGGTCACAGCTAACACCAGGACTGCTGCTCCTCAGAGGGATAGGGATCAGGGCTCCAATTCAAAAATATTCATTGAGTCCCTGCCATGGGCTTGACACAGGCAATCTACTAATGAGCAGGAGAAGGTCTCTGCCATGGAGAAGTCGATCATGCAGTGGGGGAAACAGATGAGTACAAGAAGTCAGTGCATGGACCTCGGACACTCTGTGGGGAGCTGCCCTTCTCTGGGGGCAGTGGGAGGACAAGTGGTCTTGGCTGAAAGTGAGTGGCTGTCCATCTAGAAATGTCAGTCCTCCACAGAGTACAACTTCTTCTCAGCAACTCTACTTGTCTTTGAGCGAGCCTTCAAAGTCTTGCTCAAAAACATCACTTCACCTAGGAAACCCACCCCAACTAGCCATATTCCACTCTAAACCTCTGAGCATATGGGACACGGCATGCCACACCCCTCTGCAGATGTTGCTGGTGCCTCTTTCCTATGTGCTATATTGACTCCCATTCTGATCACGACTCCCTTGAGAATGCAGCCCACATTGTTTACTTGTTTTCATCTTCCCTATAGAGATCCCAGAGAGAAGCTGGTGCTAAAACAGTGGTTCACAGCACAGGTGCTGGAGTCAGGGGTCCTGGGTGCAAATTCTGGCTCTACTGCTTATTAGCCTGGGAGACTCAAGCACATGACCTGTTTTGGTGAGCTGCTGTTTTTCCTCTATGCAATGTATGTCATTAACCTACTGTAATGACCTAATGTAGGTAAATGGTCTAGTTCCTAGGCACATAGTAGGTTCTCAAGAAGTCAGAGTTCTTTTTGTTCCAGACACAGCAGAGACTCATGTGACCCAGCAACATCCTATGCCCACCTTGGCTCAGGTATGAGGCACGAGTCCTGTCCACTCCTGGGCTGGTGAGTGGCAGGAAAGGCCAAGAAAGCTCCAAGTATTTGCTCAGCCACTTGGAGAAGGGCTTGGTCCTCAGGTCATCAGGCTCAATGGGCTGTCTCTGAACCTGGCCATTCTCAGAGGACTGGGGAAGAGTGCTAGGGAAGTGGGGGCTTACAGGGTAGCAATAAGACTCTTGGCATGGCCCCAGGGGTCTCCACGAGTCTCCATGGTGGGGAAGGATGGGAGGGGCAAGGTCCCAAGACAGCTTGGCCCTCCCAGTCAGATCAAGTCCTTTCCTTCACTCCCAGCACTGCCCTCACCATGCCACCTCTGCCCAACTGGAACAGAGAAGAGAAGCCACAGGAAGAGCCTGGGGCTGGGCACAGTGGCTCAGGCCTATAATCCCAACATTTGGGAGGCAGAGGCTGGTAGATCAGTTGAGCCCAGGAGTTTAAGACCAGCCCGGGCAACATGGCGAAATGCTGCCTCTACAAAAAATACAAAAAGTAGCTGGGCATGGTGGTGCATGCCACCCACAGTCCAGCTATGTGGGGAGCTGAGTCACTTGAGTCTAGGAGGTTGAGGCTGCAATGAGCTGTGATCATGCCACTGCACTCCAGCCTGGGCAACAAAGTGAGACCCTGTCTCAACAACAACAACAAAACAAAACAAAAAACACAAAAAACACAAAACCGGGACGACTGCCTGTCGACTGCCTGGCTCGTCCAACAGAATGGTGACGTAGGCTTCTCCTGCCTGCCTGGCTTCTGGAAATAGCTGATCTGCCCACAGAGGGCTGGCCATTTCCCCAGTCCCACCGCTGGAGCAGCACTCCCCTCAAGGGCAGAAGAGAGCATTCTCTTAAAACCAGCTGGCTGCTTCCCATCCTGAAAAGGATCAGCTTTGGTATCAGGCAGCAGAGACAAGCCAGCCCCCAGGCAAGGGGGATAACCTCCACCTAGCAAGCAGGTGGGAAACTCCCCCAGGGGCAAGTCCCGGGTAGCTCTCGAGAACAGTAAAGTCCCCTTCCCCTCCCCACTCTCTCCACTTCCCTCTGCACCCCCACAACATGAAAAGCATACTTGTGCTCTTACAGGCTGTCAGCCAAACCTGTCAACCCTGCAGGACCACTACCCACATCATCAGCATCTTTCTTTAACCCCTATTTTCTGTGGTGCTAACTAGATACCATGGACAGGAATTTCCAGAGCTCCCCTTAGATGAACCTCAGTGTATAAAATTCCTATATTCCTCTTTCCCTCCCAAATATTTATTAAGCACATACTATGTGCTGGGTTAATAGGGAGACAAAGATAAAGCTGACTCAATTCCCTCCCTCAATGAGGGGAAACAGACTCCTACTGTTAAGGAGTGCCACAAACCATAGTTGGCTGTCACTCATCATAAAATAGAGGTATATTTAAGGACCACAGAAGCACACAGGGGAGCGATTAATCCCAGTGAAAGTGTGGGGACATGTTAAGAGAAGGCTGGAGGGGCCTTTACTCTAGAGGCCACCATCCCCTCCATGGGCCCCTCTGGGAAGCGGGCATGTGGCACCAAAGCAGGCAGCAAGCGCCCACCCAAGGACACCAGCTGCGCTGACGTTCACAGGCTGGATCACAGCAGTGGTGGGAGCCGTGCTGTCCTGAGGACTCGCAACACCAGTTCCATCAATGCCCTTAGTTCCTTCCTCACACAGACAATGGAAACACTATGAGCCCACCTTGTCACTTAAGCCTCAAGTGCATCCATCAAGTCCCACTTAGTGCTTCTGGAAACCTGGGTAGGTTTTGCAAAACAGACTTGACAGCAAAGGTGAAAGATCTCAGCCCTAGCAGAGGACATATGGGTGTGCATGCACATGCCCTTATCTGGATGGAGGGAAAGGGTGACAGACACCCCCTGGATGAAAGAGAAAGAGGGATGCCATCTAGGAAATATAGAAAATCATTTTAACCAACTGAGTTAAGCACTTGGCACATCTTGGACTGAGAATAGTTGAGGAACAGTGTTTTAACCAACTGAGTTAAGCTAGGTTACCAAATGATCGGACAAGGCGCTGCCTCCACTTATTAGAATTACACACATTTCCTGTTCTACTCTCTTGAGTTATTTTCCACCAGCCCCACAACTCCATAAGGATTGCACTGTTCACCACCTCGTCCTGTGCCTGGTGAGAAAAGTAAGTAAATACGAATGAACGCCCTGCAGTTCTTTCACCCCACTGCATACAGGACAAAACGAAGTGAAAGTGAGTGCAACTCCACACTGAGAAGACTTCCCTAAAGGGAGGATTCTTGAAACCCTGGATATACTTCCAACGAAGCATGTGCAATTTCCTTGCTTAAGAAACTCTATGGATAGAGTTGGCATCCATCAGTCTGGGCTGGTCAGGTGGGGTCCTGATGGAGGCTTGGGGACACCCAGTCCCTCTTGCACGTTATGGATGATTTGGCTCTAGGCCAGATGCTAGCAGCGTGCAAGGTGTCCTCTGCATGAGGCCCTGTTTCCAAGAACTTGGAGTGCTGCACAAATACCCAACATCTGTGCATTTCCACAACACCTTTCTCCAAGGAATTCAACATGCTTACAGACATGATCTCATTCATCCTCTCATTCCCTCTGAGGCAGGGAGGGGACCAGCATGATTACTTCTGTTCAGTATGTGGGGGAACAAGGCCCAGAGATGGAAAGAAAGTTTCTCAAGGTTACACAGCAAATACAGGACTGCCAAAACAACAACAACAACACCAGGAGGTCAGGTCCAATGTCCCACACTGGTTCCCTCTCCTGACTTTGCCTTGACCTTGTGTTGAGATTTAAAAGCATTAAAGAAAGGTATATATTATAAGGACTGCTGAATTAGCATCATGAACATCCTGTAAAATCTGACAAGACCATTGAAAAATTGTATTAATCATCACCCCACGCTCTCTTCTTCTTACAGGTTCCTAGTTCAGTCTTTAAGACCTTGTGGGGGGAACAGAAACAAAGAATAAAATGAAACCTAGAAACAACAACTGTGATGGAAAATATGCCAAAACCGTACTCCAAATCGGGACCTGAGCAGTGGGGCTGAGCTCACCCATTCTCTTGGGGAATGGGGATGGCTTTGGAATGTGCAGTGCTTTGGGAAATTAGCAAAGGGAAGGAAGCCTGGCCTGAACTGGAGAACGGGAGGCAAAGGCTGGTTGAGTGCTACAAGAGGCCGAAGCAAGGACAACCCATCACCAGCAGGACTGGTCACCCCTCTCTACTCTAATCAGAGGGCTTTCTTAATTAATCCAAAGCCCCAGCTATAACCCTCACAAAGGATTTTCTTCCAGTCAATCCTTAAAGCCCCAGCTGTCTCCAAACAAAGGTTTGACTCTTGTACTCCCTTATGAGGGAGGCTTAAAATATTGACTAATCCTATCTGCATCTACTCAAATCCTTGGGAACCTAGATATAATGAGCTGAGACCCAAAAGGTGAAAATCTCAATTAGGCATGCTGCTTTATCTAAACCTAGAAACAATGGCACACAGTTTAATCCAAATTTGCCTATTACTCTGAAAACAGGTCAAAATGTAATAGGGCCTGGGCAGCATCCAGTTCATCCAAGTCTAGGGTGCCTCTAACTCAGGCCTTCCTGTTCCTTCACTTTGTTAAAGACAAAACCCTGACCCATGGGAGTATCCTTTTTTTTTTTTTTTTTTTTGGTCGGAGCTTCTCAAGTGCCAAGGAAGACTCTATGTCTCCTACCTAACACAGGAGGATCAGCACACCTGCCTCCTATGTCCTTTTCCTGCTGTTGTGCACAAGAAGTGCAAGTCTTATGATCTCACTAGGTGTGAAATGGAGAGGCATGGAGGAATGAGGAAAGAGAAGGTGAAAGCCACAGGATGTATTGATTAGGAAGATAACTAATTATTAATTAAGAAGGTAACTAGTGATCACTAGAGAGACCAGTTTCAGGAGATTTGAGGAAAAAAACAAATTGTGAGGTTACTAAAGAAGCCAAAGGAATGTAAGGAAACCAAAGTGGGAATTTCAAGAAGAATGGTCTTGAGAAAAGGGAGAGGTTGGTACCAAAAGCAAGGGAACTTGAGGCAGGTACATATCTGAGGGAGAGTTTAATTAGGAGGGCAGAATCTTTGACCTAATTTTGGTTAGAGAACAGGAGATACGAGGAGTTAGAGATCATCAATGCAAAAGAAAAGAGATCATTTTAGAGTAAAAGCCCAGGAGTAGACAAGGAGAGATGAGGTTGTTAGCACAGAGACAGGCTTTTTATGGGAGGCATAAATTGGCTTCATTTCAGTGCCTTCTTGGTGAAATCTAGGATCTGCTATTCTAAATGTGGGCCTGGCCTCTCAGCTCCTCCTAGATGTGACATCCAGGACAGGTTTCCTGGTTCATTGATGGTAACCTGGTGAACGAGATCCTGCTTCCAAGCTCTCACTGACACTGGCTCACCGCTGTGACGGGTTCTATCTTTCCTTCCAAACTCACCTAGGTTCTCTGAATTTGGTGTGCTTTTCTTCCATCCCAGCATAACACACAAGTAGGTGGACACGGACTCCTGTAGGGGAAGCCTACAGCACTGGATAGGCTTAAGAAGTGACATCTGCCCTCCCACAGTCTTTGATCTTCCCTGTGGCTCAGCTTAAGATGTGGCCTTATTGAGTCCCCAGCCAAGTGTCTGGCACATAGTAAGCACTCAAGAAATAGTTGCATTTGACTTCCCTTCTTTGAGTCTTCTAATGGGAAAGGATGTTTCCCAAAGCAAGGTGGATAAAATGTTTCTTATGCAAGATGCTGACATAAGACAAACTCCTATAGTGACTGCCCCATGTGGGCAGTGTGAGAGCAGCAGTGACATGTGTAAGTCTCAGACCACTTGCAGAAACTGGCTCTCCACAGACCCTGTACAAGCAGGCACAGCAGGGCAAAGTCAATTCTCCAGTGATTCAAGCAGATTTTGGTGCTGAGAAACAGTTGACTGGCTGGAGTTAATGATGAAGTCACTCCCTAATACAGGCATTCTCAACCGAGCTTATGGGATTGAAGGCGGACACCAACACACTACAGGGAAAGTGGCAAAGTTCTCAAAAGAAAACTCAGAATCCAGTCCCAAAGTCAGCACCAAAACATCTGGCTTTGAAATTTCCCTCCTCTGAGCCTCAATATTTTCTCACTCTGGATTCCCCTGAAGAAACATACTCTTAAAAAAACAAAGCCAAATAAGATTGGGTGCCCTGACACTGGGGGAGCCACAGCTGCTACTGACTTTGGATCTTCAGGAGGAAATGAGGCAACCAAAGCTCTTGGCCAGCTTCACGTTAACACAACTTGGCCAGCTATGGATTCCTGAAAGTCAGCATCCTCAGCACAGTGAATGCCTCCTTTGCTCTGGGCCTGGGCTCTTCTGATTCCAGCTAAGGCATCAGCCAAGTCACCCTGGGGCAAGAGTTCCAAAGAGTGATTGTCCAAGGCTTCCCAGGGGCACCTTAAGCATCCCAAGTATCACCTCGTAATGCGGCATGGGTTGGCAAGAACACATAGGCTGGGAGTGGAGGGTGGGTGCAGCCTATGACTCTTCCCTTGAGAAAGACAGTCTCACGATCTAGGTCTCAGCTAACTCCTAAGCTCAGGAAGAATCACCTCCTTTCATCACATTTAGAATGTCACCCCATCCTGAGCATAAAAATGAACACCAACAAAAACAGAAATCTAATAAAAATCAGGAATTACGCCTAAAATAATTTTTCAATTTCAGATTGTCAGTCATCAGGCATTTATTGAACACCTACTAAGTGCTATGCACTGACACATATAGGGAGCATATGACAATGACAAGTCCAACAGAGCCCCCATCTCACAGGAGCTTACATATTAAAATGGAGAGACGGCCGGCAAAGAAATAAGCAAATAAGGCCAGGTGCGGTGGCTCACGCCTGTAATCCCAGCACTTTGGGAGGCTGAGGCAGGCAGATCACGAGGTCAGGAGCTTGAGACCAGCCTGACCAACGTGGTGAAACCTCGTCTCTACTACAAATACAAAAATTAGCCAGGCGTGGTGGCACATGCTTGTAATCCCAGCTACTCAGGAGGCTGAGGCATGAGAATCACTTGAACTTGGGAGGCGGAGGTTGCAGTGAGCCGAGATCGCACCATTGCACTCCAGCCTGGGCAACAGAGCAAGACTCCATCTCAAAAAAAAAAAAAAAAAAAAGAAGAAGAAGAAGAAAAAGAAAAAAAGAAATAAGCAAATGAAAAAGACCATTGCAGGTCCTGGTAGGTGGAATAAAGCAAATTCCACAGATGAAGGCAGGAAGACAGATCACTGCAGCCAGGGCTGAGATGGTGATGAGGAGAGGGCAGAGTGAGGAGCAGGTAGCCAAAGCCATCATTGAGTAAGAGCCTTCCAGAAGAAGGAAGAGCCACTCAAAGACCCTGGGGTGGATATGCACTGGTGTGTGGGAGGAACAGAAAGAAGAGTGAATGCAGGCCAGGCACAGTGGCTCACACCTATAATTCTGGCATTTTGGGAGGCTGAGACAGGCAGATCCCTTGAGCCCAGGAGTTCAAGACCAGCCTGGGCAACATGGCAAAACCCCGTCTCTACTAAAAATACAAAATTAGCCAGGCATGGTGGTGCATGCCTGTAATTTCAGCTACTTGGGAGGCTGAGGCAGGAGAATCCCTTGAACCCAGGAGCAGAGCCTGCGGTGGGCCGAGATCATGTGCCACTGCACTCCAGCCTGGGTGACAGAGCGAGACTATCTTAAAAAAAAAAAAGTGAATGTAGTTCAAGAGTGGTGAATAAGGTGAAGCATGGAAGGGAAGAAAGATGGCAGCCAGATCTTGTGAGGCCTGGTGGGCTATAATGGGGAAAGTCTCTGGTGGGTTTTATGTGGGCGAGTGATGTGATCTGATTTACAGTCCAGAAAGCTCACTTCAGCTAACGTATGGAGACTAGACTCTAAGGGAATGAGGCTCCAGATACAGCAGGCAGGCGGATGATGCAATACCCCTGGCAAGAACTGCTGGGGATCTGGACTAGGTTCGCAGTATGAACAGAGTGAAAGATGTTCAGAGCAAGGATAGATTTTAGTAGTAGAGTTAAAGGCACTTACCAGTGGATTAACTATGGGGTTTGAGGGAACACAGAGAATCTAGGATGACTCCTACGTTTTCGTCCTCCTCATTTTCTTTATGTAAGATATTCAAGGAAGATCTATGTTTAAGCTGGAGATTTGGATGAACTTAAGTAAGATACTTAAGTTCTTTAAGCCACTGACTTCTTCGTTGGTTGATGTCAGGATGTTAGTGAATGTTAAATTCAAGAATATGTATATACTCCTGAATTTGTTGCCACAAATTCTTGGCTTCACCTAAGCCCTTCCCCTATGGCCAAGGGCTTAAAGATCCTACATCCAGGTCTTGTCTTAGGCCATATTCAGGCTCAGAAAATGGCAAGAATCTAAGTTCAGGTCCTGGCGGCAATTCACAGTGCCCAAGTGTGGGCTGCCATGTACCTGCCATGCAGTTTTCCTGTGAAACCCCTGCATCAAGAAACAGCCTGATTTTGTAGTGAGATGTCAGTAGCCTAGGTGGTCTGGAGGTGTGATGGCACGAAGCTGTCCCCTGCGCCCCGTAGTAGGGCCTGAAGTTCATGAGGCAGACAGTGTGAGGGAACGCTTCCGCCAGGCAAAGGAAAAGAGAGACTGAGAACAAAGAAGATTGAAAAGTATTGTTTCCGAGGGCCAATCACCTTGTTGTAAAAATCCTTGTTTATTAACAATAATGGGAGACGTTAATAACTCCTTTCATCCTGAGACATGTTCCTCGCATGACCCCCTGGGACTCCACTTTTTGTTGGTTTTCTTCTTATCTCACTAGCCGCTTCTGCTCAGTTACTTCGGCGCATCCATCATCATCCCATCTCTAAACTTCAAACAGACATAGGGTTCATTTAGGGACATCTCTCTTCTTTATCTGCATCTACCCATTGGGTGAGCTGACAAGGTCTCATGGCTGAAAAATCATCTAAATGTCAGTGACTCTCCAGCTAAGAGATTCCCTTGAATGTTGCACGTTTCTACATGGATATGCAGCAGCTGTCACAAATGTCACATGTTCATAAGTAAATACCTGATGTCTTCCCTCACCGATATTCTTCAAGTTCATATCAAAATCTTGGCGTCATCCTTGACCTCTTTCTTTCATGCCTCACACTCACTCCATGAACAAATATTGAATGATTTGCCTTTGAAACGTAGTCAGCACCTGAACCTGTCTCACCATCTCCGTGGCTCCTACCCTAGTTTGCGCCACTGTCACCTCCCCTTGGACCACTGCAACTGCCTCCACTGGCTCCCCACTCTGTCCCCGCCCCCACGGTCTAGTCTCCACTAAGCAACCAGAGTGAGCATTCAGAAATATTAGACTCATCCTGTGGTCTTCTGCTCAGAGCCCTGGTGACTTCCCATCTCATTCGGAGTCAATCCAAAGTCCTCAAAATATCCAGAGACCCCCTCAATACCCTGGCCCAGACCCTCTCCTTCCTTCTTCTCCAGCCACTGCCTCTCTCAAGGCTGGTCCGGCCACACTGACCTCTTTGCTGTTCCTTGCACGAGTTTGCTCTACATCAGGACCTTTGCATTTGCTGCTTCCTCTGCCCGGATTCCTTTCCCCTCACTGCCACATGACCAGCTCCTCCACTTGCATCTGGGTTTGCTCAGCTGCCATGTGCCAGAGAGACCATTCCCGGAGCAGCCCTACCAGCCTCTTCACTTTCTACTGCTTCACTCTGCTTTGTTTTCCTTCATGGTACATATTGCTAGTGAACATATTATCTGGTATTTATCTATTCATTTGTGGTCTGTATCTTCTTACTAGACTGCAAACCCCTTGAGAGCAGGGATTTGTTTTCAATGCTGCAGCCCCAGAGTTTGTGCCTGCAACAGAGTGAGGCCTCCATCAACATAGCAAAACTAGAAGGTGGCCAATTTACCAGCTCTGTTTGATTCCAAAACTCTCCACTATAAAAAAATGTGCACCACCAACCTGCGCCAGTCCCCAAAGCTTCGAGGATCTCTGCTTCAGTTCCTTAGCAGAAGGGTTTACCAGAGACAGAGAGAGAGAGAGAGAGAGAGAGAGAGAGAGAATAAAACAGACACAAATAGGGACAGAAGGAGAAAGCTAGAGGAGAGAGAAGGAGAAAGCCACAGGAGAGAGAAAGAGTGTCAGATACAGGCAGCCAACATGGGTCCTCTTTGGGGAAGGATGAGCAGTTCAGACCCACTAGCGAGTGGTGAGCCAGGCCTCCTAAGACCCACGCTAGGATCACCAGCTCCCGAGTGTCCCCACAAAGAGTTTACAGAGAAGCAAGTTTCAAGGAACCAGATTTTTCCTTCATATGCCACTAACTAGTGAACAAATCCCTTCCCCCTCTCGGCCTCAGTTTCCCCATGTATAAAATGAAGAGGGTAGCCTGAGAGTAGTTCTAAAATCTGGCTATTCATCAGAATATCGATTTCAAAATTTTGCCCCTGGAAAGAATTTAATTCTGGAAGTTTGCAGTGGAGCAAAGGAGTAGGTTTCTGGTTTTCTTTGTTTTGTTTGTTTGTTTGTTTGTTTGTTTTTTAACTAGCATTAATTTTCATGTGGGAGGCAGCATTGGTGGCAGGGCTGAGAGCATGGCCCTGGGTCAGAGATGGCCTGAATTCAGTGCTGATGATGCCACTTACCGTTTGTGAGCCCTTAGTCCCTAACCTCTCTGTGGTCCAGTTTCCTCATTAGAGAAACAGGGATAGTAACTAACTCTGTCAAGACCTGGTATGAAGATGAAGTGAGTTGGCACTTGTAAAACCACTCAGAACCGTGTCTGGTGCATACTTAAGTGCTACATAAGTGTCTGCTGAATAGTTCCTCAAGCCGCTAGTTTGCTGCTGGCTGTGGACAACTTTCAACAGATTTTTCTGATATTCCATGATTCTCTGCCCTACTGCTCCCTAGAAGAAAAAGGAAATGGTCCTCATTAAATTTTTGTGTTAGAGTAGAGAGCACTCCAAGCACCACTCCTGACTCAATACCGAATTGGCCTCAACAGGAATTAGGCCCTTTTAACTACGACTTTGAACAACATGCCAGATCAGGCAGGGTTATTTGACATTGATATGGAACGACTGACTCACCAAGTTGAAAAGAATCTTTAAGATCATTGGTCAGCATTCTTTTCAAGTACACATGGAACTTAAAAAAAAAAAAAAAAGCACATTCCAGGTCACAAAGCAAATCTCAAAAGTACCAAAAAAATCAACATCATACATGCCACATTCTCCAAACAAAATGCAAGTAAATTAGAAATAGCCAGGATACAAACCTATCCACCCCTACATCAATAGAAATGCAAAACACACTTCTAAATAACTCACAGAGGGCTGGGCCCAGTGGCTCATGCCTGCAATCCCAGCACTTTGGGAGGCTGAGGCAGGCAGATCACCTGAGGTCAGGAGTTCGAAACCAGCCTGGCCTACATGGCAAAACCCCATCTCTACTAAAAATACAAAAATTAGTTGGGCCTGGTGGCGCGTGCCTGTAACCCCAGCTACTTGGGAGGCTGAGGTAGGAGCATCGCTTGAACCTGGGAGGCGGAGGTTTTGTTGAGCCGAGATCTCACCATTGCACTTCAGCCTGGGTGACAGAGCAAGACTCCATCTCTAATAAATAAATTAATTAATTAATAAAATAACCCATAGAATAAAGAATTCATAATTGAATTTTTAAGATATGAGGGCAGGCTTTTTGACTATTTTGCTCACTGATGAATCCACAGAACCTAAAACAGTGCCTGGCACATAAATATGTGTTGAGTTACAGGGGGAAAAAATAGTAAATGAAAAAACTAAATGATAAAAAGTTTACATGCTTTTTTTTTAGTGTCTGCAAATTAATGAGTTAAACATCCAACAACAAAGAAAAACAGAGTTCAGTCCAAAGAAAGAAAAAGGAAGGACATAATAAATAGAAGAGCCTGAATGAAGGAAATAGAAGACAAACAATAGGAAGAATGAACAAAACCAAACACTGGCTTCTTGAAAAGACTGACAAAAGAGAGAAAATAGATAAATATCTAACACATTGATCAGACCTTTAAAAAGAAACGCAAACAACATTTAAAATCACAAAGGCAACATAATTGCAGATGCAGCAAAGATGTAGCAATTCTTCAAAAGACAATTCTATGAAAAATTTCATACCAATAACTTGAAAATACATAAATAGGAAAATATAACAATATGGAATCAAGAAGAAAATGAAAACATGAATATAACAAAACCACTAAAAAAAAGCCTGAAATTAAAAATCTGCTCACAAAACCCAGAAGTTGGCACACATTTTTTTTAAATGAGTTTTATCAAACTCTCAAGCAACACATAACCCTGCCTTTCTATAATGTATTCCAGAGAACAGAAAAAGAAGGAGCACTCCAAACTCATACTGTGTGGCTTGTACAATCTTGGCCCTTAAACCAGACACAAAATGTAAGAAAGAAAAACTCTAGCTCAACATCACTAATAAAGAGAGATGCAAAAATCCTAAATGAAATATAAGCATACCAAACATAGCAATATATTAAAATAAGTACATAACGACCAAGTTGGCTTCTGTCAGGAGTACATGAAGAGTTTAAGATTTGCATTAGTGAAGTTCAGTACCTTTGCAGGTTAAAGGAGAAAAGCTACATGATTATTTAAATTGATGCAGAAAAAGCATTTCATAGTTTAGTTTAATTTAAATTATGCTAGCAAAATAGGAACAGATGGAAACTTTCTGTAATCTGATAAATGGTATCAACAGAAAAACTATAGTAAATATCCTATGTACCAGTAAAATACTAAAAGCAGTCCATTTAAAAACAGGAATAAAATAAAGATACCTAGCACCTACATTTTTATTCAACACTGTACTAAAGCCACTGGTCATACAGTAGAACTAGAAAAGGAAACAAAATGTAAGAATTGAAAAGGAGGCTGGGCATGGTGGCTCACACCTGTAATCCCAGCACTCTGGGAGGCCGAGGCAGGCAGATCACAAGATCAGGAGATCAAGACCATCCTGGCCAACATGGTGAAACCTGTCTCTACTGAAAATACGAAAAATTAGCCGGGCGTGGTGGTGGGAGTCTGTAGTCCCAGCTACTCAGGAGGCTGAAGCAGGAGAATGGCATGAACCCAGGAGGTGGAACTTGCAGTGAGCCGAGATCCCACCACTGCACTCCAGCCTGGGCAACAGAGCAAGACTCAGTCTCAAAAAAAATAAATAAATAAAATTAAAAAATTAAAAAAAATAGAGGTTCCAAGATGGCTGAATAGGAACAGCTCCAGTCTACAGCTCCCAGCATGAGCGATGCAGAAGACGGATGATTTCTGCATTTCCAACTGAGGTACCGGGTTCATCTCACTGGGGCTTGTCAGACAGTGGGTGCAGGACAGTGGGTGCAGCGCACCAAGCATGAGCCAAAGCAGGGCGAGGCATCCCCTCACCCGGGAAACGCAAGGGGTCAGGGAATTCCCTTTCCTAGCCAAGGGAAGCTGAGACAGACAGCACCTGGAAAATCGGGTCACTCTCACCCTAATACTGCGCTTTATCCAACGGTCCTAGCAAATGGCACACCAGGAGATTATATCCCGCACCTGGCTCGGAGGGTCCCACGCCCATGGAGCCTCGCTCATTGCTAGCACAGCAGTCTGAGATTGAACTGCAAGGTGGCAGCAAGGCTGGGGGAGGGGCCCCCACCATTGCTGAGGCTTGAGTAGGTAAACAAAGCAGCCAGGAAGCTCAAACTGGGTGGAGCTCACCACAGCTCAAGGAGGCCTGCCTGCCTCTGTAGACTCCACCTCTGGGGGCAGGGCATAGAGGCAGCAGAAATTTCTGCAGACTTAAATGTCCCTGTCTGACAGCTTTGAAGAGAGTAGTGGTTCTCTCAACACAGAGTTTGAGATCTGAGAACAGACAGACTGCCTCCTCAAGTGGGTCCCGGACTCCCGAGTAGCCTAACTGGGAGGCACCTCCCAGTAGGGGCCGACTGACACCTCACATGGCTGGGTCCCCCTCTGAGATGAAGCTTCCAGAGGAACGATCAGGCAGCAACATTTGCTATTCTGCAATATTCGCTGTTCTGCAGGCTCCGCTGGTGATACCCAGGCAAACAGGGTCTGGAGTGGACCTCCAGCAAAGTCCAACAGACCTGCAGCTGAGGGTTCTGACTGTTAGAAGGAAAACTAACAAACAGAAAGGACATCCACACCAAAACCCCATCTGTACGTCACCATCATCAAAGACCAAAGGTAGATAAAACCACAAAGATGAGGAGAAACCAGACCAGAAAAGCTGAAAATTCTAAAAATCAGAGTACCTCTTCTCCTCCAAAGGAACGCAGCTCCTTGCCAGCAATGGAAAAAAGCTGGATGGAGAATGACTTTGACGAGTTGAGAGAAGAAGGCTTCAGACAATCAAATTTCTCCGAGCTAAAGGAGGATGTTCGAACCCGTCGCAAAGAAGCTAAAAACCTTGAAAAAAGACTAGACGAATGGCTAACTAGAATAACCAGTGTAGAGAAGTCCTTAAATGACCTGATGGAGCTGAAAACCATGGCACGAGAACTATGTGACACATGCACAAGCTTCAGTAGCTGATTCGATCAACTGGAAGACAGGGTATCAGTGATTGAAGATCAAATGAATGAAATGAAGTGAGAAGAGAAGTTTAGAGAAAAAAGAGTAAAAAGAAACAAAGCCTCCAAGAAATATGGGACTATGTGAAAAGACCAAATCTACATCTGATTGGTGTACCTGAAAGTGACGGGGAGAATGGAACCAAGCTGGAAAACACTCTTCAGGATATTATCCAGGAGAACTTCCCCAACCTAGCAAGGCAAGCCAACATTCAAATTCAGGAAATACAGAGAATGCCACAAAGGTACTCCTCGAGAAGAGCAACTCCAAGACACATAATTGTCAGATTCACCAAAGTTGAAGTGAAGGAAAAAATGTTAAGGACAGCCAGAGAGAAAGGTTGGGTTACCCACAAAGGGCAGCCCATCAGACTAACAGCAGATCTCTCAGCAGAAACTCTACAAGCCAGAAGAGAGTGGGGGCCAATATTTAACATTCTTAAAGAAAAGAATTTTCAACCCAGAATTTCATATCCAGCCAAACTAAGCTTCATAAGGGAAGGAGACATAAAATCCTTTACAAACAAGCAAATGCTGAGAGATTTTGTCACCACCAGGCCTGCCTTACAAGAGCTCCTGAAGGAAGCACTAAACATGGAAAGGAACAACCCATACCAGCCACTGCAAAGACATGCCAAACTGTAAAGACCATCGAGACTAGGAAGAAACTGCATCAACTAACGAGCAAAATAACCAGCTAACATCATAATGACAGGATCAAATTCACACGTAACATATTAATCTTAAATGTAAATAGGCTAAATGCTCCAGTTAAAAGACACAGACTGGCAAATTGGATAGAGTCAAGACCCATCAGTGTGCTGTATTCAGGAGACCCATCTCACATGCAGAGACACACCTAGGCTCAAAATAAAGGGATGGAGGAAGATCTACCAAGCAAATGGAAAACAAAAAAAGGCAGGGGTTGCAATCCTAGTCTCGGATAAAACAGACTTTAAACCAACAAAGATCAAAAGAGACAAAGAAGGCCATTACCTAATGGTAAAGGGATCAATTCAACAAGAAGAGCTAACTATCCTAAATATATATGCACCCAATACAGGAGCACTCAGATTCATAAAGCAAGTCCTTAAAGACCTACAAAAAGACTTAGACTCCCACACAGTCATAATGGGAGACTTTAACACCCCACTGTCAACATTAGACAGATCAATGAGACAGAAAATTAACAAGGATATCCAGGAATTGAACTCAGCTCTGCACCAAGCGGACCTAATAGACATCTACAGAACTCTCCACCCCAAATCAACAGAATATACATTCTTCTCAGCACCACATTGTACTTATTCCAAAATTGACCACATAGTTGGAAGTAAAGCACTCCTCAACAAATGTAAAAGAACAGAAATTATAACAAACTGTCTCTCAGACCACAGTGCAATCAAACTAGAACTCAGGATTAAGAAATTCACTCAAAACTGCTCAACTACATGGAAACTGAACAACCTGCTCCTGAATGACTACTGGGTACAAAACGAAATGAAGGCAGAAATAAAGATGTTCTTTGAAACCAATGAGAACAAAGACACAACATACCAGAATCTCTGGGAGACATTTAAAGCAGTATGTAAAGGGAAATTTATAGCACTAAATGCCCACAAGAGAAAGCAGGAAAGATCTAAAATCAATACCCTAACATCACAATTAAAAGAACTAGAGAAGCAAGAGCAAACAAATTCAAAAGCTAGCAGAAGGCCAGAAATAACTAATATCAGAGCAGAACTGAAGGAGATAGAGATACAAAAAAACCTTCAAAAAGCAATGAATCCAGGAGCTGGTTTTTGAAAAGATCAACAAAATTGATAGAGCACCAGCAAGACTAATAAAGAAGAAAAGAGAGAAGAATCAAATAGAAGCAATAAAAAATGATAAAGGGGTTATCAGACTGCTGGCCTCAAGTGATCCACCCACTCAACCCCACAAAGTGCCTGTAACCACTGCACGAGGACTCCTCACGTCTGTTTGATCCTTACCTGACTTACTTAGGAACCATCTTCCTTCTAGTTTGAATCCCTAATTATAGATATTTCCTGTGACTTTATCTTTGCTCCTCGTTTTTCTTCCCTATATAATCTCTCACTGGAAGAGCACAGCCACTCCCATGGCTCCAATTGCCTTTCAGATGCTCCCAAATCCATCCGTCCAACACTGATGTAGCATTAAACCAACTTCTTACAGGGTAAATCCTCTAGGATTCTAGTCATTTTCAATTTTTTTTTTTTTTTTTTTTTTTTGAGACGAAGTCTCACTCTGTCGCCCGGGCAGGGTGACCAGGAACTAGTCACTCAAGCTCTCTGTTAATTTCCTCATCTCTGAAAAGCGGGGTCTACAGATATCATTTCCAAGCTGTTTCTAAATTTCTATGAATTCATGAATTATTGACTCTTCTTGACATTAGCTATTTGTCCAGGATATCACTATTATTCTAGGCTTATCTTTGACTTATTTCTATTTTTGTGTGCTGATTCCTAATCTGATGCCAAATTTTGCCATTTTTCTTATTGAAATGTCTCTCAAATTTACCCCATTTTATCCATTTCCTTGGTTTTCCCTTAGTCCTGGACCTAATAAGTTTAGACTTAGATTCCTTGAAAGGTGTCCAGACAGGCTTTCCTGCTTCCTGTCCCCTCCTTCATTCAAGTCCTCTGATACACCACTTCTAGATTATTCATGAAAATCTAATAAAAATTGTCACATCCACTTAAGAGCATTCTTATTTAATTCTGTGCTATCTACTAAAGCAATTCCAGTATCTCTGGCTAGTTTAAGACCCTCCATGACTCCATGTGACTGATCTCTCCAGCTTTCTCACCACTCCTTAGCACTTAAACTGCATTGAAACGGGTGTCATTGAAGTCACATGTACCTAAACTCCAGCTTCTAAGCCTTTATTCATGCTAATTCCTCAAACTAAAACGGTCTCTTCCTCTTTTTTCCCAAAGATGCACATTTTTCAAGGACCAACTAAAATTCCACCTATTTAGAGCTTTCTCTAGCATCTCAAGTCTCTGTTCAACTTTCTTCTCACCCAAATACAACAGCAGCTAAAACTCGATTATGGATAATTGATTATTCCTTCTTAATTTTTCAAAGCATTGTTTGTTTTAATTTCCAACCGAATTAAAATATTCCTAAAGACAGAAAAAAATAAAAAATAAAAAAATAATAGAATTGGAGGTTAAAGAATGTGATTTTTATAACGTAAATTCTGTGAAACATGTTCAGAACTTCTGGCTTGGTGTATGGTCAACTTTCATAAATGTTCCCTCATAGGGGAGATTTCAGCACAACACATTCAGTAATTGATAATGTAAGAAGACAAAAAATCAGCAGGTATACAGAAGATGTGAAACCACAATTAGCAAACTTGATCTAAAAAACCAATAACACTACACTGACTGCTGCAGAATGCATATCAAGCCCATGTTTTACAAGTAAATTCCATTAAAAAAATCAAAAGAATATCAATTTGATTCAACATATGATACCACAGTCATAGTAAAAACAAGCCACAGACTGGGAGAAAATATTTGCCATTCATATGATTAACAATGGATAATATCCATAATATATAAAGAGCTCCTATAAACCAATAAGCAAATGATGCAACAGCAAAATGAGCAAAAGAGAACAACAACTCACATGGCCAACAAACATGGAGAAAATGCTCATTCTTACTGGCAACCCAAAAAATGCAAAAAAAAAAAAAGACCATCATACCGAAAACAATGAAATTGATCTCTTCCGCACTCTATACACAAAAATAAATTCCAAGTATTTCCAAGATTCATGTGGAAAAGCAATCTTCCAACATTTTAGGAAAATAATAGAATAGCTTTATGATCTTGCTGGATAGAGAGACATTTCTTAAGACACAAAAACATACAAATCGAAGAGAAAAGATCAGTATATTTGACTGCATTTAAGTTAAAATGAAATATCACTTCATAATCATCAATTGACAAAAAATTAAAATCTACTATCAGCAAGAACTGGTAGGGATATAGAATAAGAAGAATTTTCAGACAGTGCTGATGGGGTTATAAATTTGCTCAATTATTTTAGAGAATAATTTGATTATATCCTGTAAATATGTGTGTACTCCATGAGTAATTCCATTCCTAGAGAAATTCTAACATAGACGCCTCCAAAACACATATGTAAGAGGATTCATAACTGCATCCCTGGTAGTAGAAAATAAGGAATCAACCTCAATGCCCTTAAACAGGAAACTGGGTAAATAAATGATGGCATATTAATCCATAGAATATGGTAATTCAGTTGAGATGAATGCAGGAGGCCTACATATATCAAAGTGGATACATCTAAGAAACAACATTAAGAAAAAGAGCAAAATGCTAAATAATATGTATAGTATAATACAATTTAGATGAAGTTTACAAACTGCAAAAATATCATACAGTATTTAGTGTATGTATGCACAATATAAGTACAAAAATATGAAAATGGTAAACACAACGTTAAGAGCAGTGGTAACGTCAAGGAAGGGAAGGAACAGGGTGAGAAAGTAAGGGGCGCCCACATGCTTCAATTATATTTGTAACGGCATTTTTCTTTATAAATGATCTGAAGCTAATAGGATAAAATGTATTTTATGGGCAAAGCTGTGTCATGGTTCCATGGGTATTCATTAGCATTTTTATTTTTATTTTTTTTGAGACAGGGTCTCACTCTACTGTCACCCAGGCTGGAGTGCAGTGGCACAATCATGGCTCACTGCAGCCTCTAACTCCTAGGCCCTAGGCTCAAGTGATCCTCCCAACTCAGCCTCCCGAGTAGCTGGGACTACAGGTGTGCACCACAACACCTGGCTAGTTTTTAAAATTTTTTTGTAGAGACAGGGTCTCCTTATGTTGCCCAGGCTGGTCTCAAAATCCCAGGCTCAGGCCATCAGCCCTTCAACCTCCCAAAATGCTGGGATTACAGGTGTGAGCCACCGTGCCTGGCAGCTTATTCCTTAGACTTTTCTGTGTATACAAAATATTTCCCAACTTAAAAAAAAATAGTATCAGTTTCCTCTAACCACCCAATGCAGAAATTCCTCACTTAATGTTTCTGACAATATCCATTCACCTGTGTGACAAATAGTGGTCTATTTGATCATTTCCAGAATTGGGGAGCTCACTACAATAGAAGATTACTTATTCAGAATGTCCAGGATCTGATCTGAAAAGGATGAGTGCTATTTTTGAGGTTTTTCACGCTTAGATCAAAAGAACAAAAAGATTGGGTGTGGGGGTGGGGAAGAGGGACTCTTCAGCATATAATACATTTGTAGAATTGCAATTAAATATTTCAAAGCCTTAGCTACTTGACAAAATGGAGAAATGTATGGGAACCCTCACGACTCCTGCATTATGAAGGCTGCCATAATATCTATTAGAATCTGCATCCACCCCGCCCATGTGGCTTCTGCAGCATCACTAACCAGTCATTCACAGCTCAACAGGTCACATACCCACCATGCGCCCTGGTGAGAGCAACTCGTTCTTTACTTTTTATAATAGCATAGCTTTTAAATGGGTGGGCATAAAAGAATGCTGTTTTTATAACAATCCTGTCATTGGAAGCTTCTGGTATTCTCAAAATCCTGGGGAGATGGCGGTGGGGAGAGGGAGAATAGCCTTTTACTGAACTTTGTAATGCAGCAATTCTGTTGGTGGGCAGATTTGACAGTTAAAAAAGTTCTTCCCCAAAGAATCTGAAATCTGTCTTCCCTGAAGGCATTTGGACCTGATTCTGCCCTTGGAAGTCCCCACCGTGAGCTTCTTTAGCAAGAGTAAGTGCTTGGTGTGTGTATGTGTGTGTGTGTGTGTGTGTGTGTATCCAAAACACAGACATCCTATACATATTCCCAATTGTGCCCCATATTTTCTAAGCTTTCTGACGAAATGTTTTAATTTCTGAGCCTGCCAAGATTCAGATATGAAGGAACTGCATGCAAAGAAATCACAGATTATAACAAGAATTATCTGAAAAATACATAGACCTTAAGGTGGTTATATTTTTAAAAACATAACCTACTTTAAGTAATTAAAACTGATATATCAATTGTCTGTCACTTCTGGGAAAATTGTACCTTAGGGTCAGAAACATAATTTCACTAACAGATTGTACATTATTATGGTTTATCTATATAGTTGGAATCCAACAAGGTTTCACTGAAAAAAATTATGACACTTTATTTTCTTAAGAGCTGATAATTTATGAAGACCGCTTAGTCGGCATATAGGATATGTTTTATGGGGAATGGAGATTCCATGATAACATTGTCTTTTAGGGGGTTTATGCTGGGTGTTAGCTATGTGGGTAGTTAACTTATAAACAATTACAAACCTAATAGAGAGCAAATCAAACATTGCTCATCTGCTCACGGCAAGAGAGGAGAAAAAAGAAGAAAAAATTGAAAGAGAAAGAAGAAAAAAGGAGAGAAAGAAAAGGGGGGAAGAGCATGAATGCTATCCACTTTAAACAAACAGCAAAGATACAAGGGCAGCAGACTTCTGTCCATGGGCTCTCAGGCCAAGAATCACAGGTACACTTCCCCTCGTCACCCACCAGGATCACGTGAATCTATCCACACACAGGGAAGGCCAGGCTGCACCCTCTGCCAGATGTACTCATCCATAGGAGCTGGTCCTCCAAAGGGAATGCAATACAAGGTCACTTCTGGGTACCTCAATGCATGCACTATTACATCTCCTTAATCCACGTCTAATACTATACAAACAACTATGAATTCTTACAAACCCCAATACTATTGCTTTTGGCCACACTATGGCTTCCTAACTAGACATTAATGGAGTTCTCCAAAACATATCATAACTGTTGGTTTTGCCTCTTAAATCCTGATGTTTTTGCTTCTCTAGTCCAGCCTTCAGCAGACAAGGTCTGTATTTAATTTATGACAATCTCCTCTACCCAGCTTCAAACTGCCTCAGACTGTTCCAACTCCCTTCTTTCTACCCATTTAAGATCACAAGCTCCCGTGGTTCTTTCCAAAAGCCAAATGCTGCCAGGTCGACAAGGTTCACAAAGCCCTGTGGCTTGGGAATGAGGAAGAGTCTTTGACCTTGCTTAAGGGTTCAAGCTCTTTCTAGGTTGACACGGTGCCCTTCTGGGGGAGATTCGGGATGCCATGGAAAGAAGGGTGGCCGAGGGTCAGAGAAAGTGCATTGTACGCTGGCTTTGCAACTGCCTGGCCTGTTATATGACCGTGGCAATATTCTTTAACCTAACTTCCCGCTTCACAAAGCAATTTCATGCACATTACCTTATTTTCTCCTCGCAAAACCTCCACCAACAGAACAAATACAATCACTTATGTTTCTGTATAAAACTCTGAAGTAGCTGTCCATCTCGCTCAGACTAAAATCCAAAGTTCTGACGGAGGCTGATGAGGCCCTACATGACCCTGTCTCCAGCTGCCTCTCAGATCTCATCCCCTCCCCACTCCCTTTTGCTCTTTCCCATCCTGTCACACTGGACGCCTGACTGCTCCTCTAACACATCAGGAATATACCTGCCCCGGGGCCTTTGCACTTGCTATCTCTCTGTCTGTGCACTCTTTCCCCAGATATGCATACTTTGTGATGCTGTCTGCTCAAACATGCCCTTATCAGAGAGATCTTCCCTGTCCACCTTACTAAAAAGTATTGCCTTTCCCTCCAGCCACTGCCCCATTTCTCTCTGTCCCCTTACTTTGCTTCATCTTTCCTCAGAGTACTTATCACATCCTGATACATTATGTATTCATTTCTTTATCTCTGTCACTGTCTGTCCTCCTGCCACTGGAATATAAGCTCCTTGAGAATAGGCACTTGGCTTTGCTCACTGCTATAACCCCATGGTCTAGAGCAGCACCTGGTATATAGTAAATACTCAACAAATAGTTGTGACATTTGAGTTAATGGTGTTACCTCCTAAGTTATATGTGAATAAATTGGGAGTCATGGAGGTTAAATAACTTTCCCAAGGACATAGAGCTACTAATTCACAGCCAATGCTCATGCTTCTCACTGAAACTTGTAAGACCGGGATTCTACTCCCAACTTCTGCACTTGCCAGCCAGGTGACCTTGGGACAATGACATCACTCTGAATCTTGAATTGTATTTAACAATATATGATATGGTTTGTCTCTGTGTCCCCACCCAAATCTCATTCGAATTGTAATCCCCACATGTCGAGGGAGGGACCTGGTGGAAGGTGACTGAATCATGGGGACGGTTTCCCCCATGTTGTTCTCATGACAGTGAGGAGTTCTCATGAGATTTGATAATTGAAAATTGACAGTCTCCCCTGCACTCTCTCTCTCTCCTGCCGCCATATAAGATGTGCTTTGCCTCCCTTTCACCTTCTGCCATGATTGTAAGTTTCCTGAGGCCTCCCCAGCCATGTGGAACTGAGCCAACTAAATCCCTTTCCTTTATAAACTACTCAGTTTCGGGCAGTTCTTTATAGTAGTGTGAAAACAAACTAATACAATACAGCTTTTCAAATGTGCACAGCTTTACAATTTACATAATTCCTTTAGGTCTATATCATGTCTGTTCTTTATAGTCATTACCACTCGGTGAGTTAGGTAGGATGGGTCCATAGTATCCTTTATAGAGAGGAGAAGTTCAGAGGACTCAAGGTGGTGCATTTAGAAAGCATCAGAAGCAAGTTTTCTGACCCAATTCAGGACTCTGAAGTCCTCTCCAGATCTAATGTGTTCCCAGCTTTCCCCACCCCCAGAGGATACCCAATCAACTTTCTAGAACATCAATCCAATTCTCCAAGTTAAACATACCTTCCGAGTTTATCTTTGAAACATTTCCAACATTTGAAGCCGGCTCAGCTTTCCCCTGGTCTCTCCTTCCTCTGAACAGATGGTGTATGTGGAATTTGCACCAGTCTATCTGACGTTGGTAAACTGTCTTGTGTTCATTTTTTCTAAATGATATGTTCTAAACAATATTTGTTGACAGACAAGACATCCCAATATTGTCCACTCCCATGTGTCCAGTGCCATCTGAATGCCAAATTTCTATTTCTGGCCCAGACTTCTCTTCTGAGCTCTGGACCCAACTGCCTAAATGACTTCTCCACATGGATATTTTATAAACACCTGGATTCAACACATCCAAAATTGAACTCATTATCTTTCCCCCAGGCTGCTTCTTTTCCAGTCTTCCCACGCCTTAGTAAATAAAATCACTACCTACCAGTTGTTCAAACTAGACACCTACACGTGGTTCTTTTCCCTTCACCAAACCCAGTGAACGCTCTCCTGAGTAATCTTCAGTCGTATCTACACCTCCTTCTTATCCTAGAAGACACTGTCATCATCTGCTGATGGACTCCCCACTAATGTCTCTGAATATGGTGTTATATCCCCCAACACTCTCCACAGAACATTTTACAATGCAAATCTGATTACGTAGTGCCCCTGTTGCTAAAATCCTCCAGTAACTTTCCACTGGCCTTAAGAAAAAGGTCAAATTCTTAGTCAGGGCTACCAAGCTCTGCATCTCTGCATGATCTAGCTCCTCTTTGACCTTCAACCTCATCTGGAGGAACTCTCCCAACACTTCCTTCTACCATGAAGGCATTCTCTCACCTCCTCCACCTGCTAAATGCACTCTCTGTTAAGAGTGACACAGCAAAGTGGTTCAGGGAATGTGCCTCAAAGTGGAGCTGCCTTGGTGCCAAGCCAGGCTCTACCACCTAATGCCCTGTGACCTTAGAGCCATTGTTTAATCAATTTCCTTATCTGCAAGATAGGGATAATAAAGGCACCTACCTCATAAGCCCCATGTTATAAAGATTAAAACTGCTTCAAACAGGGCCCAGCACTTGGTAAGACATGCAGCATATGCTAGGTCCTCTCAAGTCCTCTCTTCTGCCTTGCCAGCTCCTACTAAGTCTTAGTTAAATGTCAGTTCATCAGCACAGCCTTCCTCAACCCTTTAGACTAGCCTAGCTTCTCCTGTTACACAGTCCCACACCATTTGTGTCACTGAATAAAATGATGATATAAATAATTACTTCCTTGTTTAATGCCAGTCTTTCCCATGGACTGTAAGCTTCATGACGGTGAAAACATATCTGTCTTATTCACTTTCGCATCCACAGCTGCTAGCACAGTGGCTGGCACATAGTAGGTGCTCAATAAGCACTTTTTAAATACATTATTAAATAAAACATCACCTGAGACCATTTGCAAATTCCCTTCAGGTTCACTTTTCCAAAAGCCGCCCCTTATGTACTACACCGAGTACACGATCAACTAAATGTGCTGTCCCACAGAGCTCGATAGTTGTTCCCCTCTATCCAGTTTCCTCCCTCATGGTGTTAGAGCTCCTGGTTTTAACAGGGTCCATAGCTGTCCAGAAGAAAAACTATACTCTCCACTATACTCTCCAGCCTTTCTTCCTGTTAGGAGCGGCCATTGCCTAAGTTCTGGGCTATGGAACACGAGATGTGCAAATTCCAGATCATGCCTTTGAGAGGAAGGAGTGTGCCCTCCCCTTCAATGATCTCCCTTCTCCTCAGTGTATTTTTTCCCAAAATATTTCTAGCTCAACTCCTTCTAAGTACTTAAACCTCATCTCTACTACAATCAGAAAGAAATCAAATCCTGGACTGGACTCAGGTTCCATTTGCCCCTGGGCTTGGTACCAACCAGAGGCCTTCCAGGTAAGCCACGGGAAGCAGGAATCTTCCTCCTTGGCATCCTCGCCCCTTAGGCTTCCCCAGCTCTTTAGGTTACCATACCCAGCTCTGTGTTCATTCGCAGTCTGGTCAATCCCTTTGAGAGTCTATTCATATTTTCTACAAGCGACACTTTTAGGACAAATGAGTGTGTCCATTAGCCTCACTCCTGCTCTCCTCTCCTTACCTTCTCCTCATCAGCTGTTCTGTAAGGACAGAGCATCTTAGGCCAGAAGGTCTTGGGGTCATAGATGAAACTGCAAGAGGAAACGGATAGGCGCTGGGAGATGGCCCAGGGATCCAGGACAGTGGTGGGAAATAGAAAAAATACAAAATGAAAGTGAAAATGGAGTGAGAGGGCAGGGCCTTGAACACGCTTTGGGTGAGTGAGCTGAGTTAGGTAGTTGGAGTTGAGGATTCAATAGGAGAGGAGAAATGCTAGCCAGGAGGCTCGTGAGTGAAGAAAAGTGTTAAGAAGTGACGAGAACTTAAAAGTGAGATTAGTGTAATTACAAGTTATTCCTGCAGATGGGAAGACCCCTGTGAAAGCCCAAGAATGTAGAGACTTTGCTTCCAGAAAGCTGGGCCAATTGGTAAGAGGTGATTGCTGTGGAGAGAGGGGACAGGCCCTGGCTGCTGCAAGAGCAGCTCAGAGACACTAATGGTGTATTCAGATCTACAAAGAGAAAGAGGCCTGAGGCCTGACACTAAGGTCTCCCTCTTGTCAGTGATGCAGGGCAGAGATGACCAAGAACACTTAAGCCTCTTGTAAATAGTTTACCAAGCACTGAGAATTAGTTTGCATCCCCCACCCCCACATTTCCAAAAGAATATTTGATTTAATAGATTGTTTCATATAAACAGGCTTGTTAATGTCAGTTGGGATGGGGAGACCTCAAAGAATGGAGGCAGTGGTTAAACAGGAGCTGGAAGTCTCTTGCCAAATGCTTTTCACATTTGCCTTCTGTAAACAAAGATGAAAACCCTCTGAGTAATGTAAACTTCATGTTCCAAAGTACTATGAGATCTTCAAAGGACGGCTTTATTTATCCAGGCCTATGGATAAGGAAATAGCACACAGTAGGGCCACATGAATCATTTGGAGACTGACTGGTACATGGGAGTTCTGACTTCTAGGGAAAATGCTAACCACAAGTAGAGAGAGAGAATCAAGAAGTTGGGAGTCATGTTCCTATCAATTCTGTTTAAAGAAAAAAAATAAACTGAGGCTGATAGAGTATGAATGTTTGTCTCCTCCAAATCTCATTTTGAAATTGATCCCTGGGCCGGGCGCGGTGGCTCACACCTGTAATCCCAGCACTTTGGGAGGCCGAGGCGGGATCACGAGGTCAGGAGATCGAGACCATCCTGGCTAACACGGTGAAACCCCGTCTCTACTAAAAATACAAAAAATTAGCCGGGCGTGGTGGCATGTGCCTGTAGTCCCAGCTACTCAGGAGGCTGAGGCAGGAGAATGGCATGAACCTGGGAGGCAGAGCTTGCAGTGAGCAGAGATCGCGCCACTGTACTCCAGCCTGGGCGACAGAGCGAGACTCTGTCTCAAAAAAAAAAAAAAAAATTGATCCCTAATGTTGGAGGTAGAGCCTGGTGGGAGGTGTATAAGTCATAGGGGCAGATCCCTCAGGAATGTCTTGGTGCCATTCTCATGGTGATCAGCAAGTTCTCACTCTATTAGTTCATGTGAGAGCTGGTTAAAGAGACTGGGACCTCCCTCTGCCCTCTCTTGCTTCCTCTCTTGCCATGTAACAAGCCCGCTCCCTCTTCACCTTCCACCATGAAAGCTTCCTGAGGCCTCCCCAGCGGCCAAGCAGATGCTGGTGCCATGCTTGTACAGCCTGCAGAACCATAAGCCACATGAATCTCTTTTCTTTATAAATTACCCGGTCTCAGATATTCCTGTATGGCAATGCAAAACTAATTCATACAGAGGCCCAGAGAATAAAAATTGCAGGTCTCATATACGTAAGACACTTTAATTTACTGACCAGTTCCCCAAGACCTGCTCCTCTTTTTGAAATCCAAGCTCTCATTTGAAATATGGGGAATCCAGACAGTGCCTGTACATGCTCAAAAATGTGAAACTGCTCCCTTTCAGCCACTTGGGAACTTTAAAAATAATGTGCACGCAATCATCATACATTAGACAATACAGACTAGAATGTAGATTAACGAGTTTGGGTTCCTCCCCATGATTTGTAATATTCCAAGGCCCTCCTTTGGATATTCCTTGAAATCAATTAGCCTAAAAATGTACTTCTGAAGCAAACAAAACTGCAGAAACAGACTTCTTGACTGAACAGGCTTTTCAGAGGTCATGGTGTCCAAATCCTATCTCCAAGCACACGTATATCAGCCCAAGTTAATGATAAGGACCTACTAACGGCCCTTAGGTAGTTATTTCTTACATTTAACCAAAATGTTGTGCCGAGCTGCAGTGAGGCCCTGTGCTAGAAGCCAAAGAAACAAGGTCAAACAGAAGCTCTCAAAGATAGTTCATCTTGAAGGAAAGATAGGAGTATCAATTAATGCTTTAAAACATCTATAGTAAAATTTCTCCTAAAAGGAATATACAGGTTGCTACAGGGTAGTAAGCAGTTGAATTGTGCTCCACCCACTAAATGATAGGCCCGGGTTCTAACCCCAGGAACCTGTGAATACGACCTGACTTGGAAAAAAAAAAAAAGTCTTTGCAAATGTAACCAAGTTAAGGATCTCAAGATGAGATCATCATGGATTTAGGGTAGGCCCTGAGTCTACTTCCCAGTGTCCTTGTAAGTGACAGAGGGGAGAAGAGACAGATACAGGAGAGAGCCATGTAAAGATGGAAGCAGCGATTGGAGTGGTTTAGCCACAATTTAAGAAATGCCTGGAGCCACCAAGGGCTGGAAGAGGCAAAGATGGATTCTCTCCTAGAGACTTCAGAGGGAACGTGGGCCTGATGACACCTTGACCTTGGACTTCTGGCCTCCAGAACTATGAGAGAATGAACTTGTGTTGTTTTAAGCCCTCCCGTTTGCAGTCACTTGTTGCAGCAGCCATGGGAGATGAATACAAGAGCCAAGAGCTAAGCCTGCCCAGAGAGTGAGAGATGACCTCCCAGAGCAGATGTCATTAGCCCTAAGTTTTCTAGGACAAGAAGGAGTGTGCTGGATAGAGAGAGGGAAAGCAGGTTCCAAGCAAAGAGGCTTTTGCATGTGCACAGCCACCAACGCATGACACACCAAGAGACGCTCAGAGAGCTGCCAGGAGCTGGGAAATGTTCGGCAGAAGAGGCTCATGTCAGGGAGTGGGAGGTGAAGTTGGAGAGGTGGGCCACATAGAGCCTTGTGGGTAAAGCCAAGAAATTTGAAAATAATCTCCTAAACTCTGGAGAGCATGAGAGGATTTTAATCAAGGGAGTCACATAATCAGATCTGCATTCTGGATGGATACCTCTGACACAGTGTGGAGAATGGACTGGAAGGGGGCCTGACAAAGGAGGAGAGACCAGTTAGAGGGTCACTGAAGTAGGCCAGGCAAGTGGTGATGAGGCCCTGAACTCAGGGGATGAGCAGGAAGGGGTAAATACCAGAGATGGTGAGTGGTTCAACCCTGCCATGGTGCTCGTCGGGTGTGGCAAGTAAGAGGAAAGGAGCAATTCAAAACAGCTCCAAAGTTTCTGGTGTAGACAACTGGGTTGTTCAAAAGTGGTGTCATTTAACAAGAATGAACCACATGCATTTATTCTTGTTTTACTTCTTTAACATTATTTTTACTCCACGTATATAGATATGAGATAAACTTTAGTGTTTAAAGTTCTCTGTGGGTCTCGAAGTTCTTTAAACATTCCCTTCCAGAAAGCAGAGGGCTAAGTGATGGTTCCTGTTTGGAGGAACTTTGGCAGGTGGCTAAGGGCAATGCTAAATCCCCCCTACCCTGGGTGCCAACATTGTCATCGGCATTGTGACAACACAGGAATTAAATAGCCAAGAGGGGTCAGTGTAAAAACAGAAAGTTTATAGACCTTCCTGGAAGAAAGCTGGACGATGACACACGGTGGGCTCTGGGGAACTGGGAACTCCTGGCTTGTTTATAGAACTGTTGTTACCAAGACTCACACTGGCAGTCCAACCACCTTCCAGATTTCAAGTTGCCAGACCTTTCTGCTGAATCCAAAACAAGGGAAACTCAGTTAATCTTGAATCCTCTGTCTACCCAATAGGCTGAAAGGACTGAGGGGAACGAGTGTTCCCATCTCCACCCTTCCCCTCAGGACTCAGCTGGCCCAAAGATGCTAACCTCATTTTTCTGGTGATCCACCTCAGGCCCTCCCTCTATCTGCCAGGTCTCCACTTCTGCCAGAGAAAGGAGACAGAAGGAGAGATGTTAAAACTGGAAGAAACAAAATCCAGTATCGGGATCTGGCCCAAAGCCTGTGACTCTGAGTAACTTCCCCGCTTCTCCTCGGCCTGCCTATATTCTCTTACACTGCCAATTGTCTAAAGTTCTGGCCCATTCTTTTCACTTTCCTACAAGTAGATTATCTGCCACTCTACCGGATCACTCCAGAGTTAACTTTGTCTGGCAAAGGCTTGAAGGACACAGAATCATTTTAGCCAAATTCACATTAGACCTCAATCTCTGCTTATGTGTCCGAGTCTCTGAGTCTAAAGGAAGGTCAAGGAGGAAACTCAGATGGAATGCGTTCCCCTTCCTATCCTCCAAACATGGATTAAATTAGAACAGAGAAAGCAGGGAGACTGGCCCCAGCATCTCTAGCTGGAACTAAGGCCGTGGCAGGTTATACACCACGCACAAGAAACACCAGCCAAGCACCACGACTGACAAGCTGGGTGCCACTGCCACCTTTGTTTCCTGCCTGTGTCTCCAGAGAGCTAGAAATAGCATGGAACACTCCAGTTATGGGATAAAGGCTAAAAAATATGCACAACTGGGTTTCAATATGGTGCTCGCTGTGGTCCATAGTTATTGCTATTGTTGTAATAGTAGTTATTGCTGCTCCTTCTGCTCCTCTTTCTCCTCCTATTCTTTCTCTTTATTCTTCTCCTCCTCCTTCTTCTTCCTCCTCTTCTTCCCTTTTAATAAGATCTACTTATTTTAGACACGATTAAGAATTTACATTTTCAGAATTTCAAAGGTGCCCAGTTTGGATTCACAACGTGCGATAGTTAAGAATGTGCAGAGCCACCGTCCTAAACTATATACAACCGGGAAAGCAGGTAAGGAAAAGCATAAAACACATTCCAAATTCAAAGAGCCCTATCAGATTTGTTTGGGGGTTTATGCTGCATTTTCATGATTCAACAAAAGGGTGTGAAGGCATACCCTAGGTTCTGTGGGGAGATAAAGTGACTATCGATGGGAGTTCACTGTCAAATGAAGAATGGTACTAAAGTAAAGAACATCATATTAAAGCATGTATTAAGTGCTCTTCTGTGGATTAATAATATTTTCCATAGGTCAACACTGTTTGTGTGTACATGTTGTAAAGTTGAAAAAAAAAATCGGCATCCAAACAATAAGAAAAATGTTCCCTTTCTCGGAAGTCAGACTGACCCTACTTGTCCTCTAAATTGTTTCCAGAAGTTAAAGTTACTGAAGGGGGTTTCATACATTTTTCGGTCAATCATTTACCAACCGGGACACATTTCTTCTTGGAGCTAAAGCCATAAAGCCACAGCTCACCCTTTGTCCCATTGACTCCCCTGCCAAAACCTGGCCTTAGTCCAACTGATAAAATACCTTCATTGAAGAGCTCTTGATCCATCCATTGCCCCAGAATTCTCTTTCTTCATTAGTGATGGGTTCAGAAGATGTGGACAGTTCCAGGATTTGATACAAGTAACCCACCCATTCCCAGGATGAGATAAATTTCTCCCTAGCCAGAATTGGACCCCAACATCTAAGATGATGACCCATCTATGCTCCAGGACATCTGTTCTCTCAGTGACACATGCAAGAAGAGCAACAGCCTCCTGCTGTCCAGGAAAGGCAACTGTCAATGGGAGAGCTCTTGGACATGGATTAAGTGACCTGACTTCACTCGTGATTAAGCGGTGACAAAAAGGCAATTCTACGAAAGCTGCCCCTCTATGCTGGTGATGTGTTGAGGGTCATATCTGTGTAATTCCTGCAGACAGCACAAAAGCATGGGCAAAGAGGAACCCAGAAACCGAATAAAGATCTTGAGCTTCTGGTAATCTATCCACCTGATATAATGCTCCTGAAATAGCCCAGAATTCAGGAGAAAAACATAAGCACAAGTATGTTCGTGACATGTTTAACCATTGGGTAAGGACTAATAAATCCACATGATAAAATATTGGGCAACTATTGAAATAATATTAATAAACCATATTTAATAAGATTGACAACTTCCTATGTTCTGAGACTAATTTTTAAAATCATGATACAAAGTTAAGTATTCAACAATATTACAATTTACATTAAAAAAGGGTTATAGTGGTCTGCCTAGGAGATGAAATAATAGCTGATTTACTTTTCTTCTTTATTCTTTACTTCCCTTCTTAGGTTTTCCACACTTAGCACATATTATTTTTATACTCCAAAAAATAAAAGCTATTTAATTTGACTAAGCCATGGTCTAGGGGGCAGGTGATAAACTCCTTGAAGGAGGATGTGCTGAGCCAAAAGGTGGCCAGATCCCAGAGTTATTGTGTTAATCATTGACCCCTTCCTCACACTCAAGCACTGGAGGTGGGAGGCTGCAGTGTGGCCCCTGGCTCTTTCCATCCTGCAGTCCAGTCTCTCTGGTTGTCAGCACGCTGTTTCATGACTCACTACAGGCTGCTGGGTTGGTCACTTCCCTTAAAATAACCCAGCTGGCAAAGAGCACACAGTGGTGCTAGGAGGATTAATTCATTCATGTTTATAGATAAGCATGCTGAGATTCTTGGATGGGAGTCTTTCCATGCTGAGAAGTGCAAGTATTCAGCTGAGTACATTTCCAGGGCAAATTTCCTGCCACAAATTCTCTAAACTCAGTGCAGATGCCCAAATTCAGGAGAAAATTTATGTAAGCTGGCCGATAGACCATGCACCATTATAATAAAAATGAATTGGATGTCAAATGTCTACAGGCAACTGAACACTACCATGTCTAGCCTTCCTGGAGAATCACGAAGCTGTATCCAACAGGCCCAGAGGTGGACAAACTCTGGGCCATTGATGGGCAGAAGAATTTCTTGGCCCTGGTTGGGCAGTAACTCTTCCAAGCTTATGTAAAATATCTCCCACCACAGTTGCATAAATGGCCCAAAGGTGCTGTGGAAATCAATACAGGCCCACGGCCCTAGACCAAGCATAAATGAAACCATGATGCAGAAAAGCATGAATGTGGCATCAGAATGCTGGAAAAACCTGAGAAGTATTTTTTAGGAAAAGCACCAGCATCAGCTCCCAGATGTGGAATTGACTTTGGACAATCTGTGGATAAAGAATGACTGGTAAAGCAAACCATCCCACCGCAAAGGCCAGCATTCAGCTCAGGCTGTGCTGCAGCCAGCTTCTGACAGGGAGAAACAACAGGCATGAAGAGTATGTGGGAACTGTGCAGAAGCCCAGCACAGAGCAAGCCCTTGGATTGCTCTTCCTTCCCACACCTCCTACCAGTTGGAGGACAAGCTGGGGACAAGCTGGTGCGCATTTGTCAGAGAAAATGGAATGCCCAAATTGACCCAGAGGGTATGGAATTGCATAGCAGAGGTTCTCTTCTAATCGTACCTCAGGGATTTCCCCTGAAAGCCAAGGTAACAGAAATAAGGAAGACCCCAAGGGAGTTGGTTTTGGACATCTTGTCTCAGAGGTTTGTTCTAAAGAGATTAGAGATGTAGAAGCCTAGTTAAATTACAGATCACCTCCCTCCCTGCAACACCCTGATCCAGTTCCCCAAACTTGAAGGCTCTGTAAGATACGTAAGTAACTTAACATCCTGAGCTTACCCTTCCCATGAAAGCACCCAATCCTCTTGCCTCCAGAGTTAGCACCTCCACTGACCCTATTTTCAGTGTGTATTTCACCTTGTACTCCAGATCTGGCCTGGATGGAATGACAGCGCATCATTCTCACTGTAGGCAGGAGCCTAGGAATATTAAATACATCCATTGATCTGATCTTGGATGTTCAAAAAAACAAAAGTGGAAATACAGATCCTGTGTTCTTGGGGAATATTACGGATTAAGTTGGCTCCCAAATGGAGCCAACTCTAAAGAAGTAACCCAGGGAACTGTTGACTTACATCAGCTTTCCTCTGGACTTTGTTCCCAATTATTCATGACAATCTCACTTGGGCTGCCCCATCTGAAAGAAGAGCGGACCACATGGGCAGGCTTCTTTCTTTCCAGTAAGGTTTGGAGAATCAGTAAGGAAACCACTAAACACATGGAAGTCCGGGATGGGGGAGCTGAATGTTAGCACAGATTCAGATTGCTATTTCTTGTCATCTTGGCATTTGGGTTTATGGAATAAATAAAAAGCCAACATGTCTAAATGGCAATAGCTCGAGAGGGAAAGAACACAAATGTGCTCCACGTTCTGAAACATATTCTTCAGAATGTAAGGACATGTCCCTCACTGAAACAGAGCAAAAACATCAAACGTTAGCAAGCCTAAGTAAGGGGGAAACTGCCAAAGGGCATCTTTTAGATGTGGTGCCTCCTCAAAGACCCCACATGATCAAGGCAGGAAGTTTATGGTCCTTCTGCTGCTGAACAGAAGTGCCCAAGGCACAGGAACAGCCCCTGGGATACTTCAGAACAGGGGTGAACAAGGGTTTGGAGCATGTTCCCCATTCTATCATCTGTCACTTCCCAAAAACGTAGTTCACCCAACGTCCATAGAAATTCCTGGAGTCTGCTTTGGAGATGACAAAGCCAACAGTCGAGTAGTAGAAAGAACAAAGGAGGTGGGGGGAGGAAAGCACATGTTTATGCGAGGTAAAGGATTAAAATTAGTGCCAATCATTTTCCTGTTTACCCCCACATCTGCCATTTCCTGGTCTAATACATAATGTAAGCAGAGTGGATCTCCGAAGGGACACTTCTCAGAATCCCTTGCCAACTGGCTTCCGGCTAGATTCAGTCAATGGAAGGTACTGGTGCCAGATTGGCAGGTAGATAGATGGAAGGGGAACCCAGAGCTTCCCTCTCCTCTCTCTATGTGCTTCATGCAGTGGCTGTAACTCTTCATACTTCCATTACTTGCTGGACTGCCCTTCCCTTGGCGGCCCCAATTTCCACCGTGCAGTTTCCTGCATGGTTCCAGTTCCCACTAGAGGACCTGGCGCTGGGCCACCTCCTACTGATGGGAGGTACCGCAGCTTCCTGCTGATGCTGTCTCTGGGTTGCTTGCCCATCCTTATTTAGCTTGTCAGCCCTTCTGACACCTTCCTAGCTAGCTCCGTGTATTAAATTCCCTCCACTGAACTCCAGGATTGCTGATTGTCTGACTAGATCTTAACTCATGCACTTTAGGACTTAGGAGACCCTGATACCGTTAGTGTCTGCTCCAAATTCCCTAAAAGCTTACCAGGATAATTTTGAGTCCAACTTCCAACTGCCAGCGCCTTCACTTCTTTGCCTAAAGGTTTCTTTTTGGTGGCCTGAGCCTTCTCTTCCCATGTGCACGTTCAAGGCAGACTAGAAGTGCAGGAGAATTAAGACACACACACTCACACACTCACACACTCACAGTTGGAGCTGCCCATAACAGTGACTGACAGGACCTCACATAAACTCAGCTCTCTCACTGTTCTGGTTTGAATATATGAGTCCCTGAAGAATTCATATGTTGGAACTTAAACCCCAAGGTGATGGTGTTAAGAGACAGGGTCTTTAAGAAGTGCTTAAGTCCTGAGGAGCTCTGCCCTCATGAATGGATTCATGATCTGAAAAAAGAAGGAAGCACTCTAGTGTCCTTTTGCTGTTTGGTCTTCTGCCATGTGAGAATGCAGCAACAAGGCACCATCTTGGAAGCAGACAACAGCCCTTATCAAATATTGAATCTGCCAGTGTCTTGATCTTAGCCTTCCCAGCCTCCAGAACTGTGAGAAATAAGTTTCTGTTGTCTAGAAATTACCCAGTCTAAGGTATTTCACTGTAGCAGCAGAAACCAACTGAGACACTCACCCCTCATGCAATACCACTCTAAAGTGCACGTTCTGAATCAGCTCCCAGAATTCCCAGGAGAACTAAGCTCCGGTTGAGTTGTCCACGGTGGTAACCTGATTGACCAAGCACCCCTTCTGGGCTGCCTTCCCTTGTCTCTCTCACTTGCTCACTCCACTACTGGAGAGTCTACCTCCCCCAGAATTTTGCAGTTGAATCACTGGCTCAGGGTCTGCATCTGGGAGAATCCAAAGTAAGGACATTTTTTTTTTCAAGCTAGTTCTTTATTCTTTATGAAAGTTAAAGTAATGCTTGGAAATAATGTGGGGTCCATTCAGTGACAGGACTGCAATGATTTGGACAGTAAGCCCCTTCTCACCAGCTAGAGCATGGCTGAGCAGGCTGTGGTGGTGGATGGAGAAGGAGGTTTTTGCAACCTCTAGCTGGGCAATGATTGTCAGAAGCGCATAGTCTCAAAGCCTCTGTGTCTCCATCCACAAAAGGGCAATCCCGTCAGTTTTCTTTGAAAGCTCCTTTTGACCATCATATCAAAAGAATCGCAGGGAGCCAGAACACATTTTGACCCTGGAGGAATTTTTTAAACCAGCACTTTTGAGTTTCTGGCACATTAAGGGAGAAAGAGCAAGGGAACCTGGAGGGCATGTGTGTGTTTCCAGTGAATTCTAAGGAAGTGAAATAACGACCTTGGCCCAGACAGCAAAAGACAAATTTAATTTACGTGCTTCTGGCCATATATGGAAAAATCATTTAAACCAAAAAAAGAAAAGTCCAAACTACAAGTCAATTGTGCCTAACATCTCACATCCCAATGGTATGTGCTGGCCTCTCCTAGCAACTACGCTATTCCAACATTCCCAATCATTGCACATATTTGGGTCTTGTGTTTTCCCAGAAGCCATGAGGGTCTGGTCTGAAATACCATCCTGAATCTGCCCAGCCTTAGCTCCGAGTCTGGATCCACAGCTTCTCCTCCCCCACTGCTCTCTCATTTCACAGGCTGCCCTGTCTCTCTCTATAGCTTTGCTTCCATAACCCAGGCCTCAGGGCTCTCCTTATTTGTAACTTCCTAATTTAGACCCTGGCCAGTAGAAATGTATACAGTGAGCAGAGGAGAAGGTCTTATTTTAGCCAGAACTCCTGATGCTAAGAATCAACTCTCAGTTGAAGTGGACCAGGGCCCCCCATCTGATGGCCTGGGCCACCCGAGGAGTCTACTTGGGATGCGTAATTCACAGGCTCCGTGCAGGGAGATGTTTATGGACGCATTCTACACATCTCTGGCATCCTTCTCCATGAAGCCCGAACCACGCTGGAGATTGTAAGTAAAGCAACGTCTCCTGGATTAGAAGTTGTAGGGTTTATTTTTAAATACCAAGGATTTACAAGGGTGCCCATGATGAGAAACCCTCAGTGCCCTCCTACCATGCACACTCACATACACACGTGTGCACAAACATGCAGAGACGGCAATAAGAGAGAGAGAATATACACACTGGGGCAGATGCACTGTAAGGCCCAAGAGAGAAGTCCGTGGGAGGCCCAAAGAGCAAGTGTGGAGGAAGCCAGCCCACCTGGCACTTTCCTAGCCCACAGTTTCCACAGGCTGTTGCCATCCCCAAATAAATTCCTGCAACTTTAAAACTCACTATTTATCTTTTTAAGCTTTCTGCTCTTGGCTGTCTGCTTTACTCTTAAATCTCTGTTGAACATAAAAGTTTTTTTGGTTTTTGGTTTTGGGTTTTTTTTTTTTGTTTTTTTTTAAGAGGCAGAGACTCGCTTTGTCACCCAGGTTTCAGTGCAGTGGCACAATCACAGCTAACTGCTGCCTCTAACTCCTGGGCTCAAGCCATCCTCCTGCCTCAGGCTCCCGAGTAGCTGGAACTACAGGCCCATGCCACCATGCATAGCTATATTTTTTAATTATTTTGTAGAGACACGGTCTTACTACGTTGCCCACGCTGGTCTCAAACTCCTGAGCTCAAGCAGTCTGCCCGCCTCAGCCTCCCAAAGTGCTGGGATTACAGGCGTGAGCCACTGCGCCCAACTTAGGAAGTTCGTTATGCAGCTGTTCCCAAACTTTCTTGGTTCACAGTACCCTTAAGGTCCCAGCAACTTTTATGCAATGCTCTTAGGCTAAAAGAAATACTTAACAGTTCCATGTGTTAAGTAGTTAAGTCCAAATAACTTAATAAATATTTATGTCCTAACAAATTAATAGCCATTGGGGAAAATATGCGTAAATTGAAATAAACAATAATAATTTATTTCATTCTTAAACCTAATTACTAGCTAACAGGATGTGTGCACCTGTTAGAGAACTTCCAACTTTTCTAATCTTGGTATCAGATTGAACAGCAACACTCATGCTTCCTGTTCCACAATGATTTTGTGCAGTTCTCACTGGCTGCAACCACAGAAAAGTCAGCTTCACTAAAACATGATGACATTAAAAAACAAAGTACTGGCCGGGCACGGGGGCTCACGCCTGTAATCCCAGCACTTTGGGAGGCTGAGACGGGTGGATCACGAGGTCAGGAGATTGAGACCATCCTGGCTAACACGGTGAAACCCCGTCTCTATTAAAAATACAAAAAAATTAGCCGGGCGCAGTGGCGGGCGCCTGTAGTCCCAGCTACTCAGGAGGCTGAGGCAGGAGAATGGCGTGAACCTGGGAGGCAGAACTTGCAGTGAGCTGAGATCGCGCCACTGCACTCCAGCCTGGGCGACAGAACGAGACTCTCTCAAAAAAATAAAAAATAAAAACTAAAAACAGTACTATAGAACATTGACACTGCTGAGGTAATACTGTGTGGCGGTGTACGGATGTCAAGCATTGCTGGGCTTCCCTAAGAAATGTTTAGTAATTCCATGTCACTTCTGTGAGTTTCCTATGGCACCCTGGGGTGTCTCGGGTTATTGGGAACCACGATCTGATGAAATCATTTGTCCATGACTTTCGTATGTGTGTGTGTGTGCACACGTAAATAAACCCACAACCAGAGCCCAGAACAAATATGAATTTATACGTGAATAAAAATGCATGAGAAAAGACCTGGAAGGGCACAAACCAAACTGCTAGCTCCGGCTGCTTTTAAGGAGACAACATTGGGAGGAAAAGAGGTAGGTCCAGGGAGGCGTTTGTCAGAATTTTTCTGAAGATGCTTTCATGTATAACTTGTGTAATTATAAACAACAACAACGACAACAACAAACAACCTTGCCATGTAAGAGAGTGCTAAATTCTGTTTAGAAAGGGTCAGTCCCAAACTCCAACACACTGTGGGTACACTGTGGATGAGCGCTTCTGGCTCACTCACTGAAATTCCTTACGGCATTTTTTTCAAGAGCCTTTCTTCCTTTCTCATTTCCCAAGGCAGCAATTCTCCGGAGGTGGTAGTCAATCAGAATCACCAGTAGCCATTCCCTAACTGCCTCTGCTACCACCTCCCCAGAGTCCAGCTGCTCACAGTCCACTCACATTGCGGTGTGATGTGGTGGCCGTGAAGGCTGGCTCTCCCTTTGGTGGTTTGGAGCTGCTGCTTGGAGGCTGCTAGGCAAGGACTGTATTTCCCTGCCTTCTGCTCATCCAGGTGGAGCCTTGTGGCTGGTTTCCGCCAATGAGGGGAAGGGAGGCAGGATCCAGTTCTAAATTGAAGTCCTAAAGTACCCCTAAGGAGATCCACATCCTAGACTGCCCACATCTCTACCCATACATTTCCTTGCTACATCCATTTCTCTTCTCCTACTCACCCATTTCTCTTGGCTGGGGTGCCCCAGGGAGTGACTGGGGATGTGACTGGGACCAGAGGTGAAAAAGGAGGCCACTCCATGAGAAATTACAGAGAAGGGGCAGGGCGGGTGGGGGGCGGGGGCGCGGGTAGAGAAAGAAAGAGAGAGAGAGGAGCCAGAGACAGAAACCATGCACTGTCAAAAATAAAAAATTAAAGCTAAAGTTTAAAAAATAGTACATAAAATTGTCAGGGGGCAGCCTTCAGCAACAATTCCACTTTTGTGACACAGGTTCCAGGGAGCTACATGTCCCCTGAAATGAAGTGTCCTTATTACCAAATATGAGAAGGCCAAGGGGCAGTGTGCACAGATCCTCTGAAGCACAGGACTGCAGAGCTGAACCAACCCGCAGCTTCTCAGCCCTTATCAGACCGGCTCAGGGACTGGTCTGAGAGCACAGGGGCTTGACTCCCCAACCGCCCTTCAGCTTGGGACAGAACCCAGGCCATTTTCTGCCAATTCTTCCTCAGCTCATGCAGGCGTACAGGAGAGAACAAAGGTCCCAGGTATCCTAATTCAGCCCTTAATAGCCAGAGTCCATGAAATGCCCATATAATAAGGATGCTTAGGGCCCTTAACCACCAGGCCATAAACAGATTTCAGAAACATAACCAGGCTCACATCTCACCTCAGCTTCTCTTTTACTACAAGAATCTCTGGCAAAATAAGGCTCTTTCTGTGCCTCAGTGTTTCCCTTTGCCAACGAGAAACCCTAAGAAGAGGCTGCGATAATTATTTTGATTCTTTATGTTTTTGACCCTCAAGTGGTTATTCGGTCATTTAGTGCCTCAAAAGAGGGCACGAGGGAACTTCATCTACTCAAAGAACTGATAAACCACCCGAAGCCTGCGTGGAAAGCCTGGACCATGTCTCCCTGGGCCCAGAGTAAGAGGCAAGAGGGACCCTCATCCCCTGCTCAATGGGACTCCCTTCTCCACCCACGCGCATGCTCCAACAATGTCCCAGCTTCCTGTTGCTGTTGTCACAGCCTCCGCAAAGGCCCAACAATTATGCATAATTTATTCCACGTGTTTGTTTATTGTGCCTGCCAGAGGCGTCTGTCGTAAATGTTTCAGTGCTTTAACTTTAGATGAGTTTTCTTTTGAAATAATTGTCCCCAGGGTGATGAACTGAGCAGTAAATTAACACCCCTCTATCCACGGCCTCCTCTAGGCTCCTGTCCCCTTCTAGCTGCAGTGCTCAACATAAAACATTCATTAAATGAGCACTGCAGGTGGCTTAGGTAGGGATGGGGGCCCCGGGGCCTGCGCACTGGCTAAATCAATATGTAGGTGACAAGTTCCATGAAGAATCTCCCAGGACTAGTTAAATAGGATTTTGTTTTAAAGTCCTTTCAGTGATATGTTTCATAGAAGTATGAAACCTACATTTGCCATTAGCCCCCCATCTCTACTTGTTCATGTTCTTTGCATCTTGACACAAAAATATATCTTTGCTCCTCTTTGAAGCTTTCTGTTATCTGAGCCCATCTGTGTCACTCCAATGACACCATCACTCAGACATGGTCCCTCTCCTTGTCTCCCTCTCACACACACACACACACACACACACACGCAAACACAATCTCACACCACTGGCACACTCACCCATCCACACACATACATACTAACACAATCTCACACATGCTCATGCCACTGACTCACTCTCACACACCCGCTCAAACACTCTCAACAGTTCAGGGATGGTCTGAAAAACTGACCATTGGTGTATTTATTCATTATGTCAGGGGTGAGCATTCCTGTGCTTCTTGTCAAATTTTTATTTCTCTTCCCCGATAGCCTCTCCAACCTCCAACCAAGGACCCCACTTGTAAATGATTTGTGGCTAGTGGGTTCTAAAGTTACATAGACTTATTGCCTGGACTTTCGTGCCAGCGCTTTGCCGGTTGCTTTCAGATAGATTCTGCTGTTCCTTTCCTCTGCTCTGTGCTGACCCCAAAAACTATATTTCCTTGAATAACTCATCAACTGACTTTTGGTTAGGTCTGGCCAATGGGAAGTAATGATGGGAGCCTGGGGGGCAGAAAAGGGAAATCCAGGGTATTTCTCCTTTACTTCTTCTATCTGCTTCAGATGGCATCTCCTCTGGGATTCCAGCTCCCACTGGGTGGTCCTGGCTCCTGGGCTCTGGTAAGGCCAGCTCTGCTCCTGTCCTTGCAGCCCTAAGGTGGTGCCCACTTCCTGCCATGCTAATCTCTCTACTGCCTCACTGTCCTGCTTGCCTCAACATCCCTTCTTCTAACACCTTTAGAATTAGCTCTTCGTATTGTCTCTGCTGACCCACGTAGAATGAGTTTTGTCTTCTTACTGTACTCTAATAGAAAGTTTATTGGAAGCAAAGGAGGCATGAGCTGAGAAAGTGCTGAGTGAATGGTTACAGGGATGAGAGGCAAAGAACAGCACTGCTCCTCAACCTGCCAGCTCCAGCACCTTGCCATCTGCACTCAACTTAGAGCTTTACCATCTTGTAGGAACAGAGAGAATTGGTGACCTGCAGGGAAACTTAAGAAAACCTCCAAACGTGTCCGGGATACAGCAGTCTAGAAAAGATTCAAACTGATTTAGGAAAAAAAAAAAAAATCCACGCTATTCTTTTATTAAAAGTTCCGGACTCAGTATTCTTTCTTGAAAACACAATCTATACCTATATTTATATTCCTGAATTTTCCCTACTGTCTGTTGAACTCTAGCAGTAAACTGAGCTAATTCTCCCCACTGTTGTCCTCAGTGGAAATAGAACATCACCCCACTAAAATTTACACAAAACCACTAATGTGGGGTAGCGAATTTGTCTCTCACCCATCTTTCCAGTGAATACCACAGTCCTTTCTGCCTTTAGTTTAGGAAAGAAGAATCAAACATGACTTTTTAGGAGTGTTTGAGGATCTATTGAAGGAAAACTTTCAGCAGACACAGGAGCAAGAGGTTAAAAGCATTGCTTTTGAGTCAGACTGCCTGGCTTCGACTCTGGCTCTGCCATGTATTATCATTGATCAACTTATGTTCCCCTATAGACCTCAGTCTTCTCATCTGTGAGTTGGGGATCATAATGGAAATAATAAAGGAAATAATACCTGTAAAGCTTTGCACATTACATACAATAAGCACTCCATAAATGTTACTTATAATTTTATCATTATTAACATCCTCCTATGCCCACATCCTTGAAAATCAATAAGAGAAGGTATAAGAGCTAAGTTACTACCATATAAATAAATAAGAGACAGTCCAATCCCCCAAACCAATGGGTTGATGACCAACATCATCTCTGCACATCAGCAAAGACTGACTCTCAGAACTGGAGAGGCTGTGTAATCTAATCTACCTGCATGACAGCTGAGGTGGAAGAGACCCAGAAGGCTCAGCTGCCTGGTAATGGTACCATAACTCCTACCCCGGGGTCCTTATATATGGTTATCACCTCATTACAGTACAGAGCATTTCATTACAGATCAGTGTCATGTACATGAGATGTGAATTGTTTTCAGGGAAGCTGATACAGTTTGGATATTTGTTCCCACCCAAATCTCATGTTGAATTGTAATCCTCGGTGCTGGAGGTGGAGACTGGCGGGAGGTGTTTGGATCATGGGGGTGGATCCCTCATGGCTTGGTGCTGTCTTTGCAAAAGTGAGTGAGTTCCTGTGAGATCTGGTCATTTAAAAGTGTGTGGCACCACCTCCCCTATAACTCACTCCTTTTTCTCTCTCCTGCTTTCAGTATGTGACGTGCCTGCTCCCCCTTCGCCTTCCACAATGATTATAAACTTCCTGAGGCCTCCTTAGAAGTCAAGAAGATACCAGCACCATGCCTTTTCTAAACCCTACAGAACCATGAGCCAATTAAACCTCTCTTTTTTAATAAATTACTCAGTCTCGGGTATTTATAGCAATGCAAGAATGGCCTTAGAGGGAAACCTTATAGAGAGAGTTTTAAACAAACCAAAAAAAAAAAAAAGCAATGGCCTACAGCTAACATGAGACTTACAGTGACTTAATGGTGAAAAACTAAATTTTTTTCTCCTATGGTCAAAAACAAAGCAAGGAAGTCCATTCTCACCACTTCCTTTTTTTTTTTTTTTTTTTTGAGACGGAGTCTCACTCTGCCACCCAGGCTGGAGTGCAGTGGCGCAGTCTCGGCTCACTGCCAGCTCTGCCTCCCAGGTTCATGTCATTCTCCTGCCTCAGCCTCCCCAGTAGCTGGGACTACAGGTGCTTGCCACCACGCCCGGCTACTTTTTTCTTTTTTTTTTTTCGAGACAGAGTCTTGCTCTGTCCCCCAGGCTGGAGTGCAGTCGTGCAATCTCGGCTCACTGCAAGCTCTGCCTCCCGGGTTCACGCCATTCTCCTGCCTCAGCCTCCCAAACAGCTGGGACTACAGGCGCCCGCCACCACGCCCAGCTAATTTTTTGTATTTTTAGTAGAGATGGGGTTTCACCATGTTAGCCAGGATGGTCTCCATCTCTTGACCTCATGATCCGCCCACCTCGGCCTCTCAAGGTGCTGGGATTACAGGCGTGAGCCACCGCACCCGGCCTCACCACTTCTATTCAGCATTGTACAGGAGATTCCAATCAGGGCAATTAGGAAATGGGTGGAGCAAGCAGGGATAAAATATATCCAGATTGGAAAAAAGAAGTAAAACTATCACTATTCACAGATAACATGATCTCACAAATAGAAAATCCTAAGGAATCCATTAAAAATTATTAGAACTAATAAATGAGTTCAGAAAAGTTATGGGATACCAGATCAATATAGAAAAATCAATTATATTTCTATATACTGGCAGTGAACAGTCCAAAAATAAAATCAAGAAAACTATATTTTCAATAGCATCAAAAAAATAAAATAATTATCAATAAATTTAACAAAATATGTACAAGACTTGTACACTGAAAACTATAAAACATTGTTGAAAAAATAAAAGGTCTACGTAAATAGAAAGATATACCACATTCATAGAAGACTTACTATTGCTAAGATGGCAATTCTTCCAAAATTAGTCTATAGATTCAACTCAATCCCTAGCAAAATCCCAGCTTGCTTTCTTATAGACATTGACAAGTTAGTCATGAAGTTCATATGGAAATGCAAAACACCCAGAATGGTCAAAACAATTTTGAAAAAAAAGTACAAAGTCAGAGGACTCATACCCCCAATTTCAAAACTTACTATATAGGCACAGCAGTCAAGATAGGGTGGTACTACATAAGAACAGACATATAGATCAATGGAATCTAATTGATGTCCAGAAATAAACTCTTACATTTATGGTCAATTGACTTTTGATAAGGGTGTCAAGATAATTCAGTGAGGAAACAGTCTGTTCAACAAATGTTGCTGGGACAACTGAATATCTACATGCAGAAAAATACATTTGAATACCCTCCTTAAATCATACACAAAAATTAACTCAAAATGGATCATAGGCCTAACTGCAAGTGTTAAAACTATAAAATTCTTAGAAGAAAAATTAGAAATATCTTAATGACATTGGATTAGGCAATGGTTTCTTAGATATAACACAAAAGCATAAGTAACAAAATTAGATAAATTGAACTATTTCAAAATTCAAAATTTCAATAAAGTGAAAAGACAATCTACAGAATTAAAGAAACTATTTCTACATCATATTATTTGATAAGACTGGTAATCCAAATATATAAAGAATTTCTTATATCCCAAATATATAAAGAACTTCATATATTCCAAATATAAAAACAACTCTTACAACCTGATAACCAAAAGCCAATTAACCCAATATTTTTAAGAGGCAAAGGATTTGAATAGATATTTTTCCAAAGAAGACATGCAAATGACCATTAATGACCACTAATGAAGTTCACATCATTAATCATTAGGGAAATGCAAGTTAAAACTACAATGAAATATCACTTCACACCACTGGGATGGATAAAATGTAAAAAACAGATACTAAGTGTTGGTGAGGATGTGGAGATGCTGGAAACCTCCTAAATAGCTGGTTGGAATGTAAAACAATATAGCCACTTTGGAAAAATAGCATGGCAGTTCTTTAAAATGTTAAACATAGAGTTACCATATGACCCAGCAATTCTACTCCTACGTATATACCCAAGAAAAATGAAAGCATACGGCAAAAAAAAAAAACTTGTACCCAAATGTCCATTGCAGCATTATTCCTAATAGCCCAAAAGTAGAGACCACCCAAATGACCATCAACTGCATCGATAAATAAAATGAAGCAGATCCACAATATAGAATATTATTTGGCAATATAAAAGAACGAAGTACTGATATATGCTACAATATGAATGAATCCTAAAAAAATGTTGCGAAGTGAAAGAAGCTAAGGACCGCATATTCTATAATACCATTTACGTGAAAGTCCAGAATAGGCAAATCTATAGAGACAGAAAGTAGATTAGTTGTTACCCACGGCTTGGCAACTATTGGGTACAGGGTTTCTTTTTCGGATAATAAAAATGTTTTAAATATAAATTGTGTAGATAATTGCACACATCTGTGAATAAGCTAAAAATTATTCATATATATGCATATTGAATTGTGCATATATAAAAATATGCATATTGAATTGTGCATATATAAAAATATGCATATTGAATTGTGCATATATAAAAATATGCATATTGAATTGTGCACTTTAAATGGGTGAATTTTAGTGTATAAAATTAAATCTCAATAAACATGTTTAAAAAGTAAACGGACTTGGTATCTTTAAAATTAAAAAGGAAAAAGAAAAGCAAACAGGCCTTGGGGATCAGGCAGAGCTGGGTTTGATTACCAGCTTCCCCACAACCAGCTACGTGGTCTTAAGCAAATTCGCGCACCACTCTGGGCCTCAGTAAATGGTAGCTTTTTACCATTCAACAGGAAGGAAAGTAAGGAGAGGTGAGGATATGCAGCATCAGGATTACAGTGAAGGCAGAACCAAGGTGATCTTCTGGGGTGAGACAAGCACATCCAAGACCACCAGCTAGAATTTGATTCTTTAGTCCCTGTCTATTCCTCAGAAGCAGGTGCCTTTCCTAAACATTCCACATGCAATGATGCCCCTGCAGCAATGCTATGCGGTGGGTATTGACTACAACTCTTCCTGCAGACAAGAGCAGCATCCACCTTTATCTCCCACCTATGGCTGGATTTGGCAAGAACAGAAGCATTAACAATGTTAAAGAAACTGAGGAAACACAAGAAGGATCCTGACAATCAAATTCTAGACCATTTTTATCTTACACTACTCATTTGAGAAGGTCATTTCCCCCCAGTGCCCATAAGGCATTAGATGCTTTGAGCTTTGCATTCTCAACAGTGTAATGAAAATAGATGTTGAATGCTAAAACATAAACATATGTATCATTCATAATGCATTCAGATGTTTTTTAATTATTCATGGTTCCTGAAAGTTATTTGACCAATCATGCATATATACCCAAGCAATGTTTATATTAGAACCACAGCCTCAGTGTACACAATTCCGGTTCCTTGGCATTCCCGTCTATGGAATTAAAATTCAATGAGTCAGTGGTCAATAAAAGTTACATGTGATTTCCATAAAATTATCCATTGTATATTGCTATGGGGTGGAGAAAGAAGTTTGCACGGCGTTGCCGAAGCTGACAGAACACAGAATGCTTGCTTTCTGATGAGGGTGGCGGTGATGATTAGTCTTTCCTAAGAATGAATTCATTATTTCCCTGAATAATTGGTGGTCTTGGACTTGGTCTTCGTCTAGGAAAAAAAATAACTCAGAGGGCCACCCTCTCTGTTCTGTTTAAGTTCTGTTTTCTTAAAAAAAAAAAAATGCCAGCATTTTGGGCTCGAAAACACCACATTCTTCTGTTTTGATGCTTGCATAAATTTGCATGTTAACATGAATGGTTCCAACTTAAAGAATGTGAAATGAAATGAAATTTGAATTCAAATCCAAGATGGAGAAAAGACACATCTAAAAGCAACAGATTTTCAATCTAGTGGAATTTTTTTTCAAGAACCAGATTAAGAAAGACATAAACTCTCCTCTCTCTCTCTCTCTCCCCACCCCTCCTCGCTTTCAAAGACAGGTGGCACACAGAGACAGGTATCCCAAAGAGCATCCCCATGTCCCCCCAACATACATACTCTGAGTTTTTTTACGAACCACAGCACAAATTCTGAAGCTCTGTTTTAATGACTGCATGCCACCATGAAACTGAGAGACATGACTCAGAGGACATGGTCACCATCATGTTTCCACGTTTGGAGGTCCACCAAGATAAAATGAAATGTAAGGAACATTGCACAAGTAGCTTGAGCAAATACAGGCATGTATTTGCCACTGCAGGCCCTAAGAGCCATTTCTTGTTCTATCCTTTGATTTTCCCATTGCAGTTGAAGGCTGTATGGCATAGCGGTTAGAGGCACAGACTAATAGACCTGCAGTGGAATCCCAGATCCACCTACCATTTACTGGCTGTGTGACCTCTGGCAAATGACTTAATCTGTGGACATAACTTTTTTCATGAGCCTTCATTTACATAGCAATAGTACCAGCCTCACAGACTTATTGTGAGATAATGTAATACACTTAGAACAGTGTCTAACATAGAGCAAGCGTTCGATAAGGATTAGCCGTGGTGGTGGTTGGTCTGGTGGGGTATTGAATGTTATTATTATTCAATATTTAGATGATGGTAGGAATCAGGCCTGAAACTGTTTCTCCTCTAACCTGCCCTCCCATTTTGACCAGATAGCACCGCTATCTGGAAAGAGAGGTCAAGTCATAGAGAAAGCCCATTGCCCATGATCTCTGGCTGCAGGACAATGCGAGATGTCATGCTCTCATCTCATCCTGCCCCACATCAACCCCTTCTCAAGCCCAGTCTCCCTTCACTAAGGCGTGCCAAACAAAATGACAACAGGATCTCAACAAGTAAAGAGGACCGTGAGCAGCAAGTCCAGCTTCATACCTCATCGCCACACTCCGTCGTGTTTGTTTCCAATTTCTGGACAGCAGACTGGTTGCTCTCCTTTAGCATTTTCTCTCGAACTTTGGTTTCATACTCAGGCCTGGAATGTTCCTAAACCAAAGAGCAGTGAGTGGTTAGTAAACAAAAGGAAGAATGACCTTGGCCTTAGGGTTATAACCAGACACATGTACATTAACGTCAGCGTTTAGGATTGGATGCTATTGGATATGAACTGCCCCACCACACACAATCACAAGGCATCTAGACATCACATCCTAACATAAGAACACAACGTGAGGAAGAGACAAGGGACACACAACACTCGTTATCACACTGAAAACCAAACCTGGGCACGTTCCTGGGGATAGCGCCGGTGTTGAGAAAAAGAGAGGAAATGTTAACTGGATGGCTGATACGAAGAGGGGCCCAGTGCTTTGCAGAGCAGTTTCACCAGAGGCAGAGGGATATCCCTGGTCATCCCACCAACTATCGTCAGACCTCAAACTTTAACTTTCAACAAGCCAACTCCCAGCTGGAGAAACAGATGTGCCCCACAGCTGGGAGTGAGGGCAACAACAAAACTCCTTCCCTGCTCCATTATTCTCTGAGCTAAAATGGCGACCAATAAACATCAAAGTCAAGGGTGGCCATAGGGAATCTTAAAACTCACTTGCCTGGACCTGTTTCCTGTGCAGCCTCGGTGAGTAACTCATTGGCAAGTAACAGCAATGCTCAAGAGACCTCACTGGGCCATTCAGCAACACAAACCTGAGTTGTGAGTCACCAGGCATGGGAAAGAGCACCTAACTAATCCAGAGGACCATGGTCAAATCAGTGCAGATGCCGGGGTAGGAAAATGCATAACTCACTTCAAAGAAAATTTAACTGTGTACACCTGGCCTCATTGGCAGGTCTTCCTTACGGTTTCCAGCTCAAGAACAAACATCTACAGGTGTGAGGACTTCATGTTCCTGCATCGTTTATCGATAACTCCTGGGCAGGGATTCAGGTACTGGCTCACAATGGGCTCTGCCATTCAGGGAACACACATGTCCTTATCCCTGTCCATATGTCAGAGATTCCAAAGGTCAACGGGCCAGGCTTTTGACCTGTCTCTGGCTTTCCCAAGACACGCCATGATGCAGGAGAGGACAGACCATGTAAGTGACTAACAAGCATAACTAAAACAACTGCAGGCGGTGCCATTCTATCCTCACCCATTCTCCGAGGGGACGTCAGTCCCACCCCTTCCAGGAGGACTTCTCCAACTGTTGCAACATACCTACCAGGTGGGGTCTCCTCCCTCTCTGAATTCCGAAACTTTTATAGCTTATACCACACACTGTAGATCTTCATTACATATTTTTCTTTTATTTTTTCCTCGCTGTTTTGCATGTGAGAGTCTTCTTATCCTAACATAAAGATCAGCTACCTGCTCTGTATTATTCTATGTTTTGCACAGTACTTGGCACCATGCAGAACACACAGAAATCTCTGAACGCTTGTAAAGTGCACTTGATTTTGTCTCTCACCTTCATCCGTTCTCCAACACAGCATTTCCTAATGTGTGTGCCAAGAGAATTTCAGCTAAAAAAGGATTCCAAGGTCTAAAAGACTGGAAAACACTAGAACGTATCGACTTTCTGAGAGTCACAGTGAGCACATTCAAAACTCTGAAAAGTACTACTGTCAAGAAGCTTGCTTAATTTTCCTAAGCACATCATTTCCCGCAGAGCAACTTTTGCCTGTAACAATTAATAACCTGCAGGAATACTTAGAGAAGTATGGTTTGAGGTTCTCCCCCATGGCCTCTGAAATTTGGTTGCTTTTCTTCTACATTATTCCAATGGGAGATTTTAATTAAAAACTTAGCAGTATCTTTCAGTGAGTTCCAGAACATGGGTTCTACATCTCTTCAAGCCAGAGGAGCCTCTCCCCTTCCAGACCCTGCACAGGGGCTAAGGGAGGCACCCTCAGCTGACCGACAGGATGTTTCTGATTATCTCTGGCTTTCCAGGACATGATGTGGCAGCACACAGAGGAGTTTGCTTGAATCCCTCTAGGTGTGGCTGTGGCTCACCTCCCCCCATGCTGGGCCCCAGTTCAAAGCTCCCTCATCTTTTTTTTCTTTCTTTTTTTTTTTTTTGAGACAGAGTCTCACTCTGTCGCCCAGGCTGGAGTGCTGTGGCATGATCTCGGCTCACCGAAACCTCTGCCTTCCAGGCTCAAGCAATTCTCCTGCCTCAGCCTCCGGAGTAGCTGGGACTGCAGGCACATGCCACCAGGCCCAGCTGATTTTTTTGTACTTTTAGTAGAGATGGGGTTTCACCATGTTGACCAAGCTGGTCTTGAACTCCTAACCTCAGGTGATCCACCCGCCTCGGCCTCCCAAAGTGCTGGGATTACAGGCGTGAACCACTGCACCCGGCCATAACCCTTAACTTTTTAAAGCAAGCCTAGCTTCCTAAGCACTCAGACAAGAATCCGAAACTCAAAGAAGAGACAGGCTGCGCTGCACTCAGCTGAAGCAGGCCTGACAAGGACCTCCCTCTTTGCAGCCAAGCAAGTGGGGTGAGGTTATGGAATCCCTCAAATTGGACAACTGAGCTCCTGGCCAGAGCAGAATCCAGCCCCCGGGAGGGCTGCTTTGACACACCCAGCCACGGGCAGATCAGCCTGATACTCCTGATGTTCCCCAAACACAACAGCACTGGATGGGTTATCTGATACCAAGTCATCACAGATCATCACCCCTCCCATCGAGACTCTGGGAACTGTTTCCACGTGGTCAGTCTCCCCAGGAGCCAGCTGGGAGGAAGAACCCAAGCCTGCTCAGGACCACATTTGTCTGATGTAAAGAGGTAAGTCCAGAGATACATCCAACAAATGTCTTCAACCAGGAGTCATCAAGCACCTGCTATACTCTGAGCTCTTTCCAGGCACTGAGGCTATACTGCCAGTCCTAGACACAAGATCCCTCCTTCCCTGGAACTTTTCTCCAAGTAGAGAAAAGGTACAGTGAGTAAACCAGCACACGAATGAGAAACTAGCAGATGAGGATAAGAATAGCAGAAGAAATAAAGCAGAATGGCTGCTTCAGATTGGGGAGTTGGGGGAGGCCAATCTGAAGACGGCAATGTTTTCACTGAGACACAAAAGCCGAGAAGACAGGCCTTGCAGAGTCTGGGGGAAAAGCAGTCTGTGCAACAGGAATAACCAGGGCAAAGGCTGGAATGAGCTCGAGACAGAATGAAGGCCTGGGTAGCTGGAAGGTCTAAGCAAGGAGGAGAATGACACAAGCTGAGGTTAGAAAGGTAGGCAGAGGATTTGGTTTCCTGTGAAACCAGAAAGAAGTCACTGAGGATATCTAAGCTTTGATGTTATACACGAGGGGTGGGAGAGAGATGGGTGGGCAGGATATCTGTGTTCAGATAAGGCCACACTCTCTAAGAGGCCCAGGGTATTCCTGATGTGACAGAAGGTAATGGGCAAGAGTGGCCCACTGAGCTGAAGATTATCCCATTTTAGAGTATAAAACTCTGGAGGTCTGACAGATCTCCCTGCAAAAAGGACAAACAGGATCAGAGGAGTCCTTCAATAAGTCCCATGATGATGTCCACAGGGACACCCACAGGCAGACCTGCACTGGCCCAGGGGGGTGGGCCGTTGGGCTTGGTTGCTTCCTTCCTTCCCCACCCTCAGAAGAAAGCAGTCTCCAGTCTTCTTCTGGCTTGTCTCTGGTTTCCAAGCCGGACTTAAGCCCTACTGCTTGTTCTACCCCTCCTGGGGTGACCCACCTGCTGAAGGCACCCAGGTGGGAGGACTAGAGGGTGCACAAGCTTTGGTGTATGTCAGTTGGCACCCTCCTTTCCCCTGGGAAGCAAGTGTTTCCTAGTGGATACCATGGGGAAGAAAGAAGTCTTAAGGTTATAGAAAGCTAGACTCGCAAGCATTCCTGATACTGGGAGGTGTCTGGTTAAAATAGAAAAAACTTCTAATCATGGCTTTCAAGGACCCCTGCCTCCCTCCCTCCAGTGCCCAAGTAACATCTGCCTTCCACTCACTCCTCGTTTTGAATGTGGGTTAAATGCTTCATATAAGTCCTAGGACCCTTGTTCAAGTCATTCGTACCTTGTTATCCTGATCTTCATGCCTTCCCATGGCCTGGGAGATACAGATTAGCAATCAGGACCCTCCCTGACCCGGTCACCAGACTATACTTTTTCCTTGTCACCACTGCATACTGAGCCCTGTCCCCTGAAGCCAACTTGGCTTTCAAGATATCTTGTTGTTGCCTCGCTTTCCCAGGTCAAGGCTGCTGCTGTTTCTTTCTCGTGGGCACCCCTTCTTCCCTTTGCTGCCCATTAAAAGCCAACCAGTCTTCAAAACCCTGATTTTTTAAGAATTTCCTCTCTACATTAGCCAGAGCAATTTCTCTCACACACTCTCCATTCTATTCTAAATATTTATAGACCAAAGAGCACCCTGCTGGATGCAGCCCTTTGGAGATCAGACACTACACCTGAGATAATTCCATATTCCATACAAAAACCTAGTATGTAATAGATGCTTAATGGCCATGTTCAGAATTGAACTGAAATTGATGTGTGCTAATCCAAACTAGAAATGCATTAAAGGAAAAGTTGAGGCTGGCCTGTGCACATGTGGGGCACGCCAGTCACGTTACAGAACCAACCAGCCTTGCAGCAACCTCACACGGAGATCCCATCCGGAAAGTCTCCTTAGGCCCTGGGTAAACCCAGTCTTGGCCAGGCCCCTCTCAGCCAGCACATGAGCTCCTCAAATCATGTACCTCCCAGGAAGTTACCATGGCTCATTGGGTTAAACAGATAAACAGGAAACCTGGCTACAGAAAGAAAAATGGATTATAATCTCACCCCTGCCAGGGACTTGTTACAGAGATTTCAAGGGTATTGAGTTATAACTGAGGCTTTTCTGATGGAGAGACTATGTTTACACTTGCTCTCTAACAGCAAGACGTGAGGGCTTCCTCAACTCTACTTAGCAGACACACTTAACTTGTCTCTGGCCCCACACAGGCTTGGAGGCCAAAATGCATCTTCTTCTCTTTTTTGGAAACATTCTACGGCATTAGCGGAGTAGGCACTCTACCCTACCCACCTCCCCCAGCCTCCTCTCTCTCTGTCTCTCTCATATATATGAGACGTATTTCAGCTAAATCAAATGGGACAAATAATACAAACATTTCCCCACTAGATCACCCACATTCAAACTTCTAGAGTTCTTTCTATTGGAAGGACCAGTTTGGGAATTTTCCCGCAAGAAATGCAACTGTCTTTACTATTCTCTGTTGCTTATCTTCCTAAATAATTTGAATCCTCTCTGAAGGCAGAATGCATATGTATATTCTCTCTTTCACCACAGAGTTCATGATAGTATTAGCCTCAGGGTATATGCGAAATACCTAGGACTAGAGTAGAGTGTGTACCCAATATATGGTAATGCAGTGGGGTGGAGTGGGATGGGGATGCAATTAAGTGAGAACCCATGGGAGGTGGAGAAAGGCTATATCATTACATCTCTCCTTCCAGCACTTTCAGGCAGCACACCCTGCACTGGTAGATTCCATTCCAAGCTGCTGCCCTGCGGGTCCTGCCATTCTTCAGCCCACCTGCTCAAAGGCAAGTAGACTACTTAGAGCATTAAGGAGAAGAAATGGTGACATGCCACAGATGTGGGGACATACAGGCTTAGGAAGAGACTAAATTAGGGATTCCACTTCTTTCTCATAAAGTGTCAGGGCCACAAGGCCCCAGGTCCCTAGTCCAAGGCAATCACTGTAGGAGAGTAATGAGCAGGCTTGTGTTCCATGCAGCCACCTTACTGCTGTGGCCAGTCCTTGCAAGTGGACTCAGGCAACTGAAAGTGCCTCCTGGCCCTTCTAGACGGCCCTCAGCCCCTCACCCACGATATCCACACTATTGAGAGTCCCTGCTTGACATCCCATCCATGGTGGCACCTGGTGTCAGGAGGCCTTGAAGGTTTTAATGGTCAGAACAGAGGGGCTTGCTGAGCTTGGAAGTGAAAGAAGAGGGGAGGAGGGCTGAGTGACAGTGGGGTTGCTTTTGGAGGAGCAGGAATTATGGTGGGAATAGATCATGGGAGCAAGCACGACACACTGCCCATCATCGGCTCACCAGCATCGGGAATGGGGGGCTAGTCCTCAGAAGAGCTATAAGGGAAGGCTGATTTATTTGCATTATTTAAAGATCATCTGTCCAGAACACTGCTCTAGAAGAACCTATCCTTTCCCTTAGCTCACGCCTCCCCAACTCCTCAGTTTCACACATAGTGCACTGGCTTATACCACAGAGGTTTAGTGTTTCTTTCTTCATTCACAGACATCAAAGACAACCAGCACCTGACACCCTGCCTCTCCTTTGGCCCTCAGGAGGCCCCCAGGGCATTCTGACATATCCCTGACTCTCTGGCTTTATGATCTCAAGATTACGTCTTGCCTCTTGTTCTTGCATCTTCTGCCACCTCTTTCCCCAGAGGAGGGCACTGGGACATCTGCCCAAACACCAGGCTCAATGCCCTCCAGCTCAAGGGAAGAGGGGGTACTTGAACTCTTGGCCTCAGAGTAGGTCAACCATGGCCCAAGTCCATGGAGCCAAGCTACACAGGCAGCCACTGTGAGATCCAGCCAGTGACAGCAAACATACATGGTTATCTCACTCAAGAGAGTCCATTTCCAGGGTCAAAACAAAGCAAAAGCCCACAGAAGTATGTGAGAAATACGTGAGAGAACTCACTTCTTCCTCTTCTATGCCAGTCAGGTCCCAAAAGTAGCCCAGTCGCATCTGTAGCCTCTTCCAGTTTTCCAGGAACATGGTAGCTTAAAAAGAACAACAAGAACAAAAACCTTGATTATTTTTGAAGAGTGGATTCTGTACCCTTTGGGCTCACCAGTGGAGGTGGGGGATAAGCTATTTTAAATTTAGGAGCTCTCTTTAATGCATTTAGCCTCTTTTTCCCACTTCTAGGTGAAACTGCTAGAAATACTCCACATCCTTGAGAGCCAATAGATATGTTACACACACACACACACACACACACACACACACACGCTCCTTTCTCCACTTCTAAGTTATGAGAGGAGGGTAAACACTGATCTGGAGAAGTAAAGTAAGGATGGCGGGATGAAGAAAATAAAAAGGGAGGGGTCTGCAGGATTTTTTGACAAGCCTCATCTTGCCTACGCATACATTCTTTCCTCCTTCACCTTCATCAGCACTGTCACTTTTTCCCTACATTTCTTTCTTTCTGTCCCCAGCGCCACTTGCCTCATTTGGGCCCTAATCATCTCATTCTGAGGTTACATAACAGTCTCCTAACAGTTCTACCTGACTCCAGACTTTCAGCCTTCCAACCCATCCTGCATGTAGCTGATAGAATAATCTCTGTAAAGTAGTATGCATTCATTCTTCCATTTGCTTAGCAAATAGTTGTAGAATGCCTGCCACACCTACACATCCATCAGTTTGCCTGCCCCACCCACGGCCCTTTGAAGGACCAGCACGCCTTTCTCAGCATGCTCTAGGAAGAACCTGATACCCCCACGAGCACAACCCTACAGCCATGGTTTGTTATACCAGGGCTGAACATCTGATGCAGGGCCTGCTGATAGAGCACTCAGATTCCCTCCTTTGAAAACTGAAACTAAAAGACACAAAGAGGAGCAGGGATGGGAGAGACCACGCAGCACCTGAAAGGAGGGAAGGCCTTCGTTTCCCACAGCATCTCTAGCTCCAGTTCCCAAGAGGCCTGGTTATATTTCATTTCCTACACCCAGGAGCTTGTCTCTTGCTTTCTTAAAATAAATCTCTTGTTATTTGAGTAAGTTGGAGTGAATTTCTAATCCTGCAAAAGCACCAGTCCCAACTAAGGTATCTGCAATGTACAAAACACCATTCTAGGCATTGTCAGGGAGATTGGGTGAACTTCATGTGGATTTTTCTTCTCAAGTTGTTTACAATCTGTGAGAAGGGATTGTAAACAACTACAATACAAGACATAAAGTGATCAGGGCCTTAAGAATGACACAGATGAAAAAGCTGTGGGCCTGCGAAGAGAAGTGCTACCTGCCAGAGGAGGCATCCGAGCTGATTTTTGAAGGACAATGGCATTTGGGCATTGAAGGAGTGGGCAGAGGAAGGGTGCCAACACTACCTGCCTACATGTTCAATGGCTCCTTACAGTCTAAGTTCTTCTCTCTGGATTCCAGGACTATGTATGTCGAGCCCGAACTATCTATCTGAATCGCTCATCCTGCCATTTGACAACATATATCCCATGCCCACATTACAGCTGGGTCATCCCCTCACCGTCATCTCCATACTCGACTTGCGCACGTTGTCCCTCTCTCCTGTGCTATCCTCCAGCTTCTACCCTCATCCTATCCTGACCCAGCTCAAGTCCCCCTCTTCCATAACATCAGTCCCCATGGCACCCTGTCCTCCTCACTCCTACTGCCCTATGTTCATGGCACCCTGGAAAGGGAGGGACATGACATTCCCTGAGGCCATCCCTACAGATCCACCCCACCTCTAGCAGGAGCCTGAGCACACTTCACTACATGCCATGCCTGACTATTGGCCGACACTTCATGTTTGTGATGTAATAACAGGACTGTAAACTTTTCCTGGCTCTTAGCTGCCTATGTCTACCTCGGTCACAGCACAGAACTGAGAATATCAAACACCTATGCACTGGTTGAATACACAGTTACTTAAAGCTGCATTTGTTTTACTTGCAGCTACATTATGGTGCACTGATGTGCATGTTTTCATCTGACATGACATTTTGCATACACTGATTTGCATGTTTTTCTCCCTTGGATTTGAGGCCTTTCTCGAGTGGGTGTATTCCCTCCTAACACTGGCTTTGGTCTGGGGATACTAAGAATGGTAGTAAGTCCCTCCTCTTCCTACCGCTCCTTCCTTGGTTCCCGAGGAGGGCTGTGCACACAACAGTGCCCAGAGTGCTGACCGACTGGTGTCTCCATGAAGGGAGGAAGTCAGACTGAAGGAATGATGAGAGGGGCAAAAGAGTCATGGATAGATGAGTCGTGAGGGCAAGGGAGGACCACCATACTGATGGAGAGCAGCTCCCAGTTCTGGGTGCTCATCTGTGCCAGGCACTATGCTACATGCTCTGCATGCACACTCAATCACATGTCACAAGAGCACTGTGGGGTAGGTATTATTTCGCTCAATTTACAGATGAGGACAACGATGCTCAAAGATTAAGTAATCTGCCCAAGGTAACAGGGCACCTTGGTCAAGAGTATTGACTTTAGTGACACAGAGTTAGGTTCACATTTACCTGCCATGGGATCCCTAGCTGGTAAGGAGCAGAACTGAGACACACATTAGGTCTGCCTAGGTCAGTGTCCTTAACCTCTATTCGGAAAAGAGTTCTGAAACCCTGTCTCTTTCCTTCCCTTTTCAGTAGGACTTCACTCTCTTTCCCAACATACCCTGGAGTTTGAAGTCCGACCTACAGGTGAGCCAACAGACTTGGGTCCTGCTGACTAGTATCCCCCAAGACCTCCTGACTCCACACCGCCCCTTCCGCTGCCACCAGCAGCCCAAGTCTCTCTCTATGTACAGCCATTTCTTCCCAGCCTTATTCCCAGCAGACCTGGGCCCTGAACCAGGCCCACCCAGCACAGCACCACTAATCATAATAATCATGGTAATGAGAGGCATTACTATTATTTTTAATTGTAATTTGTAGACAATCTGGCCTAAAGGCTCTTGGCTGCTGTAACTGAATACACAATCACATAAAGCACAGCAAGACTGTCAAAAAACAAAACCAAATCCTACCCTATGCCAGGAAGCTCTGGCGCAATCTCACCCCTGAGTACTTTCCCTGCACTGTGATGTGAAAGGAAGACAGTGGGTCCAGGGGTAGGGTAGGAAATGACTGAGGATCTCGGAAGGGGTGGGAGGTAGCTGTTCATTACAGCTATCAAAGGAAGAGAAGAGGCAGTTGTTGAAACTTGAAACTAGGAAGTACAATTGAAAACCAAGTTTCTCTACAACAGGGGATTATGTGTCCCAAGAAAGTTCTTGAAGGATTATAGACCTGGAGTTATTAGGCTTCAGCAACTCAATGGTGGTAATATCTGCAAGACAAATTATGGGCATTAGAGTTGTAATATAGCAAAAAATGAATACGTATTCTGGGTTCCAAATCAGTTCAGGTGGATCTTGGGGTAATTCCACAATGCTCCTGTTTGATAAGGAGACACAGAGCTGCCAGTGACTTCCCAGGCAACAAGCCCCAACTTCAGTGTGTTCTACCAACCCTGCCTGTGAACAGTCCCAGGAGTCTATGGTCACAATTCCATTTCCTCCTGCTCCCTGCTCCAGCTCTCGATGGGCTGAACACTGCCCGTGTGCTCCCGGGACGCAGCTGCTCTCCCTGATAATAGAGAATAGAGTGTGCCCTGGAAATTTTTATTGGTGGCCTAGCAATATGGGAATCTTTCCAATCAAGTTCTGTCTCCACCCAAGTGAAGGTCCCCACAGGGAATGGAGGAAGGTTGTGTTCTAGTTCTCCTAAGAACCACCGAGAACAGGCCTCTCCCTCTCCTCCTTCTCCTCATACGCTCAGGGACGTGTGACTCAGGGCCCATCCTGGCATATCCTCTGGGCGCCATGGAGTCAGTGATAAATCAAACAGCCTCTGCAGCAGGACTGTGGTCCTGCTGGTCTGTGATCCAATGTGCAAACCAAGGGCCTGCACATTCGGTGATGAGTAAAGGAGCAGGTGGCTACTCAGATGGGCTGACACAGGTTGACTTGGTCCCTTTTCTAATACTCATGGGTGTGTCTTCTTAGAAATGCTCAGTTACCATGGGGTGGTTATCCCGCGTTATTCCAGTTTGTGAGAATAGGCGTGTGTGTGTGTGTGTGTGTGTGTATCTGTGTGTGTTTACAGTCAGCTACCTATGGCTCAGAACAAGTTTATTACCCCATACTCTGGGAGGAAGGGAGGAGGAGAAAAATGAAGGAATTATTTTTTCCTCCACTAATCCCTTTGGTGGGAATACTGAAAGCATTACCCTGGCATTAAATATTAAATTAAACAGTGCAGGGACAGTACAGTCTACACTCATGATGCCCTAACAATCGCACTGAACAGGAGTCAGGAGACCAAATCTCAGCCCACCTTTCCCATGAGCTAACTCTGTGACCACGGCAGTCACTCCACCATTCTAAGTATTGTGCTGCACGATATCTACAATCTTACCTAAGTCAGTGCACCTGCAGGAGTCTTACAGGTGTGCTAGGAGTTTTCAAAACAGGCATTGGTTCAAATTCTGAATAAATCACACATGGGGCTAGTACATGGTTAGCATGACTACATCTGAGAGAAAACAGATAAAGACATGAAGGATATTCCTGTTTCTATTCACACATATGAGTAAAGAAAAGAAAAGTGTCATCCTTAAAATACTTCTTGTGATGGGAAGAAAAAATGCGAAAGTAAGTAACCTGAAGGGGATGAGCTTTACAGCTTGGTCACTGTGCCCATGTAAAGGAACCACCCATATAAGCAAGCCTGGTGATGGCCACATACCCCACAGAGCCATGAAGATAGAGAAGAAGACGGTGGCAGGGTTGTCAAACAGGTGGCTGGCCTGCGCGGTCCCACAGGCTGAGCTGAGGTTCCAGTAATCACAGGACTTGTCACACAGGGGACACATGGTGAAGGCATTCTGCTGGTCACACATCTCTCTGCTGCAATAGATGGAGGTTGTTGGGTCAGGTGGAGCTCAAGCATGGTCCACTCCAAGAAAAATACATCCCCCAAATAGCTCCCATTTCCAAATCTATGGTTGAGTTTTTCAACTCCATAAGTAAGGAATGTTAAAGAAGTTAGCATTGTATTCTTCACCTGGAGAGTGTTACTCATACTTTGTTCAAAAACAACAATGAAAAGATGGGATATGGAGCTCCCTGTCACTACAAGTGCCCTGGAAAGTTAGTGAGATCTGTCAGAGACATTGAGCATTAAATGATGCCTCATAAAGTCCCTTCAGAACATCTGGGGTCCATGAGGTTGGTGGAATGGGATGCATCCACAGTTGTGAATAAATCACAGCCTGAAGCTGGATTTCATCATCCATTCTTCAGTCTAGGCTGTTTTTGTAAAGCCTACTGGCTGTCTCACAAACAGGTGATACTGGTCCCAAGTAGAAACAAACACGAGTGTGTGGCTAGACCTGTGCATGCTCTCACCTCCAGAAGGAGAAGTTCTACATGGGGAAGAACGGAGTAGATCTGGGTGGAAAGCCCTTTTCTAAGAGCATGAGCTGGAGAGCCACTTGTAGAATGGAGATTAATAACCTCAACCTAATAAGAATTATTATAACCATGAAATAAGATTAGGGAGAATGAAAGAGCAAGGCAAATTCTTCCAAGATCTAGATTCTTTGATACTTGGAGCATGAACCAAATAATCTCTAATGGCCTGTATTCCAACCTATTCTTAGTGTATTTCCATTTAATGGACTGAGGAATATATTTGAAATTCCATTCATTCGTTAGCTGACTAGCTGTATCCAACAGATTTAGGCTCATATGAATGCTTGGAAATAAGAACCAAAGAATCAGCCCTGACTGACTTTCCCAATAACCCTCTATACCATACACTGATAGGAAAAATGAATGAACTCATCCCTCTGTTGTGTAATATTCTCCCAGGGAGATGGGAGGATGGTTAAGCTCATGGTTCAGGGGGAAAGGGTGGAGAACTTAAGATTTCACGAAAGCAAAGCACTGGCTGTTCTTACAGGGCAGCTGGAGACAATGATGGGGAGGCAGGGGATCCAGCACTGAGAACCACAGCTGTTTCCAACAGAAAGAAGCAGCAGAGGGCGCTAGAGAGCATGGCTCACAAGTGGGAGCCACTGCTAGGGAGAGCAAGCTGGTGCCCTGTGTGCTAAAGCCAGTGCTCAGAGGAAACCTCCAAAGCCAAAGGATGCCTGGGTCTCTTTCCCCCTTCATTAAGAAGTTGAAGGGTGGCAGATTTACTGAGGGCTGCCACTTGCTGTCAAGCCCCAGTTTCTAGGCTTCTGTTTTTAATGAGCTACTAAGTCCACAGGAAGGAAAGGCCTCCTGTGTGAGAGAATGGAAATTGTCGGTCCCTGAGGATAAACCCCAGTTCCTCCACTGACTCGCTGGCAAAGGTCAATAAAAATGACTCATCCACGTCGAAAATATTAAATAGTCATATCTTAATAATACATTCAGCTGTGCTAGTTTCACCTGGGCATGTTCTGCTGGGTGACTAGAGAGCCCAGTTTATGTCTTCTGGGTCAGACCTGTGTTTGCTATGTAGTTGAGAAGGAATTGCTATTTTCAGAGAGGAAAGTACCCCCTTAAAAAACAGATTTACACAGAAAATCACTTGTCTGTATAAATTCTAGTAAAAGACGTTCGCTTTTAAGTCACGTCCAAGAACATATGAGTTCCTCAATGCTGCTCTTCAAGTATATGTGTTAGGGACTTCATTTAACTTAGCGGTTTTTTCTTTTAAGCATGGACTGAGGAGAGACAGAAACCTAGTCAACTGAATCCTAGTTGGAACTAGTCAATGCTAAAAGGTCAGGAATGAAAAACGTATTAGCAGCCAAGCGGGTGCAAAGCACTTTGAAACCTAAGTGCTGTGTAAATTGCTGGTCTTTAAATTAGAGTGCAGGCAACTATCCATCATTTGTACAAGATGGCAGCCACCATGGTATGGATTCTCCTCAAATCATTTAAATGTGAAGTCAGAATGCTTTATATATGTATTGGGGGGTTTTTGATGTAATCAATTTTAACAGAATTCTAGAGGAATTCTGGCTAAGAATGACATCGAAATGACTTTGTATTTTGTGAGAGAGGCTGCCTCTAGACAAGCTGAAAGATGAGGGAAGCCTGCCCAGAATGGAAATCAGGTCTAGGGTATTCACTAAGCTGTACAATACACAGGTTTCTAGTGAGAAGTAACTGTGGCTATAAATCCAATGCTGTATTCCTTTGATTTATTATTTTCTCCAGAAAGCCTAAGAAGCTTGATAAACGGCTTGACAGTCCATTGAACCAAGACCCTAAAGTGAGCAATGTTCTTCAGGGTAAATCATTGCTCATGGATTAGGTGATTCAGAGCCCTGTTAGCACAACGGGAGAAGGTACAAAGAGGCAATCATTCAGGAAATTCAGACTAAACAGCTGCTATTAAGGTCTCAGACCTAAAGTAACCAATCTTTTTTCAATATGGTTTAGATTAATCAGCTTTTTAAAAAATGTCCTAGTGTTCTCTGTTCATGTAAGTGCTTAACAAATGAAATCAATCCCTTGGTGAGTAGAGACAGGGAAGTTCTATAGAGGTATCATGCACGCATGGAAGTATTACTTACAGGCTTATGCTTATATCTCACATATCAAAGTTAAATTACTGGGAATAAAAGGTATCATTTAAAGCTCCACCTCATCAATGTCAGTTTTCTGGTTTTGATGTTGTGCCGTAGTTACATAAGACGAAACCACGGGAGGAAGCTAGAAGAAGTGCACGCTGGGCCCCTCTGTACTATCTTTGCAAGTTCCTGCGCTGTGAATCTAAAATTTTTCAAAATAAAAAGGTTTTAAAAAGTGAGACAGAGTGAATTTCAGGCTTGATGACAAAATTAGCAACCTCTAAAATAATCCCAGGAATACTGTAAGTTTTTAATCACAGTTATGAGTGGCTGAAAGACACAAACCCTTAGAGTATGCATTTCTTTAGATTCAATATTGGTTTTTAGAGAATATCCCTTTGTTTATAAGGAGTGGCATTTTCTGAGTTTCCATCAGACCCACAGAAGTTGGACTTCTGATGAATTTACAATTATGTTTAAAAAACAGTTCCTCTGTTTTTAAAGAAATCTATTAAAATGTTTACTTTTTTCTAGTATTTACACCTTCCTGACTTGCCAGGCCCCATCCTGAGTCTGAAAAAACAACATCCAAAACCTCAATTTTGTAGTAATTTTAAACGTTTTTGACTGTGACCTACAGTTAAAACAATCTGTTACATCAGATTTCAGTATGCAAATACATACCCTCACTCTCACAAACACACTTATAAAAATGAAACAAAATCTAATGAAGCAACACTTACCCATCCTTCTTATAATGAATACTAATATTTATTGCATTCTAGCTTATCTTACCCCATCTTGTTTTAGTCCACTTGAAAGCCCATTAAATTGATTCCACAACCCACCAGTGGTTGTTGTCATATCCACAGTTGTAGAACACCATCCACTCTGACAGGCAATGTGACACATCCGCAGTAACGACTGCATTTTACACTTGAATATCCCTGCACATGCAAGAATGTGTGTGAATGTGGCTGTGTGCATCTGTGTGCAGACATCTATGTGCACGTGCATGAGTGTGTGTGAATGTGGCTGCGTGCATCTGTGTGCAGACATCTATCTGCACGTGCATGAGTGTGTGTGAATGTGGGTGTGTGCGTCTGTGTGTAGACATCTGTGTGCGCGTGCATGAGTGTGTGTGAACGTGGGCTGTGTGCATCTGTGCATAGACGTCTATCGTTGCAGCATGTGCAGACCACGTCCTTTCCAGCTGTAGTGGTTGCTGCCACGTGTATTACCATGTGGGGACCCGGGGCACAAGTTCTAAATCCTGATATAAACCAGCCCACTGGTGCCCCACCCACTGCACTGGCACGGTATGGGGTTTTCCACCCTTGGTCAACCTGAGGCCAGATGTCTAGGGATCACAACTGGCAAGGGAAACCCAAAAGCCATGTTTTCTTAGAACACACCCAGGCAAGCCCACGTGAAGCTACTGAGTTGTGAAGGAGGATATGAGCCCTCCGGAAAACTTCTCTGCTTATTAGAAAAAGCAAAGACTTTGGAACAGGAGGCAACAGAGTTCAACTCCCAGCACTGACAACTATTAGTTGTTGATATTGGACAATTTATGTGACCTCATGTAGCATAAGTTTCTCAATCTCTGTTCAGTGGAAATAATAATGCCTGTTTACGGCGTGTATAACATTGATCTCTTACAGGATCAAAGAAACTAGTTTATAACAATCACCTAGCATTATGCCCCCCACAAGGTAGATAGTTCATAAGTATTAGCTCTTCCCTCATGCCTCATGCTAGATGCACTGGGGAAAACACAGCCCTAATAACCCATCTCCTGTGATAAAGGACCCAGAACTCCCAATCAAGAGCACTTGCCCTCGGCCTCCCTCCCTCCCCTCTCCCCCTTCCTTTTTCCCTTCACCCTCCAAAAAAAAAAAAAAAAAACAAAACAAAACACTTGACAATTGATACTAGAGTTTTATACCAAAAAATCCAAACTCTTGTCTCTTACATCAAGTGATTTAGCTTTATTCTAGATATTGACAATATAATCTTCAGTTGATTTGATTTGCAAACCATTTGCATAGATTGACATTGATTTAGTTTTATTCTAGATATTGACAACATCATCTCCAGGTGATCTGATTTGTGAGACCATTTCTATAGAGTATGCACCAGTAGGCAGGAAGCAGGTGAGCCAGGAAGCAGGTTTCTGCCCACTGATGCACGCATACCCTTCCTAAAATGCACAGTTTCTGGTTTTTTCTTCAGAATGGCCACTACTTTCCCCATTACCACCCCCAACTCTAATGATCCGCCCAGTGTCCTCATCCACCTGCCTATGGAGGGAACATCAAGTTGGTACAAAGCTATCCTGCCCCCTAGCCACAATGAATTGGCCCGGGGCCTCCACCTAAGTCAAACAGAGTCATAGTACTTTTTCACTTGAGACCAATCGAGTATAAAGCTCTAAGGTGTAACACCCATGAGCTACTAGCAGCAATGTTTAATCCAAATGGAGAAAATATGTAGTGTAACCAACAAATGCTAGAAAGAGTCAGAGGCAGGAGATAAATGGAGTCCCTATTCCAGTGCTCCTTGAATGCTTATAATAAATTTTCTTTTTCACTTAATCTAGTTCAAGCTGCATTTCTATCACTTGCATCCAAAAGAATATTAAAACATACTAACCATGCTTCAGTTTGCAAAGACAATTCTGAAGATGGCAAGAGTGTTTAAATTCTAAATATTAGCTAAGTGTCTCTTTTGTTCCTTGTACTTTATTTCCACATATTTTGATTTATTCAACAATTATTTATTAATCTTCTGCTATGTTCCAGACACAGTCTCCTTTAATCCTTACAACACTATGACTTAGGCGTCGCGATTACCATTTTACAGCCAAGAATACTAAGCTTCAGGGAGTAAACTGTCCAGTCACATGGCTAATATATAACATTGTCAGTCTAAGTGCTTCTTTCCTTTTCCTTTTTTTTTTTTTCAGAGGGGTCTTGCTCTTTCGCCCAGGCTAGAGTGCAGTGGCACAATCAATCACAGCTCACTGCAAGCTCAAGCTCCTGGGCTCAAGCAGTTCTCCTGCCTCAGCCTCCCAATTAGCTGGGACTACAGGTACATGCCACCAAACCAAGCCCAGCTAAATTTTTTTTTTTTTTAGAGATGAGGTCTCACTGTGTTGCCCAGGCTGGTCTCAAATTCCTGGGCTCCAACAATACTCCCTCCTTGGCCTCCCAAAGCACTGGGATTACAGGTGTGAGCCACCATACTCATCCCATATTTCCTTTGTGGGTTCTCTCTTCCTCATAAAAACTAGCTTTGATTCTATCTCTTGGCGCTCCAAGAGTCCCGCCTTGGGGCTATTCCTCCCTGCAGTTTCTGACTTCCTGAAACAGAGGCTGTGCCTTCCTCAGCATTAGAGCTGCTTGCTTTCTCAGCTTGCTTTATTCTAGCATCATCTGACCACACAGATGTGATTTCTACTCAGTGTCACTCCCCACACCTTGCCTTGGGTCTTATGGGAAACCAGAGGTAAAAGAAGTGATGAAGTGGAGAGAGAGAGGAAAAAAGTATTTCTCTGGCATGATTTTTCTTACCAGGAATTATCTGCCTGCCCACATCAGACACATCCCCCTGCCCTGGAGAAGAGCTTGACTAGAAGAGGAAGTAGGCCTCGCCTAGCATGGCTCTGAAGCCATTCCCAGAATCTGTAGCTCCTAGATCTGTCTCTGGAGGAAAGCTACATGTGTCATAGCGAAGGAGAATGATAGAGGGTGAGGGCTTTGGAAAGAGGCATGTGAAATGTACTTGTACTGGGATGAAACTCCAAATTATTAACATATGGCAACTGAGCCCTTTTCTTTAAAACTGATTTACCTGGGAATATCTTCTTCAATTGTTGCACATCCATAAAGAAACACAATCACTCCAATTACAGAAGATGGGATGAGGAATGATGTATATAATCCCAGCCAGGCAAAATACAGTCCAATTTTTTCTCCAAAATACTTTCTGGAAAAGAAAGAAAAGAAAATGAAACACATATTAAGAACATCATATACTTTCCTTATTTCTGTTTGTTCTATGCCTAAGGGTGGGTCAACATAGATATTCATTCCTCTTGTGACGAAAACAAAGGGATGGAGGTTGCACGGGGAAGGGGAGGCTTCAGTACAAAGAATCAACAACTGAGCTTTTCTGGAATGACGTGCATTCCATTGGAATCACATTCACACACCTGTCTTGGCTGTTCATGTGAAATAGCTAGCCAAGAGAAAGAATCCAGCCCCAACAGCAAACTAAAAATATGCCACACATTTTGGCACCTTTACCAAACATGAATAACACATCATCATTTCATAAGTGCCATAGCACTCAACCCATAAGAAAACACACCTTTTTGGAACTAGCTTATTTAAACAAAACACACAGATCATATATTTGGGCATGTATACTTGGGTATGCAAACCAACATACACACACTTACTGAAAAACGACTAGAAGAAATCCAATAAAATATTAGTAATGGTTTCTTTGGATGATGGGCTTATGGGTGGTTTTTATTTCTTTATTTTTAAGCCAGTTTACTGAGGTATGTTGGCATACAAAGAGCTGTACGTGTTGAACATATACAACTTGATGAGTTTGCAGATAAGTATACACCCATGAGAACATCACCAATCACTCCATAAAGTTATCCAGTACCTCCAAGTTTCCTTTTGCTCTCACCCTTGTTTTGTTTAATTAAAAAATTATTTTCTCTTGTGTTAAGAGCAATTAATGTGAGATCTACCCTGTTAGCAGATTTTTAAGTATACAATACAGTATCATTAACTATAGGCTCTATATTATACAGTAGATCTCCGGGCATATATGTATTGTGTAACTGAAATTTTGTACCTTTTGACCAATATCTCCTCATTTTCCCCTCTCTGCAGCCCCTGTTAACCACTATTCTATTCTTTGGATCTATGAGTTTGACGGTTTTAGATTCCTCATAGAGGTGGGATCATGCAGTATTTGTGCTTCTGTGCCTGGCTTATTTCACTTAGCATAACGTCCTCCAGGTCCATCCATGTTGCAGCAAATGGCAGGATTTCCTTATTTTTAAGGCTGAATAATATCCATTGTGTGTCCACATTTTCTTTATCCATGCATCTGTCAATGGATGCTTGGGTGGCTTATACCTTCTGGCAATTGTGAATAATGCTGCTATGAATATAGGAGTGCAGACATCTCCTCAGGATGTTGACTTTAATTCCTTAAGATATACATCCAAAAGGGAGACTGTTGAATCAAATGGTAATTATATTTTAATTTTTTGAGGAACCTCCATACTGTTTTCCACAGTGACCGCATTGCCACCAACAGTGAACAAGGGTTCCCTTTTCTCCACATCTGCACCAACACTTTTTATCTTTTGTTGTTGGACAATAGCATTCTAATAAGTGTGAAGTGATATCTCACTGTGGTTTTGATTTGCATTTCCCTGATGAATTGTGACATTAAACACTTTCTCCTATACCTGTTGGTCATTTGTATGTCTTCTTTGGTGAAATGTCTATTTAGGTCCTTTACTTAATTTTTTTATCAGGCTATTTGGTTTTTTGTGTGTTTCTTTGTTTTGCCACTGAATTGTAGAAGTTCCTTATACATGTTGGATATTAATCCCTTACCAGATATATGGTTTGCAAATATTTTCTCCCATTCTGCATATTGACTTTCACTCTGTTGATTGTTTCCTTTGCTGTGTAGAAGCATTTTAGTTTGATATATTCCCATTTGTCTATTTTTGCTTTTGTTGCTTGTGCTTTCTGTGCCATATCCAAGTCCAATGTGTAGAAGCTTTTTTCCCCTGTTTTCTTTTAAGAGTTCTATTGTTTCAGGTTTTACATTTAAGTCTTTAATCCATTTTAAGTTGGGTTTTTGTATGGTATAAAATAAGGGTCCAACTTCATTCTCATGCATGTGGATATCCAGTTTTCCCAATATCATTTATTGAAGAGTAAGTAGTATGAACAGTTTAACAATATTGATTCTTCAGCTCCATGAACACAAGGTATACTTTGTAAACCAAAACTTATTCTGAGACAGGTCTCAATCAATTTAGAAGTTTATTTTGCTAAGGTTAAGGACATGCCTGGAAGAAAAAAACACAGAGTCACAGAAACAGTCTGTGGTCTGTGCCTTCCTCCAAAGATGAATTTAAGGGTTTCAATATTCATCGGTGCCTTTCTCCAAAGATGAATTTAAGGGCTTCAATATTTAAAGGGGAAATATTGGGCTAGTGGGCTGGAGGGGAAAGAGGGAGGGTATGGTATGGTCATCCACATGTTGCAGGAGAAAATGAGCAGGTAGCAGAATAGTCAATTAAGTATTCATCTTGTGCTCAGCAAATCGGCACTTAATATAAGGTGAACATAGAGCAGCTGCCTGTGGAGATATTTAGCCTTTTATCTGTAGCTGTCTGCTTAGGAACAAAAGGGAGGGCAGCTTCTTGCATCACTCAGCTTTCAGCTTAATTTTTTCATTTTGGCAGAGTGAATTGGGGTCCCAAGTTTTTATTTTCCTTTCACACCTTCCTTTTATTTATATCCTCTTTAATTTCTTTTATCAACGTTTTATAGTTTTCAATGTGCAAATCTTTCACCCTCTTAGTTAAACTTATTCCTAGGTATTTTATTCTTTTTGGTGCTATTGTGAATGGTACTTTTCTTCTTAGTTTTCTTTTTAGATAGGTTGTTAGTGCACAGAAATGAAAATGATTTTTGCAGGTTGATTTAGTATCCTGCAACTATACTGAATTTATTATTTCTAAAAGTTTTTTGGTAGAGTCTTTAGGGTTTTCTGCATATGAGATCATGTCATCTGGAAACTAAGGCAATTTTACTTCTTCCTTTCCAATTTGATAGCTTTTATTTCTTTTTCTTGACTAATTGCTCTTGCTAGAAATACCACGTTGAATGTGAGAGGTAAGAATGGGCATTTTTGCCTTATTCCAGATCTTAGAAAAAAAACTTTTTTTACTATTGAATATGATGTTAGCCATGAGATTTTCATGAATGACTTCTATTGTGTTGATGTTAGTTCCTTCTATTCCTAATTCATTGACAGTCATGTTCCTTCCATTCCTAACTTGTTGAGCTGTAAGTTCTTTCTATTTTTAATTTGTTGAGAATTTTAAATCGTGAAACAGTGCTGACTTTTGTCCATTTTTTTTCTCCATCTATTGAGATGTTCATGTGATTTTTATCTTCATTTATTGATTTGCATATGTTGAACCATCCTTGTATCCCAAGGAAAAAAACCCTTCTTGGTCATGGTGTCTGATCCTTTTAAAGTGCTGCTGAGTTTGATTTACTACTATTTTGTTGAATAGTTTTGCATCTACGTTCATCAGGGATGTTGACCTATAGTTCTCTTCTTGTAGTGTCTCTGTCTGGATTTGGTATCAGGGTGGTGCTTGCCTCAGGAAGAATTTGTAAGTCTCTCCTCTTTTCCTGTTTTTTGGAAGACTTTAAGAAGTATTGGTATTAATTTTTCTTTGAATGTTTGGAAGGATTCATCCATGAAACTATCTGTTCCTGGGCTTTTCTTTGCTGAGAGTTTTGTTTTGTTTCATTTTGTTTGTTTGTTTTCAATTATTGCTTGAATCTACTTATTTGTCATTGGTCTGTACAGGCTTCCTATTTATCCTTGATTCAATCTTGTTGATTATATGGTTCTAAGCATTTATCCATTTATTCTAGATTGTCCAATTTGTTGGTGTATAATTGTTCATAATAATTCCTTTTTATTTCTGTAACATCAGGTGCAAAGTCTCATCCTTCATTTCTAATTTTATTTATTTGCAACTTCTTTCCTTTTCATTAGTCTAACTAAGGATTCGTCAACAAACTCTTAGCTTCATCAATTTTTTGTTTTTCTGTTTTCATATCCTGTCTTATATTTATTTATCCCCTAATCTATATTATTTCTTCCCTCCTGCTAATTTTGGGCTTAGTTTTTTCTTCTTTTGTAGTTACTTGAGATGTAAAATTAATTATTTGAGATCTTTCTTCTTCTTAAATGTAGCCATTTACCACTATAAACTTCCTTTTAGTATTGCTTTTGCTGCCTCTCATAAGTTTTAATATGTTGTGCTTTCATTTTCATTTGTCTTGAGATATTTTCTAATTTCCTTTTTTGATTTATTCTTTGACCTAGATATAGTACTCTTGATTGGCAGGTTTTTTAAATTTCAATACTTTGAATATATCATCCTACTCTCTCCTCACCTGCAAGGTTTCTGCTGAGAAGTCCACTAGTAGCCTTATAATGGTTCCCTTGTTTGTGATAAGTCACTTTTTTCTTGTTGCTTTCAAAATTCTCTACTTGACTTTTGAGAATTCAATTTTTTTCTTTTTTACATTTATTTATTTTTATTTATTTTATTTATTTATTTATTTATTTATATTTTTATTATACTTTAAGTTCTAGGGTACATGTGCACAACGTGCAGGTTTGTTACGTATGTATACATGTGCCATGTTCGTGTGCTGCACCCATTAACTCGTCATTTACATTAGGTATATCTCTTAATGCTATCCCTCCCCCCTCTCCCCACCCCACAACAGGCCCTGGTGTGTGATGTTCCCCTTCCTGTGTTCATGTGTTCTCATTGTTCAATTCCCACCAATGAGTGAGAACATGCGGTGTTTGGTTTTTTGTCCTTCTGATAGGTTGCTGAGAATGATGGTTTCCAGCTTCATCCATGTCCCTACAAAGGACATGAACTCATCATTTTGTATGGCTGCATAGTATTCCATGGTGTATATGTGCCACATTTTCTTAATCCAGTCCATCAAATTCAATTTTAAGGTGACTCAGTGTTAACCTCTTTGGGTTCAATGTACTTGGGTACATTGAGACTTCATGAATTTGGATGTTCATTTCTCTTCCTAGATTTGGAAAGTTTTTAGCAATTATTCCCTTAATAAGCTTTCTTCCTCTTTTTCTTTCTTTAGTCTCCTTCTGAGTCTCCCAGAATGCATATATTGGTTCACTCTATGGTGTCCCATAAGATCTTAGGCTTTCTTCACTTTTCAACCTTTCTGTTTTTTCTGTTCTTCCGACTGGATAATTTCAAATGACTTGTCTTTAAGTACAATGATTCTTTCTTCTGCTTGACCAAGTATGCTACTGAAGTTCTGTATTAAGTTTTTTAGTTCAGTCATTGTATTCTTCAGTTCTAGGATTTCACTTTGGCTCTTTTTTATTATTTCTATATGTTTGTTGAACTTCTGATTTTGTTGACATGTTATACTCCTAATTGTGTTTAGCTGTCTGTTCTCTTGCAGCTCATTTAAGACAATTATTTTGAGTTCTTTGTCAAGCAGATTATGGATATCAATTTATTTAGGGTAAGTTACTGGAGTCTTTTTCAGCTCCTAATAAGGTAGTATCGAGAATTCCTGATTCTTTGTGATCCTTGTAGCCTTAGAGTGGTGTCTGTGTATTTGAGAAGTAGTCACCTCTTCCAGTTCTTACTGACTGCTTTCAGCAGGCAAAGACCTTCATCAGTCATGCTGGTCAGAGATTATGGGTGGATCAGCTGCCAGAGTAAGCAGGCAGTGCCTGCGGGCAGACTTAAGCTGGGTGGGGTCCAAGGGTGGATCTGCTGCCATGGTCCGTGGGTGGGCCTGTTGCCAGAGTCTGTGGGTGGGCTGGCCTGCTGCTGGGTATGTGGGCAGGTGGGCCTGCTTCCAAGGTCCACTAGAGGACTGGGCTGCTGCGCCACAGACAGAGATTCTGTTGAGATCTGCATGAGAGTAGGGCTGCATTTGGTTTCCATGAGCAGTCAAGTTTGCTGATGGGTCCACGGGCAGATGAGCAGGGCTGCCCCTGGGTCTGTGGGAAAGTGGGTGGGTCTGTCACCAAGTCCCCTGCTCTGTGGAAGTGGTCATGCCATTGGGGACATGGGAAGCCAGCTTCCTGTAGGGTCTGTATATGGGCAGAGTTCCTTATGAGCAGTGAACAGGCAGTGCTGTCACTAGGTGTTCAAGTGAGCAAGGCTGCTTCCAGGCCCATGGCTGGTGGTTCTGCTGCCAGAAAGCATGAGCCTGCATTCTCAGTGAAGTTTTTCTAGGTCTTGAGCTCCACCAGGGTTCTGCAACCTCTTACCTGAAAACCAGAGCTCTCATAAAGGTCTATTTTGTATATAGATGGTTGCTAAACAGGTGTTTCAGTAGAAGGGTGAGGCCTGGGGACTTTCTATTTTGCCATCTTGCTGATGTCACTGTATTTCTTTATTTCTATCTTTCTGCACTTAAAATTTTTCTACTTTGTTAATAAATTACTTTTAGAATGAAAAGTGATTTCTTGTAAAAAGAAAATTTACCAACTCATATATTTTTATTACAAGTTTATAAAGTTTGTAAATTACCAGTTAAGCCTCTAAAATACAATTTCCCCTTAGATAAATATTGACTATGGATGCCTGATGAGAAAAGTACAATCTACCAAGGAGCAATATATTTAATTTCCCAAAAGCCTGTGACGTAAAACACAAGAGGGAAATGAGAGCTCTGTCCACACATTGATAGAAGAACTAAAGGGTAAGAAGAACAGTGAATAGGATCTATTTACCCACCACCACAGGTTCTGCTTCCACTTATGATGCAGACAATTGCAAGAGAATATAGTTCCCAGCCTAACAACAAGAGAAATCTGGATAATCTGTGAAATTATAACTTTGCTTGAGCTCATCAGAGAGCTGAAGTTGTAAGGTAACCAGGAGAACTGAATTTTTTTTAAATGCCAAGTCCGTCCAGGGAAAACTGGGATATGTGAATAGTTTTACATTTGACAGAGAATGGGAGGATGCGATAGTCCCTGTAAAAGTAAGAAGAAATAGCTAAAATTTTAAAAATTCAGAAAGATGAGTATAAGTTAGCATGACAGAGTGTAATAACTGGAAGCTTCAAACACAAGAGCAGTTTGCCCTTATGCACAAGGTCATTTCCATAGACCTCATAAGGAAGATAATGGGTAAGGTAAGAGACCAAAGAGAGTCAGTCCCCTTAAGTTGCACACAGGTATGAAAAACCATGCACTTCCTGGAATCTTCTCTTATTCAAATCGAAAGCCTTAAACGGAAGAAGGGACCTGACCCAAGGACCTAGGCAAAGACCCACTGCTTCTGAAGCCCGAGATGGGTTGCACATACAGCCGATGGTACTTGGTGGAAAGGGTGGAAACTCTCCTAGGCCCGAGATTCTGCAAAATTACAAATTAGAAGTCTGTTACTGCTGAGGAAGGGCAGGAAACTGTCTCCCACCCAAGAATCTGTACCAGTAAAGGACAGAGTTTAATTGTGAGGGGCAGAGGGAGGACATGAATTCTAAGAAACCGTCATTTCTGAGGCTTGAGTGCACAGAGCCTGCCTAAGACTGAGATAGGCATGAGAACAAAACTGCCCTATTTCCCTCCACAGCCCCACTTATAGTAAACAAGTGATAAGCTCCATTTATCACTGAGCAACAAACATCAACAGCCTGATTCTAGGGGAGCGGGAGGGGCATGGAGAAATACCCCATTGTGGCACAGGCATGCAGGGACTGCTGAAATCTGAGAGTGGTAAAGAAACAATGAGGACCAATTCAGCACTCCAGGGCTCACACAAAGCATAAGGTAATAGCGTACTATCACTGAAGGAATCTGAAGTTTGTAGTGCAGTGCACTGAAGGTGACTCTTGCAACAACAAAACCTCACTCAACTAGATTGACTCAACTCTCCTCACTACTGACCTGATGGAATGGAAGAGGCATGTAGGCATAATACTACTTACCTCAGTTTCCACTGTCATTTTATACACAATGTATGGCATTCAATAAACAAATAAAATAAAATAAAATCCCATTGTCAGGAAATAAGGCAATCAATGAAGCTAAGCTTGATTCAGATGTCAGAATGATGCAATAGGGATTTTTAAATAACTCTAATTAATAGATTAAAGCAGAATCTACTACAAAAGATGTATCAAAAGAAAATACAAAGGGAAAAAAGAGTGAGGAAAAACAAATCTAGCATTCGAGAGCTGCAGGACAATATCAAAGGATCTATCACACATGTAATTAGAGTTCCAAAAGGATAAAAGAAAGAACAGAGAAGAATATTTAAATATGTTATGGCTAAGAATTTTCCAAAAGTTACAAAAAAAAAAAAAACAACAAAACACAAATCAACAATGTTCAGAGAACCCATGAAGAATAAATACAAAAACAAAAATGAAACCCCACATACTTAGATACGTCATAGTCAAATTTCCGAAAACCAAAGATTGAAAGAGAAAAATTTTAATTAAGCTTGTGGGGGAAGGAAATCAGATACAACAGAAGATCAAAGTCATTATATAGGATTTATAACCAATTTTTTGGCAGAAACTATGCAAGCCAAAAGTTAATAAAGTGACACCTTAGAGCAGGGGTCCCCAACCCCCAGACCACAGACTGGTACCTGTCCATGTCCAGTTAGGAACCAGGCCACACAGCAGGAGGTGAGCAGCAGAGTGAACCATCATTACTGCCTGAGCTCTGCTTCCTATCAGATCAGCAGCAGCATTAGATTCTCAAAGGAGCATGAACCCTATTGTGAACTGCGCATGGGAGGGATCTAGGATGCACACTTCTTATGAGAATCTAATGCCTGATGATCTGAGGTAGAACAATTTCATCCCAAAACTATTCTCCCACTGTCCCCAGCCTGTGGAAAAATTATCTTCCACGAAACTGATCCCTGGTGCCAAAAAGGTTGCGGACTGCTGCCTTAAAGTATGGAAAGAAAAAAAACTATTAACTTAGAGTACTATATATAAATTAAATATCTTTCAAAAATGAAGGCAAAACAATGTCTATTTTAGGGAGTAAAAGCCAAGAGAATTTATTACCAGCAAATGTGAACTGTAAGAAATGTTAAAGAAAGATCTTTGGGCAAAAGGAATATAATCTCAGTAGAAATTTGGATCTACACAATGAAATAGAGAGTACCGGAAATGGTGAAAACAATGACAAGTAAGAGATATTTTTGCTATTAATTCCTTTAAAAGGCAATTCACTACTTAAAGTATGCTTTCTCAATCACCATTTCTGAAACACCATCACCATTATTTCTGCATTTCTTTCTGTATTTTAAATGTTTCTACTTTGTTAATAAATCACTTTTAAAATTAAAATCGATTTCTTTTGAAAACAAAATTTACCAATTCATTATATTTTTTATTCCAAGTTTATAAAGTTTGTAAATTACCAGTTAAGCCTCTAAAAAGCAATTTCCCCTTAGATAATATTAATTATGGATGTCTGAGGAGAAAAATGCAATCTACCAAGGAGCAATATATTTCATTTCTCAAAAGCCTGTGAGATAAAACACAAGAGGGAAATGAGAGCTCTGTCCACCTTAATGGAAGGACTAAAGAGTAAGAACAGTGAATAGAATCTTATTTCAACTTTTATATTTTAAAAAGAAATTTTTTTAGAGAGCTCTCATCCCAAACAACTATCTTAATGGTACCTATGGTAAGATCTAATTGAAAAGAGGACACAGAAGAGTGTAACTGCTAGCTTTTAGGGGTTTCCTTAAAAAAGATGTAAAGAATAGAAATTAGAACAAAAGCCAAATTACACATCCACTATAATTCCTCCTTCTCCACCTACTTCTAACCTCCCTTTATCTCCAATTCCCTGTCCCTGGCCCTCCAGAAGGTCTTCTGGATATCTGGACCCCTAGCTTAAACTTAACCCTCTCCTCAAAATCTGGTCCCATCCCCTCAACAGATTCCTTTAACACCTAAAACTCCTCCAACTTTCCCAGAAAATCCTTTAAACGTTCAACTGCTCGCTTTAACTTCCCTGCAAGATTTACAAAAAGCACTCTTGCCTGATCTCCAGGCATACAGGTTACTTGTGTAAAAGTTGACAGCCAGGAAATCAGTCGAACACGGATTCAGGGGACTTGCAGCCTGGCAGGCTCTGCTCTACCTTACAACTCCTCTTACTTCCGTGGGGCTCTGTAGTAAAACTTCATCAGCTCCAGGACGTCCCAAATTTTGGACCCCCACAGCAAAAAAAAAAAAAAAAAAAATTCCGTAGACTGTCCTACACTTAAAGAGAAAAAAAGCTTTAAAAGTTACCCTAGATCTCTAATAAGCAAATACTCATCCAAAACTCCTTCTTAGAGAAAACCTACATTTTCTTCCAGTCCCTTGGAATTGTAAATCTTACTACGTCTCTGAAATGTAAATATCTAAGGAGTTAACTAAAACAATGTCTACACCCATATGAGACTAAAAAAAAGAAGAAAGGGGGAAAAAGGCTCTTTATTTTAAATATCAACTGCTATAAAAAGTCCTATACCCCAAATTTAGTCCACATCCCCCATAAGATTACTTAGCAAGGGCAAATGGCAATTTTTAATGTATTCTCCACAGATATGGGTAAAAAAAAATTGGCCATCTAAGCAGGTAACCTTAACTTATCCCATGTGCAAAAACATAATTTGGATCCAACTGCCCTTTTATAAACTAGTGAGCTTTATATTATTGTACCTGTCTTATCGTTAAAATTTTTAAATGAAAGCTATAAGATTTATTTGTGTCTGTCTATATGTTCACATATGTTTATCCATGTGTACATCTATGTTTACATGGTATAAAACTCCTTTTAAAAAGTTATTTTAAAGTTGGGCATAGCGATAAATCAGTACTCATATAAACCAAATACTCCTAAAATTGCTAGAACTATAGAAACTAACCCAAATGTTTTTCAAGTTTACATGACTTGTGTGCTCTTTGGTAAATAAGATTACTTTAACATTGTTAGATTAATGAAAACAGCTCTGTCTTCTGAGTTAGCAGCAAACAAAACAAAACAAAAATATGTATTTAACTTCAGAGTTCTTGCTTTGGCAATAATTGTCTCACATGTATGTGCTGCAAAAATAGTTAACAGGAAAATAATTTGAGATAATGACTAGCTTTGATGTTTTATGAAATTTTCATGAGTAATCCAAGCATAATTGTTAAGAACAAGTAAATTAAATAGATGTAAGTAGAATAAAATTGTATAACTGTATTTTTAAATAAGAATTTTGTTTTATGATATGTTTACTTTAGATGTTTCTCAAATCTCTTCGGTAACTACATTCTTAGGGTGTTGCTAAGTTAAATTAAATGATGGGTATTCGTTGCATATCTAGATCATTTCCAAGTGAAGTAAAATACTGAAACATTAATCGCTGAACATAAGGTTTAACTTTACCTACTTTTGGCTTCTTATTACAAAGGAACTAAAATACCTGGGTCTGTTAGTAAATATTTCCTGTTTGACACTGAAAAATTGTTCTAAGAGGAAGCATATGTTTCTAGAAATTATGAAAAGTGTATTTATAAAATGTTACATAACAATTTGAAACTATTTACCTCTTAGGTTTTCACTAGAAAATAAGGTTACTAAGAGTTAAAATTTCTAACTAAGTATATAAAATGATAAGAGAAACAACACTATATGCAAATATAAAAGGAAAGTAAGATGTTAAATGGTATGAACATGTGGAGTTTTTTGTTAAAGAAGAGTAATTTTGTCTAGTTTAGAGATTACTTAAAGGTTGTTTCAGAATGAAGGAAGAAAGGATATAGATAAAACTTAATGATGATAGAAAGGTGGGAAGAGATAGAAAGTGAAAGAAAATCTTATGCTCAAACTGACTATAATTGAATGAATTTATTATAAAGGTATTAAAATGAGCCTTAATATCAAAAGTATACTGAAACAAAACTAGAATTTGATCTTCTCCTTTAAACTGTCAAGACTTTCTTGGAGTATTGATAAGAGATAGCGAAAATTTTTTCTTCGCCTTTTAAGTTAAACAAAAACTTGTGTCTTACCAAAATAATTTATTGTGCTTCATATTGTCTTTTATTAGGTCTTTAATTAAGAAAACTGAGTCTTTTCAATATGAAAAGAGCTAAGGTTTTTCATACAACTATGTCAATTTCTGCATTTGCCTTGAAGTCTTTTAATTGTCACTCTGGTTAAATGAATGATATAGTAACTTTTGATACTATTTACTCAAGTGTTTTAAACTTTTGTTATATTGACAAACATTTTCTAAAATCAAATTCAAAATTAAATATTTTTGACCTTGAACCAACTTTGGGACATCCCACAGGGACCAAGAACTCTCAAAAGATCTATAAAAAATAACTATTAAAATAGGCTTATTTAATACGTTAAATTACATGGAAAGTACTGTCAAATAAGAAATGATGTTTAACCTTCTTTGAATTATGTGAGCATATTAACATGTGTTCCAGAAATTGTATGAAATTCCTAAAAATATGATATGTCTTCGCATAATGCTATTAGTCATAATTTTGGTTATTATATTAAAATGGTATATACTATAGAAATAAGCAAATTTTCTTATCAATCATGCCTTGCTTTTCTCTTCTTAATTTGTCTCCTGTTACCTGATCTGTCTCAACTACAAATGTATGAGGGTTGAGGAAAAATTGTATTTCCCCCCAACACTAATAATTAGTACCAGAAAGAGTCTGGAAACAATCCCTAAATATTTGGAAATTAAACAACATCCTTCTAAATAACCTATGGATCAAAGAAGAAATCACAAAGAAAATCAGAAAATATTTTCAATTCAGCGAAAATAACAAAACAGCGTATCAAGATTTGTAGGATACTGTTAAAGCTATGCGTAGAGAGATATTTGTAGTATTAAAAAACAAGAAAGTTTTGAAACAGTAATCAAAGTTTGTACTTTAGGGAAGAGGTGAAAATTCAACCCAAAGCAAGCAGAAAGAAAGAAATAATAAAGATTAGAGCATAAATCAATGAAATTAATAGAAAAAAGTCAATGAAACTAAAAACTGGTTGTTTGAAAGGATCAGTAAAACTAATCAAGAAAATAAAAGATAAGATAGAAATTACCAGTACTGGGAATGAAAGAAGGGACATCAGTACAGTTCTTGTTTATTCATTATGATGTGCTAATGCTAGTTATCTTTTCATGGGCTCATCTTATGTTCTCCACTATTCCACATTATCTAACTCTGGAAGAGGAAAAATGATGAGAAAAGGTAGGAGAGACATAAGAGGTAACAAACACAAACTTCCCTAATGCTTTCATCTTGATCATCTTGCTTAACCTCACTTCTAATTCTCACAACATCTTTTCGAGATGAGACAACTGAAGATCCCTGGTCAAATCGACTTGTCCAAAGTCACACAGCTAGTACGTGGCAGAGCAACAATTTTATCTTTTCATCTGACCCTTCCATGTCAATACAGTAATAGCAGCAATAGTAACTGAGGTGTATTGAGGACTAATTGCCAAGCTGTGTTCTAAGGAAATTGCAAATATTCTCTTACTTTTTAGTTCTCACAGCCCTACAAGGTAGTATGCTATTATCCTTAAATTACAGATGAGGAAACTGATGTACAAAAACATTCACTAACCCAAGGTTGCACAGCTGGTAAGATGCAGAGACGAGATTCAAATCCAACAAGTCTAATGAGATTCCAGCTTTCAACCTCCACATTATAATGAATTCCAGGAAGGATTTAGAGAAGAAAAGAAAATGTTGGGCATGAGACATGCCCATGGCAAATTTGTTAATTGGACAGGACTACATATGGCTACCCATCCATTACCAACACCACCACTGCCATCACCATTCGCCCCCAGCCCCGCCCTCCCCTGTTCTCCTGCTTTTTTCCAACTCTGAAGCTGTACCACCACAGCATCTCATCTGAGGCATTCGATCGTTCAGAGACAGATTTCCCTAACGGCACTCTCTCCACTCACACAATTTACAAAATTCTCCCTTTGCCTCTTAGGCCTGTGCTTAAGGAGCCCATATGATAAATTAAAGCTTACTGGAGTACTTAGTCACTTCCTTCAGGAAAACATTTACATTTACAGAGATACAATGCCTCATCCCTTAAAGGAAGGAATAGGATATTGTGAGAGACTCTTCTAACTATCCATATAAACAGTTGACTATTCTGTCTACCCATAAAAATGCTATCAGCCAGAGAGGCAGTCCAGGAGCCTGAGCACAGAGTCTAGAGACCTGGAAAAGGAAGGAAGAAAGGGCAGAATGCATTAAAGTAAGAATGCAAGAAACAAAGAAAGAAAAAGAATTATACCATTTAAGAGAAACAGTAGCAAGGTTAAAAATTCCAATGCCCACAGGAGCCAGGAAGATAACAAAATGATTGAAGCCGACCAGGCATAACCAACTGTACATAGCATCTCTCGATTGGAAAGCTGAAACCCAGGTACCCGGGAACAGTAACTACTCAGCTCCAGCAGTCCGGGGTGACTTGTGGGAAAATGAGACCAGCGTTGCCACATCCTACAATTTGCTAAGAAAAGTTAGAAATCTTTACTTCTAATTTTTAAACATTAGCAACTAATTCAATTGAAAAAAAAAATTGTATAACTGGATATTGTCTATGAGATATTAGTCGGTATTGGTATCTTTTGTGGTATAACAGAGATCACAGAACACAAGCTCTGGTGTGGGAAAACCTGGGCATGAATCTTGCCTCTGCTGTTTCCTAACTTTGGAAAGTCTCTCCTCAAGTTCTCTCAGCTTTATTTTTCCCATTTAAAACCACGTTAATGTGAAAATTGAATGAGCAAGGTATACAAGGACACAATAAGCAAGTAATAAGTGTTCACTTCTGGTTATCTCATTCTGAAAATCCATGAAAATGGAACTTTTGTTTATCAAACACCACTGTTGTGAGTGACAAAAACAGGCCACATAATGGGAACAGATATTTGCATACATATATCCAATAAGGGATTTGTACCCAGAATACATAAAGAACTTCTACATGTTGCTAAGAAATAGATAATCCAGTAGAAAAATGAACAGAAGACTAGAATACTTCAAGAAAAACAACATCCAAGTAATCAATAAATAGCCAAAGTGCTCAACTCCCTTAATCATCAGGGAAATACAAATTAAACCATAATGCAGTATCTCTACACACCCATCAAAGTGGCAAAAATGAAAAAAGATGGAAAATGCCAAGCATTGGCCAAAATGTGGAGAAACCAGAACTCCCACATAGTTCTGGTAAGCTATAAACAGGTACAGGTATTTTGGAAAAACTGCTTGTGGCATCTGCTAGAGCTGAGCATAGGTATCCGGTATGACCCAGCAACTCTACTCCCAAGTCTATGCCCAACAGAAACACACATATGTGCACCAAAAGACACATACAGGGAGGTTCAGAGCAACACTATTTATAACAGCCTCAACTGGAAGCTGCCCAAGTGATTATAAGCAATAAAATGGATAAATGCATTTTGGTATAGTCACCCAATGGAATATTATATAGCAATGAGAATGAACAAACTACAACTACACATGACCACACAAGTGAATCCCACAAATATAATGTTGAAAATGGAAGCCAGATACCAGAGTATATATGTATTGTATTCTTCTATTTATATTAAGTTCAAAAATAAAATAATTCTTGCGTTAGAAGTTGGATCATGGCCAACCCTAGGGAGGCACTAATGGAGAGCATGGGGACTGGAGTTTCCTGGGGTGCTGATAATGTTTTTCCTTCATCTGGGTATTGGTTGCATGGAAGATGCAGGAAGCTGTATATTTATGGCACACACACCTTTCTATCTGTATATTATACTTTGGTTTTAAAAGTTTTAAAAGAGGCAGCATAGTCACATAATACGCACACCAGCAGATTCCCTGCAGGTCATCTTGTTTGTCCCTCTGCTCTCAGGCCAGACTACATTCAGTTCAGGTCAAGCATATGTAACACTCTGGCTCAGTCGGAGACTAAGCTGCGAGGTGAGTTCTCATCTGAAGGAAGCACAGGAGGCCAAGCTAACAAAAGACAAGGCTTCCAAAAAACAAGGCAGTAAGCCTTGAAAAGCAAGGCTGGCATTCGGCAGCACAGCCCAAGGCAGGATGGAGGCCTAACAATGGCTGCACAATTCTCAGGAGATCAGAAGAGCAGAGTTGAGCAGGAGATGATTACCATGGAGCAGGTTGCCAACAAGGCGTGTACCTAGAGAGCCAGCCCTGTCAGCTGGAGGGCTAATTTCTGCTCTCAACTCTGCCAAGCTGACCACTGGCCCTGCCCCTTCCTCCCTGGACTTAGAGAAAGATGTCAGGCTTTCCTGGTCCCTCAGGAGACGGATGAAAGGCAAACAAATGTGGGTGTTCTTAGTAGTGTCATGGGCAGGTGCAGGGATGCCAGAGAGAAAGTTCCGAGGCTTTAATTAAAGCTCACAGTGCTTGCTTCTCTGGAAGACAGCCTGGAAAATCCCAATGACAGAAGAAGCCAGGCAAGACAGCAAAAGTCTCTCCTTGGTGAACCTAAGAGACAGGGCCAACGTGGTTTCTGCATGCAAAATCACAAATGTTCCTGTCCTCCACCCTCAACCTCCAAGATACTATAAATGGACTATGGTGAATAAGGAGTGAGTATTGGAGAGAAAGAAAGGAAATGAAACATTTATTCAGCATCTATATGTGCCAAGCCTTAAGCGAAATGCTTTATACACAGTATCTCATCTAATGCTTCCCAAACTTTCTAAGGCAAGTTAAAAGTTAGAATTAGGATTAGATTCAGATGGTGAAACAGTTGATGGTATCTCAGTCTTTAAAAACAAACTCTTTGGGATAAATATTCTGTGAATTCAAGACTCGAGCTACTTGTCCGCATGGGCCCTTCCCCCCCATCTGCTTTATAAGGTAGCAGCTAGGTGCAGGTGGAACTGAAATTTTATCCTTCTGATGGAAAAGTGGAGGGCCTCTCTGGCCCACAGGCTGTGGCTGGGAATTTTCTTGTCTAGACCCTGGAGGCTAAGCTTGTCTCTGCTGCTCTGAAGCTGAGCTGGGGTGTCCCTTCCTTGTTCCACCCCAGCCCCTTCCAGTCCACTTGTTCATGAGAACCTCAGGATCCTCCAGACGCCATATGTGGACTGTAGGGGGTGCAGCTACTATGTCATGTCTGTGTACCGAGATGTGTCCCTCACCCTTCCTGACCTACTATCTGGGCAGTGCCAAGGCACCCTAACATCGTGCCAGACACTGGGCTTTTCTAAAGGACCTGTAATTTTCTAAGGGTGTTCTCTTGCAAACACTGTGCCCTAGGATTCACCCCAAAATATCTTTGTTCCTACCTCCCCTTGCTTCCAAACCCATTCTCACAGCCGCATGGTTTCACCCCAAGGGCAAGAATAATCAGTCCTCAACCCTCCCCTTCTCTTCCTCTCCTTCTGAGGATCTTCCCTCATTGGAAAGGCTTGTTCTCCCTTCCTGGCTGGTGGGAATTTCACCAGGTCATATTCCCGCCACCCCATTCCCAGGGAGTGTTTGTCTTCTCTTCCTTTCCCTAGGGGCAAAAGGAAAAAGAGCAGAAGTGTTGTTGGAAGAGAAGAGAGTCTATATCAAAAGGGATTTCAAAATTTTTGTGAGCAGAGACATTTCATATTCATTAAACAATGCCACTAGTCAGTCTCCTTTCTCAAGACCCACAATTCAGGAATCATGGCCCTTCTCTCCAGTGAGCACAGACGTGCACGGAGGACTCACAGCCACAGCCCCTCAGACCTGGGCCCCTCTCCTCAGCCCTCTACTACCAGCTCTTGCCTTCTCATCACCAGCCTGGCCACCGAGGGACTGACCCATGCCTGTACGGTAGGTCTCCTGACTGGCTGTGGAACGACAGCAGCTGGATTGTCACCACTCTGCCAAAACCAACAGCAGGACCCTGGCTGTCTGCCCCTGAGCTGGGTACGGGCCAGCAGACACAGTAGCCACTCCTCAGATCAACAGTGGGCTGAGGAGTTCTTAAGAACTGGGGAATTCTTGAGAACTCACAAGGGCTCTGAGTTCTTGATCCTCCCAGGAAGGACAAGAAAAGGCCTCTTGCTAAAAAGCACATTTTGCTGCTATGGAGCTAGTTCAGAAAGTACAGTAACAAGAGGGCTGGGCTCGGGATGGCAGCGCTGTGGAAGCTGGGCTTAGCTTATGTCCTGACAGCTGGAAACAACACAGCAAATGGGATGAGAACTGCTCAAAAATTCCAGAAAGGCAGAGGAAGAAAACACACCATTTGCAAGGAGAGGACCCTAGATTTACGACACTCTCCTGTGCTGTGCCACTTTTAAGAAGAGGTTCCCTCTCTCCAACCAATCCTCTCTTTAAGAAGGTTTCCAAATAAAGAGCCATCGTATGGAGCAAGGGAGGCTGCAGAGCCAGGCTGATGGGGTACAGGTGGGACCAGGAACCAGGACTGGCTGGCCTGGCGTGGCCTGTCACTGGCTCTGCAAGCAGCAGACGCATTCAGAGGAGCAAACAGGCCCAAAGACCAAGAAAGAGAGCCAGGGGCCAGACGAGCAAACACTGAGTTCAGGATGAACCAGAGAAATGAGGTGCAAGTGACACTTAGGTAAGTAAGTAAGGCATACAAGAGATGAGAGCTAGGAAAGTAAATTACAGCAAGAAAAACAAAGCAGGCAGAAACCGAGTCACAGCATTGGCAGAATCCTCATCTGAATCCAAGAGAAACGGTAAAGGCAAGTCCTGATTCCAGGTCTCCCTACCTACCTGTACATTCCTATCCGTGGGTGGTGGATGGACCTCCATTAACAGCCACACCTCCCCATCCAGAAGGAGAGGAAGATCTCAGAGTAAAATAAAATCGCTCCATTTCTGCGTGCACCCTTCATTCTAGGTACTCTGCTGAATGTTTTGCACGCATGATCCCTTAGGATCCTCACAAGAATCTAAGTGGATACAGGTGTTTGCAAACAAATGGCTTGTGAAGGGTCCTTTCCCTGGGTATTATACACAGCCCCACCTAAGGGCAGAAAGCGTGGAGAGCAGTGTGGTCTATGTTTGAGCCTCCACTAACCCCTCGGCTGGGCACCTATGGGCAATGTACAAAATTCACAAGCCTGTGTGGCAGCCCGAGAAGGAGAGATACTGTCTACATTTAATAGATGAGAGAATGGAAGCTTAAAGGTGAAACATCTTGCCCAAGTTGACAAAGCCCTTAGGTTGCAGACCCAATATTCAAACTCTAATCTGTTGAGGGAGAAAAGCCCCTGCTCTTAACTACTAGGCCACATGACAGAAGCAGAGAGAAATGCCTTACAGGAGTTCATAGCACTGGAAATAGATTCCCAATGACCCTAAAATAGCCAAGAAACCCCATTTGCCAGTTATATGATTTGCCCCAGTTCACGGGATGGGAACCACAGAAAAGCAAAGTGAATCATATTCTTCCAGCTCATTGGTTTCCAATCTCATGAACCCACCAGTCTACTTGACATTTCCCCGTGAGTGGCTAACAAGGGTCCCAAGGTTAACAAGATCAAAGTGGAACTCTTGGTTTCCTTGTTGCACTGGAACAATTCCTCTTCTCCCCAGTCTTTCATATTTCAGCATACAGAACCACATCTAGTTGCTCAGGACAAAAACATGGAAGTAATCATCTTTGGCTTTTTTAAAAAATCAAATTCCACTTCCAATTCATCAGTAAATCCTATAGACGCTACTTTCAAAAATACACCAAATCCAACCATGTGTCACCATCTCCACCACCAATACCCTGGCCAAACACGGTCCCTGCAAAGACCTCCCTGCTTCTACCCTTGCCCCATGCAATCTTTTCACTACACTTCTGTCAGATTCTTTCTTCCTCTGCTCAGGATGATTTTCTGACTTTATATCACAGGTAGAAGAAAACCCAAAATACTTTTCAGGATCTACAAGGTCCTGTTGCATCTGGCCCCTCTTTGGCTCTGCTCCAGCTACATGAGGCACCTTACCATTCCTCAGACACACCACACCTGCTCCCACTTCCATGCCTCTGCCATGGTTGTGCCCTCTTCTCATGCTCACTCCCCTACCTCCTCCATCTGCTCCAATGTCACCTCCTCAGAGAGGCCTTCTGTGATCACCCCATCCCAAATGGCCCCAACCTCTCTTCCTGCTTCGTCTTTCCTCATGACAATGATCACTACCTAACATTGCTTTCTAAATTTGTGTTTTTGTCCCTCTCCACTGCTAGAATGTAAGCTCCATGAGAGCAGAGACTTGTTCTGCCCTGTTCACTGTTGTATTCTTAGTGCCTAGAATGTGCTTGGTGCATAGCAGTGGCTTAATAAGCATTTGTTCAACGGATGACTAAATCCTCATCAAAACCCCATAAGGTGGGTTATAAAGCCTATCCCTGTTCTGTGCATGAGGCAAGCACAGCTCAGAGAGATTGAGTAAATTATGTAAGGTCACACAGCTAATGAGAAGAATTCAGACTCAAAGCTACCTAATTTCAACCTATGCTTACCCATGACATGTGTCTTTTAAGTAACAGTGTAGATGATAATGTAGATTTAAGCCTCCCAGCTTAAAAAGTGTTATCATTTATTTTCTATTTTATAAAAAAATGGAAGATAACCCTAAGGTTCATCTAAAACAGAATTCTCGGCTGGGCGCCGTGGCTTATGCCTGTAATCCCAGCACTTTGGGAGGCCAAGGCAGGTGGATCACTTGAGGTCAAGATTTCAAGACCAGCCTGGCCATCAAGATGAAACCTCCTCTCTACTAAAAATACAAAAATTAGCTGGGCATGGTGGTGGGTGCCTGTAATCCCAGCTACTCGGGAGGCTGAGGCAGGAGAATGGCTTGAACCTGGGAGGCAGAGGTTGCAGTGAGCTGAGATTGCACCACGGCACCCCAGAGCAAGATTCTGTCTCAAAATAAAAAATAAAAATAAAACAGAATTCTTCATTGAATGGTTTATAAAACCTTGTGACCTCCAAAAGGGGATTCACAACAGAAAAGACAGCGATGGTATCTGTTCCAGTTTTTATTTGTTAAAAAGCAATAAAAGAAATTATTTAAACATCATCTGTTCATTAATAAACAGCATGAGAGCTTCCAAGTACATGTCAAACAGTGATTAGAGACACATGTTCATGCCCCAGCTAGCCCTGCAATCATCTGTAGCCTGGTGGTTTGGGTTTCATTGTTTTTATTCTCATTATTGAATATTGCTTTACTTTTTACCCACAACAGATTTTTTAATAAAGAGGAAAACATAAAGAACACTGATGGTGAAAAATATCATATTAATGCAGAGCAAAAAAAAATGACATGAAAGAAATCAATAAATTTTTCCTCTAGATGATGTTCACACAGATCCATAAACTGCATACAACTGATGAAAAGTATCACATGACAGAGAAAGAATTCCATTATGAAAACCCAATGTTAAAAGGGAAGGGAGTTATTACATCAATTACATCCGACTGGCTTTTCATTATTGGTAAAGATTGTCTCCACCTACCAAGTGTAATCTACACAGAAGTCCTTGCCGTAGTCGCCTAAATCTTCTCTTTCAGCTTATCTTTTGGGAATAAAAGATAATTATTAGATTAAAAACCAGTTAAATGTTTAACTCAAGGGGCAAACATATCAAATTTCATGTGAAAATAGTAGATTTTGTCTAATTTTTCGCTGTAATATGATGATAAATTTTAATCTAAGTTTTTATATACATCATTACCCAAACCAAAGATGATATACTCTGCTATTTAAAAATGTATTTGTTGGAACATCTTGTTTTTTTCTTACATAATTTAATGTGATAGCATAAACAGCATGTGCCACACTTGTCAAAAAAGAAAAGGATAGACTCGCCTTTATGTATAGTGAATATTATAAAAGACTGTATGCAAGTGAACTTTACAGTACAATATCCCCTAATATATAGATCTAAATTAAAATATTTTTGCTGAAAATCATTTCTTCATCATATACCACATAATATGGATGTTAATAGCCACTCCCAAGGGAGTCCAGGGGATTAAACACGTGCTGTCAAGAAGGGGGTTTGTGTGGAGCTGCTGACCCATTCGCTGCCTTGCTCCACCTGGCCTGTGCCCCAGGAGGCTGATGTCTGTGGACTGCAACAACCAGGCTCCCTGGCTAATAGCAGGCATGAGCAGGAGTCAGCGGATGGGAGAGTAAAGAGAGTGGGGTGTTGATTTCCCCAGTTCCCTGGCTATGAAGTCCTGCCTTGGCAGTGGGTGCCACAGCTTCTGTCAGAGCTTTTCTCCCATGCACCAGCTCCGGCTACAGCCCTCTCTGGGTTCTGTAGTCACTCCTTCTCTTGTCCCTTCCTGCCAGAGGTGTTAACAGCCCTCCCATTGTTGCTTCCCCATTTTTTGTTGATTTCCTGTAGTCCTCAATTACCCATTTGAGCATGTCACCTCTTCCTTGCCAAGTCTCTAAATAATCCAAGATTCTAAAGTCTAAAAAGGGGTCAGGGGAGTTAGAAACTACTTGTCTGTTATAATTGTTTCATTTTATGGATTGGGGAACTCAGCCTAAGGGAGATTACAAGACTTGTCCAAAATCACCACCAACAGCAAGACAGAGCCGCAATTAGAAACTGGATCTTAGATCAGAAGATTTATATGAGTTAATTAAGTGCTTGAAACAGCACTTGCCACATGGAAATACTCAGAAATGTTAGCTACCATCATCATCATCTTTATCATCGTGCTAATTCCTAATTCAGTTATGGATTAGAAAAGGGGAAATGGATCAAAAATTCACAATCTTTCTAGCTTAAGAATTCAAAAAGTAATCCTATTTGGTAGATGGAGAGAAACCAAAGCCCAGAAAGGTTCTCTCCAAGGCTGAGCCACCGCCCCCTACAGCAGGAATGAGAAAGAGGCACCAAGGCTCACAACTTGGTGAGTGAGCATGGGATGCCTTCTAACCCCTCACACTCCCTTGGTCAGGTGCCTTGTTCAGTGCACAACCTGCACAACTGTCATACAATGGCCCTGGTTCAGGTCCCCCAGCAAGTTAGTGTCACTGTTAAATGAAAATGACCTTATCTCATTGAGTTGCTGTGAATATTCACGAAGACAGCATATGAAAAGTGCTTTAAAAACTCCAAAGCAGAGGATTCCAAGATGAATTACTGTGGCCTTCTTGCTCCACATCCTTCCAAACTGAAAAGCAGCCAGAGACTAGAATGAGAAGAGCTTGAAGAATTCTTTGACTTTGCTATTCCATAATGTGTGGGCATGGCAGAAAAAATAATAATAATAAACCTTTTCCACCTTATGACAAAAAGTTGTTCTTGGGCAGGACGCAGTGGCTCACACCTATAATCCCAGCACTTTGGGAGGGCAAGGTGGGCGGATTGCTTGAGCCCAGGAGTTTGAAACCAGCCTAGGGAAAATTGCAAAACCCCACGTCAACAACAACAACAAAAAAATCCATAAAAATTAGCCAGGTGTGGTGGCATGCACCTGCAGTCCCAGCTACTCAGAGGCTGAGGTGGGAGGATGCCTTGAGCCTGAGATGGGGAGGTTGCAGTGAGTTGAGATCACACCACCACACTCCAGCCTGGGAAACAGTGTGAGACCATCTCAAAAATAAAAAAGTTTTTCTTCAGTGTTTTCAAGGGGAAAGAAAGAAGAGCACTAGGATGTGTAACAATTGTGCTAAGGAAAGAGTTATATTTTATGGGAAAAGTTTGATGAAGAAATGCCTTGGTACAAAGCACATCCTCTGCTAAAAGCTCACGGGCAATGTTGGTGTTAATGTTTCCGAAGGACACCTGATGCCTTGTTGGAACCTCTAGGAGAGCTGCGTCAGGACCCAGCCCTCCCAGGGACAGGGCTGCTCTTCACAGAGACAGGCTGTGCCCATCCTGAACTTCCAAAGCCCAGGTCCTGCCCCCAGGTTCATCCATGTGAAATTTCAACTGAGCCCTCATTCATACTTCTTTCAAATTCAAGGTGCATTTCTCACCTTAGAAATAACCCTGTCAGTTCTGCACCTAGGCATTGCATCTCTTCTTGATGACTTTCTTTTAACCAAAATTTGTCGCCCTTTCCTCCACCAAGCAAGGAAAGAAAAAGAACATTTATTGAGCACCTACACTGTTTTTTACATACGTAGATGGTTTAATCCCCACTCTATGCGTCAGAAATTATTCCCCCAATTTGCAGATCAGGAAAACCATTTTCAAAGAAGCTAAATCCCTTGCCCAAGGTCACACATGCAGTTAGCTACACATCTGGGTTTCCAACTCGAGTCTATTTTGAGAGCCTCTGATCTATTCCATTGCCCTACTTTTTGCCAATTCCAAACTTTTTCTTTCCACTGCTAATTTCACCTCCCTTTTCTACCACTAGAATATTACTAACGGATAAGAGAATAGAAATAATTACGTGCACACACACAGAGAGAGAGAGAGAGAGAAAAATTCTACAAAACAAGAACAATCTCCATTGTCTCATCTTAACCCAAAAGGTCACATATGCCCGTATGAGTCATGTTAAAAATTATACAAGAATAAAGATGAAACACTTCTCAATGATTTTTCTGAATATCAAGATGCATCCTCCTGAGCACCATCAATCCTTTTTTTTTTTTTTTTTTGAGATGGAGTCTCGCTCTGTCGCCCAGGCTGGAGTGCAGTGGCGCGATCTTGGCTCACTGCAAGCTCCGCCTCCCAGGTTCACGTCATTCTCCTGCCTCAGCCTCCTGAGTAGCTGGGAGTACAGGCGTCTGCCACCACGCCCAGCTAATTTTTTGTATTTTTAATAGAGACAGGGTTTCACCATGTTAGCCAGGATGGTCTCGATCTTCTGACCTCGTGATCCACCTGCCTCGGCCTCCCAAAGTGCATCAATCTTTTATTTAGATGTGTGTCAGAACAATTTTCTCCTTCTAATTTCTCCATGATAGACCTCTTTTGCCTCTGAGACTGTGTACTGGTGCAGAAACCCTTCCTACCTGAAGTCTTGCCCAGAACCAACTACAGTTTTTGCTGTGCTGACAGTAAAGGGCAGTAGTAAACAGAGGAGTGTGGGTTAAACACTGACACAAAAGCAGCTCTAAAAGCTGTCAATACCAACACCAGCTAAAACCCATCCTCACGTATCATGATTGAGGGTGAAGATCTAGGCCTGCCAAGGCTATTTACACGAGAGTTAATGAAAAAAGTCCACCCTCTATCTCCAAACCAATCAGTCCTTCCTCAGACCACGCATCAATAATGAGCACTGTTGGCGAACATATGTCCCCATACCTCACCTGTCACATTCTAGGACCTACTTCTGATGCATGGTACCACTCTTTTATCACTGCTATCCACAGTACTGACTTTGTGCACACCCTATCCCATGCAATCTTCCCAACCACTCTTTGTAAAAGAAAGTGAAGGTCACAGGTGTTCGACGACTGACTCAGAGCCAAGCAGCTGTGATAGGTGAATATGGAGACTTACACCAGGTCTTCGGCTACCATTGCCTGCTCTCTTGTTATGTAACTGGTTGTGTCTTGTCTACTTGGCTTCATTGAAAGTACCTCAAGGACTTATACATCTTTTTATTCCCACACAGGCATTGTACAAGGCCCTGTCCTTTCCAAGCACTTGACAAATGCCTATTGAATGCATGAACAAATGAATGTGTGACATGAGCATCTTCCACGTGTCAAGTAATGGCAAGTGGAAGAATGCATCAGCTGATGTGCATGAGAGACATTTAGGAAGAAAGCCATTCAGGGACGGTACCAGTTTCTGTCACCAGGATCCTGGTTACCCGGAAGAATCTAAATGTGAGTAACCTTTGCCTGGACTCGGCCATGAGCTTTCTCTTAGCATATTTTAACGTAAGGACTAGAGAATGAGAAGCTCCTTTGATCTTAGATACAGTCTGGGTCTCACTGACTTCTTCTCATTGGAATCTACATGTAGAATTTCAGCAGAACTTGAGGGTTAAGTCCGTGGTCACACACTTTCTCAACCTTGGCCTGACTCTGGAGGTGTATGGGGGCAGAACAATGCCATAACCTGGAGGACAACTCCAAAGTTCGAGGAGAGGAGCCTCTACATTTGACAGGCTCCAAAGAACTCAGCTTCTAGATCTTAGGGAAGGGTCACGAACCCTCCATTTAAACCTACCTGAAGTTCTTTCAGAACCTGGGACATATGACAGTGTATGTGCAAATACACAAAGAATAAATATTGAGGGGCAAGAAAATCAATGAGCTTAAAAATAATTAAATGTGGAAACTGATATGAGCCTGAGCTTGGAGGAAATTTAAAAGCCACTTTTTAACAGACAAGAAGTTTACAGGGTCCAGTTAGCTGTAGGTGAGGCACCAGCTTTAACCAAGAGTTGTCAGCATTACAGATGACAAGAAGAAATGATATTTAGCTCAGATAGTGAGGTCATAGGGCGGCAAAAAGCAGTATGCCTCATTGAGCTCTGCAGAGAAGTAAAGATTCAAGCATTTGTCCTTCACCTCATGTTGATGATACAGAGAAAGAGACAAGGTCATTGGGAGCAAAGGCTGCAAAAAATCAGGAGAAGAAAGAAGAGTAGTGTCCCCATGTGAACTTGGTCCTTTCAAAGCCTGGCAAGTGGCAGCATGAACTGAGGGGACCAAAAGGCCAATGTGGGGCTTGTAAACATGGTTCCTGAGACATCCAAAGGCTCTTTCCCAGCAATGCTTTCTTATTATTTCAGGGCAACTGCATCACAAACATATGGATTTGATTCCACCTCCCCACCCCCATCTTCCTCTCCTTATGCCAGAAAAACACATACAGATTTTTAAATGAAAAGGAAAAAAACAAAAGAACGGCCAGGGACCAAAATGCATAGTATGGTTTTCAGAGAGCTTGGAACATGCTAGGAAAATCACTGTAGCTGGTCAACAAATCCAAATGGCAGCAGCACCCAGCCCTGTCATGAACGTTCACAGCCAGAAAAGCGACTGCAAGGAGGTGGGAGCAGACATTTGGTCTGCCCAAGGGGACAAAAAAGAAATAGCCCCCAAATGTCAAACACTGGGATGGGTAAGGTGACTCATGTGAGGGTGACTCCACCTCTGTCCTCAGACTTTATCAAAGGGATGGTGTCCAGCTGTTCCCCATCTCCTCTGGAAATGGAACAGAACGGCTTCTATTAGACAGAAGGGAATGCAATTTAGACATCAAAAGGAATGCCCAGTTGTAATCCACTGTTATAACAAAGCAGATTAATTGCATGCCTACAAGCCAATCTATTTATTAATATTTATTGAGTGTCTACTCTAATAAGACTAGTGTTATGTGTCAGACACTAATCTAAGTAGTTTTCAAATATTATTTCCAATCTTCACAATAGCACTACAAGATGAGTATTATTAACCCTATTTTATAGATGAGGACTGAGAAAACAGAGAAGTTAAATGAGTATTATAAAGCTAGGAAATAATGGAAAACTAGGATTCAAACTCAAGTGTATCTAATTCCATTTTTTTCTTTATTCACTGTAATTTGGCTCAGTGCTAAAGGGGTTCTTTGTACCATCCTGCAGAAAGTGTCACATTATTTTACATCTGAATGAATAAATAAATGAAAGAATAAATGAACAAGTACAAATGATGGGTCTTGCTGCTGATGTTTATACCATATTTCCTCAATGCAAATATGCACTTCCCCACATCTAACATATCTGAAATCAAAATGCAATTCCAATAGATGGCATAGCATAATGTAATTGGCAGTGCTCTTTAGTGTTAGTATTACATGAAATAAATGTATATCTTACAATCAGCAGACTCTTAGAAGCAATGAAATATGGTCATCTCAAACCAAGACCAGTTCCACATGAAAGTGTAATGAACAATATGGGGCAATGGATGTTAAGTGCCAAATAAGGTATGTGTCATAGGAGATCAAGTGAGAAGAAAAAAATTTTGAGTCCAGAGCAGTCCAAAAACAGTAGGATCAATTGTAAATTTAAAGGCTTATAGAATTTTGATGGAGGTGTGGAATGATTATGTGAGGCATCCCTCTCAGAAGAGTGTAAGTTTCTTAAAGGTATGGATCTTGTCTGATTTATTTTTTGGTTCCCAAGTTCCCAGTTCTGCATTATTCAAGAAACAATGGGAGTCACTCCTTCCTGGAAGTATTGAAAAGGAAGGAAAGCCCAACCCAGCCAACATTTCTGATTATTACTGCCCAAGGGCAAAAAGAGTTGAATCAAATGACCTCTGGAGAACCCTTCTAGATCCATCCAGGATTCTATACCTAAAATGTGAAACCTGATTGGTTGCTAATCTGATTAATTGTGAAAATTTAGTGTGCATTCACAGTGTCCAATCAAGAGTACACTCAGTAAGACTTTTTTCACTCCCTTTTCTTTGGTCAAACTCAAGCTTCTTTCTCCCATTTCTACACTTTTAAATCACTTCTCTCCCAACCTCCACAACACATACTAATACTGCCATTTAAACATAAATCAATCTCCCTTCTCCATTCTCAATTTAAATAATCTAAAATGCCTATTTTCTTCAGGAATACGCCATGGTTTTAGAAACAGGGACAAAAAGCCTTTAATAAGGACTTCCTCCAAACGCTCTTCTTTCTAAACCCTATCACAATAGATGTAACATCCAAAAAGAATTCCTCCATGCGAAAAGTCATGGGTGAAAATCTGCGGAGGAACAGGAAATTCACATAGTCCCAAGGGCCCTCCTCATAAATTACTTAATAATTACAAAGGAAGACCAGTAGCCTCACAGTGGAGGAATCTGGCAGAGACTGTCATAATCCAGACCAGAGCTAACATCACCAAAAAAGAGACATAGCAACGGCACGCACCTCCTCTCAGGATGTTTTGGAAAGGACCAAAGTGACTTATGTAGGTGTCTTGCTAAAAGTGCATCATCTGAATGCAGTCATGAGGAAACATCAGACAAAGCCAAATTGACAGACCTTCTATAAAATGATCCTTTAGTCCTCAAAAATTTCAATGTCATGAAAGACGAAGAAAGGATTCCAGATTGAAGGAGGCTATATAGAGACATAACAACTAAATGTGACATGTGAGCCTAGGTTGATTCTCGGACTAAAAAAAAGTAAATGCTAAAACAGGAAATAATTGGGACAACTGATTTCAAAATGGATTGTAGAATAGGTAATGGTATTGTATCAATGTTAAACTTCCTGATTTTGAAAATCAGATGTAAGAAAAAGTCTTTGTTTTTAGAAAATACACACATATATTAGATTACTTCAAGAGTAAAGTGGCATGATGTCTGCCACATACTCTTAATTGGTTCAATAATAACATGTCCATATTATTATTAATATACCTCTATGCATATATTCCTATAGATTCATATATATTCATATGCATCAGAAGAGTAAATGTGGCAGATGTGAACAACTGATGAATCTGAGTGCTGATAATAGGGAGTTCTTTGCATTATTTTTGAAATATCATTAATTTTTAATGGCGAAATTTTGCACCAACCTAACACATCTTATAAATCTGAAATTGTTTCAAAATAAAAAGTAAAAAAACAAATAAAAACAGTATCTCTTTATTTTTTACAGTAGTCATTTGATCTGCGCCCTGGCCTCCAAACAGCAACGTCTGATTTCTTAGGCTCCAAAAGCCATCACAGAAGAAAACAGAGAAACTTCCATTAGCACATCCTAGCTCTTAACACATTCAGTCATTCCTTTGATTTCAGTAGAGACTACAAGCAAACAAAGTGATAGTTGGAAATAATTATCTGAGCATGAAACAATTAGTGCAACAACCACAGAGAGAGAGTCACTGGCCGTGTACGTGGCCGCAGGAGGATCCTTCGCTTGTAAACACACCAGCTGGGAAACTCAGCCAAACCCCCTCTGCCCTCAGGAACTGCGAGTCTTAAATCAAAGTTACAAGGAAGGGCAGGCCGTGGGGCTGTGTATATTTTGAAGGAGGCCCTGAATACAAGAATAAATCTGTTCCTGGAAACAGCTTTTGGAAGGGAAAAAAGGAAACCTTGATGACTTTGTGAGATATTGGGATGGCTTACAAGGAGAAGCCAACGGGCGTCCTTCCCTAGACATCTTTAAAAGATAAGAAAGCCATCTAGGAAAATGTTACAATGTGTAAAATTTTCTTTCAACTATTTCATCATAGAAAGTGTGAGAGTTTTGTCTTACTGAACTGAAGATATGGCTCAGGTAGCAATCGAGAAGGCTCAAGGCCAGGTGTTCAGACAGCCCAAGCTCAGAGGTGGCTGCTATGAGCATTGCTGCCCTCATATCACTATCAATGACCAGAACTTGGTTAATTAGCATGCAAAGTGTCAAAAATTGATTTTTATGGGTGAAGACAATGGCCTGTTGACTAGCATCATGAATGTTAGAAAAGGGCTCTCATTTGGAGAAATCAGACGCATTCAAATAATATGAACTGGCCAGACATATTCCATACATACTCCTCACTCTTGCTAATTAATATCTATGAGGCCTGTACCCTTTGAACTCAGGGGTGGTGCCCCAGGCTAAGCCACTAAATGGCCCTGTGCCTAGCTGAGTCTCTGGATTCTGTTTCTCTGATGTTGGTTACAAGATTGACAAAGTTCTATCTCTAGGATTGAGATGTTTGCCTGGAGTAAATCTTTTAGGCAAAGAGATGATCAGAGAATATAAAAGAACAGTAAATTTGGGCACCCTTAAAAAGGTCATATGAACTACTTCTTTTTCATACTTGCTAATAAATGTTTAGTCAATAAATATAACTTATTTTAATACTTCTTCAAGGACCACTATTGTCTGTCAAAAAAGAATTGTACATAAATGCAATGGTTTAGGTCAGCTTGCAACAGATGAAAGAGGTATACGGTCTGCATAAATGCAAGGCAGCAGGCAAGATGACCTGTTGGTTGGCCTTTTTGTTAATGATCTGTAATTTAATTCCACTGTGGTCTGAGGATATATGCTGTATGATCTCAATTCTTTAAAATCATTGGAACTTGTTTTATAGGCTAGAATATGTTCTGTCTTGGTAAATGGTCCATGTGCATGTGAAAATAATGTTTCTGCTGCAGTTTGGGTATAGTATTCTATAAACATCAATTAGGACAAGTTCATTCATAATATTGTTCAAGTCTACTATATTCTTACTGATCATCTACTTGGTCTATCAAGTACTGAAAAAGATGGTATCACCAATATGTAACTGATTTGTCTATTTCTCCTTTTCGTTTTGTCAACTACTGCTCCATCTATTTTGAAGCTCTGTTATTAGGTACACACATATTTAGGATTTTTATGTCTTCTTAATGAATTAACCCCTTTGTCAATATAAATATTATCCATATGTCTGATAATATTCTTTTCCCAGACCCTACTGTCTGATATTAATATAGCCACTTCAGTTTTCTTTTAATTAGCGTTTATATGGTAGAGCTTTTTTCAACCTTTTTAACATATCTGTGCCTGTATATTTAAAGTGTGTTTCTGGTAAACAGCATATAATTGGGTATTGCATTTTTATTAAATCTGGCAATTTCTACCCCTTAATTTTGATGTTTAGACCATTTATACTTAATGTAATTATCATTATGGATTTAAGTTTCCTACCTATCTCGCTATTTTATTTTGCACTTGTTCAGAGCCACTGTAGAACTAACCTTGTTTTTTTCAGGGATTACCTGCCTATTGTCTAACATCTGAAAACAATTATTATATTTTTTAGCCATGTTTCCAGTTGGTTATGGCAGAAAAGGTAGTCCTGCACCAGTTACTCCATCATGGCCAGATGTAGACATAGGAAATCTACATTTTATAGGTTTTTCGGGTGATTCTGGTGTGCTGCTGGAGCTGGGAGCCATTGCTTTAACCCAAAGGTCACAAGTTTAAATGGAATTGTGGAAATGTAAGCCACTGGATTGGCTATAAGGCAACAGGGTATGTTGGGAGTTGAAGAGAGCTAGAGAGCATGGGCTCCAATGGAAAATATCCACATTTAATGTTTTTAAAACATCTTTTGAGCCAAATCTTAAAAATGTCTACTAGCAGAAATCTTCCTTGAGATCACAGAATGCCACATCTGTGTATCTTCCCTACTGCCAATCTACCACTTTAAATGGGGTGCCCAGAACAGAGCACAATCCTCCATGGTAGACTGACAGCTCAAAGGTGATGACCCACAGTTACCTATAATCTACATTCAACAAGTTCTTTACTTCAGTGTGAGACAAGTTCATGTTTTGGCAACACACTGAGAGCTCATGCTCAGGGGTGCTTAACTCACCTAACACTCCCCATCTCTCACACAAATGCCTGCCAAATCAGACCTTTCTGTCCCGCATGCTGCTAACTGACTTTACATTTATCATGATTACATTTTATCTTGTTGGTTTTGGCTCAGGGTTTCATCTTGTCAAGCACACTTCAAATCTTGATTCTCTTATCTCTCAAAGTAACCTTTACCCAGATGGGCATCAGTTGAAAATCTGGTAGGTATGCCTCCTATTCTCAAGGACCCAGAGCAAGTGACTAGAGCCCATGACACAGCCCTCTTGACTGATGAATCAGTCCCACCTTTGTTCTTCATAATCTCTACCCCTAGGGGAACGGGGAACAGAAAGAGATGAAACACAAACAAGCCAACCCAGCTCTTAGGAAGTATCATGGCAAATTGCCAGGGTGATGGTGAATGTATAGTCTACATGAGCACTTTGTATAAACATTCCCATGAATACTCCTGCCGCTCATTTCACCAGGTAACAGGTAATGTTAAAAATGGAGAAGATGGGGCCACCCTTGAGCAAGGCTGTGAAGTCATCACTTCTGTTTGGCTGTCACTCAGAAGGCCCAGCTCTGGTGCTAATTAGCTATGTGGTCCTGGGCTACAGAGTTTCCTTTCCTGAGCCTTGCCTTCCTCATCTGAGGTTTCCTTCTCAAGAAGCTATCATTCTTGTCCCACTCTGGAACCCCTTCTCCCACTAGGGCTCCAGCCTGTGCCCCACTTCCGCAAGGCCCTGCTTTGCACTGGCTACGACCTAATTCTGGGAAAAGTAACTAGGGGCAACTTTTCCTATCCCTCAAACAACATCCTTAAAGTTTTATCTTACCAGTTTTCTACTTAAAATCCTTCTACATCACTTTAGCTGAGTAGCCACAATCTCACAATCTGACCTTGCCTGCCTTTCCTGCCTTACATCCCACCCTAAACTCATGCACACTCTTCATTCCAGCTACAGTCAGCTACTTGTAACCCCTCAACAATTGTGCTTTTTCGACCTTTCATGCCTTAATTCATGCTATTCCCCCCTATCTGGAATGTCCATCCCCCTCTCTATACCCAACTCATAGCAATTCATTATTCAAAACTCAGCTTAGCCACTGAACCTTCCAGGAGGCCTCCTCTGATGGATTCAGAAGCCCTTCTTGTTTCTGTCCAAGAGCCACTCTACATATTGTGTCTCAGCATTCATCATGCTGTTGGCTGACTTATCAATCACCTTTTCCAACTTGACTATAAGCTCCTTGAGGGCCAGGATTTTTTGTTAGCACCGTCTGAGCTGGTTCCTGCCACAGTGTAAGTATTCGTTGAATCGTTGAGTAGACTGAATGATGAGTGAGTTAATGACTGAGCCAGTTATACCACATGGGTGGCTGCTTACTTCCTGCACTGGAGGGGCCAAGCCAGGCAAACTTAAGTCCCCATCAGAGCATCCTGAGCTCAGGCTTGGCCTCTTGGACTCTGCCTCAAAGCAAAAATCTACATGTCAGAGACTTCCCTGATGTGACTCCCTGGGCCTTTCACTGAGTTCTCCACCCTCTTCCTAAACCTCCTCCCTGAGCAGGACAAATTAAATGAAAGAAGGGCTGGGAAGTCTCCACCAATGCCTTACAACCAAGGAGGAGCCACACTCCCCAGACGTGCTGTTCAAGAGAAGTGCTCTGGTCCCTGGAATCCAAGAAGTCAGAGAAGCCTCCTGGAAAAACATCAACTGGAAAAATCCATTGCCAACCAGCCCTTCACCAGGCCTCTCCCCTGCCGAGTTTGCTCATTGCTTGAAGTCTGCAACTCACCAGTTGTTTATGTTCCTAACCCCGAGTTCAGGGGCATCTGCAATTTAATTTGAGCCATGGATAGACAGGGCTGCTCTTTGTTGGAGTTGCAAGAGCATAAACAACCTTCCAGACTGAACTCTGCATGGCATTCCCCAGCTCCACCCCTACCCTGGACCTATAAATACCATCTATCACTTTCTAAGATCACCTCCAGCAGGCCCAGACAGTGGTAACTTGTCCCCAAGGCTGGAAGATGTCACTTGAAGTGAATGGAAAGAGAGTAGCTGGGATGGATTGGTAAAGACAGGGGATGAGAGGGAAAAGGGGTGAAGACTTAGGATTATTGGAGGAGGGAGAAGGAAAAAGTTCAAGAGGACCAGCGAGAGGCTTAGAGGGAGAAACACGCAGCTACAAAGCCTGAGGATAAATCTTCAGGGGGATACTGGGGGACAGCAAAGAGGGGTCACAGGGTTGGGCATGTTCCCAGCTCATTCACCACAGGAAGCCCACTTTGTGTCTCATCCTTCTTCACTGCTCACTGGTCCTGCAAGCCCATGCTGGAGGTTACTATCACTTCTCATAGACAGAGCACCCCATATTAAATTCATCACTCACTGTCCACCTGTAGGTGACACATCATTGGTTTATGTCACTGGTTGTGCAGATAAGAGCCCCAGTTACCATGAAGAGCAAATCTTGAAGGCAGTATCCAATGGCAACAGGACAAGGGAGCCCTTCCAGTCCTCTTGTACACACACACACACACACACACATACACACACATACAAGCACACAGACACAGTTCCCATGCACCACCCCTACGTGACAACTCAAAGCCATTTGGAGCAGCAGTCCCCATGCTGGTCCCCCGGGCCTTCCCAGAGAGTATCCTGGCCTTCATGCCAGGTCCCCTTGCCATGCAGCTGCCATCTACCCTCCAGGCCAGCAGCCCCTGAGATGCCACGCAGACTTTTCCATTCATCGTCCAGAGCTCCTTAAGTGCCTCTGATATACACCATGTGTCCCAACAGGAAAACACATACTCATCAACTCTACAAAATGCTCCAGATGTGATCAAAGCCAGAGAGGCGAAAGAAAACAGAGATGGGGGTGTTCAGGAAGGGGGAGAGGCTGGGGGTGAGAGAAATCCAGGGACTTGGTTAGGGGACAGGGGGCGGTGCCCCTGGGGTGGTGCTTCCAATGGATGAAGTCTACAACTAGGTCCAGACTCTTTGATTCCAATCCCTGGTTCAACTTGACCCCCCTGTGAGATCCTAGGCCCTGCCCCCAGACCAGCTTTAGGATTGAGATTCTATCTCTGAAGAACCATAGGAAGTTAGTCCTGGAAGGAATGCTCTAGAGCACCTGGCCTACCCTTCATTTTTAGGTGAGGAAGGTGATGTGTAAGTAGACCCACCTAGAGTGTCATGCACCACCTCTGACCCCACACATCCTTCTAACTCCCGGGTCAGTACTGTCTGTATTAAACTTCAGTGGGTTACAGTGGCACACATTAAAGGCCCTTCATTTGAAAGAGGCCTCAGACATGATATCCCTGTCCCCTTGCCTCCTTAGCTCTATTGGAGGATTTTAGTCCCTTACAGAGTGAGAGGATGAGCCTGGATGGCTTTTAAGACCCCTCCCAGACCTAAAATTCCTAAGCCTTCAAGATCTATGGCAAGCCCCCCTCACTTAAGGAAACAGGGCTGTTTTGCTCCAAAACCTCCTAGAGTCCCTTTGCCATCACCGCTGCACATCCGATCATATTCTCCGCCTCCCCACCACCTCCCCGGGAGTTGTCTGCATGTCTCATCAACACAGTGCTCTTCCCTTAAAGTGGAGCAAAGCAGTTAAGATAACAGGCTCTGGTGTCAAACTGCCTGGGATTTGGGGCAAGTGACTTGTCTACTCTGTGTCTCATCTTGAAAATGATGGGGACCAGGATTGTGCCAAGTTCATAGAGTCACCATGACAATTCAATTAGATCATGCACACAAAGGGCATGGTAAACTGGTCCTTGATGAGCGCAGGCTGAGTGATATGTTCACAGCAGTCATTCACATTCCCACTAACACAGCCACCATAGGTGAGCAGGGAGAGATGCTTCATGTCCACTGGAGCACAACCTGGTGAGACCATAGGTTAGTTATGATGTCAGGGGGATGAGGAGAGGAAGACAAAAGAGGCTCTGGGCTCAGAGTCATGATGGCCAGGCTGCCCACAAGTCCTTCAGAAGGACAAAGGGCACATAGGAGGAAACCATCCTGTTAGACACAAAAAGCACAATCCCAGTTCCTTTCCAGTGCCCCAGCCAGAAGAACCCCTGATCCTTCAACTGATGACAATGGGCCATGCCAGCACCACCCACACACAGGCACTCACATAAGCCAAACCTTTCAATGATGTACCCTTTCCTTAGGGTACGGTCCAAAATCCCTAACCAGCCCAAAAGCTCCTCCGTGACCTGGCTCCCCACAAGCATCTCCGCTACAGAGCTGAAGCTCCAGCATCCCAGTGCCTTCCCCCAGCAGTGGGGCATACACATGGTGGAGAAGCCAGACTCAGGAGTTCAGATCCTACCTCTCTCACCAACCTTGTGACTTTGGGCCACTTAATAATGTCTTTGTGCTTCAATTTCCTCTTCTGTATAATGAGGATGATAGTATCGATCTCGACGGGGTGTTGTGAGTTAGCAAATGCCAAGGGGTAGAACAGTGCCTGCCACACAGCAAACATCTAACTGTTAGCTGTTGTCATTATTTTCCTCATCTTTGCCTGGATCATTTTTGTTTTGACCCATCCAGCAAATCATACTAGTTTAAATGTCGCTTCCTCAGGGAGATCTCCAATTAGGTTGGATGGCCTTATATCTCCATTCCCATTACACTTCTGTCCTCCTCTCTAGTCATCTCTGTCACACTTCCGGTTAACTATGCACTGTCTCCCCTGCTAGGTCATAAGCTCTGTGAGGCCAGACCCAGCTGGACCATAGGTCCAGACGTGCCCGAAACAGTCCCACCTTTTACCTGTCGTTGCACTGTGGCAGCCTGGATTTGTCAGTAAATACTAACTCCTATGCTAGCCTTCCCAGCTCCATGGATTTGTGCTTGGCCACATGACTTGCTTTGGCCAATGGAATGCTAGCAAATGTGATGTCAGCAGGTACCGCAAGAAGTACTTCATGTTTTCCTTCTTTCCTGTGCTCTGCTGAGTCTCTGTGAGCAGAATGTGTCCCAGAAGCTGTTGAATCTAAGCAAAATGTGCACACCTGGGGCAAACTAAACACAATCCACAGCCCAGAGCCAGGACCAACTAACTCTCAGCCTGAAACAGAGCTTTCCCATTCAACCCAAAGACACATGAACACAATACAGAAATGACCTTTGTTATAATCTGCTGACCTTCGGATGGTTTGTTATGCAACATCAATGTAATAACAGTTAACTAGTACACACAACATCATTATTAATAGCTCTCACTTTCACTAGAAAAAGTGTCCCCAGTAGGATGATAAATTATCTAACTGCCCACCATCAGTCCATATCTATCTCGTTCATCACTTTAACTCCAGCACCTAATACAGTACCTGGCACAGAGAAGGTGCTCGATGAATAGACTGGATTAAGTTGAACTGAATTATATGTTTGTCTTTTGTTTTTGTTTTTGTTTTTGGAGACGGAGTCTAACTGTCACCCAGGCTGGAGTGCAGTGGTGCGATCTCGGCTCACTGCAACCTCTGCCTCCAGGGTTCGAGCAACTCTCTTGCCTCAGCTTCCTGAGTAGCTGGGATTACAGGCACCCGCCACCACACCCAGCTAATTTTTGTAGTTTTAGTAGAGACAGGGTTTCACCATGTTGGCCAGGCTGGTCTCAAACTCCTGACCTCAGGTGATCCGCCCACCTCGGCCTCTCAAAGTGCTGGGATTACAGGCGTGAGCCACCATGCCCAGCCTGAATTACATATTTCTTAAATCTCTTTCCTAAAACATCAAGTCTTTGTCCCACCTGGATGCTGAGAGGTCTGAGTCTGGGGGCTCTGCCTTCTTTTTCTTTCGCATCATCCCCATAGAGATGATCCTGATGCTGCTAGCCGGCTGTCAGAGCATCCGAGACCTAACCTTCTTAATCCACAGAAGTCAAAAGAGCTAGTTTTTCTAAAAGGGATGTGATCTCACGGGACTGGACAAAGAAGAGATCACCGCAGGATGAACAAAAGGAGAGGGATAGAAGCACAGTAAGAGAGATCTACTCGAGGCACCAGCTTGGGCTTTCAGGAGATGCAGTGCCTCTGAGTAGGGCAGGGACACCCTTAGTACATGGCTGATTCGCTTCTCTCTGCCATGCAGCTTGCCTTCCTGCCCCAGGGCTGAGGACTGGGCAGAATGTCAGCCTAAGGAATTGCTGCCATTTTGTTAGAGTTGATGACAGCTGGAAATCATACCATTGCCCTCATCCAGACTAAAATGCTCAAATGAAAAGTTAAAAATCCCAGTTCTCCAATCCCCTCTCTGTCTCTCTTGACTAGGTTCAGTTGAATGTGGACTCTATGAAAGAAACCAGTAAGGATGAGCCTACATCTCTGAGGGTTTCCCGAGTCCCTGCCGCAGGCTGAGTGACTAAGGCTGAGCTCCCCAGTCTCTTCACGGCTGAGCCAACCAATTTGCCAGAGGCAGGCAGTAATTCCTGGCAGCCACCCAACTGTCAACATCTTTGAATACCTTGAGATAATCCCAAGTAGGTACTAGAAGACAGCAGTCTCCCAGGCAGGGATCTTGAAGGTTTGTGTATTTTTTTTCCTTTCTTATGTGTGTGACTTCCAGACCCACAGAATGCTGTGGTTTTCCATTTCTAAAACAGAGGCATGTGCCTGTACAAAAAGCCTGGGCATGCCGGGCTAATTAAATTTAGCTATCTTGCGGTTGTTGTTGTAACGTGTGTTCTGCTGATGTTATTCAGTGTGTTAAGACGTTTTCTGTTTATGTTGGTTACATAGCCATGTGGTGTGGGTGGAGAACATCACTCCAGGGAATATTATTAGGAGGACTGAGGTGCTCAGGGGTTCCAGGGACACGTGGTCAAACAGTGGCTCCCGGGATCAAACAGTTGAGCCGTGTCCCTGGTAACTCACAGGACGCCAGTCCCCTTGCTCCTTCTAAGGCAAGATCAGTCCCTCAGGTCTACCTGAGATCTTGATTCCCACAGACAGAACTGCACCTGCCATCATGCAGCCTAGAGATTTTGTAGAAGAGATGCAACTATAGGGAGAGAAACTTCAACAGATCTGCAGGGGCTGAATGACCTTCCCAGAGACTCCCCAGGAGAGATGAGAGAAGAACTGAAACTCCTTGTGCCCACTCTTACCTGCCCAGCTGGGAATACGAGACCTGAAACCCTTCCTTTAGCCCTCTGCCTAGGTTTTTCCACCTGCCTAAATTCCAGAGAAACCACCTGAGATCCTCTCCTGAATTTCCCCCACCATCATGTCCCTTGTCTAGCTCAGCCCCGGTGCTTTCTTCTCAAGCCACTCATCTGCCTTAGCCCCTTCTCAAGTCTCTTCTCTCAACATTTCCTGACCAAGAATGCTTAAATCCCAATCTTGTAAATCCCCCAACTATATTTCTTCTCTCCTTCAAATCTCTGCTTCCTGCTTAAAACTCATCTATGTCGTAAGTCTCATTTTTGTGTAATCTGCTACCCTGAAGCCAGTTACTAAGCCCTTCGAAGCCTCTCCCTACCTTGCCCAGCACTGCCACACAAAGCTTTGTGCATTAGTTACCTGCTGGAAGCTACTTGATAGCTCTGTGACCGACCCAAGAAGTTTTCTTTTGTGAGGACCTTGTGTCCCATCAGTACCCTTCAAGCTCCCATTTTCCCCCTTCTTTGAGGCTTCAACACCACATCCAGTACAAAGCTCTGCATTCAGCAGATCCTGATGCAGGGACTGACTCTTGCGCTGTTAACAGACTCAGAGCTCTATTTTTAAGGAAAATATCTGATAGGGTGGATTTTTCATGACGTCCCCAAACAAGCAAGGAGGGCCAAAATACAGCTTTTCATAGTGAGGGCCCCCTGCTGTAGCATCCTCACTCTAGTCCCATCGCTGAGGCCCCTTGAACTTCAGTAACATCATTTCACTCTCACTGGGAAGCAAAAACAGTCACTTCCAGCACAAAAGCAGGCCCTCTACAAGCTCCCCCACCCAACAGAAACCAGACTCCAGGATGAACCGTGGAAGCGTCTTACTTTGCACACAGTGCTAACTTGCTTGGGTGTCTGGTTGCCGAAGCTGCAACTGAGACAAAGCAGTAAATTAGAATTGGGAACAGAAGCTACTCAGTTGACAAAAGCAAGAAGTGACAGCTGACAATCTGACAACATGGAAGGACTCAGAAAAAAAAAAGATCATAAAAAATAGAAATGAAAAATCAAAAACATGGCATTCTGGGGTTGCTGAACAGAGGCCCTGAGAGTGATATTTTACTCCTGCTAGGCACAAAGAGGGATGTTCATAAAGATGGCCCCATCATAAGCCAAGGTCGACTATGGTCAGCATGCAGCCCGTACCAGAAGACCACACCATGGTTTTCCCTGGGAGATGGGTAATTGAAGGGATTAACACTAGAGGGCTGGAACCCCAGCTAGCCTGACATCCACTGAATGGAACTCTGGGGCACCTTCAGCTACAGAGTACTGTGAAAAAAATAAAAGTTTCTAGAGTTAGACAGGCCTGGGTTTGAATTCCAGATGAGCTTGCTCTGTGGCTCTGGGAAGCCTTTACTTCACTGAACTCAGTCTCCTTGCCTGTGAAATGAAGATAAGAATACCCACTTCACAGGGTTGCTGTGAGGCACAGAGGTCACAGACAGAAAATGCATACAGTGGATTGATTTACAGTAATACAATATGATTATACTATATTTGTCAAAGCTCTTAAGCTAAGGAACCATATGAAATTCCACCACTTTAATGAATGTTATAATTTCCCCCACAGGGAGTCAATAAATTCGTATTTATTTAACTACAGCCATTTATTTTATTTGTATTATATTGTAATAGAAATAATTATTGTAATATAAATAAATGTATAAATACATTTATTTGTATTTATTTAGACCTACAGCCATCATCACAGTATTTGCACAGCTCTTCATCTGAATCCTCCCAGTAATACTGTGGGCAGGTAGCACAGGTGCTATCACCCCTATTTCATAGCTGAGAAAACTGAGGCTCAAGAGAGAATGACTTGCCCAAATATTACATCAACTGGAAACAAATCTGGAGGTAAAACTGAGTTCTTTTCACTCTTAACTCACTGCTCCTGGTCTAAAGGAATGTCCCCGGGCAGGTGCGTCAGGGTCTGATGAACACATACACAGGCACATTACCCATCTTTTGACTGTCAGCCTCACTCCTTCTCCATTTTGTTCTGAGAATAGGGAACTCTTCCTTGTTTAAGTCCGACTTTATAAAGACGCCTCTCCAAATCCTTGATCACATTACTTTTCCTTCTGTGAAACAGTTCCAGCCTGGTTATGTTTTCTTTAGGTGTGATGACCTAAGTCAGCCACATGTGAGGTTTTACCATGATTCAGTAAATCACTGAGTGATGCAATCCTAGCTTGGTTTTAAAATGTATTCTGAGAATTCGAGGGGTCTGTGGTGCTGCATCACATCACACTGATGTTTCTAGAAAGAGTTACAATCATCCCCAAAGATCTCTGCCTGATGCATAGCTGATACCTCTGAGCCCATCACAAATGGCTAGTCGAAGGCCAATTTTCCCTCGTGATCTTTTCCATATGTTGTTTTCCTACAGCCTCACAGCTACTTTCTATAAATTTTCTCCATCAGCCTGTCCCTTTATTTCCCAGAAAACCCAGTGGTCATCTGCAAGCATGGAGATTCCACTTTGAACTCAAGCTCCTTGAGAGTGGGGTCATGCTTACATCATCTCCGTATCCCCAGGACCAGTGTCTGGATAATGCAAAATATGTGGTGGCTTAACTGCTTCAGTGAGGTGTATGTAAGGCTCCTCCTCTTCCAAGTTACCCCACCAGTGAGTCCCAAGAAGGACAATCACGATGATAAGGCTGTGTGGGGAACACACGTTGATATGGAAACGCAGAAAGTCCTAGGAGTATTTGGGGTGTGGGAAAGAAAGCTTAGGTATATGAGCACTGTTGTTGACACAATTGTTGTTTTCAAATATTTAAAGGGTTGACCTATACAACAGGGTATACTTGTTCTGTGCAGCTCCAGGAAGCAGAACTAAGACCAAAATAAGGGAAATCAGCAGTTTTCCTTCTAGTTTCATGACTTCCTATGGGCTAGATATGCCCAAGACAGAAACAAACTGTCCCAGAGATAAGGTGCTCCCTATTCCAAGAAAAATCAAGCAGAGGCTGGGCATTTGCTAGATGAATATGCCGCAAGAAAAATTCTTCATTCCTTCCTTCCAGGGACAGCTATCCAACTGTCTGGCCTCTAAGCTTCATTTGCCTCTGTGAGGCTATGGTTTGTTCCTAGAGGTTCTGGATAATTGAAAGCTTATTGTACAACAGGGCCAAGACAGCACAAACATATAGCTTGTCATATTTTTCAGACTAATATCAGCTTTTCCTCCCTGGGGCATGACATAAGCTGATCAAGGAGGCAATGAGCTGATGCCAGACAGCTCCTTCCTTCCCCAGCTCTGCCCTGGAATTCCAGGTGGCCATGGGGAACTTGTGGAGCCTCTTGGTGCCTTGGGATCCACCATCCATACCATGTGGCTGATAAGACAGGAAGGAGGATGAAAAGTTTAAAACAGGAGCCACCATCTCTGGAAGGCTGTTGTGAGGCTAGGAGGCCACCCTCAGAAGACCAACACAGTCATTAGCTGCTACCTTGAACTGGAGCTGGTAGCATTTTGAACTGGAGCTGGTAGCATTGTACTCCAACTCCTGTTTCCATTGGTCAACCACAAGACCAACAGCCTTCCCTCCGAAAGGGTACAACTGGAGGAGAGTGGCACTCCATGGAGGAAATGAGAGAAAGGAGACTGGGGCAGAGCCTTTCCACAGCATGATGGGATTAACAGCATGACTTATATCCTGATCTATAAAATGGACCAGAATGTAATGGCATGGAACATAATCATCCTTGTTTCTGCCTCACCTCAACCAGCTGTTGCTGCTTTTCTCTGTCTACCCTTCTCTCACACCCTCAGAGGTAAAGGAAGAATAGACTTCAGGCCTATGAGGTATTATTTCCTTCCAGGCTGCAAAATGTTTTCCAGCTAAACCCAACCATCAAATGATAAGACCCGTGCAAATGCCATGGTGCTGATCCCACGTGTCATCTCTCCTTAGCTTCCCTTCATGCATCCAGCCTCATTTCCTTCCAACCCTGGATTGCCTGCTAATTCGTGGGGCAGAGCAAGGGACTTGGGCCAGGTTGGCAGGGAATCCTTACAGACAAGGTCTGCAAGCCAAGTTCTTGATCTCACCACTCCCAGTCAACAGTGAGGAAAGATCTGGCTTTGAGTCAATGTGATTTTCAGTCATTAGTATCAGGCTAAACTATAAATCCTTATACAGGGCAGTCCAGGCTGGTTACAAAGACACACTCTTTCACCTCAGTCGTCCTTCAGAAAGCAACATTTCTGATTCAAGGGCCACCTCTTCCAGGAAGTCTTGTCTTATTCCTCTAGCAGCAATTACTCTTCAAATGTGATCCCATACTGATAGGTTTGAACATTATTATAGTCCTGAGAGCCCTCGCTATATCCGGTCTTGCACACATTTGTCTCCCTACATAACTCCTAGATCTTAAAGGCCATAAGCTCTCCCTTCATCGTTGTTGTGCCTCCCCATACTGCCAAGCAAAGAGACTTGCTCACTGTAAGCATCAGTGAATGTGTATTGTGTCGAGCTGAATTGCCTTTCTCAATCCCAAAGAAAAATCAAGGAGAAAGCAGCAGGGCTAAGGAAATAAGTAATCACAGATTGATCAACGTTTTTCTCTCTCCAGTTCCTCCTCTAACCCAGCTGTGGCCTGGCCAGTCCTTCCCCAGCCTGGCCTGCTGAGAAGCCTCCTAAGAACATGGCTTCCTCGGTCTCCCTCCGGGGGTGCTCAGATGGCTCACAGTTCAGGAGGGTGGAAGCAGAGCCCAGAGACAAGGAGGGATGGATCAAACCACACAGTCTCTGGTGGCAGTGCTGGGGAACCCTGGCAAGGACGGTGACCTGTGCCTTGCAGTAGGAGGGAGATCCCATTCGTGGCATGTCAGGCTAGAGAGGGCTGGTAGAGATGTGTAGCAACGTTGGGGCACAGTGCCACCCAAGGGCTCTTGAAATGGTAACCCCATAGAGATCACTCTCAGATCCTCGTGGAAGCTGTTCCATATCTCAAGGCTCTAAGCTGGCACATTTCTAAGAGAACTCCAGAGCTTCCACATGGGTGGGCTTCATGCCCAGGGCCTGACTTTAAGTGCAGGAAGCCTCACTCATGAAGTGAGCACCCCAGGAACAGGTGGGAGTGAGTAGGGACCATTACCCCTCTTCAGACTGCAGGCCTGGTTTGGTACAGTGAAGCTCCCCATCCATTATCCCCTTGGTGAACTCCCACAAGTCAACAGGCTGCAATCCCTCTGAGCTGAGTACAGTTCTAGAACCCTCTCTTTCCCATGCTGTCACAGGCAGGCAGTGGCAGCTGCTTTAGAATAAACTTTTTGTACATTAGTTTCAGCAGAGTATAGTCAGAAGAGAAATCAAACTCAGAAGATGCTTAAGACCTATTGTTTTGTCTCATTCATATCAAAACGTCCAAGCTAAGAAAATCAGCCTGGGAGCAGATATTAACTTTAGTAAAAAGACAGATTACGGCCCTGACTAGTATTGGGTCAGACCTGTACAAATCGAAAAGGCCTCCAGTCCCCAAGTTTTCCCAGAAAATAAGGGCTGTTTTCCTCCTGGGTTTTAGAGCATTGAACCAGAGAAGTGCAGGCAGAAATGTCCTTCTCCAGCTGTGAGGACCCTCTTCCAGCTCCCTAAAGGACTAGAAGAGTCATTTCACTCTAGCTTAGGAGTCATTCCTCATATTATCAGCCACAAGCCATGTTTCTGACAAGGCACAAGTGCTGCTGGCTGGAAGTGCCCAGGAGGTCTTCTGGATTGGGGTGCACTCACTCATCGAGGTTCCTGCTGGATACCTCTCTAGGGAACTTTCCAGAGAGCTCTCACACACACACTCACACACACACAGTCACACAATCGCTCATTCATACACACTCATGCACACACTCTCTCACATACACTCACACTCTCACACTGACACACATGAACACACTCATACCCACTCACACACATACACTCACACCGACACACGCATGCACACACACTCATTCACACGCTCATACACATACACTCCCTGCTCACACTCACACACTCATGCACGCTCACACTCTCACACACACCCTCACATATACACTCTCCCAAACACACATATTCTCTGGCACACACACACACTCTCATACTCTTACACTCACACACATGCACTCACACACACACCCACTCTTGCACATACACACACACAAACTCACAACACACAGAGACACACTCTCACACGAACACATTCTCACACTCACACACACTAACACACACAAACACTCTCATACAGGCTCACACACACACTCAGGCCTGCAGGCCCCAGGTCTCCAGAGCAGAGGCAGGATCGGGAGGAGAGCCGTGCGGGGCTGGAGGCCATCAGCAGTCTCACAGTGCAGCCTGCTGGGCACGAACGACACTGCAGCCGGGTGGAGGCAGGGGCCAGGGGTGCAGGGAAGGGTGTCTTGCCTCCCCTCTGTGGACTTTCAACATCCAGGAACGGTGTCTCAAACCCCAAGACTCAAAATGAGGCCTGAAGGCCTGCGGAAGGGGAAGGAGAGCTAGTTCCGGGGCCTTCCACATACAAACAGGTCTCCTGCCCCATGAGCTCTCAATGGCTCACACAGAGGTTTTAGAATCTTCCAAACAATTGGCACAGAGGAGGAGCACTAGGGCTCCAGAGGAGGAACAGAAGCTTGGCGCTAAAAATGAGGAGCTGAAAACCCAAAGAAACGGGTGGGAAAGACCTTGGCCAGGCCTGTGCATGAATTATCACGTTCCGCCTGTGCCAGATTCCCCTGCTCCGTCACTCTTCCAGCACAGACCATATGAGGGCAACTTCTCCGCGAGGCACACGGAGGGTGCCATGCATGGTAGTAAGTAGTCATGGAGCAAAACTGTCATGGTGTGGGGCCTGTGATGGCTCAGGAAGGGAACCACAGGCTGGACTCTGCAGGCAGGTGGGCCCCGACAGGAGGTGGGAGGAATGATGGAGAGGAAGTGGCAAAAGAGAGAAATGGTGCTGAAGAAGAATCCCCAAGACTCACAGTTAGATTGGGGAGTGGGAAGTGAAAGTGACGCCAGTCAGGGATTACTGAGGTCTCGGGTTGTGTCATGATGAAGAAGAGGAAGGAGAGGACTTGGACAGAATCAGGGAAAGCAAGTTGGGACCATTTGGTAAAAGAGTGTAAAATGAGGAGTTTGGTGTGCTCACTGAGTCTAAGTAGCTGCTCCCTGCATGCTCCAGCCCACATTTCTCTCTACAAGTTCTCCAGGTACTCGCCCACTTCTGACCCTAGTGCTCCCCACCACCAGCCCTTCCATCACTTCTCTTTCCAGCAGTTTCTTGAGGTCAGAGAGTTCCTTATGCCACTGGGATGACAACCACCATCACCATCTGCCTTGGCTCCCCACACACATGCTGCCCAGCGTCCCATTCTCCTGAGGCTCCTTCCTCCTCTCCCTCCTGACCAAGACTTGGCTTTGCCCAGGGACCGTGGGAGTGTTCCAGGCCATCTGATCTGTGAGGAGCTGTAGACAGCCTCCGGCCCTGCTCCAGTACACCGTGCCCTGTCTAGACAGATTTGAGCTCTCCATCCTCAGGAACCGCCAGGCCCCAGAGCAGGGCTCCGCTCCAAAGGCAATACTTCCCCTGCAGGTGAGGCTGCTTTGGTGGCCAAAACCGAGTGCATATTGGAGCCATTTGCCACTTAGCTGGCAGCGAGTCACCTGAAGTCTCTGCGGGAAAAGATAGGGCTCTCTGGTAGGGAGAATTTTTATTTTTTAATCGTACTTAAAAAAAACAAAAACAAATGAGTAGTTGGAGAAAACAGGCGACAGAGTGGGTGGCCACTTGAGATCCAGAGAGAAAGATCAAAGCCCACCAAGAATGGAATGATCAGCCTTGGGGTGGCCCAGAGAACAGTCTAGGTGGCCCATGCCACATGAAAGGCAGCCAGGGGACGGGAGACAGGGTGAAGGCACCTGGTCACAGGCCCCGCATGTCCCTGCTCCCCCACCCAAGACCTTGGTTCACGGTCCTCAGCTGGAACAAACACCTGCTTCCAAGAGACATCCAACCAAGCTCTGTCCGCTGGGAGGGCCGCTGCATCTCTGTGTAGGAGGTGAGCTGCCCAAACTCTGGCCTCCACGCGGCTTTCTCTTTCCAAGCAGAAGCTGGAATTCCTCCCTCTAGACTCGATTCTCCTGGCCGCTGCCCCTCTCACAATCCCAGCCCAGGGCAACCAGCCAGGAACACGCTCTATTCTCAGGCTGATGAATTAGCTCATTAGGTGACTTCAGGGCAGTGAGTCCACCATGTCCACCATGGAGCAGCCTCCTCCTGCAGGCTCCAGCGGCCCATCTTTTCCAAATGAGCACATTCTACCATGTGAACTCACAGATCCCTCAGCTCAGCCTCCCAAGTTAGGACAACCAGGACCCTGAAGATCAAAGAGGAATTGGGGCTTGCCCAAAGAAATGGTAGCACTTAGTGGCCAGGCCCAGACCAGAACTCACGTCTCCAGACTCTCAGCCCAGTGCTGTCACACAGTGCTGCCGCCCAACATTCCAGCCAGAAGATTGAGTTTCTAGAGCCCTGAAGCCATTTTAAACTAGTCAGACCTATGACATTCCAGTAAGTTATTTCCAAGGACTTTTCACTAATGTTCAACAGAAGCTGGGGAAATGTCCAAGGTGCCAGAAAACAGGACATCATTCTGTGACAACACAGAAGGGAGGAAACCCAGGGCCTAGTCTCTCCTCCCTTCTAATTTGGAAAAGCCATAAAAAGTCCACATTCTGTCAGGCCAACCAGCATATTCCTCATGTGATTTGCTAAATCCACCCTTTCCTGGATCAACACTGGCACTTGGGCATAACCCAACAATCAGCTTCATCCAGGTTCTTCTCTAGGACAAGACTAAGGAAAAGAAATGAGACAGCTCCATGCACCCCTCCCAGAGAACAGGCAGGGAAAGAGACCAATGTTGAAGACCTCAAGGTGCAGGTCATGGTCTATCAATCTACAGTATCTTTTGCCCCACGCAGCCTCCATGTCCCTCCCATGTCCCCAGCTGCTTCCCCACCCATGAGACACAGAGGAGTGGATCATAGAAGCTAGAAAAGAAGATCCCTCCACTTGAGCAAAGGACTGTCAGAGTCAAAAGGTTTATGATACATCTTTCAGGACTTGCATCTCCAGGATACTTCCAAAAGTTCCCTACCACCTCTTACCTGATGAGGTCAATAGGTTGGAACTTATAGAACACTCCATAGCGCGCCCATTCTTGATATAGCAGCTAAACAAAGAAAATAAGGAAACAGGTTAGAGGTAGAGATGGGAAACTTCACCTGATTTTGTCCATCCTAACAAGTCAGATTTTTATCCCCAAAGTCCAGCTTCTAAGAAATTCTCATGAGACATCCAGGGGGAGATGTTCAGAATCGGGAGGCTATGGAAACTGGCTTCTCCTTCCTCAAACAACAGAGATGAACTTTATCACACTCTGAGGCAGTCCTGCACCTGATTAGCAGAACCCCGTCTTCTTTATTCCCACGTCTTGCCTAGTCCAGCAAAATGAGCCCTAATGTTCATGATTCACTCATTTAACAAGTATTTATTGACATCTCCTTATGTGCCAGGCACTGTCCCCACACTGGATACAGCAGTAAGCCACAGTCTGCTTACACCCTGGTGTGGAGAGATAAACATAAACATATAAACAGATAAGATTTTGAAATCTTAATGAAGAAAAATTAATCAAGGTCAGGGAGTAGAATGTGAAGGAAGGGAGAGGAGTAGGGTGCTGTTGTAGACAGGATGGCCAGGGAAGGCCTCTCTGAGGAGGTGACATTGAGCTGAGACACAAAGGAAGGGGGGAGGGTGTCCCAGGCAGGACAGTCTTCTTGTGCAAATGCCCCAAGGCAAGTGCATATGGCACATCCTAGGAAGAACAGGGAACCAGTGTGGCTGGGGCAGAGTGAGCACGGGGAGAACGTGGGAGACAAAGTCAGAAAGAACCAGGATGGCCAGATCTCTTGGGGATTTGCAGGTCATGCTAAAATCTTTGTATCAACACTGGATGAAATTTGGGTTTTGAAGGAAGCCACTGGGAGATTTGCAGTAGAGGGCGAAACAATCTGACTGAGATTGCAGAAGGCTCACTCTGGCTGCTGTGTGGAGAACAGACTGAGAGTGATCAGAGGCATAGGGAAGTTACTGGAATGGTCCAGGGAAGAGATGATGATGGCTTGCACCATGGGGGCAGCAGCAGATACAGTAAGAACTAGTTGATTCTGCTTAGATTTTAAAGGTAAAGCCTGTAAGATTTACTGCTGGATTGGATGTGGGATGAGAATAAATAAGAACTTGGCCTGAGCCACTGAGTCATGGTGATGCCTTTTACTGAAATGTGGGAAGGACAGGTTAGTGGGGGTGAAATTAAGAGCTCACTTGGGGATGCATTTTTTGAGATGCTCTTTGGGTATCCAGGGGCATGGTGAGCAGCTAGATATGAAAATCTGAAGTTCAAAGAAGAGTCCAGTACATTCGAGAGTTATTGAAGAGGAGGCAATTTGTAAAGTCATTAAATGATGGATGTTATTGCCAAAGAAGAGATAGTAAGTATAGAAGATGCCTGAGGTCTGGGCCCTGGGCACGCCACCATTTAGAGGTCAAGAGGGTGATGAAGAATGAGTAAAGGAGAGAGAAGGAGAGGCCCAGTGATGTGGAGGAGAACCAGAAGTGTGTGGCATCCAGGAAGCTAAGGGAAGAAAGGATTTCAAACAAAAGAAGATGACAAGCTGTGTCAAATGTTGCTAATGGGTCAGGTCAGATGAGCAGTGACCACTGGACTCAGTGGCTTTGAGGTCACTGATCACCTTGACAAGAGTGGCTCCAGGAGAGGGGTAGGGGCAAAACCAAACACATCAGGCCAGGCCATCTTGGAATATTTCTGCAGCAACTTTAGCAGGACTAACACGTGTCTCACTAAACCTGTGTATCAATCCCAGTAAATAAAATCATTCAGTAAAGGGTCATCATTAGACCTCATCTAGGTATCCATGCTGAATCAATATCGGCATTTTATTAGATTATATGTCTAGAATTGACAGATTTATAATACAGCTGCTATTTTGTTACATTATTTATTCTCCTACCACATCACACACATTTCACGAGGAAATCTGTCAAGGAGAACCTACTTTAATCAGGTACTTCGGAAGCCCATCTGAACATCAGCCCTACAGAGAGCCATCCTGTTTACCTAAGAATCTTTAAAGACATGATATTAAAATGGAAATGAGAACCAGCGTTCTTGCTTAAAGGTGATAGACTTTTATTGTCACAATGTCTTCCAGCAACTGCAAAACAGGAGCAGAAACTACACAGGCCCTGAAAGGGCAAACTGTACCAGCATTTACCACCACTCGCAATGGAGGAAACCCAGATACAAAAGGGGTCACTCAGTGCATGAAGGCAGAGGAACATCTGAATTCATGAGCACTGCTCCTGCTCACTCCAGGGCAGTGGCTAACCTAATCTTATTCTTATTAGTACATCTCCTCCTCCCACATCTTGGGTGCTTCTACTGCCTGAGTTTTTACTCCCTCCCCTGAGTGCAAACCCTGGGCTCTCCAACACCTGGTTGTCATAGTGACATCATTTGTTGCCCAAAGGGAGATATGCTTGCGTCAGGAGATGCAGGCAGGGCACCCCCTCGAGAGCTATGGGACGTCACTGTCTGCCTCATAGGCTCTGACCTCCAGAGCAAATTCCTCCCCAAGTCATATGTCCAGGCAAAACCTGAGCTTGAGAACACCTATCTGCCACTGCCCTGAAGGCAAAAACGAAAAATGTCCCAGGAACCCTGTATGGCCTCAACGGAGAGCTGACCTCAGAAGCCTTTTCCCTGGTTGAATCCCAGATCTGCTGAAAGAGACTTCCAGAAAGTCCCTCTCTCACCATGGTCTCTTCTAAGCACAAAGATGTATCCACAGCTTGTGGATATAGATGAGGAGGAGCCAAGAGAACTATCTGGGCTTGATACAGAAAAGCTAGAAGCATACAGAGGAGGCCGTGATCAGGCAGCCCCTGAAACAGACAGCTGGAGCTACAGAGCACCAAAGCTGGGAGGCGGTGCAGCAATTACGCCTGGATGCCCAGGCCAGCTCACACGCCTTCTGTCACCTGCAGGGGAGGCAGGGAGGGAGGTGGAGAGTGCTGTAGACCCTTCCCAATCTTTAAGAAGGTTTAGTCACACATAGTTAAGAGCAAGTGGATCATGCTGAACTCCAGCTTGCAGGGTCCCAGAAGGGACCAGCACTCAGGGTGAAGGGAGGCACACTCTGGAGTCCTGCCCCATATGGACCAGCATGGTGTGAGTAAAGCACAGACACGTAACAATCCCTTTAAACTTGCAGAGTCTAGAGCCTTCTAATGCAGCTCTTAGTGAATCCACTTTCTCCCTTACAGGTTCACCATGTCCTCTCTTCACCAACTGGCAAAGCTAGCAAATAAACCAGGGAGAGACTACTGCTCCTTCTTAATGGACAGTGCCTGATTCCAGAGCCCTGGATGTAATCCCAGATGTGTCTGTCTGCCCCAAGCCTTTACAGCAGGAACCATCCCACCTGATGGATCAGAGATAGAAGCAGCAAGTTTGGCTCCCCAGGGATCACATTTGACAGAGGTCATCAATTTAAGAATTTCACGAGACTATGAAGGAACTCAAGTGTTAAAAACCCTTTGCAACAACCCTTTGCAATGCCAGATAACATGAAGGTGTGTGGGACTCATGACCCTCTCTGAGGCCACAAGCTCCTCAGAGAGCAGCTAGACCTGAGACAGGCAGAAAGATGCTATAGCCACCTTGGAGGCATTCAAGGGACGGGGCATCCTGAATGGAAGAGACTTAGCTTCTGCTCCCAGATGCCACACTGACCTATTCGAACATTTTAGCCAGTAACCCCACCTCTCTAGGTCTCAGCGTCTCCACACAGTAACATGAAAGTCGTGCAGCACGGCAAAATGAATCCTCAGTTGGAACCAAGAAGAAAAGTGCCTTTCTTGTGAGGAAGGCAAGTCTTAAAATGCAGGAGTGACTCTCTCCACAGTTTTCAGTGGGTCACTTACTAACTATCCACTAGGGAAGACACCCACCTGCAAAGGCTGGAAAATCCAGGACTAAGGGTTTCCAGAATGCTAAAGGAAGTCACATCCAAAGTTCTACTTTGGGTTCTCCCCTGTAAGTGGGTGAAGAAGCCACAGAGAGCCAGTGGGAGCCGGGCAGCCCTGAGCAGATGGTGACAGCCACTTCTCTGGGAATTTCCAGGACACTAGGCAGCTTTGGCAAATGGGGAACTAGGCAGCTGCTGGAAGCCAGGAGGGACCCATCTACCCCCACGCTGCTCCCTCTTCCGGTTGTCCTGGCTTCTAGGAAGGCAGGAATTCCTTGTTCTCAAGACGGAGGAAGCCTCTTCTTAACGACCCTCCAGGAGGGGAAAGAAAGAGACTTCCAGCCCCTACCTGGGGCTGAGTCACGCAAGCTGCACAATAGCACCAGGTGAGCTTCAGGAGAGGGAGACTGACATTCTCTAGCGCCTCTTGGCTTGCCTAGAATCTGCCTGCAATGAGCCTGGGCCTTGGGGAGAACATGGGAACAGCCACAGATGGTAAGGAAGAGTGAAGGAGAACATCCAGGTGCTGGCAGGATGGGCAGGTTGGGACACCATGGCAAATAATCCCTACAGGCCCCAGAGAGGCCACCCTACACTGCGGCTCCCAAGCCTTCTCCATGTCCTTCAGCTCCAAATGCAGGGGTCCTTCCTTGCACCTAAGCAAAATGCTTCCTGCAACCACCTCGAAGAACACTTGACAGTTATAATATAATGAAAACAAATAAATATGCAGCACACACTTGGGCGTTTTTGCTCTTTCTCCTTCAGGATATGTTGTAGGCACCACCCACATACCACTAAAACTACAGAAACAAATCTAGCCCTGCCGTGAGAATCTCTCTTGCTTAACAGAAGAAGCTGTGTCAACATGACCACACAGCACTAGCTGGGATTTGGACACTAAGGTTTTAGTCCTGACTTCACGAACATTCAGGGACATTAAAACCAGTCTTCTCTCCTGGCTAGGTATCACCAAGACTGGCCAGCAAGCCCAAGGAAAGGCCACAAGAAAGGGTCATCTTGTCCTTCAAAGACTTGTTCACCTTCACGAAGCATCTTTCTGACATCAACTTTGGGAGTTATCCATGGAGATGCAATTCCATCCTGGCTGGGCTCTCCCTGCCTCCTAGTTCCCACCTATTCTACCAGGTGGAGTGGACCCTGACTTCATTATATCAGCCAAAGAGAAACATTTTCTGATGGGAAAATTTTTTGTTAAAAGGCATTGCTGTGGTTAACAGTAATTTCGTATCTTTCCAAAGACAAATACATATTTTTATATCTACAACATATATATTGTAAATAGTCCACAATTTACTTCTTCCATTAGTGCAGGTAACAGAAGGCTGACTGATCTCTCCTATGACTTGCTGTGTGTTCCTGGTCTCCGTAATGATCCTAGACAGGCTGGGGTCACCACCTGTTTTCTTACACAGGCAATGGATGGTGATCACCATTTAAAGGGAAGGAAGGAAAAATTAGAGAGTGGGAGGACAGAAAATGGTTGGGCGAGAGAGGTGAGATGTGGTGAGACATGCTTCCTCCTTTTCCTTTAAATCTGATGCGGGACTTTTCAGGAAATTAAACACCGAGACTATTAGCATCGGATAGAAAACAGATGAGGTTAAGACATCGCAATACTACAGCAGATTCCCTGGGCAGGCAGAGAGGGGACATGTGTAAGCAATCACCACAGTATTTCTGGAAAAGACCTTTTATGTTTTTAATACTTAACACTTCATAACAGGGACTAATAGGCAGGATAAAAAGAAGCCTGCTCAAAAGGCAACTTGGGGCATGAATGATTTTCCAGACAACAGAGTGGGGGAGGGAAGTTGCTTGAGCTTCAGCTCCTCAACCCTCCCACCATCGCCCACCCTCCTCTGCTCACTAGAGTTGTTGAAGGTGGGGAGAAGCCAGCAGGAGGATGGCATAAGGGGATCATCGGTGCATCCCCACTGAAGAGGTGGGGCCATTTTCCTTCCCCTAACTGTAACCTCCAATTCCTAGTTTCTTGAACTACAAAGCACAACTGAGCCTCCCTCACACTCAGATTGCTCATCTATAATTTGGGAGTGGCTATACTCCACCTGCCTGCCTAAAAGGAAAGAAGAATCACCTAAAGTTGACCCTCCAAAAGCTATAATGGCATGGATCATCACATGTTTTAAGCAAGAGCCCTGGATTTGAGGGCTAGAGGTGTTCCGAGCCCCATCTCTGTTTCCTGTGGCTGTGTGATCTAGGCCAAGGTGCTCAAGTTTCTGTGCCTCCATTTCTGCATATATCAGTTAAGGAATTTGGACAGCCAATGTTTCTCAACTGGTGCTCTCTTGCCATGGGAGGGTGGGGTGAGGGCTGTGTGTGGAGGGCCATTGGATATATTTCAGAACAGTTGGCATTGTGGCTCTCCAGGCACTAAATACAGTAGCAACCACCCTCACATTTCCAAATACCTGGGTGGGGGAAAGGGGGGAGCTGGTAAAATTGTTGGAAAGTAGATAAGCAGGTAAAGAGAACATCTAAGACACTTCTAGCCACTTCCACACCCACCCGTAGTCTCGCATGCCCAAAGTCCAGGATGCTGCACGAGGCAGGCTTACCTTCCTGTCATTCATATCGTCCTCTGGACTATCGTATTCACCCTGTGGAGAAAAAGTGATGCTGGATAAAGCCAATGAAATTACCAGAAGCAGGTGCCAAAGGAGAAAGGATTTTCTTTTTTATTTTCTAATATCATTGCTTTTTTTTCATTCCCATTTAAGGAAGGTCAAAAGCATGGCATGGTAAGGGGCTGATATTCCATTTTCTGAGCCATCAACACTTGCCACATTTCCTGGGATAACTTCTCACATGAAGATGTGCCCCCTCATCCACTTCAGAGATCAGCCTGTGCCCCCTCGTAGCAATGCAATGGCAGAGCTCCAGACTTTAAATGGTTTAGCCCATCACGTGAAAAGCACCTGTGCCATGACATGCTCACTCTGTCCGTAACTGCAGAACTTAGCAGTGCATATGCCACTGCAAATATGTCAGGAATTAGAAGACTGCCATCCGAAAAATTCCTGCTGGCAGTCAGGGAGCCCCACCTCAGCAGTCTCAAATGGCACTACCGCATGGCACGTGCCCAAGACCTGACCAGTCTGATGAATAGTGAAGCCATGGAGCATTTAGCTCAAGGACCAGTTACATTCTCGTAAACTGTCTTGAAGAATACCATTGCATTGTATCATGGTATGTTCGTAACATTATCTCCAGTCAAGGAGAGATTTCATTACAGTCATTCTGTTTTCTTTACTTAACCAAAGCATTGTACAAGGAATTCTGAGAGATTTTCTTCAAAAAAAATTTTTTTTAAAATAATGATCTTTCGTTAATATGTACCTGCATGTTAAGGAGGAATTTCACATCTGCACAAAACTCTCCCATACAAAATATCACTTTCAGGCAGCTAAGGAGACGTCTGACAGTCCAGGTTAGGGATTACTCACGCCTTTCAGTCTCCTTCCACCACCATCCACCACCCTCATCAATATCTCCTCCCTTTAATCACCTCATGCCACATCTGTATAGTTACACTTTTGCTAAAAATAAAGCTAGGGAGTACAAGAAAAGCTCAAACAAAGCCCAGTTTATTGTGTCATCTGGGGAAATCATTGCCGAGACAGTTTGAGATGATTGGCAAAAATCAAACTGGGGATTATTGTCAGCAATGAGTGGTCCAGGGTCAGTCAAGGTATTTTAATGTCATGATTCACTCCTGCCTCACCCTGCAGGTATTCACCCATCTCACTGCCACTGAAAAGTTGTGGTTTTCAAAGTTTTGAAGACTACAGAGAGCACGCTGATGAAAATAGTACTTACGTCATGAAGAGGGTAGGCAGCCTCATAGATATTGTTTGCGATCAGAGAGTTAATACCTACGGAAGAAAGGGAGATGAAAATAGTAACTCTGGGGCAAGCGTTTCTCAACTTAACCCCTGTTTTTTGATAAATAAGCTTTCACATGCCCCCCCAGTTGAGAATCACTGCATCCTCCTCTATATCATCCAGGCTAGAACTTTTTGTCAAGCTCTGGTTCTTAGTATAAGAACAATATTGTTTCATTCTCTAAATACAAAATTATGTTTTAATATCAAATATGCTGTCTCAAAGTTCACATTCCTCCTGTCTTCAAAGATTCCAGTCATTCCATTCCAATAACCTTCCACCACCATCAGGTGAGAATCTCTGTGCTCCATGACCGCATAGGAATGGTTATATGGATCATTTTAATCATGATCTATAAAAGTGTATGAGAGCATCCGACTGCACTTTGAGCTCCTTCCTGCTGTTTCACAAGGCAGCGTTCGCTGTGACTGATCTGCCGCCTGGACCATAATATCCCTGAGGTGGGCAGGAAGCAACAGGGCAGTGGTTCTCAAAATGTGGTCTGGGGAGCCCTGGGAGTCCTCATGAGGCTTTCGGGGGTCCCTGGAGGAAAACTATTTTTCTAACAGCACTAACGGTTTCTAACTGCTTTCTCACTCTTCCTTCACAAGTACATAGTGGGGTGTTGTGGCACATGCTGACATCATCCCCTATGGCTAATGGCATGTGTGTTTGTGTATTCTTGCACTTTCACAATTTCTCAGCCTTAACTTCTCATGCAGTAAACATTGGTCGACATAGTCATGCAAACACCCTTTGGGTGTTCCCAATAATTTTTAAAAGTGTGAAGTTACCCTGAGACCAAAAAGTTTGAAAACTATACAAGGGATTTATGTTTTAATTCCAACAGTGTCTCACACCACTTGCACATAGCAGACCCTACTAAACAAATGTGAAATGAACAAATGGCTCTGTCCCTCCAACTCCATTATACTCACAACAGAGAACCTTCTGCGCAGCATAAAGTCGTCGTTATTTACTTGTTTCATTCTTGGTTTTTTTCAGAGACTATAAAGTGGTCTGTGTGTTCTGTCTGAGTCGGGATGGTCTGTCCTAGGTCGCTGGCTTCCAGATGGGAGGGATTATGTCTCACCAACTCGTAGTACCAAGGATCCCGCCATACGAGGATCCACATTTAATCATGGAGGGGGAGGAGAGGGGGAATTTCTGGTACACAATGATTTCCCTTGTCTCGCACTTACTTTCTGCCCTGAACCATTCTTTCCAAAGAGACTGTAGACTGTAGTGAGATGAGGAGATAATTGGTTTTGGAGGGAAAGATGTATGATGTCCAAATGCTAAGAAATCTGCATTTGCATGGCTCTGAATAAACGCCGAGGTTGGATAACAAATCTAGACAACATTTACTCATTAAAATTCATGGCTTCCCACCTCCCGCTCTTACCCAATGCCCCACCCACATGCTCAGAGACCCGCAGAGGATCTCAGACAATCCTCTCCCCTCCATCAGCCTCCTCTTCCTCAAACCTCGCCCCCATTTGCCACAGTTCCAGGACATTGGATGGCACAAAGACTATTCTCCAGGCCCCACGTGGGAGCAGAGGCCCGCGGCAGGCTGCCAGGTGTGCCCAGTAGAAGTGGCTGCTCTTCCAATGAGTTGAAAGCTAAGTGTTTTGGTACTGCTGCGTCACCAAAGGGCCAGTCCTTTCCTGATTTTAAGTTTCTTCCTTGGCATGCACATAAAACATGAGAAATAACTTTGTGGGGTGAGAGGAGCAGAGGGTGGGGAGAGGGAGTGCAGATGGGGGAAGGGTGCCTGGAGGTTCGCTAAGCTGCAGATTTGTCTGACTCACAAGACTACAATTTCACTCTGAGCATCATTACTCAGTTCAAGAGCCATAACCACAGCAATGTGAAGCCACCCTACCATAATCAAAGGGAGGAGTCCCAAGCCGGGAGGGGAGTTTGTGGGAGTTTGTAGTTAAAAGCTAAAGCTACAAAGTGCTGTAGGCATGGATAGAGGTTGAAGCATCACAGGCGGGTAAGGCCCCAGCTAGACCGCACCCCAGAACCTACCCAACCCAATCCATACAGTCACACCCCACAGTTGCTGTGGCAGCTGTATATACCCTTAAGACAGTCCCAAAACTCTGTGGAAAAGTCCAGCAGTTGTTTTCACCGACTTAGCTCATCTGCTAATTCTCAGCTGGACTTTGCACGGTAGCCGAGTGTCTGGAAGCATCAGACCATTAGACCGACAACCTGAACTCCTGGTCCCAGCTGCCAGATCCTCAGAAATGCCTCAAATTATTGGGACATTAAAGCCATGCGCCCTATCCCCCATCTTAAATAAAGCTTCCTGTGCACGGTGCAGCTGGAAGTGGGCAGCTTGCTTCACTTCCAGGACAAGGTTTGCTCATTGTTTTGTGTTCCCCAGAGGCCTGACCTGCGTCAGAGAGCACTCCTCTCACCTGTGCGTCTCACCGCACTTAGCTCACAGCTGGAAACACAGAAGAGATGGCAGCCCTAACAGTCACCGGCCCTACGGCTGCAGTTATCTCAGTACTCCTCTTGTTCATCGCCTTCCTCACTGCTTTGTTGAGCATTCTATGCTCATGAAGAAACTTTTACACTCCAGCTGATTGTTCTGCCTCCTAAGACAGAAAGTCAAGGTAAAAGGTCCTTTGCTTTGGAGCAAAGATTCAAGTTATAAAACCAGAGTTGTCCTGACTCAGATAACCAGAGCCCCCAAAATGCCGCAACTGGATGTTTCTCTGTTCCCTCTAGCTGTGTACTCCCTACTTTTCAGGTGGTATCCTATGGGTGATCCCAATCAGTGGCTGATAAGGGAAGGGAGGAGAAAGTACATTAGAGGAGGAGGAATGGGGCAGGAGAGGCATGTTGAAAAGTAAGCATCCATCCACAACTTTACCCAACAACAGGGATTTGCTTTGGCCTCCCCGTTCACCCAGACTTCAGAAACCAAGATTCTACCCCCAAACAAGCATGGAAATCAGTTTAAAACAAGAAGAAAATAATCAAACGTTTTTAAAAAAGAGTCCCTGCTTTGAAAATTGAAATTCTGATTTTTTTCTTTCTTTTCAGCAAAAAATGGGCTAATTGGTTCCATCATGCGCCATCCATCTGGCCATAATGGCAAAGCTTTCTTCTTCAGGATTGCATCTATATTCTTTCCTCTCAGCTCTCGACCCAGGGAGAGACAGAGAGACCCAACCTTTTGTCCTGTTACTTTCAGGATGGGAGACAGTGAGAAGAAGAAAGTGCTGAGGACATTTTCCTTTCCCTGTCTCCCTTAACAGGAACAACGTCTCAGCTCAAAGTATAGCCCCTGAGGAGCCCCTTACTGATCCTCGAAGTCAACGTGCCCATGTCTCCTTCAAATCACCAGGTACTTCATGCCTAGTGCTTAGAACTAAAAACCTCCAAAGGAAAAGACTCATGTTTCCTCCCTGCCCAGCATGGACCACACATCTGTGCAGCCTGACACAACCAGGCCTAGCAACACTGTCCCACATCCACAGGGGCAGGGCCAAGAAACATGACCAGGGAAGGCTTAGGCCCCAGCATTGGTACCTGAAAACACATACTTGTCATACAAAGCCTGAGACCTAGCATTAAGCTTCATAGACATATCTGGTTTCCTGGACACAAAGGAACAACCAAAGCACAGAAGTTTATGGTCTACCTCCCAAAGAGTCTCATTAAATCTACAAGTGCTGCTGGGTGACAGGGACTGCAGTGCCATTCCCTCCAGGCCAAACTCAAAGGAAACTTTTATCCATTGGGACAGGTACTTAGAGGAATGGTGCCATACTCCTGAAAATCCATTTGGTTTTGATTCTCCCCAGAAAAGGGCCCAGTCCACCCGGCATTGTGCTTTCATCCCTGCACTCCAGCCGGACGTAAATCTAAACCAGAACTCCCAGACGGTGCATTTAACAGAGACTATATTTACCCATCACCAAATTGTCTTGACGTGTGCTTAATTACTTAAATGCCTTTAATCCCAAGCCTTTTCTTCTAAGAAAATGTAAACCAGTTCAGCTGGATGAATGATAAACCAGATGTTTACAACACACAACATGGTCTGGCTTTGGTCAAAATAATTAAGACATCGTCTCCTGATTGGGGAGGGGAGGTTCCCAAAGAATACATTTTGTTTAAAGACTCTGACACCAAAATGTCCACGAAAATATAGTTCCATCAACCTGTAATTTTCTGTCCATAAAAAAGCAACAATAACTTTCATATGAAGGAGCAAGAAAGGTGTTTACCCTCCTCTGATATGGTCAATGAGGCTTGAGTTTCTTTCCATGGCAAAGTGCACTAAAAAGTTATTCAATAGTAAAGTCAACTCCCAGGGCCCTGACAATTGACCTTAGGAAAGATGATATTGATTAAGGAGGCATCATGATCACTCCCACACTTCCACCACAATGCAGTACCCAAACTCACAAATATTTTCAGTCTCTGAATGTGATGGGCATTAATCCATAATCTCCCACTTCCAGGGGTAAATAAGAGAGAAAATAAGAGGGAAAGGTTGAGTTGTTTCTCTTGAGGTTATGAAAGAATTCTAAAAAGTTTGATCATTAGTCCAACCATACCTTTTCAAGGTCAACTCCTCCTGCTTTGCCATTTTATACTAATTTTAAACACCACCCCCCAAAAGAGAGAAAGGGAAGGGAAGGGTAAGGGAGGGGAGGGGAGAAGAGGGGAGAGGAAGGGATGGGAGGGGAGGGGAGGCGAGGCCAGGGAAGGGCAGGGAAAATAGTGCAGGGCAGGGCAGGGGAGTGGAGGGGAGGCAGGGCAGAGCAGGAAAGAGAAGGGGAAGGGAGGGAAGAAAAGGGAAGGAAAGGGAAGGGAAGGGGGAAGGGGAAGGGGAAGAGAGGGGAAAGGAGGGAAGGAGAAGGGAGGGAAACACAGGGCAGGGGAAAGAAAGAAGAGGAAGGAAGGAAGGGAGGGAGGGAGGGAAGGAGGGAGGAAGGAAGGAGGAAGGAGAGAGAAAGAAAAAGAAAGAAAGAAAGAAGGGAAGGAAGGAAGGAGGGAGGGAGGGCAGGCAGGCAAGCAAAAGAAAGAGAGAAAGGAAGAAAGGAAGAAAGGAAGGAAGGGGGAGGAAGGAAGGAAGGAAGGAAGAAAGGGAGGGAGGGAAGGAGGAAGGGAGGGAGGGAGGGCAGGCAGGCAAGCGAAGAAAGAAAGAAAGAAAAAGAAAAAAAGAAAGAGAAAGAAAGAGGAAGAAGAAAAAGGAAGGAAGGTGGAAGGAAAGAGGAAGGAAGGAAGGGAAGGAGGAAGGGAGGAAGAGAGGGAGGGAAGGCAGGCAAGAGAAAGAAAGAAAGAGAAAGAAAAGAAGAAGAAGGAAGGGAGGGAGGGAGGCAAGAGGGAAGGGAGGAGGGGAGGGAGGGAAGGCAGGCAAGTGAAAGAAAGAAAAAGAAAGAAAGAAAGGAAAAAAGGAAGGAAGGAAGGGAGGAAGGAAAGAAGGAAGGAAGGAGAAGGACAGAAGGAAGGAAGGAGAAGGAAAGAAGGAAGGAAGGAGAAGCAAACAAGCAAGCAAGAAAAAGAAAGAGAGAGAAAGAGAGGAAGGAAGGAAGGAAAGAAGGAAGAGAGGGAGGGAGGAAGGAAGGAAGGGTAAGCAAACAAGCAAGAAAGAAAGAGAGAGAAAGAAAAAAAGAAAGAGAAGAAACAAAGAAAGAAAGAGGAAGGAAGGAAGACGAAAGAGGAAGGAAAAAAGGAAGAGAGGAAGGAAGGAAAGGAAAAGAAGTTCCAGAGACCTAGCTGGTGGCTAGGGCATTAAAAGGGACTGAATGCCAAATGTTCATACAATATTAGAAAAATAAAAACTAGGCCCTTCACAGATAGACTTGGTTATCTTTGGGGGGTCAGAACCCCAGTGGTCAAATCCCCAGGAGGCAGGAGGCAGAGTACTTTGCAATACACTTCATATTCCCAAGTGTAAGTAGGTCATGAAGACTACAACAGTGCACCCTATCTTTATTTTTATCTTTTTCTTTTGTTCACTCTAGAGTTCCTAAGAATCACTGGGTAGATTATTAAATATGCAGATCTTCGGACCTTGCCCCTGCAGATTCTGATTCAGCAAATGTGGCATGGGACCTGGACAGCCAGGGTTTTAGCAAGCACACCAGGTGATTCTGATGCCAATTACATGCAACCACACCTGACCACCGTCGCCCATAATCACATGCAAAGAATTGCTATAGGAGTACAAACTTCTTCCAACCATCCTCACCAACTGCTCTGGATGCTCCTTATTCTCCATCTTCCCTTTCACTACAATTGTCTCCTCTCAACCTCTCTGAGGCCTGCGGACATCACGCAACCCCAAGTCCTGGCCACACCCCTGGTACCTGCTCTCTGTGAACTTTCAGGAAAGCCAGTTCCCTCCCTGGGCCTCGTTGGCTCATATGTACAGATCATGTGGCTCCTTTGAATCACAGAGTCTGGGAAATGTTAGAGTCAGAAAGAAGCTTAGAGAGCACTGAGAGGCCCCATTTGTTTTATGAGGGGAGAAACTGGCCCAGACAGGGAACATGGCTTGACCGAAGTTTTACAACTTGTTCATCCCAGAGCTGGAACTGGCACCCACTTCTCCAGCCTTGCCAGCTGTGTGCCTATCTTCCATCTTCCCCTTCCAGATATACTCTCTACGGTCCTCTATCTGACATGAACAGGCTGCTGTGCTCTCTGGCTTCCTACTGCCATCAGCAGTATTGAGACCCCTGGCCTTCTGCCTAAATAGTCACCTGCTCAAGGTCACCTCCTCTACCCAATTCCACGTTGCAGTGACCTCTCTATCTTTCTGCAGGTCTAGGGATGATAAGAGCTCTACTATTGTTAATTCCAGGTTACAACGCCGTCCCTGGCATTCCCCAACTCCCTGCCAATCCCTTTGTAAATGGTTTCTCTATACATATGCCCACCTTGAATTACCCTAATTGGGGTGTGCTATTTGTTCCTATTGGGACCCTAACTGGTTATCTGGAATTGCCACCACCATGTCTTCTGTGTTATTTGCTTTCCTTGCATGTATCTGTCTTCTCACAGCCATGTGGCTTGCTCCCTGTTTTCCTCAAATATTACATCAGGAAGACCTTCTCCGACTACTCTATTTAAAATACCTTCCCACTCCCACTTCATTTTCATCTCCTTTATTTGCTCTATTCTTTCTCCTGACCCTTATCCCTACACGACATCCTATCCATTGTATTTACTTCTTGGTTTATTTTCTGTCTTCCGTAACTAGAAAGTAAGCCCCTTAAGGGCAGGAATTTGTGTCTGTTGGATTCACTACTCCATTCCCCAGGTCCACAACATGAATGTCACATAGTAAGTGCTCAGTAAATACGTGTTGAATGAGTGAATGGATGTTATACTGGGAAGGGCTCAGCTTCCACCTCTTCTGGGAAACTTTTTCCAATAACTTTATCCATTTCCTAATTAAATTAGTTAAAAAGCAATGACAAAGAGTCAAGAAACCTAAGTTCTAAACCCATTTCCAAAGTTCTAGCTGTGTGTATGCCAGTTAATCTCTCTGTTGTGAAGTTAATTAACATCTGCTGAAGCTACTTTGCTGGCAGTTTAAAGGATCAAATGAGATAATGAGCGTTAAGGTGTTTTGAAAAACATACAACTGCAAGCATGCAAGGAGTCCTTATTACTTTGGTGACAGTAACACCTCATTTATCAGAGGCCTCTTATCTGGTTATCTCAGCTCTCACAACAGAAAACCCAGAAACAAGAAAAAAATAAATGAGCAGCTAAAATAGATCTCACAAAACCTACTTTCTAATGCGATGTCCCTTTTCCACAGCAGAATCCTTCAGACCTCCTGCCATGCATTTTACACTCTCTTTACCCAAAATTCTAATGAGCTTGTTTTTCCATCTCCCACACTGCAAAGTGAAACTGAGATAGCAAAACTCGGGGAGGGAGGTTACCAGAGTCAAGAATTCAAGAAATCAGAGCAGTGTGGGGCAAACAATCCTAATAATGCTTTGATAATTCTTGAGAGAACATGAAAATCATTATGTTCTTAATGATGATCTTGAATAATCCAGAAAATTTGTCATACGCCTTTATGTGGAGAATATATGTAGACATGTTCTACATAAGACGCCTTTATGTGGAGAATATATGTAGACATGTTCTACATAAGCAAGCAGGAAATTGTGTGATAGACTTTAGAAAGATTTCTGTACAGAAAGATATTGCTGTAGGCAGCAAGAGCTACACCCCTGACCATATTCCCCCTTTCACTTTGGTTCAAGGTTAAATTTGCAGTTCAACTGTAGAAACTAGAAGACATTATGGTTTGCATATGTGTTCTATTTTCTTCCTCCTAGTTTTGACATTCTATTTTAATTTATTTTCTCTGGTTCTTATTTTTCAATTTATTTTTATACTATGCTGTCTTATTGTTTTTCTTGTAAGCTACCCCAGAAATTTTGTGGAACAAGGCAGGAATATAAATATATCACTACATACTACTTGTATATAGGTTAAAGCTTTGTAAAAGTAGGCATTCAATAAAAACGTATTGTCTACAAAGAAAAAAGAGACATTACTAGATAAACAGGAGTGTTTCCAAGTTATTACTATCTTTAGTATCTTTTCTATTTTCTAATATTTAAATTGGGTACAATGGGAAAGAGAATTAGCTTTGTAAGTTGGTTGCAAAAGAAATGACCATACAAAAGATAATCTGAGGGTGAAGGATCAATGAAAACACCTACGATTCCAAATCCAGTCCTGTTCTCCCTTTCTCTCTCTCTCTTTTTTTTTTTTAATGAGGAAACAACCTTCTGGAGGAATATAAGCCGATTCTAGTCACTCATGCTTCTCTTCCACCCCTTATAAGCCAGAAAGAAAGGCAATAAAATCTAAATTTACCCTGTGGCTCAGGCCTCCATATTATCTTGGGGCCTCATGGAGTTATCACATTCCTCATTTTTTTTTTATCTTCTAAATAAGATTGGTAAGTTCACCAAAGAGCTTAGAGGGCACTTGGTCTTCATGGGCAGAAGTCAACCCACTGGAAATCTGGCCTTTGGGTTCTCCTCTGCTGAGAAGTAGAGTTCAGTCACATGTCTCTTGTTACAAAGCTAGTAAGTCCTCAGTGGCTACTGTGAAGTTAACAGACTCTAAAGACTCAGCCTAATTCCACTCCTACTCTGTAGCATCCCAAAGGTATTGGAAATACGATTAGAGCAAGAGTACCCAAGTTCTAGACTCATTTCTGACTCAAGATGTAACCCTGGGCAAGTCACGTATCCTCTTTGTGCCCATCTGTAATTGGAGATGATCACTCCTGACATACGTAAGTTTCCTGGGAGCAATGATTTACATTGATACTTAGACATATAGAGACATACACATGGACATTAATTGCCTCCTCCCCTGTGTCCCAACTGCACTCTGTATGTATCTCTATTATAGCACCTACCACATTGCCTCATCACAATCTGTTTCCACGTCTGTCTGCATGGCTAAACTAAGAGCCCCTCAAGGGTAGAAATTATGCTAAACTCAGCTTGGCATCCCTCCGTTTCTCTAACATCATTTGACACATAGCAGGTGCTCATTAAATGTTTTTTGAATGTCAAAAAGGAAAGACAAAATTATAAATACAACTCAAAAACAACAACAAAATCCTGACATTTGACTTTGAGACATCACCAAAAAACCCTCAGATTCTCACACACACAATAAAAAACCTCAATGTTAAAGCAGAGGGCGTCTAGTCTCTAGTGGCCTTCCAACAACCTGGGGATTGTCCCCCAAAATAAACTTTTGTTTTTAGGACTTTCCAGTTTACAAAACAAGCTAACAGCCGCTTATTTCATCTTTACAAAAACTCTGCAAGATAGATATTATTATCCCCATTTTACATAAAAGTAAGCTGAGATGCAGAGAGGTTATTTGTCCATGAACACACATAGTCAGAAACTGACCAGAAACTGCTGTGGGACTAGCAGGCTGGGCATTTTTAAATTAATCCATTCAATCAAATCAACTGAGTAGAATGTGTGAGACACGCAGTGAGGTGCACTGGGGCATAGAAGATGACTCAGAAATATCTCAAGGACTCACTGCCTTAGGAGTCTAAGCCACGGGTGTAGAAAACAAGCAAGAAAGAGATTCGGTTTGATAAGAGCTCCAAGGAAAGGGCTTTAAGGAAAAATCTGGAGGACAGCGATGTTTGATGTGGGGATAGGCATCACTGAGATTGGGGAAAAACACAGGCAGGACATTCAGGAAAAGGAAACAGCATGAGCAAAGACAGAGAAAAAAGTGGTCATATTAACAGGAAGAGGAGCAGGAGAGAGAGAGGAGAGAAGTGGATATGCTATTTTGAGGTTCTGGTGAACATCTAAGTGGTGGTATCCATCCAGCAACTGGAAATGCAGGGCTGCAATTGGTGAGAGAAACAGGAGCAAAAATAGATGGCTGCAAGTCATCTATATAGAGAAAATAGAGAGTGCAAAAGCCAAAGGAACTTGGAAGCTGACAACATCTAAAATGTGGAAGAAGGAAGAGAAATCAAGGAAAATGTGGCCCATGAGGCAGAAACAGAAGGAGAGCAGTTGAGTAGGTCAACAGCACCTTCCAACAACTATCAGAAGATGGAGGTGCAGTAAAGAAGGCTTGGAAGGATGCAGGAAGTTGTGGAAGATGAAGACTGAGAAGAAAAAAACATGAACTATGGGAGGTGTGATGGTTAATACTGAGTGTCAACTTGATTGGATCGCAGGATGCAAAGTATTAATCCTGGGTGTGTCTGTGAGGGTGTTGCCAAAGATTAACATTTGAGTCAGTGGGCTGGGAAAGGCAGACCCACCGTTTAATCTGGTGGGCACCATCTAATCAGCTGCCAGTGCAGCTACAATATAAAGCAGACAGAAAAACATGAAAAGACTATACTGGCCTACATCTTTCTCCTGCGCTGGACCCTTCCTGCCCTCAAACATCGGACTCCAAGTTCTTCAGTTTTGGGACTCAGACTGGGTTTCCTTGCTCCTCAGCTCATGGGAGCTTGTGATCATGTGAGTTAATACTTAATAAACTCATATTATATATATATATATATATATATATATATATATATATATATATATATGGATATGTAATAGGATATATATATATATCCTATTAGTTCTGTCCCTCTAGAGAACACTAATACAGATTTTCTACCAGGAGTGGTTCTAGAGGAACAGAATATTAAGGATGGAGTTCTTTCATTGGTTTTGGGGTTTCTGGAGTTGGCTGCTTAATATGATTAGACCCCAAAATGCTAAGGACTCTACTTCTAATAGTATGGAGAACACTGATAGTCCTTGGCATGAACTGTTTAGAGAGTTATGCAAAATAAATGCATTTGACACTCCTGATTCACTGCTCATGACAGGCAAGGAGATTAGTGACTCTGTACATAATACCTTTGACCATATGCAGGGAACCAAGGAACATAATGAAGCGGTTGGTTGCTCCTAAGTTCAGTGGACAAAGTGATGAAAGAAAATGATGAACTCAGGGATTCTAACTCCCAACTTCAAAAGCAGATTCTGAGCATCAAATCTGCTAAGATGGCCCTGAGTGACAGTCTTATCTCCTGAAGACAAAGAGCTGAAATTGTGGAAAAACAGACACAAGCTCTTATCATGCGAGTGGCTGACCTGCAGTGAAAGGTGCATTCACAGCCTCTCCAGGTATCTACTGTTAAAGTCAGGGCATTGATTGCAAAAGAATGAGATGCAACAGTGATGGCCTCCCCTGAGGCAGTTGCCAGGCAAAATAATGTTGATTCTCCTCAGGAGCCACCCCCAACACCCCTGTTTGCTTCTAGACCTATAAATAGACTGAAGCCCCAGTGGGCCCTTAGATGTGAGGTTGACAGTATGACCCACGAGAAGGTGCACTACATTAGAAAAGAACTGCTTGAGTTTTCTAATTTATATAAACAGAAATCTGGATAACAGGCATGGGAATGGATATTAAGGATATGGGATAATGGTGGAAGGAACATAGAGTTGGATCAGGCTAAATTTATTGATTTGGGCTCATTAAGTAGGGACTCTGCATTTAATGTTGCAGCCTGGGGAGTTAAAAGGGGTTCTAATAGTTTATTTGCTTGGTTAGCTGAAATATGGATTAAAACATGGCCCACTGTGGTGAGCTGAAAATGCCTGATCTCCCTTGGTTTAACGTAGAGGAAGAGATCCAAAGGGTTAGGGAGATTGGGATGGTGGAGTGGATTAGTCACTTTAGACCTACTCATCCTAGTTGGGAAGTCCAGAAGATATACCCTTGACCAATGCCTTGTAAAACAGATTTGTGAGGGCAGCACCTGCATCTTTGAAGGGCCCTATAATCACTCTTCTCTGTATGTCAGATCTAACAGTGGGAACCACAGTCACTCAACTATAAAATTTAAATACAATGGGAATAATTGGATCCTGAAGTGGCAGGGGCCAAGTGGCAGCACTCAACCATCAAAGGCAAGGTGGGTGTACCTACTGTAATGGACAGCAGAGGCAAAGCAGCAATCAGAATAATCTGACTTATGTAGAGCTCTGGCATTGGCTTATTAATCACAGTGTTCCTAGAAGTGAAATTTATAGGAAGCCTACTGCATTCCTACTTAATTTATATAAGCAGAAAACTTCTAGGTCAAATGGACAAAAGACTAATTTGAATTATAAAAACAGAGAATCATGGCCCATCAATCAATTTCCGGACTTGAGCCAGTTTACAGACCCAGAACCCCTTGATTGAAGGGGAGGTTGGGTCCCCTTGAGGAAGGACCCCACTATACTACTGACAATTTATGCTGTTAATCTTTCTCCCATCCTTCCCCAAGGAGACCTCCAGCCTTTTATCAGGGTAACTGTGCATTGGGGTAACTGTGCATTGGGGAAAGGGATATGATCAGATTTTTGGGGACTACTGGTCATTGGCTCTGAGATGACGTTGATTCCAGGGGACCCAAAACGTCATTGTGATCCTCAAGTTAAAGTAAGGACTTATGGAGGTCAGATAATTAATGGAGTTTCAGGTCAGGTCTGACTTACAGTGGGTCCAGAGGGTCCCCAGACTAATCCTGTGGTCATTTCCCCAGTGCCAGAATGCATAATTAGCATAGACATACTTAGCAGCTGGCAGAACCCCCACATCGGCTCCCTGACTGGTAGGGTGAGAGCTACTATGGTGGGAAAGGTCAAATGGAAGCCATTAGAGCTGGCTCTACCTAGAAAAATAGTAAATCAGAAACAATATCGCATCCCTGGAGGGTGTGCAGAGATTAGTGCCACCATCAAGGACTGAAAGACACAGGGGTGGTGATTCCCACCACATCCCTCTTCAACTCTCCCATTTGGCCTGTGCAGAAGACAGATGGATCTTGGAGAATAACAGGGGATTACTGTAAGCTTAACCAAGTGGTAACTTCAATTGCAGCTTCTGTACCAGATGTGGTTTCATTGCTTGAGCAAATTAACACATCTCCTGGTACCTGGTATGCAGCCACTGACTTGGCAAATGCCTTTTCCTCCATTCCTGTCCATTAGGCCCACCAGAAGCAATTTCCCTTCAGCTGGCAAGGCCATTAATACACTTTTACTGTCCTCCCTCAGGGTTATATCAACTCTCCAGCTTTGTGTCATAATCTTATTTGGAGAGACCTTGATCGTTTTTCGCTTCCACAAGATATCACACTGGTCCATTACATTGATGACATTATGCTGACTGGATCCAGTGAGCAAGAAGTAGCAAACACACCAGACTTATGGGTGAGACATTTGCATGCCAGGGGATGGGAAAAAAATCTGACTAAAATTCAGGGAACTTCTACCTCAGTAAAATTTCTAGGGGTCCAGTGCTGTGGGGCCTGTCAAGATATTCCTTCTAAGGTGAAGGATCAGCTGCTGCATTTAGCCCCTTTTACAACCAAGAAAGAGGCACAACACATAGTGGGCCTATTTGGATTTTGGAGGCAACACATTTCTCATTTGGATGTGTTACTCCGGCCCGTTTATCAAGTGATATGAAAGGCTGCCAGTTTTGAGTGGGATCCAGAATAGGAGAAGGCTCTGCAACAGGTCCAGGCTGCTGTGCAAGCTGTTCTGTCACTTGGGTCACATGACCCAGCAGATCCAATGGTGCTTGAGGTGTCAGTCACAGATAGGGATGCTGTTTGGAGCCTCTGGCAAGTGAATCACAGCGCAGGCCTCTAGGATATTGGAGCAAGGCCCTGCCATCTTCTGCAGATAACTGCTCTCCTTTTGAGAGACAGCTCTTGGCCTGTTACAGGACTTTGATGGAAACTGAACGTTTGACTATGGGTCATAAAGTCACCATGGCACCTGAACTGCCTATAATGAACTGGGTGCCTTCTGACCCATCTAACCATAAAGTGGGTCATGAACAGCAGCATTCCATCATCAAACGTAAGTGGTATATATGTGATTGGGCTCAAGCAGGTCCTGAAAGCACAAGTAAGTTACATGAGAAAGTGGCTCAAATGCTCATGGTCTTCATTCCTGCCACCCTGCCGTCTCTTCCCCAGTCTACACCAATGGTCTCGTGGGGAGCTCCCTATGATCAGTTGACAGAGGAAGAGAAGACTCAGGCCTGGTTCACAGATGGGTCTGCACAATACGCAGGCACCACCCAAAAGTGGACAGCTGCAGCAGCACTACAGCCCCTTTCTAGGACATCCCTAAGGACAGCAGTGAAGGGAAATCTTCCCAGTGGGCACTTCGAGTAGTGCACCTGGTTGTGCACTTTGCAAGCAAGGAGAAATGGCCAGATGTGCAATTATATACTGATTCACGGGCTGTAGCCAATGGTTTGGTTGGATGGTCAGGGACTTGGAAGAAGCATGATTGGAAAATTGGTGACAAACAAATCTGGGGAAGAGGTATGTAGATGGACCTCTCTGAGTGGTCAAAAACTGTGAAGATATTTGTATCCCATGTGAGTGTTCACCAGCGGGTGACCTCAGCAGTGGAGTGGACAGGATGACCTATTCTGTGGACACTACTCAACCTCTTTCCCCAGCCACCCCTGTCATTGCTCAATGGGCCCATGAACAAAGTGGCCATGGTGGCAGGGATGGAGGTTACACATGGGCTTAGCAACATGGACTTCCACTCACCAAGGCTGACCTGGCTACAGCCACTGCTGACTTCCCAATTTGCCAGCAGCAGAGACCAACACTGAGCCCTAAATATGGCACCATTCCTGGGGGTGATCAACCAGCTACATGATGGCAGGTTGATTATTTTGGACCTCTTCCATCATGGAAAGGGCAGAGGTTTGTCCTCACTAGAACAGACACTTACTCAGGGTATGGGTTTTCCTATCCTGTACGCAATGCTTCTGCCAAGACTACTGTATTAGTCCATTTTCACACTGCTGATAAAGATATACCTCAGACTGGGAAGAAAAAGAGGTTTAATTAGACTTACAGTTCCACATGGTTGGGGAGGCCCAAGAATCATGGAGGGAGGCACTTCTTACATGGCAGTGGCAAGAGGGCAAGAGAGAAAGAGGAAGAAGCAAAAGCAGAAACCCCTGATAAACCCATCAGATCTCATGAGACTTATTCACTATCATGAGAATAGCATGGGAAAGAACAGGCCCCATGATTCAATTACCCACCCTGTGTCCCTCCCACAACACATGGGAATTCTGGGAGATACAATTCAAGTTGAGATTTGCAGGGGGACACAGCCAAACCATATCATTCCACCTCTGGCTCTTCCAAATCTCATGTCCTCACATTTCAAAACCAATCATGCCTTCCCAACAGAGTCTTAACTCATTTCAGAATTAACCCAAAAGTCCACAATCATGCCTTCCCTCCAAAGTCTTAACTCATTTCAGAATTAACCCAAAAGTCCACAGTCCAAAGTCTCATCTGAGATAAGGCAAGTCCCTTCTGCCTATGAGCCTGTAAAATCAAAAGCATGCTAGTTACTTCCGAGATAAAATGGGGGTACAGGTATTTGGTAAATACAGCCATTCCACATGGGAGAAATTGACCAAAACAAAGGGGTTACAGGGCCAATGCACATCTGAAATCAAGCAGGGCAGTAAAATTTTAAAGCTCCAAAATGATCTCCTTTGACTCTGGGTCACGCTGATGCAAGATGTTGGTTCCCATGGTCTTGGGCAGCTGCACCCCTGTGGCTTTGCAGGGTACAGCCTCCCTCCTGGCTGCTTTCATGGACTGGCACTGAGTGTCTGCAGCTTTTCCAGGCACACAGCGCAAGCTGTCAGTGGATCTACTATTCTGGGTTCTGGAGGAGGGTGGCCCTCTTCTCATAGCTCCACTAGGCAGTGCCCCAGTAGGGACTCTGTGTGGAAGCTTCAACCCCACATTTCCCCTGCACACTGCCCTAGCAGAGGTTCTCCATGAGGGCCCCACCCCTGCAGCAAACTTTCGCCTGCACATCCAGGCGTTTCCATACATCTTCTGAAATCTAGGCAGAGGTTCCCAAACCTCAATTCTTGACTTCTGTGCACCTGCAGGCTCAACACTACATGGAAGCTGCCAAGGCTTGGGGCTTCCGTCCTCTGAAGCCACAGCCTGAGCTGTATGTTGGCCCCTTTCAGCCACAGCTGGAGCGGCTGGAACACAGGGCAGCAAGTCCCTAGGCTGCACACAACACAGGGACCCTGGGCCCAGCCCATGAAACCATTTTTTCCTCCTGGGCCTCTGGGTCTGTGATGGGAGAAGCTGCTGTGAAGGTCCCTGACATGGCCTGGAGACATTTTCCCCATGGTCTTGGGGATTAACATTAGGCTCCTTGCTACTTATGCAAATTTCTGCAGCCAGCTTGAATTTCTCCCCAGAAAAATGGGTTTTTCTTTTCTATCATATAGTCAGGCTGCAAATTTTCCAAACTTTTATGTTCTGCTTCCCTTATAAAACTGAATGCTTTTAACAGCACCCAAGTCGCCTCTTGAATGCTTTGCTGCTTAGAAATTTCTTCTGCCAGATACCCTAAACCATCTTTGTCAAGTTCATAGTTCTACTGATATCTAGGGCAGGGGCAAAATGCTACCAGTCTCTTTGCTAAAACATAACAAGAGTCACCTTCACACCAGTTCCCAACAAGTTCCTCCCCTCCATCTGAGACCACCTCAGCCTGGACCTTATTGTCCATATTGCTATCAGCATTTTGAGCAAAGCCATTCAACAAGTCTCTAGGAAGTTCCAAACTTTCCCACATTTTCCTTCTTCTGAGCCCTCCAAACTGTTCCAACCTCCACCTGTTACCCAGTTCCAATGTTGCTTCCACATTTTTGGGGTATCTTTTCAGCAATGCCCCACTCTATTGGTACCAATTTACTGTAATAGTCCATTTTCATGCTGCTGATAGAGACATACCCGAGACTGGGAAGAAAAAGGACTTACAGTTACACATGGCTGGGAGGCCTCAGAATCATGGTGGGAGGGGAAAGGCACTTCTTACATGGTGGCAGCAAGAGAGAATGAGGAAGAAGCAAAAGTGGAAACCCCTGATAAACCCATCAGATCTCGTGAGACTTATTCACTATCACAAGAATAGCATGGGAAAGAACAGCCCCCATGATTGAATTACCTCCCCCTGGGTACCTGCCACAACATGTGGAAATTCTGGGAGATACAATTCAAGTTGAGTTTTGGCAGGGGGACACAGCCAAACCATATCAACTACCATCCGTGGACTCATAGAATGTCTTATCCACTATCATGGTATTCCATACAGCATTGCATCTGACCAAGGCACTCACTTTACAGCTAAAGAAGTGTGGCAGTGGACTCATGCTCATGGAATTCACTGGTCTTACCATGTTCCCCATCATCCTGAAGCAGCTGGATTGACAGAATGGTGGAATGGCCTTTTGAAGTCACAATTGCAACACCAACTAGGTGACAATACTTTGCTGGGCTGGGACAAAGTTCCCCAGAAGGCCATGTATGCTCTGAATCACCATCCAATATATGGTACTGTTTCTCCCATAGCCAGGATTCACGGGTCCAAGAATCAAGGCACTGAAGTGGAAGTGGCACCACTCACCATCGCCCCTAGTGATCCACTAGCAAAATTTTTGCTTCCTGTTCCCACAGCATTACGTTCTGCTGGCCTAGAGATCTTAGTTTCAGAGGGAGGAATGCTGCCACCAGGAGACACAACAACAATTCCATTAAACTGGAAGTTAAGATTGCCACCTGGACACTTTGGGCTCCTCCTACCTTTAAGTCAACAGGCTAAGGAGGGAATTACAGTGTTGGCTGGGGTGATTGACCCAGACCATCAAGATGAAATCAGTCTACTACTCCACAACAGAGGTAAGGAAGAGTGTACATGCAATACAGGAGATTCGTTAGGGCATCTCTTAGTATTATCATGCCCTGTGATTAAGGTCAATGGGAAACCACAACAGCCCAATCCAGGCAGGAATACAAATGGCCCAGACCCCTCAGGAATGGTTTGGGTCACTCCACCAGGAAGAAAACCACGACCTGCTGAGGTGCTTCCTGAAGGCAAAGGGAATACAGAATGTTTAGTGAAGAAGGTAGTCATCAACACCAGCTACGACCACATGACCAGCTGCAGAAACGAGGACTGCCAATTGTCATGAGTATTTCCTTCTTTTGTTAAAAACATGTTTGTGCATGTATACACTTGCACTAAGAAATATCTTCATTTTATTTCCTTTTTCCTTTATCAAGTGACATAAGATTTATTGACCTCATATCAGCATTTAGGTATTGTTAACTTTATGTAATAGTATTTGGATTGGGGATGAGTGCATTTCCGGTTGTACGAAGGATAGTTGTATTACGTTAGGTGTAATTATGACCTTATTATTGCTTTTATTTGAAGATTATGTATGATCTCAGGAGATGTGTATGGGTTCAAGTTGACAATGGGTGGATTCGTGATGGTTAATACTGAGTGTCGACTTGATTGGACTGAAAGATGCAAACTATTGATCCTGGGTGTGTCTGAGAGGGTGTTGCCAAAGGAGATTAACATTTGAGTCGGTGGGCTAATGCTTAATAAACTCATATATATATATATATATATATATATATATATATATATATCCTTGATATGTATATATAAAATTTCTCTGTTTTTTAAGCTAATTCTCTCACCCACTTACTCAGCCTCGCCTCATCAGCACCGTGTTCCAGACAAATAACATAACATGGAAGGTCTGATTTTTAAAAAGTGCATTGTTATTTGGAATCTTGTAGCAAGATGAATATAGCAAAGCAAATTCAAGCAAACATAATTGCCCTGTTGAGAGGTTAAGCACTATTCTAAAAAGACTATCATGGCATAAAACCCATTCTGATTCCTTCTCCAGCACTGTGCCCTGGGTACCCAGGCAGCTTACAAGCCCCACAACACACTCTCAAATATTAGCTAGCTAACATCATCATTATCATTGTTATTCCTGAGCCTGATCACCTCCTCTATTCAGTAGACAGGACTCCAAATGACTCTGAACTCTTTTCAACCTAAAGCTGCCTCAAAAGCCAAAGATTTGCCATCCCAGAGCGCATTCTGAAGGCAGCTCTCCCAAAGCTGTCAGATGCCACTTGGAGATGGCAGCACCTTGGGAACAAGGGTTCAACATGCAAGAATGACTCCTGTGCAAAAGGTGTTTGTGCGTGACTTTTTGGCACATTTTTCGAAAAAGCAGTCTCATGGGGTTATGGGCACAGCTCACATTGTACCTGGGCCATCACAGATGTCTTCCACACAATCCGTCAGGATCTGGACTGCCTGCCTTATACTGCCTGCCTTATACTTGGTCCCAAATGCTTCCAAGACAATTACCCTAATATTTAAGAAACAAACCACAGGGCAAACAGATTCAGCCGGATATGGTGAGAAGAATGCTGAAGTTAGAAGAGGCTCACTCAGACTCAGCTATCACGTGCTGTGTGGGCTTAGGACAGTCATGACCCCTCTCTGGAGGTTCGTCTCTTCTTACATAATATGAGAAGGCTGGACTAAAGGACCTCTAAGACGCTTTTCTTGGGTTATTAGAAACTATTGGAAATGGTGAAAAACAGAGGAGCCGCAGAATTATCCGGATAAAGTGGCAGGTGTGGGCGGTACAGGGAAAAGAGAAAGAGAAAGCCCGGAGACCTGGGAGGAGGGCCTGGGAGAAGTTACAACAGCCTGGGGGCAGCCCCACTGAGAAATGGGACCCCCGCTGCTCCTGGGGCCAAGGCAGGCTTCTCAGCCCAAGCTAAGCAGCCTCTCCGTGGGGGGCATTTGCTTGTTTTGTTCTTTGCTGCCGACCAAGGGAGCTGTTGAAAGCACGGGGCGGGAGCCGCCTCAGCGCCCGTCAGCACCCTGCCCGCGGGCTGGGGTCCTTACCCATCGTGTTGTTGGCTCGGGAGCAGGCTGTGCGCTTCAGGATCTCGTGCACCTAAAAGGGGACGACAGCAGAGCTGTGAGCTCCTAGTTCCCCCCCGCCCTCCACCGTGTGTCACCCTCACCACTGCCTGGCAGGGGCGGGAGGCGCCCGGGCTCATTTGGAGCCAGGACGAAGCCAAGCATGTGCCTGGCTCATGGCCCGCACATCAACCCCACTCAGACTTGAGGACTTTGAGGAAACAAGGGATGTAAGGCCCGCGCACACATCCCCCGCCCCTTCGCCCCACCCTGAGAAAAACAAATGAATAAAAGGCTAGAAATGGACGGCAGTCACAGGAAGTAAGGAAAACAGAGGAGCCCACCCCAGACCACATAGCCTCGGGAGGGCTGGGAGGAAGCCCTGGGTCTGTGGAGTAGGGCACAGTGTCTGCCGCCCACGTCGGGGAACCTCAGGGAAGGCGGGGTTCTGTCTGGCGGGTCCCGGGGAGGGGCGGGCCCCCTCCCCCAGCCTGGAGCCCGGCTGACAGGGAGAGCCAGTGTGGTAGCAGAAAGCTCCGAACGTGGAGGTAGGTGCAGAGGGTCCTGAGCAAACGCCAAGAGGGTCAGCTTGCATCTGTAATGGGGCCATCTCGCCCACCTGCTCGGGGACGCCAGCCAGACCGTGCACAGGAAAGTGCTCTGCAACAGCAAAGGAGCTACCTCTATGTTGGTCATTGATGTCTTTATTTCTCTGGTTTTTTCCTGGGTCCTCATCTTGCCTCCCTGATCAGAGCATATCATACACTTCCTTGAAGATTCATGTCTTAGAGCACAGTCCTAGGCACACAGCAGCTGCCGACTCAGTGGCTTTGCCTGCCTGAAGCCCTACATGCCCAAAACAGCCTACAGAATCCCCTGGCCTATGGGGCCTGCAGGGGACTGTGTTTCTTACATGGGAGGAAAGGGGTGCTTCCCACAAAAGAATCAGGGAGGGACAAAGGTGGGTCAGTGTAAACCTGCTGGCCAACGAGTGACCTCCTGAGTTCCCAGCCTATGCCAGTCTATAAAGAGATGCCCAGCAATGAAGTCTGCTTTGCAACAAACAGCTGAGGTGCTCAGACACCCACAAAGAAGCAGGCACAGAGGAGACATCCACAGATGTGGGTGAGGTCCTCCAACCAAAGTCCAGGGCAGAATAGACCCCAGGAAAAAACTCAAGGCTCTTTTCCCCTGTTCTCAATGTGGGGTGGACTGAGGAAAGGAAGATGCTTCCAGAAGGAGAGATGAATGCTAGAAGAAGTGTTATTCCATCATTATTTACATTCCCATATTCCAGCCACAGCCTAAAGGGAGTGGTAAATAAATAACTACGGGGCCCAAGAGTGTTTAATTCTGCTCCTAATATAGTGCAGTAATTCAACAGCAATAATAATTAGGAACAGCACTTATATGGCATTGTATTATTTTACGAGTACTTTGCAATTATCGAGTAATCTCCACAACACCTTATAACTCCCCCACAGTCGTGGGACCCAAGCCACAGTGAGATTTAATTGGTTTGTAATAGCATCAACCAAGAAAATGGGACGTTAATGCCTTTTTCCATTGGAAAAAAAAAGAGATCTATGCCCATTTTAACTCTGCCTAAAACACTAGGCTAAGGGATCTGAGATGTCCTTGCCCATCCTGCAAGTAAGAGTTAACGCCATGTTTGCAGTGTGCCTGGGAAATAGCCTAGCCTCCTCTAATCACCTGTCCCTTCTTATTCATATATTTTCTTACCACCCTATTAGCTGGGAGATCCTTCTAGGTATCTAATCCTCATTCCTCCTGTGGAAACTTCAGTTCTTTGGTAAGGATCAATGGAAATGCACTTCCATACGTCCCATGTGGGCATGTGTAAGTTTCTGGCATTCCTTGGGCCCCTCTTTCTCTCTTCTGCCCATAGGCTATGTGACCTCTAGGGTGATAGAGAATAAACTGATCGGTGAATGAAGATGTTCTACAGCTCATGCAGAGGCCACAGAAACACAGGCCATATGCAGATTTTTATTAGAACCAATCATCCTACAAAATTCAAACACTTGACATGAAGGCAAAACGACTGTAGAAGAAGAGCTACGGTCACAAGCGTTGGCTTTCTATTGAATGGGCTGGTGATATTATTCTTGCGCAAATTGGCTAACTAGCATTCCTTGTTATAGAAATTCACATGACTCTGTCATGGGAGTTGAAAGAAGGGAAAATGCATAAACAAACACAGTGGCCCAACAATCAGAAGGACTAGTTCTAACGCTAACGATCCTTGTTCTGACGCTAACGATCTATATAATTTTTTTTCAATGCATTGCTTCTCAGAGCCTCAGTTTCCTCAATTGTAAATCAAGGGGTTCACCTAACTAACACCCGCACCAACTATGACCTTCTCTGTTTTTCTTTTTTTTCTAAGAAGAACTTTAATGGAGAACCCATAAAGAGAAGACGCTCCTCTTAAACCACGAGTGAGGGCAGTTATTTGCTGTTTCTTTTGGGGAATGGGGAAGCTCTTGCATACTCTTCTCTGTTGCTAGGCAACTCCAAGCAAATAACGGTGTGAGGTGGCAGGGAGGGTAAGAGAATGCCCTGCCAACTAGGAACTCAGCCCTTTCCCCATCCTCTTTCCTAACACAGTACATCCATTTACTTACAATGCGGCTGCGGGTGGCATTATCAAAGAAGGTGTCCTTTTCCTGGATGTTGTACCTGGAGACACCAAGAGAGCAGATGGCAAATTCATTTCATTACCCTTGCCCTGAGACCACTGCCACCCCAGACCCACAACAAATCTTTAGAAAGCAACATAGCAAGACTTATGAGGTGCACACACACACGATGTTTATGCCCTTCTTGACTCAGTAATTCTAAAAACGTATTCTAGAAATTTATCTTAGGGAAGAAACTCAACACAAGGAAAGAAAAATAACATAAATAAAAATGCTTATTGAAAAGGTATTTATAACAAAGATTATAGCAATAAGATGCAATGCCCAAATCTATAGGATAGGGTATCATGCAGTCATTGAAATTTATAATTATGAAAACTTTGTGTAAAGAAAAAGATTACACCATGTTAGAAAAATATTATATGATGATAAGGTTCCAAATGGAAAGTATGTAGAAAAGATACTGGTGCATGAACAAAGACAGTGAAAAATACAAAACAAAAAGGGTATCATTTCAGGGTGTTGGATTATCACTCTGATTCTTCAAAATTTGATTTAATGTCACTGTCATCTCATCCATTAGAAAAATCTTAATTATGCAAGGGCTGGGTCTGTTTTTAACTTCATATACTGAGCTTTCACTCAGAAAATAGCACATGGGGCATGTTTGTCATGCTGAGGAAGCTGTGCTAGAGGATGCACTGATGAAGGAAGGAAATACGCTCCCAGCACCCCAGGAGCCCCAGTCACTGGAAGGTACATTTCTCCAAGTAACTGACACAGAGTAGAACATAGTAACATGCAGACCATTGCTATGAAAGTTCAGAGGGTGAAGCGCGTGCTTCTGGTTGGGAAGAGCAGAATATCCTTCAAAAGGAAGGTGTTGATGAACCAGTCTTGAAGGACAACAGAAGTAAAACGAACGGAGGTGCATGTGAAGTGACCATTCAGATGCCAGCACCAGCATAAATGAAGGCCCAGGGAAGGGGATGCAGGGAAGCACCACAGGACACAGAAAGAGCAGCAAGCCACCAGTCACCATGCAAGGCCCAGCTCAGCCACTTAGGGCGGTATGACCCTGGATGGACCTAGACTTTGGTATCTATAATAGAAGATAGTTAGATCTGGCCCGCCACCACGCAAGGGGACATGAGGACTCAATGAGAGGGTAAATATATGCAAATGAAACAGCATATTCATGTGTGTAGGATAATATCAAACACAGCAGAGATGGATAGGAGATGGTCTCTTATGGACAGCAGAAACACTGCTCCACAACTTCCACCTCCTAAAATGAGAAGGTCCTTCTTTCTGTCCTCTCTGCCCTTCCATGCCCCGGCCTTTCCCTCTCTTGCTCCATTTTCTCATCACCCTCGATGGTTGTTTATTTTCTCCTTAGCTCCTAGAGCAAAGTTGATGCTTGGCGGCTGCATCTCCCACTTCCCAGCTGTGGCTCCCCCTTCCAAACGTTTCCAAGTGGCTATCTCTGTGAAGAGCTTTTATTCACTCTTCCTAGGCAGGGTGCAGGGACAGGGAAAGACCCCTGAGAGTCAATGAGTGTACAAGTAGGCAGCTGGAATCCAGAAACCCAGAAGCTTCATCCACCTTCTTTCTGGTTTATCATATCCTGTTGAAACCCTATTAGACTGGCAATTGGGCAGAAGGTTTTCCTACAGAAGATACACAGGTGTCTGACCACTTTCTCACACAGTTCCAAAGTTTATTGTTGGCTGCTCCCTGGTTTGCCCTCCATCCTGCAAAATGGTGAAATGGTGGATTTCCTGCTGGACAAGCACCCTTGGCTGTTTGGGACAATCTCACATGGGGAGGGGGTTCACAAAGCAGGCACAGGGACAATGTCACCATGAGAGCATGCTTCCTACTCTCTCTCCCAGGCACTGGGGCACCCACTTTGGGAGCCCCAGGGCTGAGTCATAGAACAGTATTCAATTTTCCTTCCTATCCCTTCCCACATCTCTGCTCCAGCAGCTTCAATACTCACAGGTACATCTTCTCCCTGGAGAATGGGTAGGAGAGGTTTTTCATCTTGTTGTTGCTGTGTTCTGGAACTCGGGGCTGCAGGTGCGAGCTCAGCTTCTGCAGAGCCGCGCTGAACTTCTTTGCAATGCTGCCTCCTGCTTTGATCTCGTACATCTATGAAAGGAAGAGCCACAGGTCTGAAAAGGGGGCCACTTCCAGCAGAGAGGAATGGCTTCACAAAAAAAAGCTGCATGGACACAGATTCCCAGAGGTGAACATTGGAGAGAGGAAGAGACTGGGAGAAACAAGAAGGAGGGCCTTTCCCTTTTCCCCAGTGCTCTCACAAGGACCTGGACTCCTGACTCCTCTCAATCCTTTGAGCTCATGGAGGTGAGCAGTGTAGAGAAATAAGTGAGGAGTACAAACTTTCTATATGACTCGATATCATCTTAGAAAAACTGCACACCTACAATGTGACCCTAGTAGGTGCTTGACACAAATTAACTCCAATGCTTACAGCAACCCTGCTGGGTAGGTAATACTATTTCCATATGATGAGGCAATTAAGGCTCAGAGAGGTGAGGCGAATTAACAAAGGCCACATAGATAGGAACTGGGTGACAGAGCTTGGATTTAACTCATGTCAACCTAATCCAAAGTCTATACTCTAAAACTGCGCCACGCTTCTATGTGATCATCCAGCATCCCGTTCTTTATGTTTTTCTTAGGAAATATCTGTGTTTAAATGAGTTTGCTTTCAAAGTATTAAACATTTAATGAGTACCTGCCTTGAGTAAGGCATAGATTTAGTACCAAGGTAATTGTTAATATTTATAGTGCATACTGTTTTTTTTATAATGCATAGCATGCTTTGCACACATTATAGCTTTGGATCTTTATAACCTGCAAATGGAGTCATTGAGACACAGAAGTTGTATTTCTCATAGCAAAGCTGTGATAAATTGATGATGGCCACAGATTTTTCACACATATTCTTTTAAGAGGTAGCATCTCTGTTCCCACCCCCCTTGAATCTGCATTGGATCTGTGGATGTTTAACCAGTGGAGTATAGCAGGAGTGATACTATGCCAGTTCCATCCTTTAGAACAGGGGTCCCCAATCCCCGGGGCCACAAACTGACCGGTACTGGTCCATGGCCTGTTAGGAACTGGACCACACAACAGGAGGTGCGTGGTGGGTGAGCAAGCATTACCGCCTGAGCTCTGCCTCTTGTCAGATCAGTGATGGCATTAGATTCTCATAGGAGCGTGAACCCTATTGTGAACTGCACATGTGAGGGATCTAGGTTGCGTGTTATTTATGAGAATCTAATGCCTGATGATCTGAAGTGGAACAGTTTCATCCTGAAACCATCCCTGCCACCACCACCCCTACCCTTGGTCCATGGAAATATTGTCTTCCGTGAAACCAGTCCCTGGTGCCAAAAAGGTTGGGGACCACTGCTTTAGAAGACAGGCAGCCTCAGCCTTGGTCCGCCTTATCCCTTGAAGCCCTGAATCACACCATAAGAAGTCTACGGAGGCGTCCTGAGAGTACCCAGTAAGGGAAAGGCACTCAGCTGAGCCCAGTCTTCCAGCTGCCCTGCCAAGCAGCAGGCATACAACTAAAGCCTTCCTGAACCCTCCCGTCCATCCCACCTCCAAGCTGGCTACCACCAAGTGACCCCAGTCAACACCACATGAAGCAGAATAATCACCCAGCCCAGCTCTGCCCAAGTTCCTGAACAAAAAATCATGAGATAAAATGAAATGACTGTTGCTTTAGGCTACTAAGTGTGGGCTAATCTGTCAGGCTGCAATAGACATCCAGAATAAGAGGCAACATCCAGACGCTCTGACTCAAAATCCTATTTCCTTCTCTACCATGATAGCTTCACGTTACTTCAATGCAGAGGGGCAGTAAGACTGGTATGAAATACTTGTCTTCATACTTGGGCACCTGAAATACTCACTAAGATAGGATGAGAAAATGCCACAAAAGATATATAAAGTACTTTGAGGGTTCAAAGAAAGGAGGCAGCACATTCAGTTGAGGAATTAGAAACATATTCGTTGAGGGAGTAGCATTTCAGTTGGATTTGGCAGAAGGGTAATCTTCTTCCATTACCATTTTGTTCTTTAATAAAATAATGATAAGTAAGGACAGGGCAAGAGCCTCCCCAGTCTAACAACTGAAACATAACCACAGTTTATTTAGTTCTTCTAAACCTTTTTCTATGCATTTTGATTTAATTTCAATTACAAAATTAACACAGTTCAGGTAAACGAACAAGCTTAAAACATTAAAGTATATTAACTAAACGTTAGGAGTTTCCTTTGACTTCCAACTCAATTCCCACCCTCCTCTCCAAAAGGAACCTCACTTAACCGTTTGGAATATATTTAATCCCTACTCTTTCCATATAGATAGAACTAGGTTCCTTCCTAAGCAACTGTGACCCTACTTCACATATTCCTCTATAATTTGCTTTTTTTTCATTTAGCATCATATCATAGATATCTTTCCAGGACAGTTTCCATACAGCTACTGTAATGGATGCGTAGTATTACACAGTAGACATGAATACTAATTTGTTTAGCCATTTCCCCAGTGACAGGCATTTATCTCATTTTATATATAAGTTTTATATCTTGTTTTGGTTCATATTTCTGTTAACATTCACTTATAAATAGTTTTGATTAATAAGGCTTAAACAGATACAGGAAAAGATATTCTAGGCAAACAAAAAAGTGGAAAGTTCAAGCTATGTTTAAGGAGGTTTACACGGGCTGGTTTGCTTGGACAAAGGGGTTCTGACGGGCAATAGTGACAATCTTCATGTGCAACAATCTTCTGTTGCCTTGTGCAGCAGATCTCCATGAAACTCAGTTGGGGCAAACTGAGATGAGTGCATGGAGATCTGCTACACAAGGCAGTGGAAGACACTGAACAGTGTGAACAGTGACAAAACCAGAGCTGTGAATTAAGAAGATAATCAAGTGAGTTGTGTAAGAAGACGAAGAGTAAGCCTGCCTTCCGAAACAAGGAGACTGTTGATTCTAGTAGCATATACGATTTACTAAGCATCTCCTGTGGGCCTGGCTTTCAATGTACTTTAGTGCTAATCTTAAAATATGTTGCAAAGCCAAGAGAGTTAAGTATCTCAGCCAAGATCACACAGATAGTGTAGACAAGCTAATAACCGATGGGGTTTAAAACCCCTGGCAAAGCCCGTGTTCTTGACTGCTTTACTCCACTGTTTGATTTGTAAAATGTGAGTTGTCATGGGAAAAGCAGTGTACAACTTACAATATTGCCTCTATTGTCGTAAGGTCTTGACCTTTCTACCAAACCTCTCCTTCACACACATTAGTCACTGCAATGCACAGAACTCACCTCTCAGGTGTCTCTGGCCTGGAGGGATGGAGACAGAAAGAAGACCACCTCACACTGTCACAGCACACCTCTTATAGGCCATTCAGTGCAGGTTCTGACCAGGCACCTGACCTGCACTGAGACTATGGAGTTCACCATACCATACCCACGTGTCTTTAAATGGCATGTGTGCGGTAATTAGTTTCAGAGTGGGAGGGAAGCTGATGGACTCTGTCCTCCAGATGCCTTTCAATGGCAGATTTGGACCAACCAGGACTATTCCTTTTCTGTCCACTCCTCTCCGTCTCCACCTCTGCTACCTAACCTAAACATCTTTTAGTAGTTTACAACAATAACTGGTCTATAACCAGTCTCTCCACATTTTCTCTTGCTAAGGGTTGCCAGATCGAACAAATAAAAATACAAGATGTCAAATTAAATGTGAATTTCAGATAAACAATGAATAATCTTTAGCATAATTAGGTCCCATGCAATATTTGCAACCTACTTAAAACTTTTTAAAAATACAGTTAAAACAATAAATTTTAAATGTAATTATATCCCATGTGGTATTTGGGACATATACTAACAAAGTATGCATTGTTTATCTGAAATTGAAATTTAACTAGGCATCCTGTGTTCTATCTGACATTTCTACTCTTGCCCACCTCCAATTCAGTCTCTACACTGGAGCCCAAGTGAGGTTTCTGAAGCAAAAATCTAATCTTCTTGCCTCCTCATTAAAAAGCCTTCAACAGTCACCCACTGCTCTTAGGAAAAAGACCAAAACTCTTAACACATCCCATGGAACCTGTAGAAGTCTCCATATTGACCTTTCCGTGTAGTTCCTGCTGACTGCACCCAGACACTGGCTGAGCTGGGCACATCTCGCCCCTATGGCTCCCACCTCACCACCCCCTACCCGCTGGCTCACCAAGCTCTGTTCACACTGAGGTCTCGTGTTATTGTCACTTCCTGGGAAAAAGCCTTTTTTGGCTTCCAAACAATGGCAAGTCCCACCTTCACTGTATTTCATAAGCCCTAATTCCTTTTTTTATAACACTTATCACAGTTGTAATTTTATACTTATTTGAGTGATTGATGAATGTCCAGCCATCCCTACCAAACCATAATCCCATGAGGACAGGATACTGTCCAAAATGTTCCCTATTGTTTTATGAATGAATGAATGAGAAATCTCTGGAGAACCAGCATTGATGACAGCAGTTGCTGTCACTGGAGGAGCCCAGACTGGGATCCAAACAGTCATAAGACAACTGGTCTGGTTTTGGTAGAAATAAACCAGGCTAGAGGTGAGCCAAAAGCCTAAGGCCTCTGATAGGCCAAAAGCCTCCCCCTCCTGCCCCTACCAAGTGCAAAGGCACCCAGGAGTGCAGCATCCACGGGGCCAGGAGTGCAGCAACCACGGGGCCAGGAGTGCAGCACCCACGGGGCCAGGAATGCCTGCATTTAGTTGATGCAGATTTCTTTTTTTTTTTTTTTTTTTATGATTCCTGCCTTTTTTTTTTTTTTTAAATTATACTTTAAGTTTTAGGGTACATGTGCACATTGTGCGTTAGTTACATATGTATACATGTGCCATGCTGGTGCGCTGCACCCACTAACTCGTCATCTAGCATTAGGTATATCTCCCGATGCTATCCCTCCCCCCTCCCCCCACCCCACAACAGTCCCCAGAGTGTGATGTTCCCTTTCCTGTGTCCATGTGATTCATTGTTCAATTCCCACCTATGAGTGAGAATATGCAGTGTTTGCTTTTTTGTTCTTGCGATAGTTTACTGAGAATGATGGTACATGACGAAATGAAGGCAGAAATAAAGATGTTCTTTGAAACCAACAAGAACAAAGACACAACATACCAGAATCTCTGGGACGCATTCAAAGCAGTGTGTAGAGGGAAATTTATAGCACTAAATGCCCACAAGAGAAAGCAGGAAAGATCCAAAATTGACACCCTAACATCACAATTAAAAGAACTAGAAAAGGAAGAGCAAACACATTCAGAAGCTAGCAGAAGGCAAGAAATAACTAAAATCAGAGCAGAACTGAAGGAAATAGAGACACAAAAAACCCTTCAAAAAATTAATGAATCCAGGAGCTGGTTTTTTGAAAGGATCAACAAAATTGATAGACCGCTAGCAAGACTAATAAAGAAAAAAAGAGAGAAGAATCAAATAGACGCAATAAAAAATGATAAAGGGGATATCACCACCGATCCCACAGAAGTTGATGCAGATTTCTAACCCATCAATTGTTTCAGGGTCTGGCTCTGGCAGACGTTCAGCTGAGAACCTCCAGGCAGTTCCTGAGCCTCACCTTGGCAATAGATCTGCTAGGGCTCACCTAGAGAAACGGGCTAAAGGGAGTGGGCTCCCACGCTGTTTTTACTGGGACCAGGAGTGGGACTGGGGTAAGTTTCAACTGTTTCTTGATGGAGGATGCTCCATATCACTGAAAGGAATATTGTTGGCTGCCTTCAAGAGTGTGGAAGGCCAGAGTCCCACCAGAAACCTCATGGTAACATCAACTGCATAGCCCTGAACAAGACCCTACACAAACATCCCCAGGCTGAAACACCACAGCAGACTTGTGTTGGAAGAAATTTCCAGACTTCAGGGACTCTGTCGGGGGATGGAGCAGGTTCATATCCACAATAAAACACACATAGGTCTCCCCCGTAGTACACACCATACACACTGGTCTTGAGGCGAGGGACCTGCTTCCTGTCTCCGAGCTGTTGTGTGTGTTACCTGTTCCTGAGACTTCTTCCCTCCTCTCCCGCCTGGATGACTCCTGCCTCTCCTTCACCGCAAGGCTCATGTGCCAACCCTCCCAGGAGCCCTTCCTTGCCCTCTCACTTCCTTCCATGCTTCCTTGGTACCCTGTGGATGAATACCCGCCTCATAAAATACATTGTGGTTTGCTTTCCTTGACTTAAGCATCTGTCTCAAATTCTCAGTTGATTTGTCTGTCTGCCCAACAAACCATGGACTTACGGAGAGCAGGGACCCTGCCTGTGTGCTGGCACACAGTGGGGACAGGAGGCTGCCTCTTTGCTGACACCAATGAGATGTGCAGCTTTGAGCAAGTCATACCCTTCTCCCAGCTTCTTCATCTCCGAAGGGAAAACAAGGGAAACTCTACTTCCTACCATGATGGAGTAACAGGGACCCATTTACTCTCCTGCCTAAAACAACCAAAACACCCAAACAAAATACATGAAATAATGATTTTCAAGATACTGGACATCAGGCAATGAAAGGCAGTGATCCCTGAGAGATGGGAGACAGACAAGGGGAGCCCTGTGAGTCCAGCTCGCTGCCTTGGGAGAGGAGGGGAGAGAGGTGGAGCCCAAGAAACTCCCTGAGTTGAGAAGACTGAGCTCTAAGTCTGGGGAGAGCAAGACAACTAGAGTTCACAGGACAGAGCACCCCAGAGAGCTACAGAAGGTCCCCTGTGAGTATTTAGCCCATGAGTGTGAGGAAAGTACCCAAGACTGGAGAGAGAACTGTCTGAAAGGGAACAGCACTTATGCCCACCAGCTGTACAGGAAAATTCCCTGATTCACAGGGCACTGGGTAGTGTGCTCAGATGACTCGGCAATGGAGGATAATCTGCCTTAGACTGAGCGCTACTCCAGACTCACCTAACAAATTATAAAAGAGAGAACTGGACTAAATACTTTAAAAAGTATTGTCCAAGGCTACCACTCCATGGCTCTGAACATTTAATGAAAAAGAAACATTCATTCATGGCACAAGCATCTCTGGGTACCTCCTAGATGTCCAGTCCTGAGCTTGGTGGTTGATTGTGGTAAGCCCTGGAGAAACACAAGGATGATAACAAACCCTTCCATGTATGGAATGTTTTGCAGTGTACCCAGCACTTCCCTGAGCATCATTTCATCCACGGTCCATACAAACTCTGTCAGGTGTGCCTGCCAGGTAGGATTAGCATCTCTACCTTATAGATGAGAACACTGAGACTCAGAGGGGCTGGGAATGGCCACAGTCAGTGGTAAAATCATGCCAGGAGCCCAGGCTTCCTGCCTTCCCCTTCTGGAGCCCTTTACTTCAACCTAACATCCTTTGATCCTTGGCTGGGCTCCATGGACTGCCCCTGAGAAGAAAGTAGGCTGTAGTGCCCCTTTCCACCCTGGCCAAACCCAGCAGCCCAGGCTCTCCTCTTTACTTCGGCAGGATTCAGGAAAGACACCCCAATCCTCTTTATTATTATTAATACAATCAGCAGTGGCATCATTATTACTGTCATTCTTGGATATCAGAGAATTATGAACAACCTCAGAAATGGCGAGACACATGTTAGCCAGCTGTTCCCCATTATGCCCTCCCTGGGTACATGATACGCCTTTCATGTGCTTAAAATCATAAATAATTTTTAAAATATGTTGCTGTTATTTTTTATTCCAGGGCTCAAATGTGGTTCTCATAAAAGCTCACTTGGGCCTCACTGTTACAGTCTAAGGGGTTTACTGTCTTTTCTTACTTCTTTTTTCCTTCTTGTCTCCCTCAGCCTCTCCTCTGCAGAGGGGCACAGCAGTGTGGTCTGAGGGCTGATTTGTTTCCTTTTTATATTAAAATCATGTGCTTTCCTGGGGTGCGGGGAATGAAGCTGCATATATTGGACAGTATACAAGGCACTGTCCCCATTTTACAGATTAAAAAACACTGAGGCACAGAAAGTTTTACTAACATGCCCAAGGTGCACAAACATTGGGAGATCCAATGACCCCGAAGATCAAGGAAAAGGTCTAACAGTATAAGATAAAAACAACATAATCTTAATGACCCATGAGTCACTAATATCTGCAGAGGCCTAAGAGTGTCTCTCCCAGCAACAGGCAGGAAAGGTCACCCAGGAGGAATGCAGACCAGACCTAAGAACAGAACGTGTGCTGCAGCTGGGAGCACACGTGTTGACAGAAATTAACACCCATCGTCCGCCTCTTTTTATTTATTGATGCTTTCCTCTGCTCCTCCTCCAGTCGCTGGATCATCGAAGTTCCATAGTTATTACTTATGGTATCTCACTCATCTTGAGAGGTAGGGCTGGGCTGAAGACGATCATTATACCTTTCTACTCACCCTAAAGGCTCAGACACACAGAGAAGCCGAACAATAGGAAAGGGGTGCAAGTCACCAGCTGGGCAAGGATGGAAGATTCTGGAGCTGAAGAAGGGAGGAGCAAGAGAAGCCAAAAATGCCATGGAGTTCACCCACTGCTCTCCCCGCCAGGTGGTGCCTGCGAGAGGCACACAGGCACACGCTGAGCCAGGACCTGAGGGGTTCCATGCTGCTGAAATCTGTCCCTGCTCGCTTGCTGCACATTCACGCATGCAAGAGAGCATTAAGCCTTTCAGCGATCAAAAGGGAAACAGCGCCAGGAGCAGCCAAGGTCAGCTACAACCTGGAGCCAAAGGAAGACTTTCTCTGTGCACACCAAGAACAGCGAGAACAGGGGCTGCCCATTCCCCTCCACCCCACCTGTGTCCACAGGTAAGTTTCCCCTCAGCAACAACACTGAGTGTAGACAGACAGTGATACACTTACACAATGCACATTCTCTAGTGTCTAGTTCTGTATTTGTTTATGGTTTTTGATTCTGTTGTCAGTAGGTCCTCTACACATGAATGAATGTTTGCTGACTTATAAAAGTTGGGATTAAAACCAAACTTTTAAAATTACATGGCTGACAAGGCCTCTTAGGCGCCATGCCTGCTGCCTCCCTCGGCAGCCTCAGCCCCTGCCCCTCTCTCTGAGCTGCTCCCACCCTGGCTCCCCTTGGTTCCACACGCAGTCCAGGGTTTTCTTACCTTGGGGCCTGTGGGCATGTCCTTCCCTCTTCTGGAAGGTTCTCACCTGATCTTCCCACCCACAGACTCCTACCCAGTGCTCACATTTCAGCTTAAATGGCGTCTTCTCTTCCTCTCCCCCACTTTCATCTAAATGATTCTCCTCTGGTTGGCTCTCTTGTCATAACCCAGTCTTTTTCTTCTGTTGGTGCCTCCTAATTTATTTTACTTTTTATTTTTTATTTTTTTGAGACAAGATCTCACTCTGTCACCCAGGCTGGAGTGCAGTAGTATGATTATAGCTCGCTGCAGCCTCAACCTCCTGGGCTCAAGTGATTTTCCCACCTCGGCCTCCTGAGTTGCTGGGACCACAGGTGCATGCCACCATACCCAGCTAACTTCTTAAATTTTTTTTAGTTTTAGTAGAGATGAGGTCTTGCTTTGTTGGCCAGGTTGGTCTTGAACTCCTGGCCTCAAGTGATCCTCCTGCCTTTGCCTCCCAAAGTGCTGGGATTACAGGTGTAAGCCACCATGGCCAGCCTTGCCTCCCAATTTATAACTAGCCATACAACATCTGAATCCTCCCCACACCAGTGGGGCCAGGGAACAGTTATTAGCACCACTATATCACCAGCCCTCAGCAAAGTACCTGGTGTATGGTAATACTCAATAAATATTCATTGGATGGTCGGAGGGGTGGATGGAAAACGTAACTTTCCACAGGATCTCTTACACACAGTCTGTCCCCATTAACTGAAGGAGTCCTTTAGCAAAGGACGCAGATCAGGGCAGCTATAATGCTACATGTGCCACCATGATGCCCTGCCCTTTTCTCGCAGGCAGCCCTCAGGGAGCACAGGATTCCTGCCTATTGCCCTTGGATGGAGCCTCCGAATCCATCTCAGCATCACCCTCCAGCACGCCACCACCACTGGGTGAGATCTGGTGTGCATGACTCACTCTTTCGTTCGCTACCAGCATTTATTTAGTGCCTGCTGTACACCAGGCACTGTTGTGGGTGCTGCTGATAAAACGGTTTAGATTAACTTGCTATTGTAACACATTTTCATATTTTTAACGTCACTGTTTCTGGGCCCTGAGTCACACTTGTCCACTGAAAGGCCTCCACGTAGTCAACCGGGCCTGGGGTCTTCCCAGGCTCATACGCACATCCGCCACACGGCCGTGACCATCTCAGGTTCCTCACAGGAACTGCAGCACTTAGGTACCACCAATTATTTTTTCTTATTTTTGACAGTGAGAAGCATTACAGAAAACAAAATGAATAAAAAGCATTCTGCACTCTTTCCAGTCTATTTAAACAGCAATCAAAGCAATCAAAGAGCATGCACTGAAAAGCCCATAAAGGTATTAAATATAAACCCTACCCTCCCAGCTGTCCCTCTATTGAAAACAAATGTTAGAGAACAGGTAATGACAGCAAGAGAAAGACCCCACCTATAGCCAACCAACCCTATGTAAACGGCATCAGTTCTAGCTCATTTAAAAAGTTACTGACAATAATAATAACAAGAATCTGTCCAGAAAGTCATGTTGAAGACTGAGTTGGCAGCGAACCTCCTTCCCACGACCGAGGATCTGCAAGTTCTCCATCCTTAATAAAACTCAGGCCAGGCGCGGTGGCTCACACCTGTAATCCCAGAACTTTGGGAGGCCAAGGTGGGCGGATCACTTGCGGTCAGGAGTTTGAGACCAGCCTGGCCAACATGGTGAAACCCTGTCTCTAGTAAAAATACAAAAATGAGCCAGGCATAGTGGCGCACACCTATAATCCCAGCTACTTGGGAGGCTGCGGTATGAGAATTGCTTGAACCTGAGCGACAGAGTTTGCAGTGAGCCGAGATTGCGCCACTGCACTCCAGCCTGGGTGACAGAGCGAGATTCCATCTCAAAAAAAAAATAAAATAAAATAAAATAAATAAACAACAACAAACTCAGAGAATTTCTCCTGATTTTTCTTTCTGGATGTACTGAACTATCAAAAACAGTTCCGATAAAGGAAGGAGTTGGTCAGGGTGAGGAGGGAACGCGGGGCAATTCCTGTTGCCGAATTTCATAGGGCCAGTGTACAGCTGTGAGCTGAAACATCTCTTATCATCCTGAGCGACTCTGCTAGGGATCACAACCCAAACAAGATGCTGGGCAGAGGAAGCATCAATGGGTTAATCAACCTGGTGTTTATTGAGCAAATATTGTTTGAGGAACACCATACTAGAGTTTGCAGGGAACACGTAAGAGATATAAACCATAGTACTTGCTCTCAGGGGGCTTATGATATATTTGGAAACACAAGAGTTAGGACCTGAAGCAGCTGAAGAAAAACTAACAGGTAAGATAAATACTGACTGTTGACTAAGAGTCCGGAAAAGGTAATATCAGCTCGGGCTGAAGGAATAAAGAAAGGTCTATGAAGGAGGTGAGATTTAGGCTGGGCAGCAAAGGATGAGTAGTATATGTTTATTCAGACAGGAATGGGCAGAATATTCTAGGACTAAGGACAAATACTTAAAGCATTTGGAAAGGCTCCAGCCCATGGAGGAAAGAGTAAAGTACTCTGCTTGGACGAGAGTCTAAATCAGGGAGCTCCATCTAGGCTACACAGAGAGGTGTGGTTTGGAGAAGAGCAGTCCAGCATGGGTAAACCCAGAGAAAGCCCGGTGACATTACCAGGCTTGGGGACACAGGGCAGTTTCAGAATAGGCACCACAGGCAAAGTGTACTACTGTATTTAGAGCAAAGCTTGAAGAGGTGACAGACGTACGACACTTTTACTCTTAGATATCTGTGAACAATCAGAATGTAACTGACCCCAAAAGGTAACTGTCCTAAGGCCCCTCAGCCAACATCAATAACAGAGGAAAAAATACATTCACAAATTGTCATTTGCTTTACATGTAGACCACAGCATTTTAAAGCTATGGTAGATAATTCAGGAGCTAATCTTCTTACTGTACGGGTGAGAAAGCTGTCATCCAGGAATGTGGAATAACTCACTGAGCAAGACAATATCATTTTTAAAAATGACCATTGAAATCTGTTGCCTCTCCCAGACCAGGATTCTTTAATCTAGGATGGAATTCCCCAGAGTATGTTCTGCAGAACATTGGTTCCTCAGGATATTCATAGGTGTTCAAGTGTTCAGCAGAAAAAGGCCTGAAAAAAATTGAACCAGTTTTTGTGTGTTTGTTTGTTTGTTTGTTTGTTTGTTTGTTTTTACTACAAGGCTTCTCAAAACTTTGACTGTCCTGGTAAATTGTAATCATTAGTGTTTTCTGAATTTGTTCAACCATGAAATTTTTTTTTTTTTTTTTTTAGTAAAACCAAAGACTAGGCTGGGCATGGCACCTCACAGCTGTAATCCCAGCACTTTGGGAGGCAGAGGTGGGTGGATAACTTGAGCCCAGGAGTTCGAGACCAGCCTGGGCAACATGGGGGAAACCCCGTCTCTACCAAAAATTAGCCAGGCATGGAGGTGTGTGCCTATAGTCCCAGCTACTCAGGAGGCTGAGGTGGGAGAAACACCTGAGCCCAGGAAGTCAAGGTTGCAATAAACCGTGACTGTACCACTGCACTCCAGCCTGGGCAAGACTTTTTTGAAACTTTGTCTCAAAAAAGAAAAAAAAAATGGCCTGGCACTGTGGCTCACGCCTGTAATCCCAGAACTTTGGGAGGCCGAGGCAGTTGGATCACAAGGTCAGGAGACCGAGACCATCCTGTCTAACACGGTGAAACTCCATCTCTACTAAAAATACAAAAAATTAGCTGGGCGTGGTGGCAGGCACCTGTAGTCCCAGCTACTCAGGAGGCTGAGGCCGGAGAATGGCATCAACTCAGGAGGCGGAGCTTGCAGTGAGCCGAGATCGCTCCACTGCACTCCAGCCTGGGCGACAGAGTAAGACTACATCTCAAAAAAAAAAAAAAAAAAAATCCAAAAGAAGAACAAAGACTTTCATTCTAAAAAATATACTTTGAGAAATGCCATTCTAGACCACACTATCCACTACCTCAAGTCCAGTTATGGATTTTTCAGTAAAGTGAGAGAGCAGGAGCGTGGCTTTGGAGTCAGACAGACATGATTTTGAGTCCCTGACTATCTCCTTCAAGGTGTGTGCCCTTGGATAAGTTTATTAACCTCTCTGAGTTTCAATTTTCTCATCTATAAAATGAAGCTAACGGTCATATCTACCTCATGTCGTTGTTGTGAAGGTGAAAACAAATCACGTACATAAGGCTCTTACGAAATGGTCTAGCACATGGGATGCAGTATTAACTATATTTAAAACTCAATTAATTTATTTATCAACTTATACTTATAAGACTTTTGATCTCAAGATAATTTGTTTTGAGTGGCATAATTCAAAGCGGTTTTATGAATCTTTTTCCTCAAAGTCAAATGTAAGAATTATGAAATATGGACAAGCTTTAAAAGATGCTAATATCCTTCTTTGCAGACACCTCTTACTGAGGCAGAAGCTGTTACTTAAGCCAATTACTGTATTTGGATATAGAAGTATAAATAGGAAAATAATTCTTGAGTGGAGTAAGCTCTTCTTGACATGAGCCACATTGGGTCTCCTTCCACCATTCATAACAACGTGAGCCTCTACTTCTATTTCATCAAACAGGAATGGAACATGAAAAAGTCATCATAGACATGCCAAGGTCACGTAGGAAGATCCATGCACCAAGTCTCTTCCATAAAACTCCCAAACCCAATGACAACAAATAAACAAGACTACTCCAAGTTATCTTAGAATCTGCAAAGTGGATTCTTGGAATACAGAGAAAGCCAACAAGCCTACCAGAGACCTAGGTCTTCAATTGTCTGCTTACTGCTTCCTGCCCAGAAGAAGAGTGTATTAGTTTCATAGTGCTGCCATAACAAATTATCACAACATAAATTTATTCTGTCACAGTTGTGAAGGTCACAAGCCTGAAATCAAGGTATCAGTGGGGCTGCACTCCCTCTGAAGGCTGTAAGGGAAAAATTATTTCTTGACTCTTCCAGCTTTGGATGGCCCCAGGTGTTCTTCACTTTGAGCCTGCATAACTCCAGTCTCTGCCTTCTTCACATAATCTTCTCCCCTCTCAAATCTCCTTCTGCCTTTCTCTTATAGGGATACCTGTCATTGGATTTAAGTTCTATTCTAAATCCAGGATGATCTCATCCTGAGATCCTTAACTAATTATATCTGCAAAGATCTTTTTTCCAAATAAGATTATATTTACAGGTTCCAGGGCTAGGACTTGGACATATCTTTTTGAATGCCACTATTCATTCCCTAACAAAGAGGATTATTGACTTGGAAAGTACAAGCCTTGTGATGGTTCATTTTATGTGTCAACTTGACTGGACCATTGGGTGCCCAGATATTTGGTCAAACATTCTGGGTGTATCTATGAGAGTGTTTTGGGATGAAATGAGCATTTGAGTCAGTAGGCTGAGTAGAGCAGATTACCCTCCCTAATGTGGTGGGCCTCATCCAATCAGTTGAAGGCCGGAATAGAACAAAAAGGCTGACCTTCCCACAGGTAAGGGGAAACTCTTTCTGCCTGACTGCATGAGCTGGGACATCAGTCTTTTCCTGCCTTCAAACTTGAACTGAAACATCAGTTCTTGGGTCTTGAGGCTGCTGGAGCTTCTTCATTGGCTTTCCTAGTTCTCAGGTCTTTGGACATAGACTGGAACTACACCATCAGCTCTCCTGGGTCTCCATCGCATGAACTGCAGATCTTGAGACTTCCCAGCCACCATAATTGTATTAATCAATTCCTCATAACACCTCTGTGTGTGTGTGTGTGTGTGTGTGTGTGTGTGTCCTGTTGGTTCTGTTTCTCTGGAGAACCCTAATACAAGCCTCAAATCTGGATAACTGAGAAATAAGAGGTGCTGCAGTCCTGGCTGAGTAGAGTCCCTCAGGCCGGGCGAGCACCATGAACCAGGAAGAAGTCCTCCTGTGAAGCTTTTGCAAAAGCCAGGGCTACCAAATCAGAGTCTCTACAGAGACAATAACAAGTACCTGAGAACAATTTCCAATCATTTCCAAAGCTAAATGGAATTACCTTTCCCTCCTAAAGGGCCACTGAAGCTAACTAAAATGCCAAGTTTCTTTGCTTTCTAACTGGAATTCTATCAGCTCAGTGTGGAAACACCAATTTTTTTCACACTGATAAATAATGCTTAATAGCAATTACATATGTTTTCTCTTCAGGAAAAGAAGATAACTTATTCTTTAATAAATGCAGTTTAGTAGACATAAACATTTCAAAACATGGGTTCAACCGAAAAGAATTAAAGTGTCAGTGGCATTTCTGCTCGAACCGTTATCTTTGAACCCAGTTAGCCCCTCAGAAATTTTCACACATTACTCTGTATTCAACCCTCCCTCAACTACACTTTAACATTACATCCTCAGTTTTATCCAGAATCAGTGCAAACAATGGTCACATGAAGAACATTGCAGAAGCTTGTGTGAACTTATTATTGAAAACATAGTCCCTTGTATTGTTCATGTCATTTACAACAGGAAAAATTTGCCTCCTTTGGCAAAACAGATGCTGATTCCTATAGACGACTGTGAGCCACAGTCCTTTCTGTCTTGGCTACCAGAAAGCCCAGAATGCAACTCTGTCTCTCCTGCATCCATCACCCTTATTTTTAGTTTCCACTATCATCATTTCCCTTGCACTTCCCTACTTCCCCCCCTCCCCAGTTACATGATTCTTTTTATCTGTCCTTTTACAACCAAAATTCTTTTGGTTGTCATCCATCTCAAGTCCATTTTAGGAAACAGACTAAGACATGAATCAAGTAACCCCAGGTTAATGGTGGCAGAGCCAATAGTGGAACTCAAGGTGGACCACTTGTCACGTTTGCTGTCTCTCCCTTAAAATGGGTGCCTTCAAGCTCTGCCTCCTGCACCACGGGGCCCCAGCAGTCTTCTCACTGGCTTTCCCAGCAACTGCACCGCAGACCTCACAGGTGGAGCCGTCGTGTTTACAGACGCCCCAAGGACCCGCGCTCTAGGAAGTGGAAGTCCCCAGCACATAGTCCAAAGGCCATCTGTTCCTGCATCTCCACAGATTTCATGTCTGGATTTCTGGCTGCCTTGGCAGAGTTGAGGGACTGGGCCTGCTTCCCCCAACATTGCAGAGAAGAGAGAAGAGAGTCAAAGAGCAGAAACAGCCCTAGTCTTGTACCAATTGCGCTGCCTGCACACCTTGCTATGAATAACAATACCAACAGCAGTAACAACGGCAATTCTCATGTGTTGTGTGTGCCTCTCTGCCAGGCATTCAGAGAACATCATCACCTCTTCCCTCCACAATGTGTATTACTCCCGTTTTGGAGATGCATGGAGCTCTGAGCCTGCTTTCCTAAAAAGGCATGACTTGCTGGAAGTTAACAGCATCTACTTGCGTGCAAAGGACACATAAGCTGAAGTTCTGGCATGCTCTGAGGGACAGCAAATGAGACCCCTTCAATATCAGTCACTCTATTAACAATAGCTACAAAAGCTCTGACGATTGGACAAAAGGGATTTTTCACCCATCCCAGGCATGTCACTTCTTCCAAATTTAGTGGACTCTGGCTGGATTAATATGATTTCACTGACATGAAAGTCGTCCCTAATAGCCTGCATCGACCTTGTCTCTGCTAGAGGCTTGAGGAATAAGAGAATGTAAAGGATGAGAAACGGAGTGTTCATTCATATATACAAAAAAAGCAAATGAGAAATCAACAGAAATGTTGACCACGATCTCTAGAAGAGCCATCTTGGTAATGAGCAGACGTAAGAAAGCACCTGCTTCCATACCGCCATTTCAAACCTTCTCAGGCTGCTCGGGGCCAAAGGCCAGGCCTTCCCACACCCTTCTGTGCATGGATCTTGAGTGTCCCTCACAAAATGCTGGCTCTTCTGTTGTTGTTTTTGGAAAACAAATGCTTCCTTCCAAGATTCCCCCTCCCAGTTAATATCTGTGCTCAGGACTTGGAGTCCCTGGACACATTACAATGGATTTGTCCAGGTTTGAGATCTCGATTTTGTGATTTCCTCCCCATCTTCCCAGTCTCTCTGGACCCCACCGAGTTATGATCCAAACCTCCACTGCCTGGAGGATGCTTAACTGATCCCGCGCCATGCCTCATTCTTCCTCCACGCTCCCCTCGCCGCCAGGATGTGGCTCTCAGCAAATGTGGTTTTTTTCTCATTTTAAAAAGAGAGCATGCCACCAGCCTCAACACTAGCCCTCCACAGACAGCGAGTCTCGTCTTCCATTTTCCATGCTCCTCTCTCAACTCAGGAACTGGGTTTAACCCAGACCCCCACCCCTGGGATCAGAGCCTCAGATTAATTTTTACAAACATAGCATCCTACCCAGCATACCAAGTTATATCCCCCCTCATCTGTGTATAACACCCTCCGTGAGCTCCACTACAAGCCATTGCCTTCTATGATAAAAAGAAGATCTGGGGCCGGGTGCAGTGGCTCATGCCTGTAAGCCCAACACTTTGGGAGGCTGAGGCAGATGGATCACTTGAGGTCAGGAGTTCGAGACCAGCCTGGCCAACATGTTGAAACCCTGTCTCTACTAAAAATACAAAAAATAGCCGGGCGTGGTGGCGCGTACTTATAGTCCCAGCTACTTGGGAGGCTGAGGCAAGAGAATTGCTTCAGCCCAGGAGGCAGAGGTTGCAGTGAGCCGAGATTGCACCACTGCACTCCAGCCTGGGTGACAGAGGGACACTCCATCTCAAAAAAAAAAAAAAAAAAGAAAGAAAGAAAAGGAAGATCTGGGGCCATGTGGTAAAAGGAAGCCAAAACAGTCCCCCTGAGTCGAGTCTGGGACCAAGAAACTTTGGGAAAAAGTTCTTTCTGTTTTATCTGCAGCCTTGGGGGGCAATCACATGCTTTGCCTCTCCCTACTCCCTAACCCACCACATTGACAAACAGAATTGGTGCTGGGCTAATGAGTTACTACTTGACACAGTATCCCATCACTGCATTGATGTCTGGGCACCTGCACTCCCCCTATGCTGCCCTGTGATTGTCGGCACCCTGAGGGCATGGGTTGTTTCTGCTCCCTCAGTGCCTCTCCAAGGACTTTCTTACAGAGGGAGCACTATCAGTGCTGGCTGCTTCTTTGGTCAGAAAGGAAGTTGACTGGGGGACTAAGAATTGAGAATACACATTAAAATATCTCAGAAAGCAGACACAACAAAGTCCTGCATTTACACAGCACTGGTTAAGAATCAGATCCTTACAAAAACCTTCTAAGAAAAATAGGACAGGTATGAGTATGCCCATATCATAGATGAGGCAACTGAGGCTCTGAGAGATGGGATGACGTCCCCAAACCACACAACGAATAACTGCAGAACCAAGGTTAGAAGTCTCTTCTTCTGAGGACTCGACTAGTGCTGTGTCTACCAAAATGCAAAGTGGGGAGAGAAACCCAGAGATGGCTGCTTTATACTATGTTCTCACCCTCGCCAACTCATCTACAAGTTCAAATGCAGGTACCACCTAAAAACTACAGATGTAAGTTCCAAACAGTTAATGTATAGGGGCACTGAAACTCTGAAAGCCAATATGTCATTTATGCAAAACTATGCTCTAAAAAGCATAAGCATGTGAAAAGATAAAGGAGATACCAGAGGGACCAAAGGCAAGCACTACTGGGGAAGCCAAGTCTGGGAGTGAGGAGGAGAAGGTGGCAGAAAGACAAGAGATGTAGAGGTGTCTGGCTGGGTGTGGTGGCTCACGCTTGTAATCCCAACACTTTGGGAAGCCGAGGCGGGCAGATCATGAGATCAGAAATTCGAGACCAGCTGGCCAACATGGAGAAACCCTGTCTCTACTAAAAATACAAAAATTAGCTGGGCATGGTGATGAGCACCTGTAATCCCAGCTAATCGGGAAGTTGAGGCAGGAGAATTGCTTGAACCTGGGGGACGGAGATTGCAGTGAGCCGAGATCACACCACTGCACTCCAGCCTGGGCAACAGAGCAAGACTCCATCTCAAAAAAAAAAAAAAAAAGAGAGATGTGGAGGTGTCATAGAGTGTGCAAAGAACAGAGAGAGAGGCTAAGAGGAGGCATCAGAGGTGGGGGGTGGAAGGAAGAGAGAAGAGAAGGAAAAGAATGAGAGTAGAAAGACGGGAAGGAAAGCAAAGAGGGAAAATAAGCAAGCGGAGGTTGAAAAAGGACACACTTTTCCTGTGTCTCTAGGTTTCCCCTAAAAGGGTTACCCTGGGGGATGGAAATCATAACATGGGCATTAGAGTTTTGCTCACCTCCTTTCCAAGGATCAGCAGCAGAGATTAAAACATAGGAAACAAGACACAAATAGAATGAGGTTAAGAGAACATTACACATTCAGATAAACCAGAGAGAAAGGAGAATAATATATTGGAGTTAGAAGGAAGACAGAAGAAAGAGGAGATAGGGTTGGCCAAAACAGGACCCCACCAGAAGGAAGCAGAAGCCTCCACCCAAAGCTGAAACTAGTATCATGTTGCCAGGAACTCCAGAGAACATGAGCTAAAGAGAAGCAGAGATCCAAAACAAAGATGGCACCCGCATTTGAGGGCTGCGGTATTAGGAGTGAGAGGACTGAAACTAGGAGACAAAAAACGCAGCAGTGCAATTGAAGGGGAAAGACACAGCGTATTCCTTGTGAAACTAAGACACTTCAGGCATGTGACCCCCCTCCCCGACACCAAAAATCACCTTTTGTTGGCAAAATGTTTGTAGCTAATATTAATGTTTGTGTTTGTTCATTGTTTAATAAGCATTTGTCCACCTGCCGTGGAGTTATTGTCCATTGTAATAAATCTATAAGAACAGAACCCATAGACTTTATTCTTCTCAAGTAGAGGATTCATGATGGTATCAGTCATGTGCTGGTATTTGATGAGTGATTTTTGATGGAGATAGCAGATCTGTTGGTAGTGAAAATGGTGTTGGCCAACAATGTAAATCAGAATGGTGTTGCTGACTATAATGATAGCACTGAGAGTCGGCATGGTAACGAGGGGGCAGGTGATCACAGTGGTGGTACAGAAGGCAACAAATATGGAATTCTGTTCACAGTGGGCAGCATGAAAACTATGATGATGGTAGTTACAAACAGCAAGATGATCTTTGCCATGGTAGCATGTATACAACTACACTATGGAAAGGGACGTGTGTGTGTGTGTGTGTGTGTGTGTGTGTGTGTGTGTGTGTGGTGTATATGAGAGAGAGAGAGAGAGAAGAGGGGGTGGAGGGAAAGAAAGAGAGACCACCCACAGTTCACCCATGGTTAAACTAGAGTGCCATCTGCCACAGGACCCTCCCTAAGAGACATGGCAGATGGTCAAAGTCAATAGCCACCCCTTTCCCCTAAAATACCTATGAATAAAGAATGGAGTATCTGTGAGCACATGCTTCCTTTCTCTTTGGAGCTATTTGCTAGATTTTGTTATGCAAGGAGACATGTCACCTAGAAATTCCCTGGGTAGATTTTTTTTTTTTTTTGGTAGAGGTGGGGTTTTGCTATGTTGCCCAGGCTGGTCTCAAACTTCTGACTTCAAGAGATCCTTCCACTTCTCCCCAACAAAGTGCTGGGATTACAGGTGTGAGCCACCGTTCCTGGCCTCTGGGTAGATTTTTAAATTATGTATAGACTATCCTGGATTAAAAAAAAAAAAACTACCTCAAACATCATCTAAACTGTGTGGCTGTCAACCCAGATGTGCATCATCCTGGGGATTTTTTGCCTAACACTGATGAGAACGTCATTCCATACCAACCAAGTAGGTCAAATTCCCAGAGATGGGACACTGGCATGAACAGTTTGAAAACACTTACCAGGTGATCTTAATCAATTCACCTGATTAAGAACCTTCTGATTTACAGAAGAGATAAGTGAAACCCACCAAACACAATATTTAGTGGCAGAATCATAACCAGAATAGGTTTCTCCACAGCAAATTGGTGTTGTTTCCCCTGCCCACTGCTGACACAGTCAGCGTGGCTTGCAGCCTTCTCTCATTACTCTATTCACTAAAGAAGTGTCTGGCTGTACTAGGACCCCGAGAAGAGAGAAAGGAGGTGAAACAGAAAAATGAAGAACACGGACAGGGACAATGTGTTGCTTCTCATGGAGCAAACCCAGCCAGTGCTCTGAGGTGGGAGGATCTCCCTCCCCACCCCAACTCTTCCCCGTCCCCGTCCCCGTCCCCACCCCCCACCCCCCACCCCGGCATCATGGGTCCCTGGGGAAGCAAGTGTGATTTCAATTCCACAAAACCCACATCCCACCTGGCCCTATTCCCAAATTATTTGCATCCATCCAGCCCTCAGGAGGCCCAGAACCCAGGAGAAACATGCTCATACTTTCTTGGTAGGAACTTTGATCTTCAAGAATTCTGCCTCTCTGGCCAGCACCTGCCACGGGGCGTGTATCCGGACAAAGATGGATCCCTGGCTTTTATTCTGCAAGGTACAAAGAAAGAACAAATGGAAACACTTGTAAGGACATAGCTTAAACTCCTGGTTCTTCAACTGTTCCACACAAGGAGCCCAACCCGTTGTTCTTCAGTTTCTCGTTTTCGTTCTCTTTAAAATTCACCAGGGACCAGTCCCTTCCCACCTGTACCCAGTTCATCAGTCTATTCCAAAAATGTTCTCATCGAAAACAGTAGGATAGTGTTCCCAAAGTGTGGCCCCTGGAAGTTTGGTAGCTTCAGAGCAAAAAAAAAAAAAAAAAAAAAACAAGTTAAAACAATTTTGGTCACAGATTTGAAATATAAGCAATCATGATTTTCACGGAAATCTCATTACACTCTTAATAACAAGTGGTTGGTTTTGCACTGCTCACACTCAGTGAATAGCCTGCAACTTGTCTCCATTCACATGTTTTCATTGTTTATTGTTCAAGTTTGTATTTTTGTTCTACTGTCATGCTGTTATAGCCCCAAACCACAAAAGTGATCTACTAGAGCCTAGAAGTAATACTATAAATCATAATGACAATGGTACAATGCAGAATAATATAAACAGGGCTCCTATATGAATACAGAACATGAATCTATGTCTCAGGATAAGTGACTGTGTTGTGTGTTGATTTCTCTCAAAACATGAAAAATAAGGACAGAAAATGCAGTGATAAGTATTTGAAAGTCAGGTTTCATTGACCCAGCAATTCATCTGGCCCTTGTCACTATGACTGTTACAAATAGGTGTCAGATTATGAGAGGAAGGCACCTCATCTTCAAATAAACATTCACTTTTTTTTTTTTTTCAAAACAAGCACGCACAGGGGAAAAAATACTTTCTGATATGAATTTAATTAATTTTGTCACTAAAGAACTAAAGAGGACCAAAACCAAGTAGGAAAAACTGGCAGAAGTCTCATTATTGGTGAGAAGTTTCTAAAACTACCTGCAAAATTAAGCACAAGCATTGTGTTTAAACTCCTTCACTGTGTTCAGAGAGAAGGAACGAGCTGATAGCACAATCCTTCATTCCGCCCTCTGATCTTGGTTTAGTGTTGAAGACTATATAGAAAATCTTCAACTCACAGGCTCTGACTGTCTGCATTTTCAGTGTGCCTGGCAGAGAGATAGATGGCAAATAGAAGACTACGTCCCCCCACTGAAGAACACTGTCTATGGAGGAGGTGCTCACATGTGCTTTTGAAATGATGAACAAAATAAAAAGATATTTTATGGCACTTATTAATGCAAGTGAAAACTATTTCTATTATTCTTCAATGGCAGCTCCAAAATATGTTCAGTAATTCAAACATCCAGAACCAAACCTCACTTTGAGGAAGAAAGCTCATGACTTACAAGGCAGAAAAATGAAGAATAAACCACGATTTCAAAAGGAGATTGGACTATGGTGTGAAAGCCTTGGGTAGTCTAGAGTTTGACAATATCTGAAAATAACAATTACCACAATGCATATTTATTGACTGTGTATTATGCGCCAGAACTGAGTTAGGTGGTCACGTGCATTAGCTCACACAATATTTGCAACTATGCTGTAAGGCCAGTACTACCACAATCTCTATTCCACAGCTGAGGAAAGCAAGGCAGGGAAAATGTAAATGATTTGCCCAAAGTTACACAGATAGTGCAATAAAGATAGTGTTCAGACATGACATGGTCACTCAGGATAATTAAGAAACACACCCAAGGACTGTAACACAACACAAAGACATGTGTTTAGGCTAAAATCAAATCCAAGGGTTGATAAGGAACCTATGTGGCAGCCCTAAAATGAAACCTTCCCAATCCCAAGTGTGACATCGTTCTGACAAAATACTGAAAGTGGCCTTCAGCAAGAAATCTCCCCAATTTTATCTTTGGTTATGCAGGACTGCTAGATAGAATCATCAATCACTTGCTACTACTTCTAACTGTAATTTAAGCTTTTCCAACTAAGTGAAAATAAAGGGTAAGAAAAGAAACCATCTGTGAAGCTGACCTGCAAGCCCAGCTCTCCATCACGGCCCCAGAAATTATGTTTTTGGTGAAAGATGGCAAACAGCATCATCCCTCTCGCTAAGAGGAGATCACAATGATTATGAATGTTAACACATTACCCTTTGTCTTTATTTTCAAACTGTGATGAATGCTGTTTTAACTTTCTTTAGGGTCGTTGGCTCAAGTGTGTAACAGATGTCCATTAAGTGGGTGCAGATGTTCTAAGTTTGAGGTAGGGTTGGGAGGGCAAGGGTCAAATTCCAAGATCTTGGTGGCAGACTGCTAGCTGTCCCGACAGCTGTTCTCATGTTCTTCATTTTTAACAAAGCACATGGCCATCCAGCATTAAGACCACATCTCCCTTGCAATGAGGTGTTTCCATAAACAGTATTTCTGGCCAATGTCGCAAGGTGGAAGTATCTGGTAACCTTCTTCAAATACAGCAAGTAGGTGCTTTTTGCCCCGTCATTTTCTTCCGTCCCCTTAACCCGCTGCCTGGAAGATGGACACAGACATTTTAGACCTTAAGGTTAAAGTCCGGGCCAGAAACAGCAAAGTGTCAAGAGAGAAGCTGGCTCTGGCTCTAGAGAGTGTCATAGCAGCCCTGGGATGCCTTTAGATTTTTACGTGAAAGATAGAATTCTACCTTGTTTATCCACGGTGATTTTAGAGGCTCTATCCATTGCAGCCTAATCTTACACTAACGAATGCAAAATCGTTTCCCAGTATGGGGTTGTTAACTTCCTCCAGCAAAGCATGCATCTCCACTCTCCTCAAAAGGAACTTGTTTAAAATGAAAACAAAAGCAGGAATGCAGTTTTGTGGATCTAGTCATGTTCCTTTCATGCTGTGCAATATTGTTACCTTCTCATAAAAAGGAAAACATACCCACCATTGTGAAATATTAGCTGATGTGACTGGTTGTGTCTCCAAAGAAAAAAAGTAACTCCTTGAAAGCTCCGGAGCACAACCATCACCGAATGCATCCCCCAGGAATCTAAACCTGAAGGTTAACATGTATTGACTTTAAAATAATTTTTTCCTTGTCCCCCAGGCCACTCCGACATCCATTCTGCCCTGCCTGTGGATGTGGGTTCTTTTAGGCATAGTAGGGGAGTGGAAGAGCTTGGAGCTTCCAAGTTAGACAGAACAAGATCTGAATCCTTAGTTATTGTGAATAGTCCTGCAATAAACATGGGGGTGCAGGTATCCCCTTGATATATTGATTTCTTTTCCTTTGGGTACATACCCAAGAATGGGATTGCTAGGTCATATGCCAGTCCCATTTTTCGTTTTTGAGGGACCTCCATTCTGCTTTCCATAATGGCTATACCAATTTACATTCCTACCAGCAGTATGTGAGAGTTCCCTTTTCACTGCGTCCTTGCCAGCCTTTATTTTTTTGGTCTTTTTTATAATAGCCATTCTAACTGGGGTGAGATGATATCTAATTGTGATTTTGATTTGCATTCCTCGATGATCAGTGATGTTAAGCATTTTTTCATATACCTGTTGTCCATTTCTATGTCTTCTTTTATGAAGTGTTTATTTAGATCCTTTGCCCAGTTTTTAATTAGATTATTTGTTGAATCAACCTAAATGTCCATCAAGAGAGGAATGGATAAAAGAAATGTGATAGATAGATAGATAGATAGATAGATAGATAGATAGATAGATAGATGCCCACTGGAATAGTACTCAGCCATAAAAAGAATGATATCCTGCTATTCACAGCAATATGGATGAGCCTGGAGGACATCATGTTAAGTGAAATAGGCCAGACACAGAAAGACAAATACCACATGTTCTCCCTCATATGTGGAAACTAAAGAATATTTGAGCTTATGGAAGTAGAGCATAGAATTGTGGTTATTAGAGGCTGGGCAAAATGTGGAGAGGGGAGGATGGGGAGAGGTTGGTTAATGGATCCAAAGTTAAGCTAGATAGGAGGAATACCTTCCAGTGTTCTGCAGCACTGCAGGGTGAATAGGATTAATATAATTTATTGTATGTTTCCAAAAAGTTAGAAGAGAGGATTGTGAATATTTACAACACAAAGAAATGATATATTAGGGGTGACAGATACGCTAACTACCCTGATTTAATCATTACACATTGCATATATGTATCAAAATACCACTCTGTATCCCATAAGTATGTACAGTTACATCAACTAAAAGTAAAAGGAAAAAATATGTTTGTGACAGCATTATTTCTAATAGCAAAATACTGAAAACAACCAAAATTAATTATGGAACAAGATTAGAAAGGGAAAAAGACTATCTAGGTGTATAGCTTCCCTCATAGTTTAGAGATTCAAATAGAATCAGTATTTCCCACTAATTCTGGAATCTTCACCACCTGAAAATAAACGGAGACCTATGCCTCAATTATTTAAAAAAAAAATTATTTGCCTCCAGAATTTTGCAGCTGTGGGAGCTTAGGCAAGTCACTTAACCAAATGAGCCTCACCTTCTTTATCTGAATAAGGAGGATGAGAAATGTTGCATGGCTGTTGTGAGAACTGCAGATGAAGTAGGTGAAGTCCCTGCTAGTGTGCCTGAAATGTGGAGTGTTCAATAAACATCAGGCATTACTATAGCGATTAGCTCTACCCAGGTAAAATGACTGCTTCTTGACTGCGGGACAGTATCTGAAACTTCTTCTGTATTCTTCAAGCACCTAGCACGAGACTGCACACACAGCAGGTCCTTGCTGGGGAAAACCAGTTCCCGTTAGATTAAAATTGTGAGTGAGTAATCCTGGTTCCTTTATTGCCTTGCACTTTTAAAATTATCTACAAGATTTTCAAAATGTCCCACATGTCCTAAAGGAAATCACAGGTTCAAAATACAGTGCATCTCCAGAATTTGGGGACAAGGTCAGAAAATATAAGTTGCTGAAATCGACAGGAAATTTAACACAACATGAAGAGATTAGCCGTCAGAGGATACAATCCATCCCTAAAGAAGATGTTATAAATAAGTAATCAATATGACTGGAGGGGCTCCCAAATCTCAACAGGCAACTAAAACTTCAGTTCGTGTAAAATGAGCTGTAACACATAATTTGGTCCTTGTCATCACAGAAGGGAGAACCAGGGCACAGATATTTCTGTAGGAAGTCCCAGGCCTGTCAGTCTAAGGTAGGTAATTTTTCCAGGGACAAGCAATGTGAAATATATAACAGAGCAGGAAATGTCTCTAGCTTAGTTGAAATGTCTCAAAAAAACTATGCAATCCTTTCACTGTGACTCCATTTTCATAAAGCCCTACAAACCCTACTTCTCTAGTTCTTGTTATCAGGGAGAGTTACCCAAGAAGACGGTGTGAGTACTGTGGCCAAAGGAAATGAATACTCCTCAATCAGAGCCTGACTTCTGAGTTCACCGGTCTCTCTCTCTTTTTTTTTTTCCAAGATGGGGTCTTGCTTTGTCTCCCAGGCTGGAGTGCAGTGGCACCATCTTGGCTCACTGCAACCACCTCCCAGGTTCAAGCAATCCTCCCACCTCAGCCTCCCAAGAAGCTCGGACTACAGGTGTGCACCACCATACCCAGCTAATTTTTAAATACTTTTTTAAAGATGGAGTTTTGCCATTTTCCCCAGCCTGGTCTCAAACTCTTGAACTCAAGCGATCCACCTGCCTTGGCCTCCCAAAGTGCTAGAATTACAGACGTGAGTCACCACATCTGACCTGTCCATTTCTTTTAACTCATGATGTCCACTGGTTTCCCAGACCTGTCCTCCACTAAGTAAACTGGTAGAGAACTGAATTCACAAAGAGGCTAAGTTACGTCTCATCTTGAACCTGTGCCCTGCCCAGTCTGCTGACGTCTCACTCCCTCCCTACCCCGCTTCCTCTCTAAAGTTAACTCAACAGCAAGCCCGATAATTTGCACATGGTCTAAGGTACCAGCCCCTCTCACCCTCCTCCCCAGGCTCCAGCACCCAGCCCTTCTCACTGTCATCTGGCTGTTCCACCAGCTTCCTACGCTCAAGCCTCCTCACATTCTATCCCTCCATTGCAAAGCTCTCATCATCCCCCATCCCAACCAACTCCTATTTGGGTCTCAGCTTAAACATTCCTTCCTCAGGAAGCCTCTTCCTGAGCCGTGGATTATGCCTGGTCCCTTCCTCTTGCTTGTGCAATTCCTTGTCTTTCTCCTTCACAGCACGGACCCACTATCACAATCATTGTGTCACTAAGCATCTCATACCCTTCTTCTCTGCTAGATCTGTAGCTCCATGAGGACAAAGAATGAGTCTGTCTTGTTGTTTGCTTTGTCCTCAGCAGCCACCACAGTACCTGACGTATAGTAAGTGCTCAGTAAATATTTCTGGCAACTTCAGTACACATATACTGTATTCCTAGTGGATTCCATTTGGATCCTGTGACCAATCTCTAAAAATTAGCTACCATGGCCCACAAAGTAATTGGTGACCTTTGGCCAACAGAATTTAAATCTAATTCAGTTTTGAGAAAATAATTCAATTACCCTTAAGTGTCATTCTTGAATGTGTCTCTCATATTGACAGCTAAAGTTACTAAACTTTCCACCTGACCAGGAACCATCTAAAGATCGTGGAGGGCCTCTCCATCCTGTTGGTAGCCCCAGATGCTCACCACATTTGCAGACCGCCGTTCCCTTTCCTAGAGGCCAAAGGAATTGACACAGCCTCACTCGTGCTCACAAAACACAACCTGAACTGGATATATCAGAAACTTTTCTGCCTCATAGGCTTCTGGGGGTGTTATAGCATTAAGGAGAAGAATCAGGAATACTCTGGAAAATAGACAAGGCTTCAAATGTCAGTCTTTGACGTCTTCACTCAGCAAGCATTAGACTGCCATGATGCTAGTCAACACCCCATGCTGACAGTTCAAGGCAGGGCCAGCTTAGGGACACAGAGGAATTTCAGAATGATGAACTGATTTGGCCATAGGACTCTAGAGTTGGAAACACCTCCAAGCACACCTAACATATCTTTCTCCAGTAACAAAGGAAGACCTGCAGCCCAAGAGTCTGTGCTGCATAAGCATAGACATACAGCTAATTACAAGCAGATCCAGGTCTCCTGGCACCAGCATTCATCCCACCCTTCCATCCTGAGGGCTGCCAACCATCCACGGCAATCCTGCAGCCCCTCCCTTCACAAGAAATTAGGGAGGCAGGGGAAGGAGGAATGGGCTAGGGAGTGAGGGAAGAAGGGGTTCGTACCCCCAGCCACCTCTCTCCCGCACTCCAGGCCCCTAGCAGGGACTGGAGGTCGCGCTCCTGGTGAAGTTATCCTCATTGTTTTTGTCTTGTTGTTGTTATCCAAAGCTTGCATGTGGATAAACAAGACAACGTCCTCTCTCTAGAGAGACAATAGTGAGCGGGAGGCAGCCCCAGCCAAACACTGGAAACTGATACTCCTCAGGCCTCCTTCCCCACAGCCCTGCCAAGCCACCTCCATGCTGACCCAAGGGGCCTGAGTGTACTCTGGTCCCGGGCCCTGCTGTGAGGCAAGAACGTCAGCTGCAGCACATCGGCGCCCGGGAATGGCGCTGTAAGGAAGGGTGGGGGGATGAGCCTGTCGATGATGGAGGAGCAGAGAGGAGACAGACTCCCTTGGACTCCCCTAAGACATCACCAGCGCCCCCACCACACCTGCTGGGAGCCCCACACTCTCAGATCATCAAGATTGAAGCTCACACAGCTGGAGGACAGGGGTGCTGAGATGGTGGCCAGGGCAGCCATCGTCACAGGCGAAGGAGGAGAGTGAGGTGTAGCCTTGAGACAGAGGGCTTTTGAAATAAGAGCAGGAATTCATCTGAGACAGGCCTCCCATCTGCTCCATTTGAGGAACACCATAGTCTACCTGTGTCATCGTGAAGATCAAAGCCTTAACTTCCTTTTGGCTCTCAAGAATGTACAGCCTCTGATTCGGAGCAGGCTCTGCCTGGTCCTCCTGAGACACAGGGATTTGGGATTAAGCAAAGGGAAGAAGTTCCTGCCTAGGGAAGGAAAGGTGGAAATCTGCTCTGCTGGGAGCTCCTGGATGAGAGTACTGGAATCTCCTCTCCAACCCTGTCCTGCATAGGCCAAGGTGAAGGTGGCCAATAATCAGCAGAGGCAGAAGACAGAGCCAAATGCCCACCAAGCCCCATCCCAGAGACCCACTAAGACCAGCAGCAAGACCCTTCCTTCTTATGGAAAAGACTTCACCTGGTTCCCAACCAACGACCAGGGACAACCCAGGGTCCTATGGACATGAAAACTCAGCCACTTTTGTCGTATTTCTGGGTGCCAACCTGGACAGACACGCAGAACGGGTGATCTCTGGACCTATCACCACAGTCTCCACTCCGTGTATCACACATCATTGCACTCCAACCAGAGGCAGCCCAGGAACAACTCCTCAAAGCCCAAGTGAAGAGGAAGCAGTGAGGGGAGCCCAGGGAGACTGAGGAGTCCAACCCTCTGATAGGGTCTGACTCTGTCCCTGCCCAAATCTCATCTTGAATTGTAGCTCCCATAATTCCCACATGTTGCGGGAGGGACCTGGTGGGAGGTAACTGAATCATGGGGGCGGTTTCCCCCATACTGTTCTCGTGGTAGTGAATAAGCTCACAAGATCTGATGGTTTTATAAGGGAAAACCTCTTTCTTTCTTTCTTTCTTTTTTTGAGACAAAATTTCGCTCTTGTTACCCAGGCTGGAGTGCAATGGCGCAATCTTGGCTCACTGCAACCTCCACCTCCCAGGTTCAAGCAATCCTCCAGCCTCAGCCTCCTGAGTAGCTGGGATTACAGGCACCCACCACCACACCCAGCTAATTTTTTGTATTTTTTTCTTTTTTTTAGTAGAGACGGTGAGGGGAAACCCCTTTCATTTGGTTCTCAATTCTCTCTTGTCTGCTGCCATGTAAACACATGCCTTTCACCTTCCACCGTGATTGGGAGGCCTTCCCACCCACGTGGAACTGTGAGTCCATTAAACCTCTTTTTCTTTATAAATTACCCAGTCTCTGGTATGTCTTTTTTAGCAGCGTGAGAACAGACTAATACACCCTCCAACATATCAAGGGTGAGAGAACCTCTTCCCCACTCAACCCCTGAGCTGCAGAGGACCCCAAAGGCAGCACGGCACCTTGAAAGACCTAACCTATGGGGAGTCAGCAACAGAGTGTGACTCAGGCTTCTCTAGGTGTTATTCTACTTCAGAAATCCTACAGGTGGAAGAAATAGGGAATAATCCTCACCATGTAAGATAGGCCCCGGGAAGGCCATGGGTTCTGGAGCCTGAGGACCAGGCCTTGGGCCCCAGCTCTGTCACTTACCAGCTGCACCATTTCCAACAAGCCACCAAAGCTCTCTCGGATTGACAGGCAATGTTAAATAATTGTAATAATTAATAATAATACCACTTGGAGGAGAGAAGGATAGACTTTACAAAAGGACCTGTGGAAATGTTTGGGGGTGGTAGATATGTTCATTTTCTTGATTACAAGACAGTGATGGTTTCACAGTGATGGTTTTGAACACATGTCAAAACTCAACAGATTGGATACTTTAAATATGTGCAGTTTATTATACATCAGTTATACCTCAAAAAGGCTAGAGGGAAAAGATATGCAAAAATGTAAAACAATGCAACACTTCTTGTAACTTTTTTTGTTTTAAAAAATCATTATTTTTAATTATAATGTTTTATGTTAAATAAACATTATTTACTTAACAATATGTTATATATTCGTTAGCTTTTAATTAATAATAAATATTCAAAAGTGAATAATGATTTCATGGTATCTCAGAATCAAATAAGGTTGTACATATGAAGGTATTTTGTAAACTATGAAGTGTCTACAAAAGGATTTTTTAAAGAGCAAGTGCAGGGATAGGCACTGTGAAATCTCTGCCTTGGTACTCAAAGCACAGGGCATACCCATGTTCCTAGGGCCAAAAAAACACATGTCCTTGACCCCTGTGGGAATCCCACCATGTTTCTTGGATCCCACATAAAAAAAATCATAGCTGAGCCCACCGAGGCAGTAGCCCCTGGCATGTAACTGAACACCACCAAGTGAGGATGAAGATAAAAGTGAACATTTCTCTTGGGAGTTTATGATGCTCAAAGATAACAGGCTGAAAGTAGCCAGATGCAACATTTCTACCAAAAATGAGAGAATGACAATCCATAAGCCCCAAAGATGTTGGCAGAAAGAACAGGGCCTCTCCCAAAACTCAGGGAGGCCAGTAGGCTGGCGCCTGGGCTTCCAGCACACAGAACCAGCCCAAACAGGGGATCCTGGATGAACTGTGAGGAAAGACCCAAGGAAAATGCTGCTGTTTCCTATTCATCACAGTGAAATTGTTCTGGACAGTCGCCATCCTGCAAGTGGAATCAGATGCTGTGGATGCTAACTCTCAGCAATGGGTGTGCCTCTCCCTCACCCCCACCAGGACACGGAGAGCACTTCAGTGCCTGAGGAATGGAAGGCAAGAGAGCAATGGGCAAAGGGGTGCCCTAGCTGGTCATTAGTAAATACTCAGACCACAGATGATCAGTAGGTCCTGGCTGGCCTGGAACAGTCTCTGTTTATTCCCCTTGCCTCATCATCCCATCAAGTTTAGGATTTTAGCATTCTCAAAAATGTCCCAGGCTAGACAAGCAAATCACAGGATCAACCTGTGAGCACCACTACACTTAATAGCCATCAAACCTTTGAGCAAGAATGCCCAGTATCCCCTTCCTGTCTTTCATTTATTTGGCCCATGTGAAAAATATCCCACTCAGAGAGAAGCATTCCCAGGCATTTAAAAGCTGGTCATATTAACTCTGAAAGCCCTATCTCTTCATTATCTCTAATGTCTCTCCTGACTTAAAATTTGCATGATTCCTTGATTTTGCTACTTTTCTTCCAACCTCAAGACACCTCCCTAAACCCTTTATGTTATCAGTAATTAACTCCCCTCCCCCACAAGGATATGCCCCTGCCTTCTCTTAGCAGTGACTCATCTCTCCCTTAAAGAATCTTTACACTATTTTCCTATGATTCAATCATCCTAACAAAGTTCAATTCAACAAGTATTTATTGGGCAACGACTGTGTGCTTGGCAATGTGCTAAGAGTTAGGGCATATGAAAGAAATCTAAGCCATCATGCCATCACACCATCATGCCATCACATCACCATGCATTCACACCATCATGCCACCACACCATCATGCCATGACACCATCATGCATTCAAACCATCATGCCATCACATCACCATGCATTCACACCATCATGAATTCATACCATCAAGAATTCACACCATCATGCCACCACACTACCATTTCATCACACCATCATGCATTCACACCATCATACATTTACACCAGCATGCCATCACACCATCATACATTCACACCATCATGCATTCATACCATCAAGAATTCACACCATCATGCATTCATACCATCATGCCACCACACCATCATGCCACCACACCATCATGCCATCACACCATCATACCATCACACCATCATGCATTCACGCTATCGTGCATTCACACTATCATGCCACCACAGCATTATGCCACCATATCATCAGGCCATCACACCATTATGCATTCACACCATCATGCAATCACACCATCATGCATTCACACCATCATGCATTCACACAATCATTCATTCACACCATCATGCCACCATACCATCATGCAGTCACACCATTTTCATTCTCTTTGGAAACCAGATAAATGATATCTAATACCTGGGACAGATCACGACCAGGGCAATTAACGTCCAAAGGGACAGGACGACAATGAACGATCATTTGTTTGTCATCTCCCCTTTCACTCACCAATAGTTGCCAAGTTTTGCTCTGAGAGAAACACCCCTACTGGAGCTCAGCCATATGTTTTTAGCAGAATTGATCCCATCCCAAATCCAAGCCTATGCCCAATTAGTTTGAACCAATCAGCATATCCAACCCTCTGCCACAACGACTGCTTCTGGAATATGCTTGTAATGTGGTCAAAATCAATAAGATGTGAGGAAATAATGGCCAGGATTTCTAGGGAAAGCAGCTTTCTCCTTCCGTCAGACTCTGGGGGATAACAGTGGCCATCGATTCACTCCATAAAGGGAAGTCCTGGGTCAGCAAGGGGGATCAGTGAGAAAATAAAAGATGAAGTGGACCCTGCAGATGGTTGAGCAGAAAGATAGAGAAATTGGTTGTCTTTAGGGACATCATGGGAGCTGAGGGATCAAGCCTCACCAGATCTGCTTATGGGCTTCCTGATCACACGAGCTTATAAATTCCCTTTGTTGTTTGAGCTGGTTTGAGTTGGATGTTCTGCCAATATGAACAAGCATTCTCACTGATATAAGAAACTACTGGAAAGAGCTGACTCTGGGCTAGAGCCAGAGGGCATGTTGTGGAGGAGAGGGACCTTGAGTTGTACTTTGACCACTACATGATGAGATTTGCACATGCCGTTGTGAGCGGCATGGAAGAGAAGAAGTGGATGAACACAGGTGCAGAGAGGAATGTGCAGCATGTAGAGACCAGCCGGCCTGAAACTGAATGGAGCCTGGGGATCCAGGGGGCTGAGACTGGCCTGTGCTGGCTGTACTGCCCACTACAATGCTGCTGCCAGTGCATTTTGCAACAGTGACCTTGACAGATCAACCCCATACTTTCACCCAGGTTCGTTATATTTTCAACAAGATAAAAGATGAGAGAGTCCGCCTAGTCAAGGAACCTTTAAGAAAATGCCTTCCTCTTTTCCCAGTGGAGCTCAAATTAGAAACTTCTTCCCACTCTCCAGTGAGACCAACAAATACAAGTGATAGCAGGGAGTTGGTCTAGGGGTTGGTCTGGGTTGGTCTAGGCTGTGATCAAACAGAATGACAGAACAAGCCTCCCATGTGGCACAGATCCAGGCTGTGACCTTCGGAGGAGGCAGTTTTCTGAAGACAGGCTCTGGCCTTCCTTCTAGGAGCCATTACTCCTTCATAGCAGAGATCTTACACAAAGAGGCAGTGTAGACTTTGAACATGTACAAAGAAGCTATAAAACCTTCTACAACATTGATCACAAGCTTTCTTCAGCTAAAGAACTCTTTCTCCAAATATTTCAAGGGGCTACCTGGTTGTGTTCCAGAGAACTACAGCCCCACCTGCTCAGCCCCAACTTGGGCTCCAAGTGGTTTCTGTGGCACTTGTATGCAAACCCCAAGAACTGTAGTCCTTAGAAATGGATGAGGTTTTTGACTGTCACAATGACAGGGAAACACCACTCATATTTAATGGATGAAGTGAGAGACACCAAACATGCTTCGATGTACTAGAAAGTCCTAGGAAAAATTAACCTTCCTGGAATATACAGTGCTCCACTGAGACTTCCCTAGGGCTCAGGTAAGTGAAGTTGAAAATTACTGTGCTGCCCCGCACATCTGTCCGACCTGACATAGAAGGCAGGATTAGCAATTATCACACAAGTCCCATGGCTCTGGCTCCAGCAGACTCAGCCTTGAGAGATATTAAGGTAGAGCTTAAAGAACTTGGATTATGAATAAAGGCTATCGAATTAGCTAAAATCTAGATCTTGGATGTGATGTTGATAAACTAATCAGGGACACAGAAAAAGACCTAGCACTATAATGAAAAAAAAAAAAAAAAAAAAAACCAGTGGATTTGATTACTTCGTGAGCTTCCAAAAATATCCAGATCAACCCAGCTGTCAAGAGCACTATGAAAATAATCCTTTAAGAGTAAAAGGGTGGTTACCAGAGCCTGGGAAGGACAGTAGGGGAGTGGGCAGGAAGTGGGAATGGTTAATGAGTACAAAATAAAAATAGAAAAAATAAGACATAGTATTCAATAGCACAATGGATAACTACAGTCAATAATAATTTAATTGTATATTTTAAAATAACTAAAAGAGTACAATTGGATTGTTTGTTACACAAAGGATAAATGTTTGAAGGGACAGATACCCCATTGTCCACAATGTGATTATTACGAATTACATGCCTGTATCAGGGTATCTAGTGTACACCATTAATATATACATGTACTAGGTACCCACAAAAGTTAAAAATGTTTTTAAAATAAAAAATAATAATAATCCATTAGCTTAGAGTGTTCTGGAGGCCAGGGGATGAAGGTCATGTGGTCTCTAGAAGCAGGGCACATTAAAGAAGAGCTCAGAGAGACCCTGCTGAAAATCCCAGCTCTGCCACTTACTCCCTGTGTGACGTTGATATGTAACATGATCTCTCTGAGTCTCAGCCTCCTTTCTGATCAAGCAGAAAAATAAGAATCTGGAAGCAATAGTGACCTCATAGAGTGCTTGTGAATATCAGCAATAATGTAAGAAAGACACCTAGCACAATGTCTGGCACATAGTAGGTGCTCAATGCTAATAATAATTAGATTCTGCAGATGGTGTCTTCTGGCCAGAATAATTTGAATTAAGGGGGTTTGTGCAATTGAGTTTCCAGCATCCTCCCTTTTTTCCTAGAAAAAGCTGGCTCCTGGGGCATTTTCTCCCCCTCTATGAGGCGAAAGCCCAGTCTGGATCGTGTCCTCTCTATGCAGCCCAAACATGCTTTTCCACAGCCATGACCCTGCATGCACACCACATGGAACCAGTCCTGCCTGAGACCGCAGGTCTGGAAGAGAAGGGGTCATCAGCCCTGCTAATTAAATCTGCAGATGATAACAAACTGGGCGGCTCTGCAAACAGCACCAGAGAGGACAGGGATATAAATGAGAAGGGACCTAGGGAGTTTACAAAATATGGGACAGGAAATCACAAAATGAGATTCAATGCAGAAGAATGCAAGGAACTCCAACTGTGGGGAATAATCAGAAACATAGACCCTGGAGGGGAAGGGGAAGCTGGAAAAAGGCAGAGGTGATGAGGGCTTGGAGCAGATGGAAGACAGGTGGCAAATGAGAGAATGGGCGCAGGAGGTGAACAGGAAGTAGGGGTCGAGAAGCCTGCAGGAAGTCCAAATGGAAACTGTGGGTCCCATCCAGCAGGGCCATTCGCACTCTCCAAGGCTCGCTTCCAAAGTCCATCCTCCACTCCAGCACCAGTCCGAGTAGCACCTCCTCCAAGAAGCCTTTCTGGACTTCCACAGCGAGCCCTACCAGTCTCCCTGCTCATTACTCTTCTGTGCTCGGCAGGGTCATGTTTGACCATGGGCATCATTCCACATCTGACTCTTTTAGCTTCAACCAGACTCTGAGCTCCATGGGGACAAGGATCCAGGCCCTGTGACTCACTGTGCTCCTTCCTGCATCCAACTCAAAGCAAAGCCCAGGGTAAATCTTCAATAAAAATGAGGGTGGGCATCATCTCCAATAACATGACAAAGAGAAGAATTTCCCTCTCCAACCCCTGCTGGGTCAAAATTCTGTCTGAGATCTCTCTGTCCTTATCTCTAGGCCTCGGCCCTATCCCGATGCCTCATGCATGGCACCCCTCAGTCAACTGCTTGTTTAACCGTTACTCAGGCCAGGACACAAACCAGAGATCACTGAGGGGCCGGGGGAAAGAAGACAAATCACAAGTAGAGGGGAAATGATGAGGCGGATGTGTCCCTCATGTGACGGGGACTGTCCTCACATAGCCATGGTGCTGAGAGTGTTTTCTGCAAGACGAGAGTGGCTTCCCTGAGACACCTGCCCCCTTTCAGCTGATAACTTCAAAACCAATAATCATGATAAAAATAATCAGGACAATAAGGTATAACTCGTTCTCAGGAAACTTGAGTAAGGCTTACCTGGCCCTAGGAAGAAACATAACTACTGCCTTGAACCACTGTGAAATCAAGCTCCTCTGAAGAAAGGCAGGAGCCCTCCCCACACCATCAGCCCAAGAATACTGTCACTCTCACTAAACGTGTGTGTCTCAGGAGATGAAGAGAGTAAGTACCAAAGACTTGTTTTGACACTCAGCCCACCATGGCACCAGGGACAACAGAGGGGAAAGTAAAAAGGCAAATGTGCAGAGCAATCCATCTGCAGAGAAGCCTGGGGAGGAAGGTGTCTTTAGGGTACCTGCTGTGCATGGCAGGTTCATTACACCCCAAGCCAACAGGACTCTGACCATTCTGAGAGGCCTCTAGAGAAAGGAAGTCCACAGTGTTTCCTGCTCATCTGGATCCCTGCCCTTCCAGAGGTGCTTTCCCCCAGCCCAGGGCAGTGGGGGAAACACGGAGACCAGGTCCTGGTGCCAGCTCTGCCACTTCTCATCTTTGGCACCTTGGCAACGTCACACCTGAGTCACCCCAGGGCTCTGCCTTCTGCTTCCCTATACAATGACAGCATTGAACTATGAAGGTTCCCTCCCGCTGAAAGATCCTGTGACTTCACAAAGGGCAGGAATTCTCTCAGCACCTTAGCATGAAGAACTAGCCTTAATCATTCTACTGCAAATGTACTTTGATGGGCTGCAAAGCTCCAGCCTCCTGGGAGAACCCAGAAATGAGCTAGAACACAGAGTCACAGAGATTTCCACCATCTAAATAGAACTGCATCTTTTCTTGTCTTCTTTCCTTAAAGGTCCCTCCCTTCTTCTCATATTCTAAAACTTGAAGGGATCAAAGGTCCTACTCAGGATGAGGTACCTCCCTGCTGAAAGAGAAATGCAGCACATCCCAGCTGCTGAATGCCAGTATTTATTGAAGTTTGGTACTTGCTATCCTAAACAAGGTGGCCACATGCAGTGGCGCAGGTCATGCACTGCACAAAGGTGCTATTTCAGGGGGGCACTACCATGGAGAAGATAGTTTATATTCAATAGCATATTTACTATGATCGTTTTCTGGAAGATGGCAAAGTGTTTTGATCTAACAGAATCAGTATATTAAGTAATTTCAAAAAAACTGATTTTTTTATTAAAAAAGCAACTTGAGGAAGGGAGGCCTTTTTCTAATTGGCATAAAGGCACCACATGGGCTCTCCACGGCCCCAGTCGTTAGCCTGGATGCCGACTCACAGGAAAACGGCCATAGAGAGATGGGAGCACTTAATGGTCTCTCTACTGCCCCAAAGCAAAACCTACAGTCAAAAATGGAATCTACAAAAGTCATCTACATAGGTTGTAAATCGGACACATAGGCCCAAGCAGAATCCCTCCTGGGGATATTTATATTTTTTGAAGGTCAAATAAAAGAATAATTTCTTAAAAACTGGGTCCTTATTTTGCTCATCACTAAGTCCCAAGCACTTGGACACCTCACACAGTGTCCAAGTGTCCACATGACATTCTATACCTAGAATAGAGTATGCACTCTAAACAAGGGGTTCCCAAACTGGTACCAGTCTGAGGCCTGTCAGGAACTGGGCTGCATAGCAGGAGGTAAATGGCAGGGAAGCAAGCATCACCACGTGAGTGCCACCTCCTGTCAGATAAGCAGCAGTATTATAACTCACAGGAGCACCGACCCTATTGTGATCTGTGCACGCAAGGGATCTAGGTTGCATGCTCCTTATGAGAATTTAATGCCTGATGATCTGAGGTAGAAGTTTCATCTCAAAACCATCCCCCTACCCACCAGTCCATGGAAAAATTGTCTTCCATGAAACCAGTCCCTGGTGCCAAAAAGGTTGGGGACCACTACTCTAAACGGTTTGATGGGATAAGCAAAACCAATGGATACAAACTCTGCTGTTTTTGCTTATGTCAGAAACCTACTGGTGGGGAGTGCAACCATCCATGTCTCCTAAACTCATAGCCCAGAAAGAGACCCTCTGTGGTTGGGCTGGAAAGTCCAGCTTGTCCTACTCAGAATCTTTCACAGGCCTTCCCACAGCACATGCTCAGGAAAGCTGCATGAATGTTTCTGAGACCAGAGAAAACTGGAAATGTACAATCTTCTAACTTCTTTTTACTCATCCTGCAACCCACAGAGTCAGAGAAGCAGTCCAGAAACTAGCTCTAGGATGTCAGCCAGCTCTTAATGGGGACAGGTAAACAAGACAGGAGCAAAATGTATTTTCCATTGTCCTTTTTCCCTCTCGTGACCCCCAGCTTTTCCCCAGAGCTCTCCATAGGATCGCGCACCTGCTCTGGTCTCACTTTGACCAGTCTATGTCCTGGGCATCCAGAGAGCAAGTACCAAAAACTCATCTTCATCCTGGCTTACCTGTCATTCAACCCACATCCTTTCCAGGTAAAGAAGTCCTTGGGATGGCCCCAAGGAGCTCATAGTCTAACCCAGGGTCCCTCACTCAGGGAATACCACATGGCTGTTTTTCAATCTATGATGAGCAACCCTTTTAAGGTACTGGAGGCTGATGAATATCTGACCCCACCCAGCTCTACTGTGACAGGGGCTTCGAAGGCTTCACCTCAAATCAGTGACTAACAGCAGATATCAGGCCCACTAGGAGGTCTAGGGGCCTTTCTGAAGAGCCTCAAATCATGCTACCTACATGCTGTTTGCACAAACCACTCAGTTCTACGTTTTAGAAGAGTGCACTTAATAGTATCGAAAATTACATCTTAATTTTTTTTAAATATGCTACCTGGACCTCCATTTCAGCCCACTAAGAGAGCCAGCCCTACTAGAGGTCTAGAAAATCTTTCTAAATAGTCCTTTTTCTAGGAAAAAGATATGCCCACGGTTCCGGGAGGAGACATGGTGTAATGCAAAGGAATGGGCTCTGGAACCTGTCAGCCCTCCAAGTTCCTATCTTTGTCACCTACAGAGTTACTTAACCAGGCTGAGCCCTGGTCCACAGAAAGGAAAAATAACACCTTTCATGGGACCATTGTGAAGATCCAGCGTGCAGAGATGTGGGAAACACTGCTCCCTGGTGTACATGTGGCAGGTGCACATATATGTTAGTTTCCTTCAGCAATAGGGGACTGTTTGCACTGGGGGCTCTCTTTGTTTCAACATTTGGTAACCTGGGCTAGATAGCACTCCATCCTTATTTGCAAGGCTACTGTAAATCACTAATTTCCATATTGTTGTAAATAAAACCAGATAAAGACGGAGTGAGGGCTGAGCAGTTTATAAGCCCTACCAGAATTATAACTTTGTTACTTTTGCCTAAAGCAGCTCTCTCTCTCTCTCTCTCTCTCTCTCTCTCTCTCTCTCTCTCTCTCTCTGTCTGTCTCTCTCCCTTTCTCTCTTTCTCTGCACCTGGTGTCCCCAGGCTCTTGAACTCTGGCCTCATGTTGCTCTCTGGCACTGTCACTAGGCCGGCGAAGCCACTGACTCAGGACAACCCATGGGTTGCTGTGCAGATGACAAATGAATCTGGGACTCTGTGGGCAAATAGCATCCAACTCACTTCACACTCTATGCCCTACTACACTCCAGGACCCGTCCACATCCCCAACCCGTCCCTGCCTCGCTGGAGGAATTTGGGCTGGGGCCCATCCAGCAGGCTAGAGGAAGCCAAGGAGAGCCTGCTTAAAGCCTGAAAGAGGCTGGGAGGAGCATGTCCTGGCGATTAAGGATGGGCTGAACTGGAGAGTCCTCTCTGGCTGCTCTTGCAGTCTTTCCGTCAACACGTCAGGACAAATGAGGTGTTTCTGTCAATCACTGAAGATGCATGGCACCCCGACTGAATCCTCCCTGAGCTAATGGGGCTGCTTGGGAGACATTCAGCATTGAAAGAAGCTCTTTGTGCAGGGGTGGTGAAGTGTTTTGCAGGAAAGCCTCAGCAGGTGGCCACAAAGAATGTGACAACTGCACCTGGGAGCTGCAAAGCCCCTCCAGGGCTAGTGGCAGCCTCGCAGTCCTTTAGAGGAGCCTCTCAGCTCTAGGGACACCAGCCAGAGCTGATGTACCCCAACCCAACCAAGAGACGCGCAGAGAAGCCCAGACCTCCCATCTGCATACTTGGGCAGACCAGGATAGAGGCCTCAATGCTCAGTGCTTTTACACACATCTGTGGAGTCCTCAGTATGAACAAGGAGGAACTCAAAGAGCTGGACCAGACACAGACTTTGCCCTCAAACAGCTTTTAGACTGGGGAATCATAAAAGAGGCTAGGAAAAAAGACCAGGAGGCTGACAGCTACAGAAAATTTACAAAAGAGAGGCTGTGAGGGATGGAGCTTGAGCTTCCCAGCTCTTTCTCCTAAAGAGCTAGGCCACAAGGTAAGAGTCCCAGGGCTCAGTTCACAACCAGGGAAGAGCACCCTGGCTTAGGTCAGGACAGGACTGAGACCTAATCTGCCCAATTCACTAGCTGAGTGAGCTTGGGGAAGTCACGTCCCTTCCTCTCCCTTCTCTTGCCCTATGCAGGCAAGAGCTTGGATTAGAGGAACCCTGAGGGCCTTCCCAACTCCAGAGCTGCAGGCTTCTTTGGTGCTTCATATTCAATCACTTTTATCACCTCAACAGGGCCTCAAATCCATACAAGCCTCTCTGTTGTCACAGCCTCTTGCTCCTTGCTTGACTCTGTCCCCACTCTGCCTTTCTGTGCAGCTGCGAGCGTGCACCTCTGGGCTCTCAGCTCTCTCCAAGCACCCCGTGCCTCATGCGACTTGCTGTGCCTTCTGGCATCCGCTTCCCAATCAGAAACCTCACACATGTCTGCAAAGCTCCCCCCAGCCAGATCCTCCAGCTCATCTTCCTCTGAACTGTGTTAGTTGTACATATGGAAATCCAGAGAGCCTCCAAGGATTAGAGTCCACGTCTTTTTTTATTTGGAACTCTTACCTGCCGACCCATCATCAAGGACAGGACTCAGCACACTTTTTCTGTAAAGTGCAGGCCACGTGGTTTCTGTCACAGCTACTCAACTCTGATGTTGAGTCACAAAAGAAGTCATAAACAATATATAAGTGAATAAGTGTAGGTGAATTCTGGTAAAATTTTATTTACAAAAGTAGGTGGGAAGCTGGATTTGGCTTGCAGGCCACAGTTTGCTAACTCCTGCTCTAGGACAGGCTTTACTGATAGACATATCTGCACCTGGCCCCTCTCTCATCACTGAAATTGTTTACATGTCTGTCTGCTATACTGGACTTCCTGAAGGCCAGCTCTGTGTCTTTTACCTGTTGAACCCCAGTGTCTGATACTGTGCCTTATATATAATAGGTGTCCAATAAATGCTTGTCCTCTTAATGCCCTGATCTGATAGTACCTGTTTCACGTCTCACAACCTAAGGAGATCATCACTAGGACAGACCATGAGATACTAAGAAGCACAGCAAGAAGATCCACCCACACAAGTTTGGATGATACCTGCCAGAGATTGCAGGGGAACGCAAGCTGGCCTGCTGGCCTCAGCACTGCTCTTAAAGGGTACTCCTTCCTGCTACATCAAAAGGCACATGAACTGATCAAAAGTTTGGACCAGACACTCCAGCTCCTGGATCCATTCCTCCATCTCCTCCCACACTAACCATCCCCGACTGATGGCCCTCCAAGGACTGGGATCAACCAAAGAAGGCAGCCATCTGTGGGAGCTTCCAGGCTCTTTAACCTTGAACCTGTAGCAGATGCCTAATAACTACCACTAACGCATTCATCATGCTGCACCGGTGACGGTCACCATCAAACACATCAGGCCGCTTGGCTCTCTCAGTATTCTTGTGATTAAGTGCAATGATCTCCAGTATACACAAGAGCAGACTGAGCTCAGAGAGGCTATGAATTGTTCAAAATCACTGCAGTGAGCAGCACAACGTGGCCACTAGAAAAAGATGATAAGTCCTAGGCTACATCTAGAATGACGGAGAGGAACAGCCCCTCTATGACTGGTTCATTTCAAGAGGTCAGGAAAATCAGAGCTCATTCAGAGAAGAGAGATGAGAAAGCTAAAGAACTCAAGCCCATAGCCAATGAAAAACGAATGAAGGAACTTGAGGTATTTTACCGGGTAGAGAGAAGGCCAGGGCAAAGATGTGAGAGAAGAAGGATGGTATCTGGCTTCAAACTGCCACTGCAGACTTAGTCGCTGTGGTGCCAAGGGGCAGGGCCAGCCCAGCTGAGGAGGAAGGAAGCATCCCCCTCAGTCTGCTATTCTGGCCATGGCCCAAATACCCATTGAAATTAAGTCCTAGAATATGATGGGGTTCTTAGAGCATTATTTTAATTACTTCACCTGCCTTTTTGGAATAAGACAGTATTTCTCCACATCTTCTTATAAGACCGTATTTCTCCACATCTGTCTTATTCCAAAAAGGCAGATGAAGTAATTAAAATAGTGCTCTTAGAACCGCATCATATTCTAGGACATAATTCCAACAGATGTGGAGAAATATGAATGCTTTTACACTGTTGGTGGGAGTGTAAATTAGTTCAACCATTGTGGAAGACAGTGTGGCAATTCCTCAAGGATCTAGAACCAGAAACATCATTTGACGCAGCAATCCTATTACTGGGTATAAACGCAAAGGATTACAAACCATTCTACTATAAAGACACATGTACTTTTATGTTTATTGCAGCACTATTCACAATAGCAAAGATTTGGATCCAACCCAAATGCCCATCAATGATAGACTGGATAAAGAAATTGTGGCACATATACACCATGGAACACTATGCAGCCATAAAAAAGATGAGTTAATATCGTTTGCAGAGACATGGATGAAGCTGGAAACATCATTCTTAGCCAACTAACACAGGAACAGAAAACTAAACACTGCATGTTCTCACTCATAAGTGGGAGCTGAACAACGAGAACACATAGACACAGGGAGGGGAACATCACACTCTGGGACCTGTCAGGGGTAGGGGGTTAGGGGAGGGATAGCATTAGGAGAAATACCTAATGTAGATGACGGGTTGATAGGTGCAGCAAACCACCATGGCACATGTATACCTATGTAACGAATCTGCAGATTCTGCACATGTATCCCAGAACTTAAAGTATAATTTTTAAAAAAGACAGTAAATAAACATTCTTTCATCAATTCCCACTTTAAAGTAAAGAGCAAATGGTTATTGAAGTGGGTTGAGTAGCGCCCTTACCCTGAAAAATTCATGTCCATGCAGAACCTCATAATGTGACCTTATTTATGGAAGAGGTTTTGCAGATAGAATTTGTTTAGATGAGGTCATAGTGGATTAAGGTGGCCCTAAACCTAATGACTGAGGTCCTTATAAGTAGAGGAAAGGATACACAGAGACACACAGAGAGAAGAAGGCAATGTAAAGATGGAGGCAGAGATTGGAGTGAAGGACTGCCAGTAGCCATAGGAAGCGAGGAGACGGCCATGTGACGATTCTCCCTCAGAGCCTCCAGGAGGAACCCACCCTGCTGGCACTTTCATTTTGGACTTCTGGATTTTGATTGTTTTAAGCCAAGAAATTTGAGGTAGTTGTTCTGGGAGTCTTAAGAGAGTTAGCAACTTAGAAATATGATTGGGTTGAGCATTTCATGAAGAGGCAGTGTGATATGGTGGCTAGAAGAACATAACATGAGGGGCCCAGGCTGGGCTCACATCCCCAGCCAACCATTACCAATTATGTGATCTTGGGCAAGCTATTTAACTTTCCTCTGCCTCAGTTTCCCCTGCTACAAAATAATAAAAGTATCTAGCTCATAAGATGTTTGTTTAAAGCAGTGGTCCCCAACCTTTTTGGCACCAGGGACTAGTTTCTTGGAAGACCATTTTTGCATGGACCTGGGGTGGGGGGATCAGGATGAAACTGTTCCGCCTCAGATCTTCAGGCATTAGTTAAATTCTCATAAGGAACGCACAACCTAGATTCCTAGCATGTGCATTTCACAATAAGGTTCACCCTCCTATGAGAATCGAATGCCGCCGCTGATCTGACAGGAGGTGGAGCTCAGGCAGTAATGTGAGTGATGGGGAGTGGCTGTAAATACAGATGAAGCTTCACTTGTTCACATGCAGCTCACCTCCACTACCGGCCCACGGCCGGGGGGTTGGAGACCCCTGGTTTAAAGCATTAATACCTATGCAGCACTAAGAGTCATGTCTGTTATCAGGGAATGTACCACTATAAATTTCAGCTATTGCAGTAAGCCAAGGCACACAAAGTTCTGGTTTTCCATTTTACTACAATCACTACTATGAATGGGAATAATAATTATGACTCTCTGTCTATTAAATGTGAGGCACTGTACAAACCAGATTGTGCGTGATGTATTTTATCTCCAATTCTTACGATAATGCTGTAAGGGAAGTAGAATAATCTTCATTTTATAGATGAAGAAACTGAGGCTCAGAGAGGTTGACTCATCTGGTGAGGATCACACATTAAGGAGTGGTGGAATCGAGATTCATGCTCAGGTCTATAGCACTTAAGTGCTTTTCCATAATACCACGCTGCCCCCTTGGGCGGGCACCAGTTCTGTCCCCCACTGTGTTACCAGCCCTGGCACAATGCCTGGGTCATAACAAGTATGTCCAAAACACTTGATAAATTCATTGATTCACTAATTATAAGATAGATGCATGCCCCTGACATTGGCATTATTGATTTTTCTCTTAAGCTGGATTCAAATAACATAGACAAACATAGACAACATAGACAAACACAGACAAATAACATAGACAAACAAATAACATAGTACCCAATACCAATAAAGCTAGAGATCATCGATCCCTCAATGAGCCAACAGATTACTGGGAACATCACATTCCCACACTGATTTACACAGCATTTTATGTGGCCATACAAACTTGCTGGAAACAGGATCTGTTGTGACTTAGAGATGCCAGGAAAGGCAGCACTGAGATGTGAGACTCCCTGAAGAAACACACTGTCCAGTAGTACCTTCACTGAGGGTGTGGTTTTCCATAGGAGATGGAGCAGGGAACAAACGCATACCTTATAACATTTTATCCTCAAGCAGATTGCTAATCATGTCCTGCTCAGGCTTAACATTTGGTTTGAAGAAAGAAAGAGAAATTGACCATCAGGAACACTAAAAGTGGGACAGTTGGTGCGTCTACAAGTGTGGAAGGCCTGCGAGAACATGACAGTGTTCTTCATCCTTCTCCACTTAAAACATGGCTTGACACTGAAGCTGTCTGCATTTCCTGCTCCCCAGGTATAAGGATGGGGAAAAGGGAAAGGAAGCAGAAGCAGGGTCAGAGCTAAGGAGCCACGTGAAGCTGATTCCACATAAACAATTTTTTCTTCAAATCATCAATAATCAGCAGATGAAGCCGCAGGCAGGTAAATAAGAAGGGACTGTACTCAAGCCCAAGAAACAAAGCCAATTTCAGAAGCCCTTCAGTTTCTTGGTGAACTTCTGACATGATAAGATAAAAGGAAAAGTCTAAATAAACAAGTTATTATAGCTCAGATACAGATCAGAAGAGGAAAAATAATCTTAGGGAACGGTATAGTCATAAGCACGTGCTAAGTAAGCTCTCTCTCTCGATACAAGACCTGTGTGAAGCACTAGGGTTACCAGGACAAAAGACACTATTCTCATTGTCAAGAAGCTCAATATCTAGGAGGGAAACAGACATGAAAACAAATTATTACAATATTTGCAGGGTGCAATACAAGTGGGGAAGAGGAAACCTAAGGGGTCAAAGAAGACTTCATAGAAGAGACAATGCTTGAGCTAAGACCAACATATTAAGAGAAGAAAGAGCATTTCAGATGGAGAGAGGAGCAGGGGCAGGGGCTGAAGGCAAGAAGCAGCATGACAAGTGGTTTGGTTTGACTCCAGCCTAGGGTGTGCATTTGGGGTCAAGTAAAAGCAAAGAGGTAGCCAAGAGACTAATTGTGAAAGCCTGGGACAACATGCTTAAGAAGTGTGAACTCGTTCTGAGGTGCTTAGAAGCCATTGAAAGATTTTAATGAGGAAATGGCTTAATCAGATTTGCATTTGGAAAGATCACTCTGATAGAGCATGAAGATGGTTTGGAGGGGCAAATCTAGAAAGAAGTTCAATCACACAAGGGTAGATAGTGAGTGCTGGAATTAGATTGTGGCAATGGGGAAGGTAAGGTAGAAACAGATACGGGAAATGGAATTGACATGACCTGGTGTCCACCAGAACACGAGAGGAGAGAGAATCTAAGGAGGCTTCCAGATTCTGTTGTAGTTGACAGGGAGAATGGTTAAGACAACCAGCAAGACAAGGAATAAAGAAGTCGCAGGTTTTACAGAGAAGATACTGAGTTTTTTTATGAAGACCTTAAACTTGAGATGTTTCCAAAACATAAATCCAGGCATTTATGTTCAGGAGACAGACATAAGAGCCTGGGGAACGCAGGATAAGTGCAGGTTAAAGAAGAGCATTTGAGAGTCATCGTAGGTAGTTAGATAGTAACTTAGGCCACATAAATGTATGAAATTGCCCAGAAAAGTGTGTGTAAGAAGAGCAAAGGAAAGGAAAAAGGAGAGAAAAACATCTGAAGACAGAACTCTGAGAACACTGATACTTCAATGACAGATAAGGAAGAAAGAACACATGAAAGAGAATAAGAGGAAGCCCATAGAGGCAGAGGAGATTCAGGAAAGAATCATGGGCTCCTGGACACCCAAGGGAGGGAAAATGTCAAGCAGGAGGAAGGAGTCAACTGTTTCAAATGCAATAGAAAAATCAAGTCAAGCAAGGATTGAATGGATCTTCTCAATTAATAGAAATACCAAAATAAATTAAATAATAAGGAGCAGATTAGGAGTGTTCCTAGAATTTAGTAGATATTTGATAAATGATGGGTGAATGGATGAAAGGACAGATGGATGAAGAGATGGATAGGTGGATGGATGAATAGATGGGTGGGTGGATGGATGGATAGATGGGTGGGTGGGTGGGTGGATAGATGGATGAGTGGATGGGTGGATGAGTGGATGGGTAGGTGGGGGATGGATGGATGGATGGATGAGTGGATTGAGGGGTGGAATGGGTGGGTGGATGGATGGAAGCGCAACTATATTGGCTACCCCAAAATGAATCTACTATCCTCATGATGGACTGGATTTATGATGATTCTTTCCAGAACCAGAGCAATGGACAAAGATGACCTCAGAGCATCCCTTCCAGAATAAGTTGTCTAGTATTCTACGTATGTCTACAGAAAAAAAGAAATGTGCAGTCTACAGAAAAGCAAGAAAACACTTTATAACTATTCTATTGAGAGGGGCCTTCCAAAGGTCACTCCATCTATCCCCCTCTCTGTGGCAGAATGTCAAGAGCAATTTTTAACACACACCATCTAATCTAAAGAAACCCACATATGCATGCATCCAAATCAGACTTTCCAGAAGAAAGGGAGGAGTACATGTGCATCTACCCTACCACCTCTTGCCTTCTGGCTGGGGGAATGGAAAAACTCATCATCAGTATAGCTGCTGCCCCTGGAGCCAAGGGCACAGCCACAGAGCCAAGTCTCTGTGAAATGCATCAGATCAAACTCAATGATCAATAATAAAATCAACAGCCTTCTCAAAGCCAAAGGGGTTGAAATTCAGAAGGGGCAATATTGTAATTTCTCCTGGGGCTATACAGCATGCTCATTTTTGAGATTTACAGCCTTTAACCAATCCTCTGGATGCAAGGCATCATGCTAAGAAGTCAAGGTTTTTGACTAGGTGAGAGACCAGGTTCAGGTGAGTCACAATACAACAATTAAAGGGGTTTATGGACCCCCAGCCCCCCATCACTCCCTCCAGCTCCAACAGGAGAAATATAAACCCCTTATGAGGGCTAACCAATCAAACCATAAAATCCAATAGCCATACAGTTCAGCTGGAAGAATGTTCCTTTGTTAAACAAACAATGTGTCTGGAACACTTTTTGGTCCATTGTTCCATTCCAGGACAGAGACTGAAGCTATAGAAATAAATTAGTGATTTCAATCATGCTCATCCTGGACTGATCCTACTGGCACATGGAAACTTCCTGGCTGGGGCTGAAGAAGAGAATTAACTCTTTCAGGCAAAGGTTAGAGATGAGTGGGTGGGTGGCTAGAGAAGGCAAAGAAAGAGAATTCAAATGTAAATAACTATGGCAAGATAAAGGCAGGGCTGAATGACACTGAAAACAGACAAGTATTTTTTTTCTTCAAGAGTCATTAAGAACAGCAAGGAAAGGAACAGTCAAAAGCATTTCTAGGTTCACACTGAGATTTTATCTGACCTTCATCAACTCAGTCACTGAAGTCTAAAGACCTATCCTACAGTCTAAAGAAATAATGCCTCCCTCTAACTCAAGCTCCCATCAGGGCCCCAGGTACACTAGAAGGAGGTGGATATAAAAAACACTGGGTTTGTGGTCTTCATGCTGCAAATGAGAAACAGTTTGGAGTTATTTTCCAGAATGAGACTTTCTTCCTCTTGAGAAGTTTCTATGCTGCTCTATCTTCTCTACTTGAGGAAGAGAATTTTGAGAGGCATGGACTTTAATGGTACCTTCAAACAGAAAGGCTGGGACCTGCTCTTCCCCTCCCACAGGCATAGAGTAGGGACAGAGCCAGCTTCAGGTCCTGGCCTGCTGGCTAGACAGAGGACATTCATAGCTTGGTCAGACATCAGAGGGACAACTGGCCAAAGGACTGGGGTCATGTGATGGGTCTTCTTTTCCAAGCTTTGGAGGAAACGTCAAAGGTGGGAGAGGCATCAGCTGGGGTGGTCTGAAAGAGCAATTAGGAGGGAGCAAAAGGAATGGAGAACAGGACACAGCCAAGTCGCCCACATCCCCAAACAGAGCTGCCTTTGTTTTCCTGATGCAAAGGACACAGCAGCAGACTAAAGCCCCAGGAAAAAAGGCAGAGATCTTGATCAAACTGGGGCCAGAGGGCATTGCATAGACCACTTGGGGGTCCTCAGAGCCACAAAGGGGAGATATGCTGGACAGGAGGGCAGAGGAAGAAACAGAGGGGAAATTATGAGGATGAGGTTAAGAACTGAATGGGGAGATATGAGAGCAAAGACGGCTGCTGCATGAGCAGAGATGCTTCCTGTGGCTTCCCTGCCAGGGTTCCAAGTGAGCCTGAGCTCCTTATCAGTAGGGAGCATTCACCACCCACCACGTGCCCCATTGGAAACCCCCACCCCCAGCACCATTAACACACACAGCCCGTGTCAGCCTAAAATCTCATGAGTGGCTCCATTTTCCCTTTCCGGGCTTCCCGTCACTCCCCGCCTAGCATGCTGAAAACTGAGCAATTAAATATCTGAGGCCCAAGTGCAGAGCATACACCCCCTCCATTAGAACTCAGGTTCACCTGAGGTAGAGGACACATGTCCCCCAGGGTTTGGACCACCTACTCTACTGCTGAGCCAGACCTAGAGATGCCTTCTCATAAATACACAACCACTCTGTAGAAACACTCATGGAAATGTCATTTAGCTGTTTAATATGCATCCTGAGTAAACTTCTCTTGCTCAGTCATTTATGCCACTGATTGGAAATAGCACAAATCCTAGGGTGGTCTGTGCATGTGTGCGTGTTTGACATTAGGGTGGTGTGTGTGTGTGTGTGTGTGTGTGTGTGTGTGTGTGTGTGGTGTCTGCCCAGCTGCCAGGGTCTCTGGACGTTCTGCATGACTTTCTTCAAGCTTTGAGAGGTGGCCCCCATGGAGAAGCAGGGTGTGGAGGGGCTCTAGGCCGGGAGCCCAGGTCTTCACTTCAAGTCCCTGCTCCTCTACCACCAGGAACTGGGGCTTGGCAAGACACTTTGCCTTCTTAGACCTCGATTTCCCCATCTATGAAATGAGGACTTTGCTGAGATGACTGATCTCATAGGTCATTTCTAGCTCTGACATTTTCTGGATTTCTTAAATCCACTTTAAATAGCACCATGTAATTAGAATTAATTGTTATAATTGCTAACATTGATTGATTGAGCCATGTGTGGCAGGAATTTCTCTAAGCCTTTTCTGTGCATTATCTAACTTAAACCTAATCCCAGCATTGTCAGGTATATATTAAAATTCCTGTTTTACAGATTGAAAAAACCAAGTCACAGAAAAGTTAAAAATGTGGCCCAAGGTCACACAGGTAATGAATAACAGAGTTGGGAAACCTATAGAGGGACAGTCTTCCTCCAGACCCTGCACACTTAACTATGACATTATATGGCCCCATTATAAAGGGAAGAACATTTGGAATCTGGGCCTCTCACCAGTCAAGGTGCAAGGCAATACCAGATAACAGCCACTGTGGGCAGTGATTCTAGCTGCCACCACCAGGACATTGCAAAATTCATGAGAAGAGGATGAAATTACTAGCCTCCATTCAAAGGACAAGGGCAGCTTCAGTTTCAGAGGTGTCATCCTTCTTCCTCTGTCCACCTGGCCAGCCTCAGATGTGGGCTGATATGAATGCCAAGCCCATAATTTAAAGTCTGTCCTTTCGTCCCCTTCCCCCATGGCCCTATCACTGCTATACCTGCAAATCACTCCTGAGGAAAAGCAATCACTGCATCATGGCAAGGTGGCCTGAAGGCAGGATTTGATAGGGCCCCATGGCCATCTTTGTACTGACCCAGGACAGCCGGCACTTTCTGCACCATTCCAGAGGTGGTGAGCAGGCAACAGTAACTGAAACACCAGGAAGCCCTTCCTGGTGCCCAGGCAAAGGTGCCAGCCTGCCTTGGGAAGATGGTTCCACCTTGCCTGAGAGTGTGCATTGGAAGGAAACAACAACCATTGAGATCCTTTTGTTCAACTCATGACCTAGGACAATATGCTGGACCTGCAGATTGCTCTAGACCATCTGAACAGAAAATGGACCAAACAAAAGTAAAAGGAAGCCAGCAGGCAAACCCACTCTCCTCCCACAGCATGATGAAGAAGGGCAAACACAGCCCCCAGCCAGGACTTCTAATGGAGAGCAGAGGGGACCCTAAAGCAAGAACACCCCCTGCCCACCCACCACCATCAGAACCATGTACAGAAATCTGGTTCTGATTTGCTGCAGCCATCCACTGCCTGATTCTACCAGAAAGCACTACAACATTCTTACTCCACTATTTCATCTCCCTGTGGTCCAGCCTTCCCTGGCCTCATGTCAGATTAATATTCCTATTCCGTGGAAGCCGAACAAAATTTCCTTTGGTGGAGTTGACCTCTCCAATTGGCCCTGGCTGCCTGGAAGCTATGAAGCCAGTGGCAGCCACCACCCCGTCCCCACTCCTGGGGTCTGGAAGTATAAACACACTGGGTGGCCCCTGACTCATATAGAAAGTTATTAGGAAGGAGTGAGGCTTTACAAGGTGTCAGAGCTTTCACCAAGCTTTCAAGTTGGGTGAGCTGATCTCAAAGTTTTGCAGAGAAAAGAGCAACTGAATCAAAATTGCACTAAAGATTCAGCCCAGGCTATGTCTGAGGTTCATGCTTACTGTCCAGTGACCAAAGCTGGCCAAAGAAAGGTGGCTGCAAGAATAAAACCAGATGATAACAATAATAACTCACTTTAAATGCGCAGATTACCATATATTAGGCACTGTACTAAGGGCTTCTAATGCACTATATCACAAATCATCTCAATAAACTCAACAAGTAGACACTATTCTTTTTCCCACTTTAAAGATGAAAAAAGAGTGAACCTAAGAAAGGTTTTCCCAGAGTGGCAGAGTCAAGATTTGAATCCAGGCAGTCCAAATCCAGAGTTCAAGCCCTTAACCACTGTGCAACGTTACTAGCTAGCCCCGAGTTCTTTGAAATGCCCCTCAACACCTTGCAATCCTTAATGAGCCATGATGGGGATATTGAGGACTGTCCATGGCTAATTAAGATTCCTGAGCTAGTATATTTCTGCCTCCTTCTGGAAGACAGACCCTGACCATGAATCAACACCTACTCAAGAAAGGGGTCCTTAGTCCATTAAGGCTGACTCCACTCAAAGCCAACACAAACTTTATCTCATCTGTCTTCCTGGAGATCTGCACCACTGCTCTTCTCCATGGGCATAGGAAACCAGTGCTAACTGCACACCCTACTGCCAATGATGCCCAGGAGGTGTCCGGAGTAGGCCAAAAGGAATCCGAATAGAGTCCTGGCCTGGGACTCCGGAACTGTGTTTTAGGAGGAAAGACCCTGAACAGACCCTTCCCAGCCCATAAATCTAAGCTTCCCAGACCATCCTAAGCAAGTTTAAAAGCAGAGAGGAAAAGTAGAGATTTGAACAGATATGTGTACACCCATGTTTAAAGCAGCATGGTTCACAATAGCCAAGGCAAATGGAAGCAAGCGTCTGTAAATGAACGAATGGATAAACAAAATGTGGTATATACACACAATGGAATACTATTCAGCCTTAAAAAGGAAGGAAATCCTGCCATTTGTGACATCGATGAGCCTGGAGGACATTATGCTATGTGAAATAAGTAGTCAGACTCATAGAAGCAGAAAATATAATAGTGTTTGCCTGGGGCTGAGGGGAAATGGAGAGTTGTTGAATGGGCATAAAGTTTAGGTTATGTTAGATGAGTAAGTTCTAGAGTTCTGCTGTACAACATAGTGGCTACAGTCAACAAAATAGTATCATGCACTTCAAAATGTAAGAGGCTAGATCTCATGTTAAATGTTCTTACCACAAATACAAAATGAAATTTAAAGAATTAAAAAATAGAGGGACACAAAGAAACTTTGGTAGATGTTGGATATGTCTATTACCTTGATTATGGTGATGGTATCAAGGGTGTTTGCATGTGTTCAAACTCAACAAATTGTACATATTAATGTATTTCTTTGCATATTAATTACACCTTAATATAGCTTTTTTTTAAGGAAATTCTGATATATGCTACAACATGGATACACTTTGAAGACATTATGTTAAGTGAAATAAAAGGACGTGAAAGGACAAACATTGCATGATTCCACTTATATGAGGTCCTCAGTCAAATTCACAGAGACAGAAAGTATAATGGTGGTTTCCAAGGCTGGGTTGAGGGTGGCCGGAGCATTAGTGTGTGACGGGTACAGAGTTTCAGTTGAGGAAGACAAAAAAGCTGTGGAGATGGATGGTAGTGGTGGTTGCGCTACAATGTGAATGTACTTAATGCCACAAAACTATACATTTTGAAACGGCTAAAATGGTAAATTTATGTAATGTACATTTAACCACAATAAAAGGAAACATTTACAGTAAATATTATGTCTCTTGAAAGTGATCATAATTAAAACTTAGGCTAGGATTTTTTTTAAAGCAGAGAGGAATAAGAAATTCATAAAATCCACACATAAAGAGGAGATACATTCACTGGCCCCAAACCCCAATGAAATGTAATGATGGGTTCACTGAAATATAGGAAAGTGAAAGTTAAATCTTTTGATATTAAATTATTTAAGTAAGTAACCTTACCTAATACAGCAGCACCCTCAGTAAAAATGTGTGATTAGAGATCACTCAAGAAGGGCCCCTGAGCCCAGCCCTGGGGATAAACCACTTCCACTGTGGGGGATGTTGCTCCTCAGGGTTGCCCATGTTTCCCTGCTCCTCAGCAGAGCCTGCCAACAGCGTCCAAGCAAATGAGGACTGGCTAGCCCTGGGAGGCTCAACTAGCCTTATCACTGGGTCACAACTTGTTTTCTCACTTCCATCATTTTCTCAGTCATCCAACTAATGTTTTCAGACATCAGTTGTTTCTGAGCACTGTATACGGCTTTCGAAATAAAGAAGGAAGGAGAGAGAGAAGGATGGAGACCCTTGGGAAGGAAGCAGAGAAGCTAACTCTTTTTTTGAGCACTTGCAATGCGCCAAGCACAGCTCTGAGCTTTTTACAAGCGTTATCCTCTGTGCCCCTCACATAAGCTCTATGGGGTAGATACTAACATGCCCCCCGGTTTTTTTTTTCTTTTTTTTTTTTAGTGGAAACATGAAGTTTTATGAGAGAGAGAAGAAACCTTTGGTGGTGCACAGGGATTTGAATTCAGGTTTGTCTGCTCACAAAGCATGAGTGCTTAACCACTAAGTTACATTGTTCCGGGACAGACATACAGAGGTTGATTCTGTGTCCGCAATTGGTGGGTTCTTGGTCTCACTGACTTCAAGAATGAAGCCGCGGACCCTCGCAGTGAGTGTTACAGTTCTTAAAGGCGGGGTGTCCGGAGTCTGTTCCTTCTGACGTTCGGATGTGTTCGGAGTTTCTTCCTCCTGGTGGGTTTGTGGTCTCGCTGGATCAGGAGTGAAGCTGCAGACCTTCGCGGTGAGTGTTACAGCTCTTAAGGCGGCGCGTCTGGAGTTGTTCTTTCCTCCCGGTGGGTTCGTGGTCTCACTGGCTTCAGGAGTGAAGCTGCAGACCTTCGCGGTGAGCGTTACAGCTCATAAAAACAGTGTGGACCCAAAGAGTGAGCAGCAGCAAGATTTATTGCAAAAAGCGAAAGAACAAACCTTCCACAGTGTGGAAGGGGACGCCAGCGGATTGCCACCGCTGGCTCCAGCAGCCTGCTTTTATTCTCTTATCTGGCCCCACCCACATCCTGCTGATTGGTCCATTTTACAGAGAGCCAATTGGTCTATTTTACAGAGAGCTGAATGGTCCATTTTGACAGGGTGCTGACTGGTGTGTTTACAATCCCTGAGCTAGACAGAGAAGTTCTCCACCTCCCCACTAGATTAGCTAGACACAGAGTGTGGACACAAAAGTTCTCCACGTCCCCACTAGATTAGCTAGATACAGAGTGCCGACTGGTGCATTCACAAACCCTGAGCTAGACACAGGGTGCTGATTGGTGTGTTTACAAACCTTGAGCTAGATACAGAGTGCCAATTGGTGTATTTACAATCCCTTAGCTGGACATAAAGGTTCTCCAAGTCCCCACCAGACTCAGGAACCCAGCTGGCTCCACCCAGTGGATCCCACACTGGGGCCGCAGGTGGAGCTGCCTGCCAGTCCCACGCCGTGCGCCCACACTCCTCAGCCCTTGGGTGGTCGAAGGGACTGGGTGCCTTGGAGCAGGGAGCTGTGCTCGTTGGGGAGGCTGGGGCCACGCAGGAGCCCACAGCTGGGGAGGCTCAGGCATGGCAGGCTGCAGGTCCCAAACCCCGCCCCGTGGGGAGGCAGCTAAGGCCCCACGAGAAGTCGAGCACAGCAGCTGCTGGCCCAGGTGCTAAGCCTCTCACTGCCCACGGCCGGCGGGCCGGCTGGTTGCTCCAAGTGCGGGGCCTGCCAAGCCCACGCCCACCCAGAACTCGCGCTGGCCCCCAAGCGCCACGCGCAGCCCTGGTTCCCGACCATGCCTCTCCCTCTACACCTCCCTGCAAGCTGAGGGAGCCGACTCCGGCCTCGGCCAGCCCAGGTAGGGGCTCCCACAGTGCAGCAGCAGGCTGAAGGGCTCTTCAAGTGCCACCAAAGTGGGAGCCGAGAGCGAGCGAGGGCTGCAAGGACTGCCAGCACGCTGTCACCTCTCAATTCCACATGGCCCCTGCCCTCAGAGAGTTTACATGCTGCTGAGGGACAGTTGGACAAAAAGCAATTACATTACATTACAAAAAGACACTTGGTAAAACATGGGTCAGCATAATAAGTGTCCAGGAGCGCAGGTGAGGAAATCAGGACAACTCCACAAAGGTGGGACTCTTAAACGACCCCTGTCTTACACGTGTCCCATCTCCTTCCCCAGACTGCCAGTCTCTTGGAGCCAGGACTGGGTTTCCTCTTTACACAGCCCCTGTGCTGGTAACAGCTGTGATATGCTGGCCACCAGACAGGCCATTAACCCAGGAATGCCAAAGTAGGGCTCTCAGGTAGAGGGGAAATGAAAGCTTTTAGGTCAGTGCCTGACTGAGAAGTCAACTCTTTCTTAAAGGAGGTATTAACTTCCTACTGATCATAGAGCTTCGCTCAATGAAGCACCCCGTCCAAGACCCTTTACCACCTCCTGGTGGCCTGGAGGACTCATGTGAGTTGCACAAATAAGGCAGGCCCTTAAGGCTAAAAGTCCAGAAAGGAAAGACAATCAGAGGCAATGTGTCTGTAGACAAGCAAAAGCAGGTTCACAGATGGGAAATAGGACTCACCAGGTCCCCTCCAGTCTGTGGCCCTGGGGCTTAAAATTCCATTTTTTTTTTTTTTCTGTCCAGACCTGCATCTTGGGAAAACCAGCACTGCCCAGAAGTGATTAATTCCCACGAGTATTGAGCCCTTGGCTGCATGGAAAATTCTTCCAGGGGCCTGGGGAAGATGACAAGGCCTCCCATGGCCAGAGTCCATTTCTCTACTATGGCAGCTGCTTGGAGGTGCTTGCAGCCTCATTGCCAACCCACTGGCACATTCAGGTCAATGCAGAATGTGCCTCCAACTTATCACACTGGAGCACATTAGACAATGGAACAGACCCCTGTCTTAAGCCCTTTGGGACCCTGTCAGAAGAGGTCCTTCTACTCACAGCTCAGAGCAGAGGTTCACATGTCAGAATATGTCAAGAGACTGCTTTGTCTTTATAAATACCTTAATCTGAAGTTAAATATTCTTAGGCAACTCTGTCTTCTAGGATTTTCCTAAAGGCACACATTAAATTGTGAGATAGAAAGAATTCAGCCTAATAATTTCTTGCCAAGCCCTGTGTTAGGAACTTAGAGATTGAAAAAGATGCAGTCCCCATCCTCAAGGTAGAGATGAACATGCAGTTTACAGCGCAAGTCAGTGAGGCCCATCATAAAGGCATGCATAGGAAACAGGGGCATCCCTGAGGAGGCAGCAGGGGAAGAATTCACAAAGGTACAATATCTGAGTTGGTACACAATCAGTTCATGTTTACTGATGGATAAATATCTTGCATGGCCTTCTGCAAAAACCTGGGCTGACATCTTTTCCTCCAGTGACTGCCTTCCTCCCCAGCACAGTGGAATATCTGCCATTCACTTACAGGATTGGTCACCTGCTGTCTTCTTTCCCTTGCAGTGACACAGAAAACATTGTTTGCCTTTCCCATATTTTACAAGTCACAGCTCATATAGAACTTGAATCTCCCAAACTCACTTCATTGAGTTTGCCTTTTTACTTGCATTCAGACCTCATCACATTCCACTCTCTCCACCTTTGGGGTATGTCCATTTACAATCCTGATAGACTGTGTAGAGATCACACATTTCTCTTCAGACACGTTCTCCTTCTATGCCACCTCAAAATTACTTTCTTTTTGAGTCAGCTTAGACTCAAGCAGTCCAAAACCCAGAAGGGGTCATTAGCATGGACAGAGAGAGCCGAGGAGAAGCCCTCTATTTCTGGCTTTAGAAAAAGAAAGTCATCTCTTAACACTCAGAAAGAGTGGAAGGAAGCCCCCATTGTTTTCTTTTCTCCATTCTTTCACATGCTAGACCACAGGCCCCTAGAAGGAGAGTGAGAGGAACATTCCTCTTTGCTCCCAAGAGGTTGGAGCAAACCCCTGTTGCTTTTTTCTCTGTGTGCGTCCTTTCACCACTTGGCCCCAGACACAGGTGCAGTTTTGGGAAGTATGTGGCAGAGGAGGGTAAGTAGATTCCAAGATTTCTGGCTGAAGGATGGCAAAGAGGGTCTCAGGGGACAGGAAGGTTCTGCAAAGATCACGGAGAGGCAAGAGCTCAGCAAAATGCCCCCATAAGCTGTTCATGAACCCTTTGGCTTACCCTAAAGCTGCATGTGCATGGATCTGATCCTAAATAGCACACTATATACCCTAAGACAGTAAAGACTGAGCTACATAATACATCACTAACCAGGTCTCAACCTGGCCACTTGATAGCATCCATAGGATAGACTCAAATAGCATAAGGCTGTGAAAATGAAACTGATTTTGAAACTACCTACAGAATTCTGGTCAGAACTTGCAACTTCAACCCAACCAGATCAATTGCCTGATAAAACACAAATAGGATTTAATAAAACCCAGATTTCCATAACATAATATTGAAAGTGTCCAGGATACAATTTAAAATTACTGAACATACAAAGAACAAGGAAATCTTTTGTGAGAAATGACAATAGACAAATGCCGATGACAAAGATATTGGACTTATCTGACCAATGCTTTAAAGTAGTCATTACAAAAAAGGCCCAAGAAAGAGCAAACACTCTTGAAATGAATAGAAAGAGACATTTTCAGAAAAAAAAAATAGAAGACATAAAAATGAACCAAATGGGAATTTTATAATTAAAAAATAAAATAACTGAATTAAAAAACTCACTGAATGAACTCAATAACAGAATTGAAGTGACAGAGGAGTCAGTATACTTGAAGAAATCAATAGAAATTAACCAACCTGAACAACAGAGACAAAAAAACATGTTGAAAACAATGAACAAAATATTGGAGACCTATAAGGCAAACCAAAAACATCTAACATTAATGCCACTGAAGCTCCAGAAGGTCAGAAGAATGAGTACAGCATAGAAAAAAATTTGAAAATATAATAGCTACAGACTTTCCAAATTTGGTGAGAGGTATAAACCAGAAACAGATTTATGAAGTTCAGCAAACCCCAAATAAGATAAACTCAAAGAAATTCACACCTAGACACATCATAATCAAAGTATTGAAAACGACAAAGGAAAAAGTTTTGAAAGCAGCCAGAGATAAACAATGCATTACTTACAGGAAAATAGTGATTTGAATGACCACAGATTTCTCATGAGGAGCCATGAAGGTCAGAAGGTAGTGGAGCAACATTTTGAAAATGCTTAAAGAAAAGAATTGTCAATCAAGAATTCTATAACCTGTGAAAATACCATTCAGGAATGAAAGTAAAGACTCCTCTGTGAGGAAAACTAAGGTAATTTATTGCCAACAGACTTGGTTCAAAGAATTGCTAAAGGAAATTCTTCAGAAAAAAGGAAAATGTACCAAAAGGAAACTTAGAACATCAGGAATAAAGAACCAGAAAAATGTTAACTGTCTGTGCAAATAGACTATTCTCACTTCTTAAATTCTTTGAAATGTTTGACAACTGAAAACAAAAATTATAACACTTTCTCATAGAGTTTTCAATTTGTGTAACTATAATACATAAGACAAATACAAAGGAGGAAAGGCAAAGGAACTTCTAAGATGGTAAGGCTTCTTTACTGCATTTGAAGTGGTAAAATATTTATTCTAAGTAGACTGAAAGAAAACAAGTATATCCAAAAATCAACTCAAGATGGATCAAAGACTGAAATCTAAGAAACCATAACATTTCTAGAATATAATATCAGAAAACTCTTCTGGACATTGGCTTAGGCAAAGAATTCATACTAAGACCCCAAAAGCAAATGCAACAATAACAAAAATAAATAAATGGGACCTAATTAAGTTTAAAAGCTTCCTCACAGCAAAACAAATCATCAGCAGAGTAAATAGACAACATATAGAGTGGGAGAAAATATTCACAAATGATGCATCCAACAAAGGACTAGTATCCAGAATCTAGAAGGAACTCAAACAAATCAAAAAGAAAGAAAACACATAATTCCATCAAAAAGTGGGCAAAGAATCTGAAGAGACATTTCTTTTCTTTATTTTGTATGTAGTTTTTTTTCCCTTTTTTTCTTTTTTTTTTTTTAATTATACTTTAAGTTCTGGGATACATGTGCAGAACGTGGAGGTTTGTTACATAGGTATACACAAGCCATGGTGGTTTGCTGTACCCATCAACTCATCATCTACATTAGGTATTTCGCCTAATGCTATCCCTCCCCTAGCCCCCCACCCCACAACAGGCCCCAGTGTGTGATGTTCCCCTCCCTGTGCCCATGTATTCTCATTGTTCAACTCCCACTTGTGAGTGAGAACACGTGGTGTTTGGTTTTCTGTTCCTGTGTTAGTTTGCTGAGAATGATGGTTTCAAACTTCATCTGTGTCTGTGCAAAGGACATGAACTCATCCTTTTTTATGGCTGCATAGTATTCCACGGTGTATATGTGCCACATTTTCTTTATCCAGTCTACCTTTATGGGCATTTGGGTTGGTTCCAAGTCTTTGCTATTGTCAATAGTGCTGCAATAAACATACATGTGCATGTGTCTTTATAGTAGAACAATTTATAATCCTCTGAGTATATACCCAGTAATAGGATTGCTGGGTCAAATGATATTTCTGGCTCTAGATCCTTGAGGAATCACACACTGTCTTCCATAATGATTGAAGTAATTTACACTCCCACCAACAGTGTAAAAGTGTTCCTATTCCTCCACTTCCTCTCCAGCATCTGTTGTTTCCTGACTTTTTAATAATCACCATTCTAACTGGTGTGAGATGGTATCTCATTGTGGTTTTCATTTGCATTTCTCTAATGACCAGTGGTGATGAGTTTTTTTTCATCTGTTTGTTGGCCACATAAATGTCTTCTTTTGAGAAGTGTCTGTTCATATCCTTCACCCACTTTTTGATGGGGTTGTTTGTTTTTTTCTTGCAAATTTGTTTAAGTTCTTGGTAGATTCTGGATATTAGCCCTTTGTCAGATGGATAGGTTTCAAAACTTTTCTCCCATTCTGTAGGTTGCCTGTTCACTCTGATGATAGTTTATTTTGCTGTGCAGAAGCTCTTTAGTTTAATTAGATCCCCTTTGTCAATTCTGGCTTTTGTGGCCAAAAGCTTTTGGTGTTTTAGTCATGAAGTCTTTGCCCATGCCTATGTCCTGAATGGTATTGCCTAGGTTTTCTTCTAGGGTTTTTATAGTTTTAGATCTTACGTTTAAGTCTTTAGTCCATCTTGAGTTAATTTTTGTATAAGGTGTAAGGAAGGGATCCAGTTTCAGTTTTCTGCATATGGCTAGCCAGTTTTCCCAACACCATTTATTAAATAGGGAATCCTTTCCCCATTGCTTGTTTTTGTCAGGTTTGTCAAAGACCAGATGGTTGTAGATGGGTGGCGTTATTTCTGAGGGCTCTGTTCTGTTCCATTGGTCTATATATCTGTTTTGGTACCAATACCATGCTGTTTTGGTTCCTGTAGGCTTGTAGTATAGTTTGAAGTCAGGTAGTGTGATGCCTCTAGCTTTGTTCTTTTTGTCTAGGATTGTCTTGGATATATGGGCTCTCTTTTGGTTCCATATGAAATTTAAAGTAGTTTTTTCTAATTCTGTGAGGAAGGTCAATGGTAGCTTAATGGGGATAGCACTGAATCTATAAATTACTTTGGGCAGTATGGCCATTTTCATGATATTGATTCTACCTATCCATGAGCATGGAATGTTTTTCCATTTGTTTGTGTCCTCTCTTATTTCCTTCAGCAGTGGTTTGTAGTTGTCCATGAAGAGGTCCTTCACATCCCTTGTAAGTTGTATTCCTTAGGTATTTTATTTTCTGAAGCAATTGTGAATGGGAGTTCACTCATGATTTGGCTCTCTGTTTGTCTATTATTGGTGTATAGAAATGCTTGTGATTTTTGCACATTGATTTTATATTCTGAGATTTTGCTGAAGTTGCATATCAGCTTAAGGAGATTTGGGGCTGAAACGATGGGGTTTTCTAAATATACAATCATGTCATTTGCAAACAGAGACATACTCCATCACATAAACAGAACCAGTGAAGAAATGAAGAGACATTTCTTAAGAGAAGATAAACAAATAGCCAACAAACATATGAAAAAATGTTCAACATCACTAATCATCAGGGAAATGCAAATTAAAACCACAATGAGATACCACCTCACTCCTGCAAGAATGGCCATAATTAAAAAGTCATAAAACAATAGATGTCAGCATGGATGTGGTGAAAAGGAACACTTTTACACTGCTGGTGGGATGTAAATTAGTACAATCACTATGAAAAACAGTATGGAGATTCCTTAAAGAACTAAAAGTAGAACTACCATTTGATCCAGCAATCCCACTTCTGGGTAGCTACCCAAAGGAAAAAAAAAAAGTCATTATATGAAAAACACACACGCATGCATATGTTTACAGCAGCACAATTCACAACTGCAAAGATGGAGCCAACCTAAGTGCCCATCAACCAATGAGCGAATAAAGAAAATGTGGCATATATACCATGGGATACTACTCAGCCATAAAAAGGAATGAAATAATTTATTTTGCAGCAAATTGGATGGAGCTGGAGGCCATTATTCTAAGTGAAGTAACTCAGGAATGGAAAACCAAATATTCTATCCTCTCACTTATAAGTGGGAGCTAAGCTATGAGGACACAAAGACATAGGAATCATATAATGGACTTTGGGGACTGGAAGGGGGGTGAGGTATAAAAGACTACATATTGGGTACAGTGTACACTGCTCAGTGACAGGTCCACTAAAATCTCAGAAATAACCACTAAAGAACTTATCCATGTAGCCAAAAACCACCTGTACCACCAAAACTATTGAAATAAAAATATTAATCAAAACAAAAACAAAAAAAGTATATCTGTTGTAATCCCTAGATCAACAACTAATAAAATCACACATAAAGATGTATTCATAAACAAGTTCTCCAGATAATTCTGATAATGCTCAAATTGAGAACCAGTAGACTACACAAAAGAACTTTAAATCTTATTAAAATCCTGATTAGTATTCACTTATAACATTGAAACTCCAGCTTTAATACATACAGTGCCTTCAATTTTCCCCTCCTTTTAAGCCCCACCTTCTAGATGGTCAGAATGAAGATGAAAACAGTACCATTGAAGATAATGGGTGCTTCATAGGAACCTAAATGGGATGGTAACTAACACTGTGTAGAGATATTATCTGTCTCTAAAGATAGGAAATAAATTTACAGAAATAATTTTGATAATTCTCTAAATTTCCTCATGAAGGAGAGAAATAATTCTCCCTATTAATGATTTTTGGCAACTGAATCTCAAAGAAATTAAATATTTTATTTGAAGCCCCAACTGGTTGGGATCTGAGTGCACAGAGAATAGGTAGAAAGGTTTTTTTAAAAAGGATTTAAAACTGGATTAAAAGGGTAATTCGGGAAGAGTTTTGGAAGAAAAAAATTCCAGTTGAGATAATCCATAGTTTAAACTTTTGAAGACAATTCTAATTGGAAATATAAATTTTGGAGTTCTCTTACGATAAAGATGGCAACAGAAATGTTGAACATAAAATAAATCATCTTAAGACTGACTGTAAAGTCACTCCTTAAGATTTTTAGGGTCTTAAATCTCCCTTTTTTGAAGAGAACCTAGGGATGAGCTTTGAAAAGTTTCAATATTTAATCATCAGATAGATGCAGAGACATGAGAGGTGTAAAAAAAGAAAAAAATAAATAAAAAAGAATTCATTACAGCAGAAAGACCCAGCCAAGAAGACTTAGAGGAAGCAGCCAGAGAAGCAGGAAGGAAGTCAGAAAAGTATGGATAGCATCAGGGAAAATGGTGTTTCCAACAGGAAGGAATGTCCTACTGTGCTGAATATTGCTCAAGGGTTAAGGAAGCTAAGAACTAAAAAAAGAAAAAAAAACTGCTCAGGTTAGCACCTACTAGAAACCCTGGCCACCCATACAAGAGCATCTGGGGCACAGCAGTGGGAAGCAGAGGCAGATTGGAGTAGGCTGAGTGACAGGTAAAGAAATGGGCATAGTAAGTAGAAATAACTTCCAAAAAAAGTCTGTGAGAGATGCAGTGATTAAGATAATGAGATATTGGCACAAGGATAGTCAAACAGACTAAGAGAATAAAATAAAGTCCAGAAGCAGATCCCATACAAAGACAAAGTCTTGATTCCTGGCTTCAATAATCCAGCAGAGCAATGAGGAAGAATGGTCCGTTCAATAAATGACGTTGGGTTAATGGGATATCAAAGTGGGGAAAAATTAATTTTGACTCACACCTCATGCCACATACAGACCAAAAAAAAAAAAAATCAATTCTATGTGGACTGTGGACTTAAATGTGAAAAGTTAACAAATAAATGTTATGGAAGATAACAAAGAATATATTCTTAGCTTGGATAGGTGATAATTTCTTAAACAGAATACAAAAAGCACTGACATAAAGGAAAAGATCAATAAAATGACGTAAAATAAAATTGAGAACATTTATCCACCAAAAGAGTGAAAAGAAAAACCACTGAGTGAGAAGAAGATATTTGCAAAATATATACTCAACAAAAGATGTACCAAGTATAGATGAAGAATCCCTTCATGTCAATATGAAAAAGGGAGACAACCCATTTTTTTAATGGCTATAAGACTCAAACAGGCACTTTAAAAAAGAGGATATCCAAATGGCTGGAAAAAAAATATATGAAAAGGTTTTTATCTCATTAGCAGTCACCAGATATTGCAAATTAAAACCACCCTGACATACCACTACACATGTATCAGAATGGCTAAAATTAAGATGACTGACAATATTAAGTGTTGGTAGGATGTAGGGAAACTGGAACTCTCCTACACTACTAATGGGGAATATAAATTGATGCAAACACTTTGGAAACTTTCCAATAGTGTCTACTAAAGCTGGTCATCACCTGCCATATGACCCAGCAATTCCACTCCTAGGTGTGTACCCTTTAGAAATGCATTTACCAAAAGACCTGTAAAAGAATAGTCATAGCAATACTATTCATAATATCCTAAAACAGAAAACAACCCTAACGTCCATCAACAGTACAACAGACAAGGAAAATGTGGTACATTCAAACGATGAAATACTATCCAGTAACGCATAAACCACTACTACACACAACCATATAGATTAATCGCACACACTTAATGTTGGGCAAAAACAAAAGCCAGACACAAAATACATATTATACGATTCCATTTATACAAAGTTGAAAAACAGGCAAAACTCATCTGTGATGCTAGAAGTCAGAATAGTCACGACCTTTGGGTGGTGGGGGTAGGGTCACGACTGGAAGGAGGCCCAAGGGGGACTTCCAGAAAGCTGGAAATGTTCTATTTCTTCATCTGGATGGCAGTTCCTCTAGTTTGTCCACTCAGTGATAATTCACCAAGTTGTACAATAAAAATTTGTGTACTATTCTGATATATGCTATACTTCCAAAAGAGGCTTTTTTAAAAGCCTAGCTATAAAGGAGAGGAGAATGAGAAGGCCATAGCTAGAGGGGTTAATGGGGTTTAGAAAGAGGAGTTTCTCAAGGAAAAAAGTTGAGCCTGTAAAACCAAGCTGCAGCCCAAGAAGCAGCTCATCTCTCATTAAGATGGAAGAGACTCCCCCTGCTGTTCACCTGAGCCAGGACTCCGGAGTCCGCCAACACCTTGGCCATGCATAGTAAGTGCACAGTAAACTCATTGATTGAGACAGTCGCCTCTGGGTGATGCTTCCAGCTTAGAGGACTGGCAAACATCTCTTTCATTGTCATTCCTAATCACACCTCAGAGGACTAGAGACTTCATCTTATTAAGAATTCTAGCAACTCAGCCAAATAGCCAAAGTGCATGATTCCCATCTTCAGAGAGGAAACAGACACACTTAGTGGGTTAGCAGCTGTCCCCTAAAATCACACGGTCCCTCAGAGACTTTGGATTCTGAGATGCTCACTCAGGCAACTCCGCAGAGCCAGGGGAATAAGAAAGCAGTCCTGTGTCATGCAAAGTCACAGATCTCAACTGGAGCCCCAGCTTCACCTCCGCAAGCCTCTGTTTCTGTAAAATGGGAATAATAATCTAACAACAATTGCTACTTCACAACAATTTTGTTAATATATACATTTGGCATGGACTCAGGTGACCAACAAATGTTTGTTCCCTTTCTCCTCTCCTTTCCCTAGGGAAACTGAAGATTCTTAGAAGACAGAAACAGCTCCATTTTGCAAAGAGCTCTGCAAACCAGGGATGCAAAGGTCCCTCGGATTCCAGATAACTGTTCTTAGAACCATGTCATCTGCTGGTCTAGCACAGAGTCTGCCAGTCTCTAGGACAGCTCATCCCTTTTCCTTTGCACAGTGGTTGTTCAGTTTATGCACATGGGTTTCTGCGTTTCTACATGGTTTGGGTGTGTGCGCTTTTCCCAGATCAGGGAGGAGGGATGGTGGGAGGGGGAACACACAGCAGCACAAGTGTCTGTGTTTGTGTTTCAAGCTGCAGCTGTTTATTTCCCCAGATGAATTTAAAAATCATTCCAAATTCATCAGCATCTTCTGAGGAGCCCTCCTAACTAGCAACATGTTCAATACTCCAAAGCTGCAGTGGATAGGAAGCAAGAGAATTGGGAAGGGGGACAGGATGCATGAGTTCCGTTTTTCAGCAGTTCCCCTGTCACCCAAGTTCTGATGGTCTCTCATAAGCAGTATCCAACTCAACCCACATCACAGCCCTGGATTTCAATGTAATCACGGACAACCAAGAGCCCTGAGAGGATGGAGAGGCACCACTATGCCCAGCTTCATCTTCTAGCTCTGGCTCAAGGTAAAGAGTGAGGAAAAATGCAGGCAGGCTGAGACTTACTCCCTGGAACACATGGTTGTTTGGATCAGGCATCCGTTTCTGAGCCCCTCCTAGTCACGAGAGATTTCACTTTCCATGCCCAGTGTTTAGCACCCATCTAGAGGGCAGAGGACAATTTAAAAATGCATTTGTGAATTTGAGTATGTTACTGAACTTCCATGGACCTCCATCTGTAAAATGAGACGCTAATTAAAGACTCTCAAAGGTCCCTTCCAACTCTTTCTGAGTCATCGAGGGCTTACCATAAAATAAAATGGAAAACAACAACAACAACAACAAAAAACTAAAGTGAACTCTCCCTTTAAAAAAAAAACATGGGGGAGCATTTGCTCTACCTCCGCATTTAACGTGTGGTCCCTGCCATCCTGGCACAGCCTGACCACAATCCCCTTCCCCATGGGTGGGGCCGGGACAGGAAATGGCCAAGCACACAGCATCTTCCCAACCTCCCCTCTGGTGCTCAGTCACTTCATCTGCTGAGTATTTAATTAGAACTGGTGATGGCTGTTTGGAAAGAGTCAAGGCCAAGAGGGCAGGAAGGCGTCTCCTTGTTCTCGGCTCAGGAGACTCAGAGAAAGCCCAACAGCTGGGACAGGTCTCAGTCTAGGTCATTCCCCTGCCGGCAGCACTTTGATGGCTTTTTGTATTCATCAATTCAGACGTTCTCCTGGGGAGGGCCTTGACTTCAGATGAGGTGGGGCCACTCTCAGCAGGGTCACTGATTCTCCTCGTCCCATTCCCGACACGCTTTGCTTTCTGAAGCCTGGAAATACACGTTTCCATACCGAGCAAGGCTGCAGCGGTGGCTGCAAGAGGGACCTGGAGATGTTAGCAAACCCAGGCAGGAAGTAACAATGAGCAGATTCAACCTGGAAAAATGCGGCCTTTGCATCTGGGGATAAATAATCAGAAACACAAATACTCAGGTGGGAGGGAGATGCTTGGAACAGGAAGCAGCCAGACAGCATTTGGACAGGAGCTTGCAATGTGATCTGGTGACAAAGAAATTGCTGGGGGATTCATGAGCTGGATGCATGGAGGTGATACCCCAACAAGAACAAGGAAGGAACAAGGGGGAGGACAAGCAGCTGTTCTTTGCCTCCCTGGAGGCCACCACTATGTGGACCAAGGGTTTGAGATGGCAGCAAGAAAGGTTCGGGTCAGACTCTAGAAACATAGGGAGATATTACGTAAGAGCATGGGCAAGCCCCCTGGGAAGAAGTCTGAAGGACCCTGACATGCACAGCCTGTCCAGAGCTGGGGGCATGGATGAGGTGACCTTCAAGCATCTGATGCACACGACTGCATGATTCTGCAGAATACGGTGAGTGGACCTGCTCGGTAGGTGTTGCAGGAGACGAGAGATGGAGGAACTCAAACCAGCCAAAAATGGAATGGAAATTCAAGAGCTGGGAAAAACCACATGACCTGTTCTGAGTTGGAGACAAAGCTGGGAAAGGAACTCCTATTTGCAGATACACAGAATCCCTCCTCCTCAGGCCCACAAGGAAGATATTTTCCAATCCTGTTGCTCCATTGCCTAGGACATAAGAGCATCAAAATGAGGCTCCAGAGACAATTCCCCATGTACATTAGACTCCGAGGGGCCAATCACACAGATGCTATTTGACTTATTCCTTTGCCAACATACAGTTGCTCTGGAGGGATTTCGGTTAGATCTTAGGAAGAACTTCCTCCTGAGATTTGAGATACTGCATGAGCGAGCAAAAGAGGCAGTTTATATTCTCTCTTCCTACAGTCAGTTTATAGGCTAGATTACACTCAGAGATGTATAGAGAGGAAATATCCCCTTCCACTACAGCATAGTGAGAAAGCTACAGTGCACCTCACTTCGAACAAACTTGATATCTGAAAGTCCAGGATTAAAAAGCAGACCAATTAGGTTGCTTATTCACTTTTTTAAAAAACTCACGATAACAAGCTATATTAATACACTTAAATTTGGATGTGAGATTTAAGAATGGCATTCAAAATAGCTAGGCTGGACAAGATGGTTCATGCCTTTAATCCCAGCACTTTGGGTGGCTGAGGCAGGAGGATGGCTTGGAGCCAGGAGTTTGCAATCAGCCTTGGCAATATAGTGAGACCCCCATCTCTACAAAAGAAAAATTTAAAAATTAGCTAGGCATGGTGACATGTGCCTATAGTTCCAGCTACCCAGGAGGCCAAGGCGGAGGAAGACTTGAGCCCAGGAGTTAGAGGTTTCAGTGAGCCATGATCGCACCACTGCACTCCAGCCTGGCCAACAGAACAAGACTCAATCACAAAAGAAGGGAAGGGAAGGGAATGGGAGGGGAGGGGAGGGGAGGGGAGGGGAGGGAAGAGGAAGGGAAGGGAGGGGAGGGGAGGAGGGGGGAGGGGAGGGGAGGAGGGGGGAGGGGAGGGGAGGAGGGGGAGGGGAGGGGAGGGGAGGGGAGGGGAGGGGAAGGGAGGGGAGGGGAGGGGAAGGGAGGGGAGGAGAGGGGAGGGGATGGGATGGGATGGGAAGGGAGGGGAGGGGATGGGATGGGAGGGGAGGGGAGGGGAGGGGAGGGGAGGAGAGGGGAGGGGAGGGGAGAGGAGGGGAGGGGAGGGGAGGGGAGTTCTAGCTCAAACCAGGGCACAAAGGTGGGTGACTTATTGATGGACCCAGGAATGCAAAGGTCTCTATGATTTTAGCTGAGTCTTCCTAGGGACCATCCAGCTTCCTGGTGAGGTATATGACATGGGGGTCTTAGCTCTTGGAAGAGCTTTAGAGACTCTAGAAAGAAGGAAGGACAAAGGCTTCTGTCTTTCTGAATGCAGACTCTCCACAGCACCGGACAATTGCGCAGTGTTGAAGTCTCATGCTGGTCTGTAAAGCCAGGCCAGAAGAGGAACTGGGAATAATTAGGATGGGAGATTACATCCAACTTACAGGTAGGTCATCCCAGAGGCCAGAAAAAGACAAAAGAGTTTGAGGGATCTTTGGACCTGATATTAAGAAACTCTAAGAACAGCTAATCCTGAGCTTCTGATATATGCCAGGCACTGCACTGGGCTCTTTAACATACATTATATCATTTAATTATTTGTTTCCTGGACAAATATTAAGCACCCACTATGTGCCATCCTTCTTCAAAACAATTCAGCCAGATTACTTATACAGAGAAGAAAACTGAAGTGATGTGAAGTATCATATAATTTCCCCACGGTTATATGTCCTCTAGTGGCTCAGCTGAAATTCAGATTCTGGCTGGCATTCTCACTGTGCTTTACACCAGAACCTTCTTCTTCAAGAAACCTTCCCAGCTCTGCCACTCTTGGTTCCAAGCATTACAGTAAGACAGCTAGGATGTGCAAAGATGTGTGTGTGTGTGTGTGTGTGTGTGTGTGGGTGTAGACAGCAAGGTCTGTGCAGACAATTCACAATTATCCAAACTGGCAGAGATGATGAGTGGTAGCACAGATAAACCGCAGCCCTTTGGTCCTTTGGTCCTGGAGGGATTTGTACTCTGCATTTGAGAGTGGAAGATCCCAGCATATCTGTGTAATTCAGCCTGGTTTAGGCTAAGATTAATGACTGAATTAGCTCCCACTTCTGAGCATCCTAGCAGCAGGAAGGGGTGACCCAGAATGCAAGAGGTGGTGAGCAGATTAAGCACTCACCCTCCGTGAGTAGCCCCCACATGGAGGAAACCCACACATGTACATGGGTCATCCTGCATGACCCTGGGCAATTTCCTGCCTTCTGCTTTCTTCATTAAACACTGACCTCCCCAAATGTGCCCACCACATGATCATCCCCTCTTTCTTCATCCCAGAGCAATGCAGGCCTCTGTGCTTGAAGAGTGTTCCAGCCCAAATGTTGCCTGGCTGCTGCAGCATTAGTCTCCAATGTAAGCAGCTTATGGAAGCTGTAGTAAAGAAGGGGGGACTCCCATCTGGGACCATGGTCCTTGAAAAAGGAAAGAGCCAATATGATGTGATTTCCAGAACCTGCTCCACCTGCTGGTGCCCAATACACCACCATTCACCTAAGGCTTTGATCCCTGAGAAAAATGCAGCTGCCGCAAAGCAGGGTTACACTGAAGGGTCTGAATGAGTGGGATTGGAAGGAGGGAGAGTGATGGGAAAACCACATGGAAGGGAAGCCACAGAAGAGGAAGGCTGAGTGTGCCCAGGGCAGACGCCTCGCAGGCCCACCATCACCTCTCCTGATGCCTGTAGCACGAATGAGCGGCGCACACACCTGTGGGTTTATCCCAGTACTGCTTCCGGGGGCAGCTGACACTCCACATCGTCCTGTCCTCCCTGCCAGAGCCCCAGGTGACCCTGGTACCACACGGCCCCGACATGCCACAGCACCCGATGCTCCTTCTCGATCTTCAAATTTTGCAGTGTCATCCTCTAGCCTTGCTCCCCCTGGGAAGCCTTGCCACCTCTCACCCCTGCCTGCTGGCTCCAGACCCATACACCTGTCTCAGGGGCAGTCCTGAGCAGACTGATTCTCACCACAAACACAGCCCAAGGGTAATTAAAAGGTATCTGCAGGGATCCAGCTCTTTCCCAACCCACAAGCTCCCACCTAGGCTGACAGGAGGGAAGACAGGATCAGCAGAACAAAGGGAACAGGGAACAAAATGATAAGAAGAGGATACTCTCAAGTTCAGAGGTGTTCTTCTCCTCCCCTGAACTTTCTTAAGTGGCTGACAATCCAAACAGTGGACTCTAGGACTCCCCTTTCCCCATGCCAAGCTCAGACAGCAGGAACCTCATCCCTGGAGAGGGAGGACACGGCAGTGACTGAGAGCTCAGGCTCAGGGTTTGAATCCCTCACTGGCAGCAAGGGTTCCCAGGGGGGTGAGGCTGGGGGATAACGCTGAAAGAATTGAAGGGAGCACCAGGTGCTGTTGCGTGTTAGGGCCGTGTGGCACCTGGAGCCACCTGGGGCTCTGGCAGGGAGGACGGTGTGGAATGTCAGCTCCCCCATCACCCTGGGGGCAGTGCTGGGATGACCCTGATCAAGTTATGTAACTTTGGTTTTCTTATCTGCAAAATAGGGGCAGTGGTAGTATACGCTTCATGGAGTGGTTTTAAAGATTAAATGAGTTACTTTATGTTCCTAGCACAGTAGAAGCATCTCTTATTACTAATAACTTCAAAAGCAGAAGTACAGGGATCAGAGAGGGAGGGGCCCAAGATTCATGAGGCCCCAGTGGCAGGAAAGAGAGAGCAGGTATTCCTGGCAACACTGAATAGGAAGTTCCTGATGACTGGAAAAGATCCCACCACCAGAGAAGCTTTCAGGACAAGGAGACAGTGCCTGACATACTGTCCCTAGGAAATCATGTCTGCGTCTTTTTTCTGAAGAGCCCATGACAAATCCAAGTCCATGACAAAGTAATCATTATGACCTTGGAATCTGCCCAATGGCACAGAGCCAGAGAGGGTTGAAAGAAAGAAGAGAAGGCCAGAACTAGAAAAGAAGGAAGGGTGGAAAGATACAAAAAAAATCTGCTAACACCCCAGGGCTCAACCTCTTTCCCCAACAGGTCACCAAATCCCCAAAACACTGGACCAGATGACAGCCTGTTCAGGGACTCAGGTTCACCCTACAGGTCTCCTCTCTCTCACCTTCTCTCCCCTATCCCTTCATCCCACCCCGGCTTCTAGCTTTCTCTCTTCGGGCGTCTCCTCAGGGTGGGTGGCTCTGAGCGGGCTGCAGATTGCTGTGGTGTTTTCTTCCCAGACTGAGGAAGGAGATGGGAGAACCAAAGGCAATACTGCTATTGAATGAGAGGCAGGAATTGGAGAAGGTTTCAGTGCAGGAAAAGGATAGGAGCTGACACACAGAGATCCCAGGCTGCTATAATTGGGGGCAGGGCTAGGAGAAGGCACCAAGGGCTTCCTCTCCAGTTGGCCTTCCCTGTCAACTCAAGCTCCTGGGCATCTCTGCCTCCTGGAGCAACTCTACAATGTATTATCTTTGCTAGGCATTATGCTTTGAATCATTCAACAAACAGCACTAAAGGCTATTATATTATCAATATGTCACACATTGTTAAAAAAAAAAAAAAAAGAAAAAGAAAAAAAGAGGCCATCCATGGTGACTCACACCTGTAATCCCAGTACTTTGGGAGATGGTAGGATCACTTGAGGCCAGGAGTTCAAGAGCAGCCTGGTCAACAGCATAGCAAGACCCCATCCCTATTTTTCAAAAATAAAATAAAGGCCAGGCGCAGTGGCTCATGCCTGTAATCCCAGCACTTTGGGAGGCCAAGGCGGGCAGATCACGAGGTCAAGAGATTGAGACCATCCTGGCCAACACAGTGAAACCCAGTCTCTACTAAAAATACAAAAATTAGCTGGGCATGGTGGTGCGCACCTGTAGTCCCAGCTACTCAGGAGGCTGAGGCAGGAGAATCACTTGAACCTGGGAGGTGGAGGTTGCAGTGAGCCAAGATCGCACCACTGCACTCCAGCCTGGTGACAGAGTGAGACTCTGTCTCAAAATAAATAAATAAATAAATAAATAAAAATAAAATAAATAGAAATAAAAATAAATTAGAAAGACACAGTCTCTGTTCTAAAAGTCTTCAATCCATTCAGCGGCAAGCATAGCTCTAGAAGGTGTACTAGGTGCTTTGGTAATGTTGCCCAAGTACAGAATGAGAGGCATTAGATGATGGATGGATGCAACATAGCATCAAATAACATTTTTAAATAACAAGAAAGTCCGTTTTCAATTATCCTGCAAAAATAAAGTCTCCGTTTGTTTCCAATATGTCTTTAACCTCTCTGATGCTAGCTAAGCTTCCTTCTCAACAAAGAGTAAGCAGGCCCCGGTCTCGGATCTCCTGCAGCCAACAGTATCCAGCTAGAAATGAATGATGTCGTTTTGTTTCGGTTGTGCCTATTTTTATAATTATTGTCTATCTGTTGGCCAGTGATATTGGTTCTCCATTTCTGATAATGATAGAATGTTTCCCTTTAAAATAAATTTAAGTTTCAAAAGTGAGCCAATTTAACAAAAATATTCAGCAAATAATAGTCCAGATAGTAAATGGCTACGCCTAAAATTAGGAATCTAGTAAGTAGTGGTATTCAAACTCATAATCATGGTATTCAAATAACCAGTATTTGTGAAACCTTTTACTCTGGGAGCCCAGAAAAGAGGCAATTGGCACATATGCCTTGAACTGTTAACTCTCTGTTCATGAATTTTCTAATTTCCTAACAAGACAGTAAACTCCCTGCACCTTCTCCCTTTGGGGATGCCTAATCCACTCATCAAGCAGTTTCATTCATTCAGAAAATAGGAAGGGAATTCAACTCAGCCCATAAAGAGGGGGAAAAAAAAAGGAAAATTGAAGCACAAAGGTAGACAGGGTGGGAGAGCCAACTTTGGCTTATTTTATGACACATTACAATTCATGAAGTATTTCGCCCATGAACGGTGTGGGCTACAGATCCCAGATAAGAAAATAGACCCGGCATGGCTAAGAACCTTGCACAAAGACACACATCAGTGAACCTGGCCCTTCACTCTCCATACCCTAAGTTCTTCTTGCTACATCGTGCTCCTGGGGAGCCCAGTGGGGAAGGCAGCTCCCACGCATACCACTGATGCTCTCAGCCTTCAGCAGGCAGAGCTGGGATGCCAGACCCTGCTCACAGGCGTGGCCTGAGTTGGTCTGAATGCAACCTCCCCAACTCCACAATGCACCGTGAGAGCAGTACATAGCAACACACACAAACTCGTAACCACGCACGGGCAGCGTGTGCAGGGAGCCAGCAGCAAACCCACACCAGCTCCGAGGACCCTGGGGCTTCCACTCTGAAGCCTTTGGGGGTTCCCGTGTCTGCAGAGAACAACAGAAAAGCACACCCATCAAATTCCACTCCTTCTGTTTCCTGTTCCTGAAAAGCTGCTAAGACTCACAGGTCCTCTCTGAGGCCTGAGAAGCCTTCACCCTCCAACGGCCTGTGGATGAGCTAAGTGTAAGTTCCCTGGGCTGGAAGAGCCCAGAAAGAACGGATCAACAGCATGGGCTAAAATATCCACGGTCAAACAGACCTCAGCCCTTACCACCTGAGAATAATCAATTCCTGAGTGGAAACTCAACAAGGCAGTAATACGAACACCAGCAGTCACCCTATCCAAGCCGAGAGTCCGACTGCCCAGGGTGCTGGGCTGGACAGAAAGTCCAACTGCTGGCCACAGTGGAGTGGTTTGCAGTAGCCGAGACTCCCAACCCAGTGATGCTCAAGGAATGGTAAACACATTCTGGGAGACATCAGAATGGACCCAGGGTTCCCTAGGAGGCATTAGGCCATAAATGGCAATTTCCATGAATCATCATGGAACCCTCTGACTTTAGCTAAGCTCCTGGGCAAGCCAAGAGAGGTAAGAGAAGATGAGGCCTCCTAAGTGCATCTGTCCCGCTCAGCAGACAGTGACACAGCTAACATCCCCAACAGCTGCTCTTCCTTTTGCTTCCATTGTAACTGTCGCTTTGTTTTCCCTTACAATTGTGTGCACAGAATAGGGAAGGCAGGGAATAAGTGGGGTGCACCATTGCTTGTATTGGTGCCTGAATGTAAACAGGAGCATTATCTCCTCTGGAGAATGGCCTTCACTCCACACAGAATCATGAGTCCACTCAGAACAAGGGTCATCCGCCTTTTGAGCAGAATGCATCATTACACGCTGTAGGTCCACAAAATAGCAGAGCAGGAAGGGGCCCTGGAGACTGGTGGGAGCTAGGAGAACATGCACAGATCATGATGCTGTTTGCAAGATCCTTTACAAAGGTTCTTAACGTACCAGCATGCTTAATTCCACCATTAAAACTAGGAATAATTCTGTAGAAAAACCCACAACCCAAACTAAGCCTAGAAATTAAACATGATTGGCCAATTCCACATGCTCCCATTAATATTCTCTCACTTCTCACCCACTCCTTTTGCCCTCAACAAGTACTTACTGGCAGGCAAGGGGTAACAGCTTCCAAAGGTTTAACAAAAAGATATGTTAGAACAACTGTAAATTGAGAAAACTATCTTTATTCATGTTACTTTTTAGTAAATTGCAAAAACTTTATCAATTTTTTTATTTTGGTATAGACTACCTTACTCCAAGTCATGGGAAGACAGTACTGTCAGATACATAGCTGGAGAATCCCTGATTTCACACCCAACCTTCCCTTTTTCCAGAATAGAAGTCGAGATCCAGAGAGAAGCCAGTTGGCAGCAGACAAGGTCCTAGAACCCAGGTCTTCCAGTGCTCAGCTCCCTTCTTGGGTTCAGGCACACCATGGACTAAACAACATGCTTCCAAAGTGCAGTTAGCTGTGCACACGGAGAGGCAGCTGCACAGCAGCACACAGGAGCCCAGCATCATCCCGTGCCCCACAAGTGCACCTGCAGCAGGACTCTTCAGGAGCCCTCTCTGGGCAGTGCGTGCCCAGAGAGCAGGCGGTGGGCGTTCCTATTTGATCTCCCTTCATACAGCAGCCAGGCAGGACTGCCATGCTCTACCTAAGGCTTCTCCTAGGCTTTGGGGAATATGTTCAAGGGCATGTAGGCATTTTGGGGCCATGGAATGGAACCTCAGGACAGTCAGATGAAATCTATGGACCCTACTCAGAATGTTTTTAAATGTATAAAATAATTATCCGAGGCAACAAGGAGACTAAATGTATAGAAACAGAGTTATCCAAATAGTTAAACATAAATTTGTGATATAGTAATAGACTTCCTTCTCTATTAACACATGAAATAATGAGACCTAGAGACACATCTAAAAATTGGCATAATTTCTAAGTACAAATGAGTATAATTTGTTTTCGAGATTTGTGCAACAAATTTGATATGATACAAATCTATGTGTTTGTTCTTGTTGTTTTGTTTTTTGAGACAGTCTCACTCTGTCACCCAGGCTGGAGTGCAGTGGCACAATCTCGGCTGACTGCAATCTCTGCCTCCTGGGTTCCAGCGATTCTCGTGCCTCAGCCTCTGGAGTAGCTGGATTACAGGCACGTGCCACCAAGCCTGGCTAATTTTTGTATTTTTAGTAGAGACAGGGTTTCACCATGTTGGCCAGGCTGGTCTTGAACTCCTGACCTCAGTGGATCCACCCATTTAGGCCTCCCAAAGTATTGGGATTACAGGTGTGAGCCACAGAACCTGGCCTCTATGTGTTACTTCTATTAGTGACAGTCACAGGAACTCATCTTAATGTAGGTTTTTGCCTATATTATTAATTGAAGTAAATACTAAATGTCAGTTAAATGTTGATGAAAATAAAGATGTAATTTTCTATCATTCAAGTTTGTGGATTCTACCCCTGAATTCTATCCACAAAACCCTCAAGATTCAAGAACCCTTGATGCTGTCATATGGCCCCAGGAGTCATCAGATATAAGCACCCTAAGAAGCTGTCCAGGGGTAGCAGGGAGACTCTGTCTTCAGTGAAGGAGGACACTTAAGGCTGAAGTGGCCCCAAGAACCACCCTCATCATCTGTCAAGCCCAGATATAACCATTCTGTATCCTCAGACCTCAAAGCCTTAAAGACTCTGTCTACCACGTACACCACCCACTTCAGCTAAACCTTTCACACTTGCACAGTCCACGCCAGCATCTCAGCATCCTGAGGGTGAGTTCTTCCTGGAGATCTGACAAGGGTAGGAAACAGAGCTCACCCACTCCTGCTGGACCCCAGCATCTGCGGGCAGGGAGAGGGAAGTTGATTTCACCCAGACCTTCACAACAGAGTTAAGCCTTCCCAGTCCATCAGACCATCGGTCACTCTCCCAGGACTCTTTTCTCACCTCTGTTACTGCACTTTTAGACCCTATTTGATTCTCCCAGGTCAGGTCTGCTTCCCTTGAAAGCAGGGGCCATGTCTTATTCACCTCAGCATCCTCAGCTCCCAGCCCACCCAGGACCCAGCACCTAGTAGGTGCTCAGTAAATGTCTGCTACATGAAAAGCAGGAGAGAGGGGCCAGAGACTGAGCCTGGCAGGTCCCTCCTGGCAGTTGCTTTACAGCTGCTGTGACTGCCCAACCAGCCCCAGACCGATAAAGACCCTGAACTTATCAAGTGACAAATGCAGAAGGGCTTTCCTTCTCAATGTGTGTCTCAGAGCCCAAAACATCTAGCAGTGCCATGAAGAGGGACGATTAGCAAGATAGAAACCAACTGTCCCCCGAGTCTCTCTTCACCAAATGCAGACATTGATGTGAATGACAGTAGGAAGCACGGGTGATACTCAAGATATTTAACAACCAGCATAACACATTGCGAATCAGGGCAGGCACCAGCCACGAACACCAAGTACAGTCGTACCAGGAATACCAGTCAGATAGGGAGATAATAACTTTGCTAGGAGGAAGACAGACTAACGCAAGGAAGCCAGACTCCCTTAGCTTATTTGTCTGCATAGACTCTATAATGTCAGTATTTAATCTGATTAAGGCATTAACCAGCAGTCTGACCTTGTGCCAGTCACATATTCTCTCTGGGCTTCAGTTCCCGCTCTAAGATGAAATTGAAAGAAATTATCCAAGCTGTTGTTACAACTATAATGTCCTATGATCCCATCTTCTCACACATCACAGGTGGCACCCAGTAACAAAGAAAATCAGCAAAGCACACAGCTGGCTAAGGTGATGCACAGACCAGAAACCCTTGACAAGGACAACCGTGACATTCGTTGAGCCATAGCATCTGGTACTGCAGTTTGGGATATGGCAGATCAAAGCCCAGAAACCTCCTTCCAACCCCTTCTGAGGAATCCTAGAGATCTCCAGAAGCACCCTGTCAGTTGGTAAAAGACTCCAGACATAAAGGACTTGGTAAAGAGCCACACCCAGCTCCCTTCCTCCTCCGTGTAAACCCTCAGCCTGCTTTTCACTAGACCCACTGCCCAGCTTTGTGCAAAACCTGGACACTGCTCATCTCTGTGGCTGGGTGAGTGCCACCTCCTGGGGAGTATGAGAGAATAAAGAACAAGAGGAGCAGAAGCAAGAAGACCTTATTTCAAGGCCCAGCCCTGCTACTCACCCACTTGACAAGGTGCTTTACGTTTCCTAGTCGGTGAGAAGGGACATTAGCTGCTCTAACCTCCTCAGGGTTGGGGAGGTTGGGGTGGGGGGAGGCTAAAACGAGCATCAGAGGAGAATGCTGAAGGTTAATGTTTTCATTATAGAGTCTTTGGAGATGGAAATAGACATGTACCTGGATTTGGGGGCTTGGAGGCTTGCCTTGCCCCTCCCTGCTTTCCCTGTGCATCCCCACCCCAGGCTGCCCGGAGGCGTCCCCTCTGAGATCAAATCCAGCCAGCCCTACTGTGCCTCCCTGTCTCAGCTGTGCGGTCCCAGGGGCAGGGGCTGCAGAGTTCTTTGTTGTGTTCCCCAAAGATCCCTCGGGGTAGGAAAGAGGCAAGGGAGAAGCCCAAGGTCCCAGCCTGCTGCCTCAGGGTGGGACAAGCAGGACAGGAACACAGCCAAAGCCAGAGGGAAATCATCGCATCTTCCCCAGTCATTAGTGTGAGCAGCAGCGGCACGACTGTTCCTACACTCAGGAGAGCATGGCAGCGTCACGAATAAACAGTAGAGACGAGGGCATCATTAAAACCCATATTTGCATTTTCCCTGCGTTTGCTATATCCTTTCCTAGGAACACAAGCAACCATCCCACTCCAGAGGAGAAAATAGCCTCATTTTATAATGGAGTCAATGGGGGCCTGGAGATCCCCATCCCATAGAAATACACCACGCCCCGATCCAGCACCAGCAGCCTGCCCTCTGTGGATGTCCAAGACGGAGCAACGGGCAGGAAGGCCTCCAGGGGACGCTGTCACCCTAGAAAACCAAACAGCAAGGTTTTCCTAAGGATTCTAAGCCCTAGTTTCCCCAGCAAAGCAAAACCAAGCCAGACTTGAGAATTATAAGAGGAGAACTGCTTCAAGACAAGTTTTATATAGGTAAGAGTGAGGAAGACAGCGGCAAGTCTGAGTGTTCGCCCTGTGAGGTGATGGACTGATCTGGGTCCCAAAAAATGGTCACCCAGGGCCAACCTGTGCTTCAGAGGCCACAGAGCAGCCTCCAGGGAGGGCAAAAAGCCCAGAGTCCAGTGGGCTCACGGCCCTGGCGCCACACGCTCCTTCTGGAAAGGAAGAATAGGTACTCCGTAAATCAGTCCCGCTTTGAATACGTAACTGCTGACCTCTGCAGAGAATCTCTGTGAATTCTGGGGAGGGAGGAAGAGAAAACTACTATAAAGTGCTTGGTTGGTTCTCCTCGGGATGACAAGGATCCCAGAAGCTCCAAAGCTCAGACAGGGTCCAAATCCCAGCAGGACCCCTTAGTGGCAGCGTGACCTTGGCCAAGCCACTTGGCCTGTCTCCTCCAAGATGGGAATAACAGCCCCTTGCAGGGTATTCATGAAGACTAAATGAGCACAAGTGAAAGCAAAACCACACGTGATGAGGCTCACAAAAGGCACTCAGAAAAGTCCGTTTTCTTCCTTAAAACCATAGATTAAATCTCACTCTAAAGACAGAATTTCTGAAAGTCACCCCGACCTCTTCCTGAAAAGGAGGTGGAAAGTGGGATGGCGACAGAGCCTGAGAAACAGTGGCAGCTGGTTTTAAGAAAGTGAAGCCTTTGGGACGCCGAGACAGGCGGATCACACAGTCAGGAGTTGGAGACCAGCCTCAGCAACATGGTGAAACCCTGTCTCTACTAAAAATACAAAAATTAGCTGGGCATGGTGTTGTGCACCTGTAATCCCAGCTACTCAGGAGGCTGAGGCAGGAGAATCACTTGAACCCGGGAGGCGGAGGTTGCAGTGAGCCAAGATTGCGCTACTGCACTCCAGCCTAGGTGACAGAGTGAGACTCCATCTCAAAAAAGAAAAAAAGAAAAAAGAAAGTGAGGCGACATTCTGATTTTCTCAGTCCTCTCTGCTAAATGGGCCTCCCTGGGAGGGCACGATGTCACACACCCAAGATATCCCCCTTTGACTCAGTGCTGCAATTCAGGTTGAGATGCCAGACATCCAGGCTCTGCCAGACCTACAGGGTGAGGAGTCAGGGGTCAGAGACATCTCATGGCATAGGAGGAGGGAGTCTCCTCTCTGCAGAGAAAGGATTTGGGAAATTCCTGGATTCACACCTGATACCGAGACAGAGTAGGGCTCCACCTCCCGAAAGCAGCTGTGGGCCCCCAGACTTCCCTGATGGTACGCTGTCCCTTCCAAGAACAGCCCGTAGACCTGCTGGCGATGCCAGGCCACGCTGAATTTTAAAGCCAACTTCTGCTATCAGTTCCCTGGTGGTCCCTCAATCTCAAGAAAGCCAGCCCCTAGTAAGGGGGCACCTGGCCTCCCTGTCATGCCATTCTCCATTTCCAATTTCAGCTATCTAGCTGCCCACAAGGATGAAGCTTGGGGCCATGTCTGCTAGGATTTCAGGGCCTGCAAGGTGAGAGGTCTTTAGCTAAAAGTCTACAAACATGCCCTCCTGGCTTCCACAGGATTGTACTGTGCCTGGTTCTCAGACCCCTCCCTCAGGTGCCCCTGGTGACACCCATGCATGTGAGTCTCTGCCTCTGCCCTGCTCGCTCTCTGGGTCAAAGCAGGAGGTTTCTTTAAGAGAGAGTGGGAGGAGGTGGGCCGACCAGACCTCCCCAGAGCTGTGTCAGAGCCTGTTCAGCTCACCCACTCGCAGTCCCGCCAGGACTACAGGAAACTCTCTGGACGCTCAAGGCTGGGGCAGTCTCCTGAACTGCTTAAATTAGCCCCCAACTCTGACACAATGCACAGCACCAACAGGTGGCCCTCATTTATATGAATTGGTAGGGTGCAGACGTCTCTGTCACCCATAAGCATCTCCAACGACGTCTTTAAATGAAATTCTAATCAAACGGTCAAACTAAGAAAGCAAATGTTCATACTTGAAAGAAAATTTAGTATTTTATCAAATGACATATAAAGACATTTGATAAAATGCTGAATTGTCTTTAAAATATGAACATGGACAATATCAATACATGGAAATATGCACAAAAAATGAAAAAGTGAAATGCCAAATGGAAGGTATGTGCCAATTATCATCCTGTCAAAAGCATGCCCAGGTATCAAGGAGGGTGGGAAGTGAATTATCTGCTATTCAAACAGAGTTCAGTGGATGCGAAGTTCTTTTGATCTGTAAGGCTAAGTGAATCATTTTTAATGGGTCTCTGATAGGAACCCATTTGCTCTCCATTTGCCTTAAAGTCAATGAACCCAGAGCCTAAAAGATTGCCCAGCTCAGAAGGGTGGGACAGCTGAGCAGGTGGGGCCACCGCACCTACTGTTCAAACTGCCACCAGGTGCAGTCAAGCAAGTCTCCCTCTCCTGTGAAGCCCCCATTCCAGGCTGCTGCTCACAGCCAAGGCCAAGCATCTTAACATGGTGAAAAGTTGTTCAGAACCTCACAGCCTCTAGCTGATGAATCTCCAAGCACAGTTTAACACCAACATGGCATGGAGGGAGCAGGGGATATCACAGAATGCTGCCCCAAAGGAGGCGACGATTCATTCTCGATCCTTTTTTTCAGTGGCACACAACTGGAAGCAACCTAAGTGTTCATTATTACTAGGGGAGTGACTAGGTACACTGTGGTGGCTGCAAACTGCTCATTCATTAAAATAATGGAGTCTGGCCAGGCACTGTGGATCACCCCTCTAATCCCAGCACTTTGGGAGGCTGAGGTGGGTGGATCTCTTGAGGTCAGGAGTTCAAGAACAGCCTGGGCAACATGGTGAAGCCCCGTCTCTACAAAAAATACAAAAATTAGCTGGGCATGGTGGCACACACCGCTGGTCCCAGCTACTCAGGAGGCTGAGGCAGGAGGATCACCGGCACCTGGGGAGTTGAGCCTGCAGTGAGCTGAAATCACACTGCTGCAATCCAGCCTGGGTGACAGAGTGAGGCCTGGTCTCAAAAATAAATAAAAATAAAATAATGGAATCAATGTACATGCAGAACGTGAATGGATCTGAAAAATAAAGTGCTAGAGAAAAAAGTAAAAAACAGAATGGGCTATAAAACAGTACCTTCTATGTAAATTAAGAATGCATACAGTTCTGAGAAACTGTCACCACCAAGAGAAGTCTTAGGAGACCTGACAACTCTGAATAGAAAAATCGCAGCAGGTTAAAAAAAAAAAAAAAAAAAAAGGCAGCAGTAAGGAAATCTGAATAAAGTGTGAATTTTAGTTAATGATAATGTGTCAGTATTAGTTCATTAACTGTAACAAATGTATCCTATTAATGTAAGGTGTTAATAATACAGGAAACTGGGAATGGGGTAGATGGAAACTCTGTACAATCTTCCAATTTTTCTGTACATCTAAAACTGTTCTACACAATAAAGTCTTTTTTTTAATTTAAAAAAAAAAACAAAACACTGTATCTTTTCCAGAACGACGATGCCTTGGAATGACTGCCTGCGAGGTAGCAGGCAGTGCAGAGTCAGGGGGAGATTTAAATAAATAACCCAAGTTATTGTGCAGATCAGTGATAGTAATGTGCCATGGCTGAAAAGTAAACTCAACGCTTTACACGCGAGGTCCCAGCACAGATCATAATAACTACCTTTTGGAAGACAGAGACAACGCTGCAAGACAGTAGGCCACAATGAGAGGTGGAAGTCTGATGACAGGGACGCTGGGGGAGGCTGTGTCACCTGGAGTAGCCTCATGAAGAAGTGCTGAGTGGCCTTGAAGCCATGGGTGGGGGCTGAGAGGGAGGAGTCTGGGTGGTTATACAACAGGAACAACAATCCAGGACCCCAGTCTAACACTGGTCAGTCGCAAGAGCCATCTCTTTGCCCTCCAAATTCCCAGCCAAAGCGGGGAACATCTGACAGAAACCAGAATGAAGCATGGTGGGGAGACGGGGGCAGCCAAGATGGGCAGTGGTGTTGATAGTAGCATTAAGGGTGGCCAGGACCATTACATTTTAATTTCAGATCCATAGTGAATAATTTTTAGTGTATGTCCCCAATATTTCATTGTACATGCTAAGAAAAAAAAAAGTATTCACTGTTGAACTGAAACTCAAATTTAACTAGGCATGCTGCATTTTTGTTTGCTAAACCTGGCAACAGTAAATAATAATAATAGCAGTAATATTCTTTGTTAGTGTTCTAGGTACTTTATTTAGTTACCTTGTTTCATCTTCATAATAACCCAGTGAAGAAAGTACTGTTATTATTATTCTCTTTTTTCTTTTTTTTTTTTTTTTTTTGGAGACAGGGTCTTGCTCTGTCACCCAGGCTGGAGTGTAGTGGTGCCATCTCAGCTCACTGCAACTTCCACCTCCAGAGTTCAGGCAATCCTCCTGCCTCAGCCTCCAGAGTAGCTGCGACTACAGATGCGCACCACCACACCCAGCTAATTTTTTGTATTTTTAGTAGAGACAGGTTTTCACCGTGTTGGCCAGGCTGGTCTCAAACTCCTGACCTCAAGCAATCCATCCAACTCACCGTCCCAAAGTGCTGAGATTACAGATGTGAGCCACTGCAACCAGACCTGTTATTTCCTTTTTATAGACCAGGAAGCTTTACCAAAAGGATGAGGTAAGCTAAGCAAGGTCATGAGCTAGTAAGTCAGGCCTGGAATGTGAACATATGTAATTGGCCTTAAGAGCTCACTCTCTTGAGCACAGACATACTGCTTCCCAACCAGGCAGCTGAGTGAAGCCCTGGCCTCTGCTCCCTAAGACCCAACAACAGAGGTACGCACCACAGCTCCCACATTGGTAAGTTCCTGGAGCGAGAATGCATCTTCACCTTGGAGAGACCATCTCAGCAGACCCCAGCTGGAGCCACCAAGTGAGCTCTGGGTTTCAAAAAGTGAAAATCAGCACTCCCACAGCAAGGAAGCCTAACGCATCCCTAAGAGAGCTCCCTCTTCCTACATGGGTGGAAAGACTAACCCAGGAAGAATGTCTTCTGCCTTAAGGGTCTGGCAAAGCAGCACAGGCCAGCACCATGAGGCATGAGCCAGGCCACATGCCATTCTGCCTAGGGACAGGGGAAAGGAAAGGATGAATGACCTCTGGGGATCCCTTCCAGTTTGAGGAAAGCATTAACTTGAATCTTTTTTTTTTTTTTTTTTTGAGACAGAGTCTCCCTCTGTCGCCCAGGCTGGAGTGCAGTGGCACAATCTCAGCTCACTGCAACCTCCACCTCCCGGGTTCAAGCGATTCTTCTGCCTCAGCCTCCCAAGTAGCTGGGACTACAGGCAAGCACCATCACGCCTGGCTAACTTTTTGTATTTTTAGTAGAGACAGTGTTTCACCATATTGGCCAGGCTGGTCTTGATCTCTTGACCTCATAATCCTCCAGCCTCAGCCTCCCAAAGTGCTTGGATTACAGGCATGAGCCACCACACCCAGCCAACTTAAATCTTATCAGGCAAACTTCTGATGAAAATGGCACCTCAAGCCTCAGCATGACACCTTTTAAAATCATCATGATGAGCATTTATTGAGCACCTATTATGTACCAGACATTGTGCTGAAATTTTCATTGCTCCATCTAATGATGAGGCATGTTTAAGTATAATCCAGCAAGGCATCTATTACTTTGCAGATAAGGGACCTGAGGTTCAGGGAGGTCACTCATATACTCAGCTGACACTTATTAAGCACCTATATGTGCCAGAGTCTGTCCTGGGTGCTGGGGATGTGCAGCGAGCCAAACAAGATCTCTGCCTTCATGGAGCTAGTGGGAGCACAGATAAAAAACAAACAAAAAAAGTCTATCATTGTTATTCCAGGTGGCAATGCTGAGTGTGATGAAGAAAAGTAAGGCAGGATCGAGGGACAGAGAGGGACGGGGTGGGGGTATTTTGGCTAGGATGGTCAGGGAAGATGTCAGGAAGGAGGTGACATTTGAGCAGAGAGCTGAAGAGAGGGAATGTGATGCACAGGTCTGAGGAAGAGTGCCCAAAGCACAGAGGGCAACAGCACAAAGACCTGAGGTCAAGGTGCCCAAAGCAGAGAGGGCAACGGCACAAAGACCTGAGGTCAAGGTGCCCAAAGCAGAAAGGGCAATAGCACAAAGACCTGAGGTCAAGGTGCCCAAAGCAGAGAGGGCAACAGCACAAAGACCTGAGGTCAAGGTGCCCAAAGCAGAGAGGGCAACAGCACAAAGACCTGAGGTCAAGGTGCCCAAAGCAGAGAGGGCAATAGCACAAAGACCTGAGGTCAAGGTGCCCAAAGCAGAGAGGGCAATAGCACAAAGACCTGAGGTCAAGGTGATCAGCCCACACCCAAGATGAGGCCCGTGACCTGCAGGAAGGTAGGGAGGGTGGGAAGGGTAGGAATGAGTTTGGGGGAGATGGCAAGGGAAGGTCATTTTTTTTTCTTTTTTGAGACGGAGTCTCGCTCTGTCACGCAGGCTGGAGTGCAGTGGCGCGATCTCGGCTCACTGCAAGCTCTGCCTCCCAGGTTCATGCCATTCTCCTGCCTCAGCCTCCCGAGTAGCTGGGACTACAGGCGCCCAACACCAGGCCCAGCTAATTTTTTGTGTATTTAGTAGAGACAGGGTTTCACCATGTTAGCCAGAATGATCTCGATCTCCTGACCTTGTGATCCGCCCGCCTCAGCCTCCCAAAGTGCTGGGATTACAGGCGTGAGTCACCGCGCCTGGCAAGGGAAGGTCATTTTTAAAGGATCACTGTGGTGTGGATAAATGGATGGATGGATGGATGGATGGATGGATGGATGGATGGATGGATGCATGCATGCATGCATGGGTGGGTGGACAGATGGGTGGATGAATGGATGGATAGGTGGATATGTGTATGAATGGATTTCCATGGATTCCCTTGCACTGACCAGAGGTGAGAGTATCTATAGCTTATAGGTTGATAAAATATGTCCTATGTATGTCCCAACTCAGTTTCCAAATACATCTCAAATCAGCTCCCTCAGGGGACCCCAGACAAGCGCATTCCTTAGTGAATGAGATTCATATAGAGGAATTTTATTCCAAAATTCAACAAGGAAACTAGGTCTTCCTCCCAAGGAAACCATATGGAGAAGGCCACTAGATGTGGCCTGAGAATGTCAAGAAGAAATTTCTTGCCTTTAATGTCTAACTAGGCTAACTCCCAACTCCCAAAGAACAGATTGGCACACCACCACCCCACCACTACTACCTGGAATCCCCTAATCAGGACCACTAGCAACACAAGACTCTTTCTCAAGCCCTTGGGCAAGAAAATCTGGTTTCTCCAGGCCAGGCACGGTGGCTCACACCTGTAATCCCAGCACTTTGGGAGGCCGAGGATGCCAGATCAGAAGGTCGGGAGATCGAGACCATCCTGGCTAACACGGTGAAACCCCGTCTCTACTAAAAAAATACAAAAAATTAGCTGGGTCTGGTGGCGGGCGCCTATAGTCCCAGCTACTCGGGAGACTGAGGTAGGAGAATGGCAGGAACCCAGGAGGCAGAGCTTGAAGTGAGCCAAGATCACACCACTGCACTCCAGCCTTGGTGACAGAGCAAGACTCCGTCTCAAAAAAAATTTTTTTTAAAAAAAGAAAGAAACAAAATCTGGTTTCTCCAGCAGAAAAAAAAGTCCACCTGCCAGAATAAAGCCTAGGCTCTCTGTCAGGTGGCACTGCTCACTAGGAGCCCGGTTCTGTGGTGCCATTCCATCTCCAAGTCCCTGGCCACCCGCCTGACTCACCTCCAAGTCCTTCTCAAGCTCCAGTCCAGCCTCCATCAGATTGTGCTCAAATTCCTCCCGCTGCTCCTTCCTCTCCTCCTCCAGGGCATCGAGCGGTCCCAGCTCAATGTCACCTGGGCCCCCAGCATGAGGCTCCTTGCCTGTCTCCCCATTGGAGACGATAGCCAGCGAGTGGCCAGGGAAGCCTTGGGCCAGGTGCACCCCGCGTTTCCGGTAGTGGTAGGCAAGTACATAGTCGACCTTCCTCTGACTGTCATGGAAGTGCATGCGGCTAAGACGGGCCTCCAAGGACACAGGCTCATTGGCATCCAGATAGTTGTTGATGACCTGGCCAGAGAGAGAGGAGAGGCAGGGCAAGGTCTGGTGAGTAAGGGGTGAGAAACAGAGGAGGCTGATCTATGCTCTGGGCTCAGGGAAACGGACTCAGAAGCAAGCCTCTCAGGCCCAAAGGCCCCCAGTGCCCCCAGTAAAAGGACCGAATGGCCTAAGTTAATCTGTCATGCCAGCTTGCGAGGCCCTCCACCCACCTGTTGACAGTCTGGGCATCGGTGCCTTCACACATGCTCCAGCATCCATGCACACACACACTCACACACAGACTGTACCTGCAGCAGCAAACCCCTCACAACCGCACTCCTGCCTCCACACACAGAACCACACGCCCACGCCTGCACACACACATGCAAGCACCTGCAGATGCACACGCAGCCACCTCTACCCTTGTCTCCCTGCACCAGCACTCCTGCACCATACAGGTGAAGGGGCCTGTGTACACGCGTATCTACCCGAGTGCGCTCTAACACACACACCCCCTTCCACAGGCACCATGGCCCACACACGCTCACCTCCTTGCAGATCTGCACCTCTGCCTGCAGATACACTATATATTTAAACACAGAATACTCACAGGCAGGTTCTCTGGATCCATTGGAACAAAGACCAATTTCTAGTCACCAGACCCGACCCCTACCCTCCCACCCACGGGAATTCACCAGGCACTATTCACAGCCCCACATCCTCCTCTCCAGCCACTGGTGAGGGCCCTTTCAAAGACAGCAGCAGGGAACTGACTTCTGCTGTCTTCCACTCCAGAGGTGGGGAGGTGGAAAGAAGAGGAGGAGAGAGAACACGATGAAGCAGGGGAGGGACCGGCCTCTCCCCGTGGGTGTTTCCCTGTTTATTACTGGTTTGAAACCCAGCTGCCTCTGCAGCCACCTGAGAGGTCACCTGGGCAACCAGATGAAGCTCCAGGCACAAGGGAGAGACTCAGAGCCACCATAGCAGAGAAGACAGTTGCTCAGGCTTGCAGGAGGGGAACCAGGGGGCCTGCAGACCAACTGGCAGCATCGACTGGCCTCCCACGCCTCCTCCTTTCCTGACCCTCCTCTGACCAGAACAGGGCACTGGGAAAGTGTGCCTGACTTGGAGACAGAGAAGAGAAAAGGCCCTACCCAAACCTAGGTCTCTCTCTTTCACGCACACATGTGCTCCCAACTGGAGGATCCCCCAGACCAGAGGCTCCTTGGTGGCCTGCAACAGGGCTGGCCTATCCCCCCACCCCACCCCCGCCCAGTACTCACAGAGCTGCTGCGGGTGCTCTCTCCACCGCAGGGCTGGCCAGGATCTCTGTTGGAACCGCCCTGCAGACCTGGGGCCCGGGGACCTGGCATCTTGAGACACTGCTGTCCATGTTTGGGGCCCTGGCCCCCTCTGGACCCTGCCTGAGGGCTCAGCCGGCGTGGGGAGCCAGGGAGCAGGGGTATATCTGTGAGAGGGAAAGACAAGGGAGGCAAAACAGCCTCAGGTGAAGGAAATCCAAGACACTGAGGTACTGAGTGTACTCAGACACTAGCCCTGAGAAAATGGCCCATTTTGCTTCACAGCTGCCTCCTTGGTTAGTCCCTAAAGCCCAGGTTCACACTGACCACAAGGAAGGGAGCATGGAAAAGGAAGTGCGGCCCCCCGACTGCATACACACACGCACACACACATACACACACATGCACGCACACACACCCACATACACACACACATGCACACATACACACACACACGCACACACATACACACACATGCACGCACACACACCCACATACACACACATGCACACATACACACACGCATACACACACACGCACACACACATACACACACACGCACGCACACACACCCACATACACACACACATGCACACATACACACACGCATACACACACATACACACACACACACACACACACGCACACACACAGCGTGGAGCCACCAGCAGGAGCTCCTTCGGATCATGGCTGTCATAATCTCTCATAATTCCCAGATAAGAAAGGGGTGGCATTGAGCAAGTCAGGGTGGTGGGGGGGCACTGCCTGGAGAGACACCTTGAATTAATACCAAAGGCTTAGGCTTTGGGCCTCTCCCGTGGCAGCAGCACCAGCTGGCACCCTGGCCAGCCCCCACCTCCCTCGGGGAGAGAGCAAGGACAGACCAAGGGGGTCCTCTGAACAACTGAACAAAGGACTGTCCTCCAGTGTCCTTTCAGGGTCCTCACGCACCTGCTGCCTCTACCCAGGCCCCAGAGGTCTGCAGCCCCTTCTCGGCAGGAATGCAGGACCACTTCAGAAAAATTCCAGTGTCTCCCCTGAAGGGAAAAGTCCCCAGTAGGTGATGGAATGACTGCATGCTAGAATTGGAGGGAACTGAGAGAGTAGATAGTCCAGCTGCACTTTGTACAGACCCCACTGGAACCGCGAGTTGCCAAGGTCTCAGCGCAGGTCAGACTCAATCTATTCTCTCCTCTGAGAAACACTTCCTAGAAAAGCAACACAGCCAGTGCCCAGGCTTAAACCTCAGCTCTGCCACTTGCCAGCTCTAAGACCTCTTTGTGCTTGTTCTCTAGCTGTAAAATGAGAATCTCAAACTTGCAGGATTGCAGTGAGAATGAGAATAAGATAATGCCTGCAAAGCACCCAGAGCAGTGATTAGCCTGACGGCATGTGATCAAAGGCTGTGATTAGAATCGTTAGTGTTTGCATTTTAACCTCCAAGTGAGCAGAAGTAACACCTTATGTCTCCAACTCAGCCCTAAGCACCTGCTCAGTGAATGAATGAACAAAAGCAACTCTTCCAGTCTGTTGAAACAGAACTCCCGGCCCTTTGCCAACTTGTGGAGCAGCCCCTTAGGTGCTCAGCCCTCCAGCGCAGTTTCAGGGGTCCTAGAACATTCGGTCCCTGCACTTGAGAAACATAATCTCTTTATGAAGACAGAGCTGACATGCAGGAAACACAACTGTGACCAGCAGAGGAAAGCTTTCATCATTCCTTTCTATACTGTGGGTTCTAGTCCACACTGTGGGAGACCAGAAAGACTAAGTCAAAGTCGGCTTCTGGGGTAACTGAGCCAGAGCTGGGTCCTGGAGGGTGGGTAGCTTCTGAAAGGCCAGGAGGCACGGGAGGCACTCCCTAGGGAGACAGCACAGAAGGGCAGGCGTGGGCACACCTTGTGGGAGGAAAATGAAAACTCAGGACCCCATATCACTCTGCCGAAAGGAAAATATTAAGCCGAAAGCTGAGTCAGGCAAGACGCTGCCTTTCCTTTTGTTCCTAAGCAGACAGCTACAGATAAAAGGCTAGATAGCTCCACAGGCAGCTACTCTATATTCACCTTGTCCAAAGCGCAAGATGAATACATCATTGATAATTCCCTAACTGCTCCTTTTCTCTTGCAACATGCAGATTCCCACAGCCTCCCTCTTTCCCCCACAGCCTGCTTTTCCCCGTTAAATATTGAAGCCCTCAAAATGATCTTTGGAGAAAGACACAGACCTCTCTTCCAACCACATTCTTAACGTTGGCAAAATAAACGGAATTGATTGAGGCCTGTCTCAGATATTTTTTGGTTTACATGTGATGGGGCTCAGGCTCAGGGCTCTAAAAAAGGGGCTTCCTCCCTTGTGCCCAATCTCGCCTCCTCCCACTTCCCTTGTGCCTTCCTGCATGCCTGCCCCACAAGTGCCTGAGAACAGAACTTGGAACAGAAGGACTCTACCCCAGAGAAGACCTGGAAACCTCTAGATGCATGTCTAAAAAGCCCAAGACCACTGGATACATCACTGGGGAACATGATAAAGATGATGTTCACTCAAGGGCCACCCTACCCTGGCAGCTACATTCAGATTTGCACCTGTGGCTCAGAGTAGCTCAGATTCAAGGGCAATGCAAAGCTTTGGTCCAGCTGCTGTCCAGGAACCACCATCCCCTAAAGGTGCCACCTGGAGTTTGAGGCTGACATTCAGGGCCCTCACTAGCCATCGCAGTTGCTCCCCCGGCTCGCTCTCTGACACACGGATCCGGCTGCCTGGGAACTCTGCTTCCCTTCTCTCCCTCTCCCCACAAGTGATTAGAGCACAGCACACGGTTCAGCCATCCCAGCCGTCCCAGCTCTGGAGAGGCACTCCAGGCAATAAAGACACAAGGGAGCCACCTTCAGACGTGAGAGGAAGGCCAAGGGGAACGCGAGTGACGCCTGCCCTCAGGAAGGGGAAGGGTGAGGCAGGTGAGCACACACCTTGAGAACTCCCTAAGAAGCTTAGAAGAGGTGAATGAGGTCAATTAGAAGGAAAGGCCATCGTACACAGCCCGTGGAACATGTCACCCATTTGGAAAGAATCTTTCCTTCCTTCACCGTTGCCTTGGCTCTCCTTCCACGCTGCCTTGAACAACAGATCCTTGGGTGTTCATAACTGCAATGCCGTGAGGGTGGGGGCATGGCTTACCCACGTCTGGGTTGAGGAGATGGATGTCGTAAGGCTGGGGCCTGGGCCTTTCTCCACGTTCCAGCTCTCTCCCTGGGCACTCTCATCCACTCCAGAGACCTTCATTGTCACCTATTGCTGACGACACTTAAGTTTCACTCTAACTCTTGCTCTCCTGCAGGCACCAGGTCCACACATTCCCCTGCCTGCTCAGCATCTACACTTGGATGTTTCCCAGCCCCTCAAAGTCAACATGCCCAAATCCAAACATACGATCTTCTCCAAAACAGGATTCTTTTTCAGCATTTCCTGCTCCTGCAAATGCTCCACCAAACAGTCAACGAGCTGGAAATCTAGAAGCAGCCTTGATAGCTGTTCTTCCTCATGCCCCATGTCCAATTTGGTACCGATCCTATAAACTTTACCCCTGAAATGTCTGCCAAACCCCTCTGTTCTTCACCCTTCCATGAGTCCCACCCTAGTGCCAGCTGTCAGCCTCCTTCCCCTGGAGGACGGCGATGCCCTCCTAACAGATCTCCCTGCTCCCTGTCCCTGTTCCCCACAAGGCAGCCAGGGGTCCTTACAAACATCCATCTGGCCAGGACACCCTCAAGAGCACAAACTTATGGGGCTCCCATGGCTCTCGGGCTGGGACTCTGCATTCTGCCCCGCCAGTCTCCACCCCCTCTCTCCTGCTGGCTCCCTGGGGTCCCGCCATACACCTCTGCTCTAGCACACCAGCTCCCCAGCCCAGCATCCTACATGCATTCTTCCCGCTGCCTGGACCATGCTTCCCTACACACTCTTCATCTAGTTGTGGGCCACCTACTATTTTGGTCCTTAGGGACCCAGAAAATCCAAAGCAATCCATTCTTGCTTCAAAAAGCTGCTAATCAAGGTGTAAGACTGGAATATTCAGATACTACTAAGAAAGCTAATTTCCTTCCAACCTAGACATGAGTAAGGTTCCACAAGTTGGGTTGTGCAGGATTGGGAGGAGGTGCAGGCCACGAGGACCCATGTGATGTTGCCGGAGGAAGGCCTCACCACCAGCACCCTGCCCCAAGACAAACCCTTTCTCTGAGCTTAGTTTTTACTTCGGTGATTTGGGAGAAGGTGTCATTATTATATCTTTTCCTCATAAAGTGAGTGTGATGATACAGTAAGAGAAAAGATTAACATTCCTTGGAAGTACATGAGCTATGAAAAATGCACAGGATAATTATCAAACCCTACTTCAGGACGTCCATGCTGCCTCCTTCATCCGTCTCTTCTCCACTTCATTCCAGCTGCTCTGCTTCAAGTCCCTGGAATTCCCTTTCTCTCCCAGCCCACTGCCTGCTCACCTGCCACTTCCTCCTGGAAGCTTCCCCAGACTAAGCAGGAGAAGCACTGGCTGTCTGTCCCCACCATTATTAGTACAAGTGGGTTTACTCATCAGGGATGACCACACATTTTTTAATCCTTTCGGTACAGTCTTGGCTGTTTCATATCAGTGGCCTCAGGTGAGACCTCTGTCCCTTCTCATTGGAGCCAACCTCACCACTCGCAGGACTGCAGGTACCTTAGGTCACTCTACAGAGGCAGATGAAGAAGGGGTAGGATCAGAGACATTGAGAGAAAAGAACAGAGACTGAAGGATGGAGAGGCCCAAATCTCAATGAAAAAACAGGTGAAGCCTGTTTTCAGAGTCTCCCCAAACCAGTCCTTCCGAAATCTCCTTTCTGGGCCTGCCCAAAGCCCCTCCCCAGCTTCTGTGCCCTGTATTCCACCCTCCACTGTCCATCTACCATCAGGGCTTCCAACGACCATTTCCTCATTTAACCTCTGGCTCTTTTGCTAATCAGCTAATTTACACCAAAGTACAAACAGCCCATGCTACGTCCTGATATTGGTAAAAAGCATTTTGAAAACATTAAAAGGTTCTGCAGAAGGCATAAGCCCACATGCTGATGGGGCAGAGGTCATAGCCTGAAGGCATCATCTCTAATGGGGTGAGAGGAAGATGGCTGAGAGGCAGAAGTTCTGGCTGGGACCTCCAAATAATGCTATATCCCCAGACAGTCTGGCAGGAACCTTCAAGGTCACTGCATAGGCCGAGAGCTAGAAAGGCCCTTCTGAACAGGGGGGAGGGGCAGGCACAGAATGTGGAGAGCTGGTAAGAGTGAGAGAAGCTTGGGCATGTAGCTGACAGGGGAAACACCAAAGCCAAGGAGACCAGGAGACACAGTCAGGAGCAAGACAGGGCCAGATTGTGCAGAGAAAGGGCAGAAAGTGAGTTCACTAAGCATGGAATAGGGGGCAAGGTGAGTCAGCAGGGACCTAGGCAACTTCCAGAGCCTCCAAGAGAGACCAGCAGCAGGAGGAGGAGGTGTCCTGAGGGAACTGGACTTCTGGGCAGTTGGGCTTTTCCTCTGAGTTTCCCTCTTGGCATCATTACTGTCTCATTCCTAACTCCTGGTGGCTGAAGTATGAAGGGCCCTGAAATGAGGGGCCACCTCCATCCCCAACCTCCCAAAGCCACTGCTTCCAGCAAAACCAGACAGGCCCAGGGCTGCCCTGTGGGAGACAGAGCATCCGCACTCTCCCAGGCTTCTGCACTAGTCTACTTTCCTTCCTCACTAGTCTACTTTCCTTCCTCACTAGTCTACTTTCCTTCCTCCGTAGTCTACTTTCCTTCGTCACTAGTCTACTTTCCTTCCTCACTGGTCTACTTTCCTTCCTCTCTAGTCTACCTTCCTTCCTTACTCGTCTACCTTCTTTCCTTATTAGTCACTTTCTTACCAGTCTTCCTTCCTTACTAGTCTATCTTCTTTCCTTACTCGTCTACCTTCTTTCCTTATTAGTCACTTTCTTACCAGTCTTCCTTCCTTACTAGTCTATCTTCTTTCCTTACTCGTCTACCTTCTTTCCTTATTAGTCACTTTCTTACCAGTCTTCCTTCCTTACTAGTCTGTCTTCTTTCCTTACTCGTCTGCCTTCTTTCCTTATTAGTCACTTTCTTACCAGTCTTCCTTCCTTACTAGTCTATCTTCTTTCCTTACTCGTCTACCTTCTTTCCTTATTAGTCACTTTCTTACCAGTCTTCCTTCCTTACTAGTCTATCTTCTTTCCTTACTCGTCTACCTTATTTCCTCATTAGTCACTTTCTTACCAGTCTTCCTTCCTTACTAGTCTATCTTCTTTCCTCACTCGTCTACCTTCTTTCCTCATTAGTCACTTTCTTACCAGTCTTCCTTCCTTACTAGTCTATCTTCTTTCCTTACTCGTCTACCTTCTTTCCTCATTAGTCACTTTCTTACCAGTCTTCCTTCCTTACTAGTCTGTCTTCTTTCCTTACTCGTCTACCTTCTTTCCTTATTAGTCACTTTCTTACCAGTCTTCCTTCCTTACTAGTCTACCTTCTTTCCTCACTCGTCTACCTTCTTTCCTTATTAGTCACTTTCTTACCAGTCTTCCTTCCTTTTCTATCTTCTTTCCTTACTCGTCTGCCTTCTTTCCTTATTAGTCACTTTCTTACCAGTCTTCCTTCCTTACTAGTCTATCTTCTTTCCTCACTCGTCTGCCTTCTTTCCTTATTAGTCACTCTCTTACCAGTCTTCCTTCCTTACTAGTCTATCTTCTTTCCTCACTCGTCTACCTTCTTTCCTTATTAGTCACTCTCTTACCAGTCTTCCTTCCTTACTAGTCTATCTTCTTTCCTTACTCGTCTACCTTCTTTCCTTATTAGTCACTTTCTTACCAGTCTTCCTTCCTTACTAGTCTACCTTCTTTCCTCACTCGTCTGCCTTCTTTCCTTATTAGTCACTTTCTTACCAGTCTTCCTTCCTTACTAGTCTACCTTCCTTCCTTACTAGTCTACCTTCTTTATTAGTCACTTTCTTACCAGTCTTCCTTCCTTACTAGTCTATCTTCTTTCCTTACTCGTCTGCCTTCTTTCCTTATTAGTCACTTTCTTACCAGTCTTCCTTCCTTACGAGTCTACCTTCCTTCCTTACTCGTCTACCTTCTTTCCTTATTAGTCACTTTCTTACCAGTCTTCCTTCCTTACTAGTCTACCTTCTTTCCTCACTCGTCTGCCTTCTTTCCTTATTAGTCACTTTCTTACCAGTCTTCCTTCCTTACTAGTCTACCTTCTTTCCTCTCTCGTCTGCCTTCTTTCCTTATTAGTCACTTTCTTACCAGTCTTCCTTCCTTACTAGTCTACCTTCTTTCCTCACTCGTCTACCTTCTTTCCTTATTAGTCACTTTCTTACCAGTCTTCCTTCCTTACTAGTCTACCTTCTTTCCTCACTCGTCTACCTTCTTTCCTTATTAGTCACTTTCTTACCAGTCTTCCTTCCTTACTAGTCTGTCTTCTTTCCTCACTCGTCTGCCTTCTTTCCTTATAGGCCTTCCTTCCTTGTGATTACCCAGGGTTTGATGGAAGGAGCCACATTCTGTTTAGCTTTAATTCCCAATGTTTTATACAATACCTGGGAAGTTAAATGGGTCTGCAATGAACGAACAGAGATGTGAAATACTGCACGTATATCATCCCCACCCCAACCTCCCAAAGAATGGTCATTTGCTGTGCTTGGAGCCTGGCATGATGGTGTGGGTAATGGGGGTATAGGGGGAAGGCCAGCAGTGGATGAGTGTTGGGAGATGAAGTGGTCCAGACGGGTAGGTGCGGACTCGATCAGGAAAGACCCTGTATGTCATATATGACAATTTGGTCTTCATCCTAAGAAGAGTAGGCAACCATGGTCCTGCTGAAGGCATGCCCTGGTAGAAGCCTCAGAGAGACCTGGGTGCTTTCAGATTGAAGACCCTCCCCCTGGACCCCTCCTCAAGTGCCCTGGGCACTTCATTTCAGTTAGAATCAACATTTACACCCAGGTCTCATCCTGCTTCTTGCATGAATTGGACCCAGGACAACAGCCAAAATTTGAAGCTCCAGGCTTAAAATTTGGGCCCAATGGCCCTCCTGATTACCCCACCCCTTGCCCCAGAGGTCCTGCAGAACAGCACTTCCCTCAGTCTCTATATGCAGCCACAGTAACAGGACTGCTCTCCAGTTCCCTCCATACTCACACACACATAAAATCCATTTGCATATCCGCCTCCTGGGCTCTGCTTGTCTTATAGCCTTGGCTCAGAATTAGCCCTCTCTCTCCAATGCACATGCCCCCCTTTCCTGATGATGCCACCACCACAGTTTGCATCCTTGCCTTGTTCCCCTCTGATAGAAGTAAGCTGGCCTTCCTACTGCTTATCTTGCTTCTCTCTCATCCTGGGCTCACACCACAGCTACTATTACCATTTTGAAACAATCTCACCAAGTTAGTCCCACTCTGTGGTTGCCTACTCTTCTTAGGATGAAGACCAAATTGTCATATATGACATACAGGGTCTTTCATGATCGAGTCCGCACCTACCCGTCTGGACCACTTCATCTCCCAACACTCATCCACTGCTGGCCTTCCCCCTATACCCCCATTACCCACACCATCATGCCAGGCTCCAAGCACAGCAAATGACCATTCTTTGGGAGGTTGGGGTGGGGATGATATACGTGCAGTATTTCACATCTCTGTTCATTCATTGCAGACCCATTTAACTTCCCACGTATTGTATAAAACATTGGGAATTAAAGCTAAACAGAATGTGGCTCCTTCCATCAAGCCCTGGGTAATCACAAGGAAGGAAGGCCTATAAGGAAAGAAGGCAGACGAGTGAGGAAAGAAGACAGACTAGTAAGGAAGGAAGACTGGTAAGAAAGTGACTAATAAGGAAAGAAGGCAGACGAGTGAGGAAAGAAGATAGACTAGTAAGGAAGGAAGACTGGTAAGAAAGTGACTAATAAGGAAAGAAGGTAGACGAGTGAGGAAAGAAGATAGACTAGTAAGGAAGGAAGACTGGTAAGAAAGTGACTAATAAGGAAAGAAGGTAGACGAGTGAGGAAAGAAGACAGACTAGTAAGGAAGGAAGACTGGTAAGAAAGTGACTAATAAGGAAAGAAGGCAGACGAGTGAGGAAAGAAGATAGACTAGTAAGGAAGGAAGACTGGTAAGAAAGTGACTAATAAGGAAAGAAGGCAGACGAGTGAGGAAAGAAGATAGACTAGTAAGGAAGGAAGACTGGTAAGAAAGTGACTAATAAGGAAAGAAGGTAGACGAGTGAGGAAAGAAGATAGACTAGTAAGGAAGGAAGACTGGTAAGAAAGTGACTAATAAGGAAAGAAGGCAGACGAGTGAGGAAAGAAGACAGAAAAGGAAGGAAGACTGGTAAGAAAGTGACTAATAAGGAAAGAAGGTAGACGAGTGAGGAAAGAAGATAGACTAGTAAGGAAGGAAGACTGGTAAGAAAGTGACTAATAAGGAAAGAAGGCAGACGAGTAAGGAAAGAAGACAGAAAAGGAAGGAAGACTGGTAAGAAAGTGACTAATAAGGAAAGAAGGTAGACGAGTGAGGAAAGAAGGTAGACTAGTAAGGAAGGAAGACTGGTAAGAAAGTGACTAATAAGGAAAGAAGGCAGACGAGTGAGGAAAGAAGATAGACTAGTAAGGAAGGAAGACTGGTAACAAAGTGACTAAAAAGGAAAGAAGGCAGACGAGTGAGGAAAGAAGATAGACTAGTAAGGAAGGAAGACTGGTAAGAAAGTGACTAATAAGGAAAGAAGGTAGACGAGTGAGGAAAGAAGGTAGACTAGTAAGGAAGGAAGACTGGTAAGAAAGTGACTAATAAGGAAAGAAGGTAGACGAGTGAGGAAAGAAGGTAGACTAGTAAGGAAGGAAGACTGGTAAGAAAGTGACTAATAAGGAAAGAAGGTAGACGAGTGAGGAAAGAAGATAGACTAGTAAGGAAGGAAGACTGGTAAGAAAGTGACTAATAAGGAAAGAAGGTAGACGAGTAAGGAAGGAAGGTAGACTAGAGAGGAAGGAAAGTAGACCAGTGAGGAAGGAAAGTAGACTAGTGAGGAAGGAAGACTAACAAGGAGATAATCTCCAGAATGGGAGGAGAGTCAACATGAAAGTATGAAGAAGGATCCATGGAAGCAGAAGCCCTCAGCTCTCCCTAGAGCTGTCAGGGAGGCTCCCAGAGGACACGGCTTTTGCATGCAACTAGAAGAATTAACTAGGCATCTACCAATGGGCAAAGGAGGAAAGGAGACTCCAGGAAGAAAGGCAGTGATTTGTATGATCCATTGCAATGGGCCTCGGGCCTGGCTGGTTGAGATTATGGCCCTCCTGAGAGCAATGACTGCTAGCCTCCTCACCCTCATTTTCTGCCTGCGGAGTCCCCACAAGGGGCCAGCTACGTGGTGAGATTTGAGGGGCACAGAAAGGGCCCTATCTGGTGTATAGTGCACACTTCTTAACATGGCCTACAAGGCCCTTTACCATCTTTCTTGTCAACCTTCCCACTGTCATCTCCTGCTAGTGACTCTCCTCTTGTGCACACACAGCCACACATGCACAGAAACTCCAGAGAATGAACTGCCTGCAGCTCCCAGAAGGTGATCTGCTTTTTTATTTGCCCTTCTGTCTCTAAACTTCTCTCCCCAACCATACAACCACCCCAAATTCCACTCTGTTAACGAGGTTCACAATTTATTATAATGTTAAAAGATTTTAAGCAAGAGAACAACATAATTAGATTACATTAGAAAGATGGCCCTGGCTGTAGTGAGGATAAATGAGGTGCCAGGAGAAGGATGGATAAATGGATGGGTGGGTGGGTGGATGGACAGGTGGGTAGGTGAATAAATGGATGGACAGATTCCTAACTGTTTTTCTGATACACGTACCCTTTATAAAATTCACAAAATTTTATTTCACTGGTCACACTGCTACTCAAAACTTCCACTGTCTTGAGGCTTACAAACAACTTGGCATCCAAAGACTTACACAGCTGACTGTTACATGTCTCTGCTGCCAAATCCCTCCATCAGACAAGAACATTCCTCTTTAGTCAAACCTGTCCCCAGACTGATGCTCACTCTGTGCCTCTGCCTAGGCTGTTACTTCTGTTTGGCATGTCCTCTCCACTAAGCTAAGTCATACCCAGGTAAAGTCCTACTCCTATACCACGCCTTCCCTAACCACTGAAGGAAGTCCTCTAGAAGTTCAGATTTGCCTTTTTTATCTCTGTATTCCTAGCACAGGACTCTGGATGCAATAAGAGCTCTAAAAGCTTTTGGAGGTAACGATGTAGGGAACTGAGGAATCCTTTCTTGTGAGTGAATTTTGAAACAGGATGGATTCCCCTGTGCTGAACTGAACATAGAACTGCCCTACTAGTAACAACTACAACACTAATCGCTAACACTTTACATGTGTCAGACACTGTTTTAAACACTTTACATGTATCAATTTATGTAATCTTCACGATAACCCTGAGGTAGGTACCATTGTTGTCACCATTTTACTGATGAGGAAACTGAAGCACAGAGAGGCCAGGTAAGTTGTCCAAGATCACCAGCACACTCAGTCCACACTTTTCTCCACTAAGCAATGCTGTGCAAAAGGAAGATAAATGGCCAACATTACTTGGTAAATCCCTTCCTGGCTGGACATTCTTAACATCCCTCACCCTTTAAAAAGGTCTTTTTACAAATAGCATTTATAGTCAATGATCAGACCCAAGATCCTAACAGTTAAGACCAAGAGAATAAGAATAAGAGAGAATTATCTTATTGAGAATGTAATCGAATGAGAAATTCATTTCAGGAAGTGCTTCTCTCAATGACAAAATTTACAAATTGGGACTTGGATGAGTTGCCTAAATGAAACCTACTCATTGGCAGCCCATCCTACACTTTGGTTTGGAGTATGGCTGATGAGATTAAGGTATAAATGCCCCTCCTTACATGTCATGAGGAAGTAGCCAGTGTACAACATAAAATTGGTCAAAACTGGTCTGTTGGCTCATTAATTATAACCTGTTTTGCAACAGATTTGCTCTGTTTGCTCTTCCATTGACATCCTGGGTATATTCAATGGGCTCCCTCCGTGTCCCTCATCATTCTCCACCACCCATAAACATCTCCCATCTCTTCCTCCTGGGTGTAACCAAGATTAAAGATATCATTCTTATTCTCATCTCTCCAAAGTAGGAATAGGTTTCTCCTACCCAAAATGGACTGGGACTGAGGTTAAAGCCTAAAACAGCTCTTCCAATCATAGCTCCCACTCTCAGGCTACTGAGGACTTTGGAACTGGGTGAGATGCTGGGGGTTATGGAAGGATGCAGCAGACATGAGGGATAGGAACAATCCTGAGAATTTTATAAAATATCCCAAATATATTTATTTATAGTCTGTAGGAAAGTGCTCAGAAAATGCCTCTGTTACAGCTTTTTTAACTGGTATGAGTGAATTCATATTGTATAGACAGTGAGCTTAATGGGCTAGTTGCACACTGCTTGAGGATAGGCATAGTACCTATCTTATTCACCTCTGTATCCTAAGCCCTGAGCATATGACCTGGTACATAATAATCTTTGAGGGCAGAGTGTGAGAAAAGGAGGTTCAATAGCAAACATCCACCACAATGGTAACACCATGTGAAAGTCGAGAGGATTGTTCATGAAGGCACTGGAGACACACCTAGGGACTCCCATCATTACTGGGTCAGACTTTAAGGGTGACTGGAGATAGCATAATAACTAGTGGGGGAAAATTTTGAGAAATACATTTTTTATTTTCTCATAACTTCTCCTCCACCAGGCTACTGTGGTCTAGCCAAATGCAGATCGCTCTTATTCAAAACCAGGATATGTCCTCATTTGAGCATCTGTGAAATTATGGCCACCATATCCCAAAGGACAAAACTGGGAGAAAAAAAGTTCTGGAGAAGGGGCACAGAAGCATACAAGACCTATTCTGTGTGGAGAAGGAGCCTGTCATGGGAAGCCAGACTTAAAATATTAGGATTCCGCAACTGGAAAAAGACAAATGGGAACACAGAGGGGTTCTCAACCTTGGATATTCATTAGAATCACCCAAGAAGGTTAAAATATTGATGTCTGGGTTTCACCTCCACAGATTTGGACTTAATTTATCTGGGGTGATTCTATGGTACAACCAGGGTTGAGACCATTAGTCTAGAGAATCACTAACAGAGTCAAAACAGGGAGCACAGATCTAGTCACAGATCTTGAAATATTAGAAGAAAGAAGCACCACTATTTGGGTGGATTTACATTTCCCTAATGACCAATAATGTTGAACATCTTTTTACGTGCTTACTAGCAATTTGCATATCTTCTTTGGAGAAATGTCTATTCAGAGCTTTTGCTCATTTTAAAATCAGGTTCATCTTTTTATTGTTGAGTTATAAGAGTTATTTCTATATTCCAGATATAAGTCCTTTGTCTGATATATGACTCACAAATATTTTCTCCCATTCTGTAGGTTGTCTGTTCAATTTTCTTGATGGAGTCAAGAGAAGCACCTGCAACCAAAAATGCTCTTTTGGAGCATTTTTAATTTTTATGAAGTCCATTTTGTCTATTTTTTATCTGATGTGTCACGGTTTGACTATCGGTGTCTCTTCCAAAATTCATATTGAAACTTAACCCTCAATGCAGCAGAATTAAGAAGTGGGTCCCTCTGGGAAGGATTAAGTCATAAGGGCTCTGCCTTTACAAATGGGTTAGTACCCTTATAAAAGGGCTCAAAGGAACAGGCTAGACCCTCTTTTTGCCCTTCTCCCCCCAAGTAAGGACACAAAAACAAAGTGCCATCTTGGAAGCAGAGAGCAGCTGTCACCAGATACTGAATGCTGACACCTTGATCCTGGACTTCCCAGCCTGGAGAACTGTAAGAAATAAATTTCTGTGCTTTATAAACAAGCCAGTCTCTGGCATTTTGTTAGAGTGAGCAAACTGAGACAGAATGCTTATGGTTTTGGTGTAACATTAAGAAAACATCACCTAAACCAAGGTTGCGAAGATTTACTTCTATGTTGTCTTCTAGTTTTATCAATTTAACTACTACATTTACATCTACGATTCACTTTGAGTTAATTTTTATGTATGAGTGAGGAAAGGGTCCAACTTCATTCTTTGTACATGACTCTCTAGTTGAATTCAGCATAATCAAAGCTCCAGAATTTTTATAGAATTTTATTTTTATAGAATATTTACTTGGATGCAACATCATCAAAGCTCCAAAATTCTATACCATAAAGTGACAGGCACTTAGGTTGTTTCCATATCTTGACCACTGTGAATAATGTTTCAATGAACATGGCAGTGCAGATACCTTTACCAGGTAGTGATTTTACTTCTTTCAGTATATACCCAGAATAGGAATTTCTGGGTCATATGGTGGTTCCATTTTTTTATTTCTTTAGCAACTTCAAACTGTTTTCCACAATGACTGCATGAAACTGCATTCCACCAACAGTGTATAAGGGCTCCTTTTTCTCCACATTCCTTCCAAAAGAGTTATCTCCTGACTTTTTTATATTAGCTATCCTAACAGGTATGCGATGATATCTCACTGTAGTTTTGATTTGCATTTCCCTAATGACTGGTGACGTCGAGGACTTTTTCATATACCTGTTGGCCACTTTTATGTCTTCTTTGGAGAAATGTCTATCCAGGTCATTTGCCTATTTTTTAATTAGGTTATTTGTATTTTTGCTATTGGATTGTGTGAGTTCCTTATATATTGTGAATATTAACTTCTTATCTGATACACAGTTGCCAAATATTTCCTTCCACTTCATTGGCTGCCTTTTCATTTTGTTTCCTTTGTCTCTTTTTCATGGATCACTTATTTCTATTTATTTGCATGTCTAGTAAGTTTTATGGTATACTGGACATTGTGAATGATAAAACATTATCTTCCTATCGAGGGGGTTGGAATTTTTTTTTTTAACTTTCTAGCAGGAAGTTCAACTATGAGCTGATCACTTTGAGCTTATGTAGGAGTTTGCTGTTGTTGCCAGGGTATGCTGTGGAAAATCCAAGGTGTTTCTCAAGAGGCTCTAATCTGGAAGGGTTCAGCCTCTAAACTCTTGTCTTCCCTATTGATCTTTCTAGGCTTGGCCTTAGTGTTCTTCAGGGACCATCCAGAGTAAATTTTTCTCTACCGTGTGCTTCTTACTCCTAAAACAAAGCCCCTGGGGGTCTCAGCTACATGTCTGGAATGTTAGGACATGCTCATGAGGTCTTGCCACTCTGGCTGGGATGGACTTTCAACATCTCCCAGTACCGTTCGACTTCTACCATTTCTGTTCTGATCTCAATGCTGCAGCAGCTTCTCTCTGGCAAACTTCATATGCCTCACCCTGTGCATGTGAAGCCTCACTCTTAGCCAAGGACTCACGAAGGGTCCCCAAAGAGCCCTCTGGGCACCTCCTTTCACACACATTCCTCCTCTCTGTGTTCTTCCCCATAATTTCCAGGCATTTAGTAAGCATTTCCAGGCATTTTGCTGCTCCAAATTTTTATCTCTGTCTTCTCAGTTCAGTGGGATCCTTTCCTCCATGTGGACTCCAGATCCCTGACCCCTGGTAAATAGCCTGCACTCAGAGGGCTAAATTTCTCTTCTTTCAGGGATTGTACTTCTATGCTGGTGCTTGTTCAGTACCTGAAAATAACTGATCTACATATTTTTTTCCAGTATTATAATTTATGACAGAATGTCTATCCCAGGACCAGTTATTCCATTATGGCCTCAGCCTCCCAAAGTGCTGTGATTATAGGCATGAGCCACTGCACCCAGTCTATTTTATTTACTTATTAAGATAAGCTAAGGGCCAGGCATGGTGGCTCACGCCTATAATCCCAGCACTTTGGGAGATCGAAGCAAATGGATTACCTGAGGTCAGGAGTTCAAGACCAGCCTGGCCAACATGGTGAAACTCCGTCTCTACTGAAAAAAAATACAAAAATTAGCTGGGTGTGGTGGCAGGCACCTGTAATCCCAGCTACTCAGGAGGCTGAGGCAGGAGAATTGCTTGAACCCGGGAGGCAGAGGTTGCAGTGAGCCAAGATTGCACCATTGCACTTCAGCCTGGGCGACAAGAGCAAAACTCTGTCTCAAAAAGAAAAAAACAAGATAAGCTAAGATCCCAACCTTTTTTCTTGTCCTGAGGTAGGCCACAGGAGCACCTGTAACCAAGGCCAATATTTTTTTTTAAAAATAATTTTGTGGCCAGGCAAGGTGGCTCAGGCCTGTAATCCTAGCACTTTGAGAGGCCGAGGCAGGCGGATGATGAGGTCAAGAGATCAAGACCATCCTGGCCAAGAGAGTAAAACCCCGTCTCTACTAAAAATACAAAAATTAGCTGGGCGTAGTGGTGCGCGCCTGTAGTCCCAGCTACTCGGGAGGCTGAGACAGGAGAATCGTTTGAACCCGGGAGGCAGAGGTTGCAGTGAGCTGAGATGGCACCACTGCACTCCAGCCTAGTGACAGAGCAAGACTCCAACAAAAAAAAAAAAAAAAAAAAAACTTTGTGTTTCCTCAAGAACACTTGATTCAACATAATCAAAAGCTCCAGAATTCTAAACCACAAAGCACAGAAGAGATGACTTTGCCTAGAAGTTTCTCCCTGCTCTTCTTTTCAACATTTCAATTTGAGCACCTGCTCAATGAAACACCCACTCATTGAGCACCTACCGTGTGTCAGGCTGCAGTAAGGATCAAAGATGAGTTAGATCCATCCTCCATCCCTGCCTTTGAGTATCTCTCCCCACCTGTGGTATGCAGAAGTGTGAGGTGGGTTAAATCTGTTAGGTTGGTGGAAATTTGGGAAAGGCTCTGTTGAGCAAGGCTTAGAAATATGGAGATTTGACATGAACAGTCACTCAGTGGACTGGGTTAACGCTCTTATAAGTAATTTATTATTATCCACACCGATGGTGAAGGATACTATATGAGTCACAGTAATGCCATTCCTGTTTTCCGAAAGGTAGAAAGCGCATGGAAGAACAGGCATGGAAGGCTTCCAGGGGCCAGGGCCAGAAGTAGCACATGTCACTGTTCAGATTCCTTTGGCTAAAATTCAGTGTCATAACTAACTGTAAGGGAGGCTAGGAAATAAGGTCGAGCTGTGTGTTCAGGAAGAAGAGGAGAACATGGATTTTGGTAAGCAGCTAGTAGTCTCTGTCACAGAGGCCTACCAAAAATGAAAAGCTTGGTGTAGCATGTTCACACCTTATATTGTGTTAAAGTTATACATTTCCACATTTATCTCCCCAAGTAGGCTCTCAGATCCAGTTCAGCACCCAGGACAAGGCAGGGATATGGTAAATGCTTATTAAATGGTTTTTAAATCAATGGATGGATGGATGGATGGATGGATGGATAGATGGATGGATGGTGAGCTTGTGTGACAGTAGTTGGCCAACAGATTCTGTTGCTTCTTGAGGCTCCTCCTGGAATGCCACATATCGATGTTGTCAATTTAGAGAAAGATGCTTGCCTTCCCGTTTGATATGGAAGGTGGGCATGCCTCCAGTACACCTATAAACTGGATCAAATCATTTAGGCACAAGTTAACTACATTTAGCAAAATTTAGCATTTGAATTTAGATAGATTGTATAGAACCCATTCCTGCACCCTCTGATTCTTAAACTGGTATTATCATCAGTTCTCTAACGTATGTTTTAGAAGTCGAAGAGCCACACAGAAGCCGTCCAAGTGGAGGGTCCTCCCCATCATTGAGGCACACACTTCTAAGACCAGGAAGCCTAAGCATGCTTGGGGATTTGCAGGCAGAGGAGCTTTTCCTTCTCCAGTGACAGGCTTGTCTTGCTCCTAGGTTCAGGCAAAACCACAGTAACACACTACTTCACGTCCATGAGGATGGCTATAATAAAAAGATGAATAATAACAACTGCTGGTGAGTTTGTGGAGAAATCAGAACCCTCATAAATTGCTGGTGGGAATGTAAAATGGTACAGCCACTTTGGAAAATAGTCTGACAATCAAAGTTAAACATATGACCCAGCAATTCTTCTCCTAGGTATATGACCAAGAGAACTAAAAAACATGTACACACAAAGACTTGTACTTGAAAGTTCATAGCAGTATCATTTATAGTAACAAAAACTAGGACACACAAATGCCCATGAACTGGCAAATGGATAAACAAAATGTAGCCTATCCACCCAAGGAAATAGATTTCAGCTATAAAAAAGAATGAAGTACCGATATGTGTAACAATACACATTAACCTTGAAAGCATTATGCTAAGTGAAAGAACACAGACACAAAATGCCACACATTGTATGGTTCCATTTACATAAAATGTGTAGAATAGGCATATCCATGGAGACAGAAAGTGGATTCGCGGTTGCCAAGGGCTAGGGGGAGGGAGGAAAAATGAGCAACTGCCATTGAGTGTGAAGTTTCTCTTTAGGATGATGCAAATGCTTTAAACTAGATTGCGGTGATGGTTGAACAACTCTGTGAATATACCAACAGCCACTGAACTGGACACCTTTAAAGGGTACATTTTATGGTATGTGAATTGTATCTCAATAAAGCTGTTTTTCAATGGAATTCCTAGAATTAAAAATTACAATTATGGAAAAGAAAAATCCATTGGGTGGGATTAACAGCAAACTGGAGACGGCAGAGAAAGGATCAGTGAAGTTAAAGATGGATCCAACAAAAGTAATCAAATCTAGAGAGCAGAGGATAAAGATTGGAAAAATTTAACAGCACCTCAGAAACTAGTAGGGCGATACCAAACAAGCTAACGTTCATGTGACTGGAGTTCCACAAAAAGAAGAAAAGAAAAGCAGATCAAAAATAGTTGAAGAAGAAAAAAAATAAAATAAAAATAGTTGAATAAATAGTGGCTGAAATTGTCTCAAAATTTGATAAAATACAATAACTTGTAATAACAGATTTAAGAAGTCCAGCAAACTCAAGTTAAAAAAAAAAAGAAAACCACACCTAGATACATCAGAGTCAAAATACTGAAAACCAAAACTGAATATCAAATCTTGAACACTACCAAATTCAAAAGAGATTATACATTAATAAGATAATGAAGAATATTTAAATATGAATTTAGGCTAGCTTCTCGTCAAAACAATGGAGACCAAAAGAGTGATACCCAGAGGGCTGGGGCTGGGGGTGGAAAAAAAGCTATCAAACCATTCATCTATATCCAATGAAGTATCCTTCAAAAATAAGGATGAAATAAAGACATTTTTCATAAAAACACAAGTTGAGAGAATGTCACCAGCAGAACTGCACCTCTAACAATGCTACAGGATGTTCTGCAGGCTGAAGGGAAAGGATAACAAATGGAAATGCGATTAAGAATTCTTCCTAAGAACTTCCTGATGGAGTGCCGCGTATCCCTTTCTTACACAGAGAAGGAAAAAGAGACTCAGTGTCACTGCTCCAAATAGACTACTAGCCATTGACTGTTCCCTATGACTAAGTCACTACTTTTAGGATAACAGGTTTAACCTATTAATTAGTTATGATATAAATTTCATGGTTTTCAAATAGCATTTTTTAAAGTGTAATGGGGTAGAATGGACCAGAAAAGAATAAGGCAAAAACGTTCCTCTTTTAAAATTAAAAATAATATGATAAATGCCCACGTGATAAATAATACTCATTTTAAAAACCTACTAATGAAAATACAGCTCGTTATGTTGGGCAATGTCTTACATCAATATCACCATGAACTCGTGATATTTTAGTGTAGATAAACCAGTCTCCTTTCATTACATAATGACAGCCATGTTACTTACTGTCTTCCCTTTCCCTTTGAATGCCAGGAACACGTGGCCTGAGCCACAAGACCGCACACAACCTGGCTGGCTCTTACCTCTCTCCCTCTTGATCCCTCTGCTGCAGCCCTTAGCTTCCCCACAGGGGAAGCTCCACAGCCCAAGCATCTCCTTGCCATGGGTTCTTTTGCCTTTACTTCCTTTGCTAGACAATCCTCCAGATATCTGCATGGCTTGTTCCTTCATTTAATGCAATCTCTGTTCAAATTCATCTCCTAAGAGAGGCCTTCGCTAACCACTTAGTTACGAATAGTGATGGAGAATAGACGTTTCTCAAAAGAAGATATATAAATAGCCAACAAACATATGAAAAAATGTTCAGCATCACTAATCATCAGGGAAATGCAAATTAAAACCACAATGAGATAACCCACCTTACTGCTGCAAGAATGGCTATAACTAAGAAGTCAAAAATTTTACTAGATGTCGGCATGGATGTGATGAAAAGGGAACACTTTAACACTGCTGCTGAGAATGTAAACTAGTACAACCACTATAGAAAAACAGTATGGAGAGTCTTTAAAGAACTAAAAGTAGAACACCATTAGATCCAGCAATCCCACTACTGGGCATCTACCTAAAGAAAATGAAGTCATTATATAAAAAAGACACATGCACATGTATGTTTATAGCAGCTCAATTCACAATTGCAAAGATAGGGAACCAACTTAAATGCCCATTAACTAAAAAGTGAATAAAGAAAATGTGGGATGTCTGTGTTTGAGTGTGTGTTTGTGTGTGTGTGTGTGTGTGTGTGTGTGTGTGTGTGTAATACTACTCGGCCATGAAAAGAAACAAAATAAGTCTTTTGCAGCAAATTGGATGGAGCTAGAGGCCATTATTGTAAGTGAAGTAACTCAGGAATGGGTAACTAAATATCATATGTTCTCATTCATAAGTGGGAGTTATGCTATGAGGATGCAAAGACATAAGAATGATATCATGGACTTTGGGGACTCAGCGGGTAAGGGTGGGAGGAGGGATAAGGGATAAAAGATTACATACTGGGTACAATGTACACTGCTCGGGTGAGGAGGCACTAAAATCTCAGAATTCACCACCAAAGAACTTACCCATGTAACCAAAAGCAAAACCCCGTACCCTAAAAACTACTGACATTTTTAAAACAATTTTTAAACAATACAGATGGATTATACCGTGTACTAGAGACAATAACACCGTCCCTAGCAGCCAAATACCTGCTATGCATGTGCTCTAGCAACGTCATACATAGGGTGGGATGGGCTTCTCTCAGCCCACAGAATGGGTAGCTTTCCAGAAAATTAGGTCTTTGTTACAGAAAATTATAGACACACTCCCCAGTAGGCCCAAATGCCTCTCACCCTGCAGCCTTGCCCCACAATGGAAGATGAAGAGATGGCACACCTGGAAACTGGACTAGAACTTGAGGTGTGTGTTTGGATCCCACCCTTACCCCTCACACAGTCTCTACAGTCAACCAGCAGAGTGGCTCTGGTACCCACATAGAGGCAACTCAGACAGCAGAAGCAGTTGCTGGAAAGGATCGAATCAGGTGCTTGGCTCCGGAAATGACGGGTGCACGTTAAGACACACTGAGAGGAGCAAATGAGCCCTGGATGCCCAGCAGCTGAGCCAGGGTGACAGAGAGACTGGGCAGGGGCTCTGATGCCAGGTTCCAAGGACAAAGGCTCGGCAGGTGGAGGGCCAAGAGGACCACAGTCCTCTGGAAGCACCTTCACCTTGTCTAAGATCCTCCCTCCACCTGCCACCTGCCTTTGGGCTGAGACCCGACCTTGCTCAGTGGGACCTTCTGTCCCAGACGAGGTTCCACATGGTCCCGGGGTGGTATTTCTCCACATCTGCTCACAAAGTATCAGGACTGTGACTGACACCACCTCCCAGTGCACTCAGCTCATTGTTCATGCCAAAGGAGCGGGCACCTCCCTCTTCATGCCTGTCTCAAGAATTACCAGAAACACAACAGCCGACAAAGTCCCTGTCCCAGGCAAAGTCAGTCCTGCCCAAAAGCAATAAAATAACGTCTTTCTTCTCCATACTCCACCTCAATTTGCTTTTCTTCTAAGAAAAGTCCCTCGGGAAGGTATAGCTGTGTTTCCCTGCAGCCTGGGGTGTAAATGCCTGATCTTGGAACCCTTCCTGAATGCGGTTTTGGGTAAGACACTGGAAAAAACTTCTGAAACTGAGAGGCCACTCCAGGGATGCCAAAGTCAAATTTGCTCTGTCCTCAGCGGACCGTTGCTGAGTTAAACCCAGTCCGGCTGGTTGTTTACTTATTGTTTACTTACCTTCAGATGCTGTAGGCTAAACGTCCCCAGGACTTGTAACAAGGAGAGGCAACATCACAGAGGTGGGGATTGGTAACCAATCACAGAGAAGCGGCCGCCCAAACCTCTGTTGTCCTACCTTCCCTCTCCTTGAGTTAAAAAAAAAACAAAACAAAACAAAAAACAAAAAACGTCTCGGAAATTACATAGACGTCCCTCAGAGTCCCTACCCTGGAAAAACGGGGTCAACTTCCCGCACCACCCTGCCCAGGCTCCCTTGGGGGTCCCCAATCCCGAAGGGTGGGAGTTCGGATGCCGCCTCCTTCACTCCCTCCCTCCTACCACCTGTAGGAGACCAGGACCAGGTCCAGCCGGAAAACTCACCGCGCGGCCCGGGAGTCGCCATGATGTGGACGCAGACCCCGCCGGCCCGCGGCCGCGCGCTTCTGGGCAGGCTTATGCCGCCGCGGGGCTAATTCCATCGCGGCTCAGCTCCGTCCCGGCGCGCCCGCCCCTCGCCGGCTGCCGCCTCCTCCTCCCCCATCCCTCCCGGCCGCCGGCGCCGCGCAGCCACAGCCCAGCTCTCCCCGCTGCGCCCTGGGCGCCCGGGTGCTGGGAGCGGGGCGTCGAGAATGGAGCGCGGTCCCGCGGCCGGGTTGAGTCCAGGACACACTCGGGTCCGTGGGGCTGAGGGGCGAGACAGTAAACGCTCCCTGCTCCCCCAGAGCCGGGGCAACGCCCCACAACCTGCTTCGAGTGTAAAAATTCAGTCGGATTATCTCATGAACTGTCTGGCTGATTAGTTTCCAATCCTGCCAGCAAAACCTTCTTCCCGCCGCCCCAAAGGGTCATCCACTGCCCAAGAGTTAGCCCTGGGGCGGGAGTGGGGGCGAGCCCCTGGACGGCGGATCTCCCACACCTGTCTCCATACTAGGTGGAGACCAGCTGTCCTCACCTTCCCCTAGGTTAAGCAGAACAAAAGGGAGAAGAGGCAGGTAGTAAGTGCACAAGGGACCGCAAAACAGGAGGGGCTGCCAGAGGCAGGAGGAGGGGTCCATTTTACAAGAGCTCTCCCATGAGACGCTAGGAGGGTTAAGGAAGGTTGAGGGAGTAGATGATGGAAGCTCCATCCCCAGAGGGGAAGAGGAGTGCCATCTCCCCGGGACAGTTCACGGACCTGGGCAGGGGGATGGGAGGGAAGACCTCCAAAGGGCCCTTCTGCACGATGGAATCTGCAACTCCAAGATGCACAGAAGTAAAACAAGTTCATTAATACCATGGACCCCCAAAATGAAGAAGTACTATGTTAAGGTCAAGTATGCCATTTGTGATCACTGACCTTCAGGCATGAAGATTTTCTCTCCTATATTGATAAGGTAGGCTGGTCATGATAGATCCCACTTTATAGAGAAGGAGCCTGGGGAAGCAAAGGGGAGTAAGTGACACCACAGTCGAGGGCAGAGCAGAAGGAAAACCACAAGATGTGATGTCCCAACCCAGGCCTTTATTCCATCCACTGCAAGTACTACCAGCTAATGCTTCTACAGGACTTCCTCTCCACCCAACACCCTTCTCAGTGCTTTCCCTATGGTAGTTATTTTAATCCTAACAATAAGTATATGAGGCAATCACTGCAGTGTGCCCATTTTACAGATGAGAGAACTGCAGTGTTAAATGGCAAGTAACTTGCCTCTAAGAGGATCCTAGGATTCCAAAGCAGGCAGCCTGCCCTGGAGTCTGTGGCATAACACTCTGCTATTCTGCTCCTTTCTGTCCCTAACAACCCCTTTCTCCCTGTCTACTTCCAGGGACCGTTATCATGTCTTTTCAATCCCCAAACGATTGAAAAATGGTCACCATTGCTCTTTCATTCATTCCCTTTCTTCTTTCCCTCCAGCAGTTTCTTAGTGTCTATATACTCCTTCCTTGAGACTCCCCTTAAAACATCCACTTTGGGGCACTCTGTCTTGCCTGGTCTGAGGGTGAGTAAAAAAGAGGGTCCCTGAAACCAGGTACAGATAGTGCCTTTGGAATACCTGTAAATAAAAGAAGACTGCCGAGACACCGCTCCGCACACACTAGCCCCACAAGTTTCTCTTCTTGCATCCTTTTTACCCAGCTCTCTTCCATCGTTTTGGGTTTTTTTAAAATAATCAAAACATGCAGTTTTCCGATTCAGCTTTTTTCTTGACGGTAAAATGACATATCAGTAAACATGAGAAGTTCAAGCTAGCAAGACACAGGCAGTTGGAAAATCAACCACCTATGCTGCAGTGGTAGCCTAGCCTTCCTGCTGAATTTCTCCAGAGCTGATGCCTCCAATAACACCTTGTCCCCAGCTAGAGTGTTAGGCGATCAGTCAGAAGAGTGACAGTTAATTCCCTGTCCCTGGATCTGGTTTCCTACCAAGAGAGACCTTAGAGGCTACCCAAAGTTGGGAGTGGGGTGATGGATGGAGAGACAGTAACCTTTGAATTACTGAGTAGTTACATAAAACTTCTATCCATTCTTCCTTCCTTCTGCCCCACTAAACTCCCCACCAAGCCTACTCAGCATAATCTATGCCATTTTCCTGTAATGTGGCTTCTCTTAAGGTTAAGCTCAGGCAGTAACAGAAGTGGTGGGAACTTAAGGGTGCAGCAGTCACTGGTCCCCATGTCAGCACGGGAGGAGTGTAAGCAACAGGGATGGTGTGGCTCTGATGGGGTGGCCTGGGAGTTCTTATGCAGGTGTCAAGTCACCTGGGTTCTGAACCTGGCCCTGCCACCCAGCAGTTATGACCTTTGGCAAGTCACTTGAATTCTCTGAGCTGCTTTCATCACTTGTAAAGGAGTGGAGGAGGGACAGTGGACTAGATGATGTCTAAGTCCCTTTTGATTCCATTATCCAGTACTTTCAATGAGCTGAGTCTCTCCTGTGTCAAAAGTATTTGGAATGAAAATCAATTCTTCATCAAATTCTTGTAATCCAGGACATCCCCTTCTTTCTCATGGGTATTCTCCCCAGCAAGAGTCCCCACCATCTTGCCAGCATGTACATGAAAATTCTTCCATACATTTTAAGGAAGGACCATCTCTAACTGCAAGTGACAGTACCAGTTAGTGATTTGGGGACTGGATGATGTTTGGTGTTATCTACACCACTTCCTCTTCCACTGAAGGATGTCTGGAGTATGTAGGACCTTGGCATCAAGCATAAAGCCTGATAGAAACCCAGCCGGTCCAGCCCTCACCACAAAGGAAATCTCTAATGCTCTGCTGTTAACATTAGAGTCTCTTATTCCCTACCGAAAGCCTTGATCTCCCCATTGTTATTCTCGCCACTTCTTACATGATTACAGAGCAATTTACAGTTACCTAAGGACTTGCAGGCCCTATTTTAGGCTGAGGTTGTTTATCCTTACCACCTTATGAGTGAGAACAACACTCCTGTTTTCCAGATGAGGAAACTGAGTCTGAGAACCACCAAGGGGCTTGTTTGAGGCCACACAGCTGAGCGAGGGCCATGTGTGGAGCCCAGGTCTGCCTCCAAATCTGGGGCTCATGGCCTCAGGCTGAGTTGGGTGACCACACTACTGCACCTGCCAGCACCCTGTTTCCAGGTCCCCATCAGTCGTCAGCACCTCTCCCTCCCACAGGGGCCACTATGGGTACACAGGAACCCTGTGAGCCACGGGCTCAGAGAAATCCTTGCACACCTGGTCAGACACCTTCTCCACACTGCCAGCCATGTGACAACAATAGTATCTATCTCAGCAGGAGCCTGGCTCCAGGACCCACCCCTCTGCTATGTTCAGAAGCCCCTCCATTCAGAGACTGGAGAATCCAGTGTTGCTGGGAAAATCCCTTTTACTTTGTGCTGAGTTTCAGAAGAGGCCTACCCCATGCTATGCCTTTCCCACCCCTGGAGGCAAAGACATCACTCTTCCCCAGAAGTTGGCAGTATCTCACACTGACACTGAGGCTTGCAGATGGGGCCTGTGCTTCCTTCCTCAGAACCGGTCTCAGAACTCAGCCCCTGCCCACCGTTGCCATCTCAGCCCTACGACACAGTGCACCAGCAGCCTTTTGCAAGATAAGAGCTCAGCCTTTATTGTGGGCTCAGAAGGGCACAAGAGCAGAACATGCAGAGGACTGGCAGCACTCTGGCCTGGCCATCAGGCCAAGGCAGGCAGCAGCAGGCACCCATGCAGCTGCAGCAGCCTCACTTGCTGCACTTCCTGGGGGAGCATTTGCACTCCATGGCATTGAGAACCTCATGGTACACAACAGAGCCATTGGTGCAGTGCAGGGCCACCTGCATGGGCTCCGTCCGTGTCGGAGAGCAGCAGGAGCACTGGTCCTGCACATCGTTGATGTCAATGGAGTACATGGCTTTGCTGGCACATTTGCCCTGCAAGAAAGCAGAGGAAGATGGGAGCTTCACAATGGTGGGAAGTCCTGGCTTAGGCAGGGCTCTGGGGCAGCCTGCTTTCTCCCTGACCCCCTCCAAGCAAGGCAGGTCTGATCTCACCCAGAAGCACCCAGGACAGCTAGGCAATTTGTAAAGGAAGATCATAGGTCTGACATGTCCTCTTCTCTATGGTAATAATATCATACCCACACCCCTCTAGCTGCAATTTTTATGCATGTTAATGCATAAAATGTTTTATGCCTGATTATGCATGTTTTATGCAGGAAAATTTTATATATGTTTGACTGATCTTCAAGAATTGTGGCCCCCATCTTGCATAAATAACTCTCCATTTTCTGTAAAGGATTTGCTGAGTCTTTCCTCCATTTTTGTTTTTTTCCTGGAGTCAAAAATTTCCAGTTACTTCAATAAAACATTTGCTTAAAAAAAAATGCTTCCAGTTTATTTCCCTTCTCTTCCCTGCGAATTTTCCAGATCCTTCTAGAATGTAACTAAGGATAGGTATCCGAACACGGAGGCTCAGCCCTCCACACCCAGCCCTTATTGAAGCAGAGCCCTTACCTGGCAGTAGTGGATATCCACCTCTACTTCAGACTTACAGCTTCCCACCTTGACATACTGCAGCCTGGCAGTGATGTCGTTGCACTCAGGCTCCTCACCTACAGGACAGGTGAGAGATGAAACTTGAGGACTGGCTGGGGTTCTAGAGAACACTCTTCAGCCCCAGTGCCCTCACTGGGCTGGAAATAGGTCCCTTTCACAGTAACCAAATAAAGCCAGCCACAGGGAGGGAATTCAGTTATCCTGGTTCACCTCAGCTGTTCCTGGCCCGAAATATGCAGAGATATAGTTATTGCTGGACTTAACTCACTTAATGGTACAATTTTAATTGCAGGAAGAGCCTAAATTCACTGTGCTATGGTGATGTAAAATGAGGAAGACTTGCCTTTGTATCATTGTAGACTCTAAAAACCACATGGCTAAAGCAACCCTCTTGTGCTTGTAACTACATTCAGAAGCTAATGGGCAATGAAGTAGTCAATAAGTATAATTACTATCTCTTCATTCCTGCCTTGGGGTAAGAGGAAAGGCGAAGTCATGGTGATGTAAGGGCATACCCTGCCTCTCTGGGGACCGAGAAGATCCCTAGGCACCTTTGTGAAGGCCTCTCTTCGGGTACTGCTGACTCCAGGTTGCTGACATGGGGGTTTCCTTTCACACAGGGGTTAGTGGCATTCAGATCTGAATCTCTACTTGGCCCACTGGGAATTCAAAAATTTAATCCCAGCTCACCATTCCAGTCTGAACACTGGGAGTTTTCTGTCCTTAGATGGCTCGAAATCTAAATCAACCCTAACTACATATTAGTCTGCCTCCTAATTTCTAGATAATTTCATTGTAAAGGGAAAGCCTGCCAATTACATTAAGAGGATGAATTAAAAAAAAAAAACATTTAGACCAGCATACTATACTATGTTGCTGTGGATTTAAGGCCCTGAGCCTGGCTTATTGTCCTTATTAAAGATCTCGAAGCCTCTTGAATGAGTTGACCAACAAAGACCCTTTGTGGTGGTTTTGTAGGTAACAGTCTCCTAATCAAATTCCACGTGCAGTGTGCCTAGAGAGAATTCTTCTTCTCTGATGGTTTCCTGACTTCACATTCTTAAACCATTCAAATGGGAATCATAGAAAGACATGCTTTCAGAGTGCTTCCTCGATCTGAGATTTGGTTACAGCAATTGCAGGGGCTGTCAAGAATGAATGATTGAACACTGAAAGTATTCATGTTTTCACTCTTCCTTTCTCTATCTGTAAACAAGCATGGACCTGTGAACCCAGGGCAGAAAAGAAATACCCTAATCTAAAACAAAAAATCTTAGTCCAGGCAAGTAATTCTATATTCAGAAATTATGGCATTAGCATTGGGATCCTGAAAGTTATTTGTGCTCACAAACACAAGCATGTATGGGAAGAACACTGTCTGATGTGCAGATTTGTGTCTCGTCTCCAAAGCTGCTGCTGTGAGCAATGAGAACCAATCAGTAGGACATAACTACGAGGTAAAGAGGAGCTCAGAGTGAAGAAGAGGGGGTGATAAACTTAGACCAGCCCCCACAGCACATGTGGGCTGTTGTCAGCCAGCTGGTGGCTTCGCTTTCTCTTTGAGATAGCTTTAGCACACTCATGAATAGATATGTGTTGAGAGTCTACTCTGTCAGGATCATAGATCCAAGGTGCCTGTCTTCAAGAAGCTTTGGTTAGAGAGGGAACATATCGTCCCAGGATAGGACTATGAGCAATCAAAGATCCTATGAGGGAAAAGGCACATAAGAAGCTGGAGACAGGAGGGAGTTTGCAGGAAAAGGGGAAAGAGATTGCTCCATGGGATCTAAAAGGGAGTTCAAGAGGGCAGTCTGATGACATCCAAGGAGGGGAGGCTGCTCCCTGCAAGACTGAACATAATGACTGACCAGTGGTCACGAAATATCTTTCTGAAATAAAGCTTACTCCAAAGAACAGTCATGCGGCTTGCTAATGGGTTTCAAGGAGCAAGCTGCAAAGAGCCCCTGGACTTGCTCTGATGGGTTTCAAGGGACAAGATATTAGTAACGCACTCACATGTGTCACAGCAGGTGCCTGGAATTTTCATAATTTTACCCTAAGAAAACAGCAAAATTTCAGGTTAGGCACAAACAGTACAGAGTAGACAGCTTTCAGGTCACTCCGGGCCAATTTTTAGCTCCGAACTCACAGCCCTGTGCTTAAGTGCCCAGATGTAAACTATGCTTTCCTATCATAAATGTGAGCAGCTTGACCACCCTACCTGACCAGGCTGAAACAATTTTGATGATTCTGAATTCTCTTCCAGTTGAGTCATCAGGATCTTCATTCCCAGGGAGACTAAAAATCAGTTTGATCTCACATTTTATTCAAGAATCACACACTCAGCCTCCCTTAAGGAAAATATTTTTTTAAAACATCCTATATTGCAGAGAATTTTATCTCTCCGTAGGCTTTGATTTCGTAATCTCACTGATTCTTCAACTAGGCCAGAGATGTGCCTCAGACACTGAGAAATTATGCCGGAGCTGGGATGCACACTATTCAGAAGAATCTTGTTCTTAGAGATTGAGACAGTAAAGAGGAAAGCAGAATGAGTACTCACTCCCTCAGCCAGACACTTGTGTTCATCAAAGGGTGGGCAGCCTGTGACCCTCTTCTCCCAGAAGTACTCTCCTCTCTCATTGACCTTGCAGAAGTGAGTATCACAGCCATCCTGGAGCGTCTCATCACGCTGGAAGGAAAGAGGAGTGGGTAAAGTCAGAGACAGTGTTTGGTTCACAAAGCCACTTCAAACCATGAGCTTGACTCCATGGAGATGACGAAACAATCTGCAGAACCATGAAACAAGAAGACAGTGTATAATAAAGCCCCCACACCCAGAACACAGACCAGAAGTGGAGTCCCAGTTTTACAGCTTGTATCCTATGAACAGGGCTGCTATGTAGACTCTTCCGACCAGTTAAATGCTTGAAGGATTGAGATATAGCAACAGTAAACTGGCTAGCTGATAACTGAACTAGAGATGAACGAAGGGAACTACCTCCCAGCCCCACCAGCTAGTCCGGACTTCATAGACCAGAGTTTGTTTCACGCTGATGGCCTGTCCAGTCTTACAGACGCCCAAGGGTAGAGAAAATCTTAAAGATCAACCACCTCCAGGCCAGGCACGGTGGCTCACACCTGTAATCCCAGCACTTTGGGAGGCCGAGGTGGGCGGATCACGAGGTCAAGAGATCGAGACCATCCTGGCCAACATGATGAAATCCCATCTCTACTAAAACTACAAAAATTAGCTGGGTGTGGTGGCACGTGCCTGCAGTCCCAGCTACTCGGGAGGCTGAGACAGGGAAATCGCTTGAACCCAGGAGGCGGAGGTTGCAGTGAGCCGAGATCGTGACATTGCACTCCAGCCTGGCAACAGAGCAAGACTCCATCTCAAGAAAGAAAAAAAAAAGATCAATCAACTCCAAATTGTGAGGCCCTACACCAAGTACACTCTTGTCAAGAAGAGCAACAAAATAACTAAATAAAAGAGAAAATTCTGTGCCTGCAATAAGTCATCTATCTTTTCTTTATATAATCAGAAAGAAATAGAAAAAGAAGCCAATACTGAACCAAACTTAGCCCCTCTTCCTTGAAGAAAAATTTCCAAAAAAGGAAGCAAGATGGTGATATGTGAGGGAGCCCTGCATTCAGCTTGCTCCTACCTTCAGTGTCATGATCTGTCCTCCTCTTAGCTGAATGGTGCAAGCCGTAGGCAAACATCTCCCACAACATTCACCTGTGTTATTTTCTTCCTTGTAACCCTGCATCCAGAGGGGGAAAAAGCAGCCATAGTTAACCTCCTTAAAACATCCCAATTGTAAGTAGGCTGATTTTGCTGGCCTCTCATCTCTCTCATCCAGTAGTTTCACCTAGAATTCGGAAAGTCAACATCCAACTCCAACCAGCTTTTGTCAGTTCTCAGTCCCCTAGGTAGCATTCCTTCACTCTGCATGTGCACATCTCACTCAAGTTGTAGCAGCCAGTCCTATTAAATGAGACCTTTTCCCTGAGCTTCAGACTTACAAATTCAATTGTTTACTGGACAATTATTCTATTGTCATCTTGAGACTTGCATCCAAAAGGAAATTTGATTTTTGTCCCAAATCTCATCTTTCTCTGGTATTCCCTATTTTGGTAAGTGGCGTTAATCACCCAGTCTTTCAAACAAGAAATCTGAGAGTTATCCTTGACTTCCCCTTTTTTCTCATCCCCTGCTTATCACCAAATCTTGCCAAAAATGTATCTCAAACTCATCCATTGCTTGTCATGACCAGTCTCCTCTTTCATCATTGAGTCTAAATAACCATCATCTACCAGGGACTCTGGTAATAGTCTTATTTTGTCTTCCTACCTTCATTCTTGCTCCCCTGCTACAGGTTACCACACATCTGCCAGAATGACCTTCTTAAAGCCTACGTCTACTCTTGTGACTCCTCAGCTTAGAAACTTTTGATGAGGTTCTGGCTGTAGTTACGGCACAGTGGCTTGTATTGGACTAACCTTCCTGCAGATGATGATTATAAACAATTAACGAAATATTTAAAGCCAACTGTTCAAAAGCACTGGAAGAAGACCAAAATCAAGAATAAAGTCTAGATTATTTGATCCTTGAAAAAAGGAACCATAATGGACAAGATTCATGTTTAAATGGCTTTTCCCATGAGGGCCGTCTGTATGGCACTGGACAGCCAGAACTCAAGCAGAAAACTGTAGTTGTATCTGCCTGAGGACTCAGCAGACAGTTTGGAACTGCTAGAATAGCTGGAAACTAAAGGGAAAATGTCAGAAAAGAGGAAGTCAGAAACAAGAAGCCCCTAAATCTGCAAATAAACTCCTCTGAACTCTTTGGTTGATCCCTTAATTATACATCTATAGGAGAGCCTACAAGGAGCCCAGAGACAAAACGACAGCTGGAAAGCTCAAACACCTGAGCAGAAATTTCAGTTACCACACACCACACGGGAGAGAGTTTGCTGTCTGAATTCTAACGAGTTGGAGGGGCTGGGTAAACACCTGGGTTTCTACTGGAACTTCATAAGGGACAAGCCTTCACAGTAAACACTGTGTCTCAGGACTAAAATATTCAGCCTAGGGCTAAGAAAAATGCTGAAATAGACCTTCCCTAATGTAGTTTAAAAATCAAGACTTCTATAGTTCAAAATGAACCACCAATAATCTAACCACATTCTAGAACCAAACTTAACCTTTATTATAAAGAAACAACAGAATTAAGAGTCTCTTCAACATATCTTCCACCAATGTCTAATACACAGTAAAAAAAAATTTCATGCAAAGAAATAGAAAAATTTGATCTATACCAAGAGAATTATCACTTAATATAAACAGACACAGAAATGGCCCCAGTATTGCAATTAGCAGGCAGGAATTTTTTTTTTATTATACTTTAAGTTTTAGGGTACATGTGCACAATGTGCAGGTTAGTTACGTATGTATACATGTGCCATGCTGGTGTGCTGCACCCATTAACTCGTCATTTAGCATTACGTATATCTCCTAATGCTATCCCTCCCCACTCCCCCCACCCCACACCAGTCCCCAGAGTGTGATGTTCCCCTTCCTGTGTCCATGTGTTCTCATTGTTCAATTCCCATCTATGAGTGAGAACATGCGGTGTTTGGTTTTTTGTCCTTGCGATAGTTTACTGAGAATGATGATTTCCAGTTTCATCCATGTCCCTACAAAGGACAAGAACTCATCATTTTTTATGGCTGCATAGTATTCCATGGTGTATATGTGCCACATTTTCTTAATCCAGTCTATCATTGTTGGACATATGGGTTGGTTCCAAGTCTTTGCTATTGTGACTAGTGTAGCAGGCAGGAACTTTAAAATAACTATGATAAATATGTTAAAGAGTCTAGAGGAAATGACAGATATAATGGAAAAATAGACAGGGAATTTTAGGAACAATCTGGAAACTTTAGGAAAAAAATCAAATGGAAATCTTAGAACTAGAAAACACAATACTCTAAATCAAAAACTCACTGGATTGGATTAACTGCAGACAGGACACAAGAAAAGAAAAGATCCTTGAATTTTAAGACAGATCAATAGAAATTACCCAAACTGAAGCATAGAGAGGAATAAAGATGTAAAAAATATAAATAGGGAGCCCCAGGGACCAGTGGAACAGTATCAATGGTTTAATAATAAACAGTCATGGGCCAAAAAACAATGTTTCAGTCAACAACAGACTGCATGTATGACAACAGTCCCATAAAATTATAATGGAACAGAAAAATTCCTATCACCTGGTGACTTCATAGCACAACACATTACTCCCATGTTTGTGGTGATGCAGGTGTAAACAAACCTACTGTGCTGCCAGTCATGTAAAAGTATAGCACATGCAATTATGTACTTGATGATAATGTATGTTACTGGTTTATGAATACTTTAGAGATACTCCTTCTACTTATTAAAAATATAAAAAGTTAACTGTAAAACAGCCTCGGGTAGGTCCTGCAGGAGTATTCCAGAAGAAGGCATTGTTATCACAGAAGACGACATCTCCATGAGTGTTATTTCCCCTGAAGACTTTCCAGTGGAACAAGATGTGGAGGCAGAAGACTGATATTGATTATTCCAGCCCTGCGTAGGCCTAGACTACTGTGCGTGCTGAGTTTTCATTTTTAACAAAAAAGTTTAAAGATAAAAAAATGCCTATAGTTCCACCTGTTTGGGAGGCTGAGGCAGGAGGATCAGTTGATCCCAGGAGTTTAAGCTGCAATGAGCTATGATAATGCCTCTGCACTCCAGCCTGGGTGACGAATGAGACCCTGTCTCGAAAAAAAAAAAAAAGAAGTTAAACAAATTAAAAATTTCAAAAATAGGAAAAAGCTTTTAGAATGAGGATATAAAGAAAAAATATTTTTGTACAGCTGTACAATGTGTTTGTGTTTTAAGCTAAGTGTTATTACAAGAATCAAAAAGCTTTTAAAATTTTAAAACTTTATAAGTAAAAAAGTTACAGTGAGCTAAAGTTAATTTATTATTGAAGAAAGAAAAATATTTTGTAGTAAATTTAGGGTAGCCTAAGTGTACAATGTTTATAGACTATAGCAATGTCCTAGGTCTTCGCATTGACCCACCACTCACTCTCTGACTCACCAAGAGCAACTTCCAGTCCTATAAGCTCCATTCTTGGTAAGTGCCCTATACAGTATGTCATTTTTATCCTTTATATATTTTTTACTGTACCTTTTCTATGTTTACATGTGTTTAGATATACAAATGCTAATCATTGTGTTACAGTTGCCTACAGTATTCAGCACAGTAACATGCCATACAGGTTTGTCACCTGGGAGTAACAGGTTATACCACATAACCTAGTTGTATAGTAGACCATACCATCTGGATTTGCGTATGTGCACTCCACGATCTTTGCACAACAAAAATCACCTAACGATGCATTTCTTAGAACATATCCCCATTGTTAAGCAACACGTGAATGTACGTGTAATTAGAGTTTCAGAAAGACAGTAAAACAAAATGAAACAGAAAAAAATTAAGGAAATAATAACTGAAATTTTTCTCAATTTGATCAGAAAATCAACCCACAAATCCAGGAAACTATGAATCCAAAATAGAAAAGGTAGGAAGAAAATTACACAAAAGCATATACTCAAGCTTCTGAAAACTAAAGAAAAACTGTTAAAGCATCCAATAGAAGGGGGGAAATGCATACAGGAAAACAACAATAAAAATGGCGGCTGACTGGTCATCAGAAATAACACAAGCCAAAGACTAAGAAACATACTTAAAGTGATGAAATTTAAAAACAAACCCGTCAACCTAGAATTCTATATTCAGTAAATGAAGGCAGAATAGAGACATTTTCAGATAAATGAAATCTTAGAAATGTGTTGTCATCCAGCCCTGCACTAAAAGAAGTTCTTTAGGCTGAAGGGAAATGATATAATATGGAAATTCAGATATATAAGAAGGAAGAGCACTGAAAATTATAAATATGTAGGTAAATATAAATCACCACTTTCAGTTCACTTTTTAAATTCCATATAAGACAAATGACTGTTTAAAGCAAAAATAATAGCAATACCTTGTGGAATTTCTCTCTTCTTATGTAGAAGTAAACTGTATGACAACAAATGTACAAATTATGGAAAAAGTACGTTGTACATGAAATGTTATATTATTCAATCAAAGTGTACTGTGATAAGTCTAGAGCAACCACTAAAATAGTAATATGAAGAAATACAGTGAAAAGGCCAATAAAGAGATATAGTACTAAAAAAAAGAAAAAAAAGAAAAACTCAGTTGAACCAAAAGACAAAAAAGAATTAACAACAGAACAAGTAACAAAGAAGACAGCAGATAAAATGAATAACAGAAGAATAGCTTTAACCCCAACCATATCAATAATTACATTAAATGGAGATTGTCACCTTTAGATTTTAAAAAGCAAAATTCAATTAGTATGTTGTTTTCAAGAGACGCACTTTTAATTTAGATAGATAGGTTGAGAAGAAAGATGTAATAGACAAATTAGTCAAAATAAGAAAGTTGATATAGGTGTATTAATACCAAACAAGGCCAGTGAGGTGGCTTCATGCCCGTAATATCAGCACTTTGGGAAGCCCAGATAGGAAGATCGCTTGAGCCCAAGAGTTTGTGACCAGCCTGTGAAACATGGCAAAACCCCATCTCTACAAAAAATACAAAAAATCAGTTAGGCATGGTGGTGCACAACTGTAGTCTCAGCTACCTGGAAGGCTGAGATGGGAGGATCACCTGAGCCCAGGAAGTCAAGGCTGCAATGAGCCATGATCATACCGCTGCACTCCAGCCTGGAAGACAGAGTGAGACCCTGTCTCAAAAAATAAATAAATAAACATAAAAGATTACTCTTCACTTAGGGGAAGCAGGGAAAGGATTTTTACCTGTTTTCTTTCACTAATTTGATCCCTCTGCTTGGATAAATGATAGTAGATACCATATATGTTGAATGAGTGAATAACTGACTGTAATTCTTAGTTTGTTATCTTGGTCCATTGTTGCCAAGCTTAGATAGGACTAGAGACAGCCTAAGATGAGGAATGTTACCAAAAATAAAGGAGGTGGCTGGGTGCGGTGGCTCACACCTGTAATCCCAGCATTTTGGGAGGCTGAGGTGGGAGGATCGCTTGAGCCCAGGAATTCATGACCAGCCTGGGCAACATAGCAAAACTCCATCTCCACAAAAATTAGTTGGACATGGTGGCACACACCTCTAGTCTCAGCTAGGTGGGAGGCTGAGGTGGGAGAATCACCTGAGCCTAGGAGGCCAAGGCTGTAGTGAGCCATGATTGTGCCACTTCACTCCAGGCCTGGGCGACACAGTGAGATCCTATCTCAAAAAATAAATAAATAAAAAATAAAGGAGGTTATTTGATAATGACAAAAGAATAGATTCATCAAGACATAAGAATGCTTAAGAGGGATGCATCTACAGAACTTCATAATATATGAAGCAAAAATGGATAGAACTAAAGGGAGAAATAGGCTAATCCACAATCTTAGTCAGTGATTTTTATGTTCTCTCAGTAATTGATAAAAACAAGTAGGAAAAAGACAAATGAAGATATAGAGGATTTGGAAAACTGTAAGAACCAATATGACCTAGTTGGAAATAATAAACTATTACATTCCAGAACTGCAGAGCATACATTCTTCTCAAATGCACACAGAATATTCACAAAGACAGACCAAATTGTGGGCCATAAAAATGTAAACATGGATAAACAGAGACTGGATAAAAAAGTAAATAAATGTCAAGATTTTGAAATCTTAGAGATTATATTCTATGACCAATTTCAATATAATGAAATTATATTGAAATTAGCAACAATAAAGTATTGAAAAACACACCACCATATTTGGAAATTAAATAAAATACTTTTAAATAACCCATGGATCAAAAAATAAATATTTTTAACTAGCGGTAATAAAAAACAATATATCAAAATCTGAGGAGTACAGCAAAAACAGTTCTTGAAGGAAAATTTATATTTTAAATTTTGTATTAGAAAATCATGAGCTAAGCTTCCATATTAAGATGCTAGTAAAAGAAGAGCAAATTAGACCCAGTCATTAAATGACAAGACATAATAAAAATAAGGGCAGAAATCAATAAAATAGAAAAGAAAAATATAAAAAGTAAAACAACAAAGGCAAAAGTTGGATCTTTGAAAGATTAATAATATAATAATATATAATATAATAATAATTAATATATAATAGACAAATTAGTCAAAATAAGAAAATCTCTAGCTAGATTAATCAAGAAAATAAAAAGAAACAAATTATCAATATTAGAAATAATAGAAGGTTTACAACTACAGATTCCACAGATATTAAAAGTATAATAAGGAAATGTTATAAACAACTTTGTGTAACTAAATTTGACCAACTTAAATACACGGATAAGTTCCATGAAAAACTGATTTACCAAACTAATTCAAGAAGAAATAGAAAATCCGTTTTTTTATTTTAAAAGTTGAATTTTATATATAAATCTTTTCCACATGAAAAGCTTCAAGTCTAGTAAGCTTCACTGATGAAATCTGCCAAACATTTTAGGAAGAAATAATACCAATTTTATATAAGCTCTTTAGAAAACACCACCATATTTTGTTGGATCTAGCATAACCCTGACATCAAAATCTAACAAAAGCATTAAAGAGAAGAAAATTAGAAACCTAACACTCTTAACATAAACATTAAAATCTTTAACAAAATATGAGCAAATAGATCTAGCACTGGATGTGAAACAGGATAACACGTCATGAAGAAAGGGGATTCATCAAACGAATGAAAGGTTGGCTCACCATTTGAAATCAATCCATGCAATTCCTCATGTTAACAGAATTAAGGGGGAACCATATGGTCATCTTAAAATATACAGCAAAACTGTCTGACAAAATTTAAACCAATTCATTGTAGAAACTCTCAGCACTAAAAAAATAGATGAGAACTTCTTCAATATGCTATAGGACAGGGGGCCCCAGTACCAGTCCGGTCAGTGGCCTGTTAGGAACTGGGCTGCACAGCAGGAGGTGAGCAGTGGGCCAATGAGTGAAGCTTCATCTGTATCTACAGCCACTCCCCATCACTCACATTACCAACTGAGCTCTGCCTCCTGTCAGATCAGCAGCCAGCATTAGATTCTCACAGGAGCCCAAACCCTACCGTGAACTGCACATGTGAGGGATCCAGGTTGCGTGCTCCTTATGGGAATCTAATGCCTGATGATCTGTCACTGTCTCCCATCGCCCCTAGATGGGACTATCTAGCTGCAGGAAAACAAGCTCAGGGCTCCCACTGATTCTACCTTATGGGAGTTATATAATTATTTCATTATATATTACAATACAATAATAATAGAAATAAGGTGCATAATAAACATAATGCATCTGACTCATCCCAAAACAATCCCCCTGACCCTAGTCGATGGAAAAACTGTCTTCCACGAAACTGGTCCCTGGTGCCAAAAAGGTTGGGCACTGCTGCTGTTGAACACACAACTATATCATACTTAATGAATTAATTCCCTCTAAGATCAGAAAGAAAATATTCCCATCAGTTCTATTCAATATTGTACTGATTATATTAGCCAGTTTGATAACAAGAAAAACAAAACAGAATGTATAAAGATTTCAAAGGAAGAAGTAAAAGCTGTCTTTATTTGAAGGTGTCATAACTGCTTATGAAGAAAATCCTTAGGAATCTGCCCCCTCAAAAAAAAAAAAAAAACACTATTACTACAACTAATAAGTGAATTTAGCAAGGCTGAAGAATACAAGATCAAAATATAAAAACTGATTTTATAAAAGCAACAAACAAAACATAAAATTTAAAAAAAACTTCCATTTGCAATATCGTCCAAAAACTTTAAATACTAGGTAATAAGTGTAACAAAATTTGTGCATCTACACAAAAAAAATCATTGCAGAGAAAAATTAAAGGAGACTGCTAAGATGTGAATGTGTGTGTCCCTACAAAATTCCTATGTTGGGATTTAAACTCCCAACTGATGATATTAAGAGATGGGGCCTAAGTGATTTAAGTCATGAGGGCTCCACTCTCCTGAGTGAATTTGTGCTGTTATTTAAAAAAAAAAAAAGTCAAAGGGAATGCCCTAGTGCCTTTTGCCTTTCCACCTTCTGCCACATGTGGATGCCATGAGAAAGCACTGCCTATGAGGAACAGGCCATCATCAGACATCAAATCTGCTGGTACCTCAATCTTGAACCTCCAGAACAGTGAAAAAATTAATTTCTGTTCTTTACAAATTACCCAGTCTCAGGTATTGTGTTACAGCAGCACAGACTGAGAGCAAGACCTAAATAATCGAAGAGATATACTATGTTCATAAATTGAAAAACTCAACCTTGTCTAGACATCCCTTCTCTCCAGATTAACCTATAGATTCAATATAATCCGGCACACTTTAAACATTTTTTTAATAAAAATTAACAGGATGACTCTAAATTTATATAGAAATTGAAAGGACATTAAATACCCAAAACAATCTTGAAAAACAGCAAAGTTGAAAAACTTAAATTATCTAATTTCAAGGCTAACCATAAAGTTACAGTAATCAAGACAGTGGTGAGACCATAAGGATAGACAAAGGATCAGAAAAAAAGGAGCCTAGCGATTGGTCCATACATACACAGGCAATTCTTTTTTTTTTTTTTTTTTTTTTTGAGACAGAGTCTCGCTCTGTCACCAGGCTGGAGTGCAGTGGTACAATCTCGGCTCACTGCAACCTCTGCCCCCTGGGTTCAAGTGTTCAAGTGATTCTCCTGCCTCAGCCTCCTGAGTAGCTGGGATTACAGGCACCTGCCACCACCCCCAGCTAATTTTTGTATTTTTAGTAGAGAAGGGGTTTCACCATGTTAGCCACGATGGTCTTGATCTCTTGACCTGGTGATCCACCTGCCTCAGCCTCCCAAAGTGCTGGGATTACAGGCGTGAGCCAGCACGCCCGGCCAGCAATTCATTTTTTACAAAGGCACCGACATAATTTAATGAGGAAAGGATCATCTTTCAACAAATGGTGCTGGACCCACTGGATAGCCACATGGGAGACCCCTACTTTATACCACATTTAAAATTTATTCCTCATGGATCATAGACCTAAAAGTAAAACTAAACTATAATGCTTCTAAAAGAAAACATAGGATACTATCTTCATGACCTTAGAATGGACAAAAACTTCTTAAACAGGACATAAAAAGCACTAACCATAAAAGAAAAACATCTATAAACTGAATTTTATCGAAATTAAACTTCTGATCTTCAAAAGACACAATTAAGAAAAATAAAAGCTGAGCCACTGGCTGAAAGAAAATATTTCATTAGATACCTTATAAAGGACTAGTATCCAAAATACAGAAAAAAACTCATAATCAATCATTAAAGGGCAAACAACCCAATTTAAAAATGGCCAAAAGCTTGAACAAACACATCACAAAAGATGATATGGCCAATAAGTATGTAAGATGCTCCACATCATTAGCCAACAGAGAAATGCAAATTTAAAATACTAGAAGATTCTGAAATTAGAGAAGCAGTAAGGAAAAAATGCTAGAAGATATCACTTCACAATGGCTAAAATTGAAAAGCATGACAATACCAAGCATTGGTGAGGAAGTAACTGGAACTCCCATAGAATGCTGGAAAAAACTTCTCCCTGAGAAGCATGGTAAGTTGCAAATTGTGTCTCTGCTGTTCTCTTGTATCCCCAGCATCTGGCCCCTACTTGGCACCCCTACACTCACAGAGGAGGTAAGTTCAGCTAGGAACTTGTTTTCCTGTTTGTTTTGTTTCGTTTTTGAGACAAGGTCTCGCTCTGTCACCCAGGCTGGAGGGCAAGTGGTGCAATCATAGCTCAGCGCAGCTAGGGACTTGTTGAAGCGGCATAAGGTAAGAGCGCCTTATTTATATCTGCATCGGACAAAGAAGCAGCTTCGAGACACAGGACTGGGAGAAAAACAGGGCTGGCAACTTTTTATTTTGCAAAGTAAGAGTGTTTTAAACAATTTTAATAAAATAAAAACCAAAAAGCAGCCAGGCGCAGTGGCTCACGCCTGTAATCCCAGCACTTTGGGAGGCCAAGGTGGGCAGATCACGAGGTCAGGAGATTGAGACCATTCTGGTTAACACGGTGAAACCCCGTCTCTACTAAAAATACAAAAAAAAGAAAAAAATTAGCTGGGCATGGCGGTGGGCGCCTGTAGTCCCAGCTACTCAGGAGGCTGAGGCAGGAGAATGGCGTGAACCTGGGAGGCGGGGCTTGCAGTGAGCCGAGATCTCACCACTGCACTCCAGCCTGGGCGACAGAGAGAGACTCTGTCTAAAAATACATACATACATACATACATACATACATGCATACATACATACATACATACATGCATACATACATGCATACATACATACAAAAAGCTACCAAGCTACCATCTACTGTCTCATCATTCCCTAAAAATTATTAGCTTTGCTTTCAGAAGAAAAACAAATTATAGTTCTTTTGACCCTTTCCACCTTCGTACCCCCAAAAAACAGAAAGAACGTAATCACATAATCCCAGAATTTTTTAAAGAATCAATTTAGCTTTGTGAGAAACCAACTCTGTTGTCATTCTTTTTCTCATTTTGCCACATTTAGTGATCACCATTCAGAGATCCATTCATTGGGGTCCTGAGGCTTTTCTATTATGAATCACCAAGTCAATTTGGAGCACCCAGACAGACGACCTGTCCCAAGGTCAAGGTTAGGAGTCAGTAAGCTTGCTCAGAGATTAATTTAAACCATTTGCTCTCATAAATCAAGCCATGAACTTGGCGTGTCTTCAGGAGCAGGCAGAAGGAAAAGCCAGTGAGGACAGGGCAGTCAGGGAGGCAAAATCCCCACAGCAGGAGGCAGAGGGCAAAGTTAGGCCAAGAAAAGGAAAGGTGGAGGGCAGTTATGCGAGAAGAAAGATTTGGAAGAAAAGGGAAAGGAGGCAGAAAATAAGCCGAAGGGGGCAACAGTGTTAAGGGTGTGGCAGGGGCTTGGAAGAAGCAAGGGAGGGAGGAGAGAGCATGGAAGTGAATGGAGGGAACAGCCTGCTCTGCAGCATGTCTCCTACCCGGCAGGGCCAGACCACAGCTGCACACGATGGACAGGACTTGTTTGGGCACTGCTGGATTTCCTGGCTGCTGCTGGCTGGGGGTATGTGTTCCACATTTCCCCGTTCAAGGGGAGGGCAGAGCTGCCCTTTGGGTTTTCCCCAGAACATTTGATCACCGCAGGAAACATCCTTCTCAGGAGCAGCCTCTTCCTCCTCCTGCTGAGCAAGTTCCCAGCCAGCCCCAGAGTTCACTTGTTTAGGTCTGAGCAGCCAATTAGTCCTGCTTTCCTCACACAGTTGTCCTCCTAAAACTGCCTTGCACACCCCTCAGGGCCCCTTTCCATGTATTTCATCGACGGCTCGCAGCCCTTCCATCCATCTCCCCGTGTTTCCCTTTTCTCACCCCGGCTTCTGGCTGCCGGTTATTCATTCACCATGCCCTTCCCTGGAAGGTCTATTCGACATTCAACCCATTCATTGCTCAAGGTCCACTCAGGGTTGCCCTCCTCCGGGACGCCTTTCCAGGGTTCCACAGCAGAGTGACCTCTCTTCCTCATGCTTTCTTTGAGCAGTCAGCTGTCAAGCCTCATCTCAACCACTTGTCAGCACAAACTGCCTCCTGCTGCTCTCCCTTTAGGTAAGAGCACTGGCTTCCCTGGGAGGCAACGGAAGACTCACATCTCGGGCAACACTGGCACTTCAGCCCAACGTGGGCAGTTCAAGCCGACCTACCTAGACCTAATTCACCACAGCTACCCCCAACCCAGGAGGTGTCCCAGAGACCCTTCGTGGCAGAAGACGTAGTAAGACTAGCGGAGGACGCTGAGCTAGAACGGGATCAGCAGAGGCCGGATTCAGCAAGGCTTGAGAGATGCATAGAGGGAGGGCGAATCTAAGGGATCTCAAGAGAGAGGAGGTGGCTTGCACTCCCCTGGGAGATACCAGAATTCTGGAGAAAAAGAAGAAGAATACACAGGCCAAATGGGGCCATGGATTTTTGAGTATTTGGAAACCTACATCTGAGACTGGATTCTAAAGGTGGATTTCTCCAGATACGGAGGAAGCGGCTGTGGCTCCCTCTGAACACCAGAGGGCACTGCAGGGAGTGAGCGGGCCTGCCCTCCAGAGAGCAGGCTGCAGTGCCGTCTCCACAGGCTGGCATTGAGGTGGGCGGCCTGCTGTCTCCTGACTGCCCTGATTGGACTTCAGTGGACATCCCAGGAAAAAGGGATGCCACACGACTCCAGGCAGCATTGTTTCGTTCCATATGGAAGCCCAGATGTGTTCTAGGAGGGTTGTTACACAATACACACACACACACGCACACACACACGTGTGCACACAACTGGGCCCCAAATCCTAAAACATCAACTGGGATTTTTAAAAAATAAGCAAAAGGAAAACCACATACTTACCTTCTTCCTAATTAAGGAATGCTCTCTCTGAATCATTCTCTCAGAAACAGCTGTGTCTCCTACAGACCCATCCGCTCCATACTTCTTTTATTAAGCCCATACTTTGAGCATGATACCTCTAATTGCCATGAAGAACACAGATGTAGAACATCTACCTGTCCCTTGTCCTCAACAGTGTAAAACGCACCTGCACGACCTCTTGGCCCCCACCCCCTCCCCTCTGGCCACTGTGCTGCCTGCTTATAAGAGGCTCCTCTCCACCTTGCTGCAGCCCCGACTGTCTCACCGAGCTGAGGGAGACAAGCACTTCCCTGTACCCTCTGAGAAAGCCATCGCCATAGTTCATGCATCTAGCTCACAAGAGACTCCTCTGACCAATGGCATTTTCTAAAACAGCAGAAGCCCCACATCCAGAAGGGAGCTTGAGGAAGAAGCCAAGGCCCCTCCTGAGCTTGCAGGCCCTGCCCTGCCGCCATGGGCTCAAAACTTCCCAGTGAGGTGTTACTAAAAGTCACAGCTGAAACCCACGGAATGCCAGTTTCATCTCCCAAACTAGGAACGAGGAGTCCACCTCTCAGAACCACCTCAAGGAAGTATTCAGAACAAGCATCGTCAGCATGGCCTGGCAAAAACAGGGTGAAATATTTGAAACCATCCAAATGTCCCGCAATAATAGCTTGGTTGTATACACGAGGCACATCCATTCAAAGGAATGTTGTGTAGAGCCTTGCACATAGGAGGTGTCTGATAAATATTTGTTGACTAATTTTTAATATTTTCAAAGAACGGTGGTGCTGTTTCTTAAAATACATAAAGGGATACAGAATTGTAAACATAGTATCATAAGCCTGGCAAATACTGTGTTTATTCTGAAAACTCAGGAAGAAAATGTTTGCAACTTATAAAACTAAAATTATAATTATTTCTGAGGCATGCAGTTTGGGTGGGTGATTTTTAGTCTCTTCTTTATTATTGTCAATTATTGTTTATAATCAGAAAATAATGAGAGATTTATTTATTTAAAGACCGCAGTGAGGTCCCACTGCCTGGGTCCCACACGCGTCCAGTCCATGCCCTCGGTCCCCATTGAGCCTCTCTTACCAGGGGGCAGGGGTTGCAGGTGGTCTTCCTGCACTCCAGCTTGAATCCAGAGATGACCCCCACCTGCACCATGCAGCGGCAGGTCGTGCACACATCGATCATCACAGTCTTCCCGGGCTGGAAGCAGAGGCACCAGGGTCAGGCCCCCCAGCATCCCCCAACCCCCCACTCACCTCACTCTCATACCCTGTCTCCTGCCCACCCACCCATAGCTCCCATGAGCCATCGCTCTGCTGCTCCTCCTGTCTCCTATGGCCCACTGCCTTCCCGTCCTCCCACCTCCAGTATCAAGATGGTAAGAGTGAGAACTTTCATGCCAAAGAGGCAGCCCAGGTAGTGGCAGAGGGGACAAACTAAAACGTGCACAATGACTTCAGAGTGCTTCTCTGCACACAGAAGAAATGCACAGGTGCCTGAGGTGGGGGCCAGGAAGTGAGTGTGAGACAGGCCCGGAGAGTCAGGAAGATGGTCCTAGCCTGGGCTCCATGATGCCAGGCACGTCCCACAGGCAGTGGAAAGCTGGGGTTGGGTCTCTCTGGTTTCCTTCATTTCTGCTTTACAATGACTTGCCTGCTCCCCTTCCCACAGTACCCCCTTCCCTGTCCCCACCACTTGCTCTGGAGAAGAGGACAGCGGCTCACCCCAATGACAGTGCCATTGAGCATGCAGGCCTCCATGCGCTCTGGGGGAGAGAAAAGTGCAGAGTGAGAGTGGGCAAAACACACCCTGGTGAGACCGGCGAGCAGGCTGCTCTCTTTGGGGCTCCTCCTCCGTGTCTGGGCCTCCCTCCTGTATCGGTCGGCCCTTTCCCCCCACCCCACAACCCAGCGCTGGGGGTCCTACTGCTGGAGCCCACAGCGGCCTCCCTTCCCCATGCAGCCCACAATGAGAAGAGCCCCGTACGTTCTCCAAGTGACAGCGCTTGCTTATGTGAATTTACATTTAAGAGATGGGATGAATGGGAGGATGTTTGGGTTTATGAAACAATGAAACGCTACTCTTGAAAATTTCAGTTTCAAGAATTCAGTGGCCAGGCACAGTGGCTCATGCCTGTAATCCCAGCACTCTGGGAGGCCGAGGTGGGCAGATCACTTGAGGTCAGGAGTTCAAGACCAGCCCAGCCAACATAGCAAAACCACATCTCTACTAGAAATACAAAAATTAGCCGAGTGTGGTGGCGCACGCCTGTAATCCCAGCTACTTGGAGGCTGAGGCAGGAAAAGTGCTTGAACCCAGGAGGCCAAGGTTGCAGTGAGCCAAAATAGTGCCACTGCACTCTAGCCTATCCAGAGATAGCGCCAGTCACTCCAGAGTGAGAATCTGCCTCAAACAAACAAACAAACAAATAAATAAAATTCAGAGCAGGATATGGTAGAAAGAACTAGTTTTTGTTGTTGTTGCCATTTTTCTGTTTGTTGGCAGCGTTGGGGTGGCAAGTTGAACGCCTTCCCCTGGGTGAAACGTCACAGCATTTCAAAGGTGGTCTCCAAATCAGAGAAGCCTAGGGCCGAATCCCAGTCTTGCCATGTAGTGATCTTCAGGAAATTCCTATGGTTTTCCCATTTAATTTGCTTTCTCATAAAAGCAGTAGGAGCAGATGGGAAGATTTCGGTCCTATCCATTTCCCTAAGTTGCTAAAAAGGCAAAGAATTCAGGAGCCAAAAGTGGAAAGAGAGGCTTAAAGGTGGTGCCCGGTCCAGCCCAGCCCCAGCCTGCATGCCTTACCACAGCGACAGCTTGGGCAGCACGCTGAGGTCTTACAGCTCAGCTGAAAGCCCGAGGGGCAGACAGGGACCTCCAGCTGGGGGCAGGAGACGTTCCTTTGTTGTATAAAGACCTCCTCCTTCACTCGGACACACTCATTGATGAGGCAGGGGTTCTCCGGGGAGGCCCACTGGGAGCCGACCTGCAGGGCACCAGAGTTAGTCCAACAAGCTGGGGCAGGGCTGGAGCCCAGGGTCCCATTGGGAATGTGCTCTTCTCTCAGGAAGGTGGTTTCTAGACGTGAAGCCTGGCTTAACATGTAAGTCCCACCACAGGGTAGGGCCCACGGAGGGGATGAGTGGGGCTCGTCTCAGTGAGCACCACTCAAACAGTTTGGGTCAAAATCACCTGACTGAGGCACCCAGGCAAGCACCTTGGAGAAGCCAGGGGACTCACCCTCCCTTCCTCAGCATTGGTTTGAGCTGAGCTCAGATACTCCGGCCAAGAAGCAGCACTGTGGGCCATCAGTGGGAAGGTGCAGCCGGGAAGCTCAACCCATTTCCCAGGCTGGTGCCACTTCCCATGGTAAGGGGAGACAGGGAGCTGGCAGAAGCCCGGGAAGGCTGGCCTGGGACCCCTGCAGCCCTGCAATCTGTCCACGAAGACTGCACATGGGTAGCCTGACCCCAAGGGTTGTCACCACGGGCAAGAAGCTGAAAGGGCCCAAGACCATGGTTCAGAAAAGTCACCAGGAGGATCTTCCCCAGAAAATGTCACTCCGAGTGCCCTCTGTGTCGGCCAGCACCCAGATATGTAACTAGGTGCCCTCTGCCGCCATCTCAGGCCCTGACCTACTTCTCCTGGTGCCTGCTTATTTCTTCTCCTTCCAGATGAGGTGTAGAAAATGCCAAACACTTGCAGCCATTCTCTTCACCCCCCACTCCTGACTCCCTGTGGCCAAATCTTCCCACTGCAGGCCTGATTCCACCCTCCAGACTTCTCCCTCCTCTGATTACTCACTCACTGAGCCTTGGCCACTGGCTCATTAAGAGGACCCATTGCCACCACCCCCCGCTGACCCCTGACATGGTTCAGCAGCAAAGCCATTGCCAACACCCAAGTCTTTTAGGTAAGATGGAGACTTGAGGTAGAGGAGAGAAGCCCAGGTCACCTTATGCTTTGCAAACACTGATGAGGGGCAGGGTGGGGTAGGCCTTGAAGGGAGATGAGAGATGGGGAAAGGGGCAGGAATACTGAGCGCAAAGGGACCAGCTCTCAGCCCCACCAGGATGGGGCAGCCCCTGATCTGAGCTGGACCTTGACCCTGGGGAGAAGAAACAAAACCTGCCTCCATCCAGGGCACATGGGAGCAGAAGCACTAAAAGGTGGGGAGGGGAGAACACAGGGAAGAGAACCCATAGGCAACTCGGACTAGAGGGGGAGGTGGAAACTCACCTGAAAAAGCCCAGTGAGTCATTCTGTTATCACTGGGGAGGAGAAAGGCAATGGGCCTGGGTAGGAGATGGGAAAGGCTCAGGACAAGATAGCAGACCTTTGGCCTTCCTCTCGAAGGGAAGCGCATTGGTCTTGCTGGGGAAGACAGAGGCAAGGCCCATATGGGCAGTTCACCTGTTCCCAGCACCAGCTCCCAAGGCTGCCAGGACTTGGCACCACCCACCTTATCCTTCTGACCAGACTGAAAGAACTGTGATTCTCCTAGCATCTGGACTAAAACCGCCAAAGACGGAATCCTCTGTGTTTAAGAAAATGGCTTGATGAGCATCAGAGTCTAAGAGAGAACCTGGCAGCACATGGGGGACAGCTGAACTGCTCTGTGTTAGAAGAAGGGACTGGCGGGGGTGAGCCAGCCAGGAGAGGACAAGAGTGGGGCAATGGGGGGCTGGCAAGATGCCCCAGCCAGACCTGCAGAAATAGCAGAGGGACTGTGGGAAATACTGTTCCTTTTCTGGGTTGTAAAGGTTTCCACCTCCCTAAAACCACCAAGGAGGTTTCAGTAGAAATCAGTGAAAAGGTCTGAGGACCCTGCCTGGGTTGATGTGGTCCAGAACAGTACTTGCAGCCTGTGGCACTTTGGAGGGGTGGTGAGGCCATCCCAAAACCAGCCCCTCAGCCACAGCACCTCAGATTCACAGGTGAATGAGAGAGCATGAATCCCCCTGGGAGGGCCCTGGGCTTCTCCCAAAATCTACAAAATGGGAAGGCTGAGGCCGTCTTAACTGGTTCCTAAGGGGCAGGTCATCCCAGCTGGCATCTGGATAACACCAACAGCTGGGTGAAATGCCCAGTGGGGAAAGCAAAGGGCAGGGAATGAGATGAAACCAAGGTCAACGCTGGTCCCTGGAGTGGCCCCAATCTGCCCTCCTCCCCGTCCCGGGGGCCTGGACCTACACTCTTCCAGGAAGACTGGGAGTCCCCCCGCGGTGAGCCAGTCACCACCTCACAGGCAGATGGCAGGCACCTTCCACAGCACTCGCCTTCATGCAGAACGTAAGTGAAGCCCTGGAAAAGCAGAAAAAACAGAGTAAGGACAGGCCAGCAGCAAAGACACAGGGGCTCTTACCTACGCCTCCTGCGTACTGAGCCCTGGGGTTGTGCCAAGTGATCACTGGTCTGGGCATTTTCATCTTTGTTGTCAACCAGCCTCAGGGCCATGCCAAGAAGCAGCAACCACCAGGTCACTAAACGAAGTCTTACATCAGCTGCAGAGATATAATTCTGCCCCCTGAAAGATCCCACTTTGAGAGAGACCATGATCCAGTCCATAGGAGCATTAAAGACAGCCCAGAGTTCCCTTAGCAGCAGCTTACTAATCTGGCCCTTATCATGGCCAACTCTAGGGACCCTCACTGACCGGGAGGCACACTCAGGATGACTGGGATCCAGTCTCCACTCTCGCAGGGCTAGCCTCCCATACAAGACGAACACTCGATCCCAATACTGCTCACCAACGTGCAGATTTGGGCTTCCCCAAGAGGTTACTTGACATTTACCTAGTAATTTATAGGGTACGGTGTTCTTTACAAAAGAAAAGTGAGATGAGAGAGCAACAGACAAAGCTTCCCCAGAAAGCATGCCAGGGAGACCAGCATCCTGGAAGTTTGTCAGCCCATCTTGCCTCTAGAAGGTCCTCCAATCTGGCTAAAGCATCATGAACATGGACTGAAACCCTCCTCTGAAAAGTCTATAGAAAGAATAGTCAAAGCAATGACAGTGTGTTTGTCCCAGGAGCCAAGAGAAAAGAACCCAGGACTACGTTCCATCTTGGAGCTGTGTCCTTAAGAGAGAAAGAGTAACCACAGCTGTTCAGGACGGGTGTGGATGGCAGCCTGCTCTGCTCCCCAAGCACTCTCCCCAGCAGGGCCGAATCTGAAGATGCACAACACGTGTGCCTCTCTCTGGACGGTCTCAACACTCCTGAGACTTGGCTCAACCCCACCCAGTCTCCACGAGACCTACTGATATCACCGCCCACCTCCCAGCAGTGTGCAGTGAGCTGTCTCCAGGCTTTTATCAGCCAAGATTCTAGTCATTTACTGTGCACCTATGATGTACTAGGTACTACGGAGGAGACAACAAATTAGGATGCCTCAATCTGTGTACACACCCTCCAAGATACAGCAGAACATTCAAAATGCCATTAAAGAAAAAAAACAAGGTCTCAGGGGGTCAGAAACAAAGACTCAAAGAACACAGAAGACAGTAATTAATACCTTTAGGGATCTGCTGTCATTCTCGTACGCCTCTCTAGAAGGCTGAATGATCGAGATTCGCATATTATTTTTGTTTCCTGTTGCCTCTCACCATGGGCAAACAGTGTCAATATTACGGATGGCTCCCAGGCCAGATGTCTGTTCCCACAGCCCCACTAGCTTCTCAAACCCAGACACTTTTAGCCATCCCTCCAAATTTCCATCTTTCTAAGATTCCCCTCCATACCCCACAGCAACCCTGTTTTCTGGCTGCACAACCAGGGTCCAACCTATATTTTTCAATTCTTTATTTTCCCTTCCTCCAACAAATTCCCTCGCTTATATCGACATTTGATATCTTGTATCAAAATACACATCCCAGGCCCTTCTCCTGGCTCTCTTCTCCACCCTGTTTTCATTGGTTTCCCAAATAAGAATGAAACTAAGTAGGTCTACTAGCCACCCAACCTGAAAACATATGCACTGAAAAATAAATTATGAATGTATCTAGCAGCACAATCCTTTAAGCACAATTGCTATAACTGAAATGGAGGTGGTAGATGCCAAGCTCTGGTCACTTGTCCCCTCTGAGGCAATCTGAGGAGCACAGTTTGAAAAGCTGACTTCCTGGGTCAGACTGGCCCTTGCAACACTGGAGTTGCGGGTTGTACCAGCCTAACAGGACGAGCTCTGGGCTCGGGTCAGGACCCTCCAGTGTCCACAGGCTTCATATAAGCTACAGAGGTTCTGGCCAACCCCATTCCCTGGGGTGGCCCTGTTTCCTGTCTGATACTGAGAAGAACAGCCCTCCCTCTTCTTCTTCCTGAGGAGTATCACAGAGTAAATAATATCTAATGGACTTCCTTTGGCTTCTCAGAATACAGTTCCTACACCTTGACTGAGCCTCATTCAGGAGCCTACGGGTGAGGAGTCAGATGGCCATCAGGCTTCATGGAAAATCCCCTCAAAGGCTTGTACAGAGGTGCAGGCCTCCTCTCACTATGGACATGGAAGCAAGGCCATCGCCTGAGGCCCGCTTAGAACATTCCTGAGAAGCCGCCAATGCCCCTGCTTGCCTGCCACCATTCCTCTGACACGAAGAGCAGAGAACTATGGAGGAGCTTGGGGAAAGTGTGTTTCTGCAGACTGTGGCTTCAGGGTGATGATGGTAGTGTTGTTCTTTCTTTTCTGTCACAACCTAGACAACACATGGACCGGCATATATGAGCCCAAGTGCCTCTGAGGTCGGACCAGAGCTAATAATGCTAACAATACTACCCTCTTTGCAGAATGAAGTCTGAGACCATCTGTAACTTACTTAAGCTCCCACCTCACTCAACACAGTACAGATCGAAGCCCAGCCTCCCACGTCCCCTGAGATTTTAAACCATGAGGCTCCCTTCTCCTCCCCAGAAGATGTGAACATTCAGCCTCTAAGACAGGGCACTCGATTCCCTAGAGCAATCACACGGTCAAGAGTTCTAGACATGGTTCCTCCTCCACTCCTGCCCTGACCTCCCTACTCATCTTCTTTTTGAAACTTCCCCCAGCTTTTCTACGCAGCCAGGATTATACCCCAGGACCTGCAGCTCCCCCAATAGTTGACTGGACCAGAGCATGAACTGGACAGCGGACCCGATCCAAGGGCTGAGCTGGGCCTGTCAACTTTCCTCTTGAGAAGTTGATCCATGAAACACAAAGACCAACTAAGTCAGACTGGACAGGGATGAACCACGGATCTGAAAAGCTGTGTGGAGTTGAAGTGAGATTTAACAAAGCTGTGTGTAAACAAAATGTGTGAGAAAGCAAAACTTCTGCACAGAGGAAGCTGGCCTGCAGTGAGGAGCTGGAGCAGACGGACAGAAATACCGGCTCTTAGGACAAATGGAGAGACATGCTGTAGGACCACGGTGCCCACCTACAAATCCTGCACTTCCTGTCTGAAAGATCCTCCTGTATCTTTTCTACAAATCCCCTTTTATTGTAGCTAGCCTGAATGGGTTCTATTCTTTGCAAGCAAAACTCCCCACTGAAACACGAAATATATTGGTTGTCAATTTTCTAAAAATGACCTCTAAGCAGCACTCTCTTTATTTGACAGCAAGTTATTTCCCTGGCCTCAGATGGCCTGTGAGAGGAGAAGAAAACCAAAGGGTTTCCAAAACTTAGTGTTTCCCACAGGAACACCTGGATACCACAGCGTCATCCTCTCCCAAAGGTACTGAGCACCTCCGCTCACTCTCAGTACCCAAATGCAAGTAGAATAGCAGGTGAAGGGCCTGGGTTTCGGGATTTGCCCTCAGGCCCTCCTCCGTCAAACCATTCACCTCGAAAACACCTTCAGGAACTCTGCCTTCACTGCCATTGACATTTGCAAAAGCAACCACAAGATGGATGTGCTCGCCTGCCCTGGCACCTCTTCTCTTAACATCATTATCTGCTGATAATAATGTAGTAATAATAATCGCATTAAACCAGCAAGCAGAATTTTACCCACAGTCCTCCCTGCAGATTGTTGCTCCCTTTTTCTCCAGTCTGATCCATCCTAAACATGCAAGAATAGGGCACCCCAGCACACACAGGAGCCTCAGGGGCAGCCACCACGAACTGGATTTGGGAAACAGGGATCATGTTTTCCGTACCTCAAGTTATAAACATGGTCTGAAAATCAACAGTCTATGTGGAAACACCAGAGTAAACTGAAACAAGGACGATCCTAGAAAATTCAGAGCATACATTTGTTCTAGGGACAGGCGAAGGTGATACATGAGGGTGGAAGAAAAAGGAAAACTTCAAGTTCTCTTTTCTAGGCATTTAGTCCTCCCCATGTCTCTGCTCAAACCTACTCCACCAGTACTTTAGACTTAAGGCCATACAACAGACGTGACCATTAGCCAAGGACTGAACTGCAGAAGGATGACGCAGAAATCCTTTGCTCATGCTTTTTCTTCTTACCCAGCCCTAACCCCCTCCCTCTTCCTCACCCCTAGCCTTGAACCAGAGGTCACTAAAGAACCTTTCTTGCCCTTCCTCGTGAACCCGGGAGGCAGAGCTTGCAGTGAGCCGAGATTGTGCCACTGCACTCCAGCCTGGGCGACAGAGCGAGTCTCCATTTCAAAAAAAAAAGAACCTTTCTTACCCTTCCTAAGATGCCCTCCTCTACTTTCCCGCTCTGATAGCTGCAGGCATGCCCAGCCCCTGCCCCACTCACCGACCGACAGCTGTCCTCACAGGGCTTCTGGGAGCACTGGGCCACGCGGAGGCCCATCACGGCATCCTCCATGTCGGTGCAGGTGCACACATCGCAGCCCTCCTCCCAGAACTGGCCCACAGGGTAGATGGTGCTTCGGTGGACACACACCTGTAGACATAAGTTTTCGTGAGTGAACTCATTTGTTTCATTGAAACAAGCGGTGAGTTAGCACCTACTACACAGAAGCCGCTCTAAGTGCTGAGAATGTGGCAATAAATAAAACCAAATGTGGTCTCCGCCCATATGCAGGGCTGCTTATAAAGCAGATTTCGTCCTCCTCCTTTCCCTGCCCACCAGCCTTAGAAAAGCTATGACCAGTCTCTCAGGGGTGGCCCCTCGTGAGGCCTTCATGGTCCCACAGACTTGAATACAACACACTGGCTGCCTTGGTCTCCCTTCTTCCTGCCTTAACTGCACTTCACTCCTTCCTATGTCACCGAGAAGCTGTACCCACATGCCCAGACCCAGTAATGTCCTTGGACTTGGAGCCCATCCTCATCGAGCCCTCTGCCCACTTACGAGCAAATTGGGCAGGGGCTATGAATGCATGTCCCCTTGCCCACGAGTGACTAGGAACATAACAAGTAAAGACTCTGGGACACAGAGCAGGGGATATGTTTGAGAGACAAGGGATCCTATTGGGAAGAACAATAGGCTCTGGTAGAGATGTGGGAAAACAGATGAAAAAGGCTGGTTGAAAGGGAAACGTGGAAAGTCTGGGATGCACGCCACAGACAATGCTCGGACATCCTTTTGTTGGAATGAGGAGCTAAGGAAGCTGTTTGATCACGGGACTTAATGACAGTTTTGAAATTAATCCCAAGTATGCCCTCCAAAGTTATGCAAAACGGGTCTCCACCCTGTGAATGTCATAATAGCAGTTCAAACATTTTGAAACCATTATCATTTATCTTCTCAGTCTTCTAGCTTCTGTATAATGAACTTATTGAATGAGACCCCTTGTTCTATTAAAAGGCCTGCAGGAAAATGTTACCATCCCTATGGAGAAGAATTGTTTAGCAATACTTAGCAAAAGTAAATGTGTATTTATAATTTGACCCAGAATCTCACTTCCAGGAATCTATCCCAAAGACACACTGGCAAGACCACAAAATGACAGATGCACACGGCTGTTTGTTACTGCAATTTGTAATAGCAAAAGGCTGAAGCAACTCAAATGTCCACCAATAAGGGACTTGTTGAAACAAAACTATGGTGCTGCCATGCAATGGAGTACTATGCAGCTATAAGAAAGAATAAGGCAGATCTCTACACACTGATACAGAATAATCTCCATCAAATATTGTTAAATGAGAAAGAACAATTTAAAATATAATTCATAATATGCTTCCTTTCTATGAGAAATGGGAAGAAATATACATGTATAAAATTCAGTTATATTTTCAAAAAGAGAAAAACTAATAAAAATTATAAAGGCTGGGCACGGTGGCTGATGTCTGTAATCTCAGCACTTTGGGAGGCTGAGGCGGGCAGATTGGTTGAGTTCAGAAGCTCCAGACCGGCATGGGTAACATGATGAAACCTTGTCTCTACAAAAACATACAAAAATTAGCCGGATGTGGTGGCATATGTCTGTAGTTCCAGCTACTCAGGAGGCTGAGGGGGAGGATCGTCTGAGCCTAGGGGGTGGAGGCTGAAGTTAGTTGAGGTCGCATAACTGCACTTGTGCCTGGGTGACAGAGCAAGACCCTATCTCTCTCTCTATATATATATATTATATATTATATATATTCACATATATAAATTATAGGGTGGAGGAAGGAATAAGGTAGAGAAAACACAGAGTAAGACTCCTGGGAATATGTCTTGTTTTATAATTTGGGGTTTAAAATCATTTAAGTGTTTTACACCATAGTAATTTTAAAATTTAAAAGAAATAAAAAGCAATCCCTAAAAATGGAAAACAAATTGAAATATTAACTAGATATCGTCAGTGGCACATAATTATTATTTATAATAATTATATGATATATTACATCATAATATAATTATAATAGTTATTTCAAATGACTTCAAAACCTAGTATTTACACAAATATCCCCCAATGAGGTTTTTTTTTTAGGACTAGAAGAACTGAAAGGAAATTTTATGTATTTATTTATTTTTTGAGACAAAGTCTCACTCTGTAGCCCAGGCCAGAGTGCAATGGCACAATCTCGGCTCACTGCAACCTCCACCTCCCGGATTCAAGTGATTCTCCTGCTTCAGCCTACAGAGTAGCTGGAATTACAGGTGCACACCACCACACCCAACTAATTTTTTGTATTTTTTAGTAGAGATGGGGTTTCACCATGTTGGCCAGCTGGTCTTGAACTCCCAACTTCAGGTAACCCGCCCACCTTGGCCTCCCAAAGTGCTAGGATTACAGGTTAGTTTTGAAACTATTACAGGTATATTGCAAGATAAAGCAAATAAGTAGTTAATTATGTTAGGAAACCAGAATTTTCAACTTAGAAGAGAAATGATACAAGCAAAAAATCAAGGAAGTAAAGTCCTGTAATTTCATTTGAATCAGAAATACCACTACAAATTTACGAGTTTTTATCCTCTCTTAAAATATGCATTTCTAAGCTCTGTTCACCAAAAAGGTCTGAAGGCAATGGCAACCCAGAGCCATAAATATTCTTGGCACCCAGATCATACCGCCTAAATACCACTTTCACTAAAAGGTAGGGGGACTTTTGTCAAAATGGCAGATCCAAGGACTAGGGCAGGAAATGCCCAGGGTGAGCCCAGCACGCCTTATTGTTTCAGAAAGCAAGAAAGCTACGAAAGACTCATGAGGCCATGCCAACAGGCTCCAGAGCCAACTTAAAAGAGCCCCCATTTACCCCAGGGAGGACAACTTGAATATCAAAAAAAAATAAAGTTTACAATGAATCAACACACATCAAACACATAAGAATCCATGAGTTCATAATGAAGCTAAAAACAAAAAACCTCTTTCGCTGTCCTTGACAGTTGCTAGAGCATCAACTCATGGCTATGAAAACTGGAAAAGAAAAAATCAAGCACTTATTCTACTTTGTCTAAAGTAATTTTATTTCAGGGTAACTGAAAGCAGTTGGGAGAAAGTTCTTTCTTACGGGAGAATTCCAGTTAATAAATGCAATCAGTATGATAGAAGTAGAGAAAAGTCACAATTTTGAAACTCCTAATGACATAATAAATCTTAGACAACAAACACTTATAAATAGTAAAACTATAAATTGTTGATGGGGTAAACTTCACAATGCAGAAATAGGTTGCTTCATCTGAACACATAATCAGTCCTATCTCTCAAAGTGGGATAGCTGGGCCAGGCATGGTGGCTGACGCCTGTAATCCCAGCACTTTGGGAGGTCGAGGCGGGTGGATCACAAGGTCAAGAGATTGAGACCATCCTGGCCAACATGGTGAAATCCCGTCTCTACTAATAATACAAAAATTAGCTGGGTGTGGTGGTGTGCGCCTGCAATCCCAGCTACTCAGGAGGCTGAGGCAAGAGAATCGCTTGAACCAGGGAGTACGAGGCTACAATCAGCCAAGATCGTGCCACTGCACTCCAACCTGGCCACAGAGCGACTCAAAAAAAAAAGAAAAACGAGGCCAGGCACGGTGGTTCATGCCAGTAATCCCAGCACCTTGGGAGGCAGAGGCGGGTGGATCACAAGGTCAGGAGATCGAGACCATCCTGGCTAACACAGTGAAACCGTGTCTCTACTAAAAATACAAAAAATTAGCCGGGCGTGGTGGCGGGCGCCTGTAGTCCCAGCTACTCGGGAGGCTGAGGTAGGAGAATGGTGTGAACCCGGGAGGTGGAGCTTGCAGTGAGCCGAGACTGCGCCACTGCACTCCAGCCTGGGCGACAGAGCGAGACTCCATCTCAAAAAAAAAAAAGAAGAACGAATGAAAAGAAAGAAAGAAAGAAAAGAAAGAAAGGAAGGAAGGAAGGAAGGAAGGAAGGAAGGAAGGAAGGAAGGAAGAAAGGAGTGAGGGAGGGAGTGAGGGAGGGAGGGAGGGAGGGAGGGAGGGAAGGAAGGAAGTGACGTAGGTAGGTAGGGAGGGAGGGAGGGAGGGAGGGAGGGAAGGAAGGAAGTGACGTAGGGAGGGAGGGAGGAGGACAGCTGGACATTATGTGCCTCTGGGTGTGATGCACATGGCACCCTTGATCAGGTATTCTTGCCTCCCTACTGCATTGACCTTGAATGTAATGAATCCCCTGGGTCTAACTTCTAGTCTACTGGAAATACAGGGGATAGAGGAACACATTATGCAATACCATAAGGTGGCTGCTAGTCAAATCCAGAATTCATGACATTCTACAGGACAAATGACCCAGCTTCCCCAACAAATCAAAGGCATAAAAATGGGGAGTGGCATTACTATAGATTAAAGACACACAAGAAACATTAATAGAAAAACAGCAAGGCAGGAGGGGTGGGCAGGAAGACGAGAAGGAGAACAGAGATATAAGAAAGCAGCAGCAGCAACTGTAGCCTCCTAGACTTGTTCCCGCTTCTCCAAAACTGCGTGCTTAGAATCCCTGAGCTGGAAGAGCGTCCAGAGGGGAAGAGAGGTCTTAAGCATTCCAGACAAATAAAGATCTGTTCCAGCCCTAACAGGCTCCAAGGAGAGATGACTGCAGCTTGTCTGTCATTCATGTCAGGACTCCCCTCAATGCAGCAGCTATAACTATGCTCAGGTCTTCCTGCTGCAGTTCTGGCTCATTTCAGTTCTCACTCCGCCACTTTCGCGCCCTTCACTTTCCCACTCCATCAATTAAATCTTTAATGATAGCTAATCTTGGTGGCTCTTTCACCTATAAGACTGCTGTTTGTAATGAAAATCTGTACCATTCGTTGACACTTTATTATATTCAGTTTATAGACTATTGTCATATATACTAACAAGGGCATACATAGGAACTTCATCTTAACATTTCTCCCATAGCACCTAGCACAGTGCCAATTCTGTTAGAACATAGTAGTTGCTTAGTAAATATTGGATGGGCAGATGGATGGATGAATGGATGGGTGGATAGATGGATAAACTGACAGCAATAAATAAATGAGTAAACTATTAACTGCTCGTAGCCAGGTGTGGTGGTGTGCACTTGTAATCTCACCTACTCGTGAGGCAGAGGTGGGAGGATCACTTGAGCCCAGGAGTCCAAGACCAGCCTAGGCAACATAGCAAGACCTCATCTCAACATGTATGTATAACTATTAACTGATCTCTAAATAATCCATGCAATCATGTTATTTCCTTAGCTAACCTAAAATAAGCTTATAAAGGTAAAGACCATGTCCTGCACATTATTTGTAACCTCAGCACCTAGCCATGCTTAGTACATAGTAGGCTCACAAGAAATGCCTCCTGAGTTAACTAAATTTCCACTCAGGCTGAGCTGGAATGCTGACTGCCCCCCAACCAAGCCTTGTAGCACTTGGTTTGGGCAAGAAGGGAATGCTGGGTAGGATGCAAATCTTCCATGAGGAGCACATGTTGCTTAGCAAATATTGGATGGGTAGGTGGATGGATGAATGGATGGGTGGATAGAAGGATAAACTGACAGCAATAAATAAATGAGTAAACTATTAACTGATAGTTAATAGCCAAGCAGTCCTTACCTTGTCGGGAAGGCAGGTGGTTGTGGTACAGCCACAGTCATTGGTGGCAGTTGAGGCCAAGTACCCAAGGGGACAGCTCACTGTGGAGTTGACACAGTTGCAGGCACACTCATACTCATCACAGCACTGGGTCTTCCGAAGGGTGGGCAAACGGTGCGGGGGGCAGGAGGGTGGGGACACTCTTTTGCACTCCTCCTTCCTGCAGGCTGAGGGTAGGACAAGGCCACACTGAGCACTGCGCCCAGCCAGGGCTCGTAAGTATTCAGCTATGCTATAGGGTGCCAGGGAGCTTTAGACTCAGAAGATTAAGTCAGAAATGTGTGAGGGCCAAGCTCACGGGCTGGGAGTTATTCAATGTTACCAAAAGCAGTCCATCTGCAGAAAAATATGAACATTAATCAAAAAGGGAAATGTGAAGCTAGGAACTCTAATGGAGGAGAAGTGAAGGCTGCTCAATCCCTGCTCTATCACTTTCCCACATACATCTGGAAGGGGCGGGTTCCTTCATTCTCAGAGGTGTCAGATGTAGAATCTCTAAGTCCAGTAGGTCTGGGTACACCACGCCCTGCTAAGCACTGTTCTATGCCAGGAGCTTCTGTGATCCTATCCCCACCTCAGTACCTAGAACAATACCCTACACTTTAGGTCCGCCAGCAATCAGTGTGGAATGAAAGATTGCCAGCAATCTTGTCAAAGCCACAATGTCACTTTTAAAAGACCAAATCCTGTCCCTGTGTCCTTTGCCTGTTTCCAGCTCCCTTCAAACACAATGTGCTCTCCTCCCACCTTGAAGTCTCACATCTAGGAAGTCGGGTGAGTGTCCACATCAGCAGGACAAGAACGCCAACGGAGTTAGAGTGGGGATTCTCGGGAGGTAAATACAGAATTTGGTTTCTTGTCGTGTCTTATTTTAGTCCATCGCTATGTTTAAGTTACAGTATATAGTGATTACATATATACACCTTCAGAGGCGAAAAACTATAAATTTGTTTGGGAATAAGATCCAATGATGAGGGGAAGTCAAGGAAACATTCCCTCCCCTTGATGACATACAGGAGGATGGGCAGAAATAAAGATTAGATTCGGAGGCCTCCTCATCTCAGCCCCAGCTGCTTCTTCATAAACCCAAGACGGAGGTGCCTGTGGCTGTGCCCACACCTGGTATCCTTCAGCAGCGTGCAGCCGGAAGGATTCCGTGCAGGTGTGACCCTAACCCCTCTGTTCCAGATGTACTCCCAACCCAGATTCAGCTAGGTAGAAAACAGGAAATGACGTGATCTTGGAAGAGGTCCCTGAGGAGGATGGCCTCCCTCACACCAGCAGAGAGAGGCCACACCACCCCTCCTCATCCACAGAGGCCTTACCGCAGGTGAAGTTGGGTCTGCACTCGCCAGGGTTGGTCAGTGTGGGCTGGAGGCCACGTTCACAGTGAGGCACTGGGGGCAGGTCACAGCTCACTGGGTCACACACTGAGGGCCAGAAAGAGAGACGTCCATGCAGAGTTCAGAAAGGTTACTCTTTTATTACCTGTGAGTGGGATGCTACATTCCTATTCATGCAGACTTCTACTGTTTTAGGTAAGTGATGATGATGGAGACAGAGATTACATGGGTTAGGATAGATAGATAGATAGATAGATAGATAGATAGAATGATAACTAGATACATGAGATAGATTTGATAGATAGATAGATACATACATACATACATACATACAGGATAGATAACTAGGTACATTAGATAGATAGATAGATAGATGGATGATAGATAGAGGATAGATGATAGATACACAGCTTAGAGAGAGATAGGATAGATGATAAAACATAGGGTAGATAGACAGATAGATATAGAATAGATGATAGATACATATGTTAGACAGAGATAGGATAGATGATAGATACATAGGTTAGATAGAGATAGGATAGATTATAAATAGATACACAGGTTAGATAGATTAGACAGACAGATAGATACATACATAGATATAGGATAGATAACTAGATACAATAGAGATAGATAGATAGATAGATAGATGATAGAGGATAGATGATAAATAGATATATAGCTTAGATAGAGATAGGATAGATGATAGATACATAGGATAGATAGAGACAGGATAGATGATAAATAGATACATAGGTTAGATAGAGATAGGACAGATGATAAATACATAGGATGGATGGATAGATGGATAGATAGATAGATAGATAGATAGATAGATAGATAGATAGATAGACAGACAGACAGACAGACAGATAGATCAATCCAAGTCACATACTGATTATTCTTATCATCCACTAGGGCTTTCACATCTCAGCCAAGTCAACTTGGATCCTCTAGACCTGTTTCTTCTTCTGGAAGGTGGGAACTCTACCTTATAGGATCAGTCTGAGGAGTTCACAAAATAATAAGGGCAAAGTGCCCGGCACATTGTAGGAGACTAGTAATGTCTATAAAATGAGGGGCTTGAAGTAAATGATCCCTCTAGTTCTCTCTACTGCTAACATTCTAAGACCTCCTTTACATTAATTGTTCTCAAGCCACATCTCCCTCCCCTACAGGACTTCTATTTATTTCTGATCAATTTCATGAGTACAAATAAGTTTCTCCGATTATATGATTTTCTTTTAGTTCCTTGGACTGTCCCCTGATCTATCTGCTCTCCCTTCAATATCTGCATCACTGCAAATTGTACAAGCCTGTGCTTTAGGTCTTCATCTGTACAAGCAATAAACACACTGGACAGGACTGGGACAAAGGCACTAATGATTTCCTGCCATGCTAACCGTAATTCCATCAGCTCTGAATTCACGGACTTATACCATTATTCAGCCCACTATTCACAGAGCAGCCTGCAAGGCTAGCATGAAAACCTCTAGCAAACAACCTGCTGAACTCAAGGTGCCCAGTGTGTGGTCTTCTCTATATCTAGCAGCCTCAAAATCTTATTGAAAATGAAAATGGGTTGCTTTGGCATGACCTTTTCTTCAGTATATCTCCATAGTCCCCAGTAATCACCCCATTCTTGTATTAATCCTGTCAAACCTGTGTTTAGTAATTTACAGTAGATTCTTCTAGGAAGCAAATCCTATTCTCCAGAGGTAACCCTTTCCACTTTTTTGGAGTATCCAGTCGGTCCTTACCCACCTCCTTTCACACACCCTGTGCCTGAGAACAGAGACACCTTTCAGCACCTTCAACGTGGTGCCCCCTGGGGCTAGGGTTGGGCCCTGGAGACATCCCCCTGGTGGGACACATACCACACTCATACTCGGGGCAGCACTGGTCTGCATTCTGGCGGAGGCGGGCTACTTCACACAGGCCACACGTGGGAGCTAGAGGAGAGGAACGGCCACAAAAGTCAGAGAAATTAGTGGTGGGACAGCCTCAGAGGGATTTGAAATGTTCTTGCTCACTGAAAACTAGTAGGAGTTCTGTACGGTCATCCCACAAGGATCCAGGCCACGGGACCTCTGACAGATGAGTGTCCCCATGTTCCTGTTGACACCCTCACATTTACCCTCCAGGGGACTCTTAAGTCTGACCGTTGCTGGGGACCAGAGGCGAGGGTTAATCTGAGAATGTCGACCCCAGGTGCAGAATGGGGCTCCCAGGCCCAGTGATGGGAAATGCAGGCTGGGCAAGGAAGCCCACCCACTCTAGGACTCTAGGTGCCAGTGTTTGAGTCTGCTCTGCCAGAGGTGAAGATGGGTGGCTGGGGGGCCTTGCAGGGGCCCTTGTTCCTCCATGAAGGCACCAGGGAGGGGAGGACTCTCACCTTTGGCCGTGGGGCAGGGCTGCGTTGTGCAGTTGACCTTCCGCCCGCTGAGGCATGTGCAGATCTGACAGGGCTGGTGGTCCGGGACCCAGGCTTCCAGGAACTGAGGGCAAAGCGAGGTTCAGAAAGGGCACAGGACATTCTAGGTACGAAGCCCAGAATTCACAGAGGTCAGCTCTCCCTGCCTCCGGCAAGGGCCAGTCCCTGACCCAGCCCTCTGACAGAGCCTCACAGGCAAACAAAAGCAGGCTGAAAGGAGGTTGTGAGGTTCTAATGGCTTTCAGAAAGGTGGTTGCCACATTGCTTTGTAAACTAACATGCGGAAATTTTCACTACAGCCTTCTCTGTTGGCAGTGCTAAAACCAAGCAAAGAAAGAAAAATGAGAGTTCTTGGATCGCACTGCTAGTCATTTCTCAAGCCAAAGGAGAAATTGGGTTGTTGCTTGGGGAAAAAAATCCATTTATTTCTGAAATTGACTTCAGACAATAGGGTAGGAAGAGCGGTGGGGAGGACAGCAAAACTCTTGAAAGCATCACATTCTTGATGCCCGCAGTGACTTTAGAGGCCTGAGTGCAGTTCTCTGATTTTTCAAATGGGAGACGGCCCAGGGCAGAGAGCAGCCTTCTCGAAGGTACACACAGCCCCACAGCACAAGGCTTTGAAGTCAGGAACTCCTGAACTCTAACAAAGGCTGCATTCCGCTGTGCCTCAGTTTCCTCACCTGTAAAATGAGCGTACTCAAGCCTGCCTTGCAGGACTGTTGTAAGGAGTGAGAAACTGTGATTAGCACAGGGTACACAGCAAAGAGCTCCACTAATAAGAAGCAGAGCCAGGACTCAGTCTCCCTCTGGATTCAGCCATAAAGTTAAATTTAAACTTAAAATTAAATTCAAGTGAAATTGCCCCTGAAGAAACACATTCTTATCCAGTAGCTCAAAGGCCTCTAAGAAGTTCCCAGGTCAAGAAGGTCTTACTTATTACTTCCACAGTCAGCAATCAGTCAGCTAAGAAGGAAGATCAAATACCCACAAGTAAGGCCCCCTTCCCCCAAAGTGCCCTGCCCTCCTTCAGGATTAACCCCTCTGGTCCTGCCCTTGACACCTTTCACTCACTCAATAAATGATAGCAGCTAACATTCAGATGCCACCTGCTGTGTGCCACTGTGTTGAGGACTTTATTTAAATCACTCATGTAATCCTCACTGCAGTCCTACGGTGAGGATATGTTTTACCACTGCCCTCACTTTTCCAATGAGAAAGCTAAGGCACCTGCTAGGTTCCCACAGGCACAGCGACAGAGTGAGGATTTGAATCCAAATCCATGGTTTGTTTCTTTGTTATTTTATGTTTTGGTTTTTGTTTGTTTGTTTGTTTGTTTGTTTTGAGACAGAGTCGCACTCTCTCGCCTAGACTGCAGTGCAGTGGCATGATCTCGGCTCATTGCAACCTCTGCCTCCCGAGTTTAAGTGATTCTCCTGCCTCAGCCTCCCAAATAGTTGGGACTATAGGCATGTGCCACCATACCCAGCTAATTTTTGTATTTTAGTAGAGACAGGATTTCACCATGTTGGCCAGGCTGGGTCTCGAATTCCTGACCTCAAGTGATCCACCTGCCTCAGCCTCCCAAAGTGCTGGGATTACAGGTGTGAGCCACTATGCCCGGCCCAAATCCATGGTTTTAAACCACCATGCTCTGCTGCCTCCCACAGGTAACTAATAATAAATATGTTCAAGATATTTTTCTAAGAGTTTTACATTTATGTACTTTATTTTCCTAATAATAACACTACCAGATAAGTAGTAGTATCTATATTTACAAATAATGAAACTGAGACACCAAGAAGTTAAGAAATTTGACCAAGTGGCACATCCAGGCTTCGAACTTAGCATTCTGGCCCCAGACACCACAGGCCTAGCCTCTTGCAGCACAACTGCTTCTCATCAACAGACACAGTGCCCATCGTGGGCAGGTCTGAACACACCATCCTAGCCCTCGAATGGCTGACAGTCAGGTTGAGGAAATAAGACTCATTCGTGAAAATCTGAATGAGAAAAATAAATTGTGATACACACACACCGTGGAATACCACCTAGCAATGAGAAGGAGAAAACTATCAAAACAGACAGCATCATGGATGAATCCCAAAAGCGTTATGCTGGGTGAAGGAAGCCAGGCAGAAAAGAAGTGCGTAGGCATGATTCCATTTATGTGAAATTCCAGAAAATGTAAACGAATCTATAGTGACAGAAAGCAGACCAGTAGTTGTCTAGGGTTGAGGGATATATTTAAAAGGGCATAAGCTAACCTTTGGGGGATGGAAATTCATTATCTTGGTTATGTCAATGGTTTTATAGGTGTGTACATATGTCAAAACCTATCAAATTGTACACTTTAAATATGTGCTGTTTGTGGCATGTAAATTATATCTCAATAAAGCTATTTGTAAAAATAAAAAATAAAAGAGCAGTAAGAGTGCAAAAGGAGAGTCCACTAAGATTGGGCACTCCAGAGAGTCTCACAAGGGTGCACCTATGAAGCACAGGAAGACTTGGGCAAAGGGGAAAGGAGGAGGAATTCCAGGTGGGAAACAGCTAACAAAGGCACAGACGAAGGAACACTCCCGCAGTGCCCGGCATCACAGGTGAGGCAGGTGGCTGAAGACAATGGAGGAGGCCCTGCCTCACAGAGAAGAGCTAAATAAAGACAACCCTGGCGACAGCATGCAGGACGGAAAAGGGAAGGACTAGGAATAAAAACCAGAAAAGACACAGCGGCTGCCACTCCAGCTGGGAAGGTGGAGGGAGGGGCCCAGGGCGCTGGCCTCGGAGGGCTGGGGCAGGGGGTCGAATTGGCAGACATGAGGGGATGCGGAAGGAGAGAGTCATGTTCTGTATATGTTTCAGTGTTCTTTTTTCTCTCCTTTTAAACGCAGACCTCAGATATTTAAACTCAAGAATAAATCACACAATTTTCCAACTATCCTGAGAATGGGTAACACACAACAGATGACCAAAAGCAGGTGTCCAACCTCCTCCGCTGGGGATTTTCATTTCCCAGGAAGCTTAAGGCCTGCCCAAGGCAGGGAAAAGAATAAAAATTAAAAATTTAAAAAACAAGCTAAGGCCAAGCTTCTAAAAGCAACCGTAGTGGCTCTCCAGGCCTGGCCAGGCTATGCAGCAACGCGGCCGGCAGATGGCACTGCTGCACAAGCCCAGGCCAACTGCAGGCAGGCAGTCGCAATCGCCAGGTTCCAGGGCCCAGGCGTGACTATCACCAGGCCAGAACCGGTATGAGAGCCAGCAGGAGTTAAAGTCTGAATGAAGGTGACAAAAGATCGGCCTGCAGAGAATAAGGTGGGAAAACTGACATTTTCAAGGCCCAAGGTCAAAGAAGGACACAAGCAATTCATCATGCACCACCCACCACCAGCCAATGTGATGGGGGATGCAAATGAAATGCAAACACTGAGCCCAGCTAGGGACAGCAGAGACTAAGGGAGAGGGAAGGAGGCTACGGGCCAGAGCTTCTGGGCCATGGACAAGGTTCCTGCTAAACTTGTGCCTGTCACTACAGCACCCACCACCACCAGCAGCTCCACTGAGCCAGGGACAGCCTGTGCAGGCTCTTGGTCCCTTCTGATCCTACTCCAAAGACTCACCTCTTTAGACTCTGTTTTGTAAAATAAACAAGAGCTATGAAAACTAGTGAATATTTTGCTCTTCTGAAATTACTACAATAGTTTTATACCCTAGTTTATTTCCCTTAATAAAAGGTTTTCTGGGCTTTATTTTTCAGTTTAAAAAAAAAAGTTTCTTTAATGGAAATGTTCTTCACATTAGGTTTTTATTCTTTCTCTGCTTTGAAAGTCAAAGTTGAAAATGCACGTGGCTGGATATGATGTTTGTTTTCATTCATTTAAACTGTATTTTCTGAAATCACTAAAAGTGGCTGTGTTGTTTTCAAAGTTTTCAATTAACTAATTTTATTTTACCTGATTTTAAAATATATTTATAAGACGGTTTCTACATCCAAAATATTTGGATGGAAACTTTATACAACTTGAATGCATATTCTAATGTGTTGGACTGAAGATGAGGCGGGCAGTGAAAGGGGAAAATAGCACCAGAAAGGAGAAGCAAAGGATAGGGGTTTGGAGACACTAAGATAAAGTTCACAGTCTTCCTGCTCTCAGGACCTTGCAGACATTTGACACTCATGAGCCAGAAATGCTGCAAACTTGAGCTCACTTCTCATCACAGAACGCCAAGGAAAAGATCATTTCTGTCTCCTTCTGAGAGCAAGCATTTTGCCACTACTAGTAAAACCGGTCTGAAATTACCACAGGTTTCTAGCCCCATATGTAAATTGGTCCACATCATTCAAGCCCTGCAGGAGCTCAGGAGCTATACAAATCAAGGAGAGGAATATAAGGTTTTGTCAACTCATTTAGGGAATATCACAGAACAGGCAATTACTTAACTTGGCAAGTTGAAATATGGCAGTAGAGTAGGACTTTAGCTCATCTATTCCACGGTGAGGACAAATTGGATCCACTAGGACAAAGCCCAACAACTAAACTAGAGCAGATGAGATCACTATAAGTGACTATAAGTAATAGCCCTAATGGATACCCATGCTCCAATGAACATGAGTTAGCCCAGAGTTCAGCTCACAGTTCCAGTGAGGTCAATGGCAGGGCTAGGACACTATAGGATGACTGATGTTATGAATATAAATCCCAGCTTTATCACCTCATGCCATTGAGCCTCAGTCTCATCCATTCAATAGGATGTGCGATTATGACCCTATAGAGCTTTGGGGAGAATCATATAAAATGGTCCCTATCCTGGCTTATAACATCAGGGACAGAATAGTGTAGTTACTGAAATGTTGTTTTCACTATTCTGCAGGCTGGTTAGCTACATTTACCATGAGTTCTCCTATTCGTGGTTGAACATAGTGGTAAGTCACTCTACTTGGTCCACTTAGCAAGAATGGTCCTCCTTGGCGATGAAGACATTAGGTCTTGAGTGCAGTCCATGATCACAAAACACATTCTCCTTTCCTAGAAGCCAAATATGCTTCTATCTCTACCACGGTCTGTAGTATCACTGTCAAGCATGAAGGACAGGGCCACTGCACACATTCACATGTACACGTTCACATGTGCACAGACACACACTGCCCCAGATCCTACAAATATACACGGGGTCAACTTTGAAGAGAGATGACAGCCATTTTAGGCCAAGACGGAGGAGTCTGGTAAATATGCTTTCAAAATACACTCAATAACTCCCATAGAGCTAAAAAAAAAAAAAAAAAAAAAAAAAAAAAAAAAAAAAAAATTTTGATGACTCAGTGACTCCCAAGCAAATCAGCCCAAAAAAGATGCAGCAAAAGGGCCATTTCATATAGTGGAAAGAGCCAGATCTTTGGAGTCACATAGAGCTTCAAATTCTGAGATCAACTCCATTACTTATAAATTGTTTCCATGGGTAACTTACTGAGCTCTTTAGGTCTTAGTTTCTTCATAGGATTTTTGTATTTATGAGTGACACAGGATACAATAATGTATTCTGTGGAATCCCAGTCCCAAGGGATTCTCACACACACACACACACACACACACACACACACACACACGCATGCACACACACGCTCCATGATCAAATAAGTTTGAGAAACAAAAACTCTCTTAAATATCTGCAAGGTACAGTAGTATATTAAAAAGACTAAAGAGTTCTGCAATAAAGAAACCTGTTTAACTATGGTTAGCTGGTGTTCTTTAAACTCACTTGACCACAAGTAACTGTTAATACCCTGCAAAATACACCTTTGAAAAACACTAAGATAATGAATATATTGGGTTTAGCACAATCAAGGTACATAATCTCTCTTAACAATGGCAGACATTATGACACAAAATATTCTTTTCCCTTTCCCTCCTGGATTTCTGTATCATTCTGCTTAAATGACTATAATCATAAAGACAATAGTAATAACAATCATAATAATAATGTGGTAACAACACTTTGATGTTTAATCCCACAGATAATACATGACAGACGCAGGATTTGAACCAAGAGCTATCTGAATGCAAGGCCATTACACAATACTGCCTCCCTATCCCTAATGATCCCCGTAAGAGTCAACCCTGCTGCCACAGTTGGAAGAGGCCAATCACTGGTGAACATATCTCCCTTTTGACCCAAGAGGGAAGCAGCCCCATGGGAAGTGAAAGGCCCAGGCTCCTACCTGGTGCTGGACTCCATCCTCACCAATGCACTGAGTGCAGGCCTCTTCAGGGACACAGCTGCCTTCCAACATGACTTTATCTGGAGGGCAGAAACAGCCTTCGGAGGGATGGTCCCCACAGGAGCTCACGTTGCCATCACAGTGCCGGGGACAGCCATGCTCACAGTGGTTGTAGACCAGAGATGGTGGGCATGACATAGCTGTAGACAGAGAAGGAGGTCACTTGCAAAGGCCCACACCAGCCAGAGTGAAATGGGCACAGCTGATTCAACATGGTTAATCATCAGACAAACTTGCCAGGGCAGAGACGGCTATTTTCCACCAATCTTCATCCTCCCCACCTTCCATAGAAACAGAACTTTAGGCTGGGCATATGACCACCAGAATGAGGACTATATTTCCCAACCTTTCTTGCAGCTAAGTGTAGTCACATGACTAGTTCTGCCCAATGAACTGTAAAAGAAAGTATAGTATCCCATGGCAGCTTCCAGGAGTCCATTTTAAAAGACAGCTATGCATGCTCCTTGTCCCTCTTCCCTCCTTCCCTCAGCTTCCTCCTTGGAGCATGAATGTGATGGCTAGAACTCCATCTTAGACCATGAAGAAAAAGACCACACCCAACTGAGGGCAGAGCAAGGAACTAGAATCCAGTTTGAGGCCCAGAATCAGCTGGAGCCACCGCCTCCGATCAGTTGTATGACAGAAAATTTTAATTCTCTGCTACTAGCAGCCAAATCTAGTCCTAACAAATGTTGTGAACCTGTGTGTCCTTAGTAGGTTTTGTTGTCCTTTTTTGAATACATATGTCTTTTATGCTTGAAAAGCATCTTTAAATTAGGAATACACAGCTTAGAACTGCCTTGGGAGAGAAGCTACAAGGTGATTCATTTCCCTCGTTCTGATTCGCTCAACAACTTCCTCACATCCTCAAGGCACCAAGGCAGGCAGGTGATGGACGAAGTTTCCAAGGATTTGGAGCACCAAAGATTTCCCTCTGTGTGCACAGTAAATAACCAGGAGGTACACAAAGAAATCAGTATGCAGAGAAAGTGCTTCCAGTAACTTAGAAACTAACATTTGCCCCTTGATTTGCAGGCTGATTGGGAGGAGGCAGTATCATCCACATGGCCTCAGAAAATCAGAGCCCTAAGGAACCTACAGGTTATCTAGGCCAACTATCTCATTCTAGGATGCAGAAACTGAGGTCCAGAAAGACTAAGAGAACAGTCCATCCACCAGCTGAGCTGGGACTAGGATGCCCAAGTCCTCCAGACCCAGCTCAGAGCTGCTGACAGTTCCATGATGATAAACTCTGAGGCTCTAACAGGCATGTACATATTGATTTCCCTCAAAAAAATAGTCGAGGATTATATTTGATGACTGAGGGTTTCAAGTTCAGTATTCTTTTCACTCCAGCACCCCTGAGGGACAGGAGCCATATCTGATTCATTTCAGTTTCCCCTGTACTTTAAATAAATGCCAAGTCCAGGTAGGGAAGCTGACCTTGGGGAGGGGCTGTCTGCACTAGCAATCCTGCAGTGTTTATAACTGAGAAGACTCTTGGCAACCAATGATTCTACTTGCACTTCAAAATCCTGCTCAGGCATGGACTACACTGTAAGTGTGTGCTAAAGCTTGGTGGAATTTCAAATTCAATGTGACTGGTTACACAGCCCTTTACAGATGCCTATATGTGTCTAACACATTAAAATCGCATTTGTCTGAACTATAGAAATACTAATGGAAAGGACCATGCATTAATTTACATAAAAATTCTACGTGCAGAGTGTATGTGTGTATATATATACATATATATGTGTGTGTGTGTGTGTATATATATATATATACACACACACACATATACATATATGTATATGTATATATATATCTTCCATCTTATTTGATCCTAACTGGAATCCCAGGTCATACGAAATACAGGGATTTTCATCCTTATTAGCCAGATAAAGAATCTGGGGCACAGAGAGGCTGAGCAAGCCCAGTTAGCTGGTCTCCAGGATTTTCAGAGGTAACTTGGAGACTCACCACAGAAATCAGGTGTCCTCCAGTCAACGCAGACCCCGTTGGTCCGACAGAGGTGGGCATAAGAGGCGATCACCTCACACACTTGCTCCTGGTGGCAACTGTCCTGCTGGCAGATGGCATAGAATGTGGCTGGAGCCAGGACCTTGTGGCATTCAGCAAACAGTGGTAAGAGGAGGACCTGGCAGTGGGAGCTGTCGGGGACAAGACACTGCTCCTCCAGGATGGGCTGGCACGTCTGCCCTGGCCGCTGCACAGTCCATTCCTGAACAAGTGTTTTCCAGTCTGTGGTGACTGTGCCATCCCTCAGCATGAAGTCATTGGCTCCGTTCTCATCACAGATCCCTAGAGAAACAAACAAACAAAAAAAAGATAAACTGAGTGGCCCTGGGTACAAAAACATTGATGCCAGAGACAGGCCATTCTTGATCCTCACCAGAATCTGACCCTCGCTACTAGACCCTGAAATATAAGCATCCAAGAGCCTCAGAGTAGAGCAAGTAAGGTTTATAAATGTATAGCAGGGGGAGAAGAGGAGTTGAGAAAATGTTCTTACCACACAGACCATACGTCTTTGAAGCAAAAGTCTTGGGGCTGAGCTGCAGTTGGAACTCATTGTTTTGTGGAGTGAATGTGAAGATGTGACCAAGGTGATTGAATCTGACCTCATGCATGATGGCACCATAAACGTTGACTTCCATGTTCCCACCCACGTAAGGAACAGAGACCAGTCTCCCATTCACCGTCACCTGCACAAAGAAGAAAGAGCTCATCCGTAGTCCTAGCAATGAGGAATCCTAGGTTTTTAGGGAAGTTACCGAGAGTTCCTGCACATTCATCACACTCAACTGCAACATCAGCCACAAACCTTGATATTTGTCGGCAGCTCTTCTAAGATAAAGAAGAGCTTGACTAGAAAACAGAGCTTGACTTTACAGAGCTTGACCAGAAAACAGGCTGTTGTAATACTGTACGGGTGGCCATGCACCAAGAACCTAAAAGCCTGGAGATTAAAAGGAACCTTGAGTCTATGTGACTCAACAGGGAAGGGCAATGCCTTTAAGACAGGCTGGGAAAGTCGCCTTATTGCCAACTCATCAGAGCAGTGTCTCCAAGAGCATCTAGCAGCTGTGTCCAACCCTTTGAATGCAAGGACATTTTTGCTTCTCTGTGGTGGTGGATATCAGAAAATTATGCCCAGACCTTTTTTTTAGCTCATCAGCTATCGTTAGTGTTAATGCATTGTATGTGTGGCCCAAGACAATTCCTCTTCCAGTGTGGCCCAGGGAAGCCAAAAGGTTGGACACTGGTGTTTTAATGGGACCACTTTAAGTCTTCTTTGTGTGTATGTGTGCCACTAGACGCTCTTTCTTGGGCAGCCCCACCATATATCATATCAAACACATTAAAATGTACTCACATTCCACAATGAATATAATTTTGCTGTAAAATTTTTGGAAGGATTTTTTATCATTTTGATTTTTTAATTTTTGGCTATGAGTTACTCACTTGATATATGACTAAGATTTTTCTGCAATTATTGTTCAAATTCAGGAATTCTTGCGAAGTGAGAAAATCTAGCTTACAAGTTGTTTTCACACAATGAAATATTTATGATTTCTACACGAACAAGTAAAGAAGTTGGCATAGTGTAACCTTTTGTAAGCATTTAATCAATCATTTATATATATATATATCAGTTTTGCAGTTTTCTTTTCAAATTTTGGAGCCTGACGTTTTATGTAGGCCTTAAATATTTTCAAAAGACCTAATTTAGGCCATAAATGTTTCCCTTTGGAAAGCTTACAGGGTTTAGGCATTGGACTCATAATACCTTCCGAGTGAACAATCCTGATGCCAATCCCAATTCTCCACCAGTGCCAGAAACTGGCACTAAATTCACAATTTTATGCTATCTAAAAGTGATTCCATCTTGCAAATCTGAGCCCGGAACAACATGAAATCACGCCAAGACAAGGGGATGGCAATAAACCCCTCTAAGAAAGTGGTACTCCTCTCCTCCACTTAAGCAGAAGGCAGAGCTCCTAACAAGAGCATCAACTAAAAGCAACTGCCACCAGGTCCAGGTGGTTTTCCTGACATTCTATTGCCTTACCACGGATCCACAGAAAGTACTTCTCACCTCCATGTCACTGTGCAGCTCGACGGAGAGGGCACTGTGCTTCACCTCGATGGATTTCATGCAGCCCTGCCTTGCTCCAGGGCTGCAGGCACCATTATGGAGAATCACCTCCAGGTCCTGCTCCTTGTTTTGAAATAGGACATAAGAACAGCTGCCAGTCAGCTTGAAATTCTGCCCATCAAAGGTCACGATGTGCCGAGTGGAGCTGCCTGTGCACACGCCTGGACAGAGAGAAGCAGAGGATGGATGCGACGTTATCCAAACCCCCATGCCTACTACATGCAGACAGGCAGGTGTGACCAAGTTGCACACAGATAAATACAGTAGAGAATGGAACAGGCCCTTTGAGGTCATATAGAACAATTTCCTCCTTTTTTTACAGATTAGGAAACTGGGGCTCTGAGAGGTAGAGAGGTTTAGGTAAGTAACACTTGGCCATTAAATATTTTCCTGTTACATAAAATGTGGCAAATTATAGAACCACACTTCTAAAAAATTTAAATGTACAGTGTGAATAATCCATTCTACAGGGATGCCTTGGCCCAGAAAACAAAGTTAAGTTCCAGGGGTGTTATGACTCGTGGAAATTAAGAAAAGCTAAGCAAGCTATGAGCTCATGATCTCATTGTAAAGAAAATTCACCTAAAGACACGTGTCCTTTCAGCTGCCAAGTGACTAAGGTAATGGTACAAGTGACCATGTTGACTTAATCCCTTAAGAGATCGCACAGGAGAAATATTTCCAGAGCCAAAAAAAAAAAAAAAAAAAAAATGGTTGAGTCTCAATGCTCCCTCATTTGACCCTGAGTCATTCACATAATTGGCAAATTCTCAAGATTCCTATTAAAACATTATTGGTGAATACTGATCATTTTGCACCTACATAAGATGATTTGGTAAAAATCCTCACATTGAAGGCACCACCACCATAAATGATTTGAAAGCTAATCTTGGACCTAAGTAAAGTTGGAGATAAGCTTTCCAGACAAACCACGACCACATCTACAATGGCAGGTGAATACATGCCCAAGAGCTGAGACACAGATTCGGTGGAGCAGGGAGGCCCCACTAACATCCCTCACTCATAGCCAAGCCTGAGCCAACCTCTCCCTATGGGGGTTACTGTCAAGCAGCACAACCACTGACAAATGATGGGTCTGGAAGCACCATCAGAGCTAAGCAGCCTCCCCAGAAGTTCTACTAAAAATCCCCTATGTCCTTGAGCAGTCAGTCATTTCCAAGTGACAGTACTGAATACTACTGGCTTACTAACATCCATGCTGCAAGTGATCCCCAACACGCAGCTGTTGATATTGTCACGTCAAGGAGTCAGCCCAACTGCCATAAGGATGGAATAAATCACAAGGCAAAGAAATGGTCTTAGCTCACACAAGGCAAGTTAGTGAGAATGGCTCTGCCCACCCTAAGATGAACTGTGACTGTGTAATGGGTACTTTACAGCCAGAGAAACTAGGGGTTGGTTTCTGTTTCACTTGCTTGCACTGTGACCTTGGATCAGTTACTTAACTTTACTGATCCTCTCCTATCTCCTCTGCATAATAGGCCTATAATCGATACCTTTTAGTATTCTTGTGAGAATTAGTTGCAATATAGATGAAATGCCTACCTAATAGTGCATGACTCACATGTGCATGTTTAACAAACAGATCTCCAAATCTTTATGAATAAGACACAAAATAAATTCAATAGTTTGTAAATTGCTGTATTGTAGGTATAGTAAAACTTGAGGTCCTTCCATCTCCAGAATACCAAATTACCTCCCAACAAACCATCACATTATACTCCAGTTTAGTGATTAGTTTTAATGAGCCATATATATTAACACATTCCAATGTTCAGGACATAGAGAAAGTTAGGCCGAACCAATTAAAAATTAATACATTAGAGTTATATAACAAAATGTTACTGCACAGTTATAAAATATTATCACAGAGTAAAGTATATCACTCATAAATATCTCCTGAAATCATTTTATCTCATCTCTCTCCTTTTCTTCAACATCTTCTTACTCATTATCTTTCCAAGTGACAATACAAATATTTGTGATTGAATATTATATTAAAACTTTTGGCTGATTGTCAAAATGTAATGATATCAGATACTAAAGTGAATTGTTAGCAAAACACAAATGTTCAAAAAGACGTCCAGGTAGCCAAAGTGGGCCCTAATACTTCAGCTATTAATATTGTCAAGTTGGCCGGGCACAGTGGCTCATACCTGTAATCTCAGCACTTTGGAAGGCCGAGGCGGGCGGATCACAAGGTCAGGAGATCGAGACCATCCTGGCTAACATGGTGAAACCCCAACTCTACTAAAAATACAAAAAATTAGCCAGGCATGGTGGCGGGCACCTGTAGTCCCAGCTACTCGGGAGGCTGAGGCAGGAGACTGGCGTGAACTCGGGAGGCAGAGCTTGCAGTGAGCCGAGATTCCGAGACTCCGTCAAAAAAAAAAAAAAAAAAAAAAAAAAAAAAAAAATATATATATATATATATATATATATATATATATATGGTCAAGTCAAGGAGCCAGCCCCAACGGTCATGAGAATAAAATAAACTACAAGGCAAATAAATATGTAGGGAGATATATATCCTCTGAACACAGTGAAGAACAATAAGAACAAATTAAATTACTATGAAAAAAGCATGCTTTCAGCATAAGTAGAAAACAAGAAAATACCCAAATTTTATTTATTTTTATTTTTATTTTTATTTTTTTTCCAAGAGAAGTGTCACTCTTGTCACCAAGGCCAGAGCGCAATGGCGCGATCTTGGCTCACTGCAACCTCCGCCTCCCCGGGTTCAGGCGATTCTCCTGCCTCAGCCTCCCAAGTAGCTAGGATTACAGGCATGCGCCACCACACCTGGCTAACTTTTGTATTTTTAGTGGAGACAGAGTTTCACCATGTTGGCCAGGCTGGTCTCGAACTCCTGACCTCGTGATCTGCCTTGACCTCCCAAAGTGCTGGGATTACAGGCGTGAGCCACTGCACCCAGCCAAAAACATCCAAACTTTAAAATAGCCGTAAATAAAGTAAAAGAGAAAAAACACCAAATCCCACCCAGCAAAAATCCCTCATCCTCTAACTGTTAGCCTTTGTCATGAGCAAGGACAATCCAAGGAGAACTGAAAAGAAGAGAGAAGAGAGTGGGCAGCAAGCCTAAAATTTCTCTATAACCACCACTACCACCAGAAAGAAAAGCCTATCCTAAGGGCAAAAATATTTTGAAGTATCCCAACAGACCAGAGCAGGTGCTAAAAACACACGCAATATTTGGTGACAACCTGAAAAGCATAGTTTCAAGGGGACTGGGAGCAAAAAGAAATGGAAAGGTGCTTGGAAAGTGACTGGAGACATAAAAATAAAGCAAACGGGAAAGTCAGGGTCCAGAAAAACCTGAAAAATCAGAGGCCACACAATCCTTCAGGATCCACATGTACACACATACACACACACACACACACACACACACACACACCACTAAGGAAATGACTTTTCTATACTAATAGAAAGGAGGGTCACTGAACCAGAAATCTTGTAAAACCCAAAATTCACAAAATGAACAGATTAAGCAAGTCCATAAAAGCTTCTTCAAAAGATCAGAAAATGAGAACCAACACTCCTCATCTAATGAAAATTCCACAAAAAGGAAAAAACAAAAAACAAAATGTTATGACATAGAAGAAAACTATGAGACAATACTCAAACTGAATTAAATATACTCAAACATCTGCACAAATGAAAACCACCTTGAATCAGAATTTCAAAAACTAAGAAGAGAAATGAACAAAGACAAGAATAAATAAAAATAGAACTCAGTGAACTTGGTGGGGGTGGGTAATAAAAGTGCAAAGTCAACTCTGAAATAAAGACTAAATTATAAGTACCCAAGGAAGATGACATCAAAATAAGAATTTAATAAAGAGCATCAGAGAAAAGCAAAAAAAAACCAATCAAGAGAATGAAAATGAGTTAATGAAGAAAGTATAAAGGTCAAAGAGACAGTAATGAAAATGTAAGACAGGAGAAAAAATGGACTCTTAAAAGAGAAAACAAAACAATGGAACAGAACTAACACTTAAAGAATATAACTCATGAAAACATTCTGGAAATCAAAAAAGAACCAAATCTATGTATGGGAGTCATGTGCCAGATGTCCGGAAAAATTAACCCAAAACAGTCAACTCTGAGACATATTACAGTACACTATTAGACTTCAAACATAAAGAAAAAATTTTCCAGGCCTTCAGGCAAAAAGATCAAATAATTTACAAGGACAAAAGAATTATATTGGTATCAGAATTTTCAAAAGCAATATACAAAGCAAGGCAACAATGGAGCAGCATTTTTCAGAAATTTAGTGAAAGAAAATGTGAATCAAGAATTCTGTATTCAGCCAAGGTGCCCTTCTAGCATCAATGCTATAGAAAAACAGTTTTAAATACATAGGAATTAATGGAATTCTGTACACATAAGCCCTTCTTAAGATATCTACTAGAGACCCAGGCGCGGTGGCTCACGCCTGGAATCCCAGAACTTTGGGAGGCCGAGGCAGGCGGATCACGAGGTCAGGTGATGGAGACCATCCCGGCTAACACGGTGAAACCCCGTCTCTACAAAAAAAAAAATACGAAAAATTAGCCAGGCGTGGTGGCGGGCGCCTGTAGTCCCAGCTACTCGGGAGGCTGAGGCAGGAGAATGGCGTGAACCTGGGAGGCGGAGCTTGCAGTGAGCCGAGATCGCGCCTCTGCACTCCAGCCTGAGCCACAGAGCGAGACTCTGTCTCAAAAAAAAAAAAAAAAAAAAAAAGAAATCTACTAGAGAACATTTCCTCCAACTAAGAGATGACTAGGAAATGTTAACAAAACAACTAAAGTGAGCATTTTTATTTATATAGTCATAGATCTAAAACTAAAACGAAGAATGGAAGACTAATGTGCAAATGTTATATGCTGTGACAGTAGAAATAATAGAACTCGACAATGGGAGGAGAGGGGAGGGAACAAGAAAAGTTAGAATAACCTCATTGATTGTTGGATAGCCACAGGTAGAAGTTAAAGAATGCTATTAAAAACTGAAAAACTGATTAATGAATGCTTAAATTTAAAAATATGGGCCTGAAGGCATTTTAGAAAGGTATAACTTCAAAGGTAATGACAGGAACAAAAGCATAAACCTTCCTAGACACCTTAACGTATCACCACATTTATAAATGAAAAATATATAACAAACAATTATAAAATATAATGACGAAAGAAGATCAAACACAAGATGGCAATAAATGAGAATGGGCTTAACTTGTCTACTAAAACAAAAAGGTTTTCAATTCGGCTCAAAGGCAAGACCCAACTATTGCTATATAACTAAAATTCAGAAAGGCTAAAGTAAAGGGACAGACAAAGGATATCAAACAATAAGAAAACAGGGATGGAGATTTTGATATCAGACAAAGTAAAATTCTAGCCAAAAAAAAGATTAAATGTGACTAATAAGAGCATTCTGAACAGTATAATTCACAATGAAGCCATAACAGCTGTGAATATCTATGCACCAGACAACATCTTCATAGAGCAAAAACTATAGGAGAAGCAAGGAGACATTGGTAGACAAACTAATAACAGGATACTTTTAGACATCCCTTTCAGAACCAGATAGATAAAATGGGGAAAAGGTAAGTAAGACTATAGAAGACAAACATTAAAATCAAAATATGTAGTTCTCATGGAGGGGTGACAGGAAGAGAGCGAGGGATCTCATACTCTACACCCTGATAATAGAGAATACACCTTCACAAAAACTGATCATGTATTAGATCACGAAGAAAATAACGGTAACTTCCACAAAGTAGAACTATTACAGATACTCTCGTCAGAGTATAGTAAAATTAAAAATTTTTTAATTATTGTTTAAAAAGATCTTTACACTTGGAAATTTTTTTAATTTATGATATAAATCCTGGGTGAAAGGGACAATAAAAACAGATAGTACAGAATTTCTTTAGAAAATAATGATAATAAATACACTACATATCAGACTCATTGGGATACATATAAAGTGATCCTAGGAAAATTCATAACAGTAAACATTTCTGTCAATAAAAATAAAACAATGAAAATGAATGAAATTCCCAGTTCCAATTAAATAGAAAAGCACAAAAGGTAAACTAAAAGAAAATTCAAGGAAAGAAGTCATAAAATAGCAAGGATAAAAGCAGAAATCCATAAAGTAGAGAATATAAAAACAGTAAACATAATAAATAAATTGAAATCTTGATTTTTAAAAAAATCCAGAAAGACAAATCATGAGTTAATTTGATCAAGAAAAAAGATAATAAACATGTATATAAATTAACAAATGACAAAAGAAAATCGCTATTTAAAAAGAATTTTTGATATTATAAAAGATTACTGTGAAAATTTTACTTGTACCCTAGAGTATATACAAACAATAAACAAAATTTTAGTTTAAAAAAAAGACTACTTTCAAGACCTCTATACAATAAATGTGAAAATCTAGATGAAATGGATAAATTTCTAGGAAAATGGAGATTAACAAAATTAACTCCTGTAGATAAAAGACAAATCTTAAGCACACCAATTTACATGGAAGAATTAGAGTAAGTTAGTAGGAATTAAAGAAAGTTACTCCACCAAAAAAAAGAAACAAAAAACAAAATACCAACCCCAAATGATTTCACAAGGAAATTTTCCTAAACTTCCAAAGACCTGATAGTCCGATGCTCCATAAATTGTTCCAGAGTACTGAAAAGGAGAGAAAACTTCTTAAAGCTTTTAATGAAACCAGTTTTAACACCAATATCTAAACCAGATCAAGACAGTATTCCCCCACCACAAAAAAAAAACAAAAAACCTACAGGGTGGGAGACGGGGAAGATGGTGGAGTAAGAAGCACCAAATATCTGTCTCCCCACCTAGACAACAATAGCATTGGCAGAATCTGTCTCATGTAGTAAATCAACAGAAACTATCCCTGAGAAAGACCAGATGGTAGACTCACTAAAGAAAGACTTTAAAACAACTGTCTTAAAAATTATCAAAGAGCTAAAAGAAGATGTAGACAAAATCAAGAAAATGATGTATGAACCGAATGGAAATTTCAATAAAGAAATTGAAATCATAAAAAGGAACCAAAAAAGTTCTGGATATTATTGTAATCTTAGTTTGTGACTTCACTTTTTGTTTTCTACATGATTTAAGAGGCTAATGCATTAAAATTTATATACGTCTATGTTTTTGAACACACAGTGTATAAAGATGTAATGTTTATGACATCAATAACTGAAAGAGTGTGGGGATAGAGCTGTATAAGAGCAGAGTTTTGTCTGTTACCAAAGTTGAGCTGGTATAAATTCAAAGTACAGCATTATAACTTTAGGATGTTAAATGTAATCCCCATGGTAACCATAAAGAAAATAGTTATAGAATATACACAAAAGAAAGGAAACGGGAGTTAAAATGTTTCACTACAAAAAAAAAAAAATCAACCAAACACAAAGGATGACAACATGGATGAACCTTGAAGACATTATGCTAAGCAGAATAAGCCAGTCGCAATAGGAAAAATGCATAATTCCACTCAAAAGAGGTGCTTAGAGTAGTCTCATTCAGAGAGACAGAAAGCAAAATGGTTGTTGCCAGGGGCTGGAGGAAGGGGGAAATGGGGTATCATTGTCTAATGAATAAAGCATTTCAGTTTCACAAGATGAAAGAAGTTCTGGCAATGGATGGTGGTGATGGTTGCACAACAATGTGGATTTTCTTTCTCTCTCTTTTTTTTTTTTTTTTTTTGAGACGGAGTCTCGCTCTGTTGCCCAGGCTGGAGTGCAGTGGCAAGATCTCGGCTCACTACAAGCTCCACCTCCCGGGTTCACGCCATTCTCCTGCCTCAGCCTCCCGAGTAACTGGAACTACAGGCGCCCGCCACCACGCCCGGCTAATTTTTTGTATTTTTAGTAGAGACGGGGTTTCACCGTGTGTTAGCCAGGCTGGTCTCAATCTCCTGACCTCATTCATGATAATGTCACTGGATATATACTTAAAAATAGTTAAAAGGATAAATTTTATGTTATATGTATATTACTGAAAATTTAAATAAGTAGTGTTAAAATTGCTGACCAAAAATACTTATGAATGTCAAAACCAACGTACTAAATAAAATATTACCAAACAGAATCCAACACCACATTATGAAAATAACAAAGCATAGCCAAGTGGGATCAACATTAGGAAATTTCTTCAAATAATATACCATATCAATATATTTAAAGAAAAAAAATCAAGAGATTATCTCCATAGATGCTGAAAAAGCCTTCACCAACACCAAAATTCCACAATCACTCTTGACAAAAAAACACTCAAAAATGAGAATTGAGGGATACTTTCATAATATAAAATACATGATATGTGTGTGCACGTGTGTGTGTGCGTGTGTGTGTGTGCAAGATACTCCACTGCTATTCAACATTGTACTAAAAAGTTTATTAATGGAATTATACAAGAGAAATTAATTGGAGGCACAAAAATTGACAAAAAAGAAAAACAATTCTATTTGCAAATGACAAACCATCATACCCAGAAAACCCTAGAGAATCCATGATAAAACTAACTCAATAATAAAAGAATTCAGTAAAGCTATAGGATATGGAATTAACATATACAGATATATATAGGTTATATATAGATATATAGATGTTATATATATTGATATCAATACCCTTTATATACACAAATAATAAGTAGTTAAAGAACATAATGGAGAAGAAAAAAGTCTCATTTACAATTGCAACAAGGAAGATTCAATACTTGGAATAAACTTAGCAAGAAATATGCAAAACCCAAATGAATAAACCTGAAAACACTTCTAGAAGACAGACAAGTCAGCTTGAATAAGTGGACAAACTTGTTCTTGGATAGGATGATTTAACATCATAAAAATGCCAGTTCTCCCAAAGTTAATGTATAAATTTAATGCAATTCCAATAAAAATACCAACAAACTTTTTATGGAGGTAAACAAGTTGACACTAAAGTCTATACAGAAAAAACAAACATAAAAGAATAGCCAGGAAAACACTTTAGAATAAAGCTATGTGGAGGTACTAGTGCTACCAGACAATAAAACATACCATAAAGCCTTTAATGACAAAATATTAGAGGTATTTCCTCTTAATTAAGACAGTGTGGTAATTAAGACAATGTGGTTTTGGTATATGAATAGCTTACAACAAGTGGAATCAGAAAAAAAGTTCAGAAATAAGCCCATGCACATATGAAAATTTGGTTTATGATTATTATTCTTATCTCACACCACTGGGGCAAATATTAACATGTCAATAAATAGTACTGCAACCTATATCACAGATAATGAGCTAATAGTTCAAATATTTAAAATAACGAATAAGATTAAAACCCAATGGAAAGTAGAAATAATGAATAAATTTAGGGAAGAAAATAGACATCCAGCTTCAAGAAGCCCAAAAGACTCCAACTAGAATGAATTTAAAGAAGTCCGCTACAACATATATTATAATCAATTTGTCAAAAGTCAAAGACAAAAACAGAATTTTGAAAGCAGCAAGAGAAAAGCAACTTTTCATATAAAAGGGGGCCACAATGAGACTATCAACAAATTTCTCAGCAGAAACCTTGCAGGCCAGAAGGGAGATGGATGATCTATTCAAAAGAAAACAACGGGCAGCCAAGAATACTCTGTCTAGCAAAACTGTCTTTCAAAAATAGAGGGGAAATAAAGACTTTCTCATGTGCACAAAAGCTGAAAGAGTTCATCACCACTATACCTGCCTTATAAGAAATGCTAAAGGGAGTCCATCATGTTGAAATAAAAGAATGCTAGGCAGCAACATGAAAACATATGAAAGGTAAAATTCCTGGTAAAGGTAAATATATAAACAAATATAGAATATTTTAATACTATAATGACAATGTGTAAATCTTTGAATTCTGGTATAGTACTTAAAAGACAAACTTATAAAAATAACTATCACTATAAAAATCAGTTAATGAATACACAACATTAAAAAATATAATTTGTGACATCAATAATGTAAAGTGGGGGAGAGGCAGTAAAAGAGTAGAGTTTTCGTGAGCAATTGAAATTAAGTTGTTATAAGCTTAGAATAGACTGTTATAAGTATAGGCTGTTTTATGTAAGCTTCATGGTAACCACAAAGAAAATATCTATAGAAGATACACAAAAGGAAATGAGGAAGGAGTCAAATCTCATCATTACCCAAAAAAATCAATGAAACACAAAGAAGGGCAGTAAGAGTAGAAAAGAGGGACAAAAAAGCTACAAGACTGACTGAAAATAATTACAAAATGGCAACAGTAAGTCCTTCCCTATCCATAGTTACTTTAAGTATAAGTAGAATAAACTCTCCAATCAAAAGCTATGAAGTGGCTGAAATGAATTTTTAAAAATAAAATAAAACAGCCAGGTGCGGTGGCTCATGTCTGTGATCCCAGCACTTTGGGAGGCTGAGGTAGGCAGATCATGAGAGATCAGGAGATCGAGACCATCCTGGCTAACATGGTGAAACCCCGTCTCTACTAAAAATACAAAAAATTAGCCAGGCATGGTGGCACGTGCTTGTAGTTCCAGCTACTTAGGAGGCTGAGGGAGGAGAATCACTTGAACCCGGGAGGCAGAGGTTGCAGTGAGCCGAGATCGAGCCATTGCACTCCAGCCTGGGCAACAGAGCAAGACTCCATCTAAATAAATTAAGTAAATAAATAAATAAAATATAAAACAAGATCCAACTATGTGCTGTCTACAAGAGAGAGACTCACTTTAGATTTAAGAATGCACATAGGTTTAAAGTGAGAAGATGGAAAAAGATATTTCATGCCAATGTTAACTAAAAGACAGCACAGGTAGCCATACTTAGAGAAATTAAACTTCAAGTCAAAGATGGTCACAAGAGACAAAAAAACGGACATTATATAGTGATAAATGCATCAATTCACCAGGAAGATATAAGTACATTGCACCCAACATTAAAGCACACAAATATAAGAAGCAAATATTGACAGAAGTGATGATAAATATAGAACAACATAATAGTGAGAGATTTTAATATCTCACTTTCAATAATGGATAAAAAATCCAGATAGAAGATCAATAAGGAAACAGAGAACTCAAACAACACTATGGCCCAAGTGGACCTATCAAACAAATACAGAACATTCTACCCAACAACAGCAAATTATACATTCTTCTCAAACACACATAGAACAGTCTCCAGAATAGCTCACATGCTAGCCCACGAAACAAATCTTAACAAATTTAAGGAGGCTAAAATCATACCAAGTATCTTTTCTGACAACAGAATAAAATGAGACATTGCTAAGAGAAATAATTTCAGAAAGTTCTCAAATATGTGGAAATTAAAAAACACTCTTGAACAACCAATGAGTCAAAGAAGAAATCAAAAGAAAAATCAGAAAATATTTTGAGAAAAACAAAAACTAAAGCACAACATAGCAAAGCTTATGGGAAACAGCAAAAGCAATAAAAGGAAAGTTTACAGCAGTAAATGTCTACAGTAAGAAAGATCTCAAACAAATAACCTAATTTTACAATGTAAGAACTAGAAAATGAATAAACTAAGCCGTAAGTTAGCAGAAGGAAGGAAATAATAAAGATTTGAGGAAAAATAAATGAAATATAGAATACAAAATATCAATAAAACTTAGAATTGGTTTTTTAAAGGTCAACAAAATTAACAAAGCTTTAGCTAGATTAACCAAGACAAAAAGAGAAGACTCAAATAAATAAAATCAGAAATAGAAGAGCTTACATTACAATTGATAGCGCAGAAATAAAAAGGTTAGTAAGAGACTACTATGAACAACTACACACTAACAAATTGGATAACCTAAAGAAATGAATAAATCCCTGAAACATACAACCTACCAAGCCTGAATGATGAATAAACAGAAAATCTGAACAGCCCCATCATTAGTAAGGAGATGAAATTAGTAATCATAATCTCTCAATAAATAAGAGCTCAGATGCTTTCACTGGATAATTCTACCAAAGATTTAAAGAAGAATTAATGCCAATCTTTCTCACACTCTTCCAAAACACTGAAGTGGGAAACCTACTTTATGAAGCCAGAATTACCCTGATACCAAAGTCAAAGACTTTACATTAAAAAAAACTACAAGTCAATATTCCTGATGAACACAGATGCAAAAATTCTCAACAAAATGACAGCAAACTGAATTAAACAGCACAATCAAAGGATAATACACTCTGACGGAGTGGGATTTATCCCTCAGATAGGAGAATGGCTCAACGTCTAAAAATCAATAAAGGTGATACATAGCATTAACAGAACAAAGGATAAAAATCATACTATCATGTCAACAGATACAGATAAAGCATTTGTCATAATTCAAACACCATTTCATGATTAAAACATTCAACAAACTAAGAATAGAAGAAAATTACCTCAACAAAATAAAGGCCATTAATGAAAATACCACAGCTAACATCACACCGAATAGTGCAAAACTAAAAGCTTTTCCTCTAATCAGGAAGACGGCAAAGATGCCCACTCTCACCACTTCTATTCAACATAGTACGAGAAGTCTTAGCTAGAGCAATGAATCAAGAAGATATGAACATCACCCAAATCAAAAAAGAAGTAAAATTATCTCCATTTGCAGATGACATGATCATATGCATAGAAAACTCTAAAGATTTCACCAAAAATTTGTTAGCAAATTCAGCGAAGTTAAAACAAATTCAGTTGCAGAATACAAAATCAACATACAAAACCATTTGTTTCAATACACTAACAATGAACCTGTCCACATGAAAAAGAATGAAATTGGACCCTTACCTTATATCATACACAAAGTTAACCCAAAATCAAACTTAAACACTGATACGTAAAACCTGAAATTATAAAACTCCTAAAAGAAAACACAAGAACTTTGCAACATTGGTCTTGGCGACGATTTCTTGGATATCATTGCCAAAAACAAGGCAACAAAAGCAAAAATAGACAAGTGGGACTACAGCAAACCAAAAAGCTTCTGTGCAGCCAAAGAAACAATCAACAGAATAAAAAGGCAGCCTACAGAATGGAAGAAAATATTTGCAAACCGTACATTTGATAAAGGGTTAATATCCAAAATATATTAGGAACTCATACAACTCAATAGCAAAAAAAAAAAAAATGCAAATAACCCAATTTAAAAATGAGCAAAGGACTTGAAAAGACATTCCTCCAAAGAGACATCCAAAAACTCAATTATATGAAAAAATATCCAACATTACTGATCATCAGGGAAATGCAAATCAAAACCATAATGAGGTATCACCTCATACGTGCTAGAATGGCCATTATCAAACACACACACACACACACACACACACACACACACACACCAGGAAATACCACGTGTTAACAAGAATGTGAAGAAATTGAAACCCTTGTGCATTGATGGTAGGAATGTAAAGTGGTGTCGCGACTACAGAAAACAGTAAGAAGGTTCCTCAAAAAATTAAAACTAGTATTAGCATATGACCCAGTAATCCCACTTCTGGGTATTCATCCAAAAGCATTGAAATCAGGATCTCAAAAAGGTACTTATACACTTCCACATTCACTGCAACATTATTCACAATAGCCAAGAGTTAGAAATAATCCAAATGCACATCAGTGGACAAATGGATAAAGAAAATGTGGTATATACATGCAATGGAATACTATTCAGTCTTTAGAAAGAAGGAAATCCTTTCATATGCCACAACATAGATGAACTTGGAGGATGTTAAGCTAAGTGAAATGAGCCAGTCACAGAAGGATAACTACTGCATGAATCCACTTACAGGAGGTATCTAAAATCGTCAAATTCATAGAAGCAAAAAGCAGAATGGTGGTTGCGGGGGCTAGGGGAAGGGGAAAATGGGAAGTTGCTGTTCAGTGGGCATAGTTTCAGTCACACAAAACAAAAACTTCTAGAGATCTGCTGTACAACAACTTGCAAATAGCTAACAATATGGTATTGTACACTGGAAAATTTATTAATAGGGTAGATCTCATGTGTTTCTTATCACAACTTTTCTAATGGGAAAATGGGGAAAGGCATGAGCAGAAAATTCACAAAATTAGACCAAAAAATGGCAATTAAACATATGATAAAATGTTTAACCTCACTCATCATTAGAGAAATGAATTTCAAGTACACTGAGATACTATTTCTTTCCTGAAAAGTAAGAAATTTGCAAAAAAAATAAATAAAAACTGTAACAACACACTCAGCAAGGCCGTGGAGATGCATGCACTCTCATACCTCGCTGATCGAAAACCAAACTGATGGACATTCCAGTTTTGCACAACCACATCTCACCTGTTAGAGGAGAATCTGGGAATGTCTAAGGGGAACTTCATATGCACTTATCTTTTGACCCAAGAATCTCACTTCTAGGAATCTACCCTGAAGACACACCTCCAACCATATGAAAATTCGTTCGTATGTTCAGGTTTACTCATTGCAGCATTGCTTGTCATTACAAAACACTGGAAACAGCCTAAACGCACATCCATAGAAGAACAGTTGGGTAACCTATGGTACACAGTGAAGTATTAGGAAGCTCTCTTTGAAATGACATCGAGTAATTTCCAGGATATGCTTTTAATCACAAAAGGCAAAGCTCTTTGTACAGAGGAAAGCTGACCATACCCTCCTTCCCAGAGGCAGGCAGCCTAAATTGGAACTGGGAGGTGTTTTAACTCTAATCAAATTCAAAGTTTTGATTATTACGCAAGAGTGGGTATCTAGTTATCAACTGAGACTTTGTCTTCTGACAAAGTAACTATAGAATTCTTTATGAATAAACAGAAGAAACCTAAAGTCTGGTGGAGTTTTCACCTAGACCAAGAGGGAAATTTATCTCACTAAATAAATTCTAAAGGGGGAATGAGCTATAAATACAGTTTTGATTGCATCCCACCAGTTATGCCTGTTCAGCATAAAGGTTACAATCCACTGCTGAGTCATGGTCACCATAAGCAGTCATTGCTCCCAAACATGAGACAGAAGGCTAACCCAGCCCATGGATGACATGCTCTCCACAAGTGTACATGAGATGGACTTTAAATATTTCCTCCTCTTAATCCAGGCCGCCTTGGTGATGTACTGTTGCTATAGGTGTGGTTGGAGAGTTTTCTGGAAGCGTCTCTCTCACTGCTATACTTCCACTGCTATACCCTGAATACACAGATTCCTAAAGGTTGACTTGCCAACAGCCAAGCTGAGCATTGACCTCAGAAAAGCAATTCTTCCTTCCAGTTATGCATAATCTGGGGAAGTGCCTTCCAAAGACAGAGAAAGAGGGCAGTGATCCCTGAGACTGGCTGCATGCATGTCCAAAGAGCACAGGAGGAAAGGAAGGTGAGTGAAGGTAGCACTGTGCATGTGGTGATGAGGGAAAGGGTACTTCTGGGCTGGTGGGTGCCTGCTCTACTTTTCTGCACAGCCAAGCTAAAAGCACTGCCCCTTTGACGCTGCCCTGGCTGGAGAAGCAAAGGACTCACAGGGGCAGGTCCAGCGGCAGCCACAGGTCTCTTCCACTTTAACAGGGGACTGGCTGTTAGGGCACGAAGGCCTCAGCCCCCGGTCACAGTTGACCCGATGACTCTTCAGCAAGGTCTGGCCATCTGGCTGGCAAGTCACGGTGTGGCACTGGTCTGGCAAGGTCCAGACGTCCCCGGGCTGCAGAAGAAAACAGCAGATTCAGGCAGGGAATAAGATGAGGTACTCCAACTCTAAGCCCATCTGCCAGACAACTGACCCCTAGAATTGAACACAGGCCTACACAGCAAGGAGGCCCCCTGTACATGAGACAGGAAGCAAAACACAAGATGTACAGATGGACCCGCAAAAACAAGATAATAGTAAAAGGAAGCACTGGACTAAGACCAAAGGAGGAAAAATTAACCAGTGGGAACAAGAGCCCCAAACACATCTCTAACCTTTCTTTCAAAGTCAACAGAAAGGAACTTACCCTCTTCTCATTCCCATCCTCATCCATGCAAATCCTAACAAATCCTGCAACAGACACAAATAAGACCTTAGTTCCCATCTTTCACCCAGAAATTCTGAACCATTCACAATGTCTGCTTAAGCAACCTGGTCTAGTTTTTGAAGTCAACTCAACTCTGAAAAGAATCTGAACAAGGTTAACAGTGGAGACATAGGGACATGAGGCTGAGGTGGTCATCCTGTGGTTCTTCAGACATGCTCTGCAGTTATTAATAATTATGATGCCAACAACAGCGATAATATGGCAATAACTACAGCTTACGCTGTCATTATCTTGGTTCACATGTAGATCACGCCAGGGATGGGGAAGGTGGGGAGATGAAGCAAGATCCTGGAAACCTGAAAGAGATCTACTTGAAGATTCCTACCAGGAGAGCTGCCATCTCTCTGTACAGCTAATGTTATTAGCTATAAGTCAAAACTTGCATAGAGTTATTGCCCTTTAAGGGCAAACTTGCATTGACTTATTCCCCCGAAGGACAGTAGCTTTATGCAGGTTTTGACTTACATCTAGTAACGGGAAAATATACAAACCCAGGCCCCCGCCACAAAAAAAGCGTGTGTGTGTGTGTGTGTGTATTTTTTTTTTTTTTTTGAGATGGAGTCTCACTCTGTTGCCCAGGCTGGAGTACAGTGGCGCGATCTCGGCTCACTGCAAGCTCTGCCTCCCGGGTTCACACCATTCTCCTGCCTCAGCCTCCCAAGTAGCTGGTACTACAGGTGCCCGCCACCACGCCCGGCTAATTTTTTGTATTTTTAGTAGAGACAGGGTTTCACTGTGTTAGCCAAGATGGTCTCGATCTCCTGACCTCATGATCCGCCCGCCTCGGCCTCCCAAAGTGCTGGGATTACAGACGTGAGCCACTGCACCTGGCCAAAAGCATATTTTTTAAGTTTCTAACCTAAAATCAACTTAAACTATGGTACTTTGATATGAGTCTCCGTGTTATCGTATTTCTAAAGCCCTTTATACCCATGTTGAGAGTTAGTCTAGGCCCATGGGGAAGAAGACTATACCTACGGAACGCTGGGGTTCCTTGCTTATGTCTTCTGATTCTTTTGTCCAAGATCCCTCTACACAAATAAGCTTAGGCTCTCTCTGCCAAGTTCACATGGACAATTAGAGTGGAAATAGGACCATACACAGAAAGCTTTCTGCTGGCCCCATGGGGGCTTGTGGTATACACCTCCCATGAACAGAAACTTAAAGGTCCTGGTCTATATAATAATCTTCATTCAAGGCCAAATCTTATGCATGGGCACCCTGGGGTCTCTTGAATACTATTTTTGTTTCTTTGGCGGGTTTATTTTGGAACTTTTTTTTGAGGGAAGTAAGAAAGGTATTATAAGACTCACCAGAGCACAGTTTGTGGAGGAAGGAATTGCCCAAGGTGACCATGGTAGGGAGGTCTTCGATTCGCTGGAGCTTCACCACGTTGGAGTCGCCTGCTGGGCCTGCCAAGATCCGTAGCTGGGCTGCATCGTAGCGATCTCCAATTCCAATAGGGAACACTGTCACTCCTAGAGTTAGCAAAGAGACAAGAAAGGATCTGTGGGCAAGAAGGCTCAAAATGGACTGGCCTGACGTTATATCCAGCATCTGAATACAGCCTCATGTTTTCCAGGCTGGTCACATACATCAGCCCTATGAGGAAGATGTTCAGTCAACAGATATTAATGAGCTGCTACTCTGTGTCAGGTACTATTGTAAGCAATAGGGGTACAGCAGTGAACCAAGCACATAAAGTCCCTCCCTGTCCCCCGTCCTCATGGAGAGATAGACAACAAACACACAAACAAAGTAAATATATAGAATTTCAGATGTGGATAAATGCTTAGGAAAAAAACAAAATGAGATAAGGGGGATGAGAATGCCCAGGGCTGAGGTGTGGGTTATCGTTGCATATATGGCAGTTGGAGAAGCATTTGGTGAAAAGATGGCATCTGAGCAGAAACCTGATGTAAGGATGGAAGGAGCCAAGAGGATGTCTGAGGGAGGGACATCCCAAGCAGAGAGAAGAGTGAGTGCAAAGGCCCCAGAGCAGAAATGTGACTGCATGCTCCCGGGGGCTGGGGAGAGAGGGACAAGCAAGAGAGGGAAAGGGCATGGATCAGGCAATGCTCCATTGGCCACAGTAAGGGCTCACCATGTTCTGTGAATGAAACAAAGCCAGCCAAGACTACAGAGCAGAGGGACAGGAGCTGATTTTGATATTAAAGGGCCACTGCAGCTGCTGTGCTGAGAATGATCTGCAGGGGACAAAGGTGGAAGCTGGGGTTCCAGTTAGACAGCTATTTCAATAGTCCAGGTGAGAGATGATGGGGACTCGGATTGAGGTGACCCTAGTGGACATGGTGTGGGGAGGTGTGACTCTCGAAGTATTTTGAAGATGGAGCTATAGTTTGTTCGTGGCTTGCATGGAGGTATCAGGGAAAAGGAAGAAGAATCAAGGATGCTGAGCTTTTTGAACTGAACAACTGGAAGGTTGGAATTGCCATTTTCTAAGATAAGAAAGACAGATGTGAAAATCAGGAGTTTAGTTTTGCCTATTAGAGCATGCAAACTGAGTTGAGGTGAGGCTGGAGATACGAATTTCAAAGTCAAAGATGTATAAATGTATTTAGACCCATGACACTGAACTAGACCACCAAGGGGGTATATGTAAGAAGAGAAGAGAAAATATCACAGGGCTGAGCCCAGAGAATGTGCATGCTCATTTACACATGAGAAACCGAGGCTTTGGACGGTTAAATGACTTGCTCTGGATCATATCTGCTTCAAGACCACAACTGCTTTCTTTCCCAGTGAAAATCTTTCTTTGGATTCTTGATACTGAAGGAGAAAAAATCTCCATCCTGAAATTCCTCAATTCAGCTCTCCAGAAAGTTCTAGGAATTTGCAATGTGCTTCAGGTTGGAACGGATTTTCTATTAGCAGCTTTTCAGCTCTTGTAAGTTCGTTATATTATCCAAATATATATCCTTTCCCTTTTAGTGTCCTTTACCCTAAAATCATAGATTTCATAAACATGTCACATTCATTCACTCAACAAACGTTAAATGGTCACCTATTTTGTGCATCATACACAGATGATACAAAAATAAGCAAGATCTTCCCTTGCCTTCAAAGAACTCCCAGTTTTTTGCAAGGAATAGATATGTTACAAATACAATACAATACAATACGATTTGCACATTTTGAGTAGCTCATATGTGACATAGAGAACGGAGCAAATAACTTCCTCAGGAAGAACATCAGGAAGACAGCAGAGAAAAGACAGGGTTCTGACAGCACTCCTAGGCAGGGTTCTGAAAGATGAACAGTTCTCCAGGTGGCCACGAGGGGACTCAATGTCACTCCACTCACCCAGACCTTCTTCAGCTGGGAGGTGGTCCCTAGACTCTACCACCTGTCCCAGCTCACATCCTGTTGATATTAAGAACATGATAAGCACATGTTCTTATGGAGCACAAGGCTGGACATCTGGATCCTTCCCTTTCCTACAGCATGATCCTTTGTCTCTCATCCATCAACCCTGCCAAGCCCATTACCTGGTACCAGGAAAGGACTCTAAATACATGAAAGCCCCCATTGGTTCTCAAGGCCCTACAATGAATCACTCTGGCCTCAGACATGACATTTTAGTAAGAGACCACGAATCCTACTTTAGAAAGAAAGGGCATAGAGGTATGATCACTCCTGGACACAAAGGGAAAATGTGGAGAAATTAAAGATTATAATTAGTTATAAAGATATAGGATCAATACACACTTTTTATTGTTTGGTTTCCTAATCACATCGTGGTTGGATAATTTCCTGCTGTTTGAAACCAGGACAGAGGTTGGTATTGAGCATATTTAATATCAGCCACAACATCCAAAAGTAACCCCAGCCCACTTTTAATCCTCTATCATTTCTGAAGTCTCGCTCTCCTGAATTGAGGACTGTACACCAGATTCTTACTGTTGGACCTGGCGGCATCAGCTGCTGCATCCACTGAATCCACAGAGACGTCCGTGACCAGGATGACCACCGCCTTTGAGGCTCCCGGCCTGGCACCATGCATTTCTGAAGTCAAGTATCGCACAGCAAAGCCCAAGGCATCCCCTGAGGATGGAGAACAGATCACGCCAAGTCAGTACTGACTGCGGCTCGACACCCTGTCTTAACGGTGGATCCTTAAGTCACTTAAAAGCTGAATGATTCAGAAACTCCAAGGAACACCCAGTTGAGATCTGGAGAGACGTGGAAGAGCATCTAGCCCCTCACTTTCCAGGAGAAGAAACTAAGGCCAAGGAGCAAAGTGACTGGCCGAGGTCACACAGTCACTTATGCCAAAAATAAGAACCAGAATGCAGCTTCTGCATCCAGCCTGTGGCACCAACGTTACCGATTTGGCTGGGGCCTCCCTCCCGCTGCATGACGTCCACAAGGCTCAGCAAATGGGCTTTCTCCGGGACCACGTTCCATGGCACGTCAATGGTGGTGATGCTTCCATACTGCAGCACTGACACCTGAGTGAGACGAGGCCCTAAACGGAACGAGAAAATGCGGATTATTTTGAATCAAGTAGAGCCACAAAAAGAGCCTCTTCGTCACCTGCTGCTTCAGGTGCCTCGCTCACCCACCTATATTGGCTTTTGAAATGAAAGCCTTGGCGAAACTCTTCATTTCATCAAAATAAGAAGCTGGGAAACTGGAGGAGCCATCCAGGAGAAGGATCACGTCCAGGGGCTGGCTGCAGTCTGCAAAGACAACCAGGAAGGTGAGCACACAGGTGCCAGCAGGGACAATGGCCACCAGGCCTACAACCTGACATCCAATAGGATCTGCAGGGCGTGCTGACCACGTGGCACCACCAAGGGGGGCGGGGGGTGCCTTCGTGAGTACAAGGGCAATGTGGGCCAGGGAGGAGGGGATGGGGAGATGGAGTTCCTGGGTCCGGACTACCTCAGATTTAGAGACACTGAGAAGACTCCAATTCTACCCAAAGGAAGTTTAAATGTCTACAAATAAAAGCAGCAGGCATAGGCTTCCTCGGTAAGAAGGGGCCACCATTCTTCTAGAAATGAGTAAAATACTGGCCTGGCAATACAAGGAGACTGCAAAAGGAAATGGAGCGGCAGCCCCTCCCTGGACAATGAGCTGCTGTGTCCTCAGATCTTGCAGGGCAGGTGAACATACTGTGATTCTTCCAGCTATAAATGCCTAGTGCTCCTGTTAGTGTCTGAGCACATCTGAGATTTGATGAAATGATGTAATTGTTGTTTTCCTCAGCAGAAATATTACAAGAATTTAAATAAATCTATGGCCGTGAATAAAAACAAAAACAAAGAAACAAAAGTACTGACAAGTGTGTGACTCAAAAGATACTAAAAGAAGGCTTATTATTCTGGGATGGTCCCAAACACACCGAATAAAGATGTTCAGGAACTAGGAATGGATTAGACGCCAGTGTCAGTAAAAGGTAGTAGTAACAGCAGTGGGAGCAAGCATTTTTTTTTGAGCACTTGTCATGTGCCAGATACTATTTTAAGCAAGTAGGTGCTATTATTATCCCCATTTTATAGATGAGGATACACAAAGATGTGTATCCTTTGTATAGATGATATACAAAGAGGTTAAGTATTTGCCTCATCCTTTGTATAGACGATATACAAAGAGGTTAAGTATTTGCCCAAAATTACCCAGCTAGCAAGTAGCAGAGATAAGATTCAAACTAAGGCAGTCTGACTCCAGTGTCTGAAGACTGCACCTGCTACCTGACACCTGACATCCTGGTCTTGCCCTGAAGAATGTCAGCTACTCGGAATAATTTCACCCACCCAGTGTGGTCAAAATGAAGCTTATCATCACCACCTTTAACAGAGGTTACCTTGAAGGCAGAGGGTGGAATTGGGTGGGGAAGAGGCTGTGTGATAAAGTAAGACTTGCATTTTTTTTTTTTTTTTACTCCTTATTGGCATTGTTTAAATGTTAACAATAGGCTTCCATTACCTTTGAATTTATAGAAGCACACACAATAAGAAAAGATCTTCCCCCGAAAAAGGATCACAGTTTGTCTCCCTGCCAGGGAGGTGAGGAAACACAGGCCCTTTGAAGGCAAGTTTCAACCAAGGCCACACAGACCAGGGAAGCCAGGATTAGAACCCGAGTCGTATCTTGGCAGATGCATGTAGCACCAAGGCCATGCCAGCCCTCGCCCAGCCCTCCCACCTGCACACAAGGTGCCAGCATACCAGGTGCAGGGGAGAGGGTGGGGATCTGCAGCCCCTCTCCGGAGCAGCACCTCTGCAGCACCAGGTCAGGAGCCTCTCGGGGGAGCGTCTCAAAGTCCTGGATGAGGATAGGGGCATTGGGCCAGCCAATCCTCTCCAGCTCCTGCACGTTGGCATTAGGGCCCACTCCAATGGGCACCACCTGGATGTCTCCAGGCAGCCTCTTGATCTCATCAGAGGCAGGATTTCCGGTGACCATGTAGACCAGGTTGGGCGCCTGCTCCCGGTCACCCTGGCTGACCAAGAAGCTGTGGTCAGAGAGGTACCGCAGGGCCAGCCCAGTGTTGGTCCTGTTGCCGCCCTGGTAGCGGATCTCTCGCACCCGCTGCAGGATGTCCCCTTTGGACTGTGCCTCGCTGAAGGGGTACTCCACAGTCACCATGTAGGAGTACTGCAGCACCGTGACGTGGATGCTGTCCTGGCCCACATCCATCCGCTGAATCACCTCCTCCATGAACTCCTTGCTCCTGTTGAAGTCGGCTTCACCAATTTTGTCCGATCCTTCCAGGACGAACGCCACATCCAGAACCATGGAGTTCCTCTTGGGCCCCAGGGTCGAAACCCCCAAGAGCCCCGGGCCCACAGTGACTTGTGCCATGTCGGGGGGCAGAGTAGGAGGAGGGGCTTCAGGGGCAAGGTCACAGAGGTAGCTAACGATCTCGTCCCTTTGCTGCTCCAGCTCATCCACACTGCTCAGCACGAAGGCCTTGTTCTCAGGGGCCTGCTTCTCGATGAGGCGGATCTGCTTGAGGTTGGCATGGGGCCCAATGCCCACCGGGATCACAATGACCTTCTTCTTCTTCAGGCCCTGGACGTAGCGGACAAAGTTCCGGGACATCCGTTGGGGCTCCTGGCTGGCCATCAGGAGCAGGGTGATGCGGGAGGCTTCAGGGCGGTCGATCTTGCTGAAGATTTGGAACAGTGTGTATTTCAAGACCTCGCTGGTGGAGGCCACCTGGCTGCCCGCATACTTCACCTGGCTGGCAATGCGCCGCAGCTCTGACGGTCGCTTCCGGTCCTTGAGCCCGATGTAGGCGTGGGAGCCGTCGTGGTACTCCACCACGGCCACGCGGACCCACTTCTGGGAGATGCGCAGCCGCTCCATCATGTCCACCACAAAGGCCTTCAGCACTTCAAACTCAGCCTCGGACAGCCTGGAGGAGCCATCCAGCAGGAAGACCAGGTCCAGTAGCCTGCTGCAGTAGAAATCGTGCAACGGCGGTTCCGAGATGTCCTCCACATACAGAGTGGTGGGGCTCACCGGGGCATCTGTGGGAGGCACCACCAGGCCTCCCGGCTCCTGGCAGGCTTCACAGGTGAGGTTGACAACATCACAGTGGCTGCAGAAAAGAGCGAAGAAATTAAAATGGTTCAGGAAGAACCTGTGGACACTTCTGAGCCCTACAGTGTACAATGACTTCCATATTCCCACAGAATCTCCTCTGTTCCACCTGAACTTGAGATCCCATGGACCATTCCACATCCAAGTGAGATGTCATTGTTTAACATCTGTCCCCAAATAGCATGCCCCCCACCTTCAAAACACACACATAGCCGACTTCCTTTGATTCTAGAAACCAAAGCTTTAGCCCATCCTAGGATATGAAAAAATATACTCGTTGTTCTAGGCCATCCACACAACCACTCAAAGCTGATTTCTTTTCAACCTACATCTTTAGCAACATGAATACTTAATTATAATCCAAGCCTTCTTACAAGTGTCTCCAAGAACAAATGTTACTAAAATGTAGACGCTAACCTGTGTTTGTACATGTTCTGTTGAAGATAAATGCTTTACAGTACATATTCTAACAGAATGTAAATTGCATGAGTTTTAAAACATGTTTGATATGTTGGGCCCTAACGAAGAGAGAAAAAATTGGAGCAAAAACATTGTAGAAAGATGAATAAAGATTCAAAACCCCAGCTTTATCTAGCAGAACAAATTATTTGGGAGTAGCAGACAGGGGTCTCCACGGTGTCAGGCCTAGGAAAAGACATTCACTCATTCCTCCAGCAGACATAGGGTGAGCACCTCTCATGTGCCAGGTACTGGCCAGGCTCTGTGCCCAGCCCCAAGCACACACCACAAGTCTGTAGTAGAGCAGTGGCCCCCCACACACAAATTCCTACACTACCATGCCAAATTTCCAGGCTCTGCTGGTAACATCACCTTTTTGCCAGTGTCCCGGAAAGTGGCACGGCCTGCCAGCCCACAGGTGAAATCAAGTGACCGTGTGGTGGAGACCAATATGGGCCAGGACCATCTCCTCTTTGGACTCTCAGCCTTGGAGGCACCTGGCCTTCAGCACTCCCAGTAAAGCTGACAAGGCGGCAGCGCCCTGAGCCTGGGAAGTGTCCCCCTGCGGCTTGATACCAGGTGATGCCACCAGCCTGCTGTGGGACTTCTGTCCACACACTGCTTGCAGCTTCAGCGTGCACCGTGGCAGCTGCCCCTGCCCGTGTGCCAGCAAAGGAGGTGGGGAGAGGGCTCGAAGCTCTCATGCCCTTTTGGCACAGAACCCCAAGCCAGCATCAGAATCACCCAGTCCTTTGCTCCCTACAGTCTCTGTTTCAGCATAAAGAGTGTGCGCAGGTAGAGTCTTACTAGGAAGTTAATTCCTCCTTCCCGTGATCCACAAGATTTATTGCTTCAATCCTTGGTTAACAGTGCATGAGTGACATACTTTCTAGTTTCCTGTGTTTGCTAGAAAACTCACCCCAGGCAGTGTTCATTCTTGTTTGTACAGATGGTGGCGGCAGGATCTGACTCTAGCAGCTGTGACCATAGCCCCTCCCCAGCGAATTTACGTTCTCAAGTTTAAGCTCCCAGAAGGCTTGATTAGTGTCAGGGAGTGGTGTTGAATAGATCTGGATTTTAATAAATGCTCCCTACTTATGAGCAGGACTTCAGAGGGCTCAGAGCTCACCCTGAGGACTCCTTCTCACCTCCCCAAAGGCCAGTTTCCCAGAGGCAAGTCCAGTGAGAAGCCAGGGTGAGAGCAACGAGCACCTTCCCTCCCCATTATGACAGCCACACCCTGCCACCTTGACTATGGCCCCCACGACGTTCATGTTACCTGAGGGCCCTGGGTTCCATCTCACTTTCCTCTCCTGAGTCCCCACCTCCAGTATATGGACACCTGTGCTCAGACTAGTCATGACCTACAAGGACAATAAGTGACCATACCCCCACCTTCAGTGAGAAAAGCAAAAACCTGTTAGGACTTAAAAACCTATTAAGAGCAAAAACACTGTGGAGGAATATATGTGGAGGAAGCAGTCTAGTCCATCCCTAAAGAAAAAGAAGCAAACCCTAGGAACAAACAAAACAATAAACTACATTAAATAATGAATTAAATAAATAAACAAATAAAATAAACTCAGTCTCTCAACTCATGTGGCTAGGACTTTTTACCCAAAACCTAGTCTCTAAGCTGGCCCCTGGAGAAGCAATAAGATTCATCACTTCAAACAACCCAGGAATCTGTTTTACCAAATCTGGCAGTGCTCAGGGTCACTGGGATTCAAGGTGACTTTCTTTCCTGAGGCAAAACGCCGGCCAGCCACCTCACACACTGGACAGTCTTCAGGGTCAACGCAGGTCTGCAAAAGCTCATCCAGGATTTTCCCTGCAAAAGAAAGCTCTCATTAGGAACCAAAACGCTCCCCTTTCCCACGAGGAAGCCTCATTTTTAACTAAAAGGGAGGAGCCAACTCCTCCTCCTGCCCTAGAAGCCAACTCCTCCTGCCTGCACTCCCAGGGGTCACCCCATCACTCAAGGAGCATCTCTCCTGCTTGTGCCTTGATTGATCCCTCTGCAAAACTGGGAGCGGGGATTCCTTCACCCTACCTCACCTCCCCAAGCCTCAGGACAAATGAAATCTTATCTCCGGGGCTCTTTCTGCTCTTCTGAATAACACCTTCAGTAACTCTAGAGCTGTGCTGTACCATAGGATCGTCACAAACTGCGTGTGGCTATTTACGTTAAATTAAGTAAAATTCAATAAAATTCAAAACTTCAGTTCCTCAGACACACTCGTCACAGTTACATTCAATACAACATTCCCCCACTGCAGAAAGTTCTATCGGCAGGGGCTGCTTTAGGTGAGAATCCCATAAATAGGCACAGAAAAGCATTTTGGAGGAGCTCGACTTGAGAAAAATCACGACTGTCCTGACTCTGATGAAAGAACCCACGGAACCTGCAGCAGCCTTGCAGGTCAGAGATAGGACGTGGCAGGTGGAGGCTGAGATGAAGCAAGACCTAGAAGCACCTTTCCATCCATCCCTATCCCATCCCACCAGCCTGACCCCCAGGGATAGAGGCCTCACCTGGAGGGCAGTGGGCATGGCAGCCCTCCACACACTGCACAGGGCAGGCCAGTGGCTCAGGGTGCTGACACGTGACTTGACAGGCAGGTGCACAGCTGTTATAGCGCCACTCACACTCATACCCGTTCTCCCGGAGATTCCTCTCCTCGCAGCTCTGGGCTGTGTAGACAGGAGACAAGGCTGTGGCCACAACAGGCAAAGCCTCCAGGACTGCAGACCCATGTGGTGATGGCCTGCGCCATCTGGAGATAATGTTGGGGAACTAGGGGACTATGGGCGTCACCAATATTAGAGACTTCTGGATTGTTGAAGCACCTAAACCAGAATCTATTGGTTCTGAATTCATTTCTTTTTTTAATTTTTGTACAGATGGGGTCTTGCTATGTTGCCCAGGCTGGTCTTGAACTCCTGGGCTCAAGGAATCCTCTGGCCTCAGCCTCCCAAAACACAGGGATTACAGGTATGAGTCACTGTGCCCGGCCCAGTTTTCTACATAAAAACATTAAGTTGCTTCTGTCCAAAGAAGCAAGATTCTATAGACATGAATGTATGAGTTGATCACTCATATTGGCAAATATAATCACGCCTAATTAAAGACATAAATCGACTTCCTTCTTTTCATCAGTATTCCCTCTTCTCCCCTGCCAGAATCTCTCCAGAAGAAAAGTCTCCACATGTTCATGCCTTGAATCCATGTCCCACCTCACCCGTAATATAAACTTCTTACACAGCCAATGTCTTAACCCTCCTTAGCCCTTGGCCATCCAGTCCCTACTAACACTCTGTCTTCTCTCGCCCATGAAGATATCCCCCTGCACTCACAAGGTCTTCAAGCATAGACACATGGGAAGAAGGGAGGGCATCTGAGAACATGAGGGCGTCAGTACTCACGGCACAATGTGGCCGTCCTCCAGGTCACCACCTTGCCATGCTGGGCACACACGTGGGCATAGGCAGCAATGGTGTCGCAGAAGCAGGCGCAGTCCCCAATGGACTCACAGGAGCAGGTGTCGTAAATGCAGACATCCAGATATGGCTCGGGGTCCACCTGCAAAGGCAGCCTCAGGTGGCCCAGGCCTATGGCCAGGTGTCAGGAACTCTGGCTCTTAGTCTGGGTGCAAATGTTCTGATGGTCAATTTAAGGATAAGGGGGTCCAGGTAGAAGGAGAAATGTAGCTCAATGGTCTCAAAGAGGGAATGAGTGGGAAGGCAAGATTCTTAGTTTCTAATCTGCATTCCAGCAAGAAGAGTTGAATAATGCAGTGCTGCTGGCCTTCTGCAGAACACAATGAGCCTGAGGATTTTCCAGAAGAACATTCCCTCTGTCCCTCTGCCTACCTCCCTGCTCAGCCACCCATCTGTCCTCACAACCCACTCTTAGCCTCATGAGCATGTGGGTGCTTTTACAAAAACACAAACACACATATGTGCTGGTCACTGTCTTTCTTTGCCTCAATTCAGCAAAGAGAATGGGGAAATACATCAGGCCCTGCAGCTGCCTCACTGCAGTGCTATGGGGCAGGTATGCAGGACAATAGGGCCTAGACTCTGATTCCAAATCCAGTTCAACCAGTTCCAACCCTTCCTCATCCCCAAAACACGCCTCTAAACACACTGGACTTTTTCAGGGCAGTTATGACAGAAAATGAATTCAGACACTGAGTGGGTCATTGTTTCCAAGACGTTCCAACAGTCTCAATGTCCCCAACTCCTCCCCTGTCCTCACTCTTCCAACTCAGATGCCCAGGATTTCCACCAAACCAGGGAATGTAAGTATCCTTTGGAGTCCTCAGAGACCGAAAATCACTGCATAGATAGAAAGAGAATTGAGATCCATGTTTTCAACCAGTCTCTCCCACATTGGTGGTGTTACACAGCAGCATGTATGTGTGCATGGCTGTGTGTGTACACAGACTTCTGTAGTCACATATGTCCATGTACAAGCCCATGTCCACATGTGTGTACACACATACATGCAGCAGATAAGAGACAACTGCACTATGGTCGGGCATGGTGGCTCACACCTGTAATCCCAGCACTTTGGGAGGCCGAGGTGGGTAGATCACCTGAGTCAGGAGTTCAAGGCCAGCCTGACCAACATGGTGAAACCTTGACTCTACTAAAAATACAAAAATTAGCTGGGCGTGGTGGCAGGTGCCTGTAATCCCAGGTACTCGGGAGGTTGAGGCAGGAGAATCGCTTGAGCCCAGGAGGCAGAGGCTGCACTAAGCCAAGATCATGCCATTGCACTCCAGCCTGGGTGACAGAGCGAGACTCTGTCTCAAAAAAAAAAAAAAAAGAGAGAGACAACTGCACTTAACCTTGCGGAATTCCTCCTTGTCATTAGAGATGAAGACACAAAAATAAGTCATAATACGAGGACTCAAAATCACCAAAATTAAGGCCAGAAAAGAATTTCTGTGAGACAAGAAATGGGCACCAAGGGGTTTTAGGGGGTGGGAGAGGAAGGTCTTTTGGTCTGGACAAATGCAGCAGTGACAGGAAAAGGAAATCTCTGGCTCTGGTGTTGAAAACAAGATACTTCAATAAGAGAACAAATCCTAAGACTGGGGCTGAAAGAGAAGCATTGGCACATGCCAAGGGGAGTTACTTCTCATGCAGAAGGAAATGTTTTGCCAGGCATTGCTTCCCCTAGAAACTGTTGATTTTACTTTTTGTTTCCCAGATTGAAAGCCAAGAAAAAAAGCCGAAGTGGTGTCTTGGTGCAGATCATGTCAAGACACGAGGGTAGTGTCCACGTTAGAAGGTCACACTCTGTGTCCATACCACCAGGCCAAGCCTTGGGACCGTCTGCTTCCCACTACCCTCAAGGTCCTCACCAGCTTGTTGCAGTCCTGGAAGACGTCACTGGTAAGGATTCTACAGGAGGAATCCACCATCGTCTGCTTCATGATGTTGTTATGGCAGGTGGCAGGGGATGAGTCCAGAGGCACCTGGGAACCAGGCAAGAGATAGGCCAGCCGTCAGCTGGTCAAACTGGGGTTATTCAGCCCAGAAGGATCCAAGAGACCCTCCTTCCCACCCTGCAGCCACCTGGAGGTCATACCACCCACAACCCCCCTTCCAGCCCCCATGACAATGGGGACAGAGGGACATTCCAGGAAGCAAGCTCTAGGGCTCTGTCCACACAGAGACCCAGACGTACTTTTCTGGTGTCAGCACACTGCGAGCTCACTTTCCAGGAGTTCCCAAAGTCCACAGGGTCTTCCTCCACTTGGAGGTTGCTGCTGGTGAGGTCATTGTTCTGGATGCCATCAAAATTCCCACACAGGCCACACACTTTCTCCTTGAGAGACAAGTTGAGGGATGAGCACCGTCAAGCCCAGGAGCATGCTCTCCGGCTCAGGGGAAAGGGGAACATTCCTGGCGGCAATGGAGGCAGAGGGCATTCGAGGAAGAGGAGGAGGAGCGGGACAGAGACTCAGAGGAGGCCCGAGGTGAGCAGCAAAGCCTTGCCATTGCCAAGACCCATTCCTGAGCTTCCTTGCTGGCCCCATTTTATTTAAAGCTATGGAAACAGAGAGGCAACATGCCCATGTCACATAGTCAGCCAAGGGCAGAGGTGGGAATCAGGCAGCCTTGGCCCTGAGATCACTGGTGGGAACTATCACTGTCCCCAACAAGCATAGAAGCAGAGAGAGGAGCCAGGTACACTGCTCCACCAATGGAGGTGTAGGGGTCCAAGGAGGGAAAGTTATAGAACTGCCTGCCTCTGGGAAGGTGAGTCCCCTTGCCTGGAGAAGTGCAGCCTGTTCAGAGTAGGCTGGGCAGAATTCTGCTCTCTCATAAATGTAATCAGGAAGATATGTCTCACCTGTCTCCATGTTCACCCATCATGGAGTGCAACATGCAACAAGTTCTGAAAAAGTAGTTACGAATGAGTGAGAAACAAGTGAAAACTACACAAAGAGGAGGGATAAGTTCTAGTGTTCGGTAGCACCACAGGGTGACTATAATTATCAACAGTTTATTGTATATTTTCAAGTAGCTGGAAGAGCAGACTTTGAATGTTCCCAACACAAAGAAATGGTAAATGTTTGAGGGAACAGATATAGTAACTACCCTGATTTGATCACTACACACTGTATACATGTACTGAAATATCACACTGTCACCAGTAAATACATACAGTTAAATGTCAACTAAAAATAATAATAAAACAAAAAAACTACAGAAAAAACTGGAAATATTTGGCCTGGAGAAGAAAAGGTGCTATACTTTTACAATATACTTAGAGCCCTGATGTTGAGACAAAGAGAAAAAATGTATTCTATCTTGCTTCAATAAGCTGCATTCAGCTTGGTACAAGGGGTGTAAGTCACCAGGAAACATAGAGGAAGAATGTTCTCACTGTTGGGCAAAAGGCCAACGATCTTCCCATGGCCTAGTAGCCCCCATGGTATGGCTACTGCCCCTCCCTGCCCTCGTGAACTACCATTACCCCCAAGTCCCTCCTCTGTAGCCACACTGACCTCCTTGTACAACGGCTGCAGACACCTACCACCTTAAGGCCTCGGCACGTGCTTGTTCCGTCTGCCTAAACTCTCTCCCCTAGATACTGGCATGACTCATTCCCTCCCTTCCCCAAAGATTCTGCTCTTACATCCCCTCTTCACAGGGCTCATCAGCCCAAACTATCTATAGTAACATTCCTGCTAGGATATAATCTGCACCAGGATTATGGAAGGCAAAACAGTGGCTCCCATGGGATGAAGAGTTTAACCTGGATTATCTGTGTGGGCTGAATGTCATCACAGGGTCTGATCAGAGGGAGGCAGGAGGGTCAGAGTTCAAAAGGTGCTGTGACAGACAGAAGCAGAAAAGGAGAAAAAAAGTAGAAGATGCTACATTGCCAGCGTTGAATATGGAGGATGGGGCCACAAGCCAAGAATGCAGGCAGCCTCCGGAATGTAAAAAAGGCAAGAAAAGGGACCTCTCTCAGAGCCTCTAAGATGAATGCAGCCCTGCCCACCAATTTTAGCTTTCCAACCTCTAGAACCATATGATAATAAATGTGTTGTTTTAAGCTATCAAGTTTTTGGTGATTTGTTATAGCAGCAATAAAAAAACAAATACATGGAAGACACATACACACACACACACACACACACACACACACACACCCCTAAACAAAAAAACTTTTTTCCCCTGCTGTATCCACAGCGCCTAGGACCACGTTTGACACATACAGGAACTCAGTATTTGTTGAATAAATGAATGAATGAATTGTTAATGCTTTCTGGGACTGAGATGGGCTGCCACAGAGAAGTGAGGGCAGTGCTGCCTCACTGGCTTGTACAAGCTGAAAATGGATGGTGTTATCAGGGATGCTGTGGAGGCCATTCCTGCCTGACTAAACCAGTGGCTAGAGTAGCCAGAGCCACTTGTCACATACATGCCACTTAAAGAAATCATGCAAGTTCCAACAAACTGTTGGACCCTAAATAGTGGAACCGTTCTCAAAAGTTGGTTATTAGCAATTTTACAAATAGCTCTCAAAACATGCTGGCCCATGACTCAATGATAAGGAAACACCCTAGAATAGTCTGCAGTGTTATACTAATATTGTGCATGATTGGTTTGCTGCTGTAGGTTAAGAAACCTAAAGAAAAGTTGATATTGTCATTCAGATTCAAGAAATACAGAGAACACCACAAAGATACTCCTCAAGAAGAGCAACCCCAAGACACATAATTGTCAGATTTACCAGGTTGAAATGAAGGAAAAAGTGTTAAGGGCAGCCAGAGAGAAATGTCGAGTTACTCACAAAGGGAAGCCCATCAGACTAATAGCAGATCTCTTGGCAGAAACCCTACAAGCCAGAAGAGAGGGGGGGACCAATATTCAACATTCTTAAAGAAAAGAATTTTCAACTTAGAATTTCATATCCACCCAAACTAAGCTTCATAAGTGAAAGAGAAATAAAATCCTTTACAGACAAGCAAATGCTGAGAGATTTTGTCACCACCAGGCCTGCCTTACAAGAGCTCCTGAAGGAAGCACTAAACATGGAAAGAAACAACCAGTACCAGCCACTGCAAAAACATGCCAAATTGTAAAGACCATCGATGCTACGAAGAAACGGTATCAATTAATGGGCAAAATAACCAGCGAACATCATAATGACAGGATCAAATTCACACATGACAATATTAACCTTAAATGTAAATGGGCTAAATGCCCCAATTAAAAGGCACAGACTGGCCAATTGGATAAAGAGTCAAGACCCATCAGTGTGCTGTATTCAGGAGACCCATCTCACGTGCAGAGACATACATAGGCTCAAAATAAAGGGAGGGAGGAAGGTCTACCAAGCAAATGGAAGGCAAAAAAAAAAAAGCAGGGGTTGCAATCCTAGTATCTGATAAAACAGTCTTTGAACCAACAAAGATCAAAAGAAGGCCATTACATAATGGTAAAGGGATCAATTCAACAAGAAGAGCTAACTATCCTAAATATATATGCACCCAACACAGGAGCACCTGGATTCATAAAGCAAGTCCTTAGAGACCTACGATCAGGGAGCAGAAAACACTCCAAAGGCCAAGTCCCCAACAAGATGAAGCAAGAAAGCCACTGACCTGGTATGTCTGCTTCAGGACCACGGAGATGCTCAGGTGGCGGTCCCAGACCACGGAGAGGGCTTTGCCCAGCAGCAGAATGATGTACCGGCCAGACTCCACCACCTCAAAGTGAGTCTCATCCTTCATGGGCCTCTTCACATTCACCTGGAGGAAGACAAAGCAAGAAATCCAGGAGGATGAAGGGCAGGCTCGACAGCCAGATCCTCCCTCCACTCTACACCTGCCCATCTGTCTTCAGTGCCCACGAGTGCAGGCACTGCCACCCCTCCAGGACCCCACCTGCCACTGCACCCCTGCAGGGCCAGCCCCACGCCAGGACATGTCTGTGACCATCTCACCACCACCACTCTCCAGGCATCCATGACCAAGAGACGGTAACAGAGGTAGCAGCAAAATCATGATTATGAAATTAAAGTACTATGAAACCAATGAGCAGGTATTTTATTGACAATTAGTCATTAAATATAGTGGTCTCCTAGATAGGTTTTCAACATGGCAATGATTTTAAGCATCTCTAGTTGATTGTTTAAAAATCTATTCCTCTATAAAAATAAGCAGTAGACTCTCACCTTTCTTGTATCCCACCACCTCCCCCTCCCCAGAGCCACTGTCATCAGGAGACAGAGCTGAAGAAAAAGGAAACTGAGGTGCTCAGTGCTAGTGCTGGGAATCACACACTGCAGGTTCAAGAAGGGCTCTGACCTGAGCCTCTGACTTAGCCCAATCCCTGCCAGTGCTGTACCCTGGAGGACCATTTCAGCATGTGTGGCGGACTCTCCAATTCATCAGACTGAGGCTGAGGCTGAGAACTGCCATCATCCCTTTGCAGAGGTCCTCTCATTAGTAACATATCACATGCAGTGCAGAGCTAATCACATGTGCAAATCTATCCCTCACATGTCTGCACACCTCCTGTTCAGCATCATCACCGCCACTCTGCCCTAAATAGAGCTGTTCTTTGAAATGCAGTTGACACTGCTGACTCACAGTTAATACGTTATGCTTGCTAAGCAGTTTTCTTCCATAATGGTGAAGAATTCACCTCCCATCCCCTGCTGTCAATGGTGGGTATTTGGAAGAAGGCAGAGCTGCAGGCTGAGGCCATGGGAGAAAATGAAGATACCAGGACAAGTTTGTGCCCAGAGCCTGGGTCTCCACAGCACTCCACATAGTCAAAGCAGCGGATCCAAAACTGTGGCCTGGGGATGACCTGCAACTTTAAACACAGGTTCCTGGGCCCCACCCAGACCTACTGAGTCAGAATCTCAGCATGGAGTTCTAGGAGCCACATTTTAAACAAGATCTCCTAAGGGAGTCTTGTGTACACTTATGAGAACTACTTTTTAAGTTCTTAGTACACAGGGGACTGAATTAGTTTACTCCTCTTTTGAGCTCCTTTCTGGCCAGGCATGGTGGCTCATGCCTGTAATCTCAGCACTTTGGGAGGCCAAGGCAGGTAGATCACCTGGGGTCTGGAGTTCGAGACCAGCCTGGCCAACATGGCGAAATCCTATCTCTACTAAAAATACAAGAAATTAGCCGGGCACGGTGGTGTACACCTGTAGTCCCAGCTACTAAGGAGGCTGATGCAGGAGAATCGTTTGAACCCTAGAGGTGGAGGTTGCAGTGAGCAGAGAGATCACACCACTACACTCCAGCCTAGGCAAAAGAGCGAGACTCCATCTCAAAAAAATAAAGTATTTATCTGAAAAGAACAGAAAAACATATGAAACATATCCCATAACATCATCACTTCATACACACACACACACACAAAGAAACCCGGCTACCCTCCAGTCCCCACCCTACTCTAGAGGTGAGCACTGGTTCTTCCCACGTTTGTGCAGACACATGTGCACATCCTTCACACACACTCTGCACTGTCGCTAAAATGGGATTGTGTCATCCCTATTGTTCTGCCACTTGTTCTTCTCATAAAATAATACGTCACGGTCAGTTGCAATAGCTCTGCCTCATCCTCTTTAATGGCTGTGCGTTATTCCATTCACACGAGCTCTAAATGAATGCTTGGAAAATGTTCCTATTAAGTGGCAGAAGCACAAAGCGGGACATGAGGGTGGAGATGAGGCTGCACTTACCTCCCCGTCAAACAGCTCAATCTCTCCTCCCTCCACCAGGATGGTGACCCGTTTCTTGCATTTCACTGAGGGGTGGCTGCATCCCTTATTCCCCACTAGGATCCGAAAGGTCCCAGGGTTACTGCCGCAGTAATCCTGGGGAAAGAGGAGTGCCAGGAGAAGACCATTATCCCCACTGGCTCTCACCAGACCAGAAGATTGGCATCTCTTCATCACAGGCCTTTGAGTACGTGTCACAGGATCTTGCCACGTCCATGGCTGCGCATATGTGCCTCTGTGTGTGTCTGGGGGACGGGGGATATGCCCAGGTGAATGCCCTCAGGTGTGTCAACCTCGCCCACGACAGATGAGCCAGGTGCCTGCAGTGAGTGGGGTGGGGGTGGGGAAGGAGGGGGAGGGAAGGAAGGTGACATGTGGCCTGCTTCGATGGATGCATCAGGCTCAAAGGCCTTGCCTAGAGCCCATTAGAGTCCCACTGGAGCCTTGCCTAGAGTCCCACCCAGGTAACTGGGACAGTTTGACCACAGGGCACTTTGTGGCTCTGAATTCTGGTTGAATCCCTCTGCACTGCTGGCCCAGAAATGGAACCAAAGATGGTTTGACACAGCTCCATGGGTCCTGAGCTACCAAGTCGAGATGAGTAGAGAGGATAAGGAGCTCTGGTCCTTGTTGGTCAATTGCATAGAAAATTAAGCAAAAGGGGACACATTCCTGGCAAATGCCTCCCCCATGGTGGCTATTATTGTGATGTGATGAAAAAGAAAGATAAAATGTTCAACTTAGAAAAACAGAGTGTGTCGCTTGAACCCGGGAGGCGGAGGCTGCAGTGAGCCGAGATCGCACCACTGCACTCCAGCCTGGTGACAGAGCGAGACTCCATCTCAAAAAAAAAAAAGAAAAGAAAAGAAAAAAGAGGCCGGGCATGGTGGCCCACGCCTGTAATCCCAGCACTTTGGGAGGCTGAGGCGGGCGGATCACGAGGTCAGGAGATCGAGACCAGCCTGGTTAACACGGTGAAACCCCGTCTCTACTAAAATACAAAAAATTAGCCGGGCGTGGTGGCGGGCGCCTGTAGTCCCAGCTACTAGGGAGGCCGAGGCAGGAGAATGGCATGAATCGAGGAGGCGGAGCTTGCAGTGAGCCGAGATCGCACCACTGCACTCCAGCCTGGGTGACAGAGCGAGACTCTGTCTCAAAAAAAAAAAGAAAAAATAAAAACAAGGTGTGAATCTTGATTCTGCCACTTATTGGTAACACTGAGCAAACCACTTACCTTTCTGACACACACACCCACACACACACATACACCCAAATACACACAGGCACATGCATACACTCAAACACACATATACATACATCTATGTACTCATACACACACTCACACACGTGCTCACACATACACAGATGCACACACATACACCCATGTACTCATACACACACACACGCATACACATACATACACACACGTAGCCATACACACACACGCGCTCACGCATACACACACATACACCCATGTACTCATACACAGTCACACACACGCACATGCATACACCCACACACACGCACATGCATACACCCACACAGACATGCTCATGCATACACACATGCACACATACATGCATACATATGTCCATACAACACACACAATCTGACCTCTAAGATTCCATTCAACTTAATGGAATTGTCAGGTTAAATGGCTTTGTGTTAGGTCGATGCATGGCGAAGGTTAAAAGAGGAAACAAGGGTGTAGGTGTTTTATTTGTCCTTATCTTCAGCTGAGATTTCTGAAAGAGGGAGTTAGGTCTTGATGATACTCCCCAAAGGAGGATGGCAGAAAGGGGAGGGGCCCCAGGACAATGCATCAGAAGACAACAGAACCAGCTGTAGGAAAGGAAAACAAGCCACACACAAGGGGCACCGTTTGGAGGGGGAGTCTTTAAAACTGGTCCACTTGGGAAAGCTGGCCTGGGCAGGGAAGGGCTGGGAGCAGCAGATGCTGACCAGCTGTCTGGTCCTTGCTGCACTGAATTAATTTTTTCCTGGATGTTCAGATTTGAAATGGGCTGGGCAGTTGTTCTGCAAAGCTGGTGTCGCCCTCTCTTTTGCTGCTGAGGCTGGGAAACTTCCATATAGAATCTCTGGGAAAGCTCTAAAGGGGCGCATATCCCCCCGGATCATAGGTTCCCTGCCTGGTCTGCATGCCCTGTGTCCCCAGCACACTGCCTGCCTCTCTGGGCCAGCCCGGGTGTGAGGTGGGGACTGAGGAGGCTGCTGTTGGCTCCGCCCCATGCCCAGCATGCTCTACACGAGTGGTCGGTCCACAGTCACCCACGCTGCCTGACTCACCAGCTCCTGCAACTCAGCCTCTGGGGCTGGGGCTCCTATGGGTTTGTGGTCTTCCATTCAGACCACACCAAGCTCCCGCCCCTCCTCCTCCTGGGAATGGAGACAGAGGGACCATATTTGTTCAAAGCTTCACAGAGTACAGTGCCTCAGCTCTGGTGAGAAAAGCACTCATACTTCCTTGCTTACACAGTTGATGTCAACCAGAAAGAGAAACTTACAAGAATCCACGCAGTGGGGAGTGGGAGGCAGAGGGGCTGCTGCCCACACTCACCGTGAGGATTCCTGGATCGCTCTCATCTGCTGGGCAGGATGACTTTCCTGTGTCCCATCCTCCCACTCCTCCCATTCTGAATTGTACCAAGTTAGACATTAAAATGGCGGAGAATTCCACAAAGCCATATCGTGGGAAGCAAACTCCAGGGGTCATTTCAACCATCCCCCTGTCCAGGGCCACTGCACAACACCTGCAGACTGTGCACTGCCCAGGGTGCTGGAAGGGAGGCTGAGCGGGACTGACTTCCCAGCCCAACCCACTCCCTAAGCTATGCACCCTGACTGAGGCTGTGTCTACCAGAAGGAACAGATGACTTTTTCTAATTCCACATCTGTGCTAATGTGGACTAGCAGTAGCCTTTCTCCCACACCAATCCTCAACAACAAACAAGCTTCTGTCTCGTTTTATAAGTCCCCAGGTGAGCAGAGGGAAAATGGACAACCACTTTGAGCTTCAAATCCCCTACCGCTTCAGGCACTTCTGTGAAGGACTGGGAAGTACTCCAGTAGAAACCAGACCCCAGAGTTGTTTCTGCAGACAGATCCACAGAACCCAACCTGAGGCCACACCTCCCACCCCTCCTAGAAAGAAACAGCACCCTCTCCCCATCTCCCCACCTCTCACCTGCACCAGAACGTACTGGCACTCCCCGGGGAACAGGTATTTGAGCCCGTCGAAGGTGAGGTAGTGGGCCATGCCGATCGTGGAGCACGTGGCATCACACACATGGTCTGTGCAGTTCCACTTCCGGTCCTGACAGACACTAGGAGCAGTCATGGCAGAGATGACAAGTTGGGCACCTTGGGTTTGAGGGGCCCATCTGGGCCATGGAGGCAATGAAGGAACACAGAATACTCTGGGTGCCTCCCAACCCTCCAGGAAGCCCAAGGAAGTTGAGGACCTGTAGCGTGGAGTGTGGACTTCATAGGCCCAGTATGGTGCCCAGCAGGAGACAGGGAAGCCTAGTGGCTGTCCCTAAAAGGGGGAAACTGAGGCAAAGAAGGGAAGGGGTTGTCCAAAGTGAGCCAGGCAGCCAGGGAGGAGGCCCGGATGCTCTTTAGGCCTCCTGTTATGAATTCGCTCAGCCTCACCCTGAAAGCCACATCTACCTGAGATTGGCCACAGGGTGTCTGTAAAACAGACACACTGATGTTGAAAGCCTGAGGCTAATGGGAAAAACAAGACAGAACAGTGGGAAAGCCCAGAGTATAGAAAAGAGTGATGAAGTACGCACTTCTGCCAGGAGCAGTCCTGTGTGCATAGCTACACGTTAAGATGTATGTAGCTACATGTTAAAATCTATAGTGATCTGCCCACTGCCACGTGTCCCTCCCTGCCACCACCCGTAACCAGAGCTGACATCAAGAAGCCCACTTGTGCGTCAGAGGTGGTAAGCTCAGACCTCAAGCCCAAGAGACAGCCCTCTCTACCTCTGTCCAGTAGGCCTCTTTCCAAGGCTGTGCACAGCCACCAAGTCAAAGGCAGGGTGAATGAGCAGGGTGAGGGGTTACGTGCAGGATGGCCAAGGAAAAGGGAGAAGGCAACCAGCCACCCTCACCTCAAACCACGCCACTGCAAGCACACTCACGAAGTGCTCATGGGCAGTGTAAGGCCTGCAACGAAAGGACCCTCCAGACCCCGTGCCCACTGGCAGCTTGGCCCAAATGCAATGACTGGTGGGGCGAGGTCCCTGTCTTCCCTGGGGCCCATCTCCCTGAACAGAAATACAAGCTGAGCATTCCTAATCCAAAACTCTGAAGTCCAAAATGTTCTGAAACCCAAAACTTTGAGCACCAACATGACACCACATGGGTGGCTGAGAGGGTGACACCTTTACTTTCTGATGGTTCAATGTACACAAAACTTTGTTTCATGCACAAACATTAAAAATACTAAATACACATTAAATACATATTTAAAATGTTGTATAAACTTACCCTCAGGCAACGTGTATAAGGTATATATGAACCATAAATAAATGTCATGTTTAGATTTAGGTCCCATCCCTAAGACACCTCATTATGTATATGCAAATATTTCAAAGTCCAAAATAATCCAAAATCCAAAACAGTTGTGGTCCCAAGCATTTCGGATAAGGGCTACTGTACTAACCTGTTGAATAGTGTCTATGCAGGATGGACACAGGTGATGAAAAAGATTCTCCCCATTTTACAGATGGAGAAACACAGGCACGGAGGAAAGGCAGAGAGTAACCAGGTTCCCACAGGGGGCTGGAGGCAAGTGCGGAAGGTCCTGTGGCCGCGTGCACCCTCACTCCACCCGCAGGGCCTGGGTCCCCGGCGCAGCCCCTCACTGAGCCTCACCAAGTGTTGCAGCCAATCTTCACTGTTTCTCCAGGGGCATACTCCTTGCCCTGATGGAAGCAGGGACACCTTTCCAGGGCCACACATCTGTTCTCATGCCGGACCTAAGAGAAAAGAATCCAAAAGTCCTCAGGGCCACAGTGACTGATCTAAAGCCCTCCTCCAGCCCGCTCCAGGAAGTGTTGTCTGAGACTTGAGCCTACGGGTAAGCCCAGCACTGGGACTGGCACCAGGACCAGGGCTGAGCCAGGGGGACAGCTTCCACTGCAGGCCAAGCCAGGACAGGGATCCTATGCCCAGGCCAGGGCTTGGCAAACATGGGTTCCCATCTACATGGCTCCTCCCTGTCAACTAAAGACACTGACTGCCCTCTGCCCTCTCGTGCCCTGCTGGGGCACTGTAACCTGGACATTTTTGCAAAGGTACTTCAAAAAATCATGTCCAGAGGCCTTGAAATGCACATATTCTTACACCTAGCCATCCCAAGGAAAGGATTTCTCTGAGGGAAATAGAATTATGGACAAAGATTGATGGAGAATTATTTATCATTGCAAAAAAAAATTGGAAACACTTAATAGGAAAATGACTAAATCCATTGAGGAATCACCAGGCGCCAGTATCCTATGGTGCTATTACAATGGTCCTTTGGAAGAATCTTAAATGAAGTGAGAAATACTTATGCTGTTAATTTTTAACACAGGAAGAAAAACTGTATATACATATGGTTCCAAATGTATATATATTTCACAAAAGACTAGAAGGAAATACAGAATCTGCCTCCAGGTGGTGAGCTGGGATAGGCGAGTGGGAGGATTTTATTTTCTTTTTCAGTTTTAAAATTTTTTTCCAAGTGTTCTTCAATGAGCATGTATTATGTTTATAATTAAAGAAAATGAACACTATATTGAATAAAATTAATATGTACTTAACACTCTGGAGGTGAGGGCCAAATATTGGGCATAAGTAGAAATCGATCAGAACTAGAGTCTGGGGGCTGGTCCAAGCCACAGGCCCCCTCCTGCCCAGTCTCCCGTATCCCGGTTCACTCTCCATGGGGTATGCTCTACTTCCCCGTCGTCACCCCTCGGGAAACTACTTTCGTGAGCATGTTGTATTCCTCCGGTCTGTTGGGGCTGAGAAAATAAAAGAACTAAGAACTACCAGCCCCAGAAGAGTCAGCCAAACCCACTCTGAGCTCAACATGCAGACACGCTTCTGTCCCGACTCCAAGGGGCAGCCCTGGGTGCCTGTCCTGGTGTGGCCTAGCCTTGGGGGTTCTCAAAGAGGCCTGGGTCACCCCCAGGTGAAGGACTGTGGCACCTTGGCTCCAGAGCTCCCTGCAGGGCGAGAAGCTCCTGGTCTGAACAGTTCCAGCTCCACGTGACCCAGTCACTCCCCAGACAAGTCTGAGCTCCCAGGCCTGGAGCTGGACAAATCCCTGGGAACAGGGCAATCTTGGGCTGAACAAAGGGCTTTCAAGGACCCAGGCTAGAATCGTATGTGAGCATGTGTGTGTTGGGGCGGTTGGGGGGAGGGAAATAGGAAGAATCCTCCACTGCTTAATGTCATCTTCACCCAACCTCAGGAGGTGTTCCCGCATCTCTGGAAGCCCAGCTGATGGGTCAGGATGACAGTGCAGGGCATAAGATGCAGGTTGACCCCACTCTTGGTAGCTCTTACCTCCCGGAACCACTGTTCTTGGGAGGGAATGAGCTTAAGCACCCAGTAGGGAAGATGGCACCTTGGTAGGAGCTGGCAGGGCTGAAAAACCTCTCTCTAGCAGAGCATTCAAAGCCTCTGTCACAATTAGGGTTCATGTCCACATCGCCCCGTCCAGTGTCAGCTCTGACTTAAGCCTGAGGCCCACCACCTAGTGGCTGCTATAAGAATGACTGAGGTATCCCACGGATGCCTTACAGTCAACGGAAACCAGATAATACGCCTCCTTGTGGCAAATACCATGTGGGACAGAAGTGCAGGGACGGACTCCAGGAAACAGAGCCAGGCTCCCCTTACCTCAGCAGCACATGTTGCCCCTCACCCTTGGGCAGGCCGGGCTGGGGGCTCCCAGGCCTCTTGGTCTGCATGCTGCATGTTTTTACCTCTCGCCATGATATTCAACCCATGGGACAACCCACCATGCCTCCTGTCACCCAGGTGTGGGTCTATGGAAGCCCAGCCCTCCTCCAGCGGACAGAACACTCCAGTCCCAGCTCAGGTGTGAGATAACAATGCCATGACTGCAGCCGCCACCTCCTCCTCCTTCTGAGCACCCACTGCAAACCACGTGGCTGCTCTCTGCCGACTCGTGTTAGCAAGAGGAGGTTATTAATTCATGGACAGCAATATTATAATAGGACCTTGATATTAAGTGAGGACTGCTATGAAGGCCACAGTGGTGTGGAGTTAGGTCATAAGAGAGCTGGAGAGGAGACAAAACATAATCTTCAATGAGAGGAAAGGGTTTCCAGGACACAGCATGAGACTTCCTGACTTGGGAGAGAAGAGCAGGTAACAATAGCCCAGCTAAAAACACCCAGAGAATCCCAAAGTGGCAAAGACATTCAGGGAGGTGGAAATTCATGGAGGTAGATAGGCCTGGAAATAAAGGGGTAATTTAGGGGATGGATTGGACCCAGAGGGGAGCTGTGCAGAGAGGCGGGGCAGGCCAGCACAACAGTCCCTGGCCAAATTTTGTGGCAAGTCACTTAAACCTCACAGTTAAAATGAAGAGAACCACCTCCGTCTAGTGTTTGTCCCTTCGGGACATCAAAAGGCTACTAAGATAAAGTCTATGAATGTCCCCTGAAGACTTCAGAAGAAAGCCTGGCAAAAATACTCGTCCCATCACTCACCAACTCATGACATCTTCAGTCCGAAAGGGGTCAGGCTGAGAACGTGGTCCTACGTGTTGGTCCACTCCAAGAAAATTATAAAGTAGGAAAATACTGGTCTTGTTACCTTTCTCTGAAAAGGCCCCATTGTCCCCAACTCTCCATACATGAACACCATCGTGACCCACTCTCCAGAATCTTTTTTACCTTCCAACTGCCTCTCGTTCATTCTCCTACCCCATCAGTACTTTCAGGCCAAAGCAGCTGAACTCAGCCAGAAGCTTGCGAGGAGGAGAGTGATCTGATTAAAGCACTCCTGCTGAGCGTGATGACTCCTCCTATGAAGACTTATGAGGTTCCGCTTTTTTTAAACCTCTCGCTTGTTAACCAAAATGAATTTTTGCTTATTATATTTCAGTAAGCCCGACTGAGTGACAAATCATGGACCATGTAGGAGATATTTCTGAAACAGGCCCTTCTTTGGATCTTTTAAAATGTGCAACGCCCACATGTGAGGCCGCCTCTGGATGGGCCCTTGAACCCAAGCTCTGAACTTTAAGAAGTGGTGCCCAACTCCTTCAGTCTTCACATGGGGCCAGTGAGGAAACTGGACATCCTGGGATCAGGGACATAACCACACTTCTCGCCACCAAGAGGCTCCTAATACCAGCAGTTTGGGAGATGTAGCTGCTAGGTTTCAAACGGGAAGTCAGCATCTCCCAGACAGAGGCCTAAGTGTTTCAGATTACAGGAGCCCTGGTCTCAGAGTCAGGAGACCAGAATTTCCACTATACAACTATGAAGGCTTGACCCGGCTCTGTTCCCTTTCTGTCCTCAGTCTCCTCCCGTGTGATAGAAGGGGCTGACATAATGGGACCTCAGGGTTTCTTCTTCTCTGCCCTCTACGATGCTCCCAGAGTTACCCTTGCCGCCGGACTCAGGAAGGGTGAGCAGGGCAGTGAGTTGTGCTTTGCTGTCACCTAGTGGTGGTAGCAGGTAATATTCTAACTTAAAGAGATGGATGCTTCAGGCAAGCATGGCTCCAAGAATTTCTGAACTAGAGAAAAATACCTGGGAGATCTTCCAGCACAACCCCCTCATTTTATCGATCCGGCAGGTCTCAGAAAGTGAACACTGGGATCTAAAAAGATGCTCCTGTGTGTGCTAATTCCCTGCAGCATCTCTGTTCATGGCAGGATTCACCGTTTCCCACCACGAACTTACTGTAATAGTTAGTGGTCATTAAACCACCACTCACTAAGCACCTCCCATGTGCTCGCTGCTCTCATCTCCAGTCTTCCCAACAGCCTGCAAGCCAGTTTTACAGATAAGAAAATTAAGACGCCAAGATGTTAAGTGACTTGCCACTCACTTAAGTAGATGTTAGGAGGCAGGATTCAAACCTGGAAGTGTGAGGTTCCGATACCATGCCGTTTCCAGGCGGTTTCTCTGCCCTTCATTTATCACGGTGCGGACCACTTAGCAAAGGGACCCCCATCCTCCTCATTCCCATGCCAGGAGACCTTTGCACGATGGCAGGAGCAGATACAGCCTGCAGCTTGTGGGGTCAACCAGAAAACCTCTGCTCTAAGCAGGTGCCAGGCCTGGGACAAACCAGAAAGAGAGGGGTTCTTTCTCTGCCCCCGCCAATATTTTCAAACAGGTGCTTCTGGGCATACGGTGGACACTGAGAGGCACCTTAGAGGAGGAGAGACAATCTTCGGCTGAGAACAGGGCTGCTCAAAGTGCATTCCCTGGGCCAGGGCCAGCCTGTGAGGACGCAAGCACAGAAACTAAGAGAAAGTGTTTAGAAAATCTTAGGGAAATTTGGCAGAGTCATGTTATGTCTGTTATATGTCATAAAAAGTGGGAAGTAAGAGTTTAGATTTAGGGATCATGAAAAAAAGGAAAGAAAACATTTTTTAAGGCCGGGCATGGTGGCTCACACCTGTAATCCCAGCACTTTGGGAGACAGAGGTAGGCAGACCACCTAAGGTCAGGAGTTCGAGACCAGCCTGGCCAACACGGCAAAACCCCATCTCTACTAAAAATACAAAAATCAGCTGGGTGTGGTCGTGTGCGCCTGTAATCCCAGCTACTCAGAAGGCTGAGGCAGGAGAATCACTAGAACCTGGGAGGTGGGGGTTGCAGTGAGCCGAGACCATGCCACTGCACTGCAGCCTGGGTGACAGAGCAAAACTCCGTCTCAAAAAAATTTTTAAAAAAAAAAGAAATTTTTTTTTTTGAGACGGAGTCTCGCTCTGTCGCTCAGGCTGGAGTGCAGTGGTGCAATCTCAGCTCACTGCAACCTCCGCCTCCTGGGTTCACGGCATTCTCCTGCCTCAGCCTCCCAAGTAGCTGGGACTACAGGCGCCCGCCACCACGCCCAGCTAATTTTTTGTATTTTTAGTAGAGACAGCGTTTCACCGTGTTACCGGGATGGTCTCGATCTCCTGACCTCGTAATCCGCCCGCCTCAGCCTCCCAAAGTGCTGGGATTACAGGCGTGAGCCACTGCGCCCAGCTGAAAATATTTTTTAGTTGGGTGGGATCATATTATTTTTGTCATTGCTTTTGTTTTATTTTTATGAGAATTCATTTTTATTGTATTTACAAAAGCATGGGTCCACAGCAGGCTGGAAATCTAAGAAAAAGCATCCTTTACAGGTCTCTCCTATGGACAGCAGGAAGAACTGATGGGTGCAGCCTCTGAGACAGCCTTGGATAGTTACAGAAACAACAATGAAAGCTATTCCTACACTTCTGTAGAACTCTCTGGCTTTAAAGTGCTTTCACACACATCTCCTTGGGGCCCACAGCCATGCATCATGGAGGCAGAACAGGAATTCGGTGTCTACGTAACACATGAGGTGACTGGGCTTCCGGTAAAGACTGAAGGATTGCACAAGAGCATGGAGTGGGAAAGCAGGGAAGCCTGGCCTGACGGGTCTGCCCTCTGCACCCCATTCCTGCTCTTTCTGCCCCCCGCAGATCTGCCCCCGGGAAAAAGCCACTTCCCTTTCCCCTGTCAAGTCCTCAGAAGAATGCAGAATCCGTGACCCCTTCCCCAAGCCCTTAGTGACATCCCACAACCCTGCCCCTTCACAAGGGACAGACTGGACAGAGGAACACCCCGAGGGATGATGTCTGCACCATCAGATGGGCCCAAACAGGGTGTTTCCAGGCCCAGCTCCATTTTCTTTGTGTTATGGCCAAGAACACGTGTCCCGTGCTGCAGGCGGCACGCTGCGCACCCTTAATAAATTACACGGACTTCTCTGCTCTCTCGAATCTGGCCGCAATAATTTGCACACTCGCCGGCATCGTAAGGAAGCAGTTGTGAAAATAACCGAATCTCTTACAATATGAACCTGCAAGTTAGAATCCCCTGTGGCTGAAGTGCGAGTCACCTCGTCACGTGACAGGTATCCAAGTGCTGTCCTCAGAATGCATGCCCAGTGCTTCAGGAATGAAATGAGCGCCTAACAGGATAGCCACAGCCTGTATTTGAGGTCCCGCTGTCCTCTTTTTTGGATTTGGGGTCATAATATAATTATTGTGGTTACTAATATTTAAGGCTATCTGTATTTTTTCCTTCATGACAAAAAAGTTTGTTTCAAAGCATATCCGATGCTGACATAGTCCTCTGAGTGATGTTCCTTTTCCTGCTGAGTATGATGAAGAGACAATGATCTATGCTTTCCCCACACCAAAGCTCTGAGACACTCTACCTAAGAGGCCCCAGGGATAAAGAAGAGCAATAAGGAAGATTCCCCTGCCCTCTCCTATTTTTTGTTCCTACCCAGGTCTGAGATTCCCCACCTTAGAGACCCTTCGTGATATCCACCTTCTGCTAAGGCACCAAACAACCCTTCCAGTTCAAAGGTGCTCATTGGCCAATCGCTAGCTCTCCTCATCAGAAAAGACAGTTCCAAAACCCTCAGAGGCTAAGACAGAGGAGGAGAGAATTAACAAGAGTTGGTCTCTCTGTTTGGGAGAAGAAAGAGTTGAAGGGGAAGTAGAAAAGTAAGCATCTGTCCTTCACACACTGCAATCCCAGCCTTCCTGAGAGACACTGGTAATTGAGTCCACATTCCCTCTACAGAATATTGACAGGTCCCACAGTCCAGGACACTTCCCCTCAAGCAGAGTCCTGGGCAACACTAAGTCCCCTCCAAAGCCATCTGAGAGCCACCCTCTCCCATTCTGGCCTCCACAGCCTCTGCCCCAACTCCTCACCATTCACTTTGGGTATAAGGAATTGGAGTTGGGGAAAACAAGAAGACAGGATGCATTTTGAAAGAGAAACATCTGGAAGTTGCATCCTTCAGGATGTATGCGTAATCTATTTAATACAACGCTGGCTAAGATTAGACTTGGGAGGGAGATAAGGAGGAGTAGGCATGCTCAGATCATTGCCACCAGCAGCAGAACATCCACATAGGAGCCAGGAGTCGCAAACCAGCACGGCCTTGGATGCACGGCCTCCATGCCTGTTTCAGGCACAGCACCGGAGTCATGGAATGTTAAGGGCTGGCCAAGACCTCACGACTCACATTACAGATGAGGAAAACAAGTTTCATTGTGGGGAAGAGACTTGTTGGGCCCATGGCTTGCTAGTGACACGGCAGGGCCATCAATGTCTTTTTTTGAAATAGAAAATTATATGCATATACGTCAATCATATGCAAATATATATGTGTCCCTCCATTTTCATAGCATGGAAGGCGGCCCCTGGGAAAATTCTAGTGGGAATGCTTGTTTTTACTAGTACGTATTTTCTGGAAATTCTTTGCTTCCTATGGCACTCCTGTAAGCTAAGTTCTTATATTTTTGTCAGATCCTGTGAGGATCAACCCCAGGCATTTTCCTAACAACTCCCTCCCTGACTTTGGCAGGGAGGAGACAGAAGAGCCTCCCCTCCTCCATGCCCCCATTACCAGCACCACCTCCATTGCTATCCGTGTTTAGCCCTTGTTTCTTCCTCTCTCTGGCTGCACAGCCCCCTCACTCATCCCTGCCTACAAGAAAACTGAAGGGCAGGCACCAGCTCTGTGCCTGGTGACTCACCATGCCCGGGGGGCAGAGGCAGCCAGAGACACAGCCCATGCTCATGCACTCCAGGTCATAGTTCTGGCACGTTTTGGTACACTCGAGCCCTTCAGCCCGCAGGTTGTCAGCGGGACACACCAGCTTGACCATGGGGGGCCGACAGGATAGGCTCCTTTTGCCTCGAAGGTAGGAAAAGCAAAGAGATGATTAGTGAAGGAGAGAATGGACCTACCTTCCACACTGTCCTTTGGTCCCCTAGAGTCTGTGACTAAATTCAAGAGACTCAGAGTTGCCCACTCACGGGGACCAGCAGCTGCCTGAGCCAGGGTCCCTGTGTGGGACTGGGAGGGCATCTTCTCACCTGGGCTTCTGACCTCTGGCTTACATTGGTGGCAGCTCTTCTGACCCCAGCTCTCATCTAATGTCCCATACTTGTCATCACCCTTAACCTTGCTATAGCAGGTTACATTGAATCAGGATGCATTGCAGAAATTTCCAGACCCAGGCTTGAAAAGACCTGAGTTTGGGTGCTAAAAAGGAGTTTTAATGGACCCAACAGAATCATTCCTAAATGGTTACAACTAATGTGGGGAGAGAAGGCCATCTGACCACAATGGCTTTAAAAGAGATCTCTGCTCGCGTCAGCCCCTGCCCAGCCACTCCATGCGAATTTGCAACACCCGCAACACTCCATCCCTGGACACTCCAATCTCCCCTCCCTGCTGCTTCCCCTCTGATATCCTATATATGTTCTTCTCACCATCTGATATACTACACATCTCACTTACTTGTTTACTGTCCTCCCCAAGCCACTGGGCCCACTAGAACGCATGTTCCATGAAGCCAGGGATTTCTATCTACTTTGCGCATTGACATATCCTACTTCGTGGCAATTAGTAGGTATCAATGGCTAATTGGGTAATACTGACAGCAGATGACTGATACAGCACCTTTCTTTCCAAAGCCCAGGTGCACTTAATAGCATTTGTATCACATACTCGCTCCTCTGGGCAAAACAGTCAAAATTTCTAGCCTTATTTTTATATGGAAACTCTTGTTAGAAAACTGAAACTCCAAAAGGCTAAACGGCTTTTCCCAATCTGCACAGAATCCCAGGAGTTTCCTGACTTTGAAAAATATTACATTTTCCAGTGACCAGACTAGAAGATTCTGAGCAGAAGCACGGAAGGTAGGTCTGAGAGGCAGAATGCAACAGAGAGTGGGTGTGGGGAAAACTCTCTGAGAGGGACAGAAGAAGACACAGAAGGATGGAGTGATCTTGAGGTCACAAGTTCTGGTCTCAACCTTTGAGCCACCCATGCCCTCGGGATCTTGCCCCAGCTCTAGGCTGAGAGACGCTCTCCAGTCGGTCACGCCAGGAGCCAGACCTGTCACGCAGGGCAAGCCAGGAAGCAAACACCATGGCACAGAACTGGGTCCCTTGGACAGAAGGAGCCTTGTGGAAAGTGAGAGGCAGAGAGGGAAGCAGTCAAGCTGGAGATTGAAGATAGCCATTTATCTCTCTCCCACTGGAAGAGTCCTTTCTAAGCAAGGATAAGCCTTCTGGAAGCAAATAAGGGTGCTGCAATCCATAAATGTAAATGTGAAACCCCCAGTACCAGGTCAGCCCCTTCTCCCTTCCATGCCTGGTCCTTAAACAGTACAACAGGCCAGGCGTGGTGGCTCATGCCTGTAATCCCAGCACTTTGGGAGGCCGAGGCAGGCAGATCACTTGAGGTCAGGAGTTCAAGACCAGCCTGGCCAACATGGCAAAACCCCGTCTCTACTAAAAATACAAAAAATTAGCCAGGTGTGGTGGCGCATGCCTGTAATTCCAGCTACTTGGGAGGCTGAGGCACGAGAATTGCTTGAACCCAGGAGGCAGAGGTTGCAGTGAGCTGAGATTGCACCACTGCACTCCAACCTGGGTGACAGAGTGAGACTCTCAAAAAAAAAAGACAGTGCAGCCACCGTTAGGACCTTCGAATGGAGAGCAACGGACCCAACCCTTCTCTTTCTCTCTTTCAAACCCATCCAAGAAGCTTTCTCAAGGAAGAGCTGTCTTCATCAGCATGTCCATAGGAAACAAGAGGCCATCAAAGAAGGGTGACTGTCATCACAATCAAGGCCACCAACTCACAGCTATCCACTGGGTTAAGGTCTCCACGGGCAAAATAGGGGTCTCATAGAATTTATCTGCAGGTCTTTCCCCTTACACGAAATCAAATACTCCTTGCCTCAATGGTCGGGATTGACACATGCAAAGACATGCCTTGGCCTGAAAGTCACTCACACAAACCCAGAAATGAAGGCGATCCTGGGCGAAGCCAGACCCATGCCTGGGTGCACACGCACATCTGACGGTGTCACCCAGCTCTCTCCCGCCATTCCACACGTGAGGAATCTGGGCAGGATGGAGTCAATGGGCCTTCCAGGGGGACAGTACTCACTGCGATGAGACAGGGGACTGCTGAGGACAGCGTCAGGCAGCAAGCTTCCGGGGACTCCACTCATGGTACAGTGCATGAAGCCATCCTCACAGTAGCTGCAGAGAAGAAAATCATAGCCGAGCTTCACGAGACTCGTCTATACTCGCTGCCTCCACATCTTCACCTCCCACTCACTCTCTGCCCCTTCCAACCAGGTCCCAGTCCCATAACCCCTCCTGAAGCACAGCTTGCTAACGTTACCAATGGATGATCCCCACGTCACTAAATCCCATGGGACTTTTTTCAGTTATTTGCTTAATTGATCCCATTCAACATTATTCATCACTGTTGAACACTCCACTCTTCTAGAAAAAAAATATTTCTCTCTCCAGGTTTTCCTCCCACTTCCTTGGTTCCTCCTTCTCAGCCTCAGCTTTCATGTGCCCCCACTGCCTGGCCTTTCAATATCGGCCTTCCCCAGGCTCTGTCCTAGGCTCGCTCCTCTTCTCACACTCTGCTGCCATCCCCAGTTCCAATCACAGACATGACTCATAAATCTACATCAGCAGCTCGGACCGCTCCTTTGAACCCCAGACCCATATACTCAAACGCCTACATGGTCTCACTAATGTAGTGAGTCTCAAACACACCTCAAACTCAGTATATTCAAAACTAAACTCATGATCCCCCGACCAAAGCCAATTCTCCTCCAGGGCTGATTCACTGAATGGTGACGCCATCCATCTGGCTTCGCAACCAGAAACCCAAGATCATCCCTGCCACTGTCTTCTCCCTCATCCTCTGTATCTGATTCATCATCAAGCCCTTGGACTTGGCCTCCAACATACCACTGAAATTCATATCCACTTTATCTCCACTGTCATGAGACAAGACACTATGACCTCTTGCCTGGACTATGTAAAAGTCTCCTAACTGACTGCATATTTTTATAAAACGTCTGTGGTTGCTTTGTATGTATGTTTAGTTTGTATAAATGATATCACATAGCATGCTGTGTTTTGCTTTTCCCATCGAGCACCGTGTTTGTAAGATTCATCCCTGTGAAGACACGGACCACTTGTCTGTGACTTCTGTTGCACAATACACCTTTTACCCACTCAGTGTCCCAGTGATTGACATAGGTTGTCACCTGCTCCTTACCACCACAAACAAAGCTGTGCTGAACATCTGCAGACATGTGTCCTAATGAATGTGTATAAGGATTTTAGTCTATCTGCACAGAGGCAGAAGGGCGGGGATAGCAGGTGTGAATACCTGACCTGCACATGATGTGCCAAGTACTCTCCTAGATGACTCAACCAGTCTATGCCTTACAAAAGCAGATGAGGCCCCCATGCCCCTCAGCTCTGCATTATCCAGATGTCTAATTTTTCCAGTCTAGTATGAAGTCATACTCATTGCTTTAATTTGCATTTCTCAGACTGTAATAATTTTATTCAGTTTTGTTTTGCTTTGTTTTGTTTGGAGACCAAGTCTCACTCTGTCACCAGGCTGGAGTGCAGTGGTTCGATCTCGGCTCACTGCAACCTCCTACTCCCTGGTTCAAGCGATTCTCCTGCCTCAGCCTCCCGAGTAGCTGGGATTACAGGCATGTGCCACCACACCCAGCTAATTTTTGTATTTTTAGTAGAGACGGGGTTTCCCCATGTTGGCCAGGATGATCTCGATCTCCTGACCTTGTGATCTACCCGCCTCAGCCTCCTACAGTGCTGGGATTACAGGCGTGAGCCAACGTGCCCTGCCTGTTTTTGTTTTTTTGAGACAGAGTCTTACTCTGTCGCCCAGGCTGGAGTGCAGCGGCATGATCTCAGCTCACTGCAACCTCCACTTCCCGGGTTCAAGCAATTCTCCGGCCTCAGCCTCCAGAGTAGCTGGGATTACAGGCACACATCACCATGCCCAGCTAATTTTTGTATGTTTAGTGGAGACAGGGTTTCACCATGTTGACCAGGCTGGTCTCAAACTCCTGACCTCAAGTGATCCGCCCACCTCGGCCTCCCAAAGTGCTGGGATTACAGGCGTGAGCCACCTTGCCCAGCTGACTGTAATGATTTTGAACATTTTTAATGCAGCTGCTGTTCAATAAATATCTGTTGAATAAACAAGAGAATCAGCCCTTCCCTTTCTGAGCACGTGCAGAACCCGTGCCTTCTTCTGGTTTTTAACTAATACCTAGTTTTAAGGGAGAAAATTCCACCCGCCCCCGTAAATGTCATGTTCAATCTGTCATTTGGACATGACCCAAAAGCTTAATTTTCTAAAAAGCCTCAAAGATAGGTTTAAAATCAACTCCTGGCCCTGAGCCTGGTCTGCAGAAGAAGAAATACTCCATTGTGATGGCCGCTGGGATGACCAAGCACGCGGTCTGCAGAACCTCCAGGCCACAGCATTTCACCCTCCTGCCACCTTTTCACGACCACCACTAGCACCTGCTCCAGCGAGGCTCATTCTCCAGTGTGTTGTCTAAAGAATAAAAATAAACAGCGGCACACAGGCCCCGAGGTCCTTCCAACACACCTTCTCCGTGAAACCCAATTTTCTAAATGAAGTGGAAAGACAAGCTGCTGAATAGCTTTCAGCCCTGGTGCCTAAAAGAGAGACAAGGAGGACGCAGACATGGAGAGGTCGCTGATGTCAAACCCTAAAAAGAGCCCAAAGCCAGGGTCACTCCCCAACCCTGTTCACCCAGGGGCCAAGGCGCACCTTCTCCCACCTTCTCTGTTTTAGTGAAATAGCCAGCAACAGTTGCTGCCCTCCCAAGTCATACCAACTTCCTATAGTCTAGCCTCTATCCTTACCACTGAAACACAGAGGCCACCATGACCTTCTGATCCCCAAATTCAACCGTCTATTCTCACTGTAATAAGGAGAGTTCAAGAATCCCTGGGCTCTAGTCACTTGCTGGCTGATTTAGGAAAGTGATAGTCTCTCTAAGCCTCAAATTCTTTACTAAAAAAGCAAGTCATGCCTGCCCAACAGTGTTGTTTTAAGGTCCCAGAGAGAAACTCCTGGCAAACTATAGCCAGACAACTGTAGTAAAACAGCACTGGGCTAAGGCCAAGTCAGCAGTCCTGCAGAGGAGGTCCTTACTCCCTTCTGCCCTTCATTTCCATGATATGGCACTGCTCTGGTTCTGCCCTTTTTACTGGCCTTTGACCTTTGGCCTCTCTCATGCAATCCTCTTTTTCTTCCTCTTGCCCTCTGAACATTCCCCCAAGTTCTGACTCAGTCCTCTTTTCTGCCCTCTGGCCCACTCCCCTTAGGGATCCTCGCTACTCTCATGGCTGAAACTGTCACCTCCATGTACGTCTTTCTCTCCACCCCAACCTCTCACTCACCTTCCAGACCCATTTCAAGCTGTTGATTCCATTTGTTCACCAAGATGGTAACTCAAAGTCATTAAGGCCAAAACCAAAGCCATCACTTGCCCTCTACCTCCAGAGGGCCCTCTTGCTGTTCTTGCGTCACTGTCCTCACAGGCATTCAAGTTCAGAACTCCAGGGCCATCTGCAACAGCCCCTCCTCCTCTCAAACATCCCACTAGTCCATCTGCTTTCCCAGCGTCTCTGGCTTCTGGCTTCCACTCTCCATTTCTACTGCTATCGCTTGATCCAAGGCCTCGCTACCTTCTTATCGGTCAACGTCAACATTTTCCTGCAGATGCTCTCCCTGCCATCATACCTCATGCAGCTCCCAAAACCCACCCCCTGAAGTTACTCTTGGATCCTATTTGCTCCCTGCTAAGAACCTTCCAGGGGCCCCATTCCTACTGCTCCAGCATCAGTGCTCACCCCCTCACTTCTGAAGACCCCTGAACCTCATCCCAACTTCCCTCCAGTCTTAGTCTTCCTTCATATAGCATGCGTTCATGCCAGAGGACTTACCTTGGGGATTGTGGAGTACACCTTGTGCGTTTAGTCCCTAGACTTCTGCTCCACCTCAAAACAATCCTCCAGGCTGGGCGTGGTGGCTCATGCCTATAATCCCAGCACTCTGGGAGGCCGAGGCGGGCAGATCATTTGAGGTCAGGAGTTCGAGACCAGCCTGACATGGCGAAACCCCGTCTCTACTAAAATACAAAAATTAGCGGGGCGTGGTGGCAGGTGCCTGTAATCCCAGCTACTCGGGAGGATGAGGCAAGAGAATCGCTTGAACCCCAGAGGTGGAGGTTGCAGCGAGCCGAGATTGTGCCACTGCACTCCAGCCTGGGCAACAAGAGCAAAATTCAGTCTCAAAAAAAAAAAAAAGAAGTGAACATGGATTGAATGTTAGACGTTATTAAGGAATTATTGTTCATGTTCAGGTTAATAATGGTACCTTTACTTTTTTAATCGTTTATTTATTGAAATACATACTGAAGTGTTTGCAGGTGAAATGATGTAATATTTACAGCTTTTTTAAAAAACTATTCCAGCCACACAGCAGAGGAGTCAATAGACAAAATAAGAATGGTAAAGTGCTGATAATCATTGAAGCTGGGAATGGATACGTTGGGGCTCCTTATACTATTCTCTCTACTTTAATGTCTGTCTGAAATTTTCCATAATCAGGACTTCTTTTTTTCTTTTTTTTTTTTTTTTTTTTTTTGAGATAGAGTCTCGCTCTGTCACCCAGGCTGGAGTGCAGTGGCAAGATCTCAGCTCACTGCAACCTCCGCCTCCTGGGTTCAAGCAATTCTCCTGCCTCAGCCTCCCAAATAGCTGGGACTACAGGCACCCGCTACCACACCCAGCTAATTTTTTGTATTTTCACCGTGTTAGCCAGGATGGTCTCGATCTACTGACCTCGTGATCCGCCCACCTCGGCCTCCCTAAGTGTTGGGATTACAGGCGTGAGCCACTGTGCCTGGCCAATCAGGATGTTTCTAACTGGTCTTCCCTAGTAGACTATCAGGTACTGTGTCTGGTGACTGGATTTCCCTCTGTCGCCCGGGCTAGAATGCAGTGGCGCGATCACAGTTCACTGCAGCCTTGGCTTCCTGGGCTCAAGCAATCTTCCCACCTCAGTATTTCAAGTGGCTGGGTCTACAGGTATGCACCACCATGGCCAACTATTTTTTTTTCTTTGTATTTAGGGACAGGGCCTCACTATGTTGCCCAGGCTGCTCTCAAACTCCCAGGCTCAAGCATTCCTCCCACTTCCACCTCCCAAAGTGCTGGGGATTACAGATGTGAGCCACTGCCCCAGCCTGGCTCATCTTTAGACCACCAATTCTTAGCCAGAACTAAGACAGAACAGGTGACAGGTAAGTGTTTGCTCAACAAATGTCCTGTTGTAAATTTCTTCCACGCTCATGGCAACCCTGTTGAAACCGACTGTCACAGAAGGCCTAGGCAAAGAGCTGCAGGAAGCAAGCATGATTTGGAGCTATTTTGGGGAAGTGCATGAAGCAGGTCAGGGTAGCAATGCCCCATGGAGGCAGCGCTGCAGTGGTCCATGTTCTTCCTGCTCAAATGCTTCAGCTTGAGAATACTGAAAGCAGGCTGGAAAGGAGGGTGACAGGCAGATCTCCCTTTTCCTGTTCCAGAAAAGGAAAACTGAGACCTAAAGCCCAGAAATGGGGGCCAACACATAACAGTTGGCAATAAAACTCAAGAACTCCTACTGCCAGCCAGGAATCCCAGTTCCCTGTGTAGTAAGGAAGTCAGAAGACCTGGACCAAATCCCAGCTCCGCTTCTGACTTGCTGTACAGTTCTGGACAAGTCACTTCCTTCCTTGGGCCCCAGTTTACCCATCCATGAAGTAAAGGACTTGGGGGTCCCGTTTTCCTCCCCAGCTCTGCTGTTTTAGAGGTCCCTGACACTGCTGCCTGCACTTACCACATGGTGTGATGGTCTGAGAAGATGTCTTCTGGCTGGAAGATCTCACCGTCATAGTAACAGGGGCACTGGGCCTTGGGCACGCAGTCCCCCCTCTCATCCATGTAGAGCCCTGGGGGGCAGAAGCAGCCCTCCAGGCAGGCCTCATTGCATTCCTCATCCGGGTAAGAGAGAGAGCGGCAGGTCAGGTTGCAGGGGGTCCCGCACTGCAGGTACACCTGGCCTTTCGGGCAGTTCAGCTCTAGAAGAGAGAGGAGAAGTAAGGCCTCAGCGGGAATGTTGGACAGCAAGGACTGTGGTTCTAGGACTTGCCACCCCTTGTAGCTGTGACCCCCAATTATTTAATTAAAATTTTTATTGAGATAATTGTAGACTTGCTTGCAATTACAAGAAGTAATGCAGAAAGATCCCATGTACCCTTTACCCAGTTTTCCCCAAGTGACCCCCAATTATATCTGTATGGTCATCAACTTCCTTTCCCACTATGAGCAAATGTGTATTTTTCAGCATGCAGATATGTATTATAATTATGGGGGCACACATTTTCTCCTTTCCTCAACCACAGGGAATGTGCATTAGTCATCTCTGAATTCTCAAAGCCTAGGATGTAGTAGAAATCCTGGCAGGTTTTGAAGCTGTGAATATTAAAAAGTACTGGGAATGACGGGCAAGGGCATACCCCGTGACAACAATGAGTACCATTTATGGAGCACCTACTGAATGCCTTGCTCTTACGTGGGCTCTATGCCTCATGCCGAGTTAGCTCTCATCACCCCCTTTCAAGAAACTTAGGCTGAGTGACTTGTTAGGGGTATACCTCACAGGAAGAAGCAGAGGAAGGATTTGAACTCAGCTCTCTGCAGCCCTAAAGCTCATGCTCATAACCCTTACTCTCTAGAAAGAAAACAGTCCCTTTGAGGACATGCTGGTCCCAAAGAGGAGGGACACTCATGCCTACCACAGCGAAATGGGCTGCACCCATCTGCCCACAGCCCTCACCCTCCCTAGCCTCCCACAGAAAAATACTGCAAGAGACACAAGCCAGAAGGAAGTGTAGCAAAGTGGCAACGCAGCTAAGGGAACGGGCTCTGTATCCCAAATACCTGGGTTCACGCCCAGGTCCACCACTAGCTGGCTGTGTGATCTTGGGCAGTATCCTCACTGGATGGAATAACAGTATCCACCCAGTCTTTGTGAAGGTTGAATGAGCTAACACATTTAGAAGAATGTCTGGCATGTGGAGAATGTTCACTGCTAATAATGTTCACTGATAATAATTATTATTCTTATTGCTAAGGAAACAGCCCCAGCTCAGCGGTCCCAAGAAGGAAGGAGTGTTCCAGAGAAAGGCCTAGGCCTCAGAAGCTCTGGCATTCTGGTGACAAAATTCCTTATGGGCAGGGTAGAGGACAGGGAAGGTGTGGGGAGCATTCTGCCCTTTCAAAATGCCTTCCCTGTGCAGACCAGCTGCTGCCCAAGAAATGAGAACCTCACCCTGGGCATGCTTCTTCTGAGACCATCACAATCCTTCCCCTCTCTGTTCAAATCCATTGCTCCAGCAGAAACCTACTGGCAGGGCATTTCACAGATGTTATAAAAGTAAGCCTTGGCCGTGAGCCTGAACAATGGAGTGGGGAGCCTCTGGAGAGACCCTGCAGCCTCCCGCTCCTACAACCACCCTGAACTTGGTGTTTGAAGGTAGCTGGGAAGGGAGGGCCTCTTTAATCCTATTAGACATTGATTTTTCTCTGCAAGAATGGAAAGGTTGGATTATTGGATGAATACTGAGGGAGTGTAGGTTAAGACAGGATGTGTTAGACAATAAAGATGGAGATGTCTTTCAACCACCTGAGCCTACAATGACAAGGGCACATTTTACCCATTAAAAAGCAGCTAGACTTGAGAACTTTCTTTGTTCTGATAGGCTATCTCTAGGGCTGGCTTGGAGCCTTATTAAATTTCTCCTTTAGCCTTCTTCCCCAAAGAAACAATGCACATCTCAGTTTAGCAGACACTTCTTGTGTATCCACTGCATGCCAGGGGCTATGCTAGGCCCAGGGAGGCAGAGATGGCCAGCCCTGGTCCTTGCCTTCAGAAAGCCTGTGGTCCTGTCTTCCCAAAGGGAGCACAACCAATTTGCAAGAGGAAAAAAAATGTGTGTGCTTCTCATCAATCTCCTCACACCATCCCACAAAGTAGCTACATGGTAAGTCTGTGCTCCCTGAGTGTCTCCAATTGATGTGACCTCTTCTTACGAATAGATTCACTGGTTTAGGGAGCTCTGTTCATTTCTCTGGAAGAGAAAGTGGAAGTGGGTAGAGGGGACAGCTGAGCCTGAGCTCTTCTCCAAGTCAAGAAAAGATTGGGGCAAGAACCCAGGAGACTTACCCAACTGCCTTGGGTACAAAGGGACAGCCCAAGGCCATCTGGTCAGCCCAGTCTCTTGTCACATAAACCCACAGAGACAGACCCCTCTTGTCCTTAACAGTCTCCAGGGAAAGCTCCTTCCTACCACCCTTTCTACCCTATCGTAATGCCTCAGGAGTCAAGACATTCTTTAACTGAATCTTATCCCCACTACTGAAGCATCAGCCCATTTCCCCTGTTCTGTTCAGTGGAGGTTAAGAATGGCTGTTCATGACAGATTAAAGAATATTTCAGTGGGCCCTTAGCATTCCAGGAGAATGTCCTAAATTAAGAAATCCTGCGGATGCTGCCACATACTGATAATGCATCATTTCTAACACTGGTGGACAAGCAAAGAATATTCACAAGCAGCATCTCATTCACTCCTCATTACTTTCCCCAATTTCTAAATAGCAAATGCTAAGGAAGAAACTGAAGTGCAAAGGGGTTACGTGAAGGGTTCAAGGTCCCATAACTGGTACCTCACGGGAAAGTTGCCAGTAAGGACCCAGACCCAGTTGTCCCAGCCCCTAGCCTGTGGCTCCCCAAGACATCCCAGAGCTGGAGGAATGGGGAGGGCACAACGGCTGCATTATGTGCTCGTCCCTTTCGTCCTTACTGTTGTCTCTGCTCCTCTTTCATATGACATTTCTACAACTCAAAACATGAGTTGGCTCATTGGACCCAAAATAGTAGCACTTCTAGGGTCCCCATGCCTACACTGCTCCTGAAATATAGATGCTAATTCCTTTCACTGTTTCTCATAACTCCTCTTCCAACAGGACCATCTACTTTATATATATATATATGTATACACACACACACACACACACACACACACACACACACAGGGTCTTTCTCTGTTGGCCAGGTCAGAGTGCAGTGGTGCGATCATAACTCACTGCAGCCTTAAATTCCTAGACTCAAGCAATCCTCTTGCCTCAACCTCCCAAGTAGCTGGGACTACACCTACATTTTAATTTCTAAACACATCTACTTTACCCTAAAAAACAGAATATCCACTATGCCTTATTCTTAACAGAATATACTCGTCACTTCTATGCCTACTATGATTCTACCATTGGAAACAAGTCTTCTCTGCCAAGAAAGCAGCTTTTTAAAACCCTAGCCAAGTACACGTCCTCCAGAAAGCCTTCCTTGGTTTTCCCTGCCCTGAATCTACTCATCCTTTCACTTAGTAGGATAGGTATCTAGTAGGGCGGCCATTTCCATCTGTGACTCTAACAGTAAGTTTGGAGTTCCACATCATCACTGTTGCCCGACCACACTGGGCATGCAGCAAATGTCCCCAGAGCAATAACAAAAACAAAAAAGTGAGCACAATAGATACCACCTCTGGTGCCAGGAATCCAACAGTGCAGAGTGAGAATCTAAAGCCAACTGGGGACAGTGATGTAATTCACCTTTAGGTAACTTTATACAACGCCAGAGGTTTTGTCCATCGGTGGTTTGCCTGGAGTTACAAGCAAAGGGTTTGTATGTGAATTTCCCTTGCCTTCATCGGACTCTTAAGGGAGGCGGAGACCCAGTGGGATCTGGGACCCATTCGCTCCACAGCCTGACCTTCTGTGCTGAACGAACACTAGGTGGCAGCGGCCACGGGAAACCCAAGCTTTGCAGGGACCCCCACGTTCTAGGCCTCCAGGTAGGAGGAGCCAACCTGTCTTCCTGGAACAGGCCCGAATCATCAGCCGGTCCCCACCGCCTGTCCTGCTGGGAGGTGGAAGGGAAAAGTGGGTGCAAATGAACCGTCCTCCCCACCCGTGTTTGTCACAATGCCCTACGCCCTCTTTCCACAGGAAACAACGCAGAGAAAGGGCTTCGAAAAGCACACGTGGACGGATTTGGGGGGCGGCCCGGAGGGCTGCGGGCAGGGAGGGCACGCACCACAGCGGCCTGGCTCGCGCCACGCGACGCGCACGCCTCTCCCCGCGCAGGCCGCGGCATAGCTGGCCAGGGCGCCGCACAGGCACTCGCGGCCGTCCGAGCAGGAGCACACGTCGTAGCGGCAGTTCCGCAGGTAGGGCAGCGGGCTGACGGCACGATGGCAGGCCTCGAATGTGGGGGACGTCAGGACCGCGCACGCCTCCTCGGAGAACCTGGCTGTGGGGCGAGAGGAGCGAGCCTGGGATGTGGTGGGGAGGAGTGGGGGCCACGCCCTCCCGGTCAACACTCCCCTGGAAATAGCCCAGTGCTGCTAATAGAGGGCTGCAAGGTCACGCAGAGAAATCTGCAAATGCCACCCCCACCCCCAAGTCCATTTATCTTACAATCATCTAACGCTGAGTTTGTAAGCTGCTGCTGCAGTAGACTGGGAAGGTCGAAGGACGGGGACTATGGAATTTTTTTTTTTTTTTTTTGGAGAGACACGGTCTTGCTCTGTCGCCCGGGCTGGAGTGCAGAAATGCGATCTTGGCTCACTGCGGCCTTGCCTTCCTGGGTTCATGCAACCGTCCCACGTAGCTCCCAAGTAGTTGGGATTACAGGCGCGCCCCACCACGCCCGGCAAATTTATTATTATTATTATTATTATTATTATTATTATTATTATTATTATTTTAATAGAAATGGGGGCTCCCTACGTTGCCCAGACTGGTCTCGAACTCCTGCCCTCAAGCGATCCTCCCGCCTCGGTAGACTTTTTTTTTTTTTTTCTTTCCCGGGGGTTGGCCTGTGGCGGGCGCCCAATAAAGGGACTTTGAAGAGCAAATGGCCCAGTTCAGATGATCAAGTGCTGACGGTAAAAACAAAGCCCGACCCCTTTCCTCGCTCCCCGCCCCCGCCCTCCGCGGTGGGAGCACTGCCTCCGGAACGCACTGCACTAATGTGGAGACCTCGAGATTCTGCGAGGTCCCTGCCTTGCCCCCGGGTTCACATACTCATGCGCGGGTTGAGGGCGCAGGGATCGCTGTGCTGCTTCTGCAGGTCCTGGCAGTCCCCGTGCAGCTTCCAGGCGTTCCCGAAGTCCTCCACCCGGGGCTCCGCCAGCCCAGAGGGGGTAAGGAAGTCGTCGCCCTGGTTGCCATTGTAATTCCCACACAGGCCGCAGGTCTTCCCGGCATAGACGGGGGACAGCTGCAGGAGAGACCAGGCCACTCTGGAGCCGCTGCCGCGAAAGCAGCGGCATAGTTGTTTAGCTAATGAGATGGTTTTAATAAAAAAAAAAAAGTTCCCCGGGTGAAACATAAATATGAATGTAATAAAAGGCAGCTAAGCCCTAGGCTGCAAAAGGGGGGGCGGGGGAAAGTGAACTGCAGTGTAAATTTACCAGCTCCATCCCTGTTCCCAAATCATCAGAGCCCTGTACTGCCACAAGAGATTTTAGAAATTATCAGATCATCTAAGGATGGAGAAGGGAGGCCCAAAGAGGCAAAGTGACTTGCCTAAGGTCAGGGAGGTAGTGGCGGAGCTAGGGTGAGTAGGCAGGTTGAGCCCAGCCCGAAGCACTCTGCCCTCTGTGCCATCCACACCAGTGGGCCTGACCCCCCCACCCAGAGTTACGTGCAAACTCAAGGCCCCTCTATATAGAAAGACTTCGCGTTGGTCACTCGGTGTGGGCCCAGCAGGCTGCCAGGTGTGGTCCAAGCCCTCCGGGAGCTCACGGTTAATGACAAGAAACACCTCCCCACAACCTGCTGCCTGCCACTCAGGCCCTGGGCATCACTGAAGAGAAAGGGCCACGAGCCACAGAAGACTCTGAGGGTGATGATGGATAGGAGTAGGAGTCTGCAGAGGCTCTGAGGCAGCCTGCCAGGGTGACAGCAGCAAAGCAGCGGCACAGTTCAAACTCCAGGCCATGAGCATGTGGTTTACTGTCCATTCTCAGAACTGAACAAAGTTCTGAGCCCAAAGTGCACATTCGGGAACAACCAGCAGAGTGGAGCCCGCCCTTCCCCCACACAGCTGGGGGCATCTGCTGGTTTCTACGGAGAGGACCCCGATTTGAAGGTGGAGCGGGGGCTGGGACCCAGGAGTCCTGACTCCCTCTCCGCATGTCATTACCAAGGTGGGATGACCTCCCTGCGTTCTGAATCCCTCAGGGGCTAGGGTCAGCTCTTAGAGCCCCTTTTCAGCTTCCAGCTCCAACCTAACAAAATGCAGGGTTAACAATCCAGTAGAAGGTCCCAGGCCCATAGAAATCGAACCCAAGTAAACACTGTTAAGAAAGGGGACAGAGTAATGTTTCCTTGTTTGCTTGACAAATACCAAATGTTGTCACATTAGGCCTTCTCCCACCTCCTTATTTAAAATTTAAATCCCCCCAATCCTGGCACATCCTGCCCCTTTCTCTGCTTTATTTCCCCCAGGATCTATCACTTTCCGATCTATAATATAATTTACTTGTTTGCTTTGTTTATTGTCTGTCTCTCTCCATTAGAACTTAAGCTAAATGAGGCAAGGATTTTTGTCTGTTTTGTCTCACTGCTGTAATCTCAGCATCCAGAATGGTGCCTGTCTTAGCCCTTCCAGGCTGCTATAACAAAATACCACAGACTGCGTGGCTTATAGACAACTGATATTGATTGCCCACAGTTCTGGAATCTGGGAAGTCCAAGATGAAGGCATCAGCAGATTTGGTGTCTGGTGAGGACCCTGCTTTCCGGTTCATAGATGGTGCCTTCTAGCTGTGTCCTCACATGGTGGAAGGGGCTAGCAAGCTCTCTGAGGTCTTTTAAAAGGGCACAAATCTCATTCTTCATCATCTCCCAAAGGCCCCACCTCGTAACACCATCACCTTGGGGGTTAGGATTTCAACATATAAATTTGGGGAGGACACAGACATTCAGTCCACAGCAGTGCCAGCAGACACTCAGTAAGTGTTTGTTGAATGAATGAATCGTTGAACAAATGAATGAATAAGTAAGTGAATGACTAGGTTCTCCTCCTGATGTGCTGGAATGCAATGCCCGCAGTCAGGGCACCCTGGGCAAGGCGGCATAACTGGTGGTGCACCTCCACTCCCTTCCCGCCTCTCAGCATCTTTTCTCTCTCCTTTCTCAGAGTTTGATGCTCCCCAAAGGCGTTTTCATTCACCCCCACCAAGCCAGCCATCACTCCCATGTCCCACTCTAAAACCAGGTCTTCTCCCATCCCCTTGGCTTGTCTCGGAGGTCAGCTCGGCCAGGGTTAGGAGAGTGGGGGCGACACTTAGAGACTCTCTTAGTGTCACTTAGCGACACTCACTATTTGAAATAAACCTCTGGTCAGTGACAGTTCTGACTAAATGAAGCCTGTGCAAGGATCTTTTCCACACTGCTATGCCTAAGGCAGAGCTGGGCCCTGCAGGGCAGCCAGCAGGGCAGGGAAGCAGCACACAGAGGATGTGATTTCTGCTGGCTGGAGCCTTGCTGCCTGGACCGCCAGCCCCACGGGGACAAAGCGTACATAACACACCCAGGGGAAGGAGACCGGGGGGCCCCTAGCTGCACCTCCTCTTGCACCGCCTCTGCCCCAGCTGGCCTCCCTCCAGCTCTCGCCTCCACACTTCCATCCCCAAAAGCCCTGGTGTCAGTATTCTGAGGCTCCCCACCTCCTGCCCCAACTCAAACACCCCCTTTCCTGCTTCATAATAAAACCCACAAGATAGTCCCTTTCCATGAGCCCCAGGAATCTGTGTAAAGAAAAAGAAAAAAGAAAAATATATATAAAAAGACAGTTCTATAGGCCATGGGGTCATCTGACCCTGTCCTGAACCTTGGCCAAGGAAACGTCTTCTTGTTAGCTAAACTGACACAAACCCACCCCAAAGATAACCCTACATCCCCTCCCACAGAAAGAAGTTGGCTTCTCTTCTCCTCAGGGGAGAGACAAAGACCAAAGAAACCTGAGGGGAGGAAGGGCAGCTGCCCAGGATGAGAAGTTACGGCCCTGCTGATCAAGGGGAGAAAGTGCATGGGTGGAGAGCACCCTCTCTGTGAGGTGGGAAGATGCTGAGAAAGTGGACTGGCTGGCCGGGCGTGGTGGCTCATGCCCGTAATCCCAGCACTTTGGGAGGCTGAGGAGGGTGGATCATTTGAGGTCAGGAGTTCAAGACCAGCCTGGCCAACATGGTGAAACCCCATCTCTATTAAAAATACAAAAATTAGCTGGGCATGATGGTGGGCACCTGTAATCTCAGCTACTCGGGAGGTTGAGGCAGGAGAATCGCTTCAGCCTGGAAGGCGGAGGTTGTGGTGAGCCAAGATCGTGCCACTGCCCTCCAGCCTGGGCAACAGAGTGAGACCCTCTCTCAAAAAACAAAACAAACAAAAAGAAAGTGAACTGGCTAACGTGAAGCACCCCCTTGAAGACCGGGGTGCAGGAGGCAAGACTGGTCAGGAACCAGGAGACCCGAGTTCTGGTCCTTGCCCGGTAACTAAACGACCATGAGGCCTAGGGCAAGTTACTCCTGCTCCAGAAATAATGGCTCTTTATTTCCTACTGGAAAAGGGAGGTTGACAAGAGGATCTCCCAGACCTTCCTGCTTTATGGTCTGTGGTTGCAGGTTTATTTTCATAAAAGGAAAAAAAAAAAAAAAAAGGAGTTAGTTTGAAATTCCCTCAGGAGCTCTAAGACAGGAGAAAGAACATAGCCACACGAGGATGGAGGACGCCAGGATCTCCTGGGTGAAACCTGCCACCCTGCCCCTGCCACCCAGGATTATAGCAAGGACCCTGTGGAATACAGGACCCCAGGAGGCAGGAGGAGGCTCTCCAGGGATCCCAGGCATAATCTAGCGCAGTGGTTCTCAAAGTGTGGTCTTGAGACCCATAGGGGTCCCTGAGACTTTCAAGGGGTCTGCGAGACCAAAACTACTTTCATAATACTATGAAGACGCTATTTGCCTTTTCCCTCCTCATTCTCTTACAAGTATAGAGTGGAATTTTCCAGAGGCCACATGACATGCAATATTGCAAAAGATTGAATGCAGCAGTAGATATGAGAACCCAGCTGTCTCCTATTAAGCCAGCCATTAAAGAAATTTGCAGAAATGTGCAGCAGTGGTATTATTCTTGTTGCTTATTTTTGTTCTGGCAAACAGTTACTTTTCCCCAAAACAGTGATGTTTATATTAATGTGTAGTGGGTTTATTATTATAATTTTTGAATGAGTTAATAAATACATATTTTAAATGTCTCTAATTTAATTTTCAATCTGATAAATACCAATAAATATAATCCTCCTACAAGATCTTGAGGTCCTCAATAATTTTTAAGAGTGTAAAGGCATTCAAGACCAAAAAGCGAGAACCACTTTTTGTTCTGATGGGAAAGGCATGAGGCAGAGAACTAATCCTCGCTCTGCCATGACACGGTTGGTGGGGGTCAGAGTGGGATCAGTCCTCTGATCAGAGGAGTCTATCCTAGCCCTGGAAGTTCTGGAGTGCTGCACCATCCCTCCACTTCCTGTGCCCTGGTTGCCTCATTTATAAAATGGCAGTAATATTTGCACTGTCCACCTGCCAGGGTCATTTCCAGAGAAACAGTGAAAAGTATGGATTGCTATCCAGTGTGATTCCAGGACCACCAAGAACAAGAGGAAGTGGCCCACACATGCAGAGTCCCAGTGTCCAGGGGAAGAATCTGGTGGTTTCCTGAGCAACCTTTCCCGGGCAGGCTTTCTCTTAGCTGAGAGTGCCAATCTGGCTCTTCCCTTACTGCCCACAGTGGGCACCCAGGGAGACACCCCTGCTCCCGGGCCTTGTTTCAGCCGGGAGATTGGACAGCAAACCTGCTCCTTCCCCAGCCCCACAAGAGCCCACCCCAGTCTAGAGGCCCTTGGGATAGCAGAGCCCAGCAGGAAGAATCCCCAGGGCCAAGAAGGGGCATCCAGAAAACAAACACCAGCCTCATAAACAAGAGAGGCCTGTTTCTCGCTCTGGGGGTGTAGGCCATGAGGAGAAAGGAATTCTTCTCCCACCACACAAAGCCATTCTACCCAGAGCACAAGGGGTACTTTGTAAGGGTCGGGCCGCAGGGAGCCAGTACCCCGTGAGGGCACCTACCTTCACCAGCAGCCTCCCGCGGCCATCCCAGTCCATCTGCAGGTCCTCCCCGTAGCTGAGGCGCACGGAGGCCGTCACTGTATGCTGGATGCGGAGGTCACCTGGAACCCAGCAGGACAGGACTCAGGCAGAGGTGGGGAGAGGACAGGGTGGTGGCAGGCAGATGTATTTGGGAGGAAATGGGGTGTCTCAAAAGGATGGTAGCACTGAAGAGCAATGACTTAGGGGCAGATGGGGTGGCCATGAGGTTTAAGGGGGTGTCAGGAGGAAGGGTGATCAAGGTGGACAGAGCGCAAATAGGGTCCCCCAGGAAGAAGCCTCTGCACCCCCCGCTATGACCTGCCATTCCCCCTACTGCCACAGGAGGGAGGCAGAGGCTCCTGCATCCTGGGCTGTAGGCAGGTGCCCTGGAGCAGAGGGGGATCTCTTTAGCATTGACACCACGACATCTGAATGTGCCTGGGACACTCTGCCACTGCACACCACCTCATGTCTGAGCGATGCTGTGTACGACACTGAATACAGCAATTGTTGCTTCTGTGGGAAGGTGGCGACAGATAGGAGCACACCCCTTGCCCTGGGGGAACAAACATATCTTATAAGGAGACACACAGCATAACACCCATGGACGTGCTGGGTACCCACTAGCCCAAGTTCATCCGCTGTGTGCAATGCTAGGATAATGGGCGACAAAGTGGCCAGCAGTTGTGGAGAAGAAGGAAGAGTCTGAGAGCCACTTTGAGTGTGAAGTTTGGGAGCTTTACCATGCAAAAGCAGGTTTGCTTTGACCGGCACAGTGCAACCCAGGTGAAGATACTGGACAGGTAGGTTTTTTGCTACCTCTAGACAGGCCAGAGGGTCACCTGGCCTCGCCCCAAGTGGCATCCTCTGGTGTGACATCACCAGCCACCCCCGATCTCTCAGCATCAGCCTCTGCCCCTGTCCCACCCCAGAGCAAACCAGAACCACCTGCCCAAGACTCAACTCGCCCCTTTGGTTCAAGCCAAATAAAAATCCTCTCGGTTCCCTTTTCCCATCTACACTCTGTCCCAGGTCTAGAGCAACCTCTTCATCTATAGGCTTCCTTCTCTAGTCTTCCTCCTCCAGGAAGCCTTCCTTTCTTGGAGGGATGCATGCCAAGCACCCCACCCTGCCCTCCAAAAATAACTCTCCATCACATTCCCATGGAAGAGGCATGCAGGTCCTTAAGGACAGTGGCCAGGGTTGAGAAGGAGGGTGCTAAGGGATGGGCTGTGCCAGCCCCAGGCCTGATGGAGCAGGACGAAGCATACCTTTCAGGAGGGGGAGCTGGACGTCCTGGCCATCCATGGCAACTCCTGCCCCATGCTTCAGTTTCACAAGGCTGTTGTGCAGGCCAGGCAGCCGGACGGTGACGGAGCGGGTGCACACAGCGTCGCGGTCATCAGCACACTGCCAAGAGGGAACACAGGGTGACTTTGCTGCACCCCCTGCCTATCCAGCTCCCCAGCCCAGGACCCTCTTAATCAGAGAAAGGCCTCAACCCGAGAGCCTCTGGCCTTCTCATAACCTACAACTCCATTCTCCCAGAATACTCCATGTGAATGGGGCCCCCTAGAGTTGTGCAGCAAGAAGGCTTGCTAAGTGCATCCTTGCACACGCCTTCTCCCAGCCTGGCCCAGTCTCTTATAAAGAACCATGGGCCTCTGCTTCATCGTGTTCCTTGGACCTACTGTTCCAAAGAGAATCAAAGACTTTGATCCTCAAGGAAAGCCCTGTGCATTCTCTTCGTCCTCATCTTTGCTTCCATCCCTACAGAAAGGAAGCCACACATGTACCACAGAGTTCAGAAGAGAAGACCAGCCCTCTTTGCCCCCACCCCAGCCATCCCCAGCTCCAAACATCAGAGGGTTAGTTATGGGGGCAACAGGCTAGACCCAAGCAGGATGCGTCCACTGGGTGGGGAGCTGAGCCAGCCCTGAGGAGGCATTATTGTCAGGGCAGGATGCCTTCCGCCAGCATCTAGGGAGAGAGGGGATGGGCTGGGTTTCTGGATGAATGAGGAGCTAACTGAAGTCTGGAAGAGACCTCCCTCATGCACAGAAAGCAATGCCCCACGCCTTCCAGGGACTGCCCATTCAGCCTAGCAGCTATGCAGCACCTTGGGCTACCACCCGACCAGCAGCCGGGCTGGCAAAGCTCACCTGGACAGTCTCAATGACAATGGAGAAGGAGTGGTCCTGGCAATCCCGGGCCAGCAGGTACTGGCAGATCCCACTGAAGGTGAAGTATCTGTTGTCAAAGCTCTTGAAGTGTGATTGACCTGTGACAAGGCACTCCCCTGGAGAGACACAGAGGAAGGGAGAAGAATGGGAGGTGAGGGCACTTCCCCTGGGGTGGCCAAGGTGGAATGCATATGCAAGCAGGGTGCCCTTCCCCAAAACTGCATGGACGTCCTTTGCCCAAACCAGTCTAAAAACAAGTTCTACGAGAAAATTCGGTTCCTGCTCCTAAAACTGCAAGATGTCAGAGCTGGGTCATTCAGGTCAAGGCCTCATTTTACAGATGGGGCAACTAAGGAAGGTGACAGAGCCACACTCAGTCAGTGGTGGAACCACGCAGGAACCCACGCTCCTGCTTCCAGGCTCCCTGCAGCCTCCCCTCCTCCCTCACAGCTCACTGCCATGTCCCACGCTACCTGCTGGCATCAGGGCCACACCAGCCTCAGACTGGTGCCAGCGGAATGCCTGGCCAGGGGGAGGCTGCCCAATAGCACAGGGTTCTCTGAACCTGAGTGTGGAGAGGCTCTGGGAAACAGTGTCACCCCTGGAGAGTCCCTGGAGGCCAGGGGGCAGAGTAGGCAGCCCAGAGGCAGGATGAGGTGGGAGGGTGAGGCAGGACAGTCTTGGAGCTCAGCAGTGAAAATGGGGACTCCATCCTCCTCACCAGCAGAGGGGCAACTCTAAGGCCATTGCTTTCTGCGTCCTCAGAGGGGCAAGCCCACGCTGTGACTCCAGCCAGGGCCAATGGGGAACCAGGAGGCCATCTGCCCATGATCTCACCACCACCCAGGCAGTGCTGACCTCGGCAGCGCCAGCTTCCCAGCCCAGGCTGACACATCTGTGGGTGGGGACTAGGACTCCCCTTCATCACCCTGCAACCCAAAGCCCTCAGCTTGTCCCCACCCTAATTCCCACACCATCTCCCCCACGCCCCAGCCTAGGCCCCATACTTGTGGCCCAATGCACCTCCAAACTGAGATCACACATCCTGGAAGGTGTCCTGGCAGGGGGAGGCCTCTGCCAATGTCTCCAGTGATTCTCCATCAACCTGCCTGGCTTGAGGCAATCCCATCTTCAGGGCCAAACATGGACCCATCAAAGCTGAAAAGGGCATCTGGATCCCTTCCCAACCTGCCCTATATATTTCCTCCACCTGCTCTCATCTTTGCTATCTACTCTACAGAAAAAGAAATATATATAGAGAGAGACACCATTGCCATTTGGTGAAGGAGGAAGACTTTTCCCACCCAGTCACTCTACGGTGCATGTGTGAGTTCCTTTCTCTAAGGATCAAAGCAAAGATGAGGACACATAGAGTGCACAGGGCTTCCCCTGAGACCCTCCAAACAGCGGAAGCTTGGCTGTCTACAGCGCTACCTCAGCCTCCACCTGAAGTTCCCCCTTTGGGGAACAGATGCTAGACCAACGTTGGAAAGACAAATGTAAGAGGGTCCTACAGACCATCCTATGTGGGCCCAGCTCCAGGGGCTAATGCTAGCCCTGTCACACAGCCAAGGGGTCCCCAAAAGGCACAGAGAGATTCTAGCTTGTCAAGGACAAGCTCCACAGGCCCTCACTGTCTGGCACTTCATGCTCGCATGTGCCCTGACAGGCCCAGCCAGGGGCCAGGCTAGACTGTGCAGTACTGGACCCAGGTGTGGGCCTGCCTTTGAGATGTGTATGAAGGCAGGATTAAGGATGAGGTGCCTCAGGGATGTACACATCCCTCTGCCTGGTCCCCAGGACAGTGGATCCCTTCCAGGACAGCATGGGTCAGGAGGGCACATCCAGCCCAGAGGAAATTAGGAGAAAGTGGAAAGGCCCCAGATCACTCCCATCAGCATGGCCCACCTTCTCCGCTGCCCCCTCTAGAAGAGCGGGAGTGAGGAGTGACTGTTCGTGGAGGACAGAGCAGGCCACAAGATAGGGGCCAGGATCGTCCCAGCCCATTCTGGATGTGCTGTAATTTCAAGTCCAGTGAGGTCTCAGGAAAGCCTTTTTGAACTGACCATTTTTCAGAAATTATCATCATTCTACAAACACAGTAATATGGTCATTTGTGTCAAATGTCTTGACCCCAGGGCAGTAAAAATGGGTGGGAATTCTTCCCCCTGCCTTTCTGTGTTTTCTCAGAGCACTCTTATCTAAGCAAGAAAATGGACTTCTGTCTTCTTTAACAATACCCAGGAAAAGAAGGGTCAACGAGAAATGTGCAAATATTCGAAAGGAAAACTTTCAGGGCCAGCATCTAATCGTCTCATCTGATTTCCTTCTCTGACCTTCACTGACTTGTGTTCCCAAGTTTCTCGCAAATCAGAAGTCTAAATATTATATGAGCTTATCTCCTCGGTACAACTGAGCAACAGAGCCACAAACACAGGAAAATGGGTGGGTGAGCTGCCAGGTAGCCGTTAGCCACGGGAGCTAGAACGTCAGCCAGAACTATGGGCCATGCGAACACGCTCACCCATCCTCCACCCAGGATGGGACACTAGGATATTCCCCATCAGTCAGCAACAGGCAGCTCCTGACGAACAGCGGGCCCACCACTAGATGGAGATGGGCACTGGAAGTTTGGGGAATGAATGAAAGGCAGGTGATTCCTAAAACTGCATTTAAAAAAAAAAGAGCATCCAGGCCGGGCCGTCATGGCTCATGCCTATAATCCCAGCACTTTGGGAGGCTGAGACAGGCGGAGCACCCAAGGTCAGGAGTTCGAGACCAGCCTGGCCAACATGGTGAAACCCCGTCTCTACTAAAAATACAAAAAATTAGCCGGGTGTGGTGGCAGGTGCCTGTAATCCCAGCTACTCGGGAGGCTGAGGCAGGAGAATTGCTTGAACCCAGGAGGCAGAGGTTGCAGTGAGCTGAGATCACGCCACTGCACCCCAGCCTGGGCGACTGAGTGAAACTCTGTCTCAAAAAAAAAAAAAAAAAAAAATCCAGAAGTTAAAGCAGATCCATTTCTATGTGAATAAAGATCCTGCCTCATGAAAAAAAACAAAACGGAACCTCTCACCTAATGGAAGCACATTACCTCTTCTAAACAAACCCTTTGGTTTGCAGTAGTGAGCCCTGGACGCGGCTGCCCTGCTCCAGACCATTTGTTTCCCCAGCCCCACAACCCTCTACCTCCCAAAGCCTTCCCTGCAGAAATGCCCAACCCACAGGCCTTTAGCAAAGCAACTCAGACTTCCACCAGATGCAAATTGTCACCAAAGCCTGCAACATAATCTCTACCAAATGTGCAAGATGCATTTCTTTTTTTTTTTCCTGAGACAGTCTCGCTCTGTTGCCCGGCGTGGAGTGCAGTGGCGCCATCTCGGCTCACTGAAGACTCTATCTCCGGGGCTCTCACAATTCTCCTGCCTCAGCTTCCCGAGTAGCTGAGATTACAGGCATGTGCCACCATGCCCAGCTAATTTCTGTGGGTTTTTTGTTTTTGTTTTTGTTTTTAGTATAGACAGGGTTTCACCATTGGCCAGGTTGGTCTCAAACTCCTGACCTCAAATGATCCACCTGCCTTGGCCTCCCAAAGTGCTGGGATTACAGGCATGAGCTGCCGCGCCTGGCCCAAGATGCATTTTTTTTTCTTTTTCTTCCTTTTTTTTTTTTTTTTGCGTGTGTGTGTGTGTGTGTGTGTGTGTGTGTGTATGTGTGTGTGATAGGATCTCTGTCACCCAGCAGGCTGGAGTGCAGTGATGCCATCACAGCTCACTGCAGCCTTAATCTCCCAGGCTCAAGCGATCCCCCCATCTCAGCCTCCCAAGTACCTGGGACTACAGGCACACACCACTATGCCTGGCTAATGTTTGTATTTTTTGTAGCCATGGGGTTTCACCATGTTGCCCAGGCTGGTCTCCAACCCCTGGGCTCAAGCGCTCTGCCCACTGAGCCTCCCAAAAAGCTGGGATTACAGGCGTGAGCCACCATGCCTGGCATAAGATACATTTCCAAGTGCTCCATGGAAACCATCTCATTGATTGCTCCTATGAAGTGCTCATTATTATCCCCAGTTTACAGATGAGGAAACTGAAGCATAGAGAAGTTCAACTCATCCAAGTTCCCAAAGAAACTGAACAGGGATCTGAATACGGGCAGGTCTGTCCAGCTGCAGAGCCCAGAGCCCTTGATGCCACCTAAAACTGCCTCCCGGGTTGGCTCCTACCATTTCTCACATGGCTGATGTCATTCTAATCCTCCTCCAGGGGCTGCAGAGAAGCTCCGGCCTGCTCCTCACTTTACAAGCAGAGCCAAGCATATCCCCTCCAGAACCATACCGCCTATTCTTCCCATCAGAAGCTCTATCTGCAGTCATCACACTGGGAGCATCAGACAGCCCCACTGCCTGCTGAGTCATGGCAGGGTGTGGAAATATGCTTGTGTGCGTGGGTGCAAATGGACCGGGAGGCGATGATCAACAAAACTCCCAAACTAGAAAAAGATGGTCAGAGCCAGGGCTTTGAGAATGCAGAGAAGAGCGTAGTGGTTTTGTTGGCAAAATATCAAACCACTTAGTAGACAGAATTGACACTGTTTATCTTTTCATCAAGACATCAAGAGAATGTCTTACATCCTCAGCAAAGTCATCTTCTAGATTTTGAATTGAAGACCAGAGGACTGTATTGTCTGCCCCAGAAAACAGTCCATCATGTACATAGTTGGTGTTCAAATAGTACTTGGATGAATGGACAGTTGGAAGGATGATGGACGGAAGATTCACCCTATAGTAAGTACTTGTTAAAACTTCCTAATCTGGTGGTTACAAACGTCTAAAAAAACACACACAATAAACTGAATTCCTAATTCCATCCACTGTGGCTCACAGATCTCATACAATGAGTGCTTATTATTTAAATGTTAAAAGTGTTTTCACAGGTTAATTGCAGCAACTCATATGTCTTCCAAAGAGCTCCTTTAGTCTTGGACATGGTGTAATTACGTTCAGTGGAGCACAGATATCCCTTTCAAGAGCAATCTTTTCTCCTTCGTGCCTTCTTTAAGGGTTACACAAAAGATAACCTGGCTGGGTGACCATCTCTTTGCAAGACTAACTGATCTAGCCCACATCTAGTTCCAGAATTTTCCCAGTGTAGAGGACACTGGATGAGGTCCTGAGTCATCCTAAAGTCTTTAACTCACAGACCCTAAATACAGTCCCAGGTATCCAAGCTCAACCCACTTCAGGCCACCAAAGGTTAGTACTGGGAAGGAGAAGAAAGGGAAGGGAAAAAGTAAGAAGTCAGGCAGTTGTGAGTTCAAGCCCTGGCTCTGCCTCGTAGCAGCTGTGTGACTTTGGGCAAGTCATTTAACCTCTCTAGGTCTGTTTCTGCTTTCCTAAAATGAGAATAAATTGCACCTGCCTCACAGGTTGTAACCGGAAAGTGTTTAGCACAGTGGCCAGCACATAGAAAACACCACGTGAGTGAGCACAGAGGGCAAGGTCTGAGGTCATTGGAAGGTGGGGCAGAAGGGAGCTTTGAATGGGCAAGGTTTGCAGTAAATAGAATAGAGTTGGGGCCAAACAGAGGAGAAAGCAAATGGCAGAGATTGCTCAATAATTTTTCCTAAGCAGATTTTCCAGGGCAGGGACAGGATGGGAGGAATCATTTGGTGACCTGGTTTTCCGAGCTCTTGGACCACGCCATGGTCTTCATATTAGGCATTCTGGAAAGTTCCATTAGAACTGTCCCTTCAAGCCTAAAGAATTACCAGGCCCTTCTACCTCTTAATTTTCCAAAGAATGTGTATCCTCTTTGTTTAGTCAATCATGACCATACAGGCCTTACAGCTCATCAACCTTAATCCTTTCAGCAAACAGGTAATAAGGACAGACAATAACATCTGAACGCAGGTGCATTCTCCGCTTTCAGCTGTTGCAGGGCTCCCACCTCTGGCCTGTGAATGGGTTAGCATAGCTGGTACCTGAAACCAGAGCTGGGGTCACGTGGTTGCAGCCAACCTGTGCAGAGAGGGCAACTTCTCGCTGCCTTGAGTTGTGGCCCTCCCTGTCTGGTAAGAGAGGAGGAGACGCCTCCCCGATTCAGGGAAGGAGGAAGAGAATGAGCGGCAGGTCGCCTACCTGGACATTCTTCATTGCTGCAGATCCACTGGCTGTTTCGGCAAATGCTGTTGGAGGGAAAAAGCACAGGTCATTGGTGGTTCTGCAAACACAAGGGTATGCAAATGGATTTAGAGCTCATGGTAGTTATCACAGTCCCCAAACGAAGGGATGTGGGAAAAGAAAAGAGCTGGTGCTAGCAGAATCTTCATAGGGTTAAAATTGTACAGGACAGAGCTTTGGCCACAAAGGAATCTTAGAGATATTACCCAGGGGAAGAAACCCCAACAGAGAAAAAGAAGAAAGAAAAAAAAACTACCTGATCCCCCTGAAAATCTACTCAGATACCAAGAAGTCAAATTCCTACCCCACACACAGTGAGTGGCAGAGAGCAAGAGAGCGATATGGAAATGGGTAGCTCCCAGCCCAGAAGTGTGGTGGGCGGTGGCCGACTGAGAACCTGGGGGCTCAGTGCACACAGAAGGCTGCTAAGATAGCAAAGGGAGGAGGCCTGGGGACCAAACGAGTTGTCCCTGCTGTGCAGGAGACTGGCAAAGCCAGCCAGAGGTGACATCCAGGGGTGCTTCTTGAGATGACAGAAGCCAGGCTGGGCCTGGCCTACTGCAGGGACCAAGGGAGGGCAGACTGGTGTGAGTTTCCACTGGCCACTGCAACTTCCTACCACCTAGCAGATGAGAGATTTCAAGGAGAGAAGGACCTACGTACTGCTTAGTGATACAGCCCTCCTCCAGGGGGAAAGGATCATTTATGAAAGCATAGTTTGGAGGGACAGCTAGAGATGATGTCTGCACGTGAAGGATCCTGCCCTTCCTGACCTCCCCATCTTCAAGGCTTATTTATCTGTAATATACTCTTTGCTCCCCATCATTGCCTGCCACACCTGTCCCTAGCCCCCACCAGTAGCCTCCAACTCAGTCTCTTCTTTCTTGGCACGGTCCAGGTTCTTTTCCACCTGCCACCACCCCTGCTGACCCAGCTTCCCTCCCCAGTCCCCCAGGCAGGTCTCCCAGAGCACGCTGCGCAGCCCCCATTACCAGGTGTTGCAGTCTCGAGAGAGGGAGGTGCCGGGAGGGTAGCGCTTTCCGGAATGCACGCAGGGACACTCGGTGCTCTCCACGCAGAGGCCTTCATCCAGGAGCTGTCCCTCTGGGGTCAAGGGCATCAAGACAAAGGCCTCAACATTGTCATTGCGTCACTCATCCCACAACTATAGAATCCCCAGGGACAATGGTTGGGTTTCTTCCAGGAAGCTCAAAGAACTTGTTCTGTGGTGTTTATCTTTCACATAATGCAATATAAGGAAGGGAAATTCCTCATCTCCATTACTACAGATGAAGACATGAGCAAAAGAATTTTGTTCCAGGTCATCCAGTAGGGGAGGCACAAGTCTGGGCTTAGGGCTTCTTCCAGGAAGCTCAAGAATGTGTGTGCTGCTTCCCTTACACATTAATGCAACGTGAGAGGGAGAAGACTACTCATTACCATTCCACAGATGAAGGGAGTCAAGAGTTTTGTTCAAGTTCTTCCAGTAGAGAAGTCATGAGTTGAAACACACAGGACTCACTCTCAATAACTTTTTTTTTTTTTTGAGACCGAGTCTCGTTCTGTCACCCAGGATGGAGTGCAGTGGTGCGATCTCGGTTCACTGCAACTTCCGCCGCCTGGGTTCAAGTGATTCTCCTGCCTCAGTTTCCCAAGTAGCTGGGATTATAGGTGTGCACCACCACCCCCAGCTAATTTTTGTATTTTTAGTGGAGACGGGATTTCACCAGGTTGGCCAGGCTGGTCTCAAACTCCTGAACTCAAGTGATCCGCCCATCTCGGCTTCCAAAAGTGCTGGGATTACAGGCATGAGCCACCGCACCCAGCCTTGCTCTCAGTAATTAAACAGGGGTTTTCCCCAAAGCCCACCAAGCCTCCCCTGAAAAGACTTTCTAGTGCAGAGCCCTTTTTCAGCTGAGCTCACATGACAAACCCAGGAGATCTTTTTCCCAGATCGGTTCCCTGACACACCTAATTGAGAAAACAGCTCAGCTCAGATGGGCCACGAGTTCCCCAAACAAAGTTACTGTTGGGGCCCAGGCCACCCTCCAATTTCCCTCAACACAAGTGCGTTCATGGATACAGTACAACAGGACAACGTACATTAAAAATAAAGACCAGCTCAATCCTGATCACGCTGGACAAAGACATTTAAAAACTTAATAAAAGGCTTCTGATTTCAGCAACGGGGAGCAAACACAAGTGGCCTTCATCTCACTTCCCAAAGCCAAGGGTGCTGGCAAGGTCTCTGATCTGTAAATAAAGTGGGAAGTTCATTACCAGGGCAGCTGCAGCCATCCACGCATCGCTCCTGACACATTTCATTGATGTGCAGGCTCTGGCAGGTCCTGGCGCAAGGGGACACACACTGCCTATACTCCATACCAGCAGGGCACACTGGGCCTGAAAAGGAACATCAAAGGGGTCTACCCAGGGCAGGTCCCACCGGTGCATCATCTCACCAGCCATGCCACAGCCTGAGCCTCTCGTGCCCACTCTGACTGCTCCCCTCTGTCTTCAGGCTTCCAGGTCCTTCTCACCCCCAGTGAGCCACGTGCCCCCCTGAGGCCACCCCTCCCTTAGATGAACATCTTCCATCTTGTGAGGCCCTTACCAAGACCCATCGGGGGCACCCAGGACCCCCACCCTTCCCCTTGGTCGCCTGCTCTCCATGTATAACTTGGCATTCTTTCCTCCCCTTCACCTAAAACCCTTTCAGAGTGACACCAAACTCCTCTAGGCTCAAAACAAGTGGAGTCCTACGACAAAGCAAGGAGCCATGGTGCCCTCCATCCCATCCCTCCTCCTTTTCCCCATGAAATTGGCCCCAATCAAATGCCCCACCCAGCACAGGGCACATTTGCCTGCATGGTGACACTCATTCCATATTTATTTCCACTCTGCCACAAGGCTGCCTTCACAGATATCACCTAAGCACTCTCTGTTCTTCCCAATGGAACCAGCTCCTCACTGCAAGGACAGGCTCTCCTCCTTCCTCTCTCTACCCTGTAGCTGAGCGACATTCAGGCTGACTGAAAGACCGAAACACATAAGCACTCTTTTCTGGGCTTTCTGACACCAAACTATTGCCCCTTAACCCTTCTCCAAGATACATCAGGTTATCTCCCCTACCCTACATTCACAGACCTAAAAAAAAAAAAAAAAAAAAAAACAGCCACTCGGCTTTACAGAGAAGAAACCAGCTGCTAGCATCCTCCTTCCTCACACCCCCACCACAGGCAGAAAGTTTGAATTCAGCAGCTATTTGCCACACACTGAGACACACGTGTGCAGTGTAAAGATGTGGCCGGCTCAGCTCATCTGTGGAACCATCACAGACTGCTTATCCGTCTGCATGGCTTTTAATCACTGGAAGGGCTGGGGAAAGAGGAGACTTCTTGCAAGGTGACCTCAGAAGTCCCCACTTAATCCTGATAATTTGGGGACAGTGACCATAACTAGGCACCCATTGAGACTGGAAGATGAAACACACAGCACGAGTAAGGCAGGAGGGATAGCGGTCATTAGCCTGGAGGAGAGAGATTTAATAAAAGAGAAGAACTTAATGAATGCTTTCTGCTCTCTCAAAGATCACCACACACGGACAGCCAGGTCAGCGTCCTGCTCCTCATCAATTCGGGCGGGCAGGCGGTGAAGACAAAAACCAAAACCGCAACTGCCAAGATCTTGGTGGGAAGCAGAGAACACTGTGTGAGTGCAGGGGTCGGATTTCCTGAGGGAAGTCAGGGGGCGCCAGGGGAGGCGTGGGGGCGGGACGGAGGCAGGGGCAGGACACGGGGCTTTGGGAAGCCCGTTTGACAGAGGGCAGGAGCCATTCAGGAAATGGGTCCGGGACACGTGGCTTTGTAGTCACTGGCTGGCTGGGTGTGGTAAAGCCGCACATACGTGACACAGCCCCGAAGCACCCTAAGGGACACCACCCAGGACAGACCGTTCATCCCCGGCAGGGCAGGACGGGGCAGGGGGCCGACTTACTGCACGCGCTGTGGTCGGTCCAGCCGTACAGCACCATTCCCTCCTGGGCACAGGTCCGGGCGTACTCCAGGAGGGCAGGGCAGGCGCACTCCAGCCCCCCAGCACACTCACACAAAGTCTTCTCACACAGGGCCACAAAAGGCTCGGGGTCCACCAGAGGGTGGCAGCGGGCAAACACCGAGGTGCTCTTCAGAAGCTGGCACTGCTCCCACAGGCCCTGCAGGAAGAGGGGCCGCCTCAGCGGTATGCTCCGTTAGTGTCTCCCTGAGTGTGGCACTGAGACTTAGCCCTGCTAGGGAAACCAAGGCAGCTCCCTCAGCACCTGGGACAGGCTGGCACCAAGCACATGCATGTGTTCAATGCACCAGCCCATCGACCAAGGAAAAGATGCTGGACCCGTGCAATGTGAAGTAGACCAAGGCTAAGGTTACATCCTAGACTGAGTCCTGGAAATGCAGAGTCCAAGGCCCTGGATTGCCATGGTGGGCAGTGTCCTAGGAACGGACAGAGGATGGAGAGAAGCACAAAGAGCATGCGCCCTGGAGTTGGCCTGGGTGGCTGCAGAGTCCAGGAATGCTGTCAGCATCGGTTCTGCACTGACCTGTTCAGCTCCCCTCCCTGACCTTGATCTTCTTCACTATGAATGAGGGGGATGGGACAAGGGGCTTTATAGAGATTTCTGGGTCTCACCCTAGGAGATCTGAATGCAGTAGTTTGGGATGGGGATCAGCAAGATTTTTTTTTTTTTAAACACTCCCCAGGTGATTGCTGGGGCCAGACGGGACCAGTTCCCATCAGCAACAGCATGCGCTGATTCTGTGGAATGTCCCAGACACACTGCAGCAAGCACGAGTATTCTTGGTTCTACCACTTTGCTGATGCCCTCAACCTGATAACACAGGCAGCTTTGGAATTGTCATCATTTCCTACTTCTGCTCACTCACGAGTATCAACGACCCTACGTTTTACCTAGAAACATCTCTCCATTCTGTATGTTAATGACTCTAAATACACCTTTTTCCCACAGTGTAACATCTCTGAAGTTGGATTGCGTCTTAGGATGGCTATCATATTTGAATTGGTAGGCTTTTGTTTCTGAGCGATACACAGAACAATGGTGTGTCTTAGAATCCATGATGTCTTTCTTAGCTTTGGCACAACACAGAGTCATGGATATATATGATCCCCATGATTTCTTTCTTGCATAACTTCTTGGATGCATAATGCAATACTCTCTGACTGACAAAGCTGCAAGTTCATGAAAAAACTTATGATCTTCAGCTAAAAAGAAAAAAGTGCAAGAATATCTCAATGGAAGGACTGGGTCCTGAAGGGTAAACTGGAGCCAGTTGGTATTTGGGAAAGGGGACAGCAAAAAAGAGGAAAGAAACGACCCGTTTTGAGGAGAGGGAAATTCAATCAGCTTGAATTGTACCAAGGGTCTCCAGAGCAAGCCTGTATAAATCTACAGTCGGGGCCAGGGGCCAGGCCTGTGGGCCTCCTGTTTTGCGGCGCCACAGAAAGCCCACAGGAATAGAAACCTGACCCCATCTGCTCACCGTTCTCGAAATCCAGTCCGGCAGCACAGGGACGTTGGTCCTAAGGAAATCAGTGTTCTAGCCCCAATGCCTGGTGCTAGGGCCCTGCCGCTTGCTAGGCCTCCACCCACTTCACCATCAAAGCCAAGCAGGCAGGCCTGGAAAAGATGCCCACACTTGTAATCCCAGCACTTTGGGAGGCCAAGTCGGGCGGATCACTTGAGATCAGGAATTTGAAACCAGCCTGGCCAATATGGTGAGACCCCATCTCTACTGAAAATATAAAACTTAGTGGGGCGTGGTGGCGCATGCTTGTAATCCCAGCTACTCGGGAGGCTGGGGCAAGAGAATTGCTTGAACGGCGGGGCAGGGGTGGAGGTTAAAGTGAGCTGAGATTGTGCCACTGCACTTCAGCCTGGGTGACAGAGCGAGACCCTGTCTCAAAAAACAAGCCGGGTTCTCTCTGCACCTTAGGAAAGCACCCACCGGCATGGGCTGCTCAACTGCAGAAGTGCAGCAGGTAGGCTCATGGGGACAGCCATCAGCTGCTCTGCGTCTCGGGGCCAACAGCAGCCCCTCCACGGCCCTGCCTTGCCCAATCCCCTTCTGCCGGGCGGGCACCCACGGCATGGCTATGACAAGCCTAGGCCTTAAAGCCCAGCTCTGCCACTTACTGGCGGTGGGGACTTAGGCAAATCAGCTCACCTGGTCAGAGAAGAGTGTCCCAGAGTGAGAATGACCTGTGGAAATGACCAGTCCCAGACGGCCTGTTGGGGCCACGTGAAGATGCCACAATGCCAGCACCACGTAGGCCAGCCATGAATGCAGGCCACTGTTGTGGGTCCCGGGACCACTTAGGTCTCAGGTGGTTACATGCAGCCTTCCATTGGTCACCCTGAGCATTTTACACAAGGGGAACCTGAGGCTTCTGAAAGCAATGACGAGGGAGACTGACAGAGGTGGGCAGGCCTGCCTTGGCCTCATCATGACTTCCACAGCCCCAGATTCAGCCCAGCGTCTTCCCCATGCTAGCGTGTGAGCTAAGCTGTTTACTCAACCCCTCCTCTGCAAAACAGGGGAGAATAGTAACAGTTCCTCTGGGACAAGACTAGTGAAGACTGAATGGAATATGCACGCGGAAGACTTACCTTAATAAATGATGACCCCTATCATCATCATCATCATCTTCATCATCTCCTGGCCTCCAGAGAGATCCCTCCGGCCACTAGGCTTACCCTCTAGAATAGTGAGCAGGTCCCCAGCAGGACAGAAGGACACCTTTCTCCTTTTCCCCTTATCTCCATCACCCTGGGCTATACTGAGATGAATGGTTGCCGAGCATTATCACTTCCTAGTATCTTGCGTGCTCCTTAGGGAACAGAGGGGCTGCTTGTATTCATCTTTCATTTGGGAAGTTCACACTTCTCCAGAACAAAGTGAGTTTCTAGTAGCAGGGAGGGAACCTCTCTTCTTTGCAATAGGCAGAACTTCCCATCCTCACTGCCAAGTTGGGGCTCAGGGAAGGAGACTGAGGCCTGTGTCTTTCCCTCCATTCTGCCATGCTGCCTACCCCATCAAAAATGTCATTCAGAGAATTACGTCACTGAACTCAGAGTGCAGATGAGGGTGTCCCAGAGAGGGTCATGTGCTCAGGCTATTGTCTAGCCTTTTCCCCACCCACAATTTGAAACTAGAGAAAACCTCAAAAATGCACTCCCTGGGGTTTTCCTGGTCATTGCTATGACTGCTGCCATCACCTGGGCTGTAGCAGAGTGGCTCGGAGCAGTCCCTGCACCACAGGACTGATTCCTGCAGGCACAGGGACAAGGAACCAGGGATTCTCACCAGCAGGACACAGTACCAGCCAAGGGAAAGAAGAGACCCAGGAATCCAGGCACCCTCCCCTCTCAGAGCCGTGACCAGACAGAGCCCAGCATGGCCCATCTCCAGCATTTCCAAATCACTCTTTTCCCACTCAGAGGGATAATGGGAACAGTACTCCAGCACATTTCCTGGGAGGTCCCTGGAGGCATTAAATGGCTTATAGAAAGCCTTAGCAAGAAGGGTGTTTCTGATGATTTGCCTGCAGGATGGGAGTGGATTTCTGCAGAAACAGCCACCTCCCTTCTTAGAACAATTCCTTTGGCCTCCACTGTACAAACTTCTGAAATCTGCCTAGGGTTTCTTTCTTAGCAGAAACAAAAGATAAAGTCTGTCCTCCCATTTTGTCCTTCAGTCTTCCTCTGGTCAGGCTTGGCCTGAACTTGGTCCACCTGAGTGGGCACAGCTGAGAGCCAGGCAGGACTTGCAGCTGGATCCGCACTCACCTGCAGCCATACCACATGGCATGTTTAGGTGGCTATCTCTGCTGCTCCCAGCTTCCCTGTTCTGCCACAGGTAGCCCTGCCAGACCAGACCAGGTCCTGAGACAGGACACAGAAACAGGTCCAAGGGCCAGGCGCGGTGGCTCACACCTGTAATCCCAGCACTTTTGGAGGCCAAGGCGGGCGGATCAAGAGGTCAGGAGATCAAGACCATCCTGGCTAACACGGTGAAACCCCATCTCTACTAAAAATACAAAAAAAAAATTAGCCGGGCATGGTGGCGGGCACCTGTAGTCCCAGCTATTCGGGAGGCTGAGGCAGGAGAATGGCATGAAGCCGGGAGGCAACGCTTGCAGTGAGCTGAGATCGCACCACTGCACTCTAGCCTGGGCGACAGAGTGAGACTCTGTCTCGAAAAAAAAAAAAAAATAGGTCCAAAGAGGAGTTGGCGTCTTGTACTCTCAGGCTCGTGGCAGAGACACTGGGATGCAGGTAGTGACCAAAACATTCACTCAACAAGCATTAGCAGTGTGGCCTCTGGGTCTCCAGCAGGGTGTCCAAGCCCATATAAAATGCAAGTCTAACTATGTATGTCCCACCCTGGCTGACAGGGCAAAGCTCTAGCTCATTAGGACACAGCAAAGCCAGGAAGCTCAGCCTTCATGATCTGACCCCAGCCTGGCTCTCCAGCCTCACCCTCCCTGCTCCCCACCTCACACACTGTGCCAGGCTCAAGGAATGCAATAGAAAGCAAACAGATCCCCCTCATAAAGCCCAGCAGGGAAATCTGCCCTCTACCCATCCCATCTGCCCTCCTGCATTTCCCCCTTCTTTGGCCCCCACTAACTCCCACCCCACACTTCAGATCAAGAGCCTCCTTTTCCAGGAAGGCTTCTCTGACAGGTCCTTCTCCCCACTCTGCCGAGTTAGGTGTTCTCACAGCCCTCTGGGGGCCTCTATTCTTGTACTGAAATGGTCCATTTCTGTGGCCGTCTCCTCCATTTCTCTGCAAGCTTTTCAAAGACAGGAGCTGTATTCCCAGGGCACTCATGGCAGGGAATAAGGATATGCTGAATCAAACCTAACAGTGATGAACGCAGACAGGAGTAAGTCATGCCTTTCATGCCCTCCAGCTCTTAACTGGCATTCAATCTACCTGAACCGGGTGTTTCCATGGGGATGTTTGCCTAACAGCCTGAAGACTTGGTTCTCACCTAGAGGTGTCTTCCCAATGGTGCAGCCAATGGCAGCAGCAAGAAACCTGCAGCTGAGACATCAGGGAAGGCTGCCTAACAGAAGGCAGTCTGCACAGGGCCCTGGATGCAACATAGGACTTAGGCTGCAGGGCAGGAGGGAGGCCATGTCAGGTGAAGCCAATGGCATAAGCTCAGGCAGGAGAAGAAACAGAGTCACCACGGCTGAGCCGAGCACTAAGACTCCAGCCCAGTCTTGCCGACAGATTCCCCAGGAAAGGCACAGCTGCCCGCTGAGAGGCTGTTCCAAGTCTGTGGCCTCAGCTTCTCTTAGCAGGTAGTTACGGCCCCATCATAATCCAAACCCAACCAAGCTCTCCTTGAGTAGGTGTCTACTTTCCGCCTGTTCCCACGCCCTCAGACCCTTCCGCGTGTGTTCCTGCCTGCGCGAAGTTCTCATAGACCCCTTTCTCTCACTCCCCCTAGGTTATGCCCTCCATGGCTTAGAAACGGCTCCGTGTGCCCTCTTTTCCTGTGGGAATTGGCACAATCATGCACACCAGTGGGTGGGGTGGGCAGCAGGAGCCAGGCGGGATGCCTAGGCCAGGCATCTCTGGCTCTTACCATCCACTCAGTCACGGGGGGCTATTGGCTCATAGAGCTCCCTGCCCAGAAGGCCCTCCACAGATTCTCCGCCCATCCTCCTGCGTTCAGGAAAGGCTGAGGCAAACCTCACCTCCTTCTCCACAGCTGACCTCTCTCCTAGCCCACCTAAAGTACTTTCAGAGACCATCTCATCACCCATGCCACAAATGGGCCCTTCAGAGGCCTGAAGACACCTCCAAAGAACACAGCTCTCCTCAGACAAAGGCTGATACAGACAGCCTTTCAGATTTAGAAACTGAAGCATGGAGTGGGTAAAGAATTTACTAGGCCAGTGGTGTTTTTTGTTTTGTTTTGTTTTGTTTTGAGACAGAGTCTCGCTCTGTCACCAGGCTGGAGTATAGTGGCACGATCTCAGCTCACTGCAACCTCCGACTTCCTGGTTCAAGGGATTCTCCTGCCTCAGCCTCCCAAGTAGCTGGGATTACAGGTACGCGCAACCATGCCCAGCTAATTTTTGTATTTTTAGTACAGACGGAGTTTCACCATGTTGGCCAGGATGGCCTCGATCTCCTGACCTCGTGATCCACCCGCCTTTGCCTCCCAAAGCTCTGGGATTACAGGAGTGAGCCACGGCACCTGGCCTAAGTCAGTGGTTCTTAAGGTGAGGTCCAGGGATCGCCTAGGACTCCCAAGATCCTTTCAGCAGTGCACGAGGTCAAAACTGTTTTTATAATAATACTAAGATGCTATTTGCAATTTTTTCTCTCACTCTTTCACCAGAGTGCAGTGCAGTTTTCCGAGGCTATGAGACATGAGATATCCCAACAGATTTAAATGCAGACGCAGATATGAGAGTCCAGATGATGTATCTGAAGCCAGACAGCAAGGAGATTTGCAAAACTGTAAAACAGTGTCATTTTTCCCCTAAATTATTTTTTGGCTTGGAATTTATCGTTCTTTTTATTTAAAAATATGGTGTTTTTTTTTTTGAAACGCAGTCTCGCTCTGTCGCCCAGGCTGGAGTGCAGTGGCACAATCTCGGCTCACTGCAACCTCTGCCTCTAGGGTTCAAGCAATTCTCTTGCCTCAGCCTCCTGAGTAGCTGATATTACAGGTGCACACCACCACGCCCGGCTAATTTTTGTATTTTTAGTAGAGACTGGGTTCCACCATGTTGGTCAGGCTGGTCTCGAACTCCTGACCTCATGATCTGCCCGCCTAGGCCTCCCAAAGTGCTGGGATTGCAGGCGTGAGCCACCGCGCCTGGCCTAAAAATATGTTCTTTACATTAAATATGATGAGCTTGTTATTTTAAAATGAATCAAAAAATGTTTTAAATTTGTTTTAATATCTAATATGGTAAGTATCAAGAGTTATGACCCACATAAACAAAATCTCTTTAAAGTCCTTCATTATTTTTTAAGAGTATACAGGGGCCCTGCGATTAAACAGTTGGAGAACTGCTATACAATCGTTAAATTTTAAGTTTAGCCGAAAGCTGCCTCCTTACATATTTTAAGTTAGGCCTAAAGGTTTCTCCCTACATAATGAACTGTAACCTAACTGGAGATGTAAACACACTGTAACCTCCTCTTGGGGCAGCCCACTGTTCAAACTACGTTCTAATAAGGCAAATGTTGCGCTGTAGCCAATCCAACTGTTTCTCTACCTCACTTCCAGTTTCTGTAAGTCACTTGTCTTTTTCTGTCCATAAATCTTCTTTGACCATGAGGCAGGCCAGAGTCTCTCTGAGCCTGTTCTGATTCGGGGGCTGCCTGGTTCATGCATCATTCTTTGCTCAAGTAAACCCTGTTAAATTTAATTTGTCTCAGGTTTTTCTTTTAACACTAGTGATGGGGTGCAAACCCTGAGTGCCTGAGTCCATTCCAAACCACAAATTACAGTTTTCCATCCTGCCCTCCCACTCCTGTTTCCTAGCAATCAGATTAGAAGACAGGGTCATACAGTGGCTGTAGCTCAGGTTTTAGAAGCATGGTTGGGCTAGAATCTCAACCCATCACTTTCTTTTTTTAGATGAAGTCTCGCTCTTGTTGCCCAGGCTGGAGTGCAATGGCGTGATCTCAGCTCAATGCAACCTCTGCCTCTCGCAACCCATCACTTTCAAAGCGTGTGACTTTAAGAAAATGATCTTGGCCAAGTGCAGTGGCTCACACCTGTAATCCCAGCACTCTTGTATTTTTAGTAGAGATGGGGTTTTGCCATGTTGGAAGGGTAGTCTCAAACTTCTGACCTCATGATCCACCCACCTCGGCCTCCCAAAGTACTGGGATTACAGGCGTGAGCCACCGCAACCGGCCTGATCCCAGCACTTTTGGAGGCCAAAGTGGGCAGATCACTTGAGTCCAGGAGTTTGAGACCAGCAATATGGCAAAACCTTATCTCTACAAAAATATCCAAAATTAGCCAGGCGTGGTGGCACGTGCCTGTAGTCTCAGCTACTAGAGAGGCTGAGGTGGGAGGATCACTTGAGCCTGGGAGGCAGAGGTTGCAGTGAGCCAAGATTGCACCACGGCACTCCAGCCTGGGCAAGAGAGCGAGACTCCGTCGCAAAAAACAAAAAAGAAAAGGAAAATTATCTTGCCTCTCTGCATCCTCATTTCCCTACCTGTGAAAGAGGGGAAAAGTGGAAGAGGTTGAAAGTTGTCCAGGAGCTATTCTCCCCTTCTTAGTCACAGAATCCTCAGTTTTCAATTTCCCACCCCCACGGGGCACAGAGCTGCTAGGAATAAGATTCCATTTCTCAGCCTCCCTTGCAGCTGGGGGCAGCCATATGACTAAGCAATACCCAGTAGGCTATAAGCAGAGGGGTCTTGTGCAACCTCCACCAAGTGTCCTCAAAATAAGGGACTGCTTCTTCCTTAGTCCCTTCTCTTTCTACTGCGGGAATGTAGTTGTGATGCCTGAAGCTTGAGCCGGCGTTTTGGTGCACAAGGTAGAAGCCCCCACTGGGGACAACAGAGAAATAAGACAGAGGGACCCTGGATCCCAACACCATGAGATCTTGCATGGCCCTGGACATCCTACCCCAAACTTCTTTACATGAGAGATAAATAAACTTAGATTGTATAAGTCCTGTCACTCACAGCTGAACCTACTCCTAACTGACACAGACAGCAGTACTTGGACCTACCCTAGATGGTTTCTGCAAAATGAAATCAAATGAGATGACACCAGGAAATCAAATGCTTATAACTATTCTCATTTGCCTGCAATCGGTACTGGCTCCTCAGTTCTCTGCTAAACCATTCTGGCAGGGATGCAAAACAAGGGCCAGCTAATTTGCACACTTCCAGCATCTCCCTGGCTCCAAGGCCCTGCATCAGCTACTCCTGTCTTCTTTCAACTCCTGTCGGCCGTGCCAGGAGCTGCGGGAGAGCAGCTGCCCCAGCCCATCCAGCCATGACCTCACCATGCCTGGGTTGGTGTGCAGGCCCAATTGTGGCCCATCTTAATCACATTTCCAGTTCATTAAAGAAGACCAGGCATCTTCCCTGGAGACATCAGGCGGGTGCAGGGGAGGAGGAGGGAAAGCAAGCACATCTCAGTGGCAGGCAGCAGGAGGAGAGAAAGCAGAGCCAGAGATCTGAAGCTTAGCTATTGTGTTTGCTCCCAAGCAGCTGACAAAGGAGAAGGGAGGGGGACATTCCTAGGACTGAGTGAACAAAGAAAGGAAAGTCTAATACATAGAGTGCAATATTGTTCCACAAGCCCTGATCTTTCTAGCTCTGGGATGGGTGCCCTGCAGCAGCCCCTGGTAGGTATGGAGGCGCCTGGAGTCTGAGCTGCTCCAAAGTAGTGGGTTCAAGAATTCACCCTGCAGCAGGGAATACTTTCTCATTGGTCAGCTGTAATGATGGGTGGGGGAGGGTAGCTGATTCTATTTATAACTTCTGGCCGGCCCAAGATTCCCACCCGCATTCCAAGATTCTGACTCACAAGGACCTGGTGAAACCTGTTGATAGATTTCCACCAAATGGATGGTTTCTGCAGAGCTTGACATTCCTCTCTCTAAGATAGCTGGGGTCCAGTGCTCATGAGAAGTAGGAGACTTGGCCATGGACCTCTCTAAGGGACCCTCCTCACCTTCTCCTTGGGGCTCCTGGAGGCATCTGAGCAGCTTCTAGGGATTAGGGCATGCTGGCTGGATGGACAAGGACGGGGCACCATTCCCTGGTTCCCAGTCTAGGGCCTACCAAGCTCTGGGGATGGAAAGCAGCCCTTTCTGAATCACTCACCCATCCTGCTCCCAGCAAGAAAAAAGCATCAGCTCTGTGACAGGAGCTAATTCCCCTAAGCTGCGCTATCACTTACCATTCACTTGGCGATTTGTCATTTACTAACCCCAGACAGTCTTTCATGGTTTAATTTCTCTTACGTGTCTTGTCCCTTAGTCTACGTTGTATCACGCAAGCCATATGAAACATCTCAGTGAATATGCACTTATGGGCACCATCAGATTCTTGTCCATTCTGTTGCTCACCAGGGAAAAGGAAAAGGGAAAGGAACCCACCTGAGAAATAGTTCGTTAAAGGATTTTGGGAACATTATGTTAGGGAGGCCTTTGAATTGAATGCTTGGGTGCTAGGTCCTTATCCAACTCTCCTCAAGGGCTTGTCAAATGAGCAACATAAAAAGCCAAGTTCCAATGAGAACACATGGACACAGGGAGGGGAACATCACACACCACGGCCTGTGGGCGGGGAGGGGGGGCGCGGGGGGCGGGGGCAAGGAGAGAGCGAGCATTAGGACAAACACCTAATGCATGTGGGGCTTAAAACCTAAATGATGGGTTGATAGGTGCAGCAAACTACCATGGCACATGTATGCCTATGTAACAAACCTGCACGTTCAGCACATGTATCCCAGAACTTAAAGTAAAATTTTAAAAAAAAATTTTTAAAGGCCAAGTTCAAGGGAAATCTGCAAAACCCCATGGTAGCCACTGACCTCTGCCATGAGGCTAGACCCCCAAGGGAACAGTGGCCAAGGTCACCACTGTTTCACCACAACCATTGGCTCCCTGCCCTTCTCCCATCCTGCACTCAGGTGAGCCAGTCTGCTGTAAAGAAAGGGTGCCTATCCATGGGGGGTTCCGTGGAGCTCTGTTTACCTCAGAGAGGGAAGACTGAGAGGCAGAGTAGGAAAGTAACTTACACGAGGACATGCAGAGAATTGGGCCAAACCAGGGACTGCCCCCTGGATTCTTGGACCTCACTAAAGCACTTGAAATAAGTCCTCATTCCTTAGCCTATCAATGACTCAAGAAAGAGAGACTTGAGAGAGCAGTTCTCATCAAAACGGGGAAAGACACGTGTGTACTTATTGCAAACCCCAGCTCTGAGCTTGGTGTCACTGGGGCATAGTGGGTGGGCACCCCAACTCTAAAACCAGGGCCATCATCTGACAACTAACTTCTCTGGGATCCTGCATTCCAAGGGTCCTTCCTTGAGATCTACTGACCTTCTCTGGGCCAGGCTCTCCCCTGACAACTGTACTCTATGAATCACAACTATGCTACCAAGCAAACAAATGTAACAAAATTCTTCCCAGTCTCCAAGAAAAGTCCATTCCAGACCAAAACTGCCAATTAAGTGAATGGAAGAGGCAAGGAGAAGAAGGAGGGAAGGCAGAAGTGGGCCTAGACAGTGAGACCCAAGTCCGCTGGGCTTACATTGCCTCCCTCCATGCCTGTGAATTTCCCTTTCAGAGTCACCATGAGCAGAAATAGCAGAAAGGGCTGGTAGGTCCTTTGCAAATAAAAGGCTTGAGCAATATTTAATGAGAACATGAAGAGTGAACTGCTTTGTCTCTAACGGAATGGGTATTTTCTGTGCCTCTTTGGGCTACTGAGGAGGCATGCTGTGATTATTCAAAGTCAACATGACTGTTTAAAATGTTAGCTCAAGCAGGACAGGTGATTTTCTGGGAGGAAGAGGAATCACAGGTGAACTGCATGCTGTTTCAGAGGAGGCGGAAAGAGTTCTACAAGATAATGGAGGACGCGAGAGAATGTGAAGACATGAATGGCCAAAGAAAATAAGGCTTGTGTTCACCTAATAAACACCAAATTCAGAGACCAGTGGAAAACAGGAAATCTGAGGCTATTCAGTGACTGACAGGACTGCAATTGATGTGAGCTCCTGAGCCAGACCAGGAGAAACCAGACCCAAAGCACCTGCTTCTCCAGTATTCAGGGACACGGAAGGACAGGGCTTTAGCTTCGAACGGGCATACAATGAAAGAAGGAATTTACCAGGGAGTAAAGGAGGGCTGCCTAGGGCTGAGGTCTGCAAGATGGCTGGGAAGCGCCCAGCAAGGGTGTCTCAAAGACTTAACTCTTTTTTTTTTTTTTTTTTTTTTGAGACAGAGTCTCACCCTGTCGCCCAGGCTGGAGTGCAGTGGTGCGATCTCGGCTCACTGCAAGCTTCGCCTCCCGGGTTCACGCCATTCTCCTGCTTCAGCCTCCCGAGTAGCTGGGACTACAGGCGCCCGCCACCACGCCCGGCTAATTTTTTTTTTTTTGTATTGTTAGTAGAGACGGGGCTTCACTGTGTTAGCCAGGATGGTCTCGACCTCCTGACCTCGTGATCCGCCCGCCTCGGCCTCCCAAAGTGCCGGGATTACAGGCTGAGCCCCCGCGCCTGGCCAAGATTTAACTCTTACAGTCAAGGTCACAGCATAACCTGTCTACCCAGACACAGTTTGTGGAGAGCATTCATGCGGCAGGTAGGGGGTTGAAGTAGATATCTGCTAGATTCTCAACCAACTCTGAGTTCTTATGAGCCTAAGATTCCTAACATTGATGAAAAGAAATTTCTTCCACTTCAGACAGCTGTCGGAGGTTGCTGCTGCTGCTGAATGATTCACCACTCTACGGTAGGTAGAGTGGTAACTGGTGCACTCAGTTTCTCAATAGAGACTGATCGCCTTGAGGAGGTGATCCTGAGCGAGGAGATGATGGTCACAGAGACTGTGCCTCCCTGAGGAAGCCAGGCCAACACCATCACATGTCATGATGCAAGCCACACAGTCCACACAGTGGCAACACACCAAGTGACTACTGTTCATATGGTAGACATTGTAGAGGTATATACATGTACATTATATGTTCAGTTATTATGTTTATCTTGGCCGTTTCCCGGCAGGTGGTGGTGAAGTTTCTTGAGAAAGGGGTGCCTTTGGCCGGGCGCGGTGGCTCACGCCTGTAATCCCAACACTTTCGGAGGCCGAGGCGGGCAGATCATGAGATCAGGAGATCGAGACCATCCTGGCTAACACGGTGAAAACCCGTCTCTACTAAAAAATATAAAGAATTAACTGGGCGTGGTGACAGGCGCATGTAGTCCCAGCTACTCGGGAGGCTGAGGCGGGAGAATGGCGTGAACCCGGGAGGCGGAGCTTGCAGTGAGCCAAGATCGCACTACTGCACTCCAGCCTGGGCGACAGAGCGAGACTCTGTCTAAAAAAAAAAAAAAAGCGAGAGAGAGAGAGAGAAAGGGGTGCCTTTTTCTAATTAGCAAAAGCATGCTATGAGCTGGATGCAGCCCAAGCCCAGCCCCCCGGAGCCTTGGGCTTCCTGTTGCAGACAGGACTACAGGACAAAGCCAAGATCCCTTTGTAAGGTTCAGTCCTTGCTGGCCTTCCCCAGTCTGATCGAATTTTTTTAAAGTGATCTAAGGGTCTTTCTTTCTCAAAGGTACACTTTGTGATAGTTACCTGCAGATGAACATCAATTATCTGAATGTTCATAGCTTGGGGCTCCAAACTCCAACCATCTTGCCTTCAGTTTGAAAAGCTGAAAAAACTGCAAATTTGCATGCAATCAAACAAGGCCATTATCAGTCCCAGTGGAGACAGGCATTGGGTTTTGTTGGCATAACAAGGAAACATTCATTCCCTAGGTATAACTAACAAGTAATATGACCTGGCTCTCAGAATGAGCTGACTCCTTGCTATGCCCTAGAAAGACAGAAAGCACCAGAGGGTTGGGGAAGTAGATTCTGGAGGCTGTCAAGGAAAGTTTCAAGGTCAGTGTGAACTCCCACACAAAACACTCTGCCACCCCGAACGGCCCTTGGAGCCACAACAGCAGACACTCATAAATGATGCGGCATTTACCAGACCGGACTTCTGAACCTGGGGGCCCTGCGGGACTACACAGGCTGTGAACAATTCAAAAGGCCATATTAATCACCTCTTGGGAGACGAGTCATTGTGCTTCCGAGCCAGTGAAAAAACCTCGGTTGTGGGCAAACACTATCTGATTGGCTGAGGACAAAGCAGTCTTCTCTTCTCAGGTAAACAACCTGAAACCGGGAGTTCTGAGCTGGGAGGAGCTTGTGCCTCTGGGAGGTCTCACGTGTTTGTGGCCTCAGCCCAACACGAAGAACCTGGTACCCAGTTTTTTCAGCTGTTCCCAGGACACTGGTTAGTAAGGACTTTAATGCACCCAGGAGACAAAGCGAGTAGCTAGGGTACAGCTGGAGCCTCAGAAAGGTGCCCCGGGAGGCAAACAAGGCTTCTCTTGCATTCTCCCTCCCCTTTGTCTCCAGGAGACAAACCTCCCAGTCTCCCTCCTCAACCCGACCTCAGGATCAGGTTCTCCACTTGAGAATCCTGTCTTTACCTCCCACTCAGTATGGATAAATGAGATCATTCCTTTGTATTCCGAGGGTAGGGAACATTTGTCAAGTACTTACTCTGCACTGGGCTATGTTTGCAAAATAAAATGAGACCAAAAATAATAAATCTTTGAAGCCATGTTTCAGTATTAGAGGTACCTCCACAGCCACCCTGACCCCACCTCACCCACTGAAGCACCCACCACCTCCCCTTCATCTGCCTGGAGAACACTGAAGGGCAGCCGAGGGTGACCCACCTGCCAACAGCACAACTGTATGTTTGGGAAAAAAAGAAAGAAATTATGAAAATCTGTCCTCTTTTTTCTTTTTTTTTGTTTGAGATGGAGTCTCGCTGTGTCACCCAGGCTGGAGTGCAGTAGTGCAATCTCGGCTCACTGCAAGCTCTGCCTCCCAGGTTCATGCCATTCTCCTGCCTCAGCCTCCCGAGTAGCTGGGACTACAGGCACCTGCCACCACACCTGGCTAATTTTTTGTATTTTTAGTAGAGACGGGGTTTCACCATGTTAGCCAGGATGGTCTCAATCTCCTGACCTCGTGATCCACCCACCTCAGCCTCCCAAAGTGCTGGGATTACAGGCGTGAGCCACCGTGCCCGGCCGAAAATCTGTCCTCTCTTACACAATACCTCGAGTGCACTCAATTTGAAATCCATCTGGGTTCACAAACCGCTCTAGAAGGAAGGCTGGTTCCTGTCACTTACCCACTTGGAGGTGTGGAGATATCTGGGCACCTTGTTTTCCTTCTAACCTCAAGCTGTGCTCGGCTACCCAAAAGGAATGGGTTATAGTTGCGAGGGGGAAGGAGAAAAAGAATGCGTGTTGAAACTTGTGCTTAAAGCCCGGCGTGTGCTTGTCCTGCTTCTGCCGGCTCCCATTCTCAAGGCAGGGGCACTCCAGCGGAAAACACGGGACAGTGGGAGAATATGGGGAGCCAGCTAACAACAACTCCTCCTCCTCCTCCTCCTCCTCCTTCTCGTCCTCCTCCTCCTCCTCATCATCATCATGGCTCTTAACAGTTGAGCCCCACTGGGCTAAACTCTATACATATTATCCCTCTCTTACCTTTTCAGTGACCCAGCAGGTACTATTTCTGCTTTACAAATGTGGAAACTGAGGCTCTGCAAAGGCACTTGTCTTGCCCAGATTCACAAAGCCAGTAAGTGAGCTGACTCAAACCCACACCCTTAGCACCACGCTCACGCCGAGGCCCAGGGTGAGAGACACTCAAGGGGCTATCAAGGGTATGGTTCAGGCATTTAGAACTTTGACTGCAAAGAAGAGGAAACTCCTCCCTTCCACAAGACAGCACCCTCCCCTCACGTGCTAGAACTCAGTCCGCCTTTGTTAGTGCCGGTACTGGGCTAGGATCCAGGTGATGCAGACTTTGATGGACTAACCAGAGGACCTAGCACCACCAAAGTCCAAGGGAAAAAGTCTTTTGGAATGTACTTGTTTATAAGGTGGAGATTGTCTGTTCACAATTTAGGCAGCTGGATTTAGCATCAACTCAGAATATTTTTCTGGGTCTGACATTCTCCTTGGTCAGAGGTCAAATTGTTCCATGAAGATGAAGACTCACTGAATTAATAACCAGCTAAAACGAAGCTTCCTCGTGTTACCGTGATGGGGGGTGGGTGGGAGGAGGGAGATGTGGGTGTGTTTTATTTTGTTTCTGGAATAGGAGAGGGCTGGGTTTCTCTACTTATGTACTTACTTAGATAAATCAGATTTCTACAAGTAAAGGAGTCTGGATTATTGTGGAGGTCACAATCCCTAGATAAATTACACCACCAATTTCCATTCATCCACCCATCCAATATTTATTAAGACCTATTATATACTGTCTCTATAGCCCAATCCACAGAAACACATAATGAAAGAGTTTTGGTTTTGGTTTTGTTTTATAGACAGGGTCTCACTCTGTTGCCCAGGCTGGAGTGCAGTGGTGCAATTGTAGCTCACTGCAGCCTCTACCTCCTGGGCTCAAGTGATCCTCCTGACTCAGCCTCCTGAGCAGCTGGGTCTACAGGTATGAGCCACCGCACCAGGCTAATAAAGGGTTTTAGAACTTAAAGAAACCTTAAGAACCTGCAAAGCCCAACTCCCCAAGAGAAACACAAGGGCCCACTGGTAGAAATAACTTGAGTAGCCTGAACCAATGTGACCCGAACAGGAAAGGGAGGGAGCCAGGCAGGGCATGAGTCCTGGCTCTGCACCTTGCTAGCTGGCGACTTGGGGCAGCTACTTAACCTCCTATGGCTTGTTTTCTCATGGGATGAACAAAATCACAGAGCACCTGCCCTACTGCTCTGCTGATGGGCTGCGCACTCGGGTGACTGCAGCATGCACTCACGCTCTGCAGAGTGGCCCATGCCCAGACAAAGGCAACTGTGGCCTGTCGCGTCCATCATGACCATGGTCCTGGGTATAGGCAGGGGCCACCCTCTTTGTGCATGTTTGTAGGTTTTCAGAAAAAAATAAAATCCTAAGCCCCCCTACCGACTAAACGGACTCCCCCTTGGCCAAAGGGACCCCAGAGAAATATTAAAACTGAGTTCCTGGCCATGATAGGATGGGAGGTTGAACACCCCTCCTTATACCCTCTCCCTCGCTAACCACCATTAGACTTTCTTTCCTAAGAGTTAAACAGAACTGGCCCAGCAGGGACTCCCTTCCCTTTTTGCGGGTTTTTTTTTTTCTTTTGAGACAGGGTCTCACATTTTCACCCAGGCTGGAGTGTAGTGATGCAATCTCAACTCACTGCAGCTTCTGCCTCCCAGGTTCAAGCCATCTTCCCACCTCAGCCCTCCCATTAGCTGGGATTACTGGTGCACCACCATGCCCAGCTAGTATGTGTTTGTCTGTGTGTGTGTGTGTGCACGCGCGTGTGCCACCATGCCCAGCTAGTGTGTGTGCGTGCGTGCATGCCACCATGCCCAGCTAGTTAGTGAGTGAGTGAGAGTGTGTGTGTGTGTGTGTGTGTGTGTGTGTGTGTGTGTGTGTGTGTGTGTGTGTGCTGACCAGCATTCCTTCCTGGTAAGAGACCACCAACCACGGAATGGTTCTGGCTGATTTACAGAGGCTGTGCACAAGATGCCTCTGTGTCCTCCATTTCACCTTTTGACCTATAGAGGCTAATTTTAATGCATTTAAATGTTAAGTCTCCATCCCAAAATGAATGTGGGACATATGTAACATGTATGTTTGCTTACTGTATATGCAAATGCCTCCTCCCATTATGAATATTCATAGCTCCTCCCATAACCTGTTAAATATGTACACTGAGCCAACCCTTTTGGAATAAGTTTCTATTCCACCCCTTTCTCCCTTGAAGTGCCTGCTTTCAGTTTCTACCAGAGGCTACACTTCCCAGCCTGCAGGATGGCCAGCCTGCAGGCCACAACTCTGAATAAGAAAAGCTCTCCTCTCTAAGTTTATGAACCTTGTGATTCTTCAGTTGACATTTTTGACAGTGTGGTTGCTCTCTGGATAAGGGCAGGAAGGTGGTGCTGTCAAGCAGAGCAGCTTTGTAGAGGGTGTCGGGGCACAGCGTAGGTGTCGGGGCACAGCGTAGGTGCCCATTCAGAGCCCGAGGACTCATCCACCAGCTGTCCAGTGTTGGCTGCCAAGGGCTCACCACTGAGTCATTCCTCAGGAATGGCCCTCAGCCCAAGGGAGTTCCACCTCCTTACCCAGGGCAGCCCACATCCAGTGACCAACAGGGGCCACTCCACCTTCCAGAGCTCCTTGAAGGATCAGCTGAGGCCCCGCTGAAGCTCTATCAGTGCTATCACAAGCAGTTCAACTTCTCCCACTGCCCAACTCTGCTTCTCTCACTTCCTAACCAAGGCTGCTCGAGAGCTCCCCAGTAAACCTCCTGCATACAAACGTCCCGCCCAGGGAGGCTGACTCACAGCACCACCAAGGAACCTTGCTCCTCAGATGATGAGTCTCTGAGCACAATCCCAAAAGGGCAACAACCCCTGTTCCCCACAGGAGTCCAGCTTCACAGCTGCACCTACCTCCTCAGCCCAAGTCAGCCTGTTCCACAGTGGGGAGGGAATTACCCATTGAGTGAGGTCTTGCCCCACATAAAGCATTCTTGCCCCAAACACCCACACACAGAGAGGCACAAAGACCATCTTTACCTGTGGCAGGTGAAGGCAGAGTGTGGTCTGGCCACCCCTCCCCACCTCCCCTTCTCTCCAGTGTGAGGTCCTGGTGAGTGAGATCATGAATGGCAACTCTGATGCAGACAGAGCTGCTACAAGGCTACCTTGTAAGTGGCAACAGGGCTCTGTGGAAGGGGTGGGGCAGTCCTCCCAGCCTTGTCAGGGTTGGCAGGCATTAGCACACACAGGAGAGGAGAAGGCCATGTGACCACAGAGGCAGAAATTGAAGTCATGAGCCCAAAGACAGGGAATGCCGCTGCCACCCAAAAATGACGGAAGCAAGGACCTAGAGCCTCTGGAAGGAGCAAAGCCAGCCAACACCTTGATCTCAGCCCAGGGAAACTAAATTTGGACCTCCAGCCTCCAGAACTGGGAGAAAATAAATGCCTACTGTTTTAAGCCATTGAGTATGAGATAATTTGTTACAGCAGCTTCAGGAAGCCATCCTGACATCCAAGCTATGTCACTTCAGGCACAGCCTCTCACTCAGACTCCCTTCAGTGTCTGCAACTATAAAGTAGTTTTCCTTCCAGCTGAGCTGGTATAAGAGGAGGCTTTCCCTCCTATTTCTAGTTTACAACAGCCACTTAAGAAAGAAGTGGCTTTTTTCTATCGGTAAAATTTCAGACACCTAGCAGGTGATGATGGAGATATTTGGGGACAAAAGAGGGCACTGGAGTCTAAAACAGAAAAGCATAGTTACTTATTGCTATGGTTCAACTGTCTACGTCCTCCAAAATCCATGTGTTGGAACCTAAACCCCAAAGTGACGCTATTAAAAGGTGGCGCCTTTTAGGAAGTGATGAAGTCCTGAGGGCTCTGCCTTCGTGAATGGATTAGTGCTCTGATAAAAGAGGCAGATGAGAGCACTTCAGTGTACTTTTTTTCTTTTTTTTTAATTGAGACAGAGTCTGGCTCTGTCACCCAGGATGGAGTGCAGTGGCACGATCTCAGTTCACTGAAACCTCCACCTCCCAGGTTCAAGCAATTCTCCTGCCTCAGCCTCCTGAGTAGCTGGGATTATAGGCACATGCCACCATGCCCAGCTAATTTTTTTTTTTTTTTTTTTTTTGAGACAGAGTCTCACTCTGTCGCCCAGGCTGGAGTGCTAAGCTCCGCCTCCTGGGTTCACGTCATTCTCCTGCCTCAGTCTCCCGAGTAGCTGGGACTACAGGCGCCCAGATGGTTTCGATCTCCTGATCTCGTGATCCACCCACCTTGGCCTCCCAAAGTGCTGGGATTACAGGAATGAGCCACAGGACCCGGCTTCAGGTCACAGCAAGAAGGTCCTTGCAAGACACTGAATGCTGGTACCTTGATTTTGGGCTGCCTAGCCTCCAGAACTATAAAAGATAATTTATGTTCCTTAAAATTACCCAGTCTCAGGCATTTGTTATAGCAGCACAAATGGACTGAGACACTACACCAAGTCATTAGCCCAGACTCATTTTTAGAGCTTCAGGCTCGAGATGTATTAGAATTAGACTCTAGCCACAGTTAGTTTTGGAGGAAATGGCCCTGCGTAAGTCCATTCCTCCCCCAGATGGAAGGATATGAGACTGAGTCCTTCTGTCTTTTAGATCCAGAAATCACACACCATCCAGGTGCACCCAGGCCAGTCCACACCCACCTTCTGCATTTCCCCAGAGGAGATGTTGCATGAGCTGCTGGGAGGAGATGCCCGTTCACACCACTGTTCTCCACTGCTCAGAGCCCATGAGTTGGCAAAGTCATAAGGGTCCGAGGTCAAGGTCCCTGTGGAGGAAAGTTTCAGGAAAGTAATGCTTCAGTTATGCCTGTCCCAGAACTTCTGGGTGAAAATTCTAGGTCTGCTGGTGGTTTTGTGTGTTTTGTTTTAATTTTTTATAAAGAGACAGGGTCTGGCTATGTTTCCCAGGCTGGAGTGCAGCGGCTATTCACAAGTGCAATCCCACTACTGAGCAGCACAGGAGTTTTGACTTGACCCATCTCTGGCTTGGCTGGTTCACCCCTCCTCAGGCAACCCAGTTGTCCCCCACTCCCCAGGAGGCCCCCATATTGATGCATAGTGCTCTGCAGCCCAGAACACCTGGGCTCAAGCAATCCTCCCCCATCAGCCTCCCCAGTAGCTGGGAATGCAGGTGTGGGCCACCACACCAGGCTCTAGGTCTGTTTTTACCTGAATCAAACTTGTATTAAATTAAACAATAAGCATGCATACAGTGCTCAACCTAACACCACAGGGCATGGGCATCAGAGCTCAGCAGACGCTTGGAGACTGAAGAAGGATGGATGGATAGATGGATGGATGGATGGATGGATGGATGGATGGATGGATGGATGGATGGACGGTTACAATTACGATGAGGGAGATGAGGTGAAAGATGATGAGGAAATGCCCTTTCCCTGTCACTTCTCCATGCCTTCATGTGCCTTTCTCCCTCCATGTGGAATGTTCTCCTCCCCCTTATTGCCTTAACTATCTCCATTCCTTCTTCAAGATGCAGCTCAAGAACCACTGCCTCCAGGTGTGGTCCTGGTGAGTGAATGGTCCTTTCTGAACAGCTCTACTCCCATTTCGCACCCCAGCCTGTATGGGTGTCACCTTCCCTGTGCCCCATGGCACCTGGGCATCCCTCTACCAAAACACTCATCACCTTTGGTTTGTATTCTTTTTGCTCATATTCATCTCCCATTCAACTGTGAGCTCCTTACTTAAGGGTATGGGCTGTGTCTCTTATCTCTAAATTCTTATACAGTGGATTACGAATGCTCAAAATATTTTTGCAGAATGAAGGTAAGAATATGACATGGAACCTAAGCCCAGTCCCCAAGTCACTGCATACTCCAGGCTCTCACAGCATCTGTGCTTTAGTACTTATAGTGCTCATGCTACTGTCAGCTACTCACAATAGACTGTGAGGGCCTCGTGGACCTACATGGCCTAGTGCAAAGTAATTGCGTAATCTGTATTACAAAGGCAGTATGAGACTACTACCTTTGCAGTATTGGGATGAGCAGTTTTCTGCATAGCCAGGCCTGGAAGAGAGAAGTAGGTCTCAAGGTCAAGTAATGCATTTGCAAATAGTAAATAAACTGTCCCCAGGGAAGGAAAATATAAATGAGACCTTGGAATATAGTCAGTTGGTATGTGGGGGTTTGATAGGCAGAAAAAGATCCCCCCCACACCAAAGATATATTCACTTCCTAATCCCTGGAGCATGTAAATATTATCTCATATGGCAAAAGATGTGCTTGAGTTAGGGATCTTGAGAGGAAGAGTTTCTCTTGGATTACTTGGGTAAGCCTAAATGCAATCACCTGTATCCTTATAAGAGATGGGTAGAGGCCGGGCACGGTGGCTGACACCTGTAATCCAGCACTTTGGGAGGCCAAGGAGGGTGGATCACGAGGTCAGGAGATCAAGACCATCCTGGCCAAGATGGTGAAACCCCGTCTCTACTAAAAATACAAAAAAATTAGCCAGGCATGGTGGCACGTGCCTGTAATCCCAGTTACTCGGGAGGCTGAGGCAGGAGAATTGCTTGAACCTGGAAGGCGAAGACTACAGTGAGCCGAGAATGCACCACTGCACTCCAGCCTGGTGACAGAGCATGACTCCATCCCAAAACAAAAGACAAAACAAAACAAAACAAAACAAAAAAAGACATGGGCAGAGGGAGACGGGCAAAGACACACACACAGGAGAAAGCAATGTGAAGACAGAGGCAGAGACTGGAATGATGTAGCCATGAGTCAGGTATGACTGCAGATGGTAGAAGAGGCCAGGAACAGATGCTTCCCGAGAGCTTCTGGAGGGAGTTTTGGCCCTCCCAACACCTTGATTGCAAACTTCTGACCTCCAGAACCATGAAAGAATAAATTTCAGTTGTTTCAAGCCACCGAGTTTGTGGTAATGTGTTGGTAGCCACAGGAAACTGATACATGGGAGAAGCCAAAGGCAAGAGAACTTAAATTTGTGGCATGTTGACTGTGTGCCAGACATTGTGACAGGTACTCTCTGGGTACTCAGTCACTCCATATCACACAGGTTTTGACACTTTCTAATAAACCACATTAAGGAAGGGACATAGAGGAGGCTTCATGTTGTTGCCTGGGCAAAGCCCCTCTGTGACCCTGTGTGATCTGGGCTGATCCCAATTCCTTATGTGCAAATAAGGAGTTAGACTAGATGACTTCTAGGGTCGTTTTTAGCCCTGACCATCTATGAAGTGAAACTTTACAGGCTAGATCTGAAACGAGACATACACTGTCCAAGAGATGGAATTACAAATATTCTTGCTTAGAGAAAACTCTCTGAAAGCCTAAGTAAAAGCCAAGCTGAGCAGATTCCTAGAAGTCAGGAAGGAAAGTTAACTGTTTGGGGACAAACATTGTTGAGTCTTTAACAACCAAAGACAACTAAACCCCCAGTCCTTTGAGGATGGTTTCTGAAATATTACCAGAGTCCTGAATTTTTACCAACAAACACCAACACAGTATAGACTTCATTTTCAGTTTTTAAACCTTAAAGCCTGGGAATATGAAAGATATTTTAGGGCTGGGACTTCCATTTCTAGCAACATGACAGATTAGAAAACACTGAAACACGTGCCACTACAATGAACAAATGCCCTATTGAATTCATGACTAATCTCACAAAAAAGTATAAGAAATTTCAAAAGACAAGCCTGGCGCAGTGGTTCATGCTTGTAATCCCAGCACTTTGGGAGGCCGAGGCGGGCGGATCACGAGGTCGGGAGATCGAGACCATCCTGGCTAACATGGTGAAACCCCATCTCTACTAAAAATAAACAAAAATTAGCCAGGTGTGGTGGCAGGCACCTGTAGTCCCAGCTACTCGGGAGGCTGAGGCAGGAGAATGGTGTGAACCTGGGAGGCGGACCTTGCAGTGAGCCAAGATGGCACCACTGCACTCCAGCATGGGCAACAGAGACACCATCTCAAAAAAAAAGAAATTTCAAAAGACAAAAAGAAAGAGGGGGAAAGGATAAGGAGAGAAAAAGGAAAAACAGACCTGGTGAGTGTTGAAGTCGGGGCAAGGGTGGCAATCTTGCCAACGAAGGGGTGTGGGTTTAACAGCTTTGGATCTCCATGATGTAGGAAGGAGATCCTGAGACCCCCATTGTGAAGCTGGGACCCTTAAAGGATGACAACACCCTCCATGAGAAAGTTCACAAGAAAAAAAATCTACTCTAAGAAACAATGGGCTGGCCACAGTGGCTCACATCTATAATTCTTGCACTTTGGGAGGCCGAGGCAGGTGGATCACTTGAGGTCAAGAGTTCAAGATCAGCCTGTCCAACATGGTGAAACCCTGTTTCTACTAAAACTACAAAAATTAGCCAGGCGTGGGGGTGGATGCCTGTAATCCCAGCTACTCAGGAGGCTGAGGCAGAAGAACCACTTGAACTGGGCAGAGGAGGTTGCAGTGAGCCCCGATCGCGCCACTGCACTCCAGCCTGGGGGACAGAGCAAGACTCTATCTCAAAAAAAAAAAAAAAAAAAAAAACCAAGGAAGCAAAAGTTTGTTAACCTAGTCTAAGTTCTGGATAAGTGAGGAAAAACGTCTCCCTCAATATCTGTACTTGTGGGAAAGCCCTCATATGGATTTGAGATTCCTATTTATACTTCTTATAAGATTTAGTAACTCCATATTGAAATATTAACACAAAACCCTTCAAAGATGAGTTCACAATCGAAAATTATGAAACATGATGAAACAGTCCACTCTAAGCAAGAGTCAAAAGACACAGAAATAATCTACAACTATCTGATCTTTGACAAACCTGAGAAAAATAAGCAATGGGGAAGGGATTCCCTATTTAATAAATGGTGCTGGGAAAACTGGCTAGCCATATGTAGAAAGCTGAAACTGGATCCCTTCCTTACACCTTATACAAAAATTAATTCAAGATGGATTAAAGACTTAAACGTTAGACCTAAAACCATAAAAACCCTAGAAGAAAACCTAGGCATTACCATTCAGGACATAGGCATGGGCAAGAACTTCATGTCTAAAACACCAAAAGCAATGGCAACGAAAGCCAAAATTGACAAATGGGATCTAATTAAACTAAAGAGCTTCTGCACAGCAAAAGAAACTACCATCAGAGTGAACAGGCAACCTACAAAATGGGAGAAAATTTTCACAACCTACTCATCTGACAAAGGGCTAATATCCAGAATCTACAATGAACTCAAACAAATTTACAAGAAAAAAACAAACAACCCCGTCAAAAAGTGGGTGAAGGACATGAGCAGACACTTCTCAAAAGAAGACATTTATGCAGCCAAAAAACACATGAAAAAATGCTCATCATCACTGGCCATCAGAGAAATGCAAATCAAAACCACATGAGATACCATCTCACACCAGTTAGAATGGCAATCATTAAAAAGTCAGGAAACAACAGGTGCTGGAGAGGATGTGGAGAAATAGGAACACTTTTACACTGTTGGTGGGACTGTAAACTAGTTCAACCATTGTGGAAGTCAGTGTGGTGATTCCTCAGGGATCTAGAACTAGAAATACCATTTGACCCAGCCATCCCATTACTGGGTATATACCCAAAGTACTACAAATCATGCTGCTATAAAGACACATGCACACGTGTGTTTATTGCGGCACTATTCACAATAGCAAAGACTTGGAACCAACCCAAATGTCCAACAATGATAGACTGGATTAAGAAAATGTGGCACATATACACCATGGAATACTATGCAGCCATAAAAAAGGATGAGTTCATGTCCTTTGTAGGGACATGGATGAAATTGGAAATCATCATTCTCAGTAAACTATTGCAAGGACAAAAAACCAAACACCGCATGTTCTCACTCATAGATGGGAATTGAGCAATGAGAACACATGGACACAGGAAGGGGAACATCACACTCTGGGGACTGTTGTGGGGTTGGGAGAGTGGGGAGGGATAGCATTAGGAGATATACCTAATGCTAAATGACGAGTTAATGGGTGCAGCACACCAGCATGGCACATGTATACATATGTAACTAACCTGCACATTGTGCACATGTACCCTAAAACTTAAAGCATAATAATAATAATAAAGAAAGACACAGAAATAGCAAGAGTAGAGCTTCAAAAACTTCAGATAATAAAATTTCTATATAAAGGTTATAAAACAAACATATTTAAAATTATTGTTGTAAAGAAGAAATGGAAATTTCATAAAAGAACAAGATAATAAGAAAAATAATAGAGTAGAAAAAGAGCCAGGTTTACCTTCTAAAATTACAAATATAGTTAATGAAATGAACAGAAACCTCTATTGATGGTGGTTAGACATCACCTGCCGATTAGACACAGTTGAGAGAGAATTAGTGGATTAGAAGATAGATCTAAGTAGAGATGAGCTGATAATCCCCTTCTCCAGGAAAAAAGCAAAGCTCTGATTTGTAGCATTTGCTGGTTTCCATCGTGTAAATACTCCTACCATGGCCAGTTTCAAGCTACCAATGTGATATCAGTGAATGTGGAGCTGGGAAGAGATACACACAATCAATTCTCACCAACCAGCATGAGCACAACACTTGAGCCAAGCAAACGACCTAAAAAAGCAACACAGAGGGATAAAGAGCTTAAAAAAAAAAAATGGAAGTAAGGTAAAGATTAAAAAAGGGATGAAATAAAAATATCCAGGCCAGGCGCGGTGGCTCACGCCTGTAATCTCAGCATTTTGGGAGGCCGAGGAGGGCAGATCACGACGTCAGGAGATTGAGACCAGCCTGGCCGATATGGTGAAACCCCGTCTCTATTAAAAATACAAAAAATTAGCCAGGCATGGTGGCGGGCGCCTGTAGTCCCAGTTATTCAGGAGGCTGAGGCAGGACAATTGCTTGAACCCGGCAGGCGGAGGTTGCTGTGAGCCGAGACACGCCGCTGCACTCCAGCCTAGGCGACAGAGTGAGACTCCATCTCAAAAAGAAAAAAATAATAATAATAAAAATAAAGTAATCCAACATATTTCTCACAGTTCCCAAAGGAGAAAAAAATGACTGAAAATGTTCTAAATCTGATGAAAGATAGGAAGCATCAGGGCCAGGCGTGGTGGCTCATGCCTGTAATCCCAGCACTTTGGCTTTTTAGAAAATTAAGCTTTTGGGTCATGTCCAAATGACAGACAGAACATGACATTTATGGGGGAGGGCGGAATTTTCTCTCTTAAAACTAGGTGTTAGTTAAAAACCAGAAGAAGGCACAGATTCTGCATGTGCTCAGAAAGGGAAGGGCTGATTCTTTTATTCAATCAACAAATATTTATTGAACAGCAGCTGCATTAAAAATGTTCAAAACCATTACAGTCAGCTGGGCAAGGTGGCTCACACCTGTAATCCCAGCACTTCGGGAGGCCGAGGTGGGCGGACCACTTGAGGTCAGGAGTTTGAGACCAGCTTGGTCAACATGGTGAAACCCTGTCTCTAATAAACATACAAAAATTAGCTGCGCATGGTGATGTGTGCCTGTAATCCCAGCTACTCCAGAGGCTGAGGCAGGAGAATAGCTTGAACCTGGGAGGTGGAGGTTGCAGTGAGCCGAGATTGCTCTGCTGCACTCCAGACTGGGCTACACAGTAAGACTGTCTCAAAAAAACAAAAACAGGCAGAGCACGTTGGCTCACACCTGTAATCCCAGCACTGTGGGAGGCCGAGGCAGGCGGATCACGAGGTCAAGAGATCCAGACCATCCTGGCCAACACGGTGAAACCCCGTCTCTACTAAAAATACAAAAATTAGCCAGGCGTGGTGGCAGGCGCCTGTAGTCCCAGCTACTCAGGAGGCTGAGGCAGGAGAATGGCATGAACCTGGGAGGTGGACCTTGCAGTGAGCCGAGATTGTGCCACTGCACCCAGCCTGGGTGACTGAGCGAGACTCCGTCTCAAAAAAAAAAAAAAATTAAAAATAGAATTGCCATGCTAATGGATCAGAATTCATATTGTTAAAATGACCATACTGCCCAAAGCAATCTACAGATTCAATGTAATCCTTATCAAAGTACCAATGTCATTTTTCACAGAATTAGAAAATGCAATCTTAAAATTCATATGGAACTGAAAAACAGACCGAATAGCCAAAGCAATCCTGAACAAAAAGAACAAAGCTGGAGGCATCACAATATGTGACTTCAAAATATATTACAAGAATATAGTAATCAAACAGTATGGTACTGGTATAAAAATATACACATAGATCGGCCAGGCGTGGTGGCTCATGCCTGTAATCCCAGCACTTTGGGAGGCCAAGGTGGGTGGATCACAAGGTCAGGAGATTGAGACCATCCCTGGCTAACACGGTGAAACCCCATCTCTACTAAAAATACAAAAAATTAGCCGGGTGTGGTGGTGGGCACCTGTAGTCCCAGCTACTAGGGAGGCTGAGGCAGGAGAATGGCATGAACCCAGGAGGCGGAGCTTGCAGTGAGCCAATCCACGCCACTGCACTCCAGCCTGGGCAACAGAGCGAGACTCCGTCTCAAAAAATATATATATATATGTGTGTATATATACATATATATGTGTGTGTGTGTATACACGTGTGTGTATACACGTGTGTGTATACACACGTGTGTGTATACACACGTGTGTATATACATACACATATATGTGTATATACACATATGTGTGTATATACATATATGTGTATACACACACGTATATATATACACACATATGTGTATATACACATATATGTATACACACACACACACACACACACACACACACACACACACAGATCAATGGAATAGAATAGACACCCAGAGATAGAGCCAGTTGATATTTGACAAAGCTGACAAGAATATATACTAGGGAAAGGACACCCTCTTCAACAAATGTTGCTGGGAAAACTGGATTGCCATATGCAGAAGAATGAAACTGGACCCCTATCTCTCACCATATACAAAAAAAAATCAACTCAAGATGTATTAAAGACTTGAATGTAAGGTCTGAAACTATAAAAATCCTAGAAAAAAACCTTGGGAAAACTGTACTGGACATTGGCCTAGGCAAGGAATTTCTGACTAAGACTTCAAAAACACAGGCAACAAAAACAAAAATAGATAAATGAGACTTCATTAAACTAAAAATCTTCTGCACAGCAAAAGAAATCATCAACAGAGTGAAGAGACAGCTTGCAGAATGGAAGAAAATATTTGCAAACTTTTTCATCCAGCAAGAGACTAGTATCCAGAATACACAAGGAACTCAAACAACTCAACAACAATGAAAAATAACAAATAATATCAGCAAGAAGTGGGCAAAGGACATGAGTAGACATTTTTCAAAGGAAGACATACAAATATCTGACAGGAATGTGAAAAAAATGGTCAACATAACTTGTCATGAGAGAAATGCAAATTAAAACCACAATGAGATATCATCTTACCCTAGTCACAACGGTTATTATTAAAAAGACAGAAAATAACAGATGTTGGCAAGGATGAGGAAAAAGGGGAACTCTTACACACTGTTGGTGGGAATGTAAATGAGTACAACCTCTATGGAAAACAGTATGCAGATTTTTCAAAGAACTTTAAAAAAAAAAAAAATAGGACTGCCAGGCGCGGTGGCTCACACCTGTAATCCCAGCACTTTGGGAGGCTGAGGCGGGCGTATCACGAGGTCAGGAGTTTGAGACCAGCCTGGCCAACATGGTGAAACCCCGCCTCTACTAAAAAAATACAAAAGAAAAAAAAATGAGCCGGACGTGGTGACATGCGCCTGTAGTCCCAGCTACTCAGGAGTCTGAGGCAGGAGAATTGCTTGAACCCGGGAACTGGAGGTTGCAGTGAGCTGAGATCAGGCCACTGCACTCCAGCCTGGGCAACAGAGTGAGACTCTGTCTCGGAAAAAAAAAAAATATATAGGACTACCATTCAATCCAGCAATCCCACTACTGGATATCTACCCAAAGGAAAAGAAATCAATATATCAAAAATATACCTGCACTAGTATATTTATTGTGCATTATTCACAATAGCAAAGACATGGTATGAACCTAAATGCCCATCAACAGATGATTAGATGAAGAAAATGTGGTACATATACACAATGGAAGACTATTTGGCCATAAGAATGAAATCGCATCTTTTGCAGCAACATGGGTGGGATTGGAGGTCATTATGTTAAGTGAAACAAACCACATAAAGTCAAATATGACATGTTCTCACCAAAAAGTGGTTACTAAAAGATGTGTACACACAGACAGAAAGAGTAGAATGATAGATATTGGAGACTCAGAAAGGTGAGAGAGAGTGGGAGTGGGGCAGATGATGAGAAATTACTTAATGGGTACAAAGTATATTGTACCCTAAAAGTCCTGACTTGACCACTACACAATCTGTGCATGTAACAAAATTGCGCTTGTACCCCATAAATTTATACAATTTTTTTTTTGAGACAGAGTCTCGCTTTGTCACCCAGGCTAGAGTGCAGTGGGGCGATCTCGGCTCATTGCAACCTCCGTCCCCTGGGTTCAAGCAACTCTCCTGCCTCAGCCTCCCTAGTAGCTAGGATTACAGGCATGTGCTACCACCCCCAGCTAATTTTTATATTTTTAGTAGAGATGGGGTTTCACATGTTGGCCAGGCTGGTCTTGAACTTCTGACCTCAAATGATCCATCCACCTCGGCCTCCTGAAGTGCTGGGATTACAGGATTACAGGCGTGGGCCACCACGCCCGGCCTTATACAAATTTTTAAAAAGAAAAAATTTAAAAAATGTTTAAGAAGAAATTGCATATCAAATTTTTCTCCTTTTAAGTAAAGAGAAATAGATATTGTAAAAGGAATATTTTAAAATTTCACATACCTGAAAAATAAATCATGAAATATATGAAGAAAATAGAATTGCCATTAGAAATCATCCAGGAATTCTGCCTCTGGGAATATACTCAAAAGAATTGAGCCGGACGCGGTGGTTCATGCCTGTAATCCCAGCACTCTGGGAGGCCAAGGTGGGCAGATCAAGAGGTCAAGAGATGGAGACCCTCCTGGCCAACATGGTGAAACCCCATCTCTACTAAAAATACAAAAAAAAAAAAATTAGCTGTGCGTGGTGGCATGCGCCTGTAGTCCCAGCTACTCAGGAGGCTGAGGCAGGAGAATCACTTGAACCCGGGAGGTGGAGGTTGCAGTAAGCCGAGATCAGGCCACTGCACTTCAGCCTGGCGACAGAGGGAAACTCCATCTCAAAAAAAATAAAGAAGAATTGAAAGCAGGGTTTTAAAGAGTTATTTGTACACCTATACTCATAGCAGCTTTATTCACTATAGGCAAAACGTGGAAGCAATCTAAGTGTCTACTGATGGATAAATGGATAAGCAAAGTACGTACGGTCTGTATGCACAATGAAATTTTTTTTCTTTTCCTCAAATTCCTCTGATACAATGGAATATTATTCATCCTTAAAAAGGAAGAAAATTCTGACATACACCACAACATGAATGAACCTTGAGGACATTATGCAAAGTGAAATAAGCCAGCCACAAAAAGACAAATGCTGTATGATTCCACTTATATGAGATACTTAGAGTAGTCAAAATCATAGACAGAAAGTAAAATGATGGTTTCCAGGAGCCCAGAGGGAAGAATGGGAAGTTATTGTGTAATGAATATAAAGTTTCAGTTCTGCAAGATGAAAAGAGTTCTGGAGATGGATGGTGGTGATGGTTGTACAACTACATGAATGTACCTGATACCACTGAACTATATACATAAAAATGGTTAAGATAATAAATTTTGGCCAGGCGCGGTGGCTCACGCCTGTAATCCCAGCACTTTGGGAGGCTAAGCGGAGGCGGATCACCTGAGGTCAGGAGTTCAAGAGCAGCCTGGCCAACATGGTGAAACCCCGTCTCTACTAAAAATACAAAAATTAGCTGGACATAGTAGCGGACACCTGTAATCCCAGCTACTAGGGAAGCTGAGACTGGAGAATTGCTTCAGCCCGGGAGGCGGAGGTTGGAGTGAGCTGAGATCACACCATTGCACTGCAGCCTGGGCAACAAGAGTGAAACTCCGACTCAAAAAAAAAAAAAAAAAAAAAAAAGATAGTAAATTTTATGTTACATGTATCATAGCACAATAAAAAATGCGGCGGGGTGTAGAAATCTATACACAAATGTTTACACTGGCTTTGTTCATAATTTTCCATAATTGGAAACAACAAAGCATCCTTCAACTGGTGAATGGGTAAACAAATTGTGGTAACTACTCCTTAGCAATAAATAGGAACAAACTACTGATACATGCACCAATATGGATTAACCTCTCACGGACCATGTTAAATGAAAGAAGCCAGACTTACAAGACTAAATACTGCAAATAGGGTATGATTACAGTCATATGAATTTTGGAAATATCAAGACTACAGAAACAGATAAAAGATCAGTGGCCACCAGGAGCTAGGAGTTGGGGGAAGATTTGACTACAAAGGAGCATGGTGATTTTGAGGGTGACAAAACTGTTCTATAGTTTGATTGTGGTGGTTACATGACTCTACGCTTTTGCGAAAACTCAGAGAACTGTATGTGAAAGGGTGAATTTTACTGTCTGTAAATTAACCTCAATAAATCTGACTTTTGAAAGAACAATAATAAAATAGAGCCATGTGGTGCTTCCATGACACACATCTGAAACAAAATCACATAGAAAGGTTGAAAGAATGGAAAAAGATACATCAAACAAACACTAACCAAAAGAAAGGTGGAATAGCTATACTAATATCAGACAGATTGAAGGCAAAAAGCACTGGTAAAAATGAGAGTCATTACATTAAAGGAACAATTCCCTAGAAAGATTCAATATATATATATATATATTTTTTGAGACGGAGTCTCACTCTGTCGCCCAGGCTGGAGTGCAGTGGTGCGATTTCAGCTCACTGCAAGCTCCGCCTCCAAGGTTCATGCCATTCTCCTGCCTCAGCTTCCCGAGTAGCTGGGACTACAGGCACCTGCCACCACACCTGGCTCATTTTTTGTATTTTTAGTAGAGACGGGGTTTCACCGTGGTAGCCAGGATAGTCTCCATCTCCTGACCTCATGATCCGCCCACTTCGGCCTCCCAAAGTGCTGGGATGACAGGCTTGAGCCACCGCACCCAGCCGAAAGATTCAGTATTTCTAAACACTAATAACAAAGGCTCAAGATATACAAAGCAGGCCAGGCACGGTGACTCACGCCTGTAATCCCAGCACTTTGGGAGGCAGAGGCGGAGAGATCACTTGAGGTCAGGAGTTCAAGACTAGCCTGGCCAACATGCTGAAACCTCATCTCTACTAAAAATACAAAAATTAGCCAGGCGTGGTGACACCTGGATGTAGTCCCAGCTACTCAGGAGGCTGAGGTAGAAGAATCGCTTGAATCTGGGAGGTGGAGGCTGTAGTGAGCTGAGATCTCACCACTGCAATCCGGCCTGGGTGACAGAGCAAGACTCTGTCTTTAAAAAAAAAAAAAAAGAAAGAAAGAAAGAAAGAAATATATACACACACACACACACACACACACACACACACAAAGCAAAATTTGACAGAATTACATGAAGAAAGTGACAAATTCACCACCATTATAGAAAAATTTAGCTCTTTTAGTAATGGGTCATTAATAAGCAGACAAGAAGTAGTACACATACAGAAGATCTGGAAAACACAATTAAAAAGCTTAATTCAAGAAGTATAGGTAGAGTCCTGCACCAATCAGAGAATACATTATTTTTGGGCATACATAGAACACTTGTAAAAAAAAAAAAAAAGGCTGCAAACAAGTCTACAATTTTTTAACTAGGCCACAATTTTTTAACCAAATTTAGAAATCAATTTAGTTACAAATAGGTAACTTTAAAAACTTCAGGCCAGGTACAGTGGCTCACACCTGTAAGCCCAGCACTTTGGGAGGCCGAGGGGGGCAGATCACGAGGTCAGGAGTTGGAGACCACCCTGGCTAACACAGTGAAACCCTGTCTCTACTAAAAATACAAAAAATTAGCCAGGCATGGTGGCGGGTGCCTGTAGTCCCAGCTACTCGGAAGGCTGAGGCAGGAGAATGGCGTGAACCCAGGAGGCAGAGCTTGCAGTGAGCCGAGATCGCGCCACTGCACTCCAGCCTGGGTGACAGAGCGAGACTCCGTCTCAAAAAAAAAAAAAAAAAAATTCAAACTTTTGAATTTGTAAATGTATATAGGTTCAGAAAGAGCTCAAAATGGAAGTTAGAAAATTTAAAACATGAAATATGTTACATATCAAAATTGGTACAGCTGGGCACAGTAACACACACCTATAATTCCACTAGGAAGGCTGAGGCAAGAGGATTCCTTGAGCCCAAGAGTTCAAGATCAGTTTGGGCAACTTAGCAAGACCTTATCTCTAAATACACACACACAGAGACACACAGACACACACACACACGTGTATATATATACATATATATACACACACATATATAATTACATATATACACACATATACAGTATATATACATATTTACACAAACACACACACATATATAGAGTGCAACTAAAGTGATATTTAGAGGGAAATTTATAGCCCTAAATGTACATATCAGACAATAAAATCAGTGCTGGAGAAAACCAAAAAATAAACTATCATGCTATTTTCCAATATGGTACATTCCAATGAAAGGAAGAGTCAATTGTTTCTCTGCATGTTTACTCTCTAATCAGAAAGTGGTTGGGTCATAAGGAAGAAAGATAACATATGTAAGTGTTTAGCTTTGGCAAGGGAACATCACTAATTGAATGTTTATGTAATTGAAATTAAAGAAGATTGAAATATTCATCTTTAGTGTTTTCTTTTTTTTTTGAGACGGAGTCTCGCTCTGTCGCCCAGGCTGGAGTGAAGCGGCACGATCACTGCTCACTGCAAGTTCTCCCTCCCGGGTTCACGCCATTCTCCTGTCTCAGCCTCCCAAGTAGCTGGAACTACAGGCACCCGCCACCACGCCTGGCTAATTTTCTGTATTTTTAGTAGAGACATGGTTTCACCATGTTAGCCAGGATGGTCTCAATCTCCTGACCTCATGATCCGCCTGCCTCGGCCTCCCAAAATGCTGGGATTACAGGGGTAAGCCACTGCGCCCAGCCTAGTGTTTTCACATTATCCATATTACTTTCTATTGCTCGTGAACACACACATGCACACACACATAAACTGGCCTTTTTGGATGGTGTGGAGGACCGACCACTCCATAGATTTTATCCACTCCACTGTAGTGGGCTGAGGAGGATCGACTCAAACTACCCAGCATTGACCAACCATCTGCCACGTGCAAGTTGCTACAGAGAATTCAAAGTTGAACGAAGTCAGCTTTGAGGAGCTCTAAGACCTGGTTTCACTAGAGGTCTAGGCATTGGAATGGAATGCAAAGAGATAAGGTTGGCAACATAAATTGAGGTGAGGTCACAGTGAGGCTTGAATGCCAGGGAAGGCATGTTAGTGAAGGTTTATGAGCAAGGAAATAAAAAGCATGGCCACACTTTAGGGAAATGGTATCCCAGAACATCTTACCTTCTTGGGTCATAAAGTCATCTTCAGCAAAGATGTTAAAGTTGCCACACAGCCCGCAGGTCTTGTTGAAGTATCTGTCTGACAGCAGGACTTGAAAGTTGCCGCTGCCATCGATCCTGGCCACAAAGCCATAGGCCTCACCGGACAGCTTGTAGTACCCAGCCTCAGTTTCTAGATACAGCCCTTTGGAGGCATAGGGCATGGAGACTCTGGAGGGCAAAGGCTAAGTTCAGAAGTGGGCTTCTTGTGCATTTTCTGGATGTCTCTCCCACCTTCTAACCCCAACCCCATGTTGTAGGGTTCAGAACATGGTGCAAAGTGGCTGAGGACCTAGATCAGCAATCGGGAGAGCTGGCTCTCACCCAGCCCTGCTACTCACTTCCTTGGAACATTTGCTTCCATTCTCTGGGCCCCAGCTTCCTCATCTAAAAATGAGGGGGTTGTGTCAGGGGATCCCTAGGGTCCTTTCTAACTCAGACATTGTTGGCTTACCTTTGGTCCCCCTGTGTCACGGTACCATTGACAAACAAATGGATGTCAAAAAATTCCCCAAGATACACGGAGAGGCTCACTCTCTTGCCATTCTGGAAGTCCCCTGAAAGAGAAAAAAGTCAATAGTAGTGATTATTACTCCTCTCAAAAAATGAATACATTGATTAAGAATCATTATCTACGTAACCTTTTCTCAGCAGAAAACGCCCCAAAAAGTCTTTACAAGCGAGCAACAAAAATCTCCCTAAAAATCTCATTTTCTCACCCATTTTTCCATTCATCTAAAAATAATTATTGAGTGACTTCTGGATACATTGCCCTCAGGTAGGCTCTCAAACATCACAAAAGAAAAATCTAAAAGCATGATCTTTTGCTTCTGGGAGTTTACAACCTGCGTATAAATAGAAGACAAACATGCGACAATTGAGTATATTGTAAGGCAGCAAACAAAAAGGCAACACTGTGAGTTACTGGTAACAGGTGCTCTAGGAGAGTGTTATTTATTCATTCATTCATTCACTTATTGAGACAGGGTTGTGCTCTGTTGCCCAGGTTGGGGTGCAGTGATGTGAACATGGCTCGCTGCAGTTTCTGCCTCCTGGGCCCAGGTTATCCTCCCACCTCAGCCTCCAGGGTAACTGGGATCACAAGTATGTACCACCACATCCAGCTAATTTTTTTTTTCTTTTTGTAGAGACAAGATCTCACCGTGTCGCCCAGGCTGGTCTTGAGCTCCTTGGTGCGAGTAATTACAGGCATGAGCCACCCCGCTCTGGCCTAGCAGTGCTATTTAAAATGGTATCGGTCGAGTGCGGTGGCTCACGCCTGTAATCCCAGCACTTTGGGAGGCTGAGGCGGGTGGATCACGAGGTCAGGAGATCGAGACCATCCTGGCTAACACGGTGAAACCCCGTCTCTACTAAAAATATGAAGAAAAAAAAAATTAGCCAGGCGAGGTGGCTGGCGTCTGTGGTCCCAGTTCTTTGGGAGGCTGAGGCAGAAGAACGGCGTGAACCCAGGAGGCGGAGCTTGCAGTGAGCGGAGATCGCGCCACTGCACTCCAGCCTGGGTGACAGAGCAAGACTCTGTCTCAAAAAAAATAAAAAATAAAAATAAATAAATAAATAAAATGGTATCTTAGGACAGCCCAAGTCAGAATCCCTGGGCTGTTTGTTTAAAATGGAGATTCATGAGCTCCACCTAAGTTTGCTGAATTTGATTATCCAGGAGTTTACAGATCGTGTGGGTCAAACGCCTTACACAGCACATGGAATTAATAAGGACACACTAAATGGTTGACAATGGAAATGTCTGAAGATCCAGACACATGATAAAATAGGCTCTGAGAATGGTGTGGTTGTGAGGGCTGAACAGGGTGACAAGGGTGATGGGACGGTGGCCAGCATGAAAGAGGAAACACAGGCAAGACATTTTTCACAGCGTGACCAAAGCTTAGCAAACCTCACCTAGTTTCTAAGAACTGCTACTCGTGGTGGGTCTTTGATATTCAAAGATAACTAATTGGTCATAAGAATCAAAAGACCCAGAAGGGAAAATAGAGAGTCTGGTCTCAAGCCTTGGAGACTGAGAAATTAATGGAAATAGGAAAGATAGGGGCAGCCAGAGAAAACAAAGAGCTGACGTGTGGGGCACAATGCCTTGAGGTCCTGAAGGAATGGGGCATAGGACTCAGGGGTAAAGTTGGTCTTAAAAATGAGCAAATCTCTCTTCTCCTAGAAGGGATAGGGGAGTGTGGGCTTCTTCTTGGCAAGAAGAGGCTAAGATGTCCGTGGAACGAAGCCCAGAAGACCTGGCAGGTCTGTTGACTCAAGGTGTTGCTGTCATGGCCAGAGGAGCTGGGGCAGAGGTCTCCTCACTCCTAGCCAGGAGAGGAAGAGTCCCCAGCAGGGCTCTGGGCTGAACTGAGGCTGCAGGAGGACAACCACACACACAGACACACAGACACACACACACACACACACACACACCACACGCACACACACCATGCACACACATAAGCATGCACCCTGGAACACACAAACACTCCAAACCAACCCGAATGAGCTACAGAATAGACTTGTTTCTGGTGGAAATTCAGTGAGGGCTCTCCCACGTAAATAATAAGTCTATTCTAGGAATAGTTTTAATGATATGCCAGCAGCAGCAGCCACCAGGAAAGACACACAGACCACTCACAGTCCATAAACCACATTCTGCGGAGCTCCAGATCAACACAACTGGGAGAAAATGGAGATGCCTGCCAAATGAAAGGGGACTTGTCCTGTTTGAGCTGAGGTGTCTCCCTTGCTCTGCATTCCCACCTAGAACAGTTTTTACAGCAAGCAAACCTTTAGAAGCTGAACAAACTTACTGACAGCAAGAAATTGGCCAAAGAAAAAGAAACAACTGGAAAAGTGATTGCGTAGAGAAACTTTTTTTTTTTTTTTTTTGAGACAGAGTCTCGCTCTGTCGCCCAGGCTGGAGTGCAGTGGCGCGATCTCGGCTCACTGCAAGCTCCGCCTCCCGGGTTCACGCCATTCTCCTGCCTCAGCCTCCCGAGTAGCTGGGACTACAGGTGCCCGCCACCATGCCCAGCTAATTTGTTGTATTTTTAGTACAGATGGGGTTTCACCATAGCCAGGATGGTCTCGATCTCCTGACCTCATGATCTGCCTGCCTGGGCCTCCCAAAGTGCTAGGATTACAGGCGTGAGCCACCGTGCCCTGCAAAGTAACTTTTTCTTTTTTTCAGTAATGTATTTACCAGTAATGGTAGAATCTGAGTGAGGAGTATATGGATCTTGAAGTCTTTCAACTTTTCTGTATGTTTCAAAATTTCCATAAGAAAATGTCGAAAAACCAAACAAATGGGACAACCAGGTAACAACCTCCAGTTTGCACCCTCTCCCTTCCAGGGCCCTAGGCATTTGCACTGGGCCCAAGACCAAATCCCTCCCTCGGCCTTTTCTGGGGCTGGAGCTCTGAACACTACACACAGCCCAGAGTGAGCCCATGTGACAGGGCAGGGACCCACTTCACACTCCTCACTGGAGACCTGCCAGAGCAGAAGCCTCCACCTGCCAGATGGCAGACAAATGAGCCCACGAGGTCTGGGCTCAGGGGTCTGTGTCCCTATTACCACTGAGCCTGTCTCCCCATCAGTGAATCCTCCTTTCATCCCATCTCACAGGGAGTTCTGCCTCGGCTTCACTGGGTAACTCAACCAATATGTCACCTCCGAGCCAAAGGCATCTCCCTCCTGGAAATGGGAAAGGAACCCCCGTGAGCCCCTCCTTGGTGTTTCTCCTTCTCCTGGGGATGCAGAAAGGGTGGGTGGGACCAAGTCTCCCAGGGACTGTGGCTGGAGAATGGGTAGGGAACGCTTCAGAGGCAGCCAGGCAGCTTGGGGTTGGCATGGCCCTGTGGCTGCTGATCTACAGCTCTTAGAGGCTTCCAAAGATGCAAAATCACTTAAGCAAGGTACTCGTTCCACAGGAGGCAGAGCTGAGCGGGTGCCACAGGGGAGCCCGGAGGTCGCTATGGCTATAAGTTTGTAAAGTAAGGCCTGCAAGGCTGAATAAACCAAGAATTCAGCAGAAGCAGAAAAATCAAACAGGAGAGAACCAGGAGAAGTGTATGGGAGAGAAGGAGAGCCCCAGCCCTCCTAGAGTAAATAACAGAGGAACCTGTCCACACAGGCTGCGGGGCTCGGGGCTGGCCAGGCGGCAGACCCTGGGGTAACTTGCCTATCATCACAGAGCTAGTCAGTGATGAAGAGCTGGGACTCAAGCGAGTGCTGTTTTAAGTATGTCAAGGGCTTGCTCTGGGCAGCCCAAGGAGAGACCAGCATCAGGAAGTCCAAGGGGCAGCCCAGGGCTGAGCCTGTGTGAGGCAGCTCCAGGCAGCCAGGGGACGTGGGGCTGGCTGCCCTTGGAGCTTCACCTACCGCAGGAACTGGGGCTCCTGAAGGGGATGATTCAGGTTCTGGTAACCAGCCCCCATCCACCCAGAGACAAACCAAAAACAGGAGTCTAGGGGCAGGAGTGGGGCTGCATCGTGCCCTTCAGTGAGGATTGAACTGCATGGCAAGGAGAATTCCTGGCCCTGGATGGCTGAGGGGGCTTGAAGAGCAGTCAGTCCACAGCCGGAGCAGGGGAGTGGCAAGGGAATTTGGGGTTTTGTTTTCTTTTGTTTTGAGGTCTTGCTCTATCGCTCAGGATGACATGTAGTGATATGATCACAGCTCACTTCACCCTCGAACTCCTGGGCTCAAGCAATCCTATTGTCACAACTTCCCAAATAGCTGGAACTACAGGTGTGTGCCACCATGCCCAGCTAATTTTTGTATATTTTTGTACAGATGGGGGTCTCGCTATGTTGCCCAGGCTGGCATCGAACTCCTGGGCTCAAGCAATCCTCCCGCTTCAGCCTCCCAAAGCATTGGGATTATAGGCATGAGTAACTGTGTCCAGCCTGGCAATGAGATTTTTCAAAGTGTGATCTAGGCCTATAATTCAGAAAAACATACTATGGCAGCAGGAAGAATCTAAATAAGCGGCTCTTAAACTCTTTTGCTCAGAAAGCACAGTAAAAACACAACTTTATGACTCAGGACACACACACACACGTTTCATATCATATTTACCCTTGCCGTGTGCCATGCACTCTGATATTTTCTGATGTTTTCTAACCTTTTCTGTCTTTTTAAATGCTAGTTATAACCACTCAACTCATTTTAGGACCCATGGCCCATGACTCAGTTCAGAAAACAATGATCTAGGCTGACTTCATTTTACAGACGGAGAAACGAAGGCCTAGGTTTACAGCAGGATTTCTCCACTGCATTACTATTGCATTCAGCGCCAGACACTTCCCTGTGCATGGTGGGAGAACCAGCAGCCTCCTGGTCTCTACCCACTAGATGCCAGCAGCACCCACTCCACAGTTGTGACAACCCAAAATGTCTCCAGACACTGCAAAATGTCCTCAGGGGGAAAACCACCCCGACTGAGAACCCCTGGTTTCCACTGTGGAAATGGAGCAGAGCCTACACTCAGGCTTTTTTGACTGTCCAAATCCCCTTTTTGCAACACAAAGCTGCGTAACAGGGCATCGGAGTGTTCTAGGATTGCACTAATCACTAATGCAGGGAGAACTCCAGACCAGCCTTGCATTTTATTTCCCTCATTCCCTCCATGCAGAACTCAGGGGCATCAGATGATGTGCAGCCATTAGGAAAACGAGCCATTAGAAATCGCCGGTGAGCCCAGGAGAGACCCCTGCACTCCACAGACCTCCAGGTTAGCACTTTCTATAACTCTTAGGAAAAGAGAGGCTGGCTGTCACCCCAAAGAGGCAAGACAAGCCAGCGAAGCTCTCCCAGAGGCTCCCACCAGGCCTGCTGAACGCAGTGATTAAGGCGCTGAGTGAGGAGTAAGCTCCTAGCCCACATATTAGAGTGAGAGGAATCCTGGGACCTTCAGAAGCAGGCCAGGAGCTGGAACTACCGTCAGACCTGGGCGCTCTCTTAGGCTTTAGTGTGGAACTCACTCATCTGCATTTCCACTAAACACTCTACCTTCTATGCCCGTGATTCTGGTGCAGGTGACCCTCCCTCCAAACTGAGAACAGGGGTCTGGTCTGACCATGCCACGGAAACTAAGGCTCCCCGGGGGAAGTGACTCAGCAGGCTGTTGGTTGTTGATGGCTCTCTCTTGGCAGGTATGAGAGCCAGATCCTGCAGCCGTAGCTTAGGAAGAGCAGTCTCTACGGAGGAGCAGGAACCAGGACTCCCATAGTCTCTCTCTGGCCTCTGTGCTGTCTGGCAAACAGCCGTGTCGCCTTGGCCTCGAACCCTGGAGCCTGCCTCACCAGGAGACAGAATCAAGGACAGGGGCCTCGCCTTGGCACCAGGTGGCCCTTCGTGTGCGTACATAAACACTTTTCCCAGGATATGAATAAGGTCCACAGGCACTCGGGAGGAATGTGGATGTGCGATTTACGGTCAAGGAGACAGGATGTCATTGCAGAACAATGGAAAAGAAGGTAGGCATGTGCACGGAAACTGAAACTGCAGGGCCCAAGTCCTGGGCTCCCTCCCCTGACCCAGTGCCCCTGGCTGCCCTGATGCACCAATGCCAGCCCACCCCCCTCTAATTCTTCCTCTTCTCCCACACACCCCAAACCTGCCACCACCACCAACAAGAGGCAAAGCAGCCACCCATTCTCTATGATGTTAGCAGCACGGTTTTGGTGAAAATGAAATCAATTTACATTAAAGTGTGTTTGATCCATAACCTTGTTTAGGCAAACAATCTCCCAGAAAATGGACACTTCACAAGGGCAAACAGCTTATAAGAAAAGAATAATGACCTGGTGGGGAATCCCACCAAGGGGTTTTGAGGTAGACAGGCCTTCCATGGCCCTTCAAATTCCTCTGTGACCACTGAAACCCAGAAAACGGTGGCCCGAGAGGCCAGACCTCTAGCACAAACCTGTGTGGATTATGAGGGGGAGTTGAAACTCAAGTGACCCTGACCTCGTGGAAATGCCTGGGGGCCCAGCAGCCCCTGTCTCTGCATGGCGATTCCAAGTGAACACCCCATGTTAAGCTGGCTGCTTTCAATAACTCAGCTTGGCTAAGCAGTCACATTTTCAGATAACCTGTCTCCCTTGATGCTCACAGTATCTCCATTTTAAAGATGAGGAACCAAGGCCGAGGCGGGCGGATCACCTGAGGTCGGGAGTTCGAGACCAGCCTGACCAACATGGAGAAACCCCGTCTCTACTAAAAACACAAAATTAGCAGGGTGTGGTGGCGCACGCCTGTAATCCCAGCTACTCGGGAGGCTGAGGCAGGAGAATCGCTTGAACCTGGGAGGGGGAGGTTGCAGTGAGCCGAGATCGCACCACTGCAATCCAGCCTTCCAGCCTGGACAACACGAGCGAGATTCCATTTCAAAAGATGAGGAATTGGAGGCTAAGACAGCACAACTGCCCTCGGAACACTCAGTGAAGAGGGAGAGCAGAGGAGAACACGGGTTTTCCGACTGCAACTCTGGCTCTGTCTGTGCTTCCATTTCCTGCTGGGGGCAGAGCCACCCAGTTCTGTGGGACGGAAACCGACCAGTGAGCACGAGTTGATGAGCCCAGTGCTGGACGGGTGGAATGGGCAAGAGGGCTTCCTGAAGGAGGTGACCGAGACAGCCCAGAGGCACCAGCACACGCTACATGTCCCCACCTGGTAGGGCTACCCTGACTTGGGGAGAGGTCTGGAGTTGGGCTCAAATAGGGGAAGGGAGCTTTTTCAACATGCTGACTTGGCTCTCTGAGCCCAGAACATGAACTCTGTGCCTGGGACTAAGGTATTAGTATGTGTTGTTTACCAGCCCGTCTCGGGGCAGGGAGTCCAGAGCAGAGCTGAACTAACAGAGATTATGGAGTCCAGACAGCAATCCACCCGCCCCCACCCCGGGCACTGCAGTGTCTCCATCAAAATCTTCCTCTGGTCACTTTTTTTTTTTTTTTTTTTTTTTTTTTTTTGAGACAGAGTCTCACTCTGTGCCCAGGCTGGAGTGCAATGGCGCAATCTCGGCTCACAGCAACCTCCACCTCCCAAGTTCAAGTGATTCTTGTGCCTCAACCTCCCGAGCAGCTGGGATACAGGCACCCACCACAACGCCTGGCTAATTTTTGTATTTTTAGTAGTGACGGGGTTTCACCATGTTGGCCAGGCTGGTCTCGATCTCCCAACCTCAGGTGATCCGCCCCCCTCGGCCTCCCAAAGTGCTGGGACTGCAAGCATGAGCCATTGCACCCGTGCACCCGGCCTCTTCCGGTCACTTCTAACCCTCCATTCCCACTGACAACCCCAGAGCCATCACAGGTAGTGGTCTGTATCAGCTCTGCCGTGATTTATAAAATGGGAAAATCCACTTTAAATAAAATCTGGGGTCACCAAGGTAGGGAGGGCATGAGCCTTCAGCTTCCCAGGGGCAGGGGTTCAGGGGTTCTCTCCAGCTGCTCTTCCAGCTCCTCCCCAGCTGCAGCCTCTGAAGCAAGTTGGGACCCTCACGGTCAGTGTTGAGGATGACTTTCTTATTTGTCATGCCCTGGGGCGCCTCTGGCCTTTTCACTACCTCCCTGGTTACCACGGCCAAGGCCATTCCGCCTCCTACCTCTCTCCTTTTCAGGACCATCTTGGCAAAGAACCAGTTTCCTCTCACCACTTCCCTGCTGCACAAGACCCTATACTAGTTCCTCACAGCCTGCGGAATCGACTCAAAGTCCCCATCAGACTCCAAGACCCTACACTGCAGCTTCACCCGATGGTACAGCCTCCCAGCCTACTCTCCTCCAGTCCCGCACCCTCAAAGTCTGGTTACCCACCCTAAGAGCAGCAGCAGCAGTTGGGAAATTTTCAGGCCCCCTTCCATTTCTACTGAGTCAGAACTCCAGGGGCAGGGCCCAGTGATCTGTTTGTCACAGCTCTCCGGGTGGTCCTGATGCAGCCTGGAGTTTGGCAACTGCTGCTCCAGCCACACTGACCTCCCCAGGGCTCCATGTCAGGAGTACATGCCCCTTCCAGCCTCCCCACTTCTCATGCTGTCCCCACCACATGCAGCACCCTCCCCTGTCTTCTCTGGCCAATCAAAGCTCCTTCCCTAGGGCTCCTCACACACACTCTGTAAACATCTTCAGACCAGGCATGGTGGCTCATGCCTGTAATCCCAGCACTTTGGGAGGCTGAGGCGGGTGGATCACCTGAGGTCAGGAGTTCGAGACCAGCCTGGCCAATATGGTGAAACCCTGTCTCTACTAAAAATACAAAAATTAGCCAAGCATGGTGGCACCTGTAAGCCCAGCTACTTGGGAGGCTGAGGCAGGAGAATTGCTTGAACCCAGGAGGCGGAGGTTGCAGTGAGCCAAGATCGCACCACTCACTGCACTCCAGCCTGGGCAACAGAGCAAGACTCCGTCTCAAAAATAAATAAATAAATACATAATCTTCAGCACAACAGAGAACTCGGTGAGCTAAGCACCAGGAAACACAGATGAGTGAGACATGCTCCTTGTCCCTGAGGAGCTCATGGAGGAGTGGGAAGGATGGCAGTGCCCAGAAGTCATATGTGATAAGTTTCCCAGCAGAGTCAGGGCAGGTAGCAAAGATGGCCTCAGGGAGAAAGCAGGAATGCGGGGAGCTCATAGCTATAGCCAGGTGCTAGACAGAGCCTAGCCCAGTGCTGGGCACATGGAGGACCCTGTGTCAGTCCCCGCTGACTGATGGAGCAATGACCCCAGGAGCCCTACAGCCCAGATCTCAGGTAAGTGTCCAGGTGTTGCCAAAGACTCCCTCCTTGACCAAACTTGAGTGGGGCACTTCTGAGCCCTCTTCTAGATTAAGCCTTGGCCTTGGGCTCTGTCCTTGGCCTGCTTAGTCCAGTTTTTTTGTTTTTTGTGGGTTGTTTTTTTTTTTGAGATGGAGTCTCGCTCTGTTGCCCAGGCTGGAGTGTATCTCAGCTTATTGCAACCAGGTTCAAGCGATTCTCCTGCCTCAGCCTCCCAAGTAGCTGGGATTATAGACACACACCACCACACCCGGCTAATTTTTGTATTTTTAGTAGAGATGGGGTTTCACCATGTTGGCCAGGCTGGTCTCAAACTCTTGACCTCAGGTGATCCACCCACCTTGGCCTCCCAAAGTACTGGGATTACAGGCATGAGCCACCGTGCCCGGCCTCAGCTCCACCTTTTATTGTCTGTCAGGCCTTGGAAGGATCATGCAACCTTCATGAGCCTTGGTTCTCCATTGGTAAAACTGGGATGACTACAGCTACATCCCAGGGCTGTTGTGGGGATGCAGGGACATGGCAGGGACAGTACCAGCCCTTCTGCAGGAATACAGGAAGTCCTCAGCATAAGCTGATGTTCTGATCCACAGGCCACCAAGAAAACAACAACGAGTCTTCTCTCTGGCAAGGAGTTTTACACGTTCCAAAGCACCTTCTCTAGTTCATCATTTGCCTTGATGCTGTGGAGTTCCCAGGGCATCGCCGGGCCCCAGAGCAACGGACACAGTGGACTACCAAAGATGAAGACTCTCTTCATCCATCCCACCCGGCTCCCGTGGGGAGAGACCCGGGGAAAGCCAAGAGGGGCTACGTGTCACAGAAAGGCTGTTCCTCTCCTTGTTCTCAGCAGTGACCTTTCCGCTCAGACACTGTCCTGAGAGCAGGAATCCTCCCCCACACCAGGGCTAAGCTCAGCCAGCCCTCCCTCTGAAGTCCTCCCTGCAGTGCCCAGAACTCACCAATAATCGAGAAGGAGCGTTTCTGGCAGCCCCCTGCCAGGAGGTAACTGCAGTATCCCGCAAAGCTGTACATGCTCCCATCAAAGGTGTTGACGAAGTCACTTCCGAAAAGGCTGCATCGGGCCGTGGATGACCTGCCGCGAGTTCCTTCTGCACAAAGGGTCCCTGGAGGGAGAGGCCACAGGTTGGGCTGGTGATCTCAGGGCACAACTGGGACCATCAGCTCAAACCTCTCTGGCCTCGTAGAAATTAGACTGCCTCTGATAGAAACTGGGCTGTGGGGAGGTATTTTCCATCCTAAATGAGACTAAAGCTGTTGCTTTCAGCTCCCAGATATGACCCCAGACTCACAGCAATAACTAAGGAACAGTTTTTCAGGAAATCCATTAGTTTCAATGACATTTACTTACTGATTTAAAATGTCATCATGTCCATTATTAAAAATTTGGGGCATACAGAAGAAAACAAAGAAGCTGGCCGGGCACAGTGGCTCACGCCTATAATCCCAGCACTTTGGGAGGCCGAGGTGGGCAGATCACCTGAGGTCAGGAATTCAAGACCAGCCTGCCCAACATGGCGAAACCCTGTCTCTACTAAAAATACAAAAACTAGCCGGGTGTAGTGGTGGGCGCCTGTAATCCCAGCTACTGGTGAGGCTGAGGCAGGAGAATCACTTGAGCCCAGGAGGCAGAGGTTGCAGGGAGCCAACATCATACCACTGCACTCTAGACTGGGCGACAGAGTGAGACTCTGTCTCGAAAAAAAAAAGAAAAAGAAAAAGAAAAGAAAAGACAAAGAAGTTAAAACCATCTGTAACCCAACATTCAGCGATGATTAGAGTTAACATTTCAATGTTCATCTTTCCATTTTGTTGTATAGCATATATACAGCTGTGGGTTTTTTATAAATTGGTGACCAACTTGTGCAAACTACCTATAACCTCTGTTTATTTCTCAATAGATTGTAAACAATTTGTCGTGCTAGTGTATATACTTCCAATATGCGGTTTTTAGTGGCTGCATTATATTTTGCATCTGAATGTCTATAGTATAGCCCTCTATTGTTAGGTTTCTAGCATTTTTCCATGTTTTAATATTATAGATAGATTGCAGTGAGCATCTTTGTACATAAATCTACTAGCATGTCTTGGGCATGTTAAATTTTAAACAGATCAGACTGTGTGCCTGACACATAGACTCTCTGAAGTGTGAACTCCTCCGGCGTCACAGGCTAACTCCTTCACTGACTATGGGTGTGTGTGTGTCGGCAGGTGGGGAAATACAGCAGTAAATCTCTAAGTGTTCTGGGTTCCCCGGCAAAAGACCCACCTAGTAGGAAGATGCAGAGAGTGTGACAAATGTGTATTTTTTTTCCCAGACTCACCTGTGGGCAGTAGCTGGATGCTGCTGACCTGAGAGATCTAAGTGGAAAGCGCCCAAGGTCAAAAGTCCCCTCCCGCCATTTGCAGACCCAGAATCTTAGCAAGGGAAGGGCAGCAGTATGATGCAGTGCAGTGGAAAGGGTGTTGGCCTGGAACCCAGGAAGACTGACCTCTGATTTTGGCTCTAGGAGACTTTGGAGCAGTCATTTCTCCTCTCTGACCCTCAGTCTCTTCATTGTACCATGGGAGGTTCAACAAGGTGACCTCCACAATCTTATCGAAAACTAATAATCCATCCAAGTCTTGGATTCCTTCCTCCTCATCCTGTGCCCCCATAATATAGGACAGTTCTGTGCCACCTTTATGCTTCTTAATTCCCCAACAGGAGATGGCATTTGCAGGCACCTGGTCTCTGGAATACAAGTCAAGGGTGGGAACTCCGCAGAACCTTCACAGGAGGCAACCAACAGCCTAAGTTAGGGCTGGGCACACAGGTGAGCTCCAGACACACCTGCTGATTCCCGGAAAGGTGTCACTCCAGATGGCCCTGGGGCAGGAATGAGAAATGGAGGCCCTTTTGTACCTACCTGGCAAAATGAGGGCCAGAGCAAGCAGCACCCCGGCAAATCTGGCAGGAATCATCTGCAAAGAAGCAAGAGACGTGAGCTGGTCATTGCTGCCCAGGTAGGCGGCTGCTGGTGTGGCGACTATCAGGGCATGCAGTAGCAAAAACATTTCTTTAAAGCAGGAGAAAAGATTGATCCTCGTGACCCCCTTTTCCCCTTTGAACATGGACTTCTGGCCCCCGAAAAAACCCCTGGCCAGTGCCAGGCCCAAGGGTAACAATCGCTGTGAGCTGGGACCTGTGGGCACCTTTCCACAGACAGCAGTCCCAGGCCCAAGACAGGAGGAAAACGCTGCCTTCCCTCCAGGCCCGCTGGGCCTCACATCCCTGCCTCCTGAAGCAGCTGGGAGCTAACACACACCTCATTCCTTCCTGCCTCTGCATCCAAACTGGCGAGTAGGAACCGTCTTACACTTGTGTGCCCACCACAGCAGCCCAGACATAGAGAATGCTCAGGAACCACCAACTTGACGGTTTGCTTGTTGGCCCCTGACTCTGTACCACAAGTGCCTTCACAAGAGCAAAGGCTGTCTCCCTTGCCTCCAACCCCAGCACCTGGCAAGATGCTTAGCACCCAGGAGATGCCCAGCAAATGTTTGCTGAGTTCATCTGAAAAAATGGACAGGAGTCCAGCGGCCCTGGATGCAGGCAGACTTCCCCACTGTGTGACCCCCAAGAGAGGGACAATTCATCCTGGCTGGCAGAGCGTACCCCAAGTCACTTAGAGCCCCTGCTGTAGCCCCTCTCCTCGGGAAAAGTTGTTAAATGAAGTGCAGAATCTGCTGCCTGAGATTCACTGGGGGTGACTCCCTTCCTACCTAAGGTCCCATCCAGCCAAAGGTGAAATCAAGCCAATCTGTGATACATCTGTGGAAGGAACACTGAGATGTCAGATACTGCCAGGTCTCGGTCTCCAAGCAGGTGTCCCCTCCCAGTCCTAACACGCAGGTACATTCAGCTGCTCCCAGGTTCTCAGAGGTGAGGGCAAACTTCATTCCAACTCATTTGAGTGAAGTACTATCAAACAGTAAAACCCACTGCATGAAGAAAAGCAGCCCCAGGACCCTCAGAGGCAAGTGGAGGAGGGAGTATTAGGATCATCCCTGGCTGAATTGAATTGCCCCTCCAAACAAAGCCCTTCTAGTCCAGCGACAGAGAACTCCAGCTCCCCAGGAGCAGGGATCAGTCAGTCCTGCATCTTCCTCCCACAACTGAGCCAGCTCTCCTTCCAAAGGCCATACCTTCCCCTGCAAATGAGGGCTGCGGCTATCTCCAAGGTCCCTGGGAAACTCAGCTGCTGGACAATGGTGCCGCCCACCCTAGGCCATGCTCTCAGCTGCTGCAAAGGCTCAATCAGGTCTGCTACAGCTCCGGACTGTCTTGCTGTTATGTAGCCCAGGGGCTGTGGAGTCCCCACTGCTGGGGGAGATAAAGCCCAAGCTGTGACATCCACCAACCACCCTCCCTTTCCCACCACAATAGCTGTGAGCTGCCACAACAGGGGATTGGCCTCCTTTTAATTACCAAAAGGAAACAATGAAAGGAAATGGTATTAGAAGTACCTCCAAGCTGATAAAGCTTTGTAGAGTTTGGAGGGAGACCTCCTGGCAGCTGCCTTAATTAACTGCCTTGCCCTCCCCAAACACCCCCTATCCCTACACCCCCACACTTGATCCCTGGTCTTCCTAGAGTGCCCCACCTGTGTGGGATAACCAGGAATGCTGGTTGTTTCAGGGCAAGCTGATACAGGCCAGGGGGAATCACAGTAGAACAACACAGCTTCCTGATCCAGCTTCCAGGGCTGGACTCCAGGGAAGTTGAGAAAAACACCTCAACCTGAGCCAATTTTGCTGCTGTGTTTGGAGGAAGGGGAGTACTAACACTTCCTATGCACCCCAGGTATGAAGGATCCGGTCCTGGCCCTGACAAAAACAGTCCATTTGGATCCTGGCCAGGGTTGAATGGATCGGCTAAAGATGAAGGTCTTGGCCACAAGCCTAAGCCTTTGTAAAATGGTGAAGGTGGGGAGTGATGGTTTGAGTCTAATACTTCTACTGTTGCTACATTCTAATAATTCTAATTCTCAAGGACATTTCCACCCACTTCTGGTACCCTGATCTTACACACACACACACACACACACACACACACACACACACACAATTCTTCTTCCCAGCCTCCCATTCCCAAAAGCCTAATTCTCAACACCATCTGCTAAACTAATTCCTACTAAAATAAGTAACTGATGCAATGGGCAGCGGTGGGGGGAAGATGACTCTCGTGCTGGGATTCCAGGCACTGAGACAAGCACCCTGAGGCATGTCTGGGTATGGAAGACCTCCTCACTGCTTCTCCATGATACCTCCTGCCCTAAGACTTTGAGAAACCACTAGGTTCCAACCTCCTCCCTTCCCACATACCTCGCACTCTGCTACTCCCTTTACCGCCCCAGGAGAGGAAGATGCACACTCCCAAGGAAGAAAAATGGCACCAGAGGCAGAATCAGCATGAGACAGTAGAAAAGGCCATTGGGGGGCCGGGCACGGTGGTTCACGCCTGTAATCCCAGCACTTTGGGAGGCCGAGGTGGGCGGATCACGAGGTCAAGGGATCAAGACCATCCTGGCTAACATAGTGAAACCCCGTCTCTACTAAAAACACAAAAAATTAGCCAGGCGTGGTGGCGGGCGCCTGTAGTCCCAGCTACTCGGGAGGCTGAGGCAGGAGAATGGCGTGAACCCGGGAGGCGGAGCTTGCAGTGAGCTGAGATCGAGCCACTGCACTCCAGCCTGGGTGACAGAGCAAGACTCCGTCTCAAGAAAAAAAAGAAAAGAAAAGAAAAGGCCATCGGGATTTCCACTTCCAGCTCTTATTTAAAAAAACTAAATAACTAATCTGAAAACCCTTTCATTACAAAATATCTTTAAATGCTGTGCTAAATACAACAAATGTTCTTTAAATCCACAGTTGATCTGGGAGGAAAGTAAGGAATATCTTAAAGGGTCAATGAGGAAGAGGAGCCTAAATGAGCATGAGGCAGGGTAGGCCCATGGGTGGCCTAGCGTAGGCCAGTCTGGGAACCCTCCAGACTGGAGGCCGCACATTACAAGAATGGGCAGTGCAGCTACGGGCCTGACCCAGAGGGAGAACTAGAACGGAGATCCCTGCAAAAGCTGAAAGTTTGAAGGGAAACATCTTCCAAACAGTGGACCAGGAAAAAAATCCATCCCCCAACCTAGAAGATAAGGAAGTTTGCCTGTCTCCACTTGTTTTGGGGTGGGGTGGCGGGGGGAATTAAGTCTTTTTTTAGAATATTCTTTTCTTTCTTTTTTTTTTTTTGAGATGGAGTCTCGCACTGTCCGCTGGGCTGGAGTGCAGTGATGCAATCATGGCTCACTGCAACCTCTGCCTCCCGGCTTCAAGCAATTCTCCTGCCTCAGCCTCCCAAGTAGCTGGGATTACATGCACACACCACTACACCCAGCTAATTTTTTGTATTTTTAGTAGAGATGGGGTTCCACTATGTTAGCCAGGCTGGTCTCAAACTCCTGACCTCGTGATCTGCCCACCTCGGTCTCCCAAAGTGCTGGGATTACAGGCGTGAGCCACCACGCCCAGTCTAGAATTTTCATCCTTTGCACTCATGCAAATAAAGCTCTCTTGACGATGAATTCAAAATCACAAATTTTTCAACACTTGAGAAAACAATCTACCATGAGCAAGAATTAAATCCCTAAGAATTTCAGATAATAAAATCATCAGAGAAAGATAAAAAGAAAAAAATGAGTGTTTAAAATTATAATAGAGGCTAGGCACGGTGGTTCATGTCTATAATCCTGGCACTTTGGGAGGCTGAGATGGGATAATCGCTTGAGACCAGGAGTTCAAGACCAGCCTGGGCAACACAGCAAGACCCTGTCTTTACAAAGAATAAACTTTTTTCAAGGCAGGGCACGGTGGCTCACGGTGGGTGGATCACAAGGTCAACAGATCAAGACCATCCTGGCCAATATGGTGAAACCCCATCTCTACTAAAAATACAAAAATCAGCTGGGCATGGTGGCACGCACCTGTAGTCCCAGCTACTCTGGAGGCTGAGGCAGGAGAATCGCTTGAACCCGGGAAGCGGAGGCTGCAGTGAGCCAAGATCATGCCACAGCACTCCAGCCTGGTGACCGAGTGAGAGTCCGTTAAAAAAAAAAAAAAAAGAAAGAACAGGAGGAAAACTTGAAAAAGAACTTTAAGGCCAGACGTGGAGGCTCACACCTGTAATCCTAACACTTTGGGAGGCAGAGGCAAGAGGATTGTCTGTGCTCAGTAATTTGAGACTAGCCTACACAACACAGCAAGACCCCATCTCTACAAAAAATAAAAATAAAAAATTAGCTGGGCCTGGCGGTGCATGCCTGTGGTCACAGCTACTCAGGAGGCTGAGGTAGGAGGGAGGACCCCTTGAGCCCAGGAGGTTGAGGTTGCAGTGAGCCATAATCGCGCACTCCAGCCTAGCCAATAGAGTGAGATACTGTCCCAAAAAAAAAAAAAAAGAACTTTAAGAAATGTATATAGTAAATTAATTGAAAAATTCAAAAACACCAGATATTTTTGGGAAAAAAAAAGCTGAAAAATGGTTCTAAAGAAATCACTCAAATATAGAGATGAAAAAATGGAAGAGCAGCCAGGCACAGTGGCTTATGCCTGTAATCCCAGCACTTTGGGAGCCCAAGTAAGGCAGATCACTTGTGGTCAGGAGTTCGAGACCAGCCTGGCCAACGTGTTGAAATCCCATCTCTACTAAAAATACAACTATTAGCCTTGCATGGTGGTGCATGCCTGTAATTCCAGCTATTCAAGAGGCTGGGGCAGGAGGATTGCTTGAACCCAGGAGGCAGAGGTTGCAGTGAGCCAAGATCACACCACTGCACTTTGGCCTGGGTGACAGAGTGAGACTCCATCTCAAAAAAAAAAAAAAAAAAAAAAAAAAATGGAGGCAGAATTAAGAAACATGATAGAATTAGAAGATCCAAAGAGAAGTGCTGAGAGAAGAAGTCCATTTGTGGAGAATTCTATATGCAGTGTCTTAGTTTGAAGTCCCAGAAGCAGACCCTGAGTATTTTAGTGTAGATAATTGATTTGGGAGGACAGGAAGCATCGGCAGGGAAGTGGGAATGTGATACGGGGCAGGGAAAGCAGTCAATAAAAGATGTTTATTATGCCAGCCACCAAGTGGACAAGAAAGCTTCCTTCTGGAGGGAAGTCTGGGAAAATGTAAGATCCATGCCTCTGAATCTTCCCACTCTTGGGTCAGGGAGCAGGAGAGTTTCTACACTTACTCCTTCCTGTCAGTTATTGTCAAGGCTGCTTCAGGAGGCATTCAGCCCTCAACACTTCTGGCCCTCAGGCACGGAGGAGCAGACACTGGTAGTCTAGAAGAAACGGAGAGATGGGGTTAGAGGGCCGTGGCAGAGGGACTGTAACATCTGGTCTACCTGTAAATTATTGTTCAGAGTTGAGGAAACATAGACTTTTTTTTTTTTTTTTTTTTTGGAAAAACAGAGTGGGCTTAACATTAACAGTCCTTTCTGAAGAAACTACTAAAGAAGGAATTTCAGGGAGAAAAAACATTTTTTGTTATTGTTTCTGAGACAGGGTCTCTGTCACCCAGGGTGGAGCGCAGTGACACAGTCACAACTCACTGCAGCCTAAACCTTCTGGGCTCAAGCGATCCTCCCACCTCAGCCTCCCTAGTAGCTGGGACTATGGGCATGTACCACCATACCTGGCTAATTTTTGTATTTTTTTGTAGAGACAGGGTTTTGCCATGTTACCTAGGCTGGTCTCAAACTCCTAGAGCTCCTGGGCTCAAGCAGTCTTCCTGCTTCGGCCTCTCAAAGTGCTGGGATTACAGGTGTGAGCCACCTCGCCCTGCCAGGAAGAAGAAAATTCAGCCTAGAAACAGGATGCCAAGAAAAGGTAAATAAATAAAATAGTAAATCTGGGGGTAAATATGAGCAGGCAGTCATTATATAAAACAATAACAATGGTAATGATAAGTTGGAGAGTTATTAAAAATTAGAACCAAAATACCAGATAGCAATGACATGTAAGACAGGAGTGAAAGTGTATTAAGGTCCTTGCATGGCTCAGAAGGAAGAAACAGGTCATGATCACTTTAGACTTAGTTAAGGCTATACTGCATAGTAAGATTTTAAGGGAGGCTACTGAAAGAATAGAATTGAATGTATGTTTTCCAAACCTATCGAAAAAAAACAAGAAATTTTTAAAAACTAGATTGATCTAGGAGAAAAATGGAAAAAGCAAGACAAATAGTATAAAATGTAAATGCAACAGTACAAAAAATTCAAACAGATCAATAATCAATAATAAAAAGGTAGAGATTATCAAATTGGATTTCTTTAAAAAGGCACACAATCCAGCAATGTTCAAGAGACAGTCCTAAAATATAAACACACAAAGACCGTAAGGAAAAGAAAGGAGAGGCAAGTGATGGCCAAGGAAAAGCGTTTTATACCACTATCACACACAGTGGACCTTAAGATCAAAGTCATCATTAGCACCAAAGAGTAGAAAAAGGTGATACAAAGATCAATGCACCAGGAAGATGGAATCTATAGATTTATGTGCACTTCATAATATAAGCTTAAAATTTATTTTTAAAAACGATTAAATTATAAAGCAGAAAAGCTTTCAGTTTTGTAAAAGTCAACAACACCCAGTTATGGAAAACAAGTAAACAAAACACTTAAGTAACCTATAAAAAGAAGGGAAGGTCCTTGGCCTGAGACACAGAGCATATTTCATACTTATGGTAAAATGGAAGCCACTTTCCCTTTAAAAACCAGAACAAGGCCGGGCGCGGTGGCTCACGCCTGTAATCCCAGCGTTTTGGGAGGCCGAGGCCTGTGGATCACGAGGTCAAGAGATTTAGACCATCCTGGCCAACATGGTGAAACCCCGTCTCTACTAAAAATACAAAAATTAGCTGGGCATGCCGCTGGCGCGCGCCTGTAGTCCCAGCTTCTAGGGAGGGTGACGCAGGATAATTACTTGAACATGCAAGCATGTTCTTTTTTTTTTTTTTTTTTTTTTTTTTTTGAGACTGAGTCTCGCTCTGTAGCCAGGCTGGAGTGCAGTGGTGCGATCTCGGCTCACTGCAATTTCCGTCTCCCAGGTTCATGCCATTCTCCTGCCTCAGCCTCCTGAGTAGCTGGGACTACAGGTGCCTGCCACTACGCCCGGCTAATTTTTTTGTATTTTTAGTAGAGACGGGGTTTCACCGTGTTAGCCAGGATGGTCTCGATCTCCTGACCTCGTGATCCACCCGCCTCAGCCTTCCAAAGTGCTGGGATTACAGGCGTTGGCCACCGCACCCGGCCGACAAGCATGTTCAATGTCATCACTGCTAGTCAATATTGGATCAGATGCCCAGGCCAGCAAAGTAAGAGAAGAAGAGAAAATATGAGGTATGGAGCTTAGGAAAAAGCAAAATAGTTATTATTTGAAGATATGAATGTGTACATAGAAAAATTCAAAAGAATCTACCTAAGAGTTTAGAAGTTTGCCGCAAGATTCCTTTTTAAAATCTATTATGTTCCCATATAGTTATAAAATACAATCTTTGAAGTGGCCCTATTAGTAAAGTAGCAATTACTGCAGATACTTAAGAATAAATAGAATAGGCCGGGCGTGGTGGCTCACACATATAATCCCAGCATTTTGGGAGGCCGAGGTGGGCGGATCACTTGAGGTCGGGAGTTTGTGACCAGCCTTGCCAACATGGTGAAACCCCGTCTCTACTAAAAATACAAAAAATTAGCCAGGTGTGGTGGCGCATGCCTGTAATCCCATCTATTGGGGAGACTGAGGCAGGAGAATCGTTTGAACCAGAGAGGCAGAGGTTGCAGTGAGCCTAGATCATGCCTGGACAACAAAGCAAGACTCTGTCTCAAAAAAAAAAAAACAAAAAAACAAAAACAAAAAAAAAACTGTCCAATATTACAGAGAAAATCATAAATCTTGTCCCAAGACATAAAAGAAAACCCAATGAAGAGACATGCTGTGTTCATATTTACTAAGTCACAATATTGTAAAGATGCCAAATATCCTCAGATTAATCAATAAATTAAATACAATTTCAATCCAACAGGGTTTTTCATATAATTAGACAAGCTGATCCTAAACTCCATATGGGAAGCAAAATATCAAGAATAGTTAAAAACGCCTGTAGTTCCAGCTACTCGGGAGACTAAGGCAGGAGAATGGCGTGAACCCGGGAGGCGGAGCTTGCAGTGAGCCAAGATTGCGCCACTGCACTCCAGCCTGGGCGACAGAGCGAGACTCTTGTCTCAAAAACAAAAAAAAAAAGAATAGTTAAAAACAATTTCAAATGTGGCCGGGCGCGGTGGCTCACGCCTGTAATCCCAGCACTTTGGGAGGCCAAGGAGGGCAGATCACCTGAGGTCAGGAGTTCAAGACCAGCCTGATCAACATGGAGAAAGCCTGTCTCTACTAACAATACAAAATTAGCCGGACGTGGTGGTGCATGCCTGTAATCCCAGCTACTCAGGAGGCTGAGACAGGAGAATGGCTTGAACAGGGAGGCAGAGATTGGGGTGAGGCGAGATCCCACCATTGCACTCCAGGCTGGGCAACAAGACCGAAACTCCGTCTAAAAAAAAAATGGCCAGGTACGGTGGCTCACGCCTGTAATCCCAGCACTTTGGGAGGCCAAGGCGGGCGGATCACAAGGTCAGGAGATTGAGACCATCCTAACACGGTGAAACCCTGTCTCTACTAAAAATATAAAAAATTATCCGGGTGTGGTGGTGGGCGCCTGTAGTCCCAGCTACTCAGGAGGCTGAGGCAGGAGAAGGGTGTGAACCCGGGAGGCGGAGATTGCAGTCAGCCCAGATTGTGCCACTGCACTCCAGCCTGGGCGACAGAGCAAGACTCCGTATCAAAAAAAAAAATAGAAAAAGAAATGGACAAACAACCCAGTGGCAATAGAGAGTGATATGGAAAGACAATCTACAGAAAAGGAGGAAACGCAGTTGGCCAGTAAACATACCAAAACCAGGTCGGGCGTGATGGCTCACGCCTGGTAATCCCAGCACTTTGGGAGGCTTAAGCGGCAGGATCACCGGAGGTCAGGAGTTCGAGACCAGCCTGAACAACACGGTGAAACACCTAGTAAAAATACAAAAATTAACGAGGCGTGGTGGCGCACCTGTAGTCCTGAGAGGTGACAGCCTGCTGGCAGCCCTCCCAGCCCTCGCTGGCTCTGGGCGCCTCCTTGGCCTTGGCGCCCACTCTGGCCGCACTTGAGGAGCCCCCCTTCAGCCCGCTGCTGCGCTGTGGAAGCCCCTTTCTGGGCTGGCCAAGGCTGGAGCCGGCTCCCTCAGCTTGCAGGGAGGTGTGGAGGGAGAGGCGCGGGCGGGAACCGGGGCTGCGCAGCGGCGCTTGCGGGCCAGCGCGAGTTCCGGATGGGCGTGGGCTCAGCGGGCCCCCCACTCGGAGCGGCCGGCCAGCCGCGGGCAGTGAGGGGCTTAGCACCTGGGCCAGCAGGTGCTGTGCTCGATTTCTCGCCAGGCCTTAGCTGCCTCCCTGGAGCGCCGCCCCCTGCTCCAGGGCGCCAGGTCCCATCGACCGCCCTAGAGCTGAGTAGTGCCGGCGCACTGCGCGGGACTGGCAGGCAGCTCCACCTGCGGCCCCAGTGCGGGACCCACTGGGTGAAGCCAGCTGGGCTCCTGAGTGTGGTGGGGACTTGAAAAACCTTTTTGTCTAGCTAAGGGATTGAGAATACACCAATCAGCACTCTGTCTAGCTCAAGGTTTGTGAATGCACCAATCAGCACTCTGTGTCTAGCTGATCTGGTGGGGACTTGGAGTACCTTTATGGCTAGCTAAGGGATTGTAAATACACCAATCAGCACTTTGTATCTAGCTCAAAGTTTGTAAACACACCAATAAGCACCCTGTGTCTAGCTCAGGGTTTGTGAATGCACCAATCGGCACTCGGTATCTAGTTAATCTGGTGGGGCCTTAGAGAATCTTTATGTCTAGCTAAGGGATTATGAATGCACCAATCAGCACTCTGTATCTAGCTCAAGGTTTGTAAAAGCACCAATCAGCACTCTGTATCTAGCTCAGGGTTTGTAAATACACCAATCCACACTCTGTATCTAGCTAATCTAGTGGGGACATGGAGAACTTTTGTGTCTACCTCAGGGATTGTAAACGCACCAATCAGCACCCTGTCAAAACTGACCAATCAGCTCTCTGTAAAACAGACCAATCGGCTCTCTGTAAAATGGACCAATCAGCAGGATGTAGGTGGGGCCAGATAAGAGAATAAAAGCAGGCTGCCAGCTCCAGCCCTGGTAACCCGTTTGGATTCTTTTCCACCTTTTAGGTGCTTTGTTCTTTGTAATAAATTTTAGTGCTGGTTATTCTTTGGGATCACACTGCCTTTATAAGCTGTGACGCTCACTGCAAAGATATACAGCTTTAGTCCTGAAGCTACGGAAAACATGAACCCACCAGGAGAAACGAAGAACTCTGGATGCGCTGTCTTAAGAGCTGCAACACTCAACAGCGAAGGTCTGCAGCTTTATTGCTGAGTCAGCAAGACTGCGAACCCACCAAAAAGGAAAAACTCCCAACACATTGGAACATCAGAAGGGACAAACTCGGGACACGCCGCCATTAAGAACTGTAACAAACACCGCGAGGGTCTGCGTCTTTATTCTCGAAGTCAGCCAGACCGAGAACCCACGAATTCCAGACACAGACTCAGCTACTCGGGAGGCTGAGGCAGGAGAATCACTTGAACTCGCGAGGCAGAGGTCACAGCGAGCCAACATCACAGCATTGCACTCCAGCCTGGGCACAAGAGCAAGAGCAAATCACCATCTTTAAAAAAAAAAAAAAAACCCAAAACCTGTTCAACTTTGCTGGTCATGAGGGAAATCTAAAATAAAACCACAATTAGTTACCCACTTCTCAGAATGGCAAGGAGGGGCTCCTGAAATTCCTATATGTTGCTGAGGACAACAGGTAAAGCACTTTGGAGAAAGTGTGGAAATATATCTATAAAATGTAAAGATGCTCTTCCCCACAGTCTTGTGACTGCATGCATAGGCGTATCCCCTAGAGAAACTTTCACGCATGTGCACCAACCAGCATGCACAGAATGTTTACTGCAGCAGAGTCTGCAGTCAGAGATGTGTAAACAACCAGGCTAAATATACTTCAATAGAAGAATTAATAAATTGTATGTTCATCCAGTGAAATAACAAATAGCAATTAAAAATAATCTAGGCTACATGTATTAACATGGAAAACCCCCCAAAATAATGGTGAACAAAAAACAAAAGCAAGGATCAGAGGATACGTACCATTTACATAAAGGTAAAAACCATGTAAAATAAAACTATATATTATTGCTTACAAATATGTTTAATTGGCTAATCATGGTGGCTTACACCTGTAATCCCAGCACTTTGGGAAGCCAAGGCAGGAGGATTGCTTGAGGCCAGGAGTTCAAGATCAGCCTGGGTAACATACAGCAACCTCATTTTTATGGGGAAAAAAAAAAACAACTAGCCGGGTATGATGGTGTGCATCTCTAGTCCCAGCTACTCGGGAGGCTAAGGTAAGAGGATCACTTGAGCCCGGGAGTTCGAGGCTGCAGTGAGCCGTAATCATGCCATTGCACAACAGTCTGGGCAACAGATTGAGACTCTGTCTCAAAAAATAAATGAATAAATAAATACGTTTACTTACAGTAAAACATGCAGGTGGAGTGATAACCTGTAAATTCGGGATACTAGTTACCTCTAGGGAAGAAAAGAGAAGATGGAATCCAGAGAGTGGGACCTAGGGGGCCATACCTCTCTGTAAATATTTTGTTAATTATTTCAAAAGTATAAAGCAAATATGGCAAAATGTTAACATGCAGCAAGCTGGCTAGAACATGGGTGTTTCTGCATTATCCTCTTTAGTTTTCTCTGTGGTTGAAAGTTTCACTTAAAAGATAAAGCTCTGAAGCCAAGTGACGTGGAAATATTGGCTTTGCCTTACAAATAGCAGGGTGACCAACATCCTGTACATAAATCCTCACACACACAGCCCATTTCCTTGAAACAAATTCCTAGAAGTAAAAGAAATTGCTCGGTCAAAGGGCACAAAAATTAAGCCTTTTATATATCCTCCCAAGAACTTTACCAATTTACCCTTCTATAGCATTATTATTTTTTATTACAGATTTGGTAATGTAAGTGGCAAAAACTATTATAAGATTATTACTTTAGGCCAGGCGCCATGGTTCACGCCTGTAATCCCAGCACTTTGGGAGGCTGAGGTGGGTGGATCACGAGGTCAGAAGATGGAGACCACGGTGAAACCCCGTCTCTACTAAAAATACAAAAAAAATTAGCGGGGCACGGTGGCGGGCGCCTGTAGTCCCAGCTACTCGGGAGGCTGAGGCAGGAGAATGGCGTGAACCCGGGAGGCGGAGCTTGCAGAGAGCTGAGATCACGCCACTGCACTCCAGCCTGGGCGACAGAGCAAGACTCCGTCTTAAAAAAAAAAAAAGATTGTTACTTTAATACTCATTCCTTTCATTATTGGGAGAACATTTTCTAACATTGTCGATGTGTATTTCTTCTTTTGTGAATTTCTTGTTCATGTCTTTAGCTCATTTTTAACTGAGATGCTTATCTATATTGATCTATAAAAGCTCTTTAAAGATTAAAAATGTTAGTGTTTTCTCACATTGATATGAGGATTTTTTTTTTCAGTTCTTCACTTTAATATATATTGATGAGGGTTTTTTTTGTTGTTTGTTTTTTGATGTACAGGAGTTTGAGGAATCATCTCATGTTCTTTTTCTTTTTCTTTTTTTTTTTTTTTTTTTTGATATGGAGTCTTGCTCTGTCACCCAGTCTGGAGTGCGGTGGCGAGATCTCGGCTCACTGCAAGCTCCGCCTCCCAGGTTCACGCCATTCTCCTGCCTCAGCCTCCCAGGTGGCTGAGATTACAGGCATGTGCCACCACACCCAGCTAACTTTTGTACTTTTTAATAAAGACTGGGTTTTACTATGTTGGTCAAGCTGGTCTCAAACTCCTGATCTCAGGTGATCCGCCCACCTCGGCCTCCCAAAGTGCTGGGATTACAGGTGTGAGCCACCATGCCTGACCTAAGGATCTAGTAATCTAGGATGATCTATCTTGCCATCCTTGATTACATGTTCATAGCCAGGTTGACAGAAGAATCCAGGGGGTTACCAGGTGCTCAGTAAACAAACTCAAGGATCTGAAATCTTCACTCCATCCCACTTGCTGCTTCCTTCTTCCCAAGCCCATTATGACTCCTTTAATGACCAGCAGCCCAGCGACTTTCCTCTGGCATGGCCTCAAGCACTGCTTCAGCTCCACCAGGAGCACCAAGGCACTAGAGGCCAGGCAGGAGCAGCCCAGGTGGAAGGCCCCAGGGCGAGGAGGAGCCCCAGCAGCCTGCCTCTTTCCCTTTCGGTGGGCCCTTCTTCTCCAACCTCCCATCCAACAGTCAGCACACGTGCCTTCCTCCTGCACCCTTGCTGAGCACACGCCCACGTCCACCCTGACCCCACACCCTGCACCCCAGAATGTCTGATTGGTCCCCGGAGGCATTGCTTCCCAGACACCTCTTGTGTTCAGCTCACACTGTTCCACCATCCAAATGTCCTGCCTCCTCCCCACTCCTCCTCTCTCCTGTTCATCCTTCCATGTCCCCCTCCTGCAGAGGGAGAATTTGTCATTTGGTGAACACCTTGCAAGTACCAGATACTCTGCTAGCTGCTTGTGAACACTGTGTTACTTCATCCTCCTCTGTGAGTGTCCCAGTGCTGCCGTAACAAATCACCACAAACCGAGTGGCTTAGAACAGCACAAATGTCTTCTCCCACAGTTTTGAAAGGAAGAAGTCTGAAATCAAGGTGTCCACAAAGGCTGTAAGGGAGAGACCTTCCTCACCTCTTCCAGCTTCTGGTGGCTTCAGACTTTCCTTGGCTTGTGGCAGCATCACTCTAATCTCAGCCTCTGTCTTCACATGGCTCTCTCCTCATCTCCCTGTGTGTCTCCCACTGTATATTTCTTATAAGAACACCTGACATTGAATCTAAGTAATCTGGAAGGACCTAGTAATCTTTTTTTGGTTTTTTTGTTTGTTTGAGTCGGAGTCTCACTGTCACCCAGGCTGGAGTGCAATGGTGCAATCTCAGCTCACTGCAACCTCTGCCTACCTGGCTCAAGTGATTCTCTTGCCTCAGCCTTCCAGGTAACCAGGATTACAGGTACGTGCCAACACACCCAGCGGATTTTTGTATTTTTAGTAGAGACAGGGTTTCACCATGTTGCCCAGACTGGTCTTGAACTCCTGACCTCAGGTGATCCACCCGCCTCAGCCTCCCAAAGTGCTGGGATTACAGGCGAGAGCCACCGCACCCAGCCTCTTTGTTTTTGTCAAGGTGGAGTCTCACTCTATCACCCAGGCTGGATTGCAGTGGCACAATCTTGACTCACTGCAGCCTTCACCTCCGAGGTTCAAGTGATTCTCCTGCCTCAGCCTCCCGAGTAGCTGGGATTACAGGCACCACCACCACACCCAGCCTTTTTTTTTTTTTTTTTTTTTTTTGGTATTTTTAGTAGACAGGGTTTTGCCATGTTAGCCAGTCTGGTCTCAAACTCCTGGCCTCAAGTGATCTGCCCACTTCGGCCTCCCAAAGTGCTGGGATTACAGGCGTGAGCCACCACACCCCGCCTAAGGATCTAGTAATCTAGGGTGATCTATCTTGACATCCTTAATTACATCTGCAAAAAGCCTTTTTCCAAGTAAGGTCACATTCACAGGGTCCAGGAGTTAGAATGTGGACATGTCTTTTGGGGGTCACCATTCAATCCACTGTACCTTCTAACAACCGTTTGAGGGAAAGAGAGCGTTACTCTCATTTTATAGTTGAGGATGCTGAGGCTCAGACAGGGTAAGGGCCTTGCCTAGGATCACACTGCTACCAAAGGCAGCCAGCATCTGAATCTACCTGATTACAAAGTCCGTGTTTTCTCCACTATACCTATAACTCTTCCATAAGCCTTTTCTCCTTTCCTCCCACCCTTCACCCCCGCTTTTCCTGCCTTTGAACCACCTCTGGGTGCTTCTGTGGCCCTCTCATCTTTTCATGCATTTTTCTTTTTTTTGAGACGGAGTCTCGCTCTGTTGCCCAGGCTGGAGTGCAATGGCGCGATCTTGGTTCACTGCAACCTCTGCCTCCCTGGTTCACGCCATTCTCCCACCTCAGCCTCCCGAGTAGCTGGGACTACAGACGCCCACCGCCACACTCAGCTAATTTTTTGTTTTTATATTTTTAGTAGAGACGAGGTTTCACCGTGTTACCAGGATGGTCTTGATCTCCTGACCTCGTGATCTGCCCGCCTCGTCCTCCCAAAGTGTTAGGATTATGGGCATGAGCCACCGCTCCCAGCCTTTTCATGCATTTTTGTTTGTCTTATCTCCTCCAGTCTGAGCTCTCCTTAGAACAAGACCTTGCCTTACTCATCTCTGTATCTTCCAAAGTGCTCTGTCTGGAGCATAGCACATGGTAAGTGCTCCATAAATGTCTGTTGAACTCCCTGCTAGTAGAACAATGATGTGGGTTAATTAGCATATAATATTAAAATGTAGCTACAGAACTGAAACTGCAGATAAAAAAAATTGCTTAATACCCAAGGAAGTTGTTGCCTGCTCTCCAAATCATCAGCACAGAAGATAGCACTCGTCACTGTGGTTGGGGAAATTGCACGGTGAAAGTCACAGGATGGCTCTGCAAGGGGGCAGGGACATCAGACTGGGGTCACGTTCCCATGTGGTATTCTGCGCCTGTAACTCATATGACACTCTGGCACTATTTCTAAATAACACTCAAGTGTCTGTTTTATCAGAGTATAACACACTTGGCTGGAATAGTTCACTTACTGATATTCCACAATTTATGTAACCAGTTCCATATTATGGGATATTTATTTAGGTTAGTGCTACTTTTTTTTTTTTTTTTTTTTTTTTGAGATGCAGTCTCGCTCTGTCACCCAGGCTGGAGTGCAGTGGCGCAATCTCGGCTCACTGCAAGCTCCACCTCCTGGGTTCATGCCATTCTCCTGCCTCAGCCTCCCGAGTAGCTGGGACTACAGGCACCCGCCACTACACCCGGCTAATTTTTTGTATTTTTAGTAGAGACAGGGTTTCACCGCGTTAACCAGGATGGCCTCAATCTCCTGACCTCGTGATCCGCCCGCCTCTGCCTCCCAAAGTGCTGGGATTACAGGCGTGAGCCACCACTCCCGGCCTACTTTTTTTTTTTTTTAATTAACAATGCTGCAGTGAACATCTTTGAAGCTATATCCATGCACAACCCTCAGGATTACTCCCACAGGATGAAATCCTACATGTGGAGCACTGGGTCAGCCACCGTCCACATTTTCAGTGAGGCCTTTGACAATAAGGCCAAATGGCCCCCCTGAAAAATTGCAATGGTTTATAATGGTTGCAATGGTTTAATTACCCATTTGCTGAGTAGGATTTTGCCAGGTGAAAATGAGGGCAAAGGCACATCAGCTGCAAGGAAGGAAGTAAAAGCTTAGAAGCAGGCAAGCTCTGAGATGCTAAATCAGTAAGTAGGTGAATAAGCCAGTTGTTACAGCCTATAAAGGAGACTCACAGGAAAAGAGACCAAAGAGAGGAATAAGAGGCAAGTCCTCAGGGACCTTCAACCAGTGTAGGGGTTTATGTTCATCCTGTGACACCAGATGAGGCCCTCTGGCAGCAGTGGCATGTATTGTGAGAGGTCAGATGGAGAAAGGGAGATCCATTAGTGGTTGGTGGAACCTTCCCGGACAGGGAAGACGAGGGCCTGGAGGAGACCATGGGTTTGACAAGAGAAGAGCAGATACAGCCAACCACGTAACACATTACGGTAGCAGAAGAACAGCCAAAGATGTCTACATCCCATCTCAAACCTCTGAATGCTACCTTACATGGCAAAAGGGATTTTGCAGATGTGAGCAAGTTAAGGGTCTTGAGATGGGGAGATGATCCTGGCTTACCCCAGAGTATCCTGCTGGGCCGATATAATCACAAGAGTTTTTATAAGAGGAGCAGGAGGGTCAGCATCAGGGAAGGAGATGTGATGATGCGAGCAGAGGTCATGCAACGCGGGGCCACGAGGCAAGGAATGTGTGCCCCTGGAAGTGGATAGAGGCGAAGAACAGGTTCTCCCATAGAACCTACAGAAGGAATCCAGCTCTTCCAACACACCTTGATTTTGATCCAATTCGAGCTTCTTACAATTACGAATTGTAAGATAAATTTGTGTTGTTTCAGGCCACTAAGCTTGTGGTCATTTGTCACTGCAGCAATAGAAAACTAATATAGGCCAAGATATCATGCCACACAACCTGCTCCCTTGCCCTCATGGAGGGTGTCCCAAGGCAGCTTTGCCAAATAAGTTAGAGGACAATTAGTGCTGTGAGGCTCAAGGAAGAAGGATCCCTGAGGACCACAGTATGAGAGCCATTAGAACTTGGGCTGATGTAAACAGCATTAAGTACAAATGGGAAGGGTGCGTGACCTCTGGGGGCGCATGGGGCAGGGCTGCTCAGAGGCAGGGGGATGGGTAAATTGACCTCTGCCTGTCTGAGGAGTAAGTTCTCCAGGTAACTAGTACAAAAGCAAAAGAACCTCAGGGGAGGAAAGGTTTTCTAGGAGGACCCATCTTTGTCTTTTCTTTGTATATTTGTAGCATCTCTCTTACGTAAATTCTGCAGGAAAGAGAATTTTCTTGGCAGTATGCGCCAAATAAATAAACACAGCAGTATTTCTTAGGCCAGACGACCAGCTCCCAGCATAAAGCTGTAGCCCCCAGCGGAGAGGAAGCTGTCCTCCTCTACTTCCTCTCTTCTAAAGACAAACATCTTGTGCAAGAATAACATGCTCACTTCCTTCACAATCATCAAAATAGAGAGGACCCACCCACGCTACAATGTCAGAAGAATGGTGCAGCTTCAGACTCATCTTCCCTGGTTCTCAGGAACAATGACACCACATTATTGCTGCTATCGAGCTACAGAGAACTCAGACCATTACATCTGGTGGCATTCCTGGCCCCAGTAGTAGCACAGCAGGATTCCTGACCCCAGAATCACTATCTCAAGACCTGGGGTTCTAATTTGAGAGGCAGAAAGTTACAGCAACTCAAATTTATATGCATCTTACAAAATAGCTTCAAAATACATAAATTGACAATTGACTTCAAAAAGGCTTTCTCAATTATCCATAGGTCAGGCAGATAAAAATCAGTAAAGATAGAAATTTTAAAAACAATGATCAGCCTAGGCAACAAAGTGAGACCTCATGTCTACAAAAAAAAGAAAAAATTAGCCAGGTGTAGTGGCACACATCTGTCATCTTAGCTATTCAGGAGGCTCAGGCAGGAGGATTGCTTGAGCCCCGAAGTTCCAGGCTGCAGTGAGCTATGATTGCACTGATGCAGGGCAAGTAAGCTCCCAAATTGGGACTTAGCCCTGGAAGATTCTTGGCTTTGCTCAGGAAAGAATTCAAGAGCCAGCTGGTGGTAGAAGAAAACAGCTTTATGGAGGCAGCAGTGTGACAACTTTATGACTACTCCTGCAGAGCAGGGCTAACCCCTAGGCAATGTGTTGAGAGCACCAGCTCAGGGGCAGGTCAACAGTCATACATATACCCACTTTCAATTACTTGCAAGTTAAGGTATTGAGAGGTGACAGCGTGCTGGCAGTCCTCAGAGCCCTTGCTTGCTCTCAGCACCTCCCCTGCCTGGGCTCCCACTTTGGCGGCATTTGAGGAGCCCTTCAGCCCCCCACTGCACTGTGGGAGCCACTTTCTGGGCTGGCCAAGGCTGGAGCCCGCTCCCTCAGCTTGCAGGGAGGTGTGGAGGGAGAGGCGCGAGCAGGAAGCAGGGCTGCGTGCCGCGCTTGCGAGTCAGCTGGAGTTCCGGGTGGGCGTGGGCTTGGCGGGCCCCACACTCAGAGCAGCCGGCCAGCCCTGCTGGCCCCGGGCAATGAGGGACTTAGCACCCGGGCCAGCAGCTGTGGAGGGTGTACTGGGTCCCCCAGCAGTGCTGGCCCACCGGCGCTGCGCTCGATTTCTCGCCGGGCCTTAGCTGCCTTCCCGCGGGGCAGGGCTCGGGACCTGCAGCCTGCCATGCCTGAGCCTCCCACCCACTCCATGGGCTCCCGTGTGGCCCAAGCCTCCCCGACGAGCACCACCCCCTGCTCCACGGCGCCCAGTCCCATCGACCACCCAAGAGCTGAGGAATGAGAGCGCACAGCGCGGGACTGGCAGGCAGCTCCACCTGCAGCCCCAGGTGCGGGATCCACTAGGTGAAGCCAGCTGGGCTCCTGAGTCTGGTGGGGACGTGGAGAGTTTTTATATCTAGCTCAGGGATTGTAAACACACCAATCAGCACCCTGTGTCTAGCTCAAGATTTGTGAGTGCACCAATCGACACTCTGTATCTAGCTGCTCTGCTGGGGCCTTGGACAACCTCTGTGTGGAAACTCTGTATCTAACTAATCTGATGGGGACGTGGAGAACCTTTGTATCTAGCTCAAGGATTGTAAACGCACCAATCAGCGCCCTGTTAAAACAGGCCACTCGGCTCTACCAATCAGCAGCATGTGGGTGGGGCCAGATAAGAGAATAAAAGCAGGCTGCCGGAGCCAGCATTGGCAACCCGCTCCGGTCCCCTTCCACAGTGTGAAGGCTTCGTTCTTTTGCTCTTTGCAATAAATCTTGCTATTGCTCACTCTGGGTGCACACTGCTTTTAAGATCTGTAACTCTCACCGTGAAGATCTGCAGCTTCACTCCTGAGGCCAGCAAAACCACGAGCCCACCGGGAGGAACGAACAACTCCAGATGCACTGCCTTAAGAGTGGTAACGCCCACCGCAAAGGTCTGCAGCTTCAATCCTGAGCCAGGGAGATCATGAACCCACCAGAAGGAAGAAACTCTGAACACATCTGAAAGTCAGAAGACACAGACTCCAGATGTGCCACTTTAAGAGCTGTTAACTACGAGGGTCTGTGGCTTCATTCTTGAAGTCAGTGAGACCAAGAACCCACCAATTCCAGACGCAGTATGGGTTATTCAGAAATTTCTAGAAAAATGGTGGTAACTTTCACGTGGTTGCCATGAAAAGAGGTGGTAACTTCTGTGTGTTGCCATGGCAATGGTAAACTGACATGGAATTGGTTGTCAGGTCTTTCCCCCCCCCCCCCCCCCCCAGCTGGAGTCTTGCTCTGTCTCATAGGCTAGAGTGCAATGGTGCAATCTCAGCTCACTGCAACATCTGTCTCCCAGGTTCAAGTGATTCTCTGGCCTCGGCCTCCTGAGTAGCTGGGATTACAGGTGCCCACCACCACGCCCTACTAATTTTTGTATTTTTAGTAGAGATGGGGTTTCACCATGTTGGCCAGGCTGGTCTCAAACTCTTGACCTCAAGTGGTCCGCCCACCTCTACCTCCCAAAGTGCTACGATTACAGGCGGGAGCCACCATGCCCAGCCAACTGGTGGGCATGTCATGGAGAGGTGTTTTCCCCGCCTCTTCCCTGTTTCAGCCAATCTTCAATCTGGTCCAGAGTAAGATCCTGCCTCCTACCTCAGCACCACTGCATTCCAGCCTGGACAACAGAGTAAGACCCTGTCTCAAAAAGCAAACAAACGGGCTGGCCCGGTGGCTCACACCTGTAATCCCAGCACTTTGGCAGGCCGAGGTGGGCGGATCACTTGAGGTCAGGAGTTCGAGACAAGCCTGGCCAACATGGTAAAACCCCATCTCTACTAAAAATACAAAAAAAAAAAAATTAGCTAGGCATTTTGGCGTGCACCTGTAATCCCAGCTACTTGGGAGGCTGAGGAAGGAGAACTGCTTGAACCTGGGAGGCGGAGGTTGCAGTGAGCCAAGATAGTGCCACTACACTCCAGAACGGGTGACTGAGTGAGACTCTGTCTCAAACAAAAACAAAAAACAATGGTTAAACCCTATTATTGCATTTTTGGGCATTTATGCCAGAGAAATCTAAATAGTTTCATGTTAAATATTGTACGTGAATGTTCACAGAAGGTTTTTTTTTTTTTTTTTGAGAGAGAATCTCGCTCTGTCACCCAGGCTGGAGTGCAGTGGCGCGATCTCGGTTCATGCCATTCTCCTGCCTCAGCCTCCTGCGTAGCTGGGACTACAGGCACCCGCCACCACCATGCCCGGCTAATTTTTTGTATTTTTAGTAGACACGGGTTTTCACCGTGTTAGCCAGGATGGTCTCGATCTCCTAGCCTCGTGATCCGCCCGCCTCGGCCTCTCAAAGTGTTGGGATTACAGGCGTGAGCCACCGCGCCCGGCCAAATGTTCACAGAAGCTTTATTTGCAATGACAAAAACTGGAAGAGGCTGGGCGCGGTGGCTCATGCTTGTAATCCCAGCACTTTGGGAGGCCGAGGCGGGCGGGTCACGAGGTCAGGAAATCCAGACCATTCTGGCTAACACGGTGAAACCCCGTCTCTACTAAAACTATAAAAAATTAGCTGGGCGTGGTGGCGGGCGCCTGTAGTCCCAGCTACTCGGGAGGCTGAGGCAGGAGAATGGCGTGAACCCGGGAGGCGGAGCTTGCAGTGAGCCGAGATCGCGTCACTGCACTCCAGCCTGGGCGACAGACGGAGACTCCGTCTCAAAAAAAAAAAAAGAGAACAAATTACTGATACACGCAACGTGGATGAATCTCCAGGGAATTATGCTGAGTGAAAAACAGCCAATCCCCAAAGGTTATATCCTGTATAATTTCATTTATATAAATTACAGAAATGGAGAACAGATTAGGGCTAGGGACAGGGGAGAGGCTGAGGGACTATGAGAGGAGTGTGGTTGTGTTTATAATGAAACCGACCCAATCATCCCATAGATAGGTTTTTTTTTTTTTTTTGGATAAGCATCGAAATTGACTTTTCTAGTCTTTGTTTTCTAGTCTTTTTTTTTTTTTTTTTTTCTTTTTTTGAGACGGAGTCTCGCTCTGTCGCCCAGGCTGGAGGGCAGAGGCGCGATCTCAGCTCACTGCAAGCTCCGCCTCCCGGGTTCACGCCATTCTCCTGCCTCAGCCTCCCGAGTAGCTGGGATTACAGGCGCCTGCCACCACGCCCGGGTAATTGTTTGTATTTTTAGTAGAGATGGGGTTTCACCGTCTTTGCCAGGGTGGTCTCGATCCCTGACCTCGTGATCCTCCTGCCTCGGCCTCCCAAAGTGCTGGGATTACAGGCGTGAGCCACCGCGCCCGGCCTTTTTTCTAGTCTTAAAGCCACCACGCCCGGCCTTTTTTCTAGTCTTAAAGCTTGAAAAACTTAATTTGTTTTATCTGAGTTCCCTCCTCAGGAAAAGACCTTCAGGCCTCTAAAAAAAAGTATCAAAGAACTGAAACTCACCAGATCACCACATCCAGACAAGGAAATGCCCAGACCCCTCATTCATCATGATTGTTTCCTTGCCCCTCCCTAGTTCCTGTTTTCGTAGGCATTGTTACATTTCTTCCCTGCTACATAAACCCTTACTTTTTGTAGGTCAGGGAGATGGGTTTGAGACTGGGCTCCCATCTCCACTCCTCAGCTGCAGGATTAAAGATTTTTTTCTGGCCAGGTGCAGCGGCTCATGCCTCTAATCCCAACACTTTGGGAGGCTGAGGCAGGCAGATCACCTGAGGTCAGGAGTTCGAGACCAGCCTGACCATCATGGAGAAACCTCGTCTCTACTAAAAATACAAAATTAGCCGGGCATGGTGGAGATGCCTATAATCCCAGCTACTCAGGAGGCTGAGGCAGGAGAATTGCTGGAACCCGGGAGGCAGAAGTTGCGGTGAAGCGAGGTCACGCCACCGCACTCCAGCCTGGGCAACAGAAAGAGACTCACTCTCAAATAAATACATACAGACAGACAGACACCAGCATGACATTACATAGTGTAGCACAGCTTTGCCTAAAGGGAGGGGAAAAAAGGTGCAAACACCAGGCTAATTCAGAGAGGAGACTTCTCTTGCTGGGTGTCTCATTCCCAGCACCCTCATCCAGAAACCTAAATTCAGAATCCCTGCTACCTAGATTTCCCGGACCTACTCTACAACCGCTAGTATTTATTTGGTATCTGGGCTAGGCTCTTGGGATATGAAGGTGAGTGAAAAAACACACCATTCTCTGCCCTCATGGAGCTTATGATCTGTTGACAGGACCGACATTAATCCAAACAAATTATAACTACAAACAGTGATGAGAGTAAGACACGTGGTGCCAGGGAGGCATACAAGTAATAGATTCCCACCCAAACTGAGAGGGCCGGGGGGTGTGGGCAGAGAAGTCCTCCCTGAAGAGGTACAACTGAACTGAGTTCTATGGGATGAGTAGGAGTAAAGCCAGGCAAAGGTTGGTGGGCACACTTCAGGCCATGGGAATAGCACGTGCAAAGGCCCAGCTGCAGGAGGAGGCTACCTACCAAGACACTGAAAGACAGTCTGTGGCTGCAACACAGATCAGGGGAAGCATGGTGGACGACAGGGCTGGAGAGGTAGGAAGGGGTCAGATGAAACGTTACTCCTTTCTGCGATGCATTTTGGTTTTCAGGGCAATTTCCCAGACCAGACTTCATTAGAGCCTTACGCTACCACCATGAGTTAGCAAGAGCAGGCAGTATTGTTCCCAATTTGCACATGAAGAAGTGAATGCTCAGCAAAGTTGTCAGAGGCATTCGAACCAGAATGACTCCATTTTGAGTGAGGACTAGGAAAATGAGGCTGAGACTTGCTGGGCTGCATTCTCAGAAAGTTAGGCATTATTAGCCTCTGCATGTTTACAGTTAAGGGAACAAATTAATCGTGTTTACTGAACAGGCCCAGACTTGGGAGTGTCCAGATAACCTGGTACAAAGGTATTCCTTTTTTTTTTTTTTTTTTGAGACGGAGTCTTACTCTGTTGACCAGGCAGGAGTGCAGTGGCACGATGTCGGCTCACTGCAAACTCTGCCTCCCAGATTCAAGCAATTCCCTGCCCCAGCCTTCCAAGTAGCTGGGATTACAGGCGCCCACCACCACACCCGGCTAATTTTTGTATTTTTAGTAGAGACAGGGTTTCGCCATGTTGGCCAGGCTGGTATTGAACTCCTGACCTCATGATCCACCCACCTCAACCTCCTAAAGTGCTGGGATTACAGGCGTGAGCCACTGTGCCCAGCTGAACAAAGGTATTCCTAATTTTGCTTTAAAGATAATAATATCAATTCCTGCAAAATATAGTAATTAAGAAAATTAATCCTTTATCACAAACCTTGTAGCAGAGCACATCTCCCCATATATACAAGCATTGTACGTAGGTTGGATGCGTTCCTCCTCTTACTTTCGGGAACGTCCTACTGTGTCTATGGAGTGGATGTTCTTTCACCACTTTACTTCCTTAATAAACTTGCTTTGCCTTTGCACTGCGGACTCACCCTGAATTCTTCCTTGCTCGAGATCCAAGAACCCTCTCTTGGGGTCTGGATCGGGACCCCCTTTCCTGTAACATATTTCTGGCGAACACAGAAGGCACTATAGTACAGAAACCCTGACCCAACGGCTACCTTTGGGTAAATGGTGGAGTCCTGTAACAAAGTGACTTGCCAGAGGCCACGCAGCGAGGGAGTCAAACAGCCTATGCTTACTCCTTGCCCTCCAACTCCTGGCCCAGTGCTCTCTGCTCCCACTGCCTATTCCTGATCCTGTTCAGTCTTCCTTATGGTTCAGCTCCCAAATCCCAAAGTGAAGGCATCAGGTCTCACAGTTGGAAAGGACTTTAGGGAAGGACACCTCTTCTAGGATTCTCCCAATTTGCATCTTGCAAAACTGAAGGACCCCAGGGTCTCTGGCTGAGCTCTTCCTGATTTACTCTAAGATACAAGCAAAATCCTTTTAGTTCAGACTTGATTGGTGGGGAAAGGCCTTGGGATGATGTGAGCTGGACCAAGCAATCCCTGCCTATAATTTCATTAGTCCACAGTTCCAGGCTTCTACTTTGAGACACAGAAAATTTCTCTTGTGAACCAGGCCACATCCTCTCACAGGAGGCTTTTACTCACACATTCACACGCCGTGAGAACTTTCTCCTTGTCTCTGTGCCTTCCTGAAACATAAGTATCATTAACTATTTAAAATGGACTTTCATACTACAGATGGTGAGTTGATTTAAGGAAAATACACTTATCTTATTCCTCTTCCTCAAATACTACAGGACAAAGTTTTCTGTTGTTCTAAATTTTTGGCTTCTCTCTGTGAAACTGAATTACCTGCTATAATTTGCACAGAAAATGTAATGCATCCCCCACTGTGGGCCTTGAGCAAGCTGCCACCTTCAAGCACCTTCAAGCCATTCACCAAGGATGGAACCTCTTGCTCAAAGAAGAAAGCCAAAGTGTTTAAGATACTGACCTGTAGCAAGCAAACAGTGAGACATAATCACACTCTTGACTTGAACTAATAGCGTATATATTTTATCACAAATCTTGGAAATGACAGAAGTCTTGGGCTGGGCGCAGTGGCTCATGCCTGTAATCCCAGCACGTGGGGAGGCCGAGGCGCGCGATCACCTGAGGTCAGAAGTTTGAGACCAGCCCGGCCAACATGGTGAAACCCTGTCTCTACTAAAAATACGAAAATTAGCTGGGCGTGGTGGCTGGCGTCTGTAATCCCAGCTACTCAGGAGGCTGAGGCAGAAGAACTGCTTGAACCCAGGAGGCGGAGGTTGCAGTGAGTGGAGATTGCGCCATTGCACTCTAGCCTGCGCGGCAGAGCAAGACTCCATCTCAAAAAAGAAAAAAGAAAAAAAAAAGTCTCAGATAGAGTCCTGGAGGTCTGAGGCTCTATCTGCTTCCTCCTCCATCTTGAGAAAGTGACTGACCCTCTCTGGCACTCTTTTACCCAAAGTAGCCAGGGTGTGTGTGGTTTGTAATTTTTTTTTTTTTTTTTTTTTTTTTGAGACGGAGTCTCACACTGTCGCCCAGGCTGGAGTGTAGTGGCGAGATCTCGGCTCACTGCAAGCTCCGCCTTCTGGGTTCCTGCCATTCTCCTGCCTCAGCCTCCCAAGTAGCTACGACTACAGGCGCCCGCCACCATGCCCGGCTAATTTTTTGTATTTTGTTTAGGGGAGACGGGGTTTCACCGTGTTAGCCAGGATGGTCTAGATCTCCTGACCTCGTGATCCGCCCACTTCGGCCTCCCAAAGTGCTGGGATTACAGGCGTGAGCCACCGCATCCAGTCGTGTGTGTGTAATTCTTATCTGTGTTTTTAAATGTGGATTTCCAGCTTCACTTGGAAGACTGGAAGTTGTTGGAAAGGCGGGTCTTCTCTCTTGGGATGGGCATGTTCTCTCCAGTTTCCAGTCCCTTCTACACCCTATCACATCTCCAACATGAGGTCCAAACCAGTTGTCATTTATCTTTTTACTTACTTCGTCTTTTTATTGAAGTACAAAAACATTTCTTTGTAGCACTTCTCTATCAAGAGGGGAAAAAAATAAGACACACCAAGACAGCTGTAAGTTTCAAGAAAAATAAGAGGCCGGATTCTTTGTAGAAGCTGAAGAATATTCCTCTGCAATTGGTTGGCTTCCTCAGTGGTTCGGCTTCAGGATCCCGCAGAGGTTGGCTAAGGCCCAGTCAGCCAAAGGCGCCAGCACGACTGGGACTGGAAGATCCACTTCCAAGACGGCTCATGCACGGTGCTGCCCAGCTGGTGCTGTAGCTGGCAGGAGGCCTGGATTCCCTGCTGCACTGGGTGACCAGATTTTCCCAGAGCAAGAGTCCAAGAGAGAGAAAAATGAAAGATACAAGGTTTTTTTATGATCTGGCCTCAGGAGTCTTATTTCCACAATATCCTATTGGTTATACAAGTCAGCCCTACTCAACATCAGACTACACAAGGGTGGGACTGGTGAAATAAGATTCACTGGAGGGCTATCTTGAAAGGTGGATACCACATAATTCCATGACGTTTATAAACGACATACCTAAAATATAAGGACATGAAAGTGTTTGAAGCAAAGCTGGAGTAGTTGTTAGTAATATGGGACAAAATAGACTTTGGGGAAATAAAGCATTATTATGGCTAGAGAATGACATTAAATAATGACAAAAAATACAATCTACTAAGATTATTATAAACCTAGTAAAATAAGAAGATATGATTATAAAACTAAAAAATAAGCTTAATAAAATAGGTTTAAAATATATAAATTATAAAAATTAAAAGAACCCAGGGAGAAGTTGCCATATTTGCCATCATAGTGGGAGATGTCAACACACCTCTCTCCGTTACTGTTAGATCAAAGAGACAAAAAATTAGAAAAGACAGAAAATTTGCACAATACAATTAATCAGCTTGATTTATTGGGCATAGATAGAATTCTCTACCCAGCAATTAGGGATGACACATTTGGAACATATATAAAAACTGACCAGGCCGGGCGCGGTGGCTCACGCCTCTAATCCCAGCACTTTGGGAGGCCAAGGCAGGTGGATCACGAGGTCAGGAGATCGAGACCATCCTGGCTAACGCGGTGAAACCCCGTCTCTACTAAAAATACAAAAAAATTAGCCGGGCATGGTGACAGGCGACTGTAGTCCCAGCTACTCAGAAGGCTGAGGCAGGAGAATGGCATGAACCCAGGAGGTGGAGCTTGCAGTGAGCCGAGATCACGCCACTGCACTCCATCCTGGGCGACAGAGTGAGACTGTCTAAAACAAAACAAAACAAAACAAAAATAAACAAAAAAAAACTGCCTAAGTACTAAACCACAAAGCAATTCTCAACAGATTTCAAAGAATCAGTATCAATGTGTTTCCCTGCATAATACATTTAATTAGAAGCAAATAACAAAATATAATTATGTTTTATTCCCATATGGCTAGAAACTTCTAAATATATTTCCAATTCATGGTCAAAGAAGAAATCATCATGAAAAATGTAAAATTCAGTCTATTCTGCTATAATGCATATAAAATGCAGAATATTATCAGTTTAATATGAAAGTCATATTAGTTCCTATTATGAACTAATACATAGGTGCAAACTTTCTGATAATTGAAGAAACCTTTAAAAACATTTTTTTTTTGAGACGGAGTTTCGCTCTGTCGCCCAGGCTGGAGTGCAGTGGCGTGATCTTGGCTCACTGCAAGCTCCGCCTCCCGGGTTCACACCATTCTCCTGCCTCAGCCTCCCGAGTAGCTGGGACTACAGGCGCTCGCCACCACGCCCGGCTAATTTTTTGTATTTTTAGTAGAGATGGGGTTTCACCGTGTTAGCCAGGATGATCTTGATATCCTGACCTCATGATCCACCCACCTCAGCCTCCTAAAGTGCTGGGATTACAGACGTGAGCCACCACGCCTGGTAAATACATTTTTAAAAGCCAAAAATTTTTCACAGTTGATCTTCTTTCATGCATATAATGGCTGGTGTAGGGCCTTGAGAACTGCTAGACTTCCTACTATGTGAAGGTATCTACAGAAGCTTCAAATATAGGTCAAGAAGCAATGAAGGTATTTCTGTTTTACCCTGATGTATTAAAAAATCAAGAAATCTAGTTACTAGATCATGTTTTTAGTTTTGTTTGTTTGTTTGAGATGGAGTCTCGTCCCGTGGCCCAGGCTGGAGCGATATGGTGCAATCTCAGCTCACTACAATCTCCACCTCCCAGGTTCAAGGAATTCTCCTGCCTCAGCCTCCCAAGTAGCTGGGATTACAGGTGCCCGCCACCATGTCCAGCTAATTTTTTTTCTTTAGTAAAGATGGGGTTTCACCATGTTGGCCATGCTGGTCTCGAACTCCTGACCTCGTGATCTGCCCTCCTCAGCAATCCAAAGTGCTGGGATTACAGGCGTGAGCCACCCCGCCCTGCCTATGTTTTTAGTTTTAATGAAATTAATCACTATTAGAAACAAATGCCCTCAAAGACCTATTTCTCAAAGCTGGAATCGTAAATCTCAGGACTCAAAACTACAAAGAATTGACTGACGATGGTGCTGATGAAGGGATACTGGTCAAAACTTAATCACATGGCCATATCTACCTATGAGGGAGGCTGGGAAATATAATCTTCAGTTTTGTATCCAGCTAAAAACTGGGGTTTTGTTGTTAAAAGTTAGAAGGCCAGAATAACCATTAGAGAACCATCAGTGGACTCTGCCACAAAGAAAATTAGCTTTAATTCAGATGATGTCTCCAATACAATTTTGACTCCAAAACCAGACATGAGCAGTATAAGAAAAAGAAAATCCCTGGCAAAACTTACTCATGAACATAGGTGCAAAAGTCCTAAACAAAATACTCGCAAGTGAATCCAACCGTTTTATTAAAAAAGAGAGTGCGTTATGACCAAGTTTTATTTATTCCAGAAATTTAGGGTGGTTTTCACATTTAAAATTGTATCATAATCATATACTACATTAACAAATTAAGGGGTAAAAATATAGGCATCTCCATAGCTGCAGAAAAAGCATTTGCCAGATTTACTTATTCATCATAAAAACTCTTAGTAAACTAGGAATTAAAAAAAAAAATTAACCTAATTAACAAAACGTGTGACTCATCATTCTAATAAGGAAATGTAAGAAATAGAAGATCAGTTCCCTTAAAAATAAAAAAAAAGACAAAGATGCCAACTCTTGCCACTTCCATTCAAGCTACATTGGAAATTCTGGGCAATGAAACAAGAGAAGAAAAATAAATGAAAATCATAAAGATCAGAACTAGGGCCGGGCGCGGTGGCTCATGCCTATAATCCCAGCACTTTGGGAGGCTGAGGCGGGCGGATCATGAGGGCAGGAGATCAAGACCATCCTGGCTAACACGGTGAAACCCTGTCTCTACTAAAAATACAAAAAAAATTAGCTGGGCGTGGTGGCAGGCGCCTGTAGCCCCAGCTACTCAGGAGGCTGAGGCAGGAGAATGCTGTGAACCCAGGAGGCAGAGCTTGCAGTGAGCCGAGATCACACCACTGCACTCCAGAGACTCCGTCTCAAAAAAAAAAAAAAGACCAGAACTAAACAACTCTCATTAATGACATACAATATCATTGTCCCAAAAGAATCTACACATAAAATATTGGAAATCAGTAGACATTTTGGCAACATCAGATATAAGATGAATATTTGAAAATCCACTACATTTCTATATACCAGCAACAGAAATATAATTGTAAAAAATTGTAAAAAAAACTCATGTAACACACAACAAAACTATAAGTTACATAATAACAGATCTAAAAAAAAAGATGCTCAGGATACATAAGAAAAAATACAATATTTATTAGAAGGCATTAATTAAAACCTAACTAATATGAGAGTTATACCATGGATATTTAGACTCAATATCACAACAATGTCAGCACTGTCCAAACTGAGATATAGACTCAATACAATGCCAATCAAAATTACAAGTTGATTCTGATATATGCAACAGGCCAAAATGCAATGGGCCAGAAATAGTCAATTTACTCTTCAAGGAAAACAGTGAGATGGCAGGACTTACCCAACATCAGGACTTCTTATAAATCCATAGCATTTTAGACTGAATAATATTAGTGCAGGTTTAGACAACTTGATCAATGAATTAGGTTAAAAGCCAAAAAGCAGACCCACAGATATATAGAAATTTTTTAGATAACAGAGATCAATTGTAGGTCAATTGGAAAAAGTTGGGCTGTTCAATAAACGATGATTATTCTAGCATATACTCTTACATATACTGCTGGTGGGATTGGAAATTGGCAAAACAATCTGTGAACTTGAGCATTTACATGCCCTAGAATTCATCGATTGCACTTCTCTAGAAGAAACGCTGGTGCATGGGAACTGCTGCATACAGAGATTTATGCAAGAATACTCACAGCATTACCGTTTATCACAACCAAAAAAAAACTATATACAATATGACACCATTTTTACAAAGCTCAAAAACAAGCAAAAGTAAACAAGTAAAGTTTGTAGATACAAACATATGTGATGAAGCTTTTTTTTTTTTTTTTTTTTGAGACAGAGTTTCACTCTTGTCGCCCAGGCTAGAATACAATGGCGTGATCTTGGCTCACTGCAAACTCCGCCTCCCGGGTTCAGGTGATTCTCCTGCCTCAGCCTCCTCAGTAGCTGGGATTACAGGCGCATGCCACCACACCCAGCTAATTTTGTATTTTTAGTAGAGATGGGGTTTCACCATGTTGGTCAGGCTGGTCTCAAACTCCTGACCTCAGGTGATCCACCCGCCTCAGCCTCCCAAAGCGCTGGGATCACGCCCGGCCGATGAAGCTACTTTTTTAAAGCAAGGAAATAACAAACACCAAAACTCAGGGTAATAGCTATCTCTTCAAGGGAGACAGGCATACAGAACAGGAAAGAACACATAGGCACATACAACCCTGTTGATAATGTTCTAATTCTTAGATGGGGTAGTGGGTTCACAGATGTTCATTTTGTTAGCATGTCTCATAATACATACTTTGCATTTGTTATTTTATATATAAAATTGCTAAAGAAGAAAAAACTCCCTCAAAGAAAACAGCCCCCACTTAGCAACAGTTAGGAACAGTAAGTCCTCAGTTATAGAGGGTGAAAGACAGCTTCTTCAGCAGCCAATTTCCAGCTGAATTTGACTTGAGCTGCTAGATTCGGTCAGAAGCCTGGGTGGGCAAGATGTGAAGGAGAATCAAGCCAAAAGGTGGAAGCTCACTCTGTACCCTGGGAAGTAGAGAAGGGCAGAGGCTTGCCCAGTGCCACACAGCTCACTGATGGAGAGTCAGGGTTCGCGGACTGACCAGTGACGTACAAGGAGCCAGAAGGGAAGACGTGAGGGGTGGCGGGTAGCACCGAGGCCGGCCAGGCCAGGCACAGGACTGCAGCCGTCTCTGGCATGCGGCCCAATGCTGATCACAATCAGATTCCCACCAGAGCGGAAGAACAGGACCCCGCCAGCACCTCCCAGATCCAGATCCAGGCTCAGACAGGAACCAAGCAGAACTGCTATCATCTTTGCGGATCAGGGTTCCTGAAGATTAAGGAACCAGATGTTAGGGCTAGAGAAAAAAAGGGTGGGGGCCGGGTGCTGTGGCTCATGCCTGTAATTCCCACACTTTGGGAGGCTGAGGCGGGCGGATCACTAGGTCAAGAGATCGAGACCATCCTGGCCAACCTGGTGAAACTCCGTCTCTACTAAAAATACAAAAATTAGCTGGGCGTGGTGGGCGCACGCCTGTAATGCCAGCTACTCGGGAGGCTGAGGCAGGAGAATCGCTTGAACCTGGGAGGCGGAGGTTGCAGTGAACCTAGATCGCACCACTGCACTCCAGCCTGGTGACAAGAGCGAGATTCCGTCTCAAAAAAAAAAAAAAAAAAAGGGTGGGGGGAAAAATTTCCCTTTAGGGTGGTTGTGAAGAAAAGGGTACCAGGTTCACCCTGTAGAAATACTGCCCTTGGGGCTCTCTTTTTATCCTATCCTACATCCACCAGCCCTTAGCCTAAGGCTGCCTGCTGCGGTTTGAGGACAGGACAGACACCTTCCCACTTATCCATCAATTTCTCTAATGTCATCGGTAGCACCCAGTGTCTAGTTTAGGTTTTTCTACCCTCCCTTCTCCGATGTTCTTATGGCACTACAGATGCTGGGAACAGTTCTGTATCTATATGTCGTGCCTCATTTTATGATTATTTGCCTCATTTCATGATTATTGCATTCCCTTTGGAGGGCTGTCAGCGTGTGAAAGTCAGGCCCATGTCTAACTTCTTTTTTTTTTTTTTTTTTTGAGACGGAGTTTCGCTCATCACCCAGCTGCAGTGCAGTGGCTCGATCTCGGCTCACTGCAACCTCCGCCTCCCGGGTTCAAGCGATTCTCCTGCCTCAGCATCCCGAGTAGCTGGGATTACAGGCGCCCACCACCACGCCTGGCTAATTTTTTTGCATTTTTAGTAGAGACTAGAGTTTCGCCATGTTGGCAAGGCTGGTCTTGAACTCCTGACCTCAGGTGATCCACCCGCCTCAGCCTCCGGAAGTGCTGAGATTACAAGCCTGAGCCACCACGCCCAGCCCGTCTAACTTCTTTTTATTCCCTAGCAGCTTATTCAGAATATTATGCATAAAATATCTCAATATTGATAAAATGTAAACTGTTTAAATCTGGGGAAGAAGGAAAACGCTGTAAAACTATTATTGCCAGCCACTAACCCTTTGGTATAAATTAGCTTTCAGAAGTTTTTTTGAGGTATATTTTGTTAAGGAAATTCAAAGACAGTTCAAGGAAACTTTCTTTTTAATTATAAAGTTTCTTGAAGCAAAAGGGGAAAACAATATGTGTTTGTTCAGAGAAGGTTTTTTGAGCGGGGAGGAGACAGGGTCTCACTGTCACCCAGGCTGGAGTGTAGTGGCAGTATCACGGTTCACGGCAGCCTAGACCTCCTCAGACTCAAGCGATCCTCCCCCCTAAGCCTCCCAAGCAGCTGCGACTACAGGCACAAGCCACCTCACCCAACTATTTTTTTGTATTTTTTGTAGAGACAGGGTTTTGATATGTCACACAGGCTGGTCTCAAACTCCTTGTCTCAATTGATCCACCCATCTCAACCTCCCAAAGTGCTGGGATTACAAGCATGAGCTACTGTGCCCAGCAAGAGATGATTTTTTTTTATCATGATTTACTCATGTCCTAAAATACTACAGAGACATTAAAAATAACGCGATCTCTACAGACTGACATGGAAGGATATCAGACATGTTACTAAGTTGAAAACAAAACAAAACCTTGCAAAACATTTACAGCGTGATCTTATTTTTGTTAAAAACAAAATTTTTAAAAATACACACATCTGTGTTGTGGAAAAGTTCTGAAAAGATATCAATGAAATAATAAACAGTTATTTCCCCTAGGGCATGCTTTTTAAATGTATAATGTATATGGATTACCTGAGGGTATTGTTAAAAATGTTAAAATTCAGATCCTGATTCAGTAGAGCTGGTGGGGCCTAAGAATCTGCATTTCCAACAAGCTCACAGGCAGTGATCCTGGCTTGCAGAGCCAGTTTTTACATTTTCAGGAATTTTGTGGCTCTGTTGTTAAATACATTCATTATTAAATACTAAAGTATATATAATCATCGTAAAACAAGTTACATTTAAGACAGAGATAACGACTCAAAACTCATACTTCCTAATTATTTTATATTTTACTATTATCTATACCCTTGAGGTTATACATACCAATGTCTGTATCTGTGTGATGGAAATGACACATAATGGTGTGTTACTGTGAAGTCTTCCCAGTTTTCCATTGAGTAACATCACATGGGTGGCATGGAATCTGACACGCTGGAAATAGTTACACCACAGAAATTGGCAGACACTACAGATCATGGCTTTTCTTCCAAAGAGTCACTTGTTAAACATTGATCAACACACCACTGCTCCCAGGCACACAGCACCAGCCTAGGACACGAAATTGATGTGGGGAAAGATATTTGGTGTTTTTTCCCTTTTATTTTTTGTTGACGATAATTGTCCATTTTTTATGGGATTCAAAGTGGTATTCTGATACATGCATATGATGTATATTGATCAAATCAGGGTAATTAGCATATCTAACATCTTGAACACCGATCACTTCTTTGTGCTGGGAACACTTAAAATCCTACCTTGCAGCTTTTTGAAACTATACTTGAAACTATTGTTAACTACTTTCACCCTACAGTGGTACAGGACACTAATGCTTATTCCCCTCAGCTTAGCCAGCTGTAACTTTGTATCCATTAACCAGCCTCTCCCCAATGTGGGGAAAGGTTCTATGAGTGAGAGGAGGAATGGGTGCTGACCAGGAAGGCTATGAACATTAAAGATGAATTTTTCTACACCAAGATTGTCTGTATTCCTAGCTCGTTGGTAGCATGGAGTACTTAACAAGTATTTGCCAACTAAGAGAATGAATCAATGCTGGCTGTGAAGAGAACCAAGTAAAGTTTCCGTTGGAAAGCACAGGAAGCCCACTTCACTCCCACAGGAGCTGGGGATGAGAAAGAGTGGGGGTGGGTATCTGCTCCTAGGGGGCCCTGGCAGGGGAAGCCCAGGACTGGCCCTCTTGCTGACTGGCACCTCAACATTTCCTGTACGGTTTTAGTTGCTGCACCTGAGAGGCAGTATGTACTTAACTCCTCCCCTGGAGGTCAGCAAGAGAGGCCCACGGCTGCCCAAACTACTGGCCAAATAAACAAACAGCCAGGCCAGGAAGCAGACAGCGGGGCCCCAGTAGACTCTGGGACTGCAGCAGCAGCCACAAAGTCTGGAAAAGGCTGAGCCAGAACCCACACCCCGATCCCTTTTCTCCCCCCCAGCCCCTCCCCTGCCACCAGAACCTTCTGTCTAATGCTATCTCTCCCTCTATCCCCTGCCTTACTCCTCTGACCCCTCTGGGCAAAGTTCCATGATTAATGGAACCATCCATTCCTCAGCTCCTGCCCTTTCCCTTGCCACCAATCCGAACTCTCCAGAACTGAGGTCAGAGCAATGGCCTGGCTGGCCCGGCGGCCATCTGAGCAGACCCAGGCCAAGCACTCCCTCCCCGTCACTCTCCGAGTATCAGGTCCAGCCATCCCTCCTCTGAACGCCATGCAGGGGCAGCTTGGCTTCTGGGCTCTGCACAGCAGCACATCCAGCACACGCCACTCAGCGTCCTATAAGCGTCTACTGAGCCCCGGCTGTGTGCTTGCTGGCATTGCTGTCGAAAGTGGAGGTACAGATTGCCAGACAAGACACACAAAGAGCTTACACTTAATGGAGGGAAAAAGCCAAAAAACAAGAAAGCAAATATAAATCAGATGGTGATAAGGGCTAGCAAGAGAATAAAGTAATGTAAGGGGGACAGCAAGTGACAAGAGTGGGTGGTATTTATGCAGAATAGCCCCGGAGGGCCTCTGCGACAGGTGCCACTTGAGAAGAGACCTGATATTGAGAGGTGACAGCGTGCTGGCAGTCCTCACAGCCCTTGCTCGCTCTCGGCGCCTCCTCTGCCTGGGCTCCCACTTTGGCGGCACTTGAGGCCTTCAGCCCACCGCTGCACTGTGGGAGCCCCTTTCTGGGCCGGCGAAGGCCGGAGCCGGCTCCTTCAGCTTGCAGGGAGGTGTGGAGGGAGTGGCGCGAGCGGGAACCGGGGCTGCGCGCAGAGCTTGCGGGCCAGCTGGAGTTCAGGGTGGGCGTGGGCTTGGCGGGCCCTGCACTCGGAGCAGCCGGCCAGCCCTGCCGGCCCCGGGCAACGAGGGGCTTACACCTGGGCCTGCAGCTGCGGAGGGTGTACTGGGTCCCTAAGCAGTGCCGGCCCACCGGCGCTGCGCTCGATTTCTCGCCGGGTCTTAGCTGCCTCCCCGCGGGGCAGGGCTCAGGACCTGCAGCCCGCCATGCCTGAGACCCCCCTCTTCCGTGGGCTCCTGTGCGGCCGGACCCTCCCCGACGAGCACCGCCCGCTGCTCCACTGGCACCTAGTCCCATCGACCACCCAAGGGCTGAGGAGTGCGGGCACACAGCGCGGGACTGGCAGGCAGCTCCACCTGCAGCCCAGGTGCGGGATCCACTGGGTGAAACCAGCTGGGCTCCTGACTCTGGTGGGACCTTGGAGAACCTTTATGTCTAGCTCAGGATTGTAAATACACCAATCGGCACTCTGTATCTAGCTCAAGGTTTGTAAACACACCAATCAGCACCCTGTGTCTAGCTCAGGGTTTGTGAATGCACCAATGGACACTCTGTATCTAGCTGCTCTGGTGGGGCCTTGGAGAACCTTGTGTGGACACTCTGTATCTAGCTAATCTGGTGGGGAGGAGGAGAACCTTTGGGTCTAGCTCAGGGATTGTAAACGCACCAATCAGCACCCCGTCAAAACAGGCCACTCGGCTCTACCAATCAGCAGGATGTGGGTGGGGGCAGATAAGAGAATAAAAGCAGGCTGCCCGAGCCAGCAGTGGCAACCCGCTGGAGTTGGCTTCCCCAATGTGGAAGTTTTGTTCTTTCTCTCTTTGGGTGCACGCTGCTTTTATGAGCTGTAACGCTCACTGCGAAGATCTGCAGCTTCCCTCCTAAGCCCACAGAGACCATGAGCCCACCAGGAGGAATGAACAACTCCAGACACGCCGCTTTAAGAGCTTGTAACACTCACCACGAAGGTCTGTAGCTTCAGTCCTGAGCCAGTGAGACCACGAACCCACCAGAAGGAAGAAACTCCGAACACATCTTAACATCAGAAGGAACAAACTCCAGACACGCCGCCTTTAAGAACTGTAGCACTCACCGCGAGGGTCCGCGGCTTCATTCTTAGTCAGTGAGACCAAGAACCCACCAATTCCAGACACAGTGTGACAGACAAGCCATGGAGAATCTAGACAAAGAGGGCTGCACGCCAGCACCGTGAGGCAGGAACACGCCTGCTGTGCTCTAGGCACACCCAAGTGAAATGCTGAGGGGCAAGGTGGGAGCATCAGTTAGGGCCCTGGGGGCCACGAAAAGAATTTGGAGTGTCCTCTGAGAGAGATGGGGACCACTGGAAAATTGCGCAGAAAAGTGACATGGTCTGATTTACGTTCTAAGGAAATCGTTCTGGGTGCTCTGTTGGGAACAGACTGCGTTAGCGGGGGTGGGGATGAGGGTGGAAGCATGGAGAGTCATTAGGGGGCTAAAGCAAAGTTTAGGCCAAAGATGATGGGGGCTTAGAGCAGGAGAGGAGGGATGGAAAGGGGTGATCCGGTCATATTTTGAAATAGCTCTGGCAGGATCTGCTGACGAAGTCTACATGGGGTGGGAGAGAGAGAAGGGTGGAGGATGGCCCAGGTTTTGGACCTGAGAGGCCTGAGTCTGTATCATAACCAGCCTGCAAGGCAAAAATGGGTCTCGTTCTTCCTCACCATATCCTCAGGAATGTGGAGTGGGTGCCGGGCCAGGACGATGATCAGGGAGAGAGGAGGGGAGCAAGGACAAAAAGACGACATGGGGGAACCGGTAGGGGAAGAAGGAATATCTACACTGTGAACATTCCTAAAGTCCTGCCTCCCCCACGAAGTCTGTGGGACTAATCTGACGAGTGATGACTTCCTGACCCTTCTCAAGGGAATTCTTGCACCCACCTCCCCTCCACACTTCCCAGCTTCAACTCCCATCCTTGAACAAAAGCAGCACGTTAGTAACCTGCTGGTTGAGAAGTAACATAGGTCACTGTGGGATTCACTATCACATGGTCAGGCTATGAACTTGACTGCTGCAACAGCCCCAAACACCCGGGAGGAAATGAGCTAGGATGCATTTCTCCCTCATGGAATTCTCTGAACGTAAGTAGTCCAGGGCTGCTCAGCAGCTCCACAGGGCAGAGAGCCAGCCCCAGCTGTTCCACCCTGGGAGGCTGGCCTCATCTCATGGGCTCAGACAGCCCATCACCACATCTGCCCTCTGGACGGCCAGAAGGAGGAAGCTGGGTCAGGGGCGTGCGGGGATGGAGCTGCGGGTCCGGGGAATGAAGGAGGGAGGCCCCTGCCGCTTAAGGACATGCCCAGAGGTTGCCTCCGCCCCTTCTACTCACATCCTATTGGCCAGAACTTGTCCCTGTGGCTACCCTGGGTGTAAAGGAGCCTGGGAAATAGAGATTTTATTCTGGGGAGTCATGTCTTCAACTAAATCAATGACTATGGTAGAAGGAAAGGCGAATTTGGGGCCAGTCATGGTGGCTAACACCTGTAATCCCAGCAGTTTGGGAAGCTAAGGAGAGAGGATCACTGGAGTCCAGGATCTCAAAACCAGCCTGGGCAACATAGTAAGACCCCGTCACTACAAAAAATAAAAAATAAATAGCTGGGTGTGGTAGCATGTGCCCATAGTCCCAGCTACTAGAGAGGCTGAGGTGAGAGGATCACTTTGAGCCTGGAAGGTCAAGGCTACAGTGAGCCGAGATCACACTACTGCATTGCAGCCTGAATGACAGAGTGAGAACCTGTCCAGAAAAAAAAAAAAATTAGGGAGACTGCTAGCTGCTCTGGCACAGGGATGTCCAACGCAGTTGCATTTGACCTTAGTGTTAGGTTCCTACTCCCTGTGTGAGCCTCTCAGGATGGAGCCCAGCTTAATTTTATGCCTAGTGTTCCATTATTGGAACGCTAAGCATGCGGGAGTTATTTATATCCCACTGCTCTATGTCATTGCCAAGGTCTGATTTTTCACACGTCTGCAATTCAAAAAAATTGCAACATCCGGCATAAATGGGTTAATCCCCTTCATTTTACGCACAGACTTTTCCAGCATATAAAGCATTGTCACCCACATAATTGTACTTGGTCTTCACAATATGCCATGAGGTAGGTAGTTTAATTCAATTTTACCCATAAGAAAAGCAGGGTTTAGCAAGGTGAGGCGATTAGCACAGGGCCACAGGCTGATGAATGCTGGGATTTGAACTCAGACCTTCTCTCCAGAATATTTGCTCTCACCCCTCACTAGCAGGGAGTAATGGGGTTATTGTGAATGTGAGGGTGAGTGGATTTCTACCACTTATACCACCACCACCAGAAGCTTTCAGGAAAGACAGCAGCTAAAGATAGGTGTGACTTGATAGAGCACAATCCCATCACTCTCACAGACACAGAAAAATCTGCTCCAACCCTGCAAATCAGCGTGATATGGAGGGAAAGGCACAGGGCAGAGCAGCCAGGACCAGGCCTGGGACCAGGCCTGACTCAGCCAACATCCCCCCGTACAGACAGCCTCCATGTCCAAAACTGCATCTGTGATGATCAGCTTGTGTCTGTGCCACACCAATGTTTAATTTTTTTTTTTTTTTTTTGAGACAGAGTCTCCCTCTGTCGCCCGGGCTGGAGTGCAGTGGTGCTATCTCAGCTTCCTGCAAACTCCGCCTCCCAGGTTCACGCCATTCTCCTGCCTCAGCCTCCTGAGTAGCTGGGACTACAGGCGCCCACCGCCATGCCCAGCTAATTTTTTATATTTTTAGTAGAGACGGGGTTTCACCGTGTTAGCCAGGATGGTCTCAATCTCCTGCCCTCGTGATCCTCCCGCTTCAGCCTCCCAAAGTGCTGAGATTACAGGCATGAGCCACTGTGCCCGGCCTGTTTAATATTTTTAATATCATCCCTGGTGAATCTGTTCCTGGTGGGTCCCATAGTGTCCTGTTGTGTTGAGAAAGCTCTCTGAGCTTCAGTTCCACATGTACAAAAAAGAAGAAGCAAACCTTCCCCTCCCAGCCACCCCCAGCTCGAAGCACACCAGCACAACCAAAAGAGGTGACATCAAAGGTCCTCCTGAGCCCTTGGCATCATCCACCTCAACAGCCTCCCTGCCATACCCACAGCTCATCCATCCCAATTTCCAGTCCTGTAGCTGCAGCTCCCCACTGCAGGCCTGCAGACCACTCCTGGAGTAGGAGGAGTAGGAGTAGGCTGCAGCCCACTCCTAAGTGCACAGCAGCTTGGGAGAGCGGGCAGAAATTGCAGGGCCTTAGAATATCCAAGTGGAAGGAACTTCAGAGACTGTCTAATCCCACGGCCATGGGGCCCCCGAGTGGCAGAGCCTTGATGAATGTGCATGACACAGAGGGGGCTGCCCTCAGGCTTTCTGCGTGTTGCCCTGTCTAATTCAGGAGTAGCTAGGGGACCCTCGAGGCCCCACTGCCTGGCGTTGATCCCAGCTCTGCCATCCATATGGCCTCAGACAAATTAGGCAGCTTCTCTGTGCCTCAGTGCCTCAGTAAAATCTAGACAATAATGACAGCGGAGCACCCACCCAGTATGGTGGTTGTGGTGAATAGATGAGTTAATACGGCCGGGTATGGTGGCTCATGCCTGTAATCCCAGCACTTTGGTAGGCCGAGACGGGAGGACTGCTTGAGTCCAGTTCGAGATCAGCCTGTGCAACATATCAAGACTCTGTTTCCACCCAAAATAATAATAATAATTAATTAATTAAAAATAAAATTTTCTTTGGGAGGCTGAGGCGGGCAGATCACGAGGTCAGGAGATCAAGACCATCCTGGCTAACACAGTGAAACCCTGTCTCTACTAAAATATAAAAAATTAGCCGGGCATGGTGGCATGCGCCTGTAGGCCCAGCTACTCTGGAGGCTGAGGCAGGAGAATCGCTTGAACCTGAGAGACGGAGGTTGCAAAGAGCTGAGATCGTGCCACTGCACTCAAGCGTGGGTGACATAGTGAGACTCTGTCTCAAAGTAAATAAATAGGCCGGGCATGGGCTCACGCCTGTAATCCCAGCACTTTGAGAGGCCGAGGCGGGTGGATCACGAGGTCTGGAGTTCGAGACCATCCTGGCCAACATGGTGAAACCCCGTCTCTACTAAAAATACAAAAAATGAGCCAAGTGTGGTGGCAGGCGCCTGTAGTCCCAGCTACTCAGAAGGCTGAGGCAGGAGAATCGCTTGAACCCGGGAGGCAGAGGTTGCAGTAAGCCCAGATCGCACCACTGCACTCCAGCCTAGCAACAGAGCGAGACTCTGTCTCAAAACAATAAAAAATAAAAATAAGTAAATAAAATTTTCAAAAGATGAGTTAATACAGTAAATTCTTGTCTTCTTTTCTTCTTCTTCTTCTTCTTCTTTTTTTTTTTTTTTTTTTTTTGGAGACGGACTTTTGCTCTTGTTGCCCAGGCTGGAGGGCAGTGGTGCAATCTCGGCTCACTGCGACCTCCCGAGTAGCTGGGATTACAGGTGCCCACCACCACACCCAGCTAATTTTTTGTATTTTTAGTAGAGACAGGGTTTCACCATGTTGGCCAGGCTGGTCTGAAACTCCTGACCTCAAGTGATCTGCTTACCTTGGCCTCCCAAAGTGCTGGGATTACAGGTGTGAGCTACTGTGCCTGGCCAATACAGTCAATTCTCATTATTCATAGTGGCTGTGTTTTATGGAGTCACTGCAAACACTGAATTAGTGAATGCCAAACCAGTGCTCCTAGGGGAGATACAAGGGGAGGTTCCTGTGAGCCTCTGGTCACATTTTCATCAACAAATCAATGCATAACTTTTTCTTATGTGTGTTTCTGTCTAACGACACCTTATTCAATATATATTGCTGAATAATTCACATTGAACTCATAGCCAACAGCACTATAACTCATGCCTGCACGAAGCTTAACTACTAGACATATTTTCTCCACATGACACATCACAGCTTTCTCTCACTTAGGAACTCTGGACAGCACTTCAGCATGATGCTGGGACCATTTTAAACAGTGGAATCACCAACACGCAGCAGAAAAATGCAAAACACATGGTACCAAGTAGACCTTGAAAAGGACACTTGCTTGTGGTATGAGCTGAAACAAGAAGGCAGACTGTCACCTTGTTCACCCTCTGCTGGGAATGTGCACATCCTGCCAAATTTTTCTCTGCTCTGTGTTCATGGATGGCCATGCAAGCACTGTGAGTATTGATTTTGGCAATACAAGTAAATTGTATGGAGTAGACAAATTTTTATTTTTTTATTTTTATTTTTTTGAGATGGAGTCTTGCTCAGTTGCCCAGGCTGGAGTGCAGCGGTGCTATCTCGGCTCACTGCAAGCTCCACCTCCCATGTTCACACCATTCTCCTGCCTCAGCCTCCCGAGTAGCTGGGACTACAGGCGCCCGCCAACACGCCCGGCTAATTTTTTTTGTATTTTTAGTAGAGACGGGGTTTCACCATGTTAGCCAGGGTAGTCTTGATCTCCTGACCTCGTGATCCACCCACCTCGGCCTCCCAAAGTTCTGGGATTACAGGCATGAGCCACCACACCCGGCCAGAGTAGACAAATCTTTAAATACAGAATGTATGAGTGATGAGGATCAACTGAATATAGAAAGCCCCTAGAATAGTGCCTGCCCAGTAGGAAGCATTCGATAAATCGTGTTACTTTGTAAGCTTTACAGCAATCTGCTGAGATATTGCTATTTCCATTTTACAGATGAGGAAAGTGAGTGTCCAAGAGGTTAAAGACCTGGACCTGGTTCCCATGGTTGGTCAGTGGTGGTGTTGGGACTTGATCCCAGTTTCAGACCTGGTTTAACTATTTTGTGCATTGCCTAGAACACGGGCCCCTTCCATGCTCCCTCTCCACAGGAACACAGGCATGGGTTGTATGTGATACACACGCACAGGCAGGCCCCACACACAAGCAGAATTCCTGTGTTTACTCCTTTCACAAACCTCCTTAACTCTGAGGAGCCTTAGAAACAGAGAGGTGGCCGAGCGTGGTGGCTCACGCCTGTAATCCCAGCACTTTGGGAGGCCGAGGCAGGTGGATCACGAGGTCAGGAAATCAAGACCATCCCAGCTAACACAGTGAAACCCTGTCTCTACTAAAAAATACAAAAAATTGGCCAGGCGTGGTGGCGGGTGCCTGTAGTCCCAGCTACTTGGGAGGCTGAGGCAGGAGAATGGCATGAACTCGGGAGGCGGAGCTTGAAGTGAGCTGAGATCGTGCCACTGCACTCCAGCCTGGGCAATAGAGCGAGACTCCGTCTCAAAAAAAAAAACAAAACAAAGAAAGAAAGAAACAGAGGTTTCCCAGCTTCCTGCCCAGGCCACGGAACTCCTCCCTCCGGCTGCAGAGCTCCCACCTCTTCTCCCCCATTTCTGCCTCAGCATCTCCCACCCCACGCTGGCCACTGAGGCAGCCTGGCCAAAAGGAGCTGATAGCAGGTCCTCTCAGCTTCCTCTGCAGCTCAGCCAGGGGCCACAGCTGGGCCTGTCCAGCCTCACTTGACCAAGAACCGAAGTCCCAGGAGAAAGGAAAGTGAGGCCAGGATGGTGACAGGGTGGAGAAGCTGGGCCCCCAGTGAGCCCCCACAGAGGGTAGGACACAGAGGGACAAGTGTGAGGGGCAGTAACTGCCCGTAGGAATAGTGGCCATGGGAGAGACACCGTGGTGCCCACACCCCAGTAGGTCCTCAGTAAAACTAACATCCACCTGGGCCGCACAGGTAGCCCTGCCACCCTCCAGGGCCCAGGATTCTTTGAGTGAGTTTTAGAACGCCTCTGAAATCTGGGGAGATATGACAGCCCACAGCAATTTGCATTTTTTGCTTTCCTGTTATCAGAGGTGACTAAACTCTGGCCTTCAGGCCAAATCCAGCCAGCAGACTCCTATGTGCAGCTCACTAGCTAAGAATGGTTTTTACATTTTTAAAGTGTTGAGTAACAGGAGAAAATCTGGGGTGAGAGGAAGAGAGATCATATGCCCCACAAAGCCTAGAATATTTACCTGATGAAGAAAATGTTGCCAGCCCCTGACCCAGATGGATTTAGCAGTGGAAGCCCTGGCCAACCAAGTGTGAGTCAGGGTGGCCCGAACACCAGCCCACATCCACCCATCCCCAGTGTAGACATCAGGCATGTTATTCAGCCTCTATAAGGCTCACTTTTCCCTTCTGCAAAGTGGAGGCAATAACAAGAGCTGTGTCCCAGGGCTGTGAGATTACATTAGGTGTCGTCTATGTCAAGCCTTTAGCCCTTGGCATCCTGGGCTACTGTGTGGGCAGAACATGGGTGCCGGTGACGGCAGTGGTGGCGGTGGAGAGGCGGAGAGGAGGGAAAGGGTCCCTTCCTGACCAGCTGCTGTCTCCATATCTCAGAGAAATGGGGAAACTGAATCATGGGGGTGACTCATCTGAGGTCACCAGCTATAAATAGTCCAAAGACTCATGACAGACTGCAAGCAGGTCCTAGAGTCCTTCCGTCCACAGCCCCTATCTGTGTCTACCTCGCCCACATACACCCTTTCCTAGACTTCTGTCTTGGGCCCCATTCTCACGGGACATTGCTCACCGCGGCCGACTGATTGAACGCCTCTGTTGTCTTTTTTTGCGGGGTGGGGGGGGAGATGGAGTTTCACTCTTGTTGCCCAGGCTGGAGTGCAATGGTGCAATCTTGGCTCACTGTAACCTCCGCCTCCCGGATTCAAGCAATTCTCCTGCCTCAGCCTCCCAAGTAGCTGGAATTACAGGCATGCGCCACTACGCCCGGCTAATTTTTTGTATTTAGTAGAGATGGGGTTTCACCATGTTGGTCAGGCTGGTCTCAAACTCGTGATCTCAGGTGATCCACCCGCCTCGGCCTCCCAAAGTGCTGGGATTACAGGCGTGAGTCACCACGTCCAGCTGCCTCTGTTGTCTTAGATGCCAACAGCTAAAGTTATTTCATATCCCAGGGGCATTTCATTTCAACAGGTACATTCTAAACCCCCAAATATTCACAGATATTCACCTCTAATTGCTTGTCAGTCACAATGACAGGACCAAAGCATCCCTTGATTTTCCCAGGTTCCTCCCAACACTGGAACCAACGTCTGGGGTCAGCTCTCCGAATTCTCACAGTCTCAGATGTTTGGCTCACACTCTGGAGTAGACGGGCAGATGCAAGCACATGGCTTGGCTGGGGAGTTCAGTGTAGCTGTGTTGCAGCTTCTCAGGCCTCCGTTCTCCCGCTTGCCAGCCTGCTTGATAGGGGTAAGGTCCCTCAGAGGGGACATGAGGCCCCTTTGATCCCAGAATAACAAGAGAAAGTCTGGGGGGAGAGGAGGAGGTACTGAGATTCTTGGTACCTATACTTTATGAAATGAAGAAACATCTAAACAGGGTTGCAGAACTTGTGGTCTATTTGATCCTCGTTAGTATAGTGGTGATCATCAAAAAAAAAAAAAAAAGAGCTTGTGATCTATTTGAAATAGCTACATGGCAAAGTTAACGCTTTTAATCCCAAAGCATAATGCAATCTAATGATGCTAACCCACAAAAGCAATTTCAGGATGTATTTGCAAACATTACTTTATCCTGAACTCTTAGGCAAAGTCATGCAGCAGTGAGATGAATGGGAGTTTCATGTTGAACAGTGCATATTGTTTTCCGTTCTGTCGGGGCGTCTCTGTGTCTGATGCAGCATTGCTTTTCAGGGAGATGAAGTCCCTGAAAATGAGACCCAGGTCCCGAGGTGAAGCTCCTTCTCTGGGGTGCTCCGCAGGGATTCCTAGACGGCTGTCCCCCGCTGCTGAGCCACGCTGAGCTGGCTGCTCTCACTGGAATCCTGGAACTGGCTCTTCTCTCACATGGGCACTCCAAGGGCCACCAGCATCTCCTCCTACACAGGTGCAATTTTTTTCTTCTTTTTTCTTTTTCCGTTCCAGGACACTTGTCACCGCCCTGCCCTGTCCTTTCTCCTCTCTTCCTCCCTCTTAGGAGAGTTGCCAGAGTTGCCAGTTTCTTCTTCTTCTTCTTCTTTTTTTTTTTTTTTTTTTTTTTGAGATGGAGTCTCACTGTCACCCAGGCTGGAGGGCAGTGGTGCAATCTCGGCTGACTGCAACCTCCGCCCCCCAGGTTCAAGCAATTCTCCCTCCTCAACCTCCTGAGTAGCTGGGATTTCAGGCATGCACCACCATGCCCGGCTAATTTTTGTATTTTTAGTAGAGATGGGGTTTCACCATGTTGGCCAGGTTGGTCTCGAATGCCTGATCTCAGGTGATCCGCCCGCCTCGGCCTCCCAAAGTGCTGGGATTACAGGTGTGAGCCACTGCGCCCCGCCACCAGTTTCTTCTTTTGGTGCTCAAAAAATGATTCTTCAGAACATCATGGAAAGGGAGCAAAGAAAAGAATAGCTTTACACTAAAGAAACAGGTGACCAAGGTGAACACCAACAGCCATAAGTCACGTTGATAGTGCCCTTGATATCATGGGATGAGAATGACACTTACCTCTGTGGTCTCCCTCTCCAAAACCCAAACGCCAGTCTACTCAAGAGGAAAACATGAGACACATCCCAGTTAAAGGACATTCTGCAAAATCCTGACCAGCACCTCTCAAAATAGTCCAGATCACCAAAAACAAGGGAAGTCTGTGAAACTGTCACAGCCAAGAGGAGCCTACAGAGACATGATGACTAAATGTAATATAGAATCCTGGTGGGATCCTGGGACAGAATGGGGGCAATAGGTTAAAAAAAAAAGAAAGCTGAATAAAGTGTGCACTTTAGTTAATAATATTAGTTCATTAACAGTGACATATGTACCACACTAATGTAAGATGTTAATGACAGGGGACATTAGGAATGGTGAAAAGGGATGAAAAAGAAATAGAAAAATAGAGCTGGGCGCAGTGGCTCACGCCTGTAATCCCAGCACTTTGGGAGGCCGAGGCAGGCAGATCACCTGAGGTCAGGAGTTCAAGACCAGCCTGGCCAACATGGTGAAACCCCGTCTCTACTAAAAATACGAAAATTAGCTGGGCATGATGGCAGGTGCCTGTAATCCCAGCTACTTGGGAGGCTGAGGTGGGAGAATCGCTTGAACCCAAGAGAAGGAAGTTGCAGTTAGCAGAGATCAAGCCATTGCACTCTAGCCTGGGTGACAGAGCGAGACCATCTCCAAAAAAAAAGGAAAACATTTAAAAAATTAATAATAATAGGGACACTGGGCACAGGGTATACAGGAATTCCCTGCACTATAATTCTATAACTCTAAAATTGTTCTAAAGTAAGAAAGTTATTATTTTAGAAAATACTCTTGAATGAATGGCTGTGTTCCATCCCTACCCATCTCCAAAGCACAACCCACCAGGTTTACATAACAGGGCAGTGCAGCAGCGAAGTCAAAAGCACAGACACGGCCAGGCGTGGTGGCTCACACCTGTAATCCCAGCACTTTGGGAGGCCAAGGCGGGCGGATCACGAGGTCAGGAGATCGAGACCATCCTGGCTAACACGGTGCAAACCCCGTCTCTACTAAAAATACAAAAAATTAGCCGGGCGTGGTGGCGGGCGCCTGTAGTCCCAGCTACTCGGAAGGCTGAGGCAGGAGAATGGCGTGAACCCGGGAGGCGGAGCTTGCAGTGAGCCGAGATCACGCCACTGCACTCCAGTCTGGGTGACAGAGCAAGACTCCATATCAAAAAAAAAAAAAAAGAAGCACAGATGCCAGCCTCTGGCCCGTGAGGTTTGAGTCCTGACTCTGCCACTTACTGCTGATATAGACCCCTCAAAGCTTCCGTCTCCTTTATATTAATGGGGGGGGGGGGAGGGGGGGCAGGTGATAACAATAGCATTTATGTCACAGAACTATCAAGAACGTAATTAAAACTCTTAGTGCAGTGTCCAAGTCAGAATATAGGGGTTAAGAACACATGGCTCAGAGATAAGAACCTGTGGGAGGAGGACTGCCTTACGGGAGAGCTCTGTTGGCCGGATGCCCTCCAGGTCCCACACATCACGCCATGAAGATGGCTGCCTCCTCCTGGGGAGGATGGAGTTGAGGAGGAGGAGGAGGAAGGCGGCGTCTGGGATACCTCCTGTAAGTGCCATGCCTGGGGCCTCCTTGGAATGTTGGGGAAGTACAGGGTGTTGCTGTGATCGCTACAAAGACATCCTGGTCTCAGTGTTCATGACCGGGGCACGCTGGTGAGCACAATGCCCGGAAAAGCCACGCACGGCCCAGCAAAACAGACGGCGTGCCTGTCCGCTTCCCCTCGCCGCCCCAGACAGCTGCTCACCCAACCCTGCTGAGGCATCGCAACCTTTGCCAGGAATGCTGGGCATACCACCCCACAAACAGAGTGCAGGGTAACACGGGCCTCCAGTGCCCCCGCCAGCTGGGCCCCAGTACGGCCATCCAGAGTGGCCAGGCCAGCATTGCCCTGGGACAATCTGGCTTCCTCGGAGCCCATCCCCTCGGCATATATGGAGCATTCTCCATGAGCAAGTCCCTGAGGGCCGCTTGCTTTCCTGCAGATGGATGGAGGTCTGTGATGGGCCTGAACTGGAAGTCATAAAACACGGGTGTGAGTTCTGCCTCCTTCTCTAATGAGCCGGATGGCCTTGAGTAAGTCACTCACCTTCTCAAGGCCTCGGCTTCCTCCCCTGTCGCTGGGAGAAATTGTGTCTGTCTGAAGTATCTCACGGCCTGGGAAAATCAAAGCGAATCACGTTGACGCAGGTACTTGGTACGCCCTGAATCACCGCCCCTGGTTACCCACAGGAGCGTCTAAGCAGGCCTGCAAGGCAGCCTGCAGCTTGGCCTCTACCCGTGTGATGCAGCAAACACACTTGCAAGGCATGTTCTACTCTTCAAATGACGGTATATAGAACCCGCGGGTACTTATAAGGTGAAGATTGACCCTGTGTGAATGACAAGGAAGTGATTCCTGAAGTTCCAGAGGGAGGAAGGGATTTGCTCAAAGTCACCCAGCAGGTGAGTGACAAAGCTGGCCCTTGGACGAGCCTCCTCCTCCCATGTCTTTCAGCCTCACAGAGGGACAGAGTTTGACTGCGGGACTCAGCCTGAGGCAGGGGACAGAATCCCTGAGTGTGCTCCTGGCCAGTGGCTTCATCTCTCATCTCTCTGTGACTCTGTTTTCTTTAGCTGTCTATGGAAAGAATAAGCATGAGAAGCATTCAATTTGATTCAAACTGAAGCACTGCACCTGCTTTGTGTGAGACACTTTAGCCACCTCAGGGGTACACACACAAAAGCCCACTGTCCCTGCCCTCAAGGAGCCTATCATATAATGACAGTCACTAAAATTTGAAGATCTCTTTACAGTTCACCTTTACTTCTGATATGGTTTGGCTCTGTGTGCCCACTCAAATCTCATCTTGAATTGTAATCCCCACGTGTTGAGGGAGGGACCTGATGGGAGGTGATTGGATTATGGGGGCGGTTTCCCACATGTTCTTGTGACAGTGAAGGAGTTCTCACAAGATCTGATGGTTTAAAGTGTTTTGCAATTCCCCCCTCACACTCTCTTTCCTGCCTCCTTGTGAAGAAGGTGCTTGCTTTCCCTTCGCCTTCCGCCATGATTGTAAGTTTCCTGAGGGCCTCCCCAACCAGGCAGAGCTGTGACTCAATTAAAACTGTCTTCTTTGTAAATTACCCAGTCTCAGGTGTGTCTTTATAGCAGCATGAGAACAGACTAATACACCTTCTCTCACTTTTTCTTCAAAATGATAGGCAGTGTTATTGACGCTGTTTCACAAACGAGGACCTCCGATGGAAGGAGCTAGGCTACCTGGGAGAAATGATATTCTGCTGGCATCCCACTACACTTTCTACCTGAGGCATCGTCCCTAAAACACTAGGACATCAGGAAAACCTAATGATGACTACTGTTTCATTTAGGGCCCTCTCAGCTGCAAGTACAAAGACATAGAAACCAAGTATTGGGTTTTTAGCTGAGAAGCCCAGCATCAGGCTGGACCACCATCTGCGCATCCTGTCTGGGGTTCATACACAACAAAGACCTGATTTCTCTCCTGTTCTCCGCTCAGCTTTCATGGTCTCCTGGAGCTGAGATCTTCTCAGCCCACAGGTGATGACAGAATGGAGATAGTGGTTCCGGCTTCAATGCTTCCAGGTTCAAGTCCACGGGGAAGAACCCTGCCTCCCTCTCAGAAGGCTCAGCTCCAGTCCCCTGGGTTCCAGTAGAAGCCCAAGCCCCTCCAGGAACCCCTTACTGTTACTGTGAAGGCGGAATATGGCTTTGGTTAATTGAGGCCAACTCACAGTGCTAGATCAATCCCCCTAAACCACAAGGGCGGAGGGTGGGACCAGATAGGTTATTAAGGGAAATTTGGGTACTCTTTTACCCAGAGGGTGAACAGATGCTAAATGGCCCAACTATGCACATGTGTAGCCATCCACTGCAACAATGCGTAGTAGTTGGTTAATAAATTTATTTTCATTTACCAATTGATTTATCAGCAAAATGAATAAAAACTAAGTAGGCTACCTGTAAGAAAAGGTAATAAAATATGTAAAAATGAATTAAACACTGTAATCTGCCTCAAGTGGATTCAGTGGCTTTGTCTGTGATTCCCTGAACCTGCTCTCATTGGATAATTTCACCTTATTAGTATATACACCACAACCTCAGAAGGCAACTATAAGAGCCAGATGCCTGGACAGCCATATGGAAAAAAATGCAAAATTTGATCCATTCCTCACACCATATACCAGAATAAGTTCCAAATGGATCATGAATCTAAATATAAAAAAATGAAATGATACAAGTGTTAGAAGAAAGGATGGGTATTCAACCCATGTTGTTTGAGTTTTAAAAACCAACAACAAAAAGAAAGGATAGGTAAATTTCTCTGTGAGAAAACGTAAATAAATTTAATTACATATATATATATATGTAATATAGCCAAAGATACCATACACAAAGTAGAAAAAGAAAATAATGGAGAAAACAGTTGCAACCAAGTTCATAGAGAATGGGTCATTGTCCCAAATATTAAAGGACTTTTAAAAATAAAGAGGCCAAGCACAGTGGCTCACGCCTGTAATATCAGCACTTTGGGAAGTTGAGGCAGGCAGATCACTTGAGGTCAAGAGTTCGAGAGCAGCCTGACCAACATGGTGAAACGCCATCTCTACTAAAAATACAAAAATTGGCCAGCATGGTGGTGTGTGCCTGTAATCCCAGCTACTCAGGAGGCTGAAGCAGGAGAATTGCTTGAACCTCGGAGGCAGAGGTTGCAGTGAGCTGAGATCACACCACTGCACTCCAGCCTGGGTGACAGGGTGAGACTCTGTCTCAAAAAAAAGAAAAGAACCAGTAACCCTGTAGAAATAAATGGGCTGGCAAAATGAACAACTGCTCTCAATTTTATGAAAAAAATGTTCAACCTTGCTCATAATACAAGAAATGAAAAATTAAAACTACACTAAGATGGCCAGGCGCGGTGGCTCACGGCTATAATCCCAGTACTTTGGGAGGCCAAGGCGGGCAGATCACGAGGTCAGGAGCTCAAGACCAGCCTGACCAACACGGTGAAACCCCATCTCTACTAAAAATACAAAAAAAACCCAGCCAGGCATGGTGGCAGGTGCCTGTAATCTCAGCTACTCAGGAGGCTGAGGCAGGAGAATGGCATGAACCTGGGAGGTGGTGGCTGCAGTGAGCTGAGATCCCGCCACTGCACTCCAGCCTGGGTGACAGTGCGAGACATGAGAGTCCGTCTCAAAAAAAAAAAAAAAAAAACTACACTAAGATAACTTTTAGATTGTCAAAAATCTAAAAGTTTGACACTATACTCTTTTGGCTACAGGGAGATTAGCCCTTTCATATGTTGCTAGAGGAAATACAAAATGGTATAACCATTACAGGAATTTGGCAATGTGTAGCAAAATTATATATGCATTTAACCATTGATTCAGAATTTATCTGGGCATTTATCCCATAGATACTGTGTATTAAAAAACAGAAAAACATATGAACAGGTTTGTAATAGCAAAAGACAGGAAATAACCCAAATATCCATTGGTAAGGAACTGTTAAATCAACTAAGCAGTAGAATACCACGCAACTGAATAAAGAAGTAGAGAAATGAGGGCTGCCTTCATCCCTACGTGAAAAAAGCAAGATGGAGAAAGATGTGTGCAAAATGTTTCCACTTATCCACGAAAAGAGGGGTAAAAAATATATAGATATGGGCTGGGCACAGTGGCTCATACCTGTAATCCCAGCACTTTGGGAGGCTGAGACGGGCGGATCACAAGGTCAGGAGATCGAGACCCATCCTGGCTAACATAGTGAAACCCGGTCTCTACTAAAAATACAAAAAATTAGCCGGGCATGGTGGTGGGCGCCTGTAGTCCCAGCTGCTCGGGAGGCTGAGGCAGGAGAATGGTGTCAGTCCGGGAGGCGGAGCTTGCAGTAAGCCGAGATCGCGCCACTGCACTCCAGCCTGGGCAACAGAGCGAGACACTGCACTCCAGCCTGGGCAACAAAGCGAGACTCTATCTCAAAAAAAAAAAAATAGATATAGATATAGATATAGATAGATATCTTACATTTCATAAAACAGATAATAAAATAATAAACCATAAACTAAATTGAAGGAGATGAAGGAAGCAAGGGAGAAGAGACACCAAGACAGAAGCTAATATTTTAATCAATGCATTAATACTTCATTTTGTAGATTTCACTCTGGAATCATTAAGTATCTTATAGGTTTTTTTTAAGAAACAAGCTCGGGGCCAAGTGTGGGGGCTCACACTTGTAATCCCAGCACTTTGGGAGGCCAAGGCGGGAGGATTGAGCCCAGGAGTTCAAGACCAGCCTGGGCAACATACTGAGACCCCATCTCTACAAAAATTTTAAAAATTAGCCAGGTGTGGCCGGGCGCGGTGGCTCATGCCTGTAATCCCAGCACTTTGGGAGGCCGAGGCGGGTGGATCACGAGGTCAGGAGATCAAGACCATCCTGGCTAACACGGTGAAACCCCGTTTCTACTAAAAATACAACAACAACAACAAAAAATAGCCAGGCGTGGTGGTGGGCGCCTGTAGTCCCAGCTACTAGGGAGGCTGAGACAGGAGAATGGCGTGAACCCAGGAGGCGGAGCTTGCAGTGAGCCAAGATCACGCCACTGCACTCCAGCCCGGGCGACAGAGCGAGACTCCATCTCAAAAAAAAAAATTAGCCAGATGTGGTGGCACTCACCTGTGGTACCAGCTACACAGGAAGCTGAGGCAGGAGGATCACTTGAGCCCAGGATGTCGAGGCTGCAGTGAGTCCTGTTCATGCCATTCTACTGCAACCTGAGGAATTGAGCAAGACTTTGTCTAAAAAAAAAAAAAGTAAAATAATAAAAAGCAAGCTCTGAAATTAAAAATAAAACAAATAAACTTAACTGTAATCTTCTTGGTGACTAGAGAAGCAGTACTCCAAGTGACTTGAAAGTACAAAATTCAACTGTACATCCCTAGTGCATTCTATCTCAAGGAAGAGAAGACATGGGGAAAATTGTAAGTGTTTTCAATGATCATATCATTGAAGATAATGCTGGTATTGTCATTCCGGAACTGCCGAGTATGTACTGCGGGATAAAGCAAAGGCCTGCGTATGTTCTATCATCCTTAGGGTACTTAAGACTGAAATTCTTGACATGAGACAAAGGGGACACAGGTGTGAGATAGAAGAGGTTAAGTAAGAACTTCATAGTCTTGAGTTTGAATTGGAAATATCAGATTTTATGGTTAGTTATGTAGCAATTGTGGACCGATACCATCGGTCTTTTACGATCGAAGGGATTCATCTTCCCCTACCGCTCACTCCCCCATCTACCCAATAAATCACCAGAGCTCTACAGCTCTAATTCAGAACTCCTCCCAGCTCTGACCCTGCTCTCCAGCCCGACTGCCACTGCCTCGATGACGGCCCACCAGCCCTGACCCGCACTTTGTTTTTTTTTGTATTTTCAGTAGAGACAAGGTTTCACTATGTTGGCCAGGCTGGTCTTGAACTCCTGACCTCAGGATCCGCCTGCCTCGGCCTCCCAAAGTGCTGGGGTTACAGGTGTGAGCCACCGTGCCCAGCCCTGACCTGCACTTTTAACAGTGTCTTTGCTAGCATTGCTGCCTCCATCTCTCCCCAGCTCCAGTCTCCACCATCACCAGGATGATTTTCCCCACCAAATGCTGACTAAGCCATACTCCTACTGCATCAAGCAGGATTCCAGAGAGAAGTGAAACACCCAAAGGGGTTTTCTAAAGAGAGCTTAAATCAGGGATGATTTACAGTGATGGGGGTAGAAGTGGTGAAGCACCCAAGGACCAGCCACAGCTGAAGCCTTTACCACCTACGCCTGCCTGGTATCTATCACCAGAGTCAATGCCACCTGGAGCCAGGGGAGGGGGAGCCCGACAGGAGCTGTGGTCGCAGAGGAAGGCAGCTGCCGTCAGAAATGGGACAAGGCAGTGGGAGACAGACATCCCTGTCTCTTTCTCTTCCTGCCCGCCAACCAGTGGGCAAAGGAGCCTGGCTGGAGCAGTCTGTAGAGATGTCAGAGGAGGATAGAGAATGGAGGGGCTAGGGGAGACAGGGCAAACTAAATAGCCAGCACACCCACTTAAGGCCACTATTCACTCCCCATGCTCTCAGGAGCAAGCCCAGGTTCTCCGGCATGGCATACCAGGCACGCATGAGCCGACACACTCTCTCCCTACGACCTTGGTTCCTGCTAGTGGCCTCCCACCATCCCCATGCCCAAGTGACAGTTACCCCCAGACCTGCATAGCCCTCTCACAACTTCCCACCTTGCCAGACCCTATTCCCTCTGCTTGTATCACACCTTCCCTATTCCACCCTCTCCCCTTCTTCACATGTCAACCTCCTATTCACCCTTCAAGGCTTTTTTCTGATGGCATCTCCTTCATTCAGCCTTCACCAAGTTCTGCACTTAGAGTATCTCCTCTGTTCCCACAGCCGTCTACACAGGCCTCATCGGAGCAGCCATGGCCTTGTTCTAAGGCTGTTCACTTGTCTGTCTCCCTGTCCGTACCGCAAGCTCCCTGAGGTCTGAGACTGGGTCTATTCATCTCTCCATCCTCGGCCTAATGGTACTAGACACATAGTCAGCCCATAAATATTTATTGAATCAACCAATGAATAAAAGAGAAGACTTTTGTGTCTTTGTTTCCCATTCCTTTTTTCCCCCACTCTCACAATGGAGAAGCGTCATGGGGCAGGAATAAAGAGAAAGAGGAATGTGTGCCCCATATTCACTCCATACTCTCCTCTCCCCATCCAGTTCCAGGCTCTGCCTTATACAACAAGGGAACCTTTCTCCTTGGCCTTTCTATTGCTGGACGGTACCAGGTTTGACTCAGGGGACCTGAGGAAAAGGCTTTATCCCCCAGAATGCCTGCCCTGACCCCACAGAACCAGGGTTGCCTGAAGCAGCCCCAGCCAGACTTTCTGCAGTGGGAGCCGTCTCATCCAGGAGACGCCACACTGCTCATCCTGGTCAGAGGCTGGTCAGAGGCTGCAACTGCCCCTGGCTATTCCAAGAACAGGCAATTTGTCAAAACGTCTCTGAGCAGGCCCCAGGGCCAGCCACTCCTTCCCTCCTCCTTCCTTCCCCATCCATTCATTTACCCGTAGGTATTGAGTGCTCCCAAGGGCCCAGGACTGGCTTCCCGGACTTCCAGTCCAGCAGGAGAGACACATTGAGCAAGTAATAACAAGTGTGACGAGGCTATAGGGAAGACAGAAGGAAAAGGAGGCCATGGAGGGAAGGAGCAACCAAGAACAAACGAAGGGAAAAAGGCAAAAGCAGAAAGAGGCGTCACAGGCCAGCCCCTCCCCACTCTTCCCTGCATTCCAGAAACCAGAGGGCCTGGAGAGGAGGCACCAATGAGCCACAGAGATGCATTGTATTCATTTTCTGGGGCTGCAGTAACAGAATGCCACAGACTAGGGGGCTTACACAGCAGAAATGTACTGTCTCACAGCTCTGGAAGCCAGAAGCCTCCAGGCTCCTTCTGAGCACTGTGAGGGGGTCCGTCCCATGCCTCTCCGCTGGCATCTAGGGGTTTGCTGCAGTCTTTGGCATTCCTGGCTTGTGGATGGCATTCTCCCTGTCTTCAATCAGCTTCCCTTTGTATGTGTCCCTCTACACATGGCATTCACGTGTGTGTTAAAAGTTACCATTTTTAAGTAGTTCAGTGGCCTTGAGTGTATCCACAATGTTGTGTCACGTTCCATCTCCAGAACTTTCTCATCATCCCAAACGGAAACTCCACATCCATTCAACACTGACTCTCCATACCCCATTTCCCAGCCCCTGCTCACATCTATTCTACCATCTGTTTATGAATTTCACTATTCTAGGCAGCTCCTTCATGGAATCACACAGTTTGTCCTGATGTGACTGGCTTATTTCACTGAGCACAATGCCTTCCGTTTTCATCCATGTTCACATGGCACTATTTTATAAAGGATCCCAATCATAGAGGGCTAGGGGCCCACTCTCCTCTAGTCCAACCTCATTTTAATTTAACTAATTCCCTCTGCAGCAACCCTATCACCAACTAAGTTCACATTCTGAGGCACCGGGGATGAGGACCTCAACATAGGAATCTGGGGGGACACAACACAACAGGTGTGCCGTGACCGAGACAGAGATGGGAGGAACAGAAAAAGCCACCCTGACAGGCAGCATGGGAGGGGTGATGAGCAAGTTCTTGTTTTGTTGACCCTTAACCCCTCTGTACTCCCTACAGGAGCCACTTCCCTGGCGTGCTTCCCCAGCCCGGCTGACTCACTGGACAGGAAAAGGAAGGGCAGGAATTCAGGCCGATGAGCCAGGGACCCTCACCTCTGGCCGGGCCTGGCACAGCCTCCTGGGGAGCCCCCGCACACCAGCCCTCCCGGCACCACTCGGTGTGTCCTGCCTGGCTGATGGGCAGCCACGTATGCCCCACCCTCCCCTGACCGTGCCCACTTACCCAGGGGCCCAGCTGTCTTGGCTGGCAGGCTTCCATTGCAAGTCACTCCTCCATCCACACAGATCACTCACGTCCCTCATTCCGTCCCTCGTTCCACAGAGCGTGTTGACACCCACTGCGGGGCAGGCCTGGCTGCAGGCCTGGAGATGCAACAGCAGCAAAAGGAGCAGCCCCTGCCCCAGGAGGCTCCCATTCAAGTGAAGGAGGCAGACGAAAGGCCACAACAGTCGAGTGCACACTGTCAGATGGCGATGAGGGCCAAGGAGGCACAGCAGCAGGGGAGGGGATAGGGAAGGCCCCGGTGGGCTGGGCTGCGTGAGCCACCTCTGACAAGGGTGCCTGGGAGCAGAGGCCCAAAGGATTGGACAGAACCAGCCATGTGGATCCTGGGGGAGAGGATCCAGGCTGAGGAAGCAGCAAGGGCTCAGGCGAGAGCGGGAGTGCCCCCATCCTTTCCAAGAAACACCCACGAGTCCAGGGTCTGTGTGTGTGTGTGTGTGTGTGTGTGTGTGTGTGTGTGTATCTATATGTGTGTGTCTGTATGAGTATGTGTCTGTATGATGTCTGTGTGTCTTTATGTGTGTGTGTCTGTGTATCTATATGTGTGTGTCTGTATGTGTATGTGTCTGTATGATGTCTGTGTGTCTTTATGTGTGTGTCTGTGTGTATCTATGTGTGTATGTGTGTGTCTGTATGTGTATGTGTCTGTATGATGTCTGTGTGTCTTTATGTGTGTGTGTCTGTGTGTGTGTCTATGTTCCTGGGTGTGTGTCTGTATGTGTGTACCTATATGTGTGTGTGTGTGTATCTATATGTGTATGTGTCTGTATGTGCATGTGTCTGTATGATGTGTCTATGTGTCTCTATGTGTGTGTGTCTGTACGTGTGTGTGTATCTATATATGTGTCTGTGTGTCTGTGTGTGTGTGTGTGTGTGTGTGTGTGTGTGTGTTGGGAAATGGCAGTGGCAGGTGCACTATATGGTGGAGACACTGGGTTTTAGGCTTTAATGAGTTTGGGTTTTACCCCCAAGAAACTGGGGGTAAAAGAGGGAATAAAAGCAAAACATCCCATGCCCTCAAGGAACGTCTAGTCCAGGATTAGAAGTGGGGCAGTCCCAGGAAGGAGCCATCTTGACAGTGAATTCACGCGGAAGACGCGTGAACCCAGCTGGCCTGGAGAGACAGAGGTGCTTTGCAGGGCATGGGGAAGCCAGCAGGTCCCAGTCGAGAAACCTGGTTTTCTGTCTGGGTTGGTTGAAGACTCTTTGTCCCAGAAGGAGTCGCTTGTTTGCTTGTTCATCTTAAGTTTAAATTGAGAGAGGTTAACGGCTTTTGCCTCAGAAGGCAGGCTGGCCTGGCAGGGTGTGTGTTGTGAGGTGCAGAAACACATCTTCCCCAGCTGGCCTCACAGGCCAAGAAGCAGATAATGTCTTCCTTCTGCCAGCTTCCCCGCAGCTTGGTTTTCCTGGGACAGTTCCTCCGCTGGAGGAAGGGACAGGGGATGGGGACAGGGGATGGAGGAGGAGTTGGGGAGACCCTTCAGAGAGTGTGGCAGAAACACGTGTGTACAGGCTGGCACACGAGTCACAGAGGCAACAGGGTGGCTGCGGGGAGAAATGTGAGCAGAGCTCATGCAATTGTCGTGAGTGAGTGCGCTCTCGCGGCTCTAAGGATTTGGGAAAACAACTTGCAGATCCAGGCATGTTTACGTAGGGAGGGGTGCCGTGTGCTGGACCAGGTCCAGAACTAAAAATAACACAGTATTTCTGTGCCCAGCAAGAGCGCTAGCATCTGTGGGGTTTGCGTGGTGGGAAGAGTGTGGTTTCAGCTGAACCAGGCGCAGTGTGACCAGAACAGTAGGAGGGAAGGCCAGGCCTGGGTGGGAGGCCCCAGGATGGGCGGGGGAAGGACTGAGGGCGAAGGCCATCCCAACTCGCAGCAGAAAAAGCCTCCAGGCGGTCACGGGCTGCCCATCTCGTGAGGCCAGATGTGGGTCCTCCTGCATATCTGAAACAGCACAGAGCATTGGGGCAGCCTCCAAACCTCCCCTATAAGGAGCAGTTAAGGGATCCAGAGGGCGTGGCCTGGAGCAGAGAGAAGGGAAGCAACATGTGTGGGGCATTCACAAGTGCAGGATGCCTTCTCCGGGCTCCCATGATGATCCAGACAGGTAGGCGTTTTCCTTCCCTTTTTGCAGATTGTGAAAACAGCGTTCAAAAAAGACTCATGGGCCGGGCGCGGTGGATCACGCCTGTAATCCCAGCACTTTGGGAGGCCAAGGCAGGCAGATCACAAGGCCAGGAGTTGAAGACCAACCTGGCCAACATGATGAAACCCTGTCTCTACTAAAAATACAAAAATTAGCCGGACGTGATGGTGGGCACCTGTAATCCCAGCTACTCAGGAGGCTGAGGCAGGAGAATCGCTTGAAACCGGAAGGCAGAGGTTGCAGTGAGCCGAGATTGCGCCACTGCACTCCAGCCTGGTCAATAAGAGTGAAACTCTGTCTCAAAAACAAACCAACCAACAAACCAAAAACTCTTGTAACCCTGGGGCCACCCAGCCACAAAGAGGCAGGGCTGGGACAGGCCCCTGCAAGTCTCCTCTGGAAGGCCAAAGGGCTGCTACTAGGAAGGGGTGGCAGACTCATCCCATGTGGCTTCAGAGGGCAGGACATGGACAAAGGTTATGGGAAGGGAGGGAAACTTTCCAATAACCAGACTGCACAAGAGTGGAGTGGCCTGCCTCAGGAGGGGTAAGCTCATGCAAAAGCTGGCTGTTGGGGACATTGGGAGGGACTCTGAAGGTCACCACCACTCTGAATCAATGCTGTGTGGGAGGATGCCAGGGTCCACTGGACCCATGACGTGCCTTTAGCGTGGGAAGCAGGGAACCTCAACTTTGGAAAGAGTGAGGGCACAGTGATGTCCAGCCACTCCCAGAAGCCGTCTGTTAATAGAGCAACCCCTCGGGCGGTGTGCAATCCTAATGACCAGCCCCAGGACATTGGAAACAGGGTCCTGCTGACCACAGTCTAGGAGACAGGGCTGCACACAGACGGAACCAAGCACACAAGACGAGAGAGGGTGTGTACCGCAGAAACCAAGGGCTCATTTATGTGCTGCGTTCTCAGTCTGCAAGGAGTCAGAAGAGAGGACAGTGAGGCCAGGAGAACTCAGGGAACACTCCTTGTTGTAATCATCACAGTTATGTAACTCATATTACCAGCTGTTCTTTCGTGAGCATTCTCTATGTGCCAGGCTAAGTGTTTTGTATGCACTGTATGATTTAATCCTAGAACAACACTATGAAGCAGGAGCTCTTAGTATTCCCCTTTTACAGATGAGGAGGCAGGCTCAGAGAGGTGATGTAACTTGCCCAGAATTATATAACTAGTGTGTGGCAGAGCCTGGACTCAAGCCCAGATCTGTTGGACTCCAGACCCCGTGTAGAACCATAAGGAACTGATGCTGCTTCAATTTCTGCACTGATACGGAAATCTCTCCGAGATATCATGCCGTTGTTTTCTATTGTTGCTATAGCATATTATCACAAGTTTAACACATATTTATTGCACACTTCTGGAGGTCAGCAGTCTGACATGTGGGTCTCACTGGGCTAAAATCTCAGTGTGGGCAGGGCTGTGTTCCCCTCTGGAGGCTGCAGGGGAGAATCCCTTTCCTTGCCTTTCCCAGCTTCTAGAGGCTGCCTGCATTCCTTGGCTCCTGGCCCCTCCTCTGTCTGCAAAGCCACCATTGTCATGTCTCTCTAACCCTTTGTCCCAGTTCCCTCTGACCACAGCCAGGAAAGATTATCTGACTTTAAGGATCCATAGGATTAGATTGAGCCCACTTGGATAATTCAGGATACTCTCCCCATCTCAAAGTCCTTAATCACATCTGCAAAGTTCTTTTTGCCAAGTAAGGTAACATGCACACCTGGCAGGGATTAAGGTGTGGTCACCTTTGTGGGGGCCATTATCCTGCCAGCCATATAAAAAGGAGAGAAAAGAGGCCAGGCGCGGTGGCTCACACCTGTAATCTCAGCACTTTGGAAGGCTGAGGCGGGCGGATCACCTGAGGTCAGGAGTTCAAGACCAGCCTGGCCAACATGGCAAAACCCCATCTCTACTAAAAATACAAAAAAATTGGCTGGGTGTGGTGGCTCACGCCTGTAATCCCAGCACTTTGGGAGGCCAAGGCGGGTGGATCACAAGGTCAGGAGATCGAGACCATCCTGGTTAACACAGTGAAACCCCGTCTCTACTAAAAACAAACAAACAAAACTCTACTAAAAAAAAAAAAAAAAAGAGAGAGAGAGAGAAAAGAGCAAGGTGCCGAATCAGTAGCAAGGTGCTTCTTCTGGTGTTAAAAAATTCTTAAATGGGGAGAATAACAATATATACTAGTATTTGCATAATGAAGGATACATTAAGGAACCAGTATTGGGGAAGAGCTAGCCTGATGGGGACAAGACTGGATGGAGATTTTTGCTGTCGTTATGCAAGTGTTCAAACACACGCAAAAGTAGAGAGAACAGTATAATGAATCCCATATACTCATCGCTCAGCATCAACGATTTTGCATTCTTATTGCATTTTATCTCTCCACTTTTTGGGAAGGGGACTGAACAATTTAAAGCAAATCCCAGACATCATATCATTCTACCCATAAAAACTGCAGCGTGTATCTCTAAGAGATACGGTTTTCTCAGAAACATAACCATGGCCGGGCGCAGTGGCTCATGCCTGTAATCCCAGCACTTTGGGGGGCCGAGGCGGGCGGATCACGAGGTCAGGAGATCGAGACCATCCTGGCTAACACGGTGAAACCCTGTCTCTACTAAAAATACAAAAAAATTAGCTGGGCGTAGTGGCGGGCGCCTGTAGTCCCAGCTACTGGGGAGGCTGAGGCAGGAGAATGGCGTGAACCCGGGAGGCGGAGCTTGCAGTGTGCCGAGATCGCGCCACTGCACTCCAGCCTGGGCGACAGAGCGAGACTCCGTCTCAGAGAGAAAAAAAAACAAAAACAAAAAACACATAACCACAATGCCATCATCACACGTAAGAAAGTTAACAATATTTCCTTAACATCATCTAGTCCTTAGTCCATATTTAAATTTCCCTAACTGCCTACAAAACCTTTTTTTTAATAACTGGTCTGTCTGCATCAGGATTCAAGAATCAGGCCCACACGTTGCCCTTGGTGGACAGAACTCCTAAATCTCTGTTACAGATTAACAGTTTCCAGGAGAAACACGTTTCCCTCTCTTGTATCTTTATTTTTCAGTTATATAAACAAATGATCTATTTTTAAATGAAATTTAAAATAAAAATCTAATGCTTCATGGAGATAAGGCTCCCAAGGGGTCCCAAAAAGTGGTGGGTGAGGGGAAGCCTCAGTGGAGCTCTGGGCTGGAGCGGATGGGAGGCAGAAGGCCCCACCAAAGCTACACGTGGTGAACAGACTTGGGGAGTCTAGGCTCTGACATTCTGGCTTCCTGGCCTGCTTGGAGGTGGGTGGGGAAGTGGTGGGAATGCCAGCGATACAATTTAGCCCTGAGGAAAGTCCCCAAAGTCAAGAGTGCTGCAGTCACTCTATGTGGGTAGGGTGGGAGAGCCACAGGAAACCCACCATCCCTCCATCAGAGCCATATCACACTCCTAGACCCAGGTGTTAAACCAAAGCGTGCCCAGATTGGACAACCGGGAAAAATGGAGATGCGCAGAATGTGCAGGACGGGGGAGGGGTTGGCTAAACTGGAAGTCGGGAGGTCCAAGTCCTACTCTAGCTCTGCCACCAGCCACCTGCACAGTCCTGTGAGAGCCACCTCTAAACACATTCCCTCTAGTAACCACGGCTGGGAGAGGTGGAATGGCGAATAACATCTATTAGTGTTTGCTTGTATTTGCATAAAGAAGGGCACAATAAAAACCGAAGCAGCATCAAATGAGATCCTGGGTATGGAAAAGGGAGTGTCAATTAATATTGTTAACAGCCAGATCCCAAAACCCCAATCCTACCAAGTTCCCAACATTATCCCTAATTTAAGAGAGGAGTTCTGCAGGATGAATAGGAGTTTGCTGGAAACAAGAAAGTTATTGTAGAGAAAGAGAATGACAGGGTCAAAAACAGAGAAATAGGAAATGAGCCCAGTGAGTCCAGAGAATTTAAAAAAATGCAAAATACAGGGCGGGCGCATTGGCTCACACCTGTAATCCCAGCACTTTGGGAGGCTGAGGCGGGCAGATTGCCTGAGGTCAGGAGTTCGAGACCAACCTGACGAACATGGTGAAACCGGTCTCTACTAAAAATACAAAAACTAGCTAGGCCTGGTGGCAGGTGCCTGTAATCCCAGCTACTCAGGAGGCTGAGGCAGGACAATCACTTGAACCTGGGAGGCAGAGGTTGCAGTGAGCCAAGATCGTGTCACTGTGCACTCCAGCCTGGGCGACAGCGAGACTCTATGTCCAAAAAAAAAAAAAATGCAAAATACAAAATGCAATGTGGAAACTTGGATTGGATTCTGGAACAGAAAAAGGACATCAGTGGAAAAACTGATGAAATCTAAATAAAGTCTGCAGTCTAGTTAACAGTATTGTACCAATGTTGATTTCTCAGTTTTGACAAATATACCACGATTATATAAGACGTTAACATTAGAAGGAAGCTGCACTATCTTTGCAACTTTTTTTAAACTGAAATTATTCCAAAATTAAAAGTTTATTAAGAAAGAGGGTTGGCAAGAGGTGGAGATTGCAGTGAACTGAGATCATGCCACTGCACTCCAGCCTGGGTGACAGAGGGAGAGGAAAGAAAGGAAAGAAAGAGGAAAAGAGAAAGGAAGAAAGGAAGAAGAAGGAAGGAAGGAAGGAAAGGAGGGAGGGAGGGAAAGAAAGAGAGTTCGAGGTATTTAGGGAAGTAGAGCTGTTAAAAGCTAGAGCAGGCCAGGCATAGTGGCTCACACCTACAATCCCAACACTTCAGGAGGCCAAGGCGGACAGATCCCTTGAGTCCAGGAGTTGGAGACCAGCCTGGGCAACATGGTAAAACCCCATCTCTACAAAATATACAAAAATTGGCTGGGGGTGGTGGCGTGCACCTGTAGTCCCAGATACTTGGGAGGTTGAAATGGGAGTCTCGTTTGAGTCTGTGAGATCGAGGCTGCAGTGAGCCATGATCTCACCACTGCACTCCAGCCTAGGTGACACAGTGAGACCCTGTCTCAAAAATAAACAAATAAAACCAGCTAGAGCATATAAGGTGCCAGAGTGGGAAATCAGGTGCTGGACGTCAGCAGAGGCTGGTTTACAAAGGCCCGTGCCACACAATGAGGTTCAGACTTCCTTTGTCTTTAGGCAGTGACTCCATGGCCATATTCTCCCTCTCTCTAAACCCTTCCCACAGGCCACAGGTAGACATTAGTGACAGCTTCTTACCTTCACTGTATTTTACCTGCCCATATCTACCTGAACCTACAGACGAAAGTCCCATCTCTTATACACAGACACACATGCAGACACGTGTGCACACACACACTGGCCCTCTAGGGGGACCTTTGTCCAACCCACCCCAGATACAGCTGGGAGAGACAGCGACCCTGCCTCTGGGTGCTTATAGTTTCAGGAGCATCAGCCAAACATTATATGAGACACAAAGAAACTGTCAGCAAGATAGATTCAGCAACTTCGTTTGCCCTTTGATATGAATAAAACCTTCTCAGGACCAGCTTAGGCTAAGCTGTGTGGAAATGGGAAGCAGGCATAGAGCTGAGCCCAGTGGCCCCCAGCACTGCCCTGTCCCCACCTGTGTCTTGCTACGGCTGCCTGGTCAGTCCTGCTCTCAGATATCTGGACCCCTGCAACTCCTCACTTCCCTAACTCTTCCTCGCCTTGTTACCATCTAATGATTGGCGTCCACCACATCCTATATCACCAGTTAGGAGGTGAGTTTCTCATGAGCAAAACTAGGGCGTGGCTTATCCTGGGCACCTCCCACAGCCTAGCACTCAGGTGCTCAGTAAATGTGGGGTGAACAGGACCTAGCATGCTGGGCAAAGACACTCAGAAGACAGAGCTGAAAATGCTCATCTTGCCAACATTCTCCAAGACTCCAAGCCTTGGGGCTATTTAGCATTTTATAACAACCAAGTCCACTACTCCTGTACTGAGATTAAAATTGAAAATCAAGTTTATAAGCACCCTTATAGTTTACAAAGCACTTACACATCCAGGATTTCATCTGACTCTCTTACAACAGCAAAGTAGGAGTTTTTACTAAGCCCATTTTGTGGATAACGAAATGGAGTCTCAGAAAAGCAGAGACTTGCTCAGGTCATCTCTGCTCCCAGGTAAGTATGCAGTAGGGCTTGCACCTGTGACTTCTAATTTCAAGCCCCATGCTAATTGCCTACAGCTTCTCTACCCTCTTACGCAGGAAATACCACAAATACATAGCCCCCAGAGTCCCTGCTCCTCCACCTGAAGCCAGAACCACCAACCAGAACAGAAGCCAGCAGCCACAGAGTGAAGAGAAGCTGCAGCTGCTACCCATGGGCTGGCATTGCCTACCACTGAGCCAGGGGCAGGCTGCCTGGGCACATACCCGCCCATCCCCACCCCTCATGGTGGAGAAAGAGCAGTAATCATCCTCGCTCTGCAGCTGTGGAAAGCGAGCCTCAGAGGAACAGACAAGCACCAGCAAAGGCAGGACCCAATTGCAGGCTCACCACCTGTCAGCAGCCCTAAGACTCAGAGTCGCCTTGCAGGGAGGCACCTTCAAGATGGCACAACTGCTGAGGAGTCATCTGCAGCCCCTTCACCCACCTCTACAGTCAAAGGGCAAAAACGGCAGTGTAGTGCCAGTCCACATTTACCTACCACAGGAAGCAGCAGCTTAGCACCTGGGCTCTGGAACCAGGCCACCTGGGTTTACATCCCGGCTCTGCTGCTTCCTAACAAGAGCATGAACCGCCTGTGACTTGGCTTCCCCATTTGTAAAACTATCAACCTCAAAGGGTTGTTTGTGGATTGAGTTTATATACAGCAGTTAGAACAGCATTAGTTACATCTTATGTACCCATGCAAGTGTTAGTTCTTCAGACCTACTACATTAAGTGTCTGGAAGGTACCTACTGTGGGTACAACAGGAGCTGGTAATCTAGCTGGAGAGTATTTATTTATGGGGAAGGAGTCTTGCTGTGTCGCCCAGGCTGGAATGCAATAGCACCATCTCAGCTCACTGCAACCTCCGCTTCCTGGGTTTAGGCAATTCTCCTGCGTCAGCCTCCTGAGTAGCTGGGATTACAGGCACCTGCCTGAAGGGATGGGTTGCTCCTCCACACCTGTGGGCACTTCTCATTAGGTGGAACGAGACTTGGAAAAGAGACACAGAGACAAAGTGTAGAGAAAGAAAAAAAGGGGGCCCAGGGTGTGTCTGGAATTGGTAGGTCCTTGGTCTCACTGACTTCAAGAATGAAGCCACGGACCCTCGCGGTGAGGTGAGTGTTACAACTCTTAAGGTGGCGCGTCTGAAGTTTGTTTTTTCTGACGTTCAGATGTGTTTGGAGTTTCTTCCTTCTGGTGGGTTTGTGGTCTTGCTGGCTTAAGGAGTGAAACTGCAGACCTTCGCGTTGAGTGTTACAGCTCTTAAGGCAGCAAGTCTAGGAGTTATTCGTTTCTCCCAGTGGGCTCATAGTCTCACTGGCTTCAGGAGTGAAGCTGCAGACCTTCGTGGTGAGTGTTACTGCTCATAAAAGCAGTGCAGACCCAAAGCGTGAAAGAACAAAGCTTCCACCACGTGAAAGGAGACCCGAGCGGGTTGCTACTGCTGGCTCACGCAGCCTGCTTTTATTCTCTTATCTGGCCCCACCCACGTCCTGCTGATTGGTAGAGCCCAGTGGTCTGTTTTGACAGGGCGCTGATTGGTGCGTTTACAATCCCTGAGCTAGACACAAAGGTTCTCCTCCTCCCCACCAGATTAGTTAGATACAGAGTATCGACACAAAGGTTCTCCAAGGCCCCACCAGAGCAGCTAGATACAGAGTGTCAATTGGTGCATTCACAAATCCTGAGCTAGACACAGGGTGCTGATTGGTGTGTTTACAAACCTTGAGCCAGATACAGAGTACCGATTGGTGTATTTACAATCCCTGAGCTAGACATAAAGGTTCTCCACATCCCCACCAGACTCAGGACCCCAGCTGGCTTCACCCAGTGGATCCCGCACCAGCGCTGCAGGTGGAGCTACCTGCCAGTGCCGCGCCCTGCGCCCACACTCCTCAGCCCTTGGGTGGTTGATGGGACTTGGCACCGTGGAGCAGGGGGCGGCGCTCATCGGGGAGGCTCGGCCGCACAGGAGCCCACGGAGTGGGTGGGAGGCTCAGGCATGGTGGGCTGCAGGTCCCGAGCCCTGCGCCGCGAGAAGGCAGCTAAGGCCCAGTAAGAAATCGAGCGCAGCGCGGGTGGGCCAGCACTGCTGGGAGACCCAGTACACCCTCCGCAGCCGCCGGCCCGGGTGCTAAGCCCCTCATTGCCCGGGGCCCGCAGGGCGGGCCGGCTGCTCTGAGTGCGGGGCCCGCCAAGCCCACGCCCACCTGGAACTCCAGCTGGCCCGCAAGCGCCGCTCACAGCCCCGGTTCCCGCTCGCGCCTCTCCCTCCACACCTCCCTGCAAGCTGAAGGAGCCGGCTCCGGCCTTGGCCAGCCCAGAAAGGGGCTCCCATAGTGCAGCGGCGGGCTGAAGGGCTCCTCAAATGCCGCCAAAGTGGGAGCCCAGGCAGAGGAGGCCCCCAGAGTGAGCGAGGGCTGTGAGGACTGCCAGCACGCTGTCACCTCTCAAGGGGACCAGCGTTCAGCATACGGAGGATCCCGCCAGCCTCTGAGTTCCCTTAGTATTTATTGATCATTCTTGGGTGTTTCTCGGAGAGGGGGATGTGTCAGGGTCATAGGATAATAGTGGAGAGAAGGTCAGCAGATAAACACGTGAACAAAGGTCTCTGCATCATGAACAAGGTAAAGAATTAAGTGCTGTGCTTTAGATATGCATACACATAAACATCTCAATGCCTTACAGAGCAGTATTGCTGCCCGCATGTCCCACCTCCAGCCCTAAGGCGGTTTTCCCCTATCTCAGTAGATGGAATATACAATCGGGTTTTACACCGAGACATTCCATTGCCCACCTTCCTCTTGTCTCAACTGCAGAAAGGTGTTCCTTCCTCTTTTACTAATCCTCCTCAGCACAGACCCTTTACGGGTGTCGGGCTGGGGGACAGTCAGGTCTTTCCCTTCCCACGAGGCCATATTTCAGACTGTCACATGGGGAGAAACCTTGGACAACACCTGGCTTTCCTAGGCAGAGGTCCCTGTGGCCTTCCGCAGTGTTTGTGTCCCTGGGTACTTGAGATTAGGGAGTGGTGATGACTCTTAAGGAGCATGCTGCCTTCAAGCATCTGTTTAACAAAGCACATCTTGCACCGCCCTTAATCCATTTAACCCTGAGTTTGACATTGAGATTAACAGCATCTCAAGGCAGAAGAATTTTTCTTAGTACAGAACAAAATGGAGTCTCCTATGTCTACTTCTTTCTACATAGACACAGTAACAATCTGATCTCTCTTTTCCCCACACCCGCCATCATGCCCAGCTAATCTTTTTTTTTTTAGACGGAGTCTCACTCTCACCAGGCTGGAGTGCAGTGGCGCAGTCTCAGCTCACTGCAACCTCCGCTTCCTGGGTTCAGGCGATTCTCCTGCCTCAGCCTCCTGAGTAGCTGGGATTACAGGCACCTGCCACCACGCTCAGCTAATCTTTTTTTTTTTTTTTTTTCTGAGACGGAGTCTCGCTCTGTCGCCCAGGCTGGAGTGCAGCGGTGTGATCTCAGCTCACTGCAAGCTCTGCCTCCCGGGTTCACGCCATTCTCCTGCCTCAGCCTCCCTAGTAGCTGGGACTACAGGCGCCCGCCACCACGCCTGGCTAATTTTTTGTATTTTTAGTAGAGACAGGGTTTCACTGTGTTAGCCAGGATGATCTCGATCTCCTGACCTCGTGATCCGCCCGCCTCAGCCTCCCACAGTGCTGAGATGATAGGCGTGAGCCACCGCGCCCGGCCGCCCAGCCAACTCTTTTAAACAGATGCATGAAACCTGAAATTATCACCCAGGACAAATCTTGTAAGAGTCTAGTGGATGATTCAGAAAGAAGTTGCTACAGGAGTGTCCTGAGAAAGAGGATCAGAGCAGACTAAGATGACTGAGGGTGCTGGGGAAGGCAGGGGCTGGGCTGGCCTCAGAGATGGTGCAGGCTGCTTGAAGGGCAGAAAGGAGGAAGTGCCAAGAGCTTGGGCTTCGGAAAGAAGAGGTGGGGACCCAGGCATAGAGCTGGGGATGCATGTGGTATTCCAAAAGAGTGAACAGATTTGCAAACAGAGGTTAAGGCGAGAGAGCAGAGGGCCTGTATGATGATCTTACAATTGAGACATCGGCTTTCCATACATTCAATAAATATTGTGCACCTACTGTATGTCAGGCACTGTTCAAAGCCCTTGGGATACATAGAGAACAGAACAGCCATGCGGATTTTGCATTCTAGCTGGAGGAGACAGGTAAATAGCAATGCACATACCAAGGAAACATTCCACTCTGTGAGAAGGTAAATGCTATGGGAGCATTGTTTGGAAGTAGAACAGGGGTAAGGGGAGTTGGGAGATCTTTGAGCAGGAAAGAGTAAAGCTGAGCTTCAGGAGTCTGATGAAAGGATGATATTAAATATTGCTTGTTTAGAATTGCTCCCCGCCTGCCCCCAACCCCCATATACTAAGGAGGACAGACCCTGAGAGCCATGATTTGTTTTGCTGAGCAGGGTGAGGGGAGGTGGGGACACAAACGGAAAATGCCAAGTTTAGAGCTAAATTGCTCCACACAGACATATGCAGAGGACATCCACAGGGCAGGGGGCTGGCTGAGGCTGGGCTGGGGGGCAGATGATAGGGGTGGCTGCCACAGATTGGACGTTTGAGAAGAGCTATCCAGAGGGATTCTTAGAATGGTTCTCTCTGGCATATGAGAGGGAACCCCTCATCCACCTATCCGTGAAACCTTCATAAAATCCACACTGGACATAGGCAGTTTCCAGGTTGAGTGTGTGTGTGCTTAATGCAAGGAAAAGAAGTGATGGGTGAGAGGAGGGCAGCCCACCCCCAAGGACGCACGCAGCAAGACTCTCTGGGTCCAATGTTGTGTCCATCCTGGGCAGGTGAACAGCAGCGAGGCAGGGCAAGGGTAGAACAGCCGTTTGGGCTGCAGATGAGCTTCCAGGATGCAGCCCCCTTGCGGATGGCAGGGCATCAGGGGGAACAAAAGATCAGGATCCAACCCTGGACTGAAACCAGAAGCTCTGAGGTCTGATCTGTGCTCTGCCACTCAATCACTACAACCCGCCTTAGCCCTGGTGCCTCCCAGCAATGACGTAAGAACAGCTAAGAAACAGGAATCACATTCACTAAGCAGCTGTGAGGCTGGGGGAAGGAGGAGCCCCAGGTGATGGGAGGTGTTGGTGCTGACTGATTAGAGACAGGGAGGGCTGAGGAGAAAGTCAGCTGCGAGCCTAGAAAGCCCTTGGAGATTATGAATTCTGATCTTGATGTTTACATTGAGATTACTATATTTCCTATTGCTTCGGTAACAACCACAAATTTAGTGGCTTAAAGTAACACATATTTACTATTTCACAATTCTAGAGGTCTGAAATCTAAAATGGGTGGGCAGGGCTGTGTTGGATCCCTCTGGCAGCTGCAGGGGAGAATTCGTTTCTTCGCCTTCTCCAGCTTCTAGAGGCTGTCCTTGTTCCCCAACACACAGCTGTGCATCACTGCGACCTCTGCTTCTGTCGTCACATCTCCTTCCCTGGCTTTGACACTTCCACCTGTCTCTTATAAGAACCCTTTGGATTCCACTGGGCCCACTGGGATGGTCCAGGCTATGCCATGGAAAGTAACACATTCACAGTTTTGGGGATTGGAACGTGGGCCTATTTGGAGGGCCGTTAGAAGTGGAAACGGGCCAGGCACGGTGGCGCACGCCTGTAATCCCAGCACTTTGGGAGGCTGAGGTGGGCGGATCACCTGGGGCCAGGAGTTCAAGACCAGCCTGACCAACAGGAGGAAACCCCATCTCTACTAAAAATATAAAAAATATAAAAAATATAAAAAACACGGTGGCTTACGCCTGTAATCCCAGCACTTTGGGAGGCTGAGGTGGGTAGATAACGAATTCAGGAGTTCAAGACCAGCCTGGCCAATATGGTGAAACCCCGTCTCTACTAAAAATACAAAAATTAGCTGGGCATGGTGGTGTGCGCCTGTAGTCCCAGCTACTTGGGAGGCTGAGGCAGAAGAATCACTTGAACCCGGGAGGCAGAGGTTGCAGTGAGCCAAGATCGTGCCACTGCACTCCAGCCTGGGTGACAAAGCGAGACTCCGTCTAAAAAAAAAAAAATTATTAGCCGGGCATGGCAGCGCACACCTGTAATTCAATCTGCTTGGGAGGCTGAGGCAAGAGAGTCTCTTGAGCCCAGGGATGGAGGTTGTAGTGAGCCGAGATTGAGCCACTGCACTCCAGCCTGGGCAACAGAGCGAGACTTGGTCTCAAAAAAAAAAAATCTGCAGGCTCTTGGATATCAGGACTTGCATTTACAGAGAGATGAGTTAAACAGAGAAAATGGTGGAAGGCACAAAAGGGGATGAGTGCTCCAGGAGAGGTCTGAGAGAGAAGGGCAGGGGCCTGAGAAAGCCCCACGCCCAGCCGTCATTCTGCAGATGTTTGCAGAGGGCCTGCTCTGGGCCAGGAAGGGACCGGGAGCTAGGGAGAGCACAGAAATTAATCAAATGCAAGTGCACCCTCGAGGAGCTCACTACCAAGAAGTGGACACATAAAGGAAGATGATGATGACCAGAGAATCACACATGCGAGACTCAAGGTAATCCACGGAGAAAAAGACTGGAGTGCTCCAGGAAGGCTTCATAAGGTGGTGTATTTGAGCTTAGAAAGAGGAACAGGAGAGAAGCTTCTAGAAGTGAAGGAGGTGAATCAAGATGGCCACTGGTGTGGTGGCTGGAAGGGCCTTGGTGGCCTGTGAGAGCGAGGGTCCTACCTGTTGCCTTACAAAGCCATTGCCCACAGCTGGAGGGACCTGGGGCATGGGTGTGACGGCTCATTAGGTCACCTGGCCTCTGCGTGTTCAAATCTTACCACCAGGGGGGGCACAAGAGCCAAAGTGGACCCTGAGCCTGAGCTGGGGTTTCTTTCCCAGAGACAGGACGCCTTGAGGGAAGGGAGGAAAAGCTTTCCCACTCCAGCACCACAAAGCCTGGAAGGCCTGGCTGCTTCCATGTGATTTCTGACTCAGGGGCTTACCCATATTTTCCTCTTCCGGTTAAGGCAAAACATAATTTTTCCATCGCTCACCTTCCTGGTTGCCTGTAGCACTAACTGTCTGTAACAAATGCACTTTGGCCCAGGGGTTTATTGTGACACAGAATGTCAGGAGGAATGAAAGACACCTCCTGATCCAAAATGCTGTGAACCAAAAAGTATCTGAGACAGGTCTCAATCAATTTAGAAAGTTTATTTTGCCAAGGTTACAGATGGGCGCCCAGGAGGCAGATCTGTGCCTTCTGCAAAGATGATTTTGAGGGCTTCAATATTTAAAAGGCGGCTGGTGGGGAAAGAGGAAGAAAGTTTTTTTAAGGTGTGGGTAGGTAAGAAACAAACGGTTGCATTCTTTTGAGTCACTGATCATCCTCTCACTGAATGCACAATTTACATGGCAGAGGAGGGTAGAGAAATAAGTCACTTATGCCTTGTCTAGCACAGCGAATCTTCATTTTTACATTGGAGGAAGCAATCAGATATGCATTTGTCTCAGGTGAGCAGAGGGATGACTTTGAGTTCTGTCCTTTTTTCTGTACCTGTGAAGATATGCTATCAATTTACATTGTCATGGTGAAATTCAACAGAACTGTTTTAGGGCAAATATCATAGGGTCCACCAGAAATTTCCTCATGGGCAAATTGTGAAAGAAGTGCATAGCTGCTTTTTTTTTTTTTTTTTTTTTTGAGACGGAGTCTGGCTGTGTCCCCCAGGCTGGAGGGCAGTGGCGCGATCTCGGCTCACTGCAAGCTCTGCCTCCCGGGTTCACGCCATTCTCCTGCCTCAGCCTCCTGAGTAGCTGGGACTACAGGCGCCCGCCGCCACGCCCGGCTAATTTTTTTGTATTTTTAGTAGAGACGAGGTTTCACCGTGTTAGCCAGGATGGTCTTGATCTCCTGACCTCATGATCCTCCCGCGTCGGCCTCCTAAAGTGCTTGGATCACAGGTGTGAGTCACAGCGCCCAACAAGAAGTGCATAGCTTTTTTTGTTTTTTCTTTTTGAGACGGAGTCTCACTCTGTCGCCAGGCTAGAGTGCTGTGGCGCGATCTCGGCTCACTGCAACCTCCAACTCCCTGGTTCAAGGGATTCTCCTGCCTCTGCCTCCCGAGTAGCTGGGATTATAGGTATGCGCCACCATGCCTGGCTAATTTTTGTATTTTTAGTAGAGATGCGGTTTCACTATGTTGGCCAGGATGGTCTCGATCTCCTCACCTCGTGATCCGCCCACCTTGGCCTCCCAAAGTGCTGGGATTACAGGCGTGAGCCACTGCGCCCGGCCGAGAAGTGCATAGCTTTTTAAAAAATCTTTGTAGCTATCTTATTTAGGAATGGGAGGCAGGTTTGCCTGTGGCAGTTCCCAGCTTGATTTTTTCCTTTGGCTTATTGATTTTGGGGTCCTAAGATTTATTTTCCTTTCACAATACTCTTGTACAGGTGAGGAGACTGAGGCCCAGAGAGGAGGCTGCCTGCCTAACATAGACCAAAGGGTCAGAACCAAGAGTAGAACTCAGACCCCCTCACTTCAGGCCCAATGCTCTCATCACATAAAAAGGATGCCTTGATTATACGAATGTGGCACTGAACTATATAGGCTGACCCCAATTCTTTCTTCAGTGTAAACAATAATAGGAATAGGAGCAACAGGCAGCGTTTCTGCAGCGCTTCTGTGGCAGGCAGGTTCTAAGGCCTCCCTGTGGATTTCCTCTGTCAACACTCACGTTTACCCTAATAAGTAATTTCTATTATAAACTTAAATATTTACTGAACTCCTCCCACCAGTACTTGTTAACTTGGGAGAAGGGGGAGATGCAATAAAATCTTTCTTTTCCTAAGACCTGTCTCCCAAGATAGATGGACGCAGGCCCAAAAGGGCACAATGGAACACTGACTGTTTTCCGGCCTCCTTCCCACCCTCCAGGGTGCTTCACACTCCTCCCCTGTGCTGGAATCATCCTGGACACTGGTTAGGATGTGTAAAGTCAAGCATCACCAAAATTCCTCTGCTTGTCCTCTTGGCATTAGGCTCAGTTTAGGCCCTGCCTCTCCTTCCTTGTCCTCCTTCCTCCCCATGTACCACTATCGGTTGTTTCCCCAGTGCAGCCAGCTGCCCGCTTCTGTGTCTTTGCATATCCAGTTCCCTCTTGGAATTCCCTCCTCCGCATTGACTACTGACTCCACCTTCCCAAGTCAAGTCAGCTGCTGCAATGTCCCCTGCTCTGGGGAGCCTCTCGGACTCAGATTGACGTGGGGATGTGCCCTGTGCCCCTACTTGTTACTAGCTTCTGCTGCTCTGCCTCTGATCTCTCCCTCCCCTTCCCGGCCTGACACCTCATGGGGTTTTGCCCTGCCTTCTCTAGGCTTTATCCCATTGCCCCGCCTTCATTCATTCTTCTCTCACCTGAACTACTCCACAGCCTCCTAGCAGATTTGCACCTGGTCCTCAGCTCAACTTTCATCTACCACTGCTCCCCTCATATTACCTGATTGCGTCTCCCCAAATACAACATCTCCATGTTCCATGCAATCCCGTAAAGCACTGAGCCAAGGACTGGAGATGCCAACAATGGTCCTGGTCCTCAAGGGGCTTCCTACCTGCCCCTCCGGCCTTCCCCCACCCAACTACCTAAAACACAGGCAGAGAACCTCTGAAAACACAGCAGATCCAACCATTCCCCTGCTTGAACCTTTCGGTGGCCCCTAATGCTCAGAGTGCAAAGTCCAGGAGCACAAGGCTCTTTCTCACCTTCCCACAAACTACCCCGTGACTCCAGGCTCCAGCCCAGAGCCCGGACAGCCCCTGCCCCAGCCTTTGCCCAGGATTCTCCCTTGGCGGCAACTTTCCCTGTGGTTCTGCAGCATCATCTCCCAGTCTGGGTCAGAGGCCTCTCCTTAGCCTCTTAGCCCCCAAGCCTCTCCCCGTAACTGCACCTATCACCCTCAAACCATTGTCTGGCTGCCTGTCTCCTCCCACACTGGTCCCTGAGCAGAAACAAGGACTAATCCATGTTTTTCAGCTCCTACCCCTAATGAAATACCCTAATAGATACTGAAAAATGTTTTTGAACCAATGAGACAAGTCTACTGATAATAAACAGGCAAATAACAGCAATGTGCTAACAGTGGCTGTTTCTGGTGAGCAGAATTTTGAGGTCTGTTCCTTTCACTTCTTGGTATTTCGGTTGTTTCTGTAATGACTGTATCTTGCTTTTGTAATCATAAAGGACAGTAAAGGAAACTTCATTTTGAAAATAATACAAAGGGATTCGGGGACTTCAAAAGAAGGTGACTCTCCTCGTCCACTCCAGAGAATCAGGAAAGGAGTGTTTAAAGACCCACAGAATTCCTACAAGTGACGTTGGGGGGGGGCCAGCCAGCCAGGGCGCATGCCGGCCAGCGAGTGGGGTGGGCTCTGGGTCCGGGAGAAGTCAGATCAGTGCTCTGTACAGGGCCTTGAGGGCAAGACGAGGAATTTCGACTTAGGTCCTTGAATCTGGAGAGCTACAGAAAGTTTGTGAGCTCAGGAGAAGCGCTCCGAGCTCGGCATCTGGAGCAGTTCAAGGCAGCAGCGAGCAAGTCCAAAGACGCAGGAGGGAGGGTGGGGTGGAGGAGTAGAGAGAAAACAGAAGCCGTCTACAGACCCTTTTTCCCTCTGGGGCAACTAAACCTCAAGTGCAGGAAGCGCTTGGGGACTGCCCAGCCCTCAGCTGTGTTATTATTCGGTGATAGGTATTTGCTAATTACTTCCAAAAGCCTCCCATCTGTCATCCCACCCAGACTGCGCGCTTCTAATTCCTCCTACCCCACATGCTGTGCCCAATGAAAAGTATGGTCAGCGAGCGAAGGTTTGCAAGGAGACAGACGAGGGCGAAATTAAGCCAGGCGGCTTCCCTTTAAATCCTCGCAAAGCAGAAGGGCCCCTCACTCTGGCAGCAGGCCTTGGCCAAGGGGCCTTTAGCCCTGACGACCCGGGGAAGAGTCTCCCAAAGCAGAACGCCCGGTCCGGCGCCCAGACCAAACGCGGGGGAACCGGAAGGGCGAGGCCTCCACGTAAGTCCGCGGTAAAAGTGGCAGGGAGTGGCTGCCTGCAAAGACCCCAAGACGGCTTGAAGAAGGAGTGGGTGGCGGGTGGGGGTTAGGGCGACTAGGCGGGGAAACAGGGAGAGGGTCGGGCTCCGCGGGGCAGCTGGGGCCGGGGCTCGCCGACCTGGGCGGGGGCGGGGGGCGGGGGGGGTGCGGCCCGGGCGGGGCCGGTGGGGCGGGAGGCGTGGCCGGCGGGGGGAGTGGGGGCGGCTTTTCCCGGCACATGCGCACCGCAGCGGGTCGCGCGCCCTAAGGAGTGGCACTTTTTAAAAGTGCAGCCGGAGACCAGCCTACAGCCGCCTGCATCTGTATCCAGCGCCAGGTCCCGCCAGTCCCAGCTGCGCGCGCCCCCCAGTCCCGCACCCGTTCGGCCCAGGCTAAGTTAGCCCTCACCATGCCGGTCAAAGGAGGCACCAAGTGCATCAAATACCTGCTGTTCGGATTTAACTTCATCTTCTGGGTGAGTGAGCGCGACTGCCGCGCGCTCCTCTCAGGGCCCACCTGTTCGCGGGCCCCGGACACTGGCCGCGGCCGCGAGTGCCGGCAGCTGGCACTGCCCGCACCGGGCAGGCACCGGGCGGGAAGAGAGAGCGCCCTGCGGCTGCCAGCTGGCTCCAAGGCCGGGTCCAGAGCCGGGCGGGACGGCCGCGACGGGCGCATTCGGGTGGGGGCTCATCACCGCCCAGCCGGCGTGGGGAGCCGGGCCCTCTTGAGATGAGGCGTGCGGGAGGGTCCTGAGCACTTTAGCTCGCCTAGGATTTGAGCTGGGGTGTGTGTCTGCTCCCAGCTCAAGTCCCTCCGAGTGCCAGAGAGGAAGGCAGGGAGAAGCGGAGCACCCCTCTTTGGGCCAAGGCCAAGGAGGACTGTGGTGAGCAGTATGGCTTGTGACCGGGTGGGGTCTCCCAGGTAGTAGGGGGCGCCAGGAAGGGAGGGTGCGGGCACGGCGAGAGCTCAGCCAAGAGCGGCTCTCACTTTTACGCAGGAGCGGCAGGGGTGCCTCGGCCGCGGGTCCGGCCCCGGGACCCAGTCCCTGAGAGTCGGGGGCCCCTCCACCCTTGAGGAGGAACCTCGCAGGCCCCCGTTCCCTCAGACTTTGATTCTGAGCCACCGTGAGAGCGCCGAACTCCCTGGTAGCTCCCTGAAAGACTAGCTTGTCTTGATTTCTTTCAAGGACGATAAGTATCTTCACTGGAGAGAACTCAGAGTTCGGGAGAGGAGGGGGCAGATACCTATCTGCGCCTCTAGTGGGATGAGTCCTGTGTGTGCATTTCCGGGAGAGATCAGGTGCCAGCCAGCTGCCCGCCCAGGAGAGCCTTGGCCTTGCCCTCTCCCCTCCCCGCCAGCCCAGGCGGCCCACCCAAGGCCAGGCAGGGCGCAGAGCGGACGTTCATCTGGAGAGGCCAGCGGGGCCAGGAGCTCCAGAGACACCTGCTGCAGGCCACTCAGCCTCTACAAATGGGAAGGCTGAGAGGCGACAGAAGCAAGGAATAGGAAACCCTTGTGTCCTTGTTTCTATAGCCACATTCCCTGCACACACATGACAATACTTGCCGCTCTGCAGGCAGGAAGAGAGTCTCTATGCCACTCTCAAGATAGATGGATGTAGAAACAGGTGCATGCCACCAGAGTCTTGTAACAAAAAAGTGCACTTGGCCAGGCACAGTGGCTCATGCCTGTAATCCCAGCACTTTGGGAGGCTGAGGCAGGAGGATCGCTTTCATCCAGGTTCAAGACCAGCCTGGGTAACATAGTGAGACCCCCATCTCCACAAAAAAATAAAAAATTAGCTGGGCGTGTTGGCATGCACCTGTGATCGCAGCTACTCAGGAGGCTGAGATGAGAGGATGGCATGAGCCTGGGAGGTCAAGGCTGCGGTGAGTCATGATTGCACCACTGCACTTAGCCTGGGTGACCTAGTGAGCCCTGTCTCAAAAAAAGTAGAAAAGAAACAAATGCACTTATTCCCCCTGGAGCTGGTCACTGAGGTCCCCACAAGCCTCCTTAGGGAAATCTTCTAAGATTCACTCCTCCCCAGAGCTGAAGGGGTGGTTGAACAGTTTTTCCAATTTGCAGAGACTGACTTCCCCCAGTGCATCAGTCACCATAACACACACCCCAGTGAGGACGGCATATAGGTGTGCTCCTTCCCAACCCTTGACTTGCTTTAAAAAGACCCTGCTGGCCGTGGGCACCCCTCCTCCTGTGTTGCCACCCACCCCAGCAACCACCCAGCTGCCACGCTTAGCTTCTTTCTTTCACCAATCCCTGGCAGCAGAAAAGTATGCGGGAAGGCAGCTGGCCTCACCCACCCTTGAACTTTGGGAGTTTTCCTCTCCCCTCCCAGGTACAGTCTCTCCCGGCTGGTGTGTTGGTTAGTCCTCAGCTGTCTGCCTAGACTGCATCCAGGTTTGGGACTGCAGGGAAACACAGACTGCCACAGTGTGCCTCCCTACCCCCATCTGCCCCATGGCATATGCAGGAAGCTGATGCGAGGCTCACAGGGCCACTGGTATCTACTCTGTCTGTGGCCTGCTGGCCTGCAATCTGTCCGTACTGTCCTCAGCCTGCCACCCCACTCGTATTCAGAACCCCCTATGCCTGGCCCCAGCCTAGGTGCAGCTGATGACCTATGTAGTCTGAAACAGAAATCACTCACACTGGAAATGTTTGGAATGACTTTTGAAGATCATGCAGTCCAGCTCTCTTATTCATAGTGAGGCAGCAGAGGAAGAGAGATGGGGTGATTTACCCAGGATCGCAGAGACAGAGCCAGTATTACAATTCCTGGGGCCCCTACTTTACTTCTGTCCTCTTCCATCTTCATCAGAGGCAGGAAGATGGGCAGTAGCTATGTTTTCCTGAATTACTGTTCATTTGTCCTGTATCTGGGTCCCTGTGGAGATGAAGCCCTCATCCCTAGGAGATGATGTAATGAAAAGGAAGACTGTGGTCGGTCCACTTGTGCAGAGTGTTAGTCTTTAGAGCCTTTCTTGTTCTAGTCCCATGATGTAGCCAAGAGCAGGAAGCATTGTCCCCACTGTACTGATGATCAGGAAACCATTTCCCAGAGAGGTTAGGTGACTTATCCAAGGTGATGCGGCAGGGTGGTCTCAGAACTAGGTTACTTTACCCAACTGGTTTTGGCTGCTGAGTGGGAATGGGAGAAGGGTGGGAAGAAGCTCCCAAGACTCCCTTAAGGAAAGGTGTAACCTAAGGGAACTGCTTGGGTGATTATGTTGTCACCACGTCCGTTTCTCTCTTGAGACCAGACATTTATAAACTTGGCATTCGGAACCTGATGTGGGCCTTGAAAAGCAGGAATTGTGAGGCCAGTGCCCAGCAGCACTTTGCACAGAGGCTGCTGAGAGGGGGTGTCCAACAGGCATCCAGAGAGAGGCCAACCTCAGTGGAGTAGGATGGTTATTGGGGGGCTGTGCCTCTTCCCTGGCCTGATCTCATCCCTGTGGGTCACTCCCTGATGGCCACAGCCAAACCAGCAAATCAGTCTGTTCTTCCACCACCTCCAGAACCGGCCCTCCTAGCTCTATTTTGATTGTTTCTACATTTCCTTCAGACCTCCCTGCCCGCCTGCCCACCCCCCAAAAAACAGTTGAGAGGGAAAACATCTTGCTGATGTCCATGTGGTAGACACACAAGTATTTCTCCAGCTGAAATGGGGAACCAGGGTTAGGGCCAGTCCAGTCTGACACATGCATGTCTGCCCTCTTTCTGGTCAGAGAAGGGGAGGAACTCCTTAGGGCAAAAGAGGGAAAGGTTTGGCTATACTGACAGAGCCCAATCCCCTCCCCACCTCCCTCAGCCCCTTTGCTTACTGTCTCTCATGCCTCGCTCACTGATGGAAACAGCAGTGTGGGGCTGGGAGGTCTCTTTCCCAAGAAACCATATCCCCTAGACCTAGGGGAGGCTGGTGCGAAACACAGAGACCTACACTGGGAATTCAGAGACCTGGATGTGAGCCCAGCTCTGTCCTCAACTCACTTTGAAACCTTGGGTTGGTCACTTCTGTGCTCTAAGCCTCAGTTTCCTCATCTGTAAAACAATAGCTTGGAACAAATGGTCTCAAAAGGTCCTTTCAAGCTCAGTCTATGAACCCAACACCCCTACACATACCACATACAACAATAGAACTCTCCTACACAACCCAAAATAGGAACCAATATTGGGTACGATGTATACTATGTTGGTGATGGTCACATTAAAAGCCCAGACTTCACCATGTGTAACAAAACTACATTCGTGTCCCCTAAATCTATAAATAATAATATAATAAACAAAATACAAGCCCTGAATTGGAAATGGGAGATGGATACCAAGGCTTGAGTCCTCAGAACTTAGCTTTTCTTGGCCTTTACCTCTGGAGCAAGAGCCCAGCTGGTGCTTTTCTTTGCTGTTGCTTCTCAGTTCCCTCTCCTCACCCTGGGTGGGGTCTCTCTCAGGGGTGTTCATTGCCCGTATACCTTAGTACTTGGCCTAGTGATCAAAGCACCAGTCCTGGGTTCCATGTCTCATCACCAGATGGGGCTGGTGACCACCCCACATGGTGCTGTGAGAGTTAAATGGGGAGTATGTGTAGTGCACTTAGCATAGTAGATTGCACCAGACATATCTTCCAACAGTAGCTATTGTTATTCACTAGTGGAGAGTAGAATGAGGCCCTGGGGAGGGTGAGAGCAGTTCTCTAAGAAGTGTGGAAGTCTAAACCGCAGATGTGGCCAGGAGGACCCTCCCAATCCACACACTGGCCTCCCTGCCCCTTCCTGTATCAGTGCCAACTTTGTCCTGTGCATCAAAACCCTGACTCCATTTCATGGGTTGCTACTGCTCATTTGGCTGCGGGAAGGCCCCGCTTCTGAAAATAAAATTGCCTGTCAGAGAAACCCTAAGGATCAGGATTCCGGATCTGGGCAGGGCATGGACAAGTTGGGTGGCAGTGGCAAAAGCCCCTCCCCATGGTCTGCCTTTTCCCCCAGAAGCAAGTTGCTGGGACTGTTGCATAAAATGGCTCCCACCTCCAGTGCCCAGACAGCCTGCGCTGGGGTGAAGCTGGCTACACGTGCACTGAAGCTGGCAGGCTTGGGGAGAGGTGAGCTGAGGCCAGGTATCTGCTTCCTTTGCCCAGGATTTTGATGGTCTCTCCCCTACACCCACAGTGGGTGTGAACAACAAAGACCCAATCTTTTGATGGTGGTGAGGATTCCTCTGCACACGCTCACACTCACGTTCTCTACCCCCTTCTTTTCAACGTGGCCCACAGCACGATTCCAGACCCTGCTCTATTGTGCTCAGAGGAAGCAGCTGCTGGCTCCAGCCCGAATTTGGGAGTGCTTTGATATGCAGCCCTCTCTGGGGCCCTGCCAGTACTGACTCTAGATGAGCCCTCTGCGGCTGCTGGGCTCACAAATCAGCCTTCTCACCCCTTCCTCCAGGAGCAGTGTTGGATGAGAATCTCCCCCTTACACACATAGATCCTGTGTTTGTTTTGTCTGCTTTTGTTTGTTTGTTTGTTTTTGTTTTCCTGTTCTGTTCAATTTTATAAGGAGGCATAGCTTTTGGACTTGGTTGCAGGGTTGGGTTTGGAACTTAATAATACCTTGGATTGACAAAGGCGCCTTTTCTTCTAAAGAACACAAACCTTGATGGTTCTTGCCTGGGTGTGGTTCTCACCTGGGTGAGCCTGGCTGTGAGGGTAGGGGGCCTGAGGTCACCCCAACCACAGCTTCTGTGGTCCTACTGGCAGCATGTTCTAGACAGACCTGTGTGGAGCTGGGGAAAGGAGAGTGGAGAAGTTTGAGGAAGCTGCATGTTTATGTTTTGTGTTCCTCCCTCCCCCAGGTTGGGGTCAGCGGGACTTTATTTGGATCCACCACAGGTCTTTTCAACCAAAGCCTTGCAGAAACAGGCTTTACCCCATACACACAGAAGAGCAACGACTTCCTTGTTAAGAGTCTGAAAATCTGGGTGAGAGCCTGTCAGACCCATGGCCTCAGAGAGCAGGAAAAATCCTTTGCAACTGGGAAGGAAATTCAGAAGACAAAAAAAAAAAAAAATGCAGGGGAATAGGGGGCGGGGGCTAGTCTTTATACATTTCTTTCTTTCTTTTTTTTTTTGGAGACGGTGCTCACTCTGTCACCCAGGCTGGAGTGCAGTGTTAACAATCATGGCTCATGGCTCACTGCAAACTCAACCTCCCAGCTCAGGCGATCCTCACACCTCAGCCTCCTGAGTAACTGGGACTACAGGCATGTGCCACTACACCCAGCTAACCTTTTAATTTTTTTGTAGAGACAGGATCTCACTATGTTGCCCAGGCTGGTCTCAAACTCCTAGGCTCAAGCGATCTGCCAACCTTGGCCTCCCAAAATGCTAGGATTACAGGAATGAGCCACCGCGCCTGGCCTACATTTCTTAAATTTATGTTTTAAGGCCTGACTACAGATTACTTGCCTGTTTTATTCCATGGAAAAAGTCATGCTGGTCCAGGGACATTCTCATTTTCCATCAAGTGATGGCATGCAGCCGTAGAAAGCAACATCCTGTCCCCAGATGAGATAATTTTTTTGTGATAATTTTATAATAATTGTATCTATCTGGTAATTTCCTCCCCCCGCCTCTCCAAAAATACTTAGTTGTGGATAGTTTTAAGTGCTATATCCTGTCATCCTAGACTAATACATCTTAACGTTTTTAGGGAAATTCCTTTTTAGGGAATTCCTTGGAATCAGTACGACCTGCCTCCAGAAAAATGTTATGTCTGTTTCTGGAGGCCCATAGACATTTTTTTTTTTTTTGCCTTTTTCTCCATTGCCCAGGCTGCAGTATAGTGGCACCATCATAGTTCACTGCAGCCTCAAACTCCTGGGCTTTACACAATCCTGGCCTCAGCCTCTCAAGTAGCTGGGACTACAGCACACACCACTATACCCGGCTAATTTTTTTGTACAGAGAGGGTCTCTCTATGTCGCCCAAGCTGGTCTTGAACTCCTGGGCTCAAGCAGTCCTTCAGCCTCGGACTCCCAAAGCACTGGGATCATAAATGTGAGCCACCACGCCCAGCCTGAGCTCACGCTATAAATGCCCCATATTGGTTTTTCTCCCTCAGTTTCCAGACAACCCCTGCTCTGTCCTGAGTCCCATATTTCTGCCATAAGAAGCAGGTTGCCTCACCGTTCCCCGGGGGCTGCAATGGGGGCATCACAGGGGACTTTGTGAAAGGCATTAGAAATGATAAATTCCCTAGTGATCAAGTGCAGCTCAGATGGGACAGCTGGCCTCCCACCCATCCCTCTGACTCTCAGCTTAATCATTGCCTAAGGAGTGGTTTTCACTCGGTTAATTTAATGAGTGCTCTGTATTTCTAGTACACACGAAAAATGCAACTGTATGATCTTCCAGCCAGGTTGGGCCTCTTGGCTTAGCTTTTCCCAGAGCTTGGTGCTTCATCTTTGTTCAGGAAGAAAGGAGGTCTGTCTCTCTTCTCCTTCCCTCCAAATGCAGACGGAAAGTCTCGTCCTCTGAGGACTTGCAGAAAGGAGGAATGTCTCAGGAGGGATCATTTGGGGAGCTGCACTCCCAAGGAGTTGAGAAGCAGCCTGGTTGAGTAACTGGGAAAGGCAAAGCAGCCTGACTTGGAGAGGGGCCCGGATTAATGTGATTCCAGAGGAGGTCCCGGTAGAGAGAAGTTTGGGGACTACTGACTTGGAGAAAAATCAGAAACCCGGGTCTTAAGAGCCCTTCCTCTTCAATCCTTAAGCCAGGCATTGTGCCTGAGGGAAGAAATAGTGGCTCTTATGAGCTCTGCTAGAAAAGTAACCCTTCAGGCCAGGCGCGGTGGCTCACGCCTATAATCCCAGCATTTTGGGAGGCCGAGACAGGCGGATCACCTGAGGTTGGGAGTTTGAGACCAGCCTGGCCAACATGGAAAAACCCCCTCTCTACTAAAAATGCAAAATTAGCCAGTCATGGTGGCAGGTGCCTGTAATCCCAGCTACTTGGGAGGCTGAGGCAGGAGAATTGCTTGAACCTGGGAGGCGGCGGTTGCAGTGAGCTGAAATCGTGCCATTGCACTCCAGCCTGGGCGACAAGAGTGAAACTCCATCTCAAAAAAAAAAAAAAAAGAAAAGAAAAGTAACCCTTCACAGCTTACCCAATGCACATCCAAGTTTCCAGTGACACCTCTGAGCAGGCTAAGCAGCTGGTGGCTCCTGCCAAGCCCTCTCCTCGGAACTGAGCTTCACAGCTTCAGGTGCCAGTCCCTTGCTGACACTCCCAGTCTAAGCTGTGTGTTAGTCTCCAAGTTCAGAAACAACACAATACATGGGTCATAGGAGAAGAACCTCGACTGAGGCTAAAAATACCATAAAGTTAATCAGGCAGTTTTATTAATTATGAATTTATTAATTCAAAACCTATTCAAGGATTTTAGTTTTTTTTGTTTGTTTGTTTGTTTTTGTTCTTTTTTTTTTGAGGTGGAGTTTCACTCTTGTTGCCCAGGCTGGAGTGTAATGGTGCGATCGCAGCTCACCGCAACCTCCGCCTCCTGAGTTCAAGCCATTCTCCTGCCTCAGCCTCCTGAGTAGTTGGGATTACAGGGGTGTGCCACCATGCCCGGCTAATTTTTAGTAGAGACGGGGTTTCTCCATGTTGATCAGGCCGGTCTTGAACTCCTGACCTCAGGTGATCCACCCGCCTCAGCCTCCCAAAGTGCTGGGATTACAGGTGTGTAGTTTAATGTCTTTTAAACCTAAGTTGATTGAATGTAGTATGATAATACAGTGTACTGATTTATTAAAACTCTAAATGAAATGATCAGCAAAATCATACTATTTGTGAACTCATCATTGCTTTTTTTGTTGTTTGTTTTGAGACAGAGTCTCGCTCTGTCACCCAGGCTGGAGTGCAGTGGCGCAATCTTGGCATACTGCAACCTCTGCCTCCCAGGTTCAAGTGATTCTCCCGCCTCAGCCTCCTGAGTAGCTGCGACTACAGGCACATGCCACCACGCCCAGCTAATTTTTGTATTTTTAGTAGAGATGGGATTTCATCATGTTGGCCAGGCTGGTCTCACCTCAGGTGATCCACCCACCTCTGCCTCCCAAAGTGCTGGGATTATAGGCGTGAGCCACCGCACCGGGCTCGTCGTAGCTTTTCAAGTCAATAGAAATCTGGTGTTTGAATCCACATCATGTCTTCCCTTGTAGGTGGGCAGTTGCAGTGTGTAGTGTGCATGCACACCCCAGATTTATGCCCAACTCCACTGGATGTTTTCTGGGTGGGGAGTCATCCATACCTCCCTCAGCGGCCCCGTTCCTAGAGACGGGAGGCCCTTCCCACTAAGACATATTCCTCCTGCTCTCCATGGTGCAATGTAAACATCTTCTTTCTCACAATGTGGGACTGTGGATTTAAATTTATTATTGCTAAGCTCAGATGTTTTAAAGCTTCCTGTCTACAAGCCTGAGAAAATCTCTTCATACTCTCCTTTCCTCCTCTCTAGTCAAATTGTAGCCCTGGCTCCCTAAGACACAACCCTTTAGAGACCCAGACTGCAAATTTCTTTTTTTTTTTTTTTTTTTTTCTGAGATGGAGTCTCATTCTGTTGCCCAGGCTGGAGTGTAGTGGCACAATCTCGGCTCACTGCAACCTCTGCCTCCTGGGTTCAAGCGATTCTCATGCCTCAGCCTCTTGAGTAGCTGGGATTACAGGCATGTACCACCATGCCCGGCTAATTTTTGTGTTTTTAGTAGAGATGGGGTTTTGCCACGTTGACCAGGCTGGTCTCGAACTGCTGACCTCAGGTGATACGCCCACCTCGGCCTTCCAAAGTGCTGGGATTACAGGCGTGAGTCACCGCGCCCAGCTGGGACTGCTCATTTCAAATAGAAATTAGATTATCTTCTAGGATGAGGAGGGACACTTTGGCCTTCTTTGTCATGGGAGGCTGGCACTCTCCTCTAGGACCCTGGGGTGTGTCTTGAGAGCTCGTGCCCAGGGCTATAACACAGAGAGGCCTGTGCTGATGTCATCTTGTTCTGCCCTTTGCTGGCAGGGTGGTTCTGGGGAAGGGCAGAGGCTCCGGGTCCCACTCTGGGGCTGTTTTCACGGGGGATGGAAGGACCATGGCCACTGAACGGGCTGCGGTCCCGTCTATGGACACAATGCCAATGGGCAGCTGCAACAGTGCAGCCAAGGGGAAAGGAGGATGTGCGAGTTGCCCTGGAGAGTCCCTTCCCAGAGCGCCGCCTCTGTCCACCCTGACTATATGACCAGTGGAACCAAGGGTGTGGCTGAAGCTCTCAGGACAAAGGCCAGGGAGAGGAAGCACCGGCTGTTTTTTTTAGACTCTCTTCGAGCACCCACTACCCCCACTGCCCCCAAGCGAGGCCAGGTGTAGGTGGCATCTCCAGCCCAGGTGGCCATGCAGCTGCCCTGCTGTCAGGGAGGAGGCGCGTCTGCAAGCTGCCTTCCTTCCGGTGCAGATGGGCTCCCTTGTGGCCTTTAAAGATCGAAAACACCACTTTGAAATGGGATTAGATATGAATGGGGGGGAAACAGGCAAAAGGGAAAAAATTCTGGCTTCAGAATAGAAGAAATGGATCAAAAACACAAACAGCTTAACAAAATAATTGAGAATTGGGGCTCTGCAGTCAGACCATTCTGGGTTCAAGTTCTAACTCTGCCACTTACTTGCCCTGTGATCTCAGTTGAGCAACTTTTTTTTTTTTTTTTTTTTGAGAAGGAGTCTCGCTCTGTTGCCAGGCTGGAGTGCAGTGGCGTGGTCTTGGGTCACTGCAACCTCTGCCTCCTGGGTTCAAGCGATTGAACAGCCTCAGCCTCCCAAGTAGCTGGGATTACAGGCACGCACCACCATGCCTGGCTATTTTTTTATATTTTTAGTAGAGATGGGGTTTCACCATGTTGGCCAGGCTGGTCTTGAACTCCTGACCTTGTGATCCTCCCGCCTTGGCCTCCCAAAGTGCTGGGATTACAGGCTTGAGCCACCGTGCCCGGCCCGAGCAACTTAACTTTTGTGCCCCAGTTTTTTCATCTAAAAAATAGAAGACAATATTACCTCTTTGGTGGGCCTATTCTGAAAACTAAATAGTTCTGGAGAAGTGCTTAGGGTGGGGTTGTGGAACATAGATAGCAAATATTTGAGTACTTGCTGCTAGTAATTAGGTGACCTAATATGAAGAAGGAGCTCCTGGCAGAGGGGTAGGGCAGGTTGATAGGTTAGACAAGAGTTTGGGGATCTTGGCCTCCCTTGCTGGCTTGGGGTTTGCAAGATCCCATGTTGGAGCAGGAGGGCCGTTCCACCAAGCGGTGCCGGAAGTGCTTTTAGCCGACCCTGCCACTCCAGGCACCACCTGGCATTGCTTGAAAACTGTCAAGGAAGGAGCATCTCCCACCACTCAGGGCCACGCACGCACGTGGCGGCCAACTCTGCAGATGGAATGAGAGCAAGCTGCTGCAAGTGGCTAGAGTGTGTCAGCAAGAGTGTGTGCAGTCATCGCCAGACAGCTCGGCGAGGCATACACAACGGAAAACAAATGTGTGGTATTCTGGAATTTAAAGCAAAACATCCAAAACAATCCCCCACATCAGATGATTTTGGTTAAGATCAGAATGCCTGCTTTCAGTGGAAAAGGGATTTATGGGCTGGCCAGTGTATGCTACGCGTCTGGCAAGCAGGCAGTGGAAACTTGAAATGGGATTTCTTGTTTAGAAAGAGGTTACCTTGGGCTGGGGCCTCCCTCCCAATCAGCCCCAACATCCTAACGCCAGTACACTTCACTGAAGCTTTTCTCCTCTCCAGGGCAGAGGAAGGGCTCCAGGTTTTTAAATGATGCTGACTTTGTCCTTGAAAGGAGGGAAGATTTCTCAACTCGAACTTGTTCAGACCAGGTAGCTGCCTAATTTCCAGAAAGATATGCTGAGAAAAAGCTTACGGAGTTCCTCATCCTCTGCCACACCCTGGAGAGGGGACCAAGCTGTCTCCCTTCTATCAGGGAGGAGACAGGTCAGCAAGTAACCGATCTCTGCATGGCATGTGCTGTGCACCGTCAGAGGAAGAGTGCTGACAGCTGGGTCACTCATGCCTGCTCTGTGACCACGGGCAAGTCGCTTTACCTCTCGGAGCCTGTTTCTTCATCTCTCACAGGGATGATTCTAACTAGCTCTCAGGCTCTAAGGCAGCCCACTAAGAATCAGAAGGGGCAGCAGGGCCTTGTAGTGTAATTCTAGTCTCCTCCCTGGGAAACCTCTCATGCATTGCATTACTGTTGCTCCCACAGGGAATGTTCTCTTGTAAAGTAATGGCCTGCACCAGCCTGAGGCCAGGCTCGAACATTTACACACAACGAGCCAGGCATAGCAAGGTGGTGGCACCCCCAGGCTGTAGCTGTCTAGGGCCACCTTCACCCTTCCACCCAGGAGCCCCCCAGCTGCACTAGCACCCCTGGAAAGGGAGGCCACAGAGTCAGTAGGCAGGCTAAGCATGTGCTTAGGGCACCAACAATGCAGGCAGCTCAAGGAATCCAGGGAAATAGGCACTTTTTTTGAGCTTTATCTTACAAGTTCAACTTTTTTTATGTTGAATTGTATGGGTTGTGGGGTAGGTACCATAATCATCTCAGTGTCTAGAGCACTAAATGGCCACAGAAGGCAGAAGTTGGCCTCCCCAGGGACCCAGCTTGTCATGGAATGTTGGGTTTAAGTGTATGTGTGGACCCCTCTCCCCAGCCTGCCCTTATGGTATAAAAGAGTGACATATAATAGCAGGGGCCATTTATGACCCAGGGACATTGCTGGGGTTGGGGGGAGTGGGCCAGGAGCGGGCAAGGAGTTGTCTTGATAGAAACGCTGATTCCCGTGGGGAGACAGCAAATTAGTCACTCTCCTTAAGCCTTACTTTCCTTATCTGTGTAATGAAGGTAATAACACAACCAGCGTCTTACGATTGTTACTGGGACTAAGGGGATATTTAATGTAAAGCTATTATATGGGCCTGGCTCACAGGCAGAGCTTCTGTGTTAGCTTCTGCTGCTGTTGCTGTAGTTGCTGCTACTGGTACCTCTCCTTAACATTTTTCACAGATTGAGGTTGTCTAAGTGTTCACATTCATCCATATCTTCTCACTTCAGTTCATGAAACCACATCACACAAGATCAGTCAATGCTGAAATTTACCTCCAGTCTTTCTCCCTCTCGAACACGAATTGGAGGACGTATCTTTCCACCTGTCTATAAAACACTCATTTCTGAGACTTCCCCAGTTTGGGGAAGACGGATAAAGAAGGGAATCAGTTTTGCACTTTGCTGGAAGCGCCTGTAAGAATGCCCCATTGGCAGAGACTCGCTTTGTGGAGCTCAACTTGGAAATTAATTTACAATGGAAATTGAAGGAAAATCTACTTCATGTCCACACCAAGAAGGGTGGCCTCAATGCCTCTCCTTCAGTTCACTCCTTGTGCCTTCCAAAAGGAAGTTGATTCTTCGTATGTAGAATTTTCTGGACACCTAGAACACCTACACCCAGAAACCAGGTCCCAGAGAGATGCAGAGCCACGGTCACCATTGCTTGTGTAGACACCAGGGGTAGGAAGTGGAAGGAAGGTAGCGCCTGAGGGTGCAGCTTCCCAGGGACCACCACCTCTCCCAGCCTCAATGGCGGGAGAGAACAAACCCAAGGGAGAAGCTACGGGCCAGCATCTTCCCTCCCTCCCTCTTGGCCCCCACCAGGGCTAGGGTCAACACCCCAAATTGAAAGCATCTGTTGTCAAGCTGCAGCAGGCAGGGAAACCCTGTCACCAGGTTAAGGCTTAAGTCAGAGCATTTTGCCAAATTCAACACGTCCAAGCCTCCCACTTGTCCCCCAAGAAAATTTCTCAGGGATTCACATCTTTCCCAGTCACCCCCTGGCCAGTGAGGAAGCACCGTGCATCGAGAAGAGCATAGCTTTGAGTCGTCTATGTGGAGCTGGTTCCATCTGAGCTCTGCCTCTTCCTGGCTGTGTCTTTTTGAGTCAGTTGCTTAAAATCTCTGAGCCTGATTCATCCATAAAATGAGGGTGATGAGAGGATTCAGTGAGAGACTGTACATAAACCACCTCCTGTAATGTGTCGGGGGCGTGGGTCCTTGTACATAGTAACTTCTACTGTTAAATTGCTACTGTGGTGTTATTTTCCCTAAGCTAGACAACCTGCAACTTGACCATTAGCCTCTTTTTTTTTTTTTTTTTTTTTTTTGAGATGGGGTCTCTGTCACCCAGGCTGGAGTGCAGTGGCGCAGTGTCAACTCACTGCAGCCTTGACCTCCTGGATTTAAGCCATCCTCCTTCCTCAGCCCCCCAAGTAGCTGGAACTACAGGCGTGTGCCACCATTCCCAGCTAAGTTTTTGTATTTTTTAGTAGAGACTGGGTTTTACCATATTGCCCAGGCTGGTCTCCAACTCCTGAGCTCAAGCATTCCGCCCCCCTCTCAGCCTCCCAAAGTGCTAGGTCAGGTCAGAGGCCTGACCATCAGCCTCTGAGTGTATTCTTTTAAAAAATTGTTTTTCTAGAGTTCGGGGAGGTTTGAGGAGAAGTCCAGTCTCATGCATAACAGCGAGCTGGCCTAGGGAGCACAGCCGGCTGCAGAATTCAGGGGGGAGGTTCTTACCAGGAGTGCCCTGCTGCAGGTTGTGGGAGCCTCTCACGGGCCCACTGAGTCACCAGGGCCTGTTACCAGAGGAGAGTTCACGCAGGCAGGGCCTGGGTGGTGGATGTGCATTTGGGAGCCAAACGCAGGTTCCAACTTGAGCCCTTTACCATGACTTCCTGGCTCAGTGGGTTCAGCACAGAGTTGTCCAGCCGTTCTCTCTCCTTTCTTACCTCTTCCTGCCTTCCCACCTCTCTGCATCCTCACCCTTAATGGTCACAATGCCGCATTTCCAGGGTGACCCCAGGTTCCCTCCCCGTGGCTCACAGTGCTGGTCAAAGCATTTGAGCCCCCAAATGCCCCACTCTCCAGATCGGAGTGTAAAGTAGTAGGTGCCAGTCCTGCTCCCTCGTGGGGCTGGGCAGTGAGCTCTCCCTAACACACACAAAGCACCTCCAGCTCAGAGGAAGCTCACACCTCCCATCCATGCCTTCAGGCTTTTCGGCACTGGCATTTAGAAAGCTATTCTCTGGATTCAGAACCCCCAGAGAGAGCTTTTCTCTGTCCTTCCTGATTATTGGTGTGTAAATGAAGGCCTAGAGTAGTGGTTCTTAAACTTGAGCGTGATGAGAGTCACCTGGGGAGGTGTTGGAAAACAGAGTGCCGGCCCAGTCCCACTCCAGTTTCACTGAGTGAGTCTAGGAGGGAACTGCGAATTTGCATGTCCAGGTTCCTGGGTCATCCTGCTGCTGGTCTGGGGTCATTTCGAGAGCTGCTGGACTGGCATAGAGAAGAGTTTCCTGGGTTGCCTTTGAAGATAAGAATTTCTGAAGGTTTGAGCACTGCCTTCAGACAGTGGCTCGGTAGAAGTCCCAAGAGCAGAAGTTGTCTGGAGAGGAGAGATGGCCCCCAGGATGCGCCTGACCAACCAGTCATACCTACAAAAGGGAGTTCTGGTTCTCTAGGGCTGTGATCTCTGGGGCTTTTCAACTTGGCTGTAGTAAAACTAAAGTTAGTAATATGCCCTGTTGTCATCTAGAAATTCCGCCATGAGCTATTACAGTAGTTTAGTTGGGACGCTTAAGGAGAGCAAGTCGTGGCAATTTCTTCTGCTGATTACAGCGGAGTTTTGGTTTTCTTGTTCCCGGTGTTTACTGTGTGGTGGAGCTGGATAAGGGAGCACCCCAAAGCCTCTAGTCCTGCCCAAGTGGCTTTGCCCTTCCAAAGACAACAGCCCCAGCCTTCATTTGGAGGTGGGAGAGGAGGACACAGAGAGGGTTGGAGGAGGCTGTGGGCATCGGGATCCTGTTTGTTCTTGCTGGCACTGCCTGGCCCGGCTTCCTGAGGAGTGAATCAGCCCATCCAAGGCTTGGCATGCAGTAGTGAGCCAAGGGTTGCCATGGAGATGGGCGAGGCCCAGAGCCCACAGGTCTGGGTGGCCTGACTTGTTTTTAAATGTTGAAGTCTGTGCGAAGAGGGAGGGCCTATCTCCACTTCTGTGGCTTTCTTAAAGCGTGACTGGTATTTTGGGGCCTGGAAAACTGCTGGTGTGGGAAACTTGCATCCCCAGTATTTGGTGTGTTGCTTACTTCCTGGGTGCTATGGACAACTATGACTAATGCTCTCCCAAGTTTAGTAGATGACAAAAACAAAAACCAGGGCTGACAAGCATCTTATTGAAGGAGGGTGATAAAGAGGCCAAGGTTTCCTCTCCTGCCCAACCCAGGAAAATCCCCTCTCTCTCTGTTATCTGCTGCTGTAATAACTCCTTTCAGCAGGGTTAATTTGCCCACGGAAGCAGTTTGTGATCCAAGGAAGGACAGAAGCCTAAAATCTGAGCCAACAGTCTCCCTTTAGCCTTCCTTCCCCACTTTCCTTTGGCCATTCCCATCCAGTCTTAGTGGAGCTCTGGATGGCAGTTTGCAGGTGTGAAGCAGATAAGTTTATCCATTTTCCTCCACTACCCAGCGCTCACACAGACTCCCACACAAACCAGGAAACAGAACCCCAGTGTCCTAAATTCCCCCGCTGCCACCCAGCCGCCTTCTCCGATCACAGGAGGACACAACAGCCGTCCACAGAGGGCCCATGAATTGACCCAGTGTCACCTCACGTCTTTCTCAGGGTTTATTATTATTGTCATTTTTTTTCCCTATGGAATCCGGCTGGCTGTAACACTTCACAGTTTTCAGAATGTTTTACATGCATCACTTTATTTAATCCTCTCCTTCAACCTACGTTGAAGGCAGGACAGGTATCATACTGTTTTTTTTCCACAAACGAGGACTGTAACGTTCAGAGAAGCTGAGGAAAGTGTGTAGTGTCAGAGAGCTCCTAGGTAGCAGTGCCAGAATTAGAGCCCAAGTTTATATCCATCACAGTCCAGTCATTCTCAACAGAGGCGTGCAATAGAATCCCTGGGAGCACAAAGAGTCCCCTGGGATTGCTGAGGCAGGTGCATGTTTAGAAATCCCCCAGGTAGGCTGGGTGCCATGGCTCACACCTGTAATCCCAAGCTTTGGGAGGCCAAGGTGGGTGGATTGCTTGAGCTCAGGAGTTCAAGACCAGCCTGAGCAACACGGTGAAACCCTGTCTCTACAAAAAAAATAAGAAAAAAAAAAATTAGCCATGTATGGTGGCTTCCACCTGTGGTGCCAGCTACTTGAGAGACTGAAGTAGGAGGATCGCTTGAGCCCGGGAAGCAGAGGTTGCAGTGAGCCAAGATTGTGCCACTGTACTCCAGCCTGGGTGACAGATTGAGACCTGTCTCAAAAAAACAAGTATTTTCCCAGATGATTCTGATGCCCACCCCATAAAGAAGCAGGCCCTAGGTGGCACAGCTGTGCAGGCAGCAGCTCACTATTCTTTCTATTAAGCCACCTGTCCCTTGTTGAAAATTGTGTATCATTTTGACCATGGGCTCAGCAGAGTAACCAAGTAGCCATTGCTTTTCCAGGAGGACAATGGGAAGTTGGGAAGAAAGTTCTCCCTCCTTCCTGGACTCCATCCACTCACCACTGCCCACCTCCAACCCCTCCCAAAGTGGTAGATATGGCCACCTCAAGGCCAAGGCATCCTCAGCAAGAAATCACTGTGAGCAATGATCTGCTCTCCACTTTCTGGGCTTTCCAAGGCAGCTGAATAGAGGAAGCATAACAAATATTTTGTCCTTTTTAAAAAATGGGCTGGGTACAGTGGCTCATGCTTGTAATCCCAGCACTTTGAGAGGCCAAGCTGGGTGGATCTCCTGAGCCCAGGAGTTCGAGACCAGCCTGGACAACATGGGGAAACTTCATCTCTACAAATAATTTTTAAAAATTAGCTGGGCGTGGTGGTGCACACCTGTAGTCCCAGCTACTCAGGAGGCTGAGGTGGGAGGATCATCTGAGCCTAGAGAGGTCGAGGCTGCAGTGAGCCATGGTCATACCACTGCACTCCAGCCTGGGTGACAGAGTGAGACCCTGTCTCAAAAAAAAAAAAGTGTATGGCCAGTCAGTACATATTACAGAAGATGGGACCTGGAGGAAAAGGGGGCCCACGCCAAGAGCACCCAGTTTGTTTGACCACAAAGGATTTTTCTTTGCAGTAGGATTTGTCCCATAGGCAAACTTGGCTTCTCCCACCCGGGGAGTGGCATGCAGTATGCCCTCCCCCACACTGAAACCACGTTCAACCCACTGCTCTTTTCCTCTTCCTCTGGGTTACCTCCTCTTTTTCAGCACACCTACTTCAAGAATTTCCATCAGGAGGCCAGGCTGTACATACGAACCTCCCCAGGTTCTAACTGGAACTGGTTTTGCACACTTGGCATAGAGTCCCCAGAGCAGCCAGGTGCCCCTAAGCTCCGTTACACTTTGATGTTTTTTGTTTAATCCTCCTTTGAAATTGGAAATGTTTCCTGTAACTCCAGGTGTGTGTTTCAGTGTAAGATTTCTGAACCTGTCCCTGCAGCAAGATTTTGCAGTGTGAGTCACTGAAATTCTCATCTTTGCGTGGGAGCCTTGGGTGAATTGTGCTCTCAGTGGTGAGTGGGTGTGGCAAGGGATGACCAGGACACCATTCATTGTGGGCCTGAGTTTGGGGCACTCTTGGGTTCTCATGTCTCCTGAGGCTCACATAAGCCCCAGGTGACCAGCTTACCTGTGTTCGTCAAACATAAGAGTGTTTGACTGGACTTCTTTGAGGGATGGGGGTGCTGGCAGAGTTGCAGATAAAGACCGAGGACAGCAATGCATGGGTTGTTTTTTTGTTGTTTTTATTTTTGGAGATGGAGTCTCGCTGTGTCACCCAGGCTGGAGTGCAGTGGCTCAATCTCCGCTCATTGCAACCTCTGGCTCCCGGGTTCAAGTGATTCTCCTGCCTCAGCCTCCCAAGTAATTGGGACTACAGGCACACACCACCACGCCCGGCTAATTTTTGTAGTTTTAGTAGAGACGGGGTTTCACCATGTTGGCCAGGCTGGTCTCAAACTCCTGACCTCAAGTGATCCGCCTGCCTTGGCCTCCCAAAGTGCTGGGATTACAGGCATGAGCCACCGCACCCGGCCTGCATGGGCTTTTTGTAAACTTGGTTTTCCAAAGTCTGTATAAGGATTTGCCTGTAAGTCACATTGGGACATGCTTCACCAACAGAAAGGGAAATTGTTGTCATTCCCCAAATATTCCCCAACCAACCTTAATGGGGCTTCCTTAGTATTTACTCTGGGCAAATAATTGTTCTTTGTGGTTTCTTTTTTTTTTCTTTTGAGATGGAGTCTTGCTCTGTCGCCCAGGCTGGAGTACAGTGGCGTGATCTCGGCTCACTGCAAGCTCCGCCTCCCGGGTTCACTCCATTCTCCTGCCTCAGCCTCCCAAGTAGCTGGTACTACAGGCACCCGCCACCACGCCCGGCTAATTTTTTGTATTTTTAGTAGAGACAGGGTTTCATCATGTTAGCCAGGATGGTCTCCATCTCCTGACCTCATGATCCGCCCGCCTCGGCCTCCCAAAGTGCTGGGATGACAGGCAAGAGCCACTGCGCCTGGCCTCTTTGTGGTTTCTGACTCTTGTGAGACATTTGAAGATGGATCTGGATAAAAGGCCTGATGGGAAAGGAAGCTGGTCCAAATGAAGAGGACACAGGAGAGGAGATCTGGGTGGATTTCAAATACTTTTTCACTGAAGTAGTCATTCATTTATGGAGTAATTACTTACTAATGACCATCCGTCCAAAGCATGGATGGGGCAAAGGAGATAAAAGAATGACTCAGAGGTCCCCTGGACCTCAAGGAGCTTGTGCTCTGCTGAGATGGGAGGCAAACCCCAGATAGAGGAAGGGCAGAGAGTGTGGAGCATGGATGCTGGAGAGGACAGGATGGATGCGACACTGGCCTGCTCACGTGCTTGGCTTGCTCAGGGGTTGCATTTGCCATTTGCATGGGAGGAATGGGAGGAAATGGGTGGGGAAGCAGCAGGCTTGGCTTAGGCGATCACGACAGCATTCTAAGAGGGACTTGTACTAGCAGAGGCACAATGCACGAGGCTGAACTCGGGAAACTTGGAGAGATTGCATCTAAGGAGCAGACAAGGAGGAGGCAGGGTTCAGTGGTGTCAGCTGCTGTGGGATCCCAAGACATAAGGATTCAGCAAAAGTCTTAAGACTCACCACCCCTTTCGGGTTGGGAGAGATGCAGTGACGAGCCAGTGAGGACTTGGAGGTGGTTAAGACGCCAGCTCAGGGGTGAAAGGAAAGCAGAGAGCACCCTGAAGGAGCTGCGAGGTTGAAGAAAAAAAGGGTTCTATTTCTGGTTTTCTTCTGTTTGGATTTTTAGGTTAGGGAGACCTGTCTGTGTCTTCGCAAAGGTCAAAAAAGTGGCAGAGGCAGACCTGCATAGTCAGGAAAGAGGTTAATTAGTGGAGCAGGTTCTTGAAGGAGACAGGAAGCTTTGAAAGAGAGAGACCCCTGCTTCTTTATTATTGTTTTATACACTTTGTTTTAGAATAATTTTAGATCTACAGAAAAGTTGCAGAGATAGTGTAGAGAATTCCCTCATCCTCCTCCCCAGTTTCCCCTATTGTACCATCTCATATTACTGTGTTTCATTTGTCACAACTAGGAAACCACCGTTGGTACATTCTGTTAACTGAGCTCTGGACTTAGTCGGATTTCACTAGTTTTTCATGTAACGTCCTATTTCTGTTCCAGGGTCCTATCCAGGACACCACAGGACAGTTGTCATGCCCCCTCAGTCTTCTCTGGGCTGTGACAGTTTCTGTCTTTCCTTGTTTTCCATGACCTTGACAGTTTGGAGAGAAGTGCTAGGCAAGTATTTTGTAGACTGTGCTCAGTTGAGGTTTGGCTCATGTTTTTCTCAGGGCCTAGCACCAGTGAAGAAACGAAGAAATTTCCAGTAAAACAATGGGAAAAAATGACCCTTTTCCTCTCGGCCCTCTCAAAGGGATGGAACCATTTTTTGGCCAGATAGCAAAGGAGCTTTTCCCAGCAAAACCAGAATGTTTCCATTTGGCTTTTCTTGGAAACAAAAGAGGAAACCATGGGCAGGGCCGCGAGCTGGGAGTAGAAGCTATGGGCTCTCTCCTGCATCCCCGCATCCCCGCCCGACCAGCTGGGCATACTACAGGTTGCCATCCTCTCTCCAGAGCCCTGGGAACAGGGCACTGTCTCATTCAGCATCCGCATCAAACCTGCTCTGCTCCTGGGATGATAGGCTGGGGTGGGGCAGCCATCGAAGAAATTACATGGTCAGCATGCCGCCATATGTCTGTTAATTAACCTGGGTGGAAGCCATCGACCCCTTGGCCTCCCGGACTCCTATATTCTCATTTATGGAGTCCCTGAATAATTGACTTGGCACCCTCTTTTAAGGGTTAAAGCTCTCTTTTTTTCTTGCTCCTGGCCCCTCCCATTTAGTTTCTCCTATTATTAAAGTAGCTGAAGCTGGGCGCAGTGGCTCACACCTGTAATCCAAGTGCTTTGGGAGGCTGAGGCAGGAGGATTGCTTGAGGCCAGGAATTTAAGACCAGCCTGAGCAACATAGCGAGACCCCTGGCTCTACAAAAAAAAAAAAAAAAAAAAGGGTTTAAAATATTAGCCAGGATTAGCGGCATGCACCTGTAATCCCAGCTACTCAGGAGGCTGAGGTGGAAGAATGGCTTGAGCCCAGGAGTCCAAGGCTACAGTGAGCTATGATTGCACCACTGCACTCCAGCCTGGGTGACGAGAGCAAGACCCTGTCTCAAAAAATAAAGCAGCTGGGGTGAAAGCCGGATGGGGACAGGGGAGCCCCTCTATGCCACACCAGAAAGTGAGTTCTCCTAGAAAATACTTCAGAGCGCCTTAGATAGCGCTGCCTGACAACCATGAAAGGCATTATTGGGTGGCACTGGTTATACAAGTTTTGTGACCCTGTGACCCCAAGCCATTGTGACTCAGCCAACTGGAGCAATGTCTCCAACAGCGTTACAGAAAATGGGGCAGCTGATGGTTCACATAGCATCCCCCCCGGCCGGTGAACTCAGTCATTCTGTCAGAAAAGGCAGCAGGGTTCACTCCTGATTTTTGTCCAAGTGTTCCCAGTCATGCCCCTGGCCCTCCCTTTTCTCTGGGTTACTTGAACCTTTCTCCTCTCTTATTGTGAGTTGTTAAGCCTGTGAGACCGAGACCTATGGCAGCTTTTCCCATTTCTCCAGAGCCAGCTGCTTTTCCTTCCTGGTTGTAGTGAAATGTTGTAGCTTTGACAACCAAGCCGCATGATGTAAGGTTTAAGGTGGGGTCCGAATGCGGGGGACTCCCGACTCCGGGCTTGGCCTGGCCCTTGGCCAAGATAAGAGACCTGAGATGCTTCCTTTTCCCTCGTGGTTCCAGTTCTCCAGCCCAGCATCCTTCTTACCACCTGTGCACAGAGACCGGATCAATGACTGGACTTAACATATTGGCTCAGGGTCCTCGACATTGGGGCTCTCTATAAGATGGAAGGGGCCTTACCCCTGGAGGTTCCACTGGGGTACCCTGTCATTATCTGAGCGTGGAACATTCCCAGAGAGACGCAGCTCCTGCTCGTGAGAGGCTGCTGTGCAGAGCGTAGCTTTACCTCATCTTACAGCTTAGTTCCTTGGCAGACCTGGGATTGTTTTCGTTCTTTTCTGCGACTCAGTTTTCCCAGCAGATAAGGGGTGGGGTCATAACTTCACTCATCAGGGGAAGTAAGATGACTTGGGAGATAATTGCTTGATAAGCACAAGCCTAGAGCAAAAAGGACAGTAATGAGCACTGTCTCGCTATCTCCCTATGCGCGCAAGAGCATCACAAGACCAGGGCGAGAGGGAGGACCAGGGTGAGAAACAGGTTGTGGCTAAACGTGGACCAAAATTGAGCACCGGCCTACAGTTTTCAGGTTAACGCTTTTATGTCCAGGAGGCCAGCAGCTTCAGTCTTCCATTCCCAGGGGACTGACTGGGCCTCCCTGGGGTTGGGGTGGAAGGAGGGAAGGTATCACCTTTGTACTTTTTTTTTTTTTTTTTTGAGAGGGAGTCTCGCTCTGTCGCCCAGGCTGGAGTGCAGTGGCGCAATCTCCGCTCACTGCAAGCTCCGCCTCCCGGGCTCACGCCATTCTCCTGCCTCAGCCTCTGGAGTAGCTGGGACTACAGGCGCCCGCCACCACGCCTGGAGAATTTTTTGTATTTTTAGTGGAGACGGGGTTTCACTGTGTTAGCCAGGATGGTCTCGATCTCCTGACCTCGTGATCCACCCGCCTCAGCCTTCCAAAGAGCTGGGATTACAGGCGTGAGCCACTGCACCCAGCCCACCTTTGTACTTTTAATGCTCAGGGACCTGGGGGGGGACCCAGGCCAGGACTTGCCATGTACAGAGTCAAGACCGCCCAGTGTGTGCTTGTCTAGTCCCTTGTGTACGTGAATTCAAGCCACATAACTCTTCTAGCCCAGCACGCTCCCAGCAGGGCCCGCCTCCCCGCCTAAGCTAACTGCAGTGCTCTTGGTCGGGGAACCCATGGTCTGAATGCGAGTACCCTGCTGGGTCCAGGACGGTGGAGACTCACGCTTCTCCCCAACCAAACAGTGATCTGCTTGCTGCCTTTGGATTAGGCCAGGAGACCCTCCCTCACTGGCCTTTTATTAAGAAAGAAAATCAGACTCGTCTTTGAACTCAGAACTCTCAAGTTCATTTGAACTCTCAAATTCTTGTGCCTGTGTGAGTTTTTCTCCTCTGCCTTGTCCAGCCGCGGGGCATGTGGCGTCGTACAGTCCTTACCAATGTTTGGAGCTGCCTGCCCTAAGGTGCGGCTGAGAGGCTGAGAAGATGCTGAGTGACAGTCCACAGGCTGGGAGTGCAGGGCTGGTGGGGCTTCATGCTGGTAAAGTGAGGTGGTTCTCCCAGAGCCCATTTGGTACCTTCCTCTTCAGATGCACTTCTGATATTATCTTCTTTATTCTTTAGCCATACCTAAAAGGCAGGGAAGGGCCGCATCTCACAATCCCTGCTTTACAGATGGGAACACTGAAGCAATAGAATATGAAGCTAGACTCTGCAGCCCCTCGTGGTGGAAGCACACCTCCCTGGCAGGAGCAAATCCCCTTATGCTCCTGGGGGGTAGGTGAGTTTGTGACTGCTGCAGGCGGAGGTCTGGGTGGCCCTTCCCACTATTGCCACATCTGCTGTCCACCCAACATGCCCACACTCACTGCCATATCGTAAGGGAAAGGAGAGGAGGAAAGGAGGAAGGAAAGAGAGGCCTGTCCACACCATGGGCTATCAATAGCTCCTGGAGCCGAGAACCAAGGTCCCTGATGAGCGGGCTCTGACATAAGAGTGCCTCTGTTGAGGAGGGTGGACCAGCAAAACCTGGGCCCACCCACTCCTGCGTCCAGCCGGCTACCACACTGGAGGCCTGTGAGTCACTCCCCCGGCAAGCCCTGGTACGGGTGACGACGAGGGAGCTCAGCTGGCACTGGGGGGACTTGGCAGGAGGCCTCCTGCACAGCATCTAGTTCAGCAGTGCCAGCGAGGGGAGGCCCTGGCATGTCATTTACTGAGCAGCAGGTCTCCAGGGACATTGCAGCTGCCCTCCCTGGTGCATGTGTGTCCGGAACTGTGTAACCATCACCCAAGTCAACAGTTAGAATACGACACCCCCAGCCACATGGCACCTCCCTGAGCATAATTTCCTCCTCCACCTAAACATCACCACTCACCTGATAACAATGCTTTTCCTTTATCATTTATAGGCACATGTAAGCGTCTAGCTCTGTGTGCATCCCTAAACAGCATAGCGTTTTTAACTACATGGAATCATATTGTGTGTGTGCCTGTGGCTCTGGCTTCTTGGTTTAGCATTGTGAGATGCACTCATGGTGTTGCGTGTAGCTAGAGTTACTCGTTTTCACTGCTGTATAGTGTTCTGTTGCCTATAAAATACCCCTTCAGCCAATGGGCGGCAGGTAGGTCACTGTTTATTCCTCGCTTGCTGGTATTTTTAGTACCTGCATGAATCAAACACACCCCGTAATGGCATCTACAACTACCAGGCGTATATGAGGGGCAGAGACCAAGGGTGGTCACAAAGTCCTTTGCAAGTCTCACCCTTAAGCGCGTGGGGACTGTGTTGTTGCTGGCAGCCAGAATTAATGCTGATGTCCTGTATGTCTTGCAGCTTGCCGGGATTGCTGTCCTTGCCATTGGACTATGGCTCCGATTCGACTCTCAGACCAAGAGCATCTTCGAGCAAGAAACTAATAATAATAATTCCAGCTTCTACACAGGTGAGGGACGGGGAAGGCTCAGTGAATTCAGACCCTGGCTCCAACAAAGTTCCTGCAACTTTGGAGGCCCCATGTTGACCCAGGGACTTGGGCTTGGGAAAGACTTTTGCTCTAGCCACGCTGGCCAGTCGTGTCCCTTTCAAGTTGTGCAGTTTTTGTGTGTGTCGTTGTGCCTGGGAATTTGCGTTTAACTGATGTGGTTTCTTTTCCTGATGGCCAAGTCAGGCATGTTGATGGTTCTCTGATGTGATGTAGCCTCTGCCAAAGTTGTACTCATTCTTGAGGGTTTACGAACCTCTGTTCTCATCTCTGATGCTCTCTCCTGATTGTCTTCTTATCCTGCATCATTTCCTTAATTCAAAAAGCTTTGTCCTGGGGATCTGCAGTGCTGGAAGAAGATATAGACAGCTTTCCTCTTCACTGTTCAGATAGGGACTCTGAGACTGGGAAAAACATCAGCCTCCTGGAAAACACAGCAACAATAGGAGAGACTAGAATGGACTCTGCCCAGTCCTTTGGACCCCTGGTACTGGGGTAAATGCTGTAGTGTTTAGTTTTATTTGTTTGTATTTGACACGACTTTTGCTTTGGGAGAGAGGCTTCCAGTTTAAACCTGCCTGGGATCCTCTGAACATGAACAGACTTGGCAGGTTTCTTTCTACACTCAGGCTTCTTGGCAGCCTTGCTAGACCATTCTATCCCTCTCGTTGCCGTATCACCACGTCAAAGCTCCCTTCAGAGGAGGGGGAGCCTGGTGCCTGCCAAGTGCAGTTGCCCGCGTCTGCGTGAATTCAGACTCTGCGGCTGTACTCTGCCTGGCTTGGAGGTAGGAAACTTTTCATTTGTGAGGAACAAAGGAAACCTCCTATTTTTAGGATGACGCTGACATGTTGTCAGGCTCAAAATGTAAGTTTGGTCACTTCCTTCCCACCCACCAAAAAAGTTATTTTTACAAACGAGGGAGAAAACAGTTATCTCCCAGTCCCTCAGGGAGAAGCAAGGCTGGCCAGCCACGTAGACCTTCCCTTTCCCACCTCTTGAACTGGGTAGGGAGAGTCTTTAAAAACAGCTCCTTTGGTTGCGTAACATTTGAGCCCTGTGGATAGTTTTGCTGGGTTTACTGCTTTTTATTGTTAGCTGGGGTTTTTTGGGGTGTGTCTCTCTATTATCGGAAAGAAAGTGAGAGAAAGCACAATGTATGTTTAGAAAAAAAACTACACATACACACAGAGTTTTTGGGGAACAGGTTTCTATAGCGCCCTGACTTGTTTTGGCAACAGACCATTTTTTGGGAGTCTGTGACAGGCTTAGAATGCTGTCCTGCAGAGCAGGAGGGAGGAGCCGGGTGCGGGTGCTGGGGAAGACTCTCCACACTCCACGCCGTGTTCCAGAAGGGAGCCCTGTGCTGGGGGAGCAGGTCTGCCGGCAGGAGCAGGCACAGTCAGGCCTGCTTTCCTAAGCAAAAGCCCTGTGGCCGGCGCGTGTGTCTCCAAAGAGAGACTCAGTCCTCCCTTGTCCTGGCTGCTTCTAACAACCCACTTTTTCTTTTCTGTTACCCAAAGCCTCTATGGCTGATTCTTTATATTTTTAGATGTGGGAGTTAAGAATCTCATGGGTAAGAGGATGGAACTGGGAGGAAGACACTAACATTTTTATTTTTTATTTTTTTTATTTTTTTTTTGAGACGAAGTTTCAATCTTGTTGCCCAGGCTGGAGTGCAATGACACAATCTCGGCTCACCGCAACCTCTGCCTCCCAGGTTCAAGCGATTCTCCTGCCTCAGCCTCCTGAGTAGCTGGGATTACAGGCATGTGCCACCATGCCCAGCTGATTTTGTATTTTTAGTACAGACGGGGTTTCTCCATGTTGGTCAGGCTCGTCTCCAACTCCCGACCTCAGGTGATCCTCCCGTCTTGGCTTCCCGAAGTGATGGGATGACAGGCGTGAGCCACCTCGCCCGGCTGGAAGACACTAACATTTTTGAGCCCCCTTCTTTGTGTGTCATTCATTGTCTTGTGTGTATTATATAATTTAATCCCCTTAGCTCTACGAGGAGTGTGGAGTGATTCTCATCTCACAAGTGCAGAAACCGAGGCCTAGAGAGCTGAAATAACTTGTCTAAGCTTATATTCCCTCAAGAGGCAGGGCCAGGTTTTGAACCCAGGCCTAAAAGAGCTGCTTCTCGGGTTGTCATTGCCAGGTTGTGGGGTCTCCCTCTGTAGGAATGGAAGAGGTCTGTACTGGCTGAATGTGCCCCATTGGCAGGGATGGGGTGGCGCTGTCTTGGCCCTTTTACTTCACCCAAATTGCAGTCAGGGAGAGAAACCCCTGCGTCGGTGGCCCAGCCAGCAGCTGACAGGTGGGAAAGCTGCAGGGTGGCAGGAGAATGGTGAGTGCCATTAGAGGAGCTGGGGCTCACCTCTGGGAACCTCACAGGATTCAGATCCTGCAGGTCATTGCAGGGCCCTGCTGGTGGCCGGTGGTCCTACCTGAAGTGACCAGGAGGGTGATTTGAAGGCACAACCCCAAAGAGACACAGATCCCCTAGTTGGGGTCTAAGGGCCACTGTCCACTTAGCTCTGCCAGGGAAATACAGATCCTTTGCAGCGACACCCCATTCGGGGAAGAGAGCGGAGCTTTGAAGACTTCGTTCTGCCTGCAGAAGCGCCGGCAAGGGGGATGATGCACGGTAAAGTTAGAACAGCAGCACTGTGTCTGGGCACAGTGATCAGCCCTGATCTCAGGTGATCCGTCCGCCTCAGCCTCTAGCACTTTGGGAGGCCGAGGCAGGCAGATCACCCGAGGTCAGGAGTTCGACACCAGCCTGGCCAACATGGCAAAACCCCACTTCTACTAAAAATACAAAAATTAGCTGGGCGTAGTGGCGTGCACCTATAATCCCAGCTACTCGGGAGGCTGAGGCACAAGAATCTCTTGAACCTGGGAGGCAGAGGTTGCAGAGAGCTGAGATCACACCACTGAGGCTCTGTCTCCAGCCTGGGAGACAGAGCGGGACTCCATCTCAAAAAAAAAAAAAAAAAAAAAAACAGCAGCACAGCACTCTGAGCACTGCTTAGGTCTGAGCTATGCCCTGAACGTCACTGAACGCTTTAGGAAATAATAATTGTCGTCCATGGGCAAAGGGCCAAGGAGGCGTCGCTCTGTGTCCCCTTCCCCACGAGGCTGTGAGACCAGCCTTCTGTACTGGCCCAGAGCCCTTCTCCTAGCAGATGAGCTTGGAGTGCCAGCCACACCCTGGCTACTTTTCCAAGGAATAGTCATGGGGTGACCGCCCCTTGCACTGGGCCACCAACTGTCTGCAGAGCAACCCACAGGCCAGCCTGACCATGCAGCTGACTTTTCAGGAAACCTGAACAGCCCAGGGGTGTCTTTTCTCCAGTGGGGCCACAGCTTACCAAGTAGAGAAAGAGTATATAACCAGGCAGAAAAGCAAGTGAAAACCTTTCCAACATTCAGAACAGTCTATGGTAAGTCCAGAGCAGCTGACAGCCTTATATGGGCCTTCTCTCCAATCCAGGCCTGGAGATTCAGCCCGTCAGCAAGATCCCTAATCCCAGGCTGCAAACTTGTTGGGGAACTTCATTTTCTTGGTCCTAGGCCAGCAGCCTTTCCCAGCTCCCTGGTGTCCCTCCAGAACCATGGCTGCTGAATGAGGGCATCTAGGGGGGCTCCAGCCAGAGGCCGTGAATGCCCCCCCTTCCTCGGCCAGCCCCCTATCCATGATGAGGTGCCTGGTGATTTTCAGGACACGCGACACTTGGCCTTAGTAAGCTGGCATCCCCATCCTGGCTTGTGACCTGGGGCAGTTCATTTTATTGCTCTGGGCTTCATTTTTCTCCCTCCTGAAACCAGCACAGCTTACACAACCACAGCACAGCTTACACACCCACTCCCCTCTGGGGCAAAGAAGTACAGCGTGTGGCAAATGGAATTCCATTGTGGCACTTATTCCCGTGAACTCGGGAGGGCGGGAACCAAGACGAAACCAGTCGGGGCAGAGGTAGGGCTCCTTTGAACACCTGGTGGAGTTATTTGGATATAATAAACTTTTATTGCAGGCCAGAGGCCCTACCGGATTTTGTTCTCCTTCACACAAACGGGCGTGGTGAGTGCTGTTTGCAGGACAGAGCTGGTGTAGGGACGGGAGCCTGCTGTGTCCTCTCCCTGGGCTAAACTGAGAGCCCTGGTGAACAGTGAAAAACACTGTTCCATTTCTTGTGTAAAGGACACGCTGGCATATGCTACTGCTGCTACACCAGCCTTTCTTTTTTTTTTTTTTTTCTGGGCCTGTAATGTCAGCCTGAAAAAAGCAGAATAAACAACCCTTAAGCAAATTAATACCGTAATCCTAGAGAAGGCTCTGTGATGGATAACTTTTTCCATGAGTCAGACAGCAAGCTAACATTCGCTTGTTTTATAAAGGGGAACACTTTGTCATTTATCAACAGCAGCCTTGGCTAACAAGCTTGGGGTGTAAGCGATGAGTAGCTTCTCCAAAGGGAAGCACTGAATAGCCCTTGTAAAAACCAGCCCGAGCCCTGCAGTGGTTCCGTGACTTCCATGGGGCCTGCTTCCAGATGAGCTGTCCTGTAGCTTGCCGGCTGCTGCTGAGTCCCCGAACACAGCTGCCAGGGGATCGCTTCCCTTTTCCCGTGACTAGAGAGGGCTAAAGCTAGGCACTGCAGATCCGTAGCCATCCACGCAAGATTTAAAGCCCACAAAACCCGTGATCCTAAAATCTTCCTCTGCTGAGCCCTAGCATGAATATTTAATATTAACCACAAGCCCCATTAGGAGCATGTTCTCTTTCTCTGCGTGGGAAATACTTTCTCTTTAGTAGCTCACTTGCAGCTAATCCAATTCCCTTGGCCTCTGCCAGGACCGCCAGGTTCAAGAACTGGGATCTGGACTTAGAGAAAACATGTCTGCCTGTTCGTTCCCACTCCACGGTATTTCATGTGTTTGTAAATCCTTTTGATCTCTTAATACCTCCTGTTTATTCAGCCCCTGCTATGGAGCTCAAAGGAGTGACCTCATCCTTCCTTGACTTGCCCCCATTAGATGGGGAGAAACTGGGGCCTTTCTACTGTCCCCATGTGAGAGAACCAAAGGAGGCTGCCCTCTTACCCAGTGCTCCATGCATGGGGCTGCACAGCCTCCCCAAGCCCAGCTTGTGGCCTCAACAGCGTTTGACTGCCCAGGAAGATGCGACCTGACTTGAGGACAAGCTACATTTGTCCCCTTGCCCAGTGTGGGCCAGGCATGCACAAGAACAATACCCATATTCTTGCAACATGGGGTTTGCCAGTAACCCCACGTGACTTGACCTCACGACGGATGTGGGGGAGAAGGGGGAGGAACAAACGCTCTCTGTGTGCATTCTGCTCTGTGCTGCCCGTGAGCCTCAGCTGCGGGCAGACTGCATGGTTTGTTGCCTGCAAAGTCTCACCCCTGCTCGGGGTGCAGATGTGGGACAGTGAAGTCAGCGTGTCACCTGCCGAGGGTTCTCATCGAGTGTCCTGCTGTGTATTGTGGGGAAACATCACAGACTTTCTCTCTCGCGTGCGTGTTTTCAGCCCCTACATCAAGGATATCTCTCTGGTCCCAGTGAAAGGACAGTAGGGATACAGCAGCAGGTTAAAATTCACCATGGTGATTATTAATGATTGTTACTCATGCTTGGTATAATTGAGATTAACAACAGCTAGCATTTGTTGTGCACATGTGGATTATATCACTTAATCCTCACAGCAATCCTGGAAGTGGGCATTATTGCTACTCCTGTTTTACAGATAGAAAACTGTTGCACAGAGAGGTTAAGTGGCTTCCCCAGAGTCACAGATCTGGTGCTCTCGACATGTGACAGTAGCCTCTCCCAAGGCTAGATAGAACATGCCTGCAAGACAGGGAGGCACAGAGACTTTGCTGCTGGTTTTCCTTTGGGACCCATGTAGGGCTGGGGTGCTGATTAAGGGAATAGTCCCTGCAGGACAGCTGTGGCTTCTCAAGAATAGAACTGTGGGGTGGCCCCTCTGGGCATTCCTTTGGTGGGTTGTGGAACGAATGGGGCCAGTGCTGCTCTACTGTTTGTGTCCCAGGAATTTGCATTGTTCTGGGTTTGGGCAAAAGTTATAGAAGTTGCTGCCCTTCTCTCACCTCCTTTCCATGAGCCACTCAGATCAAGGGCTTAGTAATGGTGTCACTCATCCTCTCCTTAGCAAGGAGGAGCCTCTTCACCCTTAACCTGCAATAACTGAGTTATGACTGTTAAGATCTTGTTAGCATGCTATAGAGATCTTTTGAAATTTCCAGGAACATACCTCTTTAATTTTACTAGTAAGGAAATTGAGGCCCAGAGAGGGAAAATGTCTTACCCCAGGTCACACAGCAATTAGCATCAGTGTTAGGGCCAAAAGAAGGGTCTTCTGACACCCAGATCTGTGTCCTTTGCACTAGAGTCAGGTATTGGACCTTTGCCAAGAGGTGCCTTTGGGTGTTCCTAACTGTATGTGCCTAACCACCACCCAGCAACAGGGCAAAGAGGCCCGCCTTCTGGGAACAGGCAGAGTTGGTTCCCCCCACCCCTGGGTAGGGGGGTGCCTAGGTGTGCACGGCCCCTTCCTGCTGGAAATCTGCTCTGACAGCGTCCTCTGTAAGGCAGGGTCCCAGAAGTTAGCCAGAGTGTGGAAGGTATATGCTAACTAGCTTGAGTGGATTCATCTTGCTGGAAAGAGCTGACAGACTGGACCAGTTTGCATTCCGAATGTAGGGATTCCCGTGGATATTCTCTGTCCTGGATTGAGGGCTAATGGGCACCTTCCAGAAGGGCTGAGGGTAAGGTAGGAGCGTGAGCTTGATGAAGCAGAGTCATGCAAGAGAGGCTGGTGGGAAGGAGACCTGGGGCAGAGGTGGAAGAGGAGGCTGTATTTTAAGGAAAGGGAACTTCTTCCCTGAGATGAGGGGAATAAGGAGGTGGGGAGGCAGGAGTTAGGCAGAGGGAAACAGGAATTGCCGGAGATGCCTGGGCCTCTGAACTGATGTCTCCACGCGTGTGTGCTTCCTCTGTCCTCCCGCAGGAGTCTATATTCTGATCGGAGCCGGCGCCCTCATGATGCTGGTGGGCTTCCTGGGCTGCTGCGGGGCTGTGCAGGAGTCCCAGTGCATGCTGGGACTGGTGAGTATCCCCTCGGCATCCCCACAGCCACCCTGACTCCCACCAACAAAAACCTCAGCAGGCCCAGACCCAGACCACAGAACAGATGGAGGGGGATGGGGTCAGGAAGGTACCCAAAGGGCATGAGCTGTCCTCAGCCTGGGCCCCTCCCCGATGTGAGGCGTCGCCCCTCTTCCTTTCTGGAGCCTGTCTTATCGCTTCCCCTAGGCAACTAAAAGGACTATGTTTCCCCCTTTTCTCGAGGACCACGTTTGCTTTTTTTCCCTGAATCCACAGGTACCTTTGCCTTCTCCTTCTTGTTTCAAAATCTGTTTTGGTCTTTTCCGAACTCCACGGAGTGGATTCGCTCCCTTTACTTGCCCAAATCTCTTGTCTTTTGTGAACAATAGTAGTTGCCTGCTCACTGACTCTTAACTAACGCCTTGTAAATGCTAGTTCTGGGCTCAGCTGTGCTCAGCTCTTTCCTCATGTCCGGGCACCTTGCCTCACTGTGGCCTCTGTCCTGGGCTTGGTTAACTGCCTGTTCTGTGAACTTCTTCCCTGCCCCTGCTAGGCTATTCATTTGTGTCACCAGATGCCTGTTCCCAGGGAGTTGTCCTTCTTCCTTGTCCCAAAATACCCTTTGATTTTCCTGGCTGGTTGGCTGGGACTGTTCTCACCCCGTCCCCTCGTTGCCTTCCAGTTCTTCGGCTTCCTCTTGGTGATATTCGCCATTGAAATAGCTGCGGCCATCTGGGGATATTCCCACAAGGATGAGGTAGGTTTTTCCCATGAGATCTCTTGGGTTTGGGAGTTGGGGGATGGGGGACAGTGAAGCAGGGGGCAAGTCCTGGCTGGGCACTTTGTTCAGCTTTCAGCTGTTGACCAGGCCTCTTATCTCATCGCGTCCCTGTGTGCCAGCGAATGTGCCCTCCTCGGGGCAGGGAATGTCAGTGCGCTTACTGTCCTGTCCGAGATTGTGCCAGCCATGGTGTTGACTCATAGTAGATGTTCAGAAACTACCCATTGGGCCTGTGCGTGTGTCTGTCTGTCCATCTCACACCTCAGCAGCCCTTCCCCACAACTTTTAGAAAGATTACTCAGGAAATACAGGCTTTCTGTGGGCTGGACACCCTTGCCTCCTCCTCTGATCTATAAATAACATGTTCAAGTGCTGCCCCCATGAGCCAAGTGCTGCCCCCAAGCCTGTGCAGGGTCCACAGATGTTTGAACTATGGGCCCCACATCCGGAGACTTGGCCATCTAGTATGGGGAAAAGACATGAAATTGATAAGGGTCATAGAGGTGATTTATATCCAAAGTACTATGGGATTTGAAAAGGTGGGGCTGGGAAGGGAATCTCTTTTGGCTTCATAGAGAAGGGAGCCGTGACCTAAACCTTGAATGAGAGATGCGTTCAGGAGGAAAGTTAGTGGAGGCAGGGGACTTCCAGTCAAAGGGGCTGAGCATGGCTGAGCTTGGGCTTACGTGGGGAGCCCTGCAGAGTTTTGGACCAGGATGGGCCATATCAGAGTAGTGTTTTTGGAAGGGCTGCCTTGTCATGTTCAGCAGGAAGGGGGAAGGAAGAGAGATGCTGAGATGCTGGAGGCAGGAACCCTATTGTTTTGTTTTGTTCTTGAGACTAGTCAAGCGCGGTAGTGAGAAACAGGGAAGAGTAGAACAAGGACTTCCATCTGTAACTGACGTGAGCAATCCATTGAGATAACTCACTACTTTTAGCCCAGCCAAGGGAACTCTGTTTAAAAAAAAAAAAAAAACATGTCTGTAAGCAATAACAGCTACAGCCATAGAAATAGGAGGGGATCATTGTGAAAAATGTCAGACAGATGCTGAAGGAAAAATGCTGGCTGTTGGTCTGTTAACTGGATGTGGTGAGCATCAAAGGGGCAGACAGACATTAAATTGGGATGCGCCAGGCGCAGGCACATAATAATACATCCCCTATATTATGATACAATAGCTGGCACGTGCTCCAGATTTACTCTGTACTGGACATAGTGGTAAAGGCTTAACATGCAATATTTCATTTAAATTCTCACAAATAATCTATGAGCTGTAGGGACAAATGTGGAAACTCCATACAGAGAGGCTTAGTAATTTGCCAAAACTCATACCTAAGTGAAGAGAAAAACAAGATGGAAGCCTGAGAAAATAGTCAGGTCAGGAGTAGTATTTCAATTATTATCATCCTCTAGATCATAGAGATTCAATTTAGGAGCCAAGTTAGGAGCCAAGTAGAGCTGAAGGACTGACCAAAGTGTAAGGGACAGGGAGAAACAGCCCGAGTGGGTTTCTGGAGGATGTGGGAGGAGATGGGAAGTGCCCAAAGGCCCTGAGAGAAGGCAGTGCTAGCAGCTGCCATCTGCCCAGTGACGTTGTCCAAGCACAGGCATCTGGTGGCTGAGAGCTTAGAGAGAACAAGATGGAACGCATAACATTTGTTCGTGGAGGAAGATGTGAAAATGCCGTCTCTGCCCCTCTCTCGTCTGCCCATTGTAGGTGATTAAGGAAGTCCAGGAGTTTTACAAGGACACCTACAACAAGCTGAAAACCAAGGATGAGCCCCAGCGGGAAACGCTGAAAGCCATCCACTATGCGGTATGTCGCCTTGGCAAAGACACCCTCCTGCGCTTTCTCCGGATTGTGTCTGCACACAGGGTGCTGACTGCACCAGACCAGTGCAAACATTCTAATCGTCTTCTTACAATTTGTTTCTCTCATCCCCATCCCTGCCTTCTCGCTGTAGTTGAACTGCTGTGGTTTGGCTGGGGGCGTGGAACAGTTTATCTCAGACATCTGCCCCAAGAAGGACGTACTCGAAACCTTCACCGTGAAGGTAAACTCAGACCAGGATCCTGGTGTCCCTGCCCCCATTGCTCTGGACAAACCCTGCAAGCATGAAAGTGACAGCAGCCAAGTGCTGCTTCAGCAAGACCCGTTCTGCCTGTGAAAGGGCCCCAGGGCACCCATCTCTTTCTCTCCCACTTTGGGCCCTCTGTTTACTCAAGGGCAATAAAACAAAGGCCGGACCAGGGGAATGACAAGTGTTCTGGCACCGCCCACTGCTGCCAGCCCGGAAGCTCTCAAGGGCAGGCGTGCTTCTGAGTCTTGGACTCCCACTCTGACTTTGTCAGTGGCTCCTGTCTGTAAGCCAGAGTTAATGTCCAACTCCAGAATAGTAAAAGGTGACCTTACAACCATGTCAGAAATAGACCCCCAAGCAGGGCCTGTCCCTCCTCCTTCCCTGACGTCCTGCCCAGATTTTAGGGATCCACTAGCATAGCCATCCCTTTGTTCCCCTTTCCATCCACCAGCCAGAACTTCTCTTATCCCCGAACACTCCTGTCCCCAGCCCACCCTCTGCCCACCAGTTCTCCCGGGTGAGACGGGGGCCATGGGAGGGAGGAGGTGCCCTGGGAGGAAGGATTGTGTGTGACCCAGGTCTTGGTTTGTCTCCCCAAGTCCTGTCCTGATGCCATCAAAGAGGTCTTCGACAATAAATTCCACATCATCGGCGCAGTGGGCATCGGCATTGCCGTGGTCATGGTGAGTGGCAGGACGTCGTCCCAGGAGGGGGACTGAGGAGTTCACATTGATTCAGCCCATGCTCTACCCAGACACCGCCGCACTCTGTGCATTTGTCAACTCACTTTGTCCTCGTGCCCTTAGTATTTCCATTTTACCACTAGGGAATGGAGAGACAGAGAGGCCGATGTTCTGATCAAAGCCTCTCACCTCCTGAGTGGAGTATCTGAGGCTCCCCCTGGGCTTCTAAAGAGTCGACTCTCTTAGCCGTTAAGGTTCAGGGCACATGGGTGGCAGTGCTGGCACTGCTAGTCCTCGGAGCATGTCTCCTCACGCACCTGCTGTTCTTCTCCCTAAGAAAGTCGTTCACTAGAGGCTACCGGCGTGGGAATTGTTCCATTTCCTGAAGTGCATCTGAACATGGGCAGCCAGAAGGAGGTCTCTCGCTAATCAGCCCCTAGAAACCAACAAGGGCCAACCAGGTTCCTTGGGGTCATGTCCTCTCTTCCCATGAGGGACAGCCCCAGACGGAACATGGTCCTCGCTGGGATGGCCTTGGCTCACTGAGTCTTCCCCCACCCCCGCCTGCCTCTGCCCTCTTGCCAGACTGCCCCCAAAGAGAGAATCGCCTCCTTTCTTAGTGGTTATTTGCACCCTTCACCGGCATCTTAAGAAAGGCATGAAGCACCTTTCAGCAAAATATACGACAATACCTTCTTTTTTTTCTTTTTTTCTTTTTTTGAGACGAAGTTTCACTCTTGTCGCCCAGGCTGGAGTGCAGTGGTGTGATCTCGACTCACTGCAACCTCCGCCTCTCTGGGTTCAAGCAATTATCCAGCCTCAGCCTCCCGAGTAGCTGGGACTACAGGCGTGTGCCACCATGCCCAGCTGATTATTTTTAGTAGAGATGGGGTTTCACCATGTTGGTCAGGCTGGTCTCGAACTCCTGACCTCAGGTAATCTGCCTGCCTTGGCCTCCCAAAGTGCTGGGATTACAGGCGTGAGCCACTGTGCCCAGCCAAGATATAACAATACGTTTTAAAATAGAATATTAACATTTTGGGAGGCCGAGGCAGGCGGATCGCACCACAGCACTCTAGCCTAAGCAACAGAGCAAGACTCCATCTCAAAAGAAAAAAAAAAGAGTATTAAATAACATACACACAAAGACAAATGCAAAAGTACTAACCTGTATGGACTAGGACTATAGGAAAACCTGGAATTTGAGCATTAAATTTGGCTCTGAGCTTACTTTCCCACCCTGAAAGTTCTCCAAGGAAAATGCTTGTGCAGCTGACTGCCAACCCCCCCAGATTCCTCACGTCCCGCACCCTTCTCATTATCTGGCCTGCATCTCTCCTGCTTCAGCACCTTCTGACTCGTTTGGCCTCCTGGATGCCATTCTCCTTGTCATTTTTCTTGGACTGGGTGACCCATGTCTCTCCCTTTCCCTCAGCCTTCCTTCAGATCAAACCACCCTGATCCTCATGTTTCTTCCTATCTCCTAGATATTTGGCATGATCTTCAGTATGATCTTGTGCTGTGCTATCCGCAGGAACCGCGAGATGGTCTAGAGTCAGCTTACATCCCTGAGCAGGAAAGTTTACCCATGAAGATTGGTGGGATTTTTTGTTTGTTTGTTTTGTTTTGTTTGTTGTTTGTTGTTTGTTTTTTTGCCACTAATTTTAGTATTCATTCTGCATTGCTAGATAAAAGCTGAAGTTACTTTATGTTTGTCTTTTAATGCTTCATTCAATATTGACATTTGTAGTTGAGCGGGGGGTTTGGTTTGCTTTGGTTTATATTTTTTCAGTTGTTTGTTTTTGCTTGTTATATTAAGCAGAAATCCTGCAATGAAAGGTACTATATTTGCTAGACTCTAGACAAGATATTGTACATAAAAGAATTTTTTTGTCTTTAAATAGATACAAATGTCTATCAACTTTAATCAAGTTGTAACTTATATTGAAGACAATTTGATACATAATAAAAAATTATGACAATGTCCTGGACTGGTTTTTGTTTTGTTTAATTATTTTGAGAGCTATTTGGTTTGCAAATGTCTTTCAACTCCTATTAACTCCACCTGCATTTTTTTTTTTTTTTAAGACGGAGTTTCGCTCTTGTTGCCCAGGCTGGAGTGCAATGGCCCGATCTTGGCTCACCACAGCCTCCACCTCCTGGGTTCAAACAATTCTCCTGCCTCAGCTTCCTGAGTAGCTGGGATTACAGGCATGCACCACCACACCCGGCTAATTTTGTATTTTTAGTAGAGACGGGGTTTCTCCGTGTTGGTCAGGCTGGTCTCGAACTCCCAACCTCAGTTGATCCGCCCGCCTCAGCCTCCCAAAGTGCTGGGATTACAGGCGTGAGCCACCGTGCCCGGCCCCACCTGCATTTATATGAGAAGTAGATTGGGAGGTTGCTCACCCCAGTTTACTAATGAAGAAATCTAGATGTGGAGAGATTAAAGGATTCTGATCCAAAGTCACACAGGTGTCAACAGAGGAGTCAGCACCAGCACCTGGTCCTCAGACGCTCATTCAGCAGTGGGGTATATCTTGGGGATATGACAGTACACCTCACACCATGGTGGCAGGAACTTTGTTTTATTCACTACCTAGCACCTAGTATCTGGTGCATGGTAGTGTTCAGTATTTTTTATCAGTTAATATTTTTTGGTTGAATGAATAAATGAGTGTGTACCCATCAGGGTTTCATCAGAAAAGCAGAACCACTAAGAGGTACTTGTTTGAAGAGATTTGTTGTGGGAATTTGACCTTACACAGTCACTGGCACTGGGGCTGCTTAAGCAGGCTCTGCAGACAATCGGGAAGGACAGACGGATATAAAGTAAGGGAGGACAAGCCCAAGTGGAAGCCCTTGAAGGCAGACACATCCGTCTGTGTCAGTTCTTTTTTGTTTTTTTGAGACAGGGTCTCACTCTGTTGCCCAGGCTGGAGTGTCATGGCCCAATCTCAGCTCCCTGCAGCCTTGACCTTCCTGGTCTCAAGCAAATCCTCCCAACTCAGCCTCCCAAGTAGCTAGGACTACAGGCATGAGCCACCACACCTGGCTAATGTTTGTATTTTTTGTAGAGAAGGGTTTTGCCATGTTGCCCAGGCTGGTCTTGAACTCCCGGTCTCAAGCAATCCACCTGCCTTGGCCTCTCCAAAGTGTTGGGATTACAGGCGTGAGCCACTGCACCCGGCCCCATGTCAGTTCCTGCCTCTGCTGAGGTGAGCCAGCAGAGAAGCCACAATTCGTGTGAGCTGTAAAATGACTGCTGCTTCACTTCCCACCTCCAAACCTTCCACAAGTTTCTCCTCTGTGCTCCACTCTAACCGGAAACACACGGGAAGGGAATTCTGGGAAGTGTGGTTCAGCTTACCCAGGTGGACAGATCACAAAGCCACCGCTGCATGGGAGGTGTGATCCGTGCCCAGACTGCACTGTCGTGGGCAATTCGGAGGCAAGCAGGCAATGATGGCAGAGTGGGATGAACAGGAGAAAGGTGAAGTGCAGAGGCATAAGAAACCGATTTTTATGTTCCACTCCTTGATTCCATTTGGGTTCCTCCTTAACATTACAAAAAGAAAACCAGGAAAGAAGGATCAAAATGTCCCTGAATGCCATTACATTCAAACATCAGAACACCAAAGTTGATAGCAGCATTATTCACAACAGCCAAAAGGTGCAAACTCAAGTGTCCTTCAACAGATAAATGGATAAACAATACGTGGCCTATCCATATGATGGGCTAGAATTCCACCTTAAATGCTGCAACATGGATGAATCTTGAGTACGTTATGTTCATTGAAATAAGCCAGACACAAAAGAACAAATATTCTACAATTCCCTTGATAGGAGGTACCTAGAATTGGTAAATTTATAAAGAAAGTAGATTAAAAGTAACCAGAGGCTAGGGAGAAGGGAAAATAGGGAGTTATGGTATAATGAGTACAGAGTTTCTGTTTGGGATAATGAAGAAGTTCTGGAAATAGATGGTGGTGATTGTTGCAAAACTTTGTGAATATACTTAGTGCCACTACATTATATGCTTAAAAATTGTTAAAATGGGCTGAGCACAGCGGCTCACACCTGTAATCCCAGCACTTTGGGAGGTTGAGGTGGGAGGATTGCTTGAGCCCAGTCCAAGACCAACCTGGGCAACATAGTGAGACTGCAACTCTACAACAAAAAAAACTGGCTGGGCATGGTGGTGCACACCTGTGGTCCCAGTTACTTGGGATGCTGAGTTGGGAGGATCACCTGAGCCTGGGAGGTCAGGGCTACAGTGAACCAGGATCTCACCATTGCACTCCAGCCGAAGCAACAGAGCAAGACGCTGTCTAAAAAAAAGAACAAAAAAAGGGTCAAAGTGGTAAATTGTGTATTATATTTTACTAAACACACACAAAAAAATAGCTGGTTTGGCATTATTGAGTGTCCTTGCTGCTCTGTGGCCCTAGGTCCCTTATTAATCTGACGGCTGACGACTGTTCCCGTTGTGGAAGTAACAGGTCAACCATTAATTTTATTTTATTTTATTATTTTTGGGAGATGTCGTCTCGCTTTGTCTCCCAGGCTGGAGTGCAGTGGCATGATCTCGGCTCACTGCAACCTCCGCCTCCCAGGGTCAAGCCATTCTCGTGCCTCAGCCTCCCGAGTAGGTCGGACTACAGGCACCCACCACTATGCCCAGCTAATTTTTGTATTTTTAGTAGAGAAGGGTTTTGCCATGTTGGCCAGGCTGGTCTTGAACTCCTGACCTCAGGTGATCCACCCGCCTTGGCCTCCCAAAGTGCTGGGATTACAGGCGTGAGCCACCACGCCTGGCCAACCATTCATTTTATATAGGAATGGAGGAGACCCCTGCGTGTAACCTCCAGCTCCTTCTAGAGAAAGCAGGTCTCAGAGGCTACGAGCACATTCCATGCTGCAGCTTTGCTGAAGGGTAGGTTAGCGTGGAACAGACTGCAGCTACTTAAATCCTGGAACACCTCGGGGCTATCTATATCCTGCCTTTCTGTTTGTTGTTAATAATGTAAGGACAAATGGGCTAGCTTAAGCAAAAGTGAGCAATTAACGCAAGAATGAAAATGGTTGAGCCTTAGGAAGATTCCAGAAACATGGACCAAGAACTCCTACAGCTCTCCATTTCTGCGCTACTATATTTTGCTCTTCGAGGAGACCAACTTTGTTACTCAGCCGCTTCCCGACCGGCTGCCCCCCAGCTCCCAAGCTTACACAGAGGCAACCTCCATTAGCCCCACTTGAAGTTTTAGGAGAGAAAATTTTGACCCAGTTTGAGTCAAATGTCTACCTCTGTTCCTTCAGCTAGCAGCGGGCAGGGAGGGGTGCGTGGAGGAAACACTCAGCCACCCTCTGTGACCTGCTGATTGGGCCCAGCGCCAGAAGACAAGGGATCATTGAAAGCTGGCAGACATCCCAAAAGGAGCTGGCTGTCCACAATCAGGCCGAAACGAGCCTCCCTTGACTCTTGGCGGACAGGGCCAGGTGTAGCTCTGCAGTTTAGGGAGAACCAGGACAGCCTGCTGCTCTCGGGTCCTGAAGGGCCTTGGAGCAAAGGCCTTTAGGAAGTTTTAGGTCACAAAAAGGCAACAGACACTGCCAAAAGCAACAACTGCTTTGGGTCCAGAAAGAATCTCCTTGAGCATAAGAGAAGCAGTTGTATGGAGGTGTTGGCCTCTTGGCTCAACTGTGAAAAGCAGCCCAGGGGCAACAAATTTGAATCAAAGCAGCTGGATTTAGTAAAAGGCTATTACTTTACCCAGTGCCCTCAAGGACTGAAAGTGCTTTAATATCCATAAACCCCCCGGACTCTCCTCCCAAGGCCCTACTCTCCAAAACCACGTCCTCCAGAGGGAGTTGAGTGGCCAAGGGTGGGGCCAAGACTCCACATAGATCCAGGGGCTCATTCCATGATGCTCTCATTTCCTAGAGTCCTCCAGGTGTACAGGGAATTGTTTCACTGACAGACAGGCCAGGATATCTCATAAGCTTCTTGGGCACAAGTTGGAGTGGTATGGGTGGAATTCCAGCACAATTAGGCATATCGTGGTTGGGTGAACACAACCATACAAGGGGGAGAGGTCTCTACCAGTGGCCTGTGCAGTCCTGCCATGTTCTTTCCTGGTCAATGTTTTAAATGATAACTTGGAATACTACTAAATACAGCCGGGCGCAGTGGCTCACGCCTGTAATCCCAGCACTTTGGGAGGCTGAGGTGGGTGGATCACTTGAGGTCAGGAGTTCAAGACCAGCCTGGCCAACATAGTGAAACCCCATCTCTACTAAAAATACAAAAAATTAGCCAGGCATAGTGGCAGGCACCTGTAATCCCAGCTACTCGGGAGGCTGAGGCAGGAGAATCGCTTGTACCCGGGAGGTGGAGGTTGCACAGAGCCAAGATCGCACCACCACTGTACTCCAGCGTGGGCAACAGAGTGAGACTCTGTCTCAAAAACAAAACAAAAAAACAGGCGGGGCACAGTGGCTCATGCCTGTAATCCCAGCACTTTGGGAGGCCGAGGCAAGCGGATCATGAGGTCAGGAGATGGAGACCATCCTGGCCAACATGGTGAAACCCCATCTCTATTAAAAATACAAAAATTACCTGAGCGTGGTGGTGCGTGTCTGGAATCCCAGCTACTCAGGAGGCTGAGGCAGGAGAATCGCTTAAAACCAGGGAGTCGGAGGTTGCAGTGAGCTGAGATCGCGCCACTGCACTCTAGCCTGGCAACAGTGAGACTAGGTCTCAAAAAGGAAAAAAAAAAGACTTTTACTAAATACTGTATTATTATATGCATATTTCACAAGGCTCTGAGAAATACCCAGTACTTTGAGTAACAGACGTATAGTTCAAAGAGATCTCAGAGACTGGAATAATAGAATATGACACCCAAAGGATATATCTCAACAGGAATAAGTAAACAAAATCAAGCAATCCATACAATACGTTTAGCAGCCCTTCGTCCTTACCACAGCACTTTAAGTTAGCCGGGCAAGCATACATTTGGCTGGTTGGGTAACAGCCGAATTCTCATATGTTAAGTCTGGAGGGAATTAGAAGTGTTGATTTAGCAGCTCTGCTCTGTGGAAGATGGCATCTCTGTGATTCTCTTGGCTTGTATCCCACGGTCATAAGGTAGCTGCTGCGGCTCCAGCCATTCCTACATTCACAGGTAGAGGTAGGGGAAGAACGACTGCTAAGGCCGGGCGCGGTGGCTCATGCCTGTAATCCCGGCACTTTGGGAGGCCGAGGCGGGTGGATCACGAGGTCAGGAGATCGAGATCATCCTGGCCAACGTGGTGAAACCCTGTCTCTAATAAAAATACAAAAAAATTAGCTGGGCATAGTGGCGGCCGCCTATAGTTCCAGCTACTTGGGAGGCTGAGGCAGGAGAATGGCATGAACCTAAGAGGCAGAGCTTGCAGTGAGCCGAGATCATGCCACTGCACTCCAGCCTGGGCTACTGAGTGAGACTCCATCTCCAAATAAAAAAAAGAACAACTGCTAGCCGCAATGATCTCTTCTATCTCAAATGCAAAAGCTTCCCCTGGCAAGCTGGAAGTCAACTCACATTTGTACATCATTGACTAGAAATCTGTCACATGGCTACTCATAGCTATAAGGGAGACGGAAAATATGAGCATTTAGATTTCTTTTCAGTCTATAGTGAAGTTTGGAAAACGACAAGTGAGTTAAAGGTATCGTATTCCATTTCACATTTGGAGAAAACATAGGGTTGAGAGAAGTTAAATATTTGCCCCAATATCGTATAGTTAATAGGCTGGATACAGGTTTGAATCCAGGACTATCTTTCTCCCAGTTTCACTGCATATTTCGCACAGTGCTGCCTTCCAGGATTAATATCACAGGAGGAAACTTGACAGGGACATCCTGGAACATCTTTTGAGTGGAAGAACCCATTACATAAATGCAGGATGAAGAAAAAATTTCATTTGAAAAAGATGTGGAAATTTAGCTTGCCACAAACTTAATAGAAGCCAAAACTGAAGAGAGGATGCATCCAGAGAAGTGTCCAGATGGAGACAACTGAGCCACAGATGTGATAGTCAGCCCTAGGGGAATATGGTGCTCTGTTCTGGGGCGATTCCTCAAGAAGAAAGTTGACCATCTACAGACACCTGGAGAGGACAGAACTTTTTTGGGAGGGTAGGCGGCCTGCCTAAAAACCTTGTCACCCAAGAGGAGAGTGAAGCACCAGGGGATTGTAGCCTGGGGGAGGGGTCATCCAACAACACAACTGTCTTCGTTTTCAAATATCTTAAGGGCTGTAAGATGAACCAGAATGTATGTTGTCCCAGAGGCCAGAATGAGAACTGATGGGCAGAACTCTCCGGTAAGATTTTGGCTGAACATAAAGGAAACCCCTTTAAACCAGGGCTGTCCAGCAGAGAAAATGCTCCCCATGAGTGGAGGGCCCCAGGACATAGAGGGGACTCCAGGAAAAGCTACAGAGAAGATGTTGCTGATTCCTGCACCCATGGGAACTTGATGCCCTCCATCTCTAGGAGCTTATAAAAATGTGAGTCTGCAAGCAAATACCCAGGAAAAGCAGCTCTCTCCCCCTCTATATTCATTTACGGGGTGGGCGTGAGGGAAGGACCGCTAGTAAAAATTAAGTAATAGGAACAGTGAACATTTTTATGGGAAACCCCAAAATATTTCAAAATAATATTTTATCTCTGAAATTGTTGCTTTTTTTTTTTTAATATTCGATGCCATGGTTGGGCTCTTTAAGATGCAAGGAAGAGAGCATTCAAAGCCTTAAATGAGCTTGGTGGAAGGATATTCATCATCTCAACAGCTATACCACCACTCAGGAGTTTCTGCACTTTCTAAGCTGAATTCTGCAGAGACCCGAGACAGTAGTTCATGGGAGTCCTGCATATGGCATCTGCCCCAGCATCTCCACTTCTCTTTGCATCTCACAGGCAAGCTCCTTTAGCAGGAAGGATCTAAGTAGGTAGTTTGTCTCCAACCAATAAGACGCAGCCTTATTGGCACCCCTTGGCAGAACACTACCAATCCCTGGTCCAATTGCCTGTGGCCAGGGAACAGCACTGATGTTCGGGATGCTCCACAGCCTTCCAAGCACAAAAATGTAGGCAGAAAGAACGCCCTGGTGCCGAGACCAGCTCGGTTGGGGAGACCCTAACCCAGTGGCACTAGAGGAATTAAAGACACATACACAGAAATATAGAGGTGTGAAACGGGAAATCAGGGGTCTCACAGCCTTCAGAGCTGACAGCCACGAACAGAGATTTACCCACGTATTTATTAACAGCAAGCCAGTCATTAGCATTGTTTCTATAGATATTAAATTAACTAAAAGTATCCCTTATGGGAAACCAAGGGATGGGCCGAATTAAAGGAATAGGTTGGGCTAATTAACTGCAGCAGGAGCATGTCCTTAAGGCACAGATCGCTCATGCTATTGTTTGTGGTGTAAGGAACACCTTTAAGCGGTTTTCCACCCTGGGCAGGCCAGGTGTTCCTTGCCCTTATTCTGGTAAACCCACAACCTTCCAGCATGGGCGTTATGGCCATCATGAACATGTCACAGTGCTGCAGAGATTTTGTTTATGGCCAGTTTTGGGGACAGTTTATGGCCAGATTTTGGAGGGCTTGTTCCCAACACCCTGGGACACATTTCTGGTTCAAGCTGACGGGCTCAAGTACTGCCTGGGACGGCCATTCTGACTGAGCTCACAAGGTAGTGTTTGTTTGTTTGTTTTGAGACAGAGTTTTGCTCTTGTTGCCCAGGCTGGAGTGCAATGGCAGGATCTTGGCTCGTCGCAACCTCCACCTCCCGGGTTCAAGCGATTCTCCTGCCTCAGCCTCTGGAGTAGCTGGGATTACAGGCATCTGTCACCACACTCGGCTAATTTTGTATTTTTAATAGATACGGGGTTTCTCCATGTTGGTCAGGCTGGTCTTGAACTCCTGACCTCAGGTGATCCACCTACCTTGGCCTCCCAAAGTGCTGGGATTACAAGTGTGAGCCACCGCACCCGGCCTGTTTTTTGTTTTTGTTTTTGTTTTCAGACGGAGTCTCGCTCTGTTGAGCAGGCTGGAGTGCAGTGGCGCTATCTCGGCTCACTGCAAGCTCCGCCTCCCGGGTTCACGCCATTCTCCTGCCTCAGCCTCCAGAGTAGCTGGGACTACAGATGCCCACCACCACGCCTGGCTAATTTTTTGTATTTTTAGTAGAGATGGGGTTTCACCATGTTAGCCAGGATGGCCTTGATCTCCTGACCTCATGATCCACCCGCCTCGGCCTCCCAAAGTGCTGGGATTACAGGCGTGAGCCACTGCGCCAGCCCCACATGGTAGTTTTGATACCCCAAGGGGCTTTGGTGTCTCAGAGTAAATAGCCCTGACATTCTTGTCAAACAGCACCTGATGAGAGCTGTTTTTCTTAATCATTCTCCTTAAATTGACCACACTCCAAAAGAGGTAAGACTGTGTGTGGGGCTTTTTGAGAAAGAGAGGTTACCAAGAGGGTCTGTGAGCCATAGAAAGTCAAGTGGCAGAGTCAGCTACAGGTTCACCATTCCCAAGCCAGGCATCATTAGAGTCTAAGGACTTTATTCCACCAATCTGAGCTCTCTCCTGTCCCCTTCAGCCATGATTTGAACCCACCCAGGGATAAGGGACCCCGGGGTGGCTTCCACCCTACCCACCTTCAGTCTTTAGGCCGCTTTGGTGAGGCCTCAGCATCTAATGTAATTGTCTTCACTCAAGTCTTGGCCATCAGACCCCTGGAGAGCTAATTTGATTTCTTTCCTTTTAAATTAGATTTCCCCAAACCATCTGCTTCCACTGTGGAAATGCAGGCAGGATCAGCTTTTTTTTTTTTTTTTTTTTTTTCAGACGGAGTCTTGCTCTGTCGCCCAGGCTGGAGTGCAGTAGCATGATCTCAGCTCACTGCAACCTCTGCCTCCTAGGTTCAAGCCATTCTCCTGCCTCAGCCTCCTGAGCAGCTGAGATTACAGACGCATGCCACCACACCCGTCTAATTTTTTGTATTTTTAGTAGAGACAGGTTTTCACCGTGTTCCCCAGGCTGGTCTCAAGCTCCCGAGCTCAGGCAATCCACCCGCCTCGGCCTCCCAAAGTGCTAGGATTACAGGCGTGAGCCACCATGCCTGGTGAGGATCAGCTCTTATTCCAGTATAGAATCTCCACTACTCTGCAAGGAGTCGAGGACCCAGAGCTGACCTGGCCAAGCAAGGCAGTGTGTGACCCAGTGAGGCTAACACACCCGGCAAGGACAGGCAGCGGTGCTCATAGACCTCAGCATAGTTTGGGCTGAACAACTGATCCTCTGTACCACACTGGGAGCTGGGGAGGCATGGGGATCATTCTCTATTCTTAACATATGGAGAAACAGGGCCAAAGAAAAGGGTCACTGATGCCGGGACCACAAAGCTCCAGCCAGCCTGGAGAAGAGCATGGTTACAGTAGAAAGCACAGAGACATGGGAAATAGACCTATGTACAACTTATGTCTCAGACACTCGACTAGCGTGTCTTCGGCCTCAGTTTCCTCATATAAATTGGAGCTAATAAAACATATCAGGCCAGAGCCAGGCGTGGTGGCTCACGCCTGTAATCCCAGCACTTTGGGAGGCCAAGGCAGGTGGATCACGAGGTCAGGAGATCGAGACCATCCTGGCTAATATGGTGAAACCCTGTCTCTACTAAAAATACACAAAATTATCTGGGCATGATGGTGGGTGCCTGTAGTCCCAGCTACTTGGGAGGCTGAGGCAGGAGAATCACTTGAACCCAGGAGGTGGAAGTTGTGGTGAGCTGAGATTATACCACTACACTCCAGCCTGGGCAACAGAGTGAGACTCTGTCCCAGAAAAAAAAAAAAAAAAAAAAAAAGAGAGACAGTAGAGATCATATACCTGAGTAGGTGCTGGGTTCATCTGCAGATCAGTTATGCACCTCCTGAGCCTTCTTGCTGTGGCAATGCTGGGTGGCCGTGGCTTCCATGAACTCCCATGAGGAGTTGGGGTTGCTCAGTGGGATGCGGGCCAGAGTCACGATGCTGACATGAGATGATACAACTTTGATTAAGGTTTATGGTAAAGTCACAGCTTTGTTTAAGACTGCACTAAAACTGATGACATTTCCGAAGCTTCTGACCAAAAATGTGGAGCACATAAAAGAAAGTCAGTTAAGGTTAAGAAGCATTAGAGCCGGGCACAGCGGCTCACACCTGTAATCCCAACATTTTTTTAAATTTTTATTTATTTATTTATTTTTTTGAGATGGAGTCTCACTCTGTCACCCTGGAGTGCAGTGGCACAATCTTGGCTCACCACAACCTCTGCCTCCCGGGTTCAAGCAATTCTCCTGCCTCAGTCTCCTGAGTAGCTGGGATTACAGTCATGCGCCACTACGCCCGGCTAATTTTTTGTATTTTTAGTAGAGACACGGTTTTGCCATGTTGACCAGGCTTGTCTCGAACTCCTGACCTCAAGTGATCCACCCACCTCAGCCCAAAGTGCTGGTATTATAGATATAAGCCACTGCACTCGACCCTGATCCACTTTTCTTAATCTTTTCTTAAAAGAGTTATCAGTGATGAAGAAAATGAGCAGGAGAATGAAGATGAAATGCAAAGACAGTATTCAGCAAATTAAAGTTAGGAATCCCCTGAATCTCTTGGAAACAAGAGAGCTGGTTTCCTGAGTATTTGCTTGGAGATCCACATTTCTCTAAGCTCTTGGAGATGGAAAGCACATAGGAGTTCAAGTCCCCATCAGTGCTGGAATCAGCAACACTTTATCTCTAGCTTCTCCGGGAGCCCTCACTGGCATGGATACCTCTCCATCACAATCCCCTGATGTTGAAAGAGACTCAGGGGAACTTCTAACTCTTCTGCCATGCACCCTGCCCCAGCCAGACCTAGAAAAACCTAGACCCAAATTCAGTGGCCACCACCATTTTATATCAGGCTGCCCTTCATTTCCTTCTGGACCAGCACGGAGTCCCCCATCACCTCCCATGTTCCCAGATCCTCCTGCAGATACCAAAGTGTTGGAAGGTGTAATAGGCGTTTGGTCACGAATGACATCTTGACCACTCTCTGGGTTTAAAGCAAATACAGAGGAGGAGGGTAATAGCACTTCAGTTATTTCAAATCTCTCTCTCCCAAGGAGAGGAGTATGTTTTCGGCCCTGGCTGACACAAGCAAATGTTTCATCATTTTCTCTATAATAAGAGTTAGCTATTATATCTAGTATAATTTATATCTCCTTACAATTGTAGTAGGTTGGAAATTGTTGAATAACCAATGTATAAACACAGTCTAGCCAAGAAAACAGAATCCAAAACAGGTAATTCATCAGAGAGAATTTAATATAGGAAACTGGTTAAGCAAGTATTGAAAAACCACTAAGAGAACAAAGAAGTAATGCAGAAATCATAGCCAGGGAAAACAGCTGGCAGCCCTAGGGCTGCGGAACAGAAGGAAGAGATGGGATTATCAGATTCTAGAAGCCCAGAGGAGGGGCTCTGCAGAGTTGGGGCTCAGACCTTGAGGAGGGGGCATGTCCCAGCTGTTGCTGGTGACTCTGGGGGCTGTGGAGAGGCGACTCTTAAAACTTTCCTGAGGTGAGCAAGCAAGAAAGGAAAAGCTGGCCACCTCCTCTTCCCCACAGCCTGGCTTCTCCCAGCAGAGGGAAAGCTGTCATAACTTGAATATAATCGGAATCTTTGACAGTTACCTACAATTGAGCATCATCATTCTAGAATTAAGACTGTGTTTTGCAGCTTGAAGTCACTATGGGACTTCACCCTAAAAGGGATCAAGAAAGTCTGAGACTGGTCACATATCTATCTTGAGCCAGGGAACAACTACCCCTACTGACCACAATTTAGGAAAAACGTGAGACAGAAGAAAGGTGCTTTAAGATCGCAACCCACAAACCCTGCTTGTTCCACCTACCAGATGCAAATACAACATGCTTGGCACATAGGAAACACAAAATACACGGCATTTTTCCTATGGAATCCTATTGACTGAAATGTAAGAGTGTTGAACTCCACCTCACCAAAAGATTACAAAATCCTCGGGTTCCAGTTGTGCCAGGAGCAGGGTTGTCCGAAAGTGACTCTGAGCTGGGTTGCATGCACGGAGAGCTCATTGGGATCCAGGATTCCCCTTCTCTGAGTGGGAGGAGCCACCCCAAGCTCAGCTTCCCACAACTAGTAGCTTAACAGGGAATTGCAGCATTCCCTGGTCCAGGAGTCTCCGGGGCCTGGGCTTGTTCCGGCAGCTGTCACCAGTTAGCACTTAAATCCAGACTGCCTGGCCCCAAGCAGTCTGTGGGTCCTTCCCTTAATAAGGCTACTTTCATTATTTGCCCTGCAAATAAATGCCAGGGTCCCTTCTCTGGAACATGACAACTCTGTCTTGCCGAGCCTTGCTGGACCTGTAAATTTTCCCTTCTCTTACTCCACCTCCTCGGAAATAAATAAAAGGTCTTCTTTTACCCATGCCATTGGACATCGTGGGATTCATCCTCATCCCTGATGCTTTACAGGTGGGGACCCAGATAGAGCCCGTCTTGCACAACGGTTCCAAGTTAACTCCAGGGAACACGTGACAAGGGTAGATTGACTCAGACACACAGGGCCCCTATATTTGGGTCTTCTCTTTCTACCCAAATTTATAGACCTCTTCACACCAAATGCAGACCCTACCCCAACTGGATCTCCTTTGAATCAGCTTTTTTTTTTTCGAGATAGAGTCTCGCCCTGTAACCCAGGCTGGAGTGCAGTGGCGCGATCTCGACTTACCGAAACCTCCGCCTCCCAGGTTCAAGCAATTCTTGTGCCTCAGCCTCCCAAGTAGCTGGAATTACAGGCGCCTGCCATGACATCTGGCTAATTTTTGTATTTTTAGTAGAGACAGGGTTTCGCCACGTTGGCCAGGCTGGTCTTGAACTCCTGACTTCAGGTGATCTACCCGCCTCAGCCTCTCAAAGTGCTGGGATTACATGCGTGAGCCACTGAGCCAGGCCTGAATCAGCTCTTTACCTTAACACATACTGTGCCCACCACCACCCACCTAGAGTCCCTCCCTCTCTTCCTCATGAGGTCCTTCCTTCCCTCCAAGGCCCAGCTCAGAGCCTCCTCAACCCATCATCAGACCTTGTGGCAGAGACCTCTTGCTGATCGTCAGAGGCCCTGCCCCCTTTATGGAGGGTGCAGTCAGTGCTGGAAGGGGCTGCCCAGCCAGTCTCCCTGCATCTGCAAGGGATAATGGGACCACTTCTTGCTGGTGGAATAAAAGTGGAAGTGGTGAGCGTAACTTCCAGCACAGAAGCAGGTGTGTCTTCTCGGCTCTTTCTCCTCTAACAGATCAATGGAGGAATCTAGAGGAAGGAAGAAATGATCTTGGATCCCTGAATGGCCTTATGAAAGGCACCTCAGCAAGACTGCTTGTGCACTGGCGGGGATGCAGGGAGGGGTATCTTTTTTTTTTTTTTTTTTTTTTGAGATGGAGTCTCGTGCTGTCACCCAGTCTGGAATGCAGTGGCATGATCTCGGCTCACTGCAACCTCCACCTCCTGGGTTCAAGCCATTCTCCTGCCTCAGCCTCCTGAGTAGCTGGGACTACAGGCACCTGCCACCACGCCTGGCTAATTTTTTGTATTTTTAGTAGAGATAGGGTTTCACCATGTTAGCCAGGATGGTCTCGATCTCCTGACCTCGTGATCCGCCCGCCTCAGCCTCCCAAAGTGCTGGGATTACAGGCATGAGCCACCGCGCCCGGTCAGGATATCTTGTACTAAACACTAGGAATCCTGGGCTTGTCTGCTCCGGCAGCCGGCATTGCACCCCTCGTTGCAACCCATTGCTACTTTGCTTGGCCTTCTATGGCCATCTGATGCTGCACGTTACATGAGGATGTTTTGGGTGACAAGCATCAGAAGCCCAAAGTCAAACTTTTTTTTGAGACACAGTCTTGCTCTGTCACTCAGGCTGGAGTGCAGTGGCGAAATCACAGCTCACTGCAGCCTCCTCCTCCCAGGCTCAAGCGATCCTCCCACTTCACCCTCCTGAGTAGCTGGGACTACAGGCGTGTCCCACCAAGCCCGGGTACTTTTCTTGTGTATGGGTATTTTTTTGTAGAGACAGTTTCACCGTGTTGCCCAGGCTCGTCTTGAACTCTTGGGCTCAAGTGATCCACCCACCTGGGCCTTCCAAAGTGCTGGGATTACTGGCATGAGCCACCGCACCCAACCCAAACATTTTTGAGCAATAAGGAACTTCTGTCACATACAGGAAGGTCCGAGGAGGGGGAGTTCCATGGTTGACCATCCTTAGCACATCGGTTTTTGACTTTGTGTTTATCCTTTCAAAGACACAAGGTGGCTACCACAACTCAAGCCTTCATGTCATCATGATATCTATGTCTAAAAGCTTCAGTGTGTCTCTTTTTTAAGAACATGAGCCGGGCGCGGTGGCTCATTCCTGTAATCCCAGCATTTTGGGAGGCTGAGGCGGGAGAATGGCTTGAACCTGGGAGGCAAAGGTTGCAGTGAGCTGAGATCACGCCATTGCACTCCAGCCTGGGCGACAGAGTGAGACTCCCTCTCAAAAAAAAGAAAAGAATATGAAAGAAAAGAATTCCCACAGAAGACATCTTACATCCTGTTGGCCAGATATGATCACATGCCCATTCTTAAACCAGGCAAGTAGGGTGGGAGGAATTACCACGGCAGGTCAGGCAAAGCAGTACTCATTCCCCAACACCCAGGGTTGGGAGGGTCCTGCCTCACCTGGAGCACGTGGCCTCCAGACACCCGGAGTCAAGTGGGACACAGCAATTTAGTGGCCCTAACACTGTGAGCCAGACTCATCTATCCCCCACATTGTACTTTCATCATCTCAACCTGTGAAAGGTATAAACTGCTGGGCAGGAGATCTGTATTTTGAAGATTTTATAGGGAGAGGGTTGGAGAGAGAGTGATATTTTACCAGACACTAAAACCTTCAAGAAATGATGGGGAGTGACCCAGGAGTCAGTAAATAATTGCAACAAGGTGATTCTTACTTCGTGCTCCAAGACGTCTGTTCTTTCCTGCTTTGTGACGCAGGCCTCCGTGCTGGCATTTGTGAAATGCAGATAACCTGTCTAATCTCTAAGGTCTCCAGTACTCTGGTTGTAATCTCCTGAGGCCAGGAGCTGGGTCTTCAGGTCTTCACTTTCTCTCTATGTCCCCAACACAGCTCTGGGGGCAGGGTTGACATGCAGTGTGGACAGTAGCCATTCAAGAATTTTAACATTTTCAGGCCGGGTACAGTGGCTCATGCCCATGATCCCAACACTTTGGGAGGCCGAGGCAGGCAGATCATGCGGTCAAGAATTCGAGACCAGTCTGGCCAACGTGGTGAAACCCCGTCTCTACTAAGAAAATACAAAAATTAGCTGGGCATAATCCCAGCTAATTCGGGAGGCTGAGGCAGGAGAATTGCTTGAACCCAGAAGGTGGAGGTTGCAGTGGGCCGAGATCGTGTCACTACACTCCAGCCTGGGCAACAGAGCAAGACTCCATCTTGGGGGAAAAAAAAAAGAATTTTAACATTTTCAACTCTGTGAGAGACCCCATTCTTCATGAAATGGAGTGATTCGTAGCTGTTATCGAAGCGTGAAATCTGAATTTCATGCTGTGAGAATCTGCAAGAGTGACTCAGATAACTGGTGAGGGAGGCTGTGGGGTACATTGCAAAGGCCTTGTAGGGAGGGAGACAGACTTGAGATCAAATCCTGGCTCTGACACTTACTGAGTGATCTTGGACAAATCACTTAACCTCTAAACTCCTGGCTCTCCTCTATAAAATGAAGGGCAGGCTGGGCACAGTGGCTCACGCCTGTAATCCCAGCACTGGGAAGCCGAGGCGGGTGGATCACTTGAGGTCAGGAGTTCGAGACCAGCCTGACCCCATGGTGAAACCCCAACTCTACTAAAAATACAAAATTAGCCAGGCATGGTGGCAGCCACCTGTAATCACAGCTTCTTGGGAGGCTGAGGCAGGAGAATCACTTGAACCTGGGAGGCGGAGGTTGCAGTGAGCCAAGATTGTGCCATTGCACTCCAGCCTGGGCGACAAGAGCGAAACTCCATCTCAAAAAATAAATAAATAAATAAAATAAAATGAGGGGCAATTCCTACCAAACAGAGCATATGGAGAGACCCGGTAAATGATGGCCAGCCTTGTCATTATGCTGCTATGATCACGAGGTGCCCTTGGAGACAGCAGGAGGTATGAATGAGGAAACTCGGCACTGGGGCTGGACCCAGAGTGTTGGAGGCGGGTTGCTCAGGCTACTAAGGCAGTTTGGGGTGCACTAGTGAGGAAAGAGCTGGCAGCAGGCCAAAGTCCAGGAATGGGCAGGAAAGGGTACAATTAGAGATCTTGGAGAAAGGACTAAGCACCGGCCGTTGCAACCATCTACAGACTCACTGGGACATGTCTTGAAGATTTTCAAGCCCGGTAAAATTTCTGTATTTGAGCACTACCCCTAGAAAGTCTTGGTAATTTCAGGATTTACGATAAAATCTTTCCAATGACCTGGCCTCTCAGTTTTTTGACCTCCTCACTCACTCCTGTGGCCAAAGGCTTTCAAACTTGTTTGTCCATGACCCAACCATATGTGTGACTCAGTACACACAGGCACCATATAGAAATACACACATCTGGCTGGGCACGGTGGTTCATGCCTATAATCCCAGCACTTTAGGAGGCTGAGGTGGGTGGATCATGAGGTCAGGAGATCGAGACCATCCTGGCTAACACAGTGAAACCCTGTCTCTACTAAAAATACAAAAATATTAGCCGGGCGTGGTGGCGGGTGCCTGTAGTCGCAGCTACTCGGGAGGCTGAGGCAAGAGAATCGCTTGAACCTGGGAAGCGGAGGCTGCAGTAAGCTGAGATCGTGCCACTGCACTCCAGCCTGAACGACAGAGCAAGACTCCATTTCCAAAAAACAAAACAAACAAACAAAAACAAAAACAAAAAATCCACATCTACATATATAAAATTGAAATGAAAGTTTTATGATATGATACATATCCTTGCTGCATGCAATGTGCTCTGCTATTTTCTATTCTATTCTATTCTATTTCATTTTTATAGATGCTGGTTTTAACCCACTAACTTAATTTTATGATCCACTAATGGGCTGTGTCTCTCAATTTGAAAAACACTGTCCCAGACTTTTTTTTTTACTACTTCACTCCAGTTTTAGAGATTGAGATGTTGATGGGAGCCAGGTGCACTGGTGTACACTACAAAGGTGCACCTGTAGTCCCAGACCCTCAGGAGGCTGAGGCAGGAGGGCCACTTGAACCCAGGGGTTTGAGACCCCATCTCTACATTTAAACTTTTTAAATTTTTTAAATGTTGAGGAGAAACCAGCAATGAAGACTGAGATGAAGTAGCCAATAAAGTAGAAAAAAGAGACCCTTCATTAGCTCAATCCAAGCATCACAGTCTCCAATCCCTTTCTGTCATTCGAACTCACTCCAGTCCTACCCTACCCAAAACCTCTCATCCACTGACCTTACCACCTTCTCCTTGTCTCTCACATCCTCCTGATGTCACTTCCCCTTTATCTGATTTAGATTACATAGGGCATAATAATCTATTACTTGGGCTGGGTGCGGTGGCTCACGCCTATAATCCTAGCACTTTGGGAGGCCAAGGCTGGTGGATCACCTGAGATCAGGAGTTCTAGACCAGCCTGGCCAACATGGTGAAACTCTGTCTCTACTAAAACTACAAAAATTAGCTGGGCTTGGTGGCAGGCGTCTGTAATCCCAGCTATTCAGGAGGCTGAGGCAGGAGAATCGCTTGAACCCGGGAGGCCGAGGTTGCAGTGAGCCAAGATCGTGCCACTGCACTCCAGCCTGGGGGACAAGAGCAAGACTTCATCTCAAATAATAATAATAATAATAATAATAATAATAATAATAATAACAATCCATTACTTGATTTGTTTAATAAATAGTTACTGGCCAGGTGCGGTGGCTCACGCCTATAATCCCAGCACTTTGGGAGACCAAGGTGGACGGATCGCATGAGGTCAGGAGTTCAAGACCAGCCTGGCCAACATGGCGAAACCCCGTCTCTACTAAAAGTACAAAAAAATTAGCTGGGTGTGGTGGTGGGCGCCTGTAATCTCAGCTACTAGGGAGGCTGGGGTAGGAGAATCGCTTGAACCCGGGAGGTGGAGGTTGCAGTGAGCGGTGATCGCGCCATTGCATTCCAGCCTGGGTGATAGAGTGAAACTCTGTCTCAAAAAACAAACAAAAAAAATAGTTACTGAGGGCTCACTCTGTGCCAAGCACTGTTCTAAGGTACTGAAGATACAGGAGTGAACAAAACAAAAGACTGGCCTGTGAACATGTTTTTATTGGGGGGAAACAGACAATAAGAAAATAAACAAGGGCCAGGCGCAGTGGCTCACGCTTGTAATCCCAGCACTTTGGGAGGCCAAGGCGGTCAGATCACCTGAGGTCGGGAGTTTGAGACCAGCCTGACCAACATGGAGAAACTCCGTCTCTACTAAAAACACAAAAGTAGCCGGGTGTGGTGGTGCATGCCTGTAATCTCAGCTACTCGGGAGGCTGAGGCAGAAGAATTGCTTAAACCCAGGAGCTGGAGGTTGCGGTGAGCCGAGATCGCGCCATTGTACTCCAGCCTGGGCAACAAGAGCAAAACTCCGTCTCAAAAAAAAAAAAAAATGAAGAAGGAAAAAAGGAAAATAAACAAGAACATTTAAACTATTTCAGCGTACAGGCATACCTCAGAGAACATTGCAGGTTCGGTTCCAGATCACTGCATTAAAATAAATATTGCAATAAAGTGAGTCACACAAAGTTTTGGTTTCCCAGTGCATATAAAAATTATGTTTATACTACACAGTAGTCTATTAAATGTGCAATGGCATTATGTCTAAAAAATATGTACATATCTTAATTTAAAAATACTTTATTGCTAAAAAAAATTATGCTAACAATCATCTGATCCTTCAGCAAGTCATATCTTTCTGCCTTAATGGATGGCTGCTGACTGACCGGAATGATGGTTGCTGAAGTTTGGGGTGGCTATGGCAATTTCTTCAAATAAGGCAACATGAAGTTTTCTGCATTGATTGACTCTTCCTTTCATAAAATATTTCTTTGTAGCCTGCAATGGTATTTGGTAGCATTTTACCCATAATAGAACTTCTTTCAAAATTGGAGTCAGTCCTTTCAAACCCTGCCACTGTTTTATCAACTAAGTTTGTGTCATATGCTAAATTCTTTGTTGTCATTTTCACAGAAGTAGATTCCGTCTCAAGAAACCACTTTCTTTGCTCATCCATAGGAAGCAACTCCTCATCTATTAGTTTAGTGCAAAAGTAATTGTGGTTTTGCCATTACTTTGAATGGTTTACTAAATATTAATATTAAAGTTTTCTCATGAGATTGCAGCAATTCAGTCACATATTCAGGCTTCACTTCTAATTCTAGTTCTCTTGCTATTTCCAATACATCTACAGTTTCTTCCTCCACTGAAGTCTCGAACCCCTCAAAGACATCTATGAGGGTTGGAGTCAACTTCTTCCAAACTTCTGTTAATGTTGCTATTTTGACCTCCCCCCATGAATCACGAATGTTCTTAATGGCATCTAGGATGGTGAATCCTTTCCAGAAGGTTTTCAGTTTACTTTGCCCAGATTCATCACAGAAATCACTATCTATGGCAGCTATAGCTTTGTAAGATGTATTTCTTAAATAATAAGACTTCAAAGTCAAAATTACTCCTTGATCCATGGGCTGCAGAATCAATGTGTTAGCAGGCATGAAAACAGCATTAATCTCCTTGTATGTCTTCATCACATCTCTTGGGTGACAAAGTGCCTGTCCATGAGCAATAATATTTTGAAATAAATATTTTTTTCTAAGCAGTAGGTCTCAACAGAAGGCTTAAAATGTTCAGTAAACCATAGTATAATGGTTAACAGACATGCTGTTATCCAGGATTCATTGTTCCATTTATAGAGCACAGCAGAGTAGATTTAGCACAATTCTTAAGGGCCCTGTAATTTTAGGAATTGTCAATGAGCATTGGTTTCAACTTAAAGTCACCAGCTGCCTTAGCCCTTAGCAAGAGAGTCATCCTTTCCTTTGAAGTTTTGAAGCCAGGTGTTGACTTCTCCTCTCTAGCCAAGAAAGTCCTAGATGGCATCTTCTCCCAGTAGATACCTGTTTTGTTTACATTTAAAACCTGTTGTTTAGTGTTGCCACCTCATCAGTTATCTTAGCAAGATCTTCTGGATAACTTGCAGCTTCTACATCAGTACTTGTTACTTTATGTTGTATTTTTAGGTTACAGAGATGGCTTATTTCCTTAAACTTCATGAACCAAACTCTGCTAGCTTCTAACTTTTCTGCAGCTTCCTTACCTTACTCAGCCTCACTGAATTTAATCAAAGAGAGTTGGAGCCTTGTATGGATTAGGCTTTGGTTTAAGGAAATGTAGCTGATTTGATCTTCTATCCAGACCACTCAAACTTTCTCCTTATCAGCAATAGGTTGTGTTGCTTTCTTATCATCTGTGTATTTACTGGAGTAGCACATTTAATTTCCCTCAAGAACTTTTATTTTTAATACACTAATTGGCTGTTTGGCACAACAGGCCTAGCTTTCAGCCTTCTTCGCTAAGCTTAATCGTTTCTGGCTTTTGATTTAAAGTGTGAAACGTGTGACTCTTCCTTTCACTTGAACACTGAGAGGCCACTGTAGGGTTATTAATGGGCTTCATTTCAATATTGTTGTGTTTTAGGGGCTAGGGAGGCCAGAGGAGAGGAAGAGAGATAGGGAAATGGAGGGTCAGGTCAGTGGAGCAGTCAGAACGCACACAACATTTATTGATTAAGTTCACCATCTTATCTGGGCACCATTCGTGGTGCCCTAAAACAATCAGAATAGTAACATCAAAGATCACTAATCATGGGTCACCATAACAGATATATTAATAATGAAAAAGTTTGAAATATGGCAAGAATTACCAAAATGTGACAGAGACATGAAGTGAGCACAGGCTATTGGAAAAATTGTGCCAATAGACTTGTTGGACACGAGATTGCCACAAACCTTCAATTAAAAAAAAATGCTGGGCGCAGTGGCTCACGCCTGCAATCCCAGCACTTTGGGAGGCCGAGGCAGGTGGATCATGAGGTCAGGAGATCGAGACCATCCTGGCTAACACAGTGAAATCCCGTCTCTACTAAAAATACAAAAAAATTAGCCAGGCGCGGTGGCGGGTGCCTGTAGTCCCAGCTACTCGGGAGGCTGAGGCAGGAGAATGGTGTGAACCTGGAAGGCGGAGCTTGCAGTGAACCGAGATTGCTCCACTGCACTCCAGTCTGGGTGACAGAGCGAGACTCCTTCTCAAAAAAAATTTTAAAAAAAGTAATATCTGCAAAGTGCAATAAAGCAAAGCACAATAAAATGAGGTGTGCTCATAACAGCCAATGCAAAGGCCTGAGGCACGAGGGTGCCTGCAGGTCCCAGGCACAGCACAGAAACCAAATAGGCTGAAACAGAGTGAGCAGGAGGAAGAGTAGGCCAGACACGGTGCTCACGCCTGTAATCCCAGCACTTTGGGAGGCTGAGGCAGGAGGATGACTTGAGGCCAGGAATTCAAGACCAGCCTGGGCAACATAGTGAGACCCCGTCTCTATAAAAAATTTAAAATTACTTGGCTGTGGTGGCTCTCACCTGTAGTCCCAGGTACTCGGGACACTGAGGTGGGAAGACTGCTTGAGCCCAGGAAGACGAGGCTACAGTGAGCCATGATCATGCCATTGCACTCTAGCCTGGGTGACAGAGTGAGACTCTATCACAAAAAAAAAAAAAGAAAAAAAAAATACACACACACACACACACACACAGAGACATATATATATATGTATATATATGTATGTATGTGTGTGTGTGTGCATATATATATACACATATAAAAGAGAGAGAATAATCGAGAGGAGATCAGAAGGGAAGTGACAGGCAAGATCATCTCATAAGTCATTCCAAGAACTTTGGGTTTTGCTCTGAAGGAGATGGGCAGTCATTCATTGCAGGGTTTGAACAGAAGGAGTGTCTTGATCTTGTTTATGTCTTAAAAGGCTCTCTGTCTGGAGAGTACATTGTAAGGTCACAGAGGAGGACATCAGTTAAGATACTGTTGGATTAATCAAGATGAGAGATGATATGATAGTGGCTTGGACCAAGCTAGCAGGGGAGGAGGAATAGGAAGTGGTATGATTCTGGGTGAAACTTTTTTTTTTTTTTTTGAGATGGAGTCTTGCTCTGTTGCCCAGGCTGGAGTGCAGTCGCACTATCTCGGCTCACTGCAAGCTCCGCCTCCCGGGTTCACGCCATTCTCCTGCCTCAGCCTCCCGAGTAGCTGGGACTACAGGCGCCTGCCACCACGCCAGGCTAATTTTTTTGTATTTTTAGTAGAGACGGGGTTTCACAGTGTAGCCAGGATGGTCTCGATCTCCTGACCTCATGATCTGCCCGCCTTGGCCTCCCAAAGTGCTGGGATTACAGGTGTGAGCCACTGTGCCTGGCTGGATGAAATTTTTAAGACAAAGCTAGTGGGACTTACTGATGGGACAGACTTAAGGATTATTTCAAGGTTTGGGGCCTGAGCAGCAGAAAGCATGGAGTTGCCTTTTATGGATATGGGGAGACTTCAGGAGGAGGTTTGGGGGTGAGGGACTCAGGAGTTGAATTTTAGCCATATCAAGTTAGCTATCCAAGTAGAGAAATATGGAATCAGAAGTTCAATATATGACGTTCAGGCAGAGGCTTCGGTGAAGGAGCTATAAAATGGAAGATATTAGCATATGCTTGATAGTAAAGCCATGAGACTGGATGAAAGACCTAAAGAACAAGTGAAACAGGAGAAAGAGGTCCAAGGATGGAGCTGAGAGGTCAAAGGAGACCAATAGAGAGTAGTCACTGGGGTGAGCAGAGAATTAGGAGTGAAAGCTCCAGAGATGCAAGAAAGGGTTTCCCAAATGCAAGAGTGAGGACCCAGGTCAAATGCTGTGGATGGGGTCAAGTCCAATGAGGATGGAGATTAATCTGAATCTTTTTTTTTCTTCTTTTTTTTTTTGAGACAGACTTTCACTCTTGTCGCCCAGGCTGGAGTGCAGTGGTGCGATCTCAGCTCACTGCAACATCCGCCTCCCTGGTTCAAGCGATTCTCCTGCCTCAGCCTCCTGAGTAGCTGGGATTACAGGCACACACCACCACACCTGGCTAATTTTTGTATTTTTAGTAGAGATGAGGTTTCACCATGTTGGCCAGGCTAGTCTCAAAGTCCTGACCTCAAGTGATCTGCCGGCCTCAGCCTCCCAAAGTGCTGGGATTACAGGCACAAGCCAGAGATGCTTACTCTTTTTTTTTTTTTTTTTTTTTTGAGACAGAGTCTTGCTCTTGTCACCCAGGCTGGAGTGCAGTGGCACGACCTCGGCTCACTGCAACCTCCGTCTCCTGGGTTCAAGCGATTCTCCTGCTTCAGCCTCCTAAGTAGCTGGGATTACAGGCACCCAAAATTATTATTAGCAATCAGGAAATGCAAATCAGGTCCACAAGGAGTTAATAATCATTGTCTTGGTTCAGGCCACTATGACAAAGCACCATCCCAGGTTTTGAGCAGAGGGATAAATGATCTTTTTTTTTTTTTAATAGGAGGGGCTGAGAATCCAAGAACCCAAAGCATCCCGAGTGGAGGGCCACACTGTGGACTCCAGGATGGGTGTCAGAGTGCACCTGAGCTCAGAGACTGAGACACACCAGCGTCAAGTACAATTTCCAGACCAGACCCTCCTGCCCCTGGCCAGGGCATCCACTCCCTGTGGACAAGTCACAGAGCAGGATGAATCGCAGGGCTATTTGGGATCAGAGCCTGGAGTCTGCTGCTGAGGTGACTGAGATCTGTCCCCACAACACAGGCACCTGCCTCAGGCCAGACAGGTGGAGAGGGCCTCACCTGGCCAGTCCTGGGAAGGGCAATGCTGCAGTTGGCCTCAGACACTGCCCCATTCCCACTCCTGTGGGAGAAGGAACCAGACTCCACCCTCAAAAGGGCACCTAGGGAGGAGGAGGCCTGCTTCTTGGTGTAAAGAACTCTCATAGAACACCTTCCCACCCCCAGGACACCCAGCGGGAGCCTGGAGCCAAGATAAGGACTCTGGACGAGAGAAGGTAGAACTTCACTGCAAAGGAAAATGGGAGGAATTTGACTGCATTTCTGAGAGGAAGAGGGTAACAATAAGAGAGGGCAGAGAAAGGAAGAAGAAAGGGGTGGAGCACCAAGTAACAGGGCACCAGAGCTGTGCAAATGTTCAAGAGAGGCTGGTTTTACAGGAGCACATTGTCTACTATCTCATTTGCAGCTGTCATTGCTGCTCTGTAATTTCCCTTCATCTCTCCAGACCATCAGCAAAGCTTGCCACAAACACAGGTGCAACGTGATGGGGCAAGGAGTGGGTGGAGTTTGAAATAAAGGAAGAAGGTTGCTGGGTGGACAAATGGGCTAAGATCGCTCTCTGGGCAGAGGCAGGAACTCAGGGGCCAGAATGACCAAGAAAACACATTTCAGCATATCCCAGACAACTTAAGCACCTTAGGAAGACATTAGACTTGCCAAGTGGGGGATGAAGATTTGAGCCACTCTTGTTCAGATCTTGAGGGGTGGGGAGACCCCAGCTGCCCATCATCCCCTTTCCATGCACAGTCATACTTCCACCTGGTTCTGGTGGGTGAACTCACACGCCTCTTCTCTGGTCACCCAGGTGACACGCAGGCAGCACTCTCATGCCCTGCCTTCTGATGGCATGGCACCGCAACTCCGTGCCCTGAGATACCTCTCCACTCCTTGGAGCCTCAGTTTCCTCATCGGAAACGGGAATCTGGCACCTACTCCCAGGTCTTAGGGATTAAACAGGAAGCCCCCATGATGATTACTTTTATGTGTCAACTTGCCTGGGCCACAGTGACCAGATATTTAGTCCGACATTCTGGATGTTTCCCTGAAGGTGATTTTGGATGATAAGATTTAAGGCTGGGCGCAGTAGCTCACGCCTGTATTCCCAGCACTTTGGGAGGCTGAGGCAGGCAGATCACTTGAGGTCAGGAGTTTGAGACCAGCCTGGCCAACATGGTGAAACCCTGTCTCCACTGAAAAAAAAAAAATACAAAAATTAGCCGGGTGCAGTGGCGGGCGCCTGTAGTCCCAGCTACTCGCAATGCTGAGGCAGGAGAATCGCTTGAACCCAGGAGGCAGTGGTTGCAGTGAGCCTGGATCGTGCCATTGCACTCCAGCCTGGGTGACAGAGCAAGACAAGCAAAAAAAAAAAAAAAAAAAAAAAAAGATTTCAGTGATGGACTTTGAGTAAAGCAGATTGTCCTCTATGATGTGGATGGGCCTCATCCAACTCGTCAAAGGCGTGAAGAGAACGAGAGACTGACCCCCCCACAGCAGGAGAGAATTCTGTGGTGAACTGCAAGAGGGGGTCTTCCCTGGGTCTCCCACCTGACAGCCTACCCTGCAGACTGGGACCTCACCAAGACTCCATAACCCACGAGCCAATTCCTTAAAGTAAATCTCTGAATATATACATATATATGTCTACACACATGCACACGCGTATCTTATTGGCTGTTCCCTGGAGAACCCTGACTAACACAGCCCCTCACTGTGGCCAGCATGGGCCGGTGGTTAGTCAAGGTCACTGTCTCCAGGGCTGTTGTGAAGCTGAATGGAGATCAGTTTTGCACAGAAACATGTGAGGTCTTATCAGCACTCCCAGCCTCCCTGCTAGCAGGAGGGAAGCACTGTAATCTGATTCCCAAGCAGCTTTAGAAAGGTACCTCTGTGGTACAGGCCACTCCATCTTCATAAGCAGCTTCTCTGATTGCTGTTCTGCTGACCAGGGGCAGGCTTTCTTGTGGGTGCAGGATTGCTGGCTGAAACATCACCCTCTGCTTCCTCCAGGAGAGAAATTCCCAGCTATATCCAAATGTTCCAGAGTATAAAACCTGAGACGCTTCCATCAAGCTAAAGTGGCTTAAACAGGGAAGTGGCCTTAGAAATGCCCTGGCCAAGGCTCCTGTTTTGCAGATGGGAACAGAAGTGCACAAGGCGGAGGCCATTTGCATAAGGACATTGGCAGCAGCAGCAGAAGCAGGGCCCACTGGCGTCGTGCCAGCCCTTTCAGGTAACTTAGGTCAATGAGAAACAAACAGGTTCCAGAACTTTCTCTAGATCATACTGCAGCAGGTGCTGAAGTGGGGATTTGAACCAGGTTCACCACACTTTGAAACCCATGCTCTCTTTACCACCGCTTGAGACACCCAAACACACACATGTATCGGCACGGCTACGTCTCCCGGTCTGTTTCCAGTTTCACGTTCCTCCCTCCTGGGCCAAACCACCACTGGGGACTCTTTTCTTCCTACAGCTCCAGGCAGCGCTGCATCATGGAAAGGTCACTCAGCTCACATTCATGACATGCTTTCTGTATGCAAGGCAGATCAGATCTAAGGGCAAACAAACATACCCAAACCCAGGGGACTACTGAGCACAGACAAATAAATAAGCAATTACAGTACAAAACAAGAAGTGATCAAGAGATACATAAGAGGACCCAAGAGCCCTCAGAAGGCCACTTACACTGCAGGAGGGGCCTTAGGAAATACTTCCCTGAGAAAGTGACATTTAAGCTGAGACCAAGGTATTAATACTACAAAGGAGTTACCTAAGGAAGGAAGACAGGGGGTGAGGGAGGGCCATCCACACAGGCTCTAGAGCAGGCGGCCTGGTTTTGAAACCAGCACCAGCACTGCCTGCCTGTGCCTGATGCACTCAGTGCAGCTGCACTTAACTTCTCCAGCCTCAGTTTCCTCATCGTAAAATGGCTAGTAAGCCTGCTCATTCCTGTAATCCCAGCACTTTGGGAGACTGAGGCAGGAGGATGACTTGAGTCCAGGAGTTCAAGACCAGCCTGGACAACATAGGGAGACCCCATCTCCAAAAAAGAAATAGACAAAACAAAACACAACAAAATGGATAGTAATAGTACCTGCCTCTTTGGGTTGTAGTTGGGAAAATTGAGTTAACACATCCAAGTGCTTAGAACAACAACTGACACAAAAGGTTCCTTAAATGTTCAATTAAAATATATGAAGAAGCGGCCGGGCGTGGTGGCTCACGCCTGTAATCCCAGCACTTTGGGAGGCTGAGGCGGGTGGATCATGAGGTCAGGAGTTCAAGACCAGCCTGGCCAAGATGGTGAAACTTCATCTCTACTAAAAATACAAAAAAATTAGCTGGGCGTGGTGGCATGCGCCTGTAATCCCAGCTATTCGGAAGGCTGAAGCACAGAATTCCTTAAACCTGGGAGGCGGAGGTTGCAGTGAGCCAAGATTGCACCACTGCCCTCCGGCCTGGGCAACAGAGCAAGACTCCGTCTCAAAAAAAAAAAAAAAAAAAAATATATATATATATATATATATACATATATATACGAAGAGGCTAGGTGCGGTGGCTCACGCCTCTAATCTCAGCACTTTGGGAGGCCAAGGTGGGCGGATTACCTAAGGTTAGGAGTTTGAAACCAGCCTGGCCAACATGGTGAAACCCCATCTCTACTAAAAACATAAAATTAGCCAGGCGTGGTGGTGCATGCCTATAATCCCAGCTACTCAGCAGACTGAGGCAGGAGAATTGCTTAAACCTGGGAGGCAGAGGTTCCAGTAAGACAAGACTGTGCCATTGCACTCCAGCCTGGGCAACAAGAGTGAAATACTGTCTTGAAAAAAAAAAAAAAAGCAAGCACATATGAAGGGGCCAGGCATAGTGGCTCACACCTATAATCCCAACACTTTTAGGAGGCTGAGGTGGGTGGATCGTTTGAGCCCAGGAGTTCAAGACCAGCCTGGGCAACATAGGGAAACCTTGTCTCTACAAAAGAATACCAAAAAAAGCTGGGCTTGGTGGCTCATGCCTGCAATCCCAGCTACTGGGGAGGCTGAAGCACAAGAATCACTTGAACCCGGGAGGCAGAGGTTGCAGTGAGCGGAGATCACGCCACTGCACTCCAGCCTGGGTGACACAGCGTAACTCCATCTCAAAAAAAAAAAAAAAAAAGGCCAGTAGTGACCTGTATTTGCACCGCTGCACTCCAGCAGAAGTGGTTTCAGGTGCCCAAGAGCAGGTGGCGGAAGGCAGGTGAGGTGGAGAGCAGATGCCCATAAACAGGCAGGTCCATGTGGGAGGGAAGCTCCAAGAGGAGATGATGCCTTCAGCTGGGAATAGGGAGGTGGCTGGGAGTAAGCAGAGAAGGCCAGACACATCCTTAAGGGAAAATGGATGAGAAGCTTTTGAATCTGTCTGGCTGACAATAACCGCTCACCGCCTAGGACTAGACAATTCACAAGACAGTTTCTTAACACGTCCTTATTCCAACCTCAACAGCCCCAGGGAACAGGCTTGTCATTCCTCTTTGTGGGAGGGAAACTGAACCGGAGGGGGATTAAGGCCCTGGGCTTGTTCGTGGGGTCTTAGACCTAAAACCAGGTCTTCCAAGTGAGGCTGTCCTGCAGGTCTCACATGCACACGCACACACACGCACACACATACACACATGAATACACACACACCCTCCCAAAGGGTCCCGGGCCCTGCTCACTAACCCCCTCTCCCGCTCGGAAAGGTGCCCTGGAAGGCAAGTGGCAGAAGTGACTTTGTTGTGGGGATGATCTCAAACCTGCTCTCACTGGGGGGAAAGTTAGTTAATTATTCACAAATGAAAAAAACAAGGTACAGGGTAATGGGAATAATATGCTAACATTTGGGTACTAAATAAGGGAAAGGAGGAATGTGTACAAGAGTGTTTGCTGATAGGTGCACAAAATGTTTCTGGAAGGATGCCCAAATTCTGGTAAGGATGGCTGCCTCAAGGGAGGGAGCTGCCCAGAGGGAAGGAAGGGGACTTTTCAGCGTGTACCCTTCTGGGCCTTTGGAAATTTGATGTGGTTACAGAAGCAAATATGTGCTTTAAAATACACGCAAGTGCTTTGGTTATGATGAATAACAGATTACTTAAAACACACCCACGACTGAGGTATGTTGTCATGTCATGACTGAAAACCATGTTCCCCCCTGGCCCCTCCTTTCCCTCCCCACGGTTCCAGTTGTGGGAGGCCACAGGCCCGAGCGTCATGATCCTTGTGAATGAGGGGGGGCAGACCACATCAGGCTCTGCAGCCTAGACTGTCCTGTCTGCCTCTTTGGGTGACCACAATCGCACCCACTCAAGCTAGACTGGAAAAGAGGGGAGACCAGGAGCCGTGGCTCATGCCTATAATCCCAGCACTTTGGGAGGCCGAGGTGGGTGGATCACCTGAGGTCAGGAGTTCAAGACCAGCCTGGCCAACATGGTGAAACCTCATCTCTACTAAAAAATACAAAAATTAGCCAGGCGTGGTGGTGGATGCCTGTAATCCCAGCTACTCGGGAGGCTGAGACAGGGAGAACTGCTTGAACCCGGGAGGCAGAGGTTACAGTGAGCCGAGATTGTGCCATTGTACTCCAGCTTGGGTGACAGGAGCGAAACTTCATCTCAAATAAATAAATAAATAAAAATAGGGCAGTGGAGCACAGGTGTGGTCCCAGCTACCGGGGAGGCCAAGGCAGGAGGACTGCTTGAGCCCAGGAGTTCAGTGAGCTGAGATGGCACCACTGCACTTCAGCCTGAGTAACAGAGCAAGATCCTGTCTCAAAAAAACAAAAGAGTATAAACTCAAAAATACACATCAGTGTAGTATGGGAAGTTAATATTTTTAAAAATAAGATAAAATAATAATAAATTAATTTAAAAGTAATAAAAAAATTTTTAAAACAGCACGGGATTCTTGTCCAGAATTGACAACACAAAGGGACTGAAGCGTTCCAGGCCCCAGGAGCAGCCATGCAGCAGGCCTCTTAATTCAGAGAGCAGACAGCGCTCAGGCACCCATGCCAGGCCCGAAATGGTCATCCCTCTGGTGGGCTACCTCTTTTTCTGCTTTTTCAATGTGTCTTCCTGCTTCTGCCCCCTCTACCAGGAGGCCCAGCTCATCACATCGCTCAGACACCAAAGCCCCCCAGTGACCCCTGGTCAGCTGTGGTGGGGCTGCCCTTGGGCAGGGTGCCCAATGCTGGGCCAGTCAGCTGAGGTCAGAGGGGACAGGGCCATGTGGGTCAGGACAGGAAATGCCCACCCTAGGAACGCGCAGCAGGGAGCCGGGAGAAGCTCAGTTTCTCTCAGAGGGGGCTGTAGGCGGGGCATTCATGTGGTGGACAAAAAACCTCCAGGACGCCTTCAGTCCAGCAGCCTTAGTTCACCTCTCCAGGCCAGCCTGGCCTCACCTGACCTCCAGGCACTGCCTTCCCTGGATGTGTACTTGCGAACAGAGGCGAAGATACCTTCCCCCATCTAAGAGCCAGGAGAAATATCACTGATATTTGTTACAAGGGAGAAGCCCCAGCTTTATAAATACCTGCCTACAAAGGGCCCTCACATGTACCCCTCCTCCCTTCCCTCCTCGGCCCCAGCCTCTGGCAGCCACCCCACTTGCTGCCTTTGCCAGGGCTCCAGCAGTAGTGAAAATATTTGGAGATTTTGGCCAACCCACGAAGCAAAAAAAAAAAAAAAAAAAAAAAAGAGCAAAATAAACCACCAAGAAAGCATGGGATTTTAAAATCAGAAAGACCTGGATTTCCTTCTACCTCTGCCACTCGCTAGCTTTATGATCTTAGATCAGGCACTTAACCTCACTCAGTTTCTTCACCTGTGAAGTGGGAGGGACAACACCTAATTCACAAGGTTGTCAGGAGAATGAAAAGCGAAGATATACATGACAAAGCCAGCCCACTACGGGGCACACAGTACAGGCTCACAAATGGCTGCCCCACCATTCCCTTTCTCCTTACATTTTCTTTCTTTTTTTTTTTTTTTGAGACAGAGTCTCACTCTGTCGCCCAGGCTGGAGTGAAGTGGCATCATCTCTGCTCACTGCAAGCTCTGCCTCCCGGGTTCACGCCATTCTCCTGCCTCAGCCTCCCGAGTAGCTGGGGCTACAGGCACCCACCACCACACCTGGCTAATTTTTTTTGTATTTTTTAGTAGAGACGGGGTTTCACCATGTTAGCCAGGATGGTCTTGATCTCCTGACCTTGTGATCTGCCTGCCTTGGCCTCCCAAAGTGCTGGGATTACAGGCGTGAGCCACCACGCCCGGCCCCCTACATTTTCCTTTCCTGTCCTCCTTCAGCATCGCAGCCACACTATATTCCTCATTAATCCCATATATTACTCAGGACTCTTGCTTGCAAGTGACGGTAAACCTTATTCAGACTGGCCAATGAGTGAAAGGAAAGTCTTTGGCTTTGTGGACCTGAACCATCCAGGCACACTGGGCTCCAGGGTACACACGGTACCACCAGGGGTTGGTCTGGCTTTGGACATTTACCAGCTCTGCTTCCCTCATTTTCAGGTGTATTCTTCCTTCATTCATTTATCAAATATTTCTTTTCTTTTCTTTTTTATTTATTTTATTTTTATTTTATGTTTTTTAATTTTTTTTACCAGTCATCTTTTATTTGGGGGTTAATTCCCATTAGGATATGAAAGGATTCAGCAGCGATCGAGATTGTGTTCCTCACGGAGGGGCTCAGGCCTAGAAGGTCGTGGGGTACGGGGTGCAGAGCGTGTCCTCTTCAGTAGCATTTGCGGAGCCGCTCGTGCTTGAGATGCTTGTAGGAGAGGCAGTAGCTGAAGATCACGTAGCATGCCAGCACCATGGTAACCCCCGAGATGCTCCCCTTCTTCACATTGATGTACTTGTTGTAGTACCGGTAGTAACTTCTTCGAAATGCTCCGAAAATGCCACTAGGGCTGAAGTCCCGCGTCAAGATCCAGCTTGGCAACTCCCCCAGTTTGACCTCCAGAAGTTTCTTGTCCTTCACTGGTATGACTGACGCCATCTTGGAGTCGTGGTGTCTTTTTCTTTCTTTTCTTTTCTTTTTTTTTTTTTTGAGACTGGGCAACAAGAGCAAAACTCCGTCTCAAAAAAAAAAAAAAAAAAAAGATTCCTCATGGGCTGCAAGGTGCTGGCCAGGGCTGCTGTCATCTCAAGGCTCAACTGGAGAAGGAACGAGCCACTTACTTCCACGCTTATTCACGGGGCTTTGATAGGTTCAGTTCTTCACCAGGTGCTAGACGGAGGGTCTCAGTTCCTTGTTGGCTATTGCCCAGAGGCCTCGCACAGTTTCTCCAACATGACAGTTTGATGAATCAAAGTAAGCAAGCCAAGAAGGAGAGAGACAGAGAGGCTGCAAGACAGCAGTCACAGGTTTTCATAACCCAATCTCAGGAGCAATATCCACTGCTTTTACCACATAGTCTTTTTTATTTATTTTTTATTTATTTATTTTTTTGAGACAGAGTCTTCCTTATCGCCCAGGCTGGAGTGCAGTGGCATGATCTCGGCTCACTGTGAACTCCGCCTCCCAGGTTCACGCCATTCTCCTGCCTCAGCCTCCCGAGTAGCTGGGACTACAGGCGCCCGCCACCGCGCCAGGCTAATTTTTTGTATTTTTAGGAGAGACAGGGTTTCACCGTGTTAGCCAGGATGGTCTCGATCTCCTGACCTCGTGATCCACCCGCCTCGGCCTCCCAAAGTGCTGGGATTACAGGAGTGAGCCACCGCGCCCAGCCTATTTTTATTTTTTTAAGAGAGGGTCTCATTCCGTTGCCCAGGCTAGAGTCCAGTGGTGCAGTCACGGCTCACTACAGCTTTAACCTCCCAGGCTCAAACGATCCTCCCACCTCAGCCTCCCGAGTAGCTGGGACTACAGACGTGCACCACCACATCTGGCTAATTTTTGTATGTTTTGTAGAGACTAGGTCTCACTATGTTGCCCAGCGTGATCGCAAGCTCCTGGGCTCAAGCAATCCCCCATCTCAGCCTCCCAAAATATCGAGATTTACAAGCGCAAGCCACCTGCCCCCCAGTTTTGCAGTATCCTGTAGGTTAGAAGTAAGTCACCAGATTTAGCCCACGCTCAGGGGAGGGGATTACACAAGGGCGTGACCACCACGAGGCAGGGATCACCTGAGGCTGCCTACCTCAGGGGCCAGTGCAAGAACTTTAGTTTCACTCTAAGTGTCCTGGGAAGCTATTATGGGGTTTTGAGTAAAAATATAGCATAATCCAACTTATGTCTTTACTTTTTTTTTTTGAGATGGAGTCTCGCTCTGTTGCCAGGCTGGAGTGCCGTGGCACGATCTCGGCTCACTGCAACTTCCACCTCCCGGGCTCAAGTGATTCTCCTGCCTCAGCCTCCTGAGTAGCTGGGATTACAGGCACGCGCCACCACGCCCAGCTAATTTTTGTATTTTTAGTAGAGATGGAGTTTCACCATGTTGGCCAGAATGGTCTCGATCTCCTGACTCCGTGATCCACCCACCTCGGCCTCCCAAAGCGCTGGGATTACAGGTGTGATCCACAGTACCCAGCCCAACTTATTTTTAAAGGTCATTCTGAGACCGAGGGCAGTGGCTCACGCCTGTAATCCCAACACTTTGGGAGGTGGAGGCGGGCAGAACACGAGGTCAGGAGATCGAGACCATCCTGGCTAACATGGTGAAACCCTGTCTCTACTAAACATACAAAAAAAAAAAAAAAATTAGCCGGGCATGGTGGCAGGTGCCTGTAATCCCACCTACTCTGGAGGCTGAGGCAGGAGAATCACTTGAACCCGGGAGGGGAAGGTTGCAGTGATCCAGGATCACGCCACTGCACTCCAGCCTGGGCGACAGAGTGAGACTCGGTCTTAAATAAATAAATAAATAAATAAATGTCATTCTGACTCGTGTTGAGCATAGACTGTGGGAGGTGGGGAAGGTGGGAGTTAGGAAACTAGTGAGGAGGGAGGAGGTCAAGCAGGATTCCAGGTGGGAGAGCCAGCTGGCAGCCGTGGACGGGGTGAGGAGTGGCTGGGTTCGGATCTGCCTTGCAGGATTTCCTAATGGATTGAGTGTTGGTGTGAGACAGAGTCAAAGGTAGCTGCAAGGGGTTTGGCTCTGTGCACCTGGAAAGGTGCAGTGTTGAGACATGCAGCAACAGCTCCCCACCCAACTCCATATTCCCCAGCAACCTCAGCAGAGTGAAAAATCCTGCTTCCCAATGACTCCAGCTGGAACATAGGGGAACACAGTAGGCACTCACCACTCATTGTTGAGTGGTAAATAAGTTTATTCAACAGATGTTTATTTCAACCTACTTGGCACCAGGCCCCATGTCTACACAGTGAAGACAGACACAGTCTTTGCATTTCTGAAGTTTGCAGTCAAGCTTCTTATCTGACGAAACTAAGGCAGGTAGAGAAATGAATGATTGGCTATGACGCCCCCCTTCCTGGGGAATGTGGAATCTTTCCCGAAAGTTTTTAGACCACAAGAATGGCCCTCTAAACTTCAGGTTTCAGCCTGGCTATTTCCAGGCAGGGCAGCCTTCTGGGTGCATCTCAGATTACACCTGGGAGGCCACCCCACCCACACATTCAGCCTGCCAGAGCCCTGACCACAAAAAAAGGTGTCCTGAGACAGCCGCCCGCCTTCCTTTTTTTTTTGAGACAAACTCCATCGCCCAAGCTGGAGTGCAGTGACGTGACCTCAGCTCACTGCTCAGCTCAGCACTGCTCAGCTCGGCTTGGCTTCCAGGGCTCAGGTGATTTTCCACCTCAGCCTTCTGAGTAGCTGGGACTACAGGCATGCATCATCACGCCCGGCTAAATTGTGTGTGTGTGTGTGTGTGTGTGTGTGTGTGTGTAGTTTTTGTAGAGACAGGGTCTCGCCATGTGGTCTCAAACTCCTGGGCTCAGGCAATCTGCCCACCTTGCCCACCCCAAGTGCTGGAATTACAGGCATAAGCCACCGCATCCAGCCTCCCCCTTCATTGTTGAGACATTCTCAGTAGCAGTCAGGGTCTCAGCAGCAAACAGAATGTATCCAAAAGGGGTGACCAAGGAGAATTCAACAGAAGAGCTTATTGTGGAGAGGTGGGCAGGGTTGAGGGAAGTCCACAAGGAACAAGGGACAGTGAGGCCCACTGCAGCCAGCAAGAGCCGAGGCCCCTCCCCTCCAGGGCTGGGGAGCAGGGGAAGGAGCAGGGAACCCGAGCCAGGAGACCTGGAGCTTCAGTGGGAGCTGCTGACAGGAGCTATGGCCTTCAGGAGAGGGAGGTAGCCACTGCCCACCAGCAGCCCAGCAGGGAGTGGGTGTCCCATCTACTCCCCTCTCACCCTCCGATTCCTGCTGGTGCCTCCTGCTGGCTGACTGGAACCCAGAGGGCAAGGGAGCCCGTCAGAAGCAGCGGAGAAGTCAGCCTGGTGGGCCCTGGGGCATGGGGAGTGGGGTGGAGTGTGTGTCTGCGGGGCACACAGGGAAGGGCCAGCACACGCTCTTTATCCCAGAGGCCCCACCTGCTTCCTTTGGTCAGGCTGGGAAACTGAGGCAAGAGCAGCTCAGCCTGAGGAATCTGAACTTCACACCAGGCAGAAGCCTGAGGGGTTCGAGCTGGGAAAAGGCACAACCACCATTATGCAGTTTGGGGCTGGTGGGGAGGGGTGTGGGTGTTTGTCTGGCTATCACCATGGCAACCACGCTAAGCTGCCATCTAGGTCAGGCCAGGGAATGGCTGGAAGTCACTTTTTCCATCACCTACCCATTCAGTCCCATCCCTCTTTCCTTCCTCCTTGGCCCCAAACAGAGTGACTTCCCCTGTTGCTCCATTCCCAAGCATGAGAACAATGGATGCTGCTGGCTCAGGGTAGGGTGATAAGCTCGGGCTGGCATACCATGTTGTGGGGGGAGGAAAATAGAGGGGAAGAAGTTACAGAGGGAGATGGCACAGGGGGTACCAGATAACCCAGAGCGAAGGAGGGAGGATTGCGGCAGATGGCCGCTGTCCAGGAGGGGTGACCTGCCACCTAGAACATTCAGCCTGTGGTCAGCAAGCAGCTTTCATTGGTGTGGTGACACCACAGCATACCAAACTCTGTCCTGCCCCTGCCCCTGCCAGTGGGACAAGGAGCAAGGCCCAGGATGGGAGGGGATTTTAGTATTCCCTCCTTGTAAATGCACCAAAAATGGTTACCAGGGAGCTGCAGATTCTAGACAGACAGGGCACCAGGTCTCCCTCCAGGAGGGACTCCTAGAAGAAGGATGTTCCTTTTTGCTTAGAAAGGCAAAGGTGGGAAGGGAGGGGGCCATAGCCTCACTCAGGGGACTTCATTGTGACACAGGCTTTTGATGCTGGTCAGTCCTGCTGGGCGGGGTTACCCCAGGAAGCAGGGCGAGGGCGGCCTGCCAAGCCACTCTCCTCTCCCACAGGCCTCCCCTCAGCCCTGCTCTGCAGCCCCTCTCAGGGCCACTTTGCTCTAATCCTCCTCTCCGCCCTCCTAATTCCAACCTGCCCCCCTGAGCTCATTTAGTTCAGATTCCTCCTCTGCATAAAGTCTTCGATCGCTGGCTACATAGGCTGCACTACCCCAGTGAAATTCCAACACATTCACTGCTTAGAGCACGCAGTTCTCACCCAGCATGATGCAGTTACCTTCCTATGTGGATTGCCTTACTGCCCTACAAACAGCCCAGAATTGCCTCAAACCCACCTCCATGCTGGGTGCATACAGCAGGCACTCAGTGCATACACTCGGATTCAATGAGGAGCAGAGGCAAGATTCTAGGACCTCCCATTGTCAGAGACTTTAATATCAGCTGCTGACATCTTGGGGGTTCCCTAAAAAGGGCAATTACCCCTCACTCTGCCAACGAGGCAAGAGAAAGCTCCATCAGGATCACATTGGTGTCACTCACAGTCACCAAAGCACGTCTTTGCAGACTATCTTATTTGAACCACATTGCAATCTTGTGAGGTACCCATTTAACAGGTGAGGAAATTGAGGGTCAAAGAGGTTAAACGGTATGTCCCAGGGTACAGAGTGAGTCTAGAACACAGGTCCCTAGACACCTAGCTTAACACTTGGAACCCAGGAAAAATACCTGCTATCCAAAGAAGAACAAAAAAGGCTATCAAGCCAGGCGCGGGGGCTCACGCCTGTACTCCCAGCACTTTGGGAGGCCGAGGCAGGTGGATCACTTGAGGCCAGGAGTTCGAAACCAGCCTGGCTAACTTGGTGAAACCCCATTTCTACCAAAAATGAAAAAAAATTACCCGGACATGGAGACACATGCCTGTAATCCCAGCTACTCAGGAGGCTGAGGCACGAGAATCACTTGAACCTGGGAGGCAGAGGTTGCAGTGAGCCGAGGTCGCAGTGAGCCGAGGTCGCGCCACCACACTCCAGCCCGGCCGACAGGGCAAGACTCCGTCTCAAAAAAAAATAAATGCTATGAAGCTGGCAGATACCAGACCCAACATTACTCCAGGGTGGAAAGCAATACTGAAAGAGAGGGAGAAACAACTTGCCCCAGAAGAGGGGAGATGCAATCCCTCCCTCCAGCTCACACAGGGAAGCAGACACACGCATGGAGAAGCAGACAGATGTGAGAGCTCATGACAGTTCCCGGGCTGCCAGCATGGCCGCTCTAAGCCCTCAGAGTTCAAGGGTCCAACCCCAGGTGAAAAGCTCAGAGGAGGGTCTACTCTGCCCAGAACCTCTGAGGGAATGAACGCCACTGGGAGGGGGAGAATACTGGTGCCTGGTAAGGAGAGAAATCCAGTAAACTGAGGCAGGGGCCAGAAGAGGCTGAGAAGGGACAGGACTCCAAAAGCAGCACTCACCTCTAACCTCTATTCCAAAACCACCCTAGTGGGAAAATCCTGGACACTCTACCAGTGAGAAGAAAGGGAGTCCACCCTGAAGTTTGCAAACATAGCTGCACAGGAAAATCACAGGAATTGTTTCTTCGAAGTATAGATTCCTAGGGCTACCTCAGCCTAGCTTGTGGAAATCCTGATGCCCAGGGAGAAGCACAGATTTACTCAATCGGAATCTCTTGGGAGGGCTCAAGCACGAGCATTCCCTTTAAGTCCACTGTATCATTGTACAATCAAGGTTGAGAACCACTGCTTTCAAAAGGCCGGGGGAATCCGTGTGTTGAACGTGTCTCAAGAGATTCTAATGAACCCCAGGTCAGCCCTGCTCTGCTCACAGGTAAATGGGAAACCTTGCTAAAGATAACTCATCCCAAATCATCAAGTGTCGTCTACAAAACCAGCAAGGGGGCGGGTGCGGTGGCTCAAGCCTGTAATCCCAGCACTTTGAGAGGCCAAGACAGGCAGATCACAAGGTCAGGAGTTCAAGACCAGCCTGGCCAACATGGTGAAACCCCATCTCTACTACAAATACAAAAAATTAGCTGGGCACGGTGGTGCGCGTCTATAATCCCAGCTACTGGAGAGGCTGAGGCAGGAGAATTGCTTGAACCTGGGAGGCGGAGGTTGCAGTGAGCCGAGATCTCACCACTGCACTCCAGCCTGGGCAACAGAGCGAGACTCCATCTCAAACAAAAAAACAAACCAGCAAAGGGAATGGCGGGCGCCAGAGACCAGGTCCTGGGGCCATATGGAGAGCTAACAAGGAGAAAAGAGTGGCAAGTGAGTCTCTTCTGGCCCTTTGGCACCTGGGAACAACCAGAGAGCTTGGTCCTCTGGTGGCAGGAGCAGAGCAAGCAAGGGCAGCAGATTTCCATAAGGAAAGCGGCTCCTCCTCCCAGGGCTGGGTTTAACACTTTGCTCTTCAGACACTGTGAAGGGCTGAACCCTTGATAGTAAGTATGTTACCAGACTCCACCAATATCTGAACACGGCCTCTAAAGTTAGGGAGTCGGGGGAACTCCTGCACTATATTTCCTAGCTGTGTGCTCTTGAGAAAGTTACCTCGCTTCTCTGAGCTTCTGTTTCCTCAGCTACCATATGCAGATAAATAATAGCACCTTATGTCCTTGTGTGGTTGTGAAATCAAATGAGATCATTGATGCCTGAGGAGCACTTGGAACAGTACCTGGCACACATAAAGATCAGCTAGTAGGCATAGATATATAAATATCCATATGTGTTTATATAAATATGCATCTATAAATATAATTATATACCTCAAATTATACACATAAAATACAGTTGATCCTTGAACAGCACATGCAAGCATTGGGGCATCAATCCTCAAGCAGTCAAACATAATTTTTTTTTTCAATGACAGCGTTCTCGCTTTTGCCCAGTCTGGTCTTGGACTCGGGTACTCAAGCAATCCCCCAACCTCAGCCTTCTGAGTAGCTGGGACTACAGGCTCCCACACCTGAGTATAACTTTTGGCTCCCCTAAAATTTAACTACCAATAGCCTACTGTTGACTTAGAAGCCTTGCAGATAACATAAACAGTAGGTAAACACGTATTTGATGTTATATGTATTATATATTGCACTCTTACAATAAAGGAAGGTAGAGAAAATATTATTAGGAAAATCATAAGAAAGAGAAAGTGTATTTACTATTCATAAATGGAAGTAGATCAGGCATAAAAGCTGAGGAAGAGGGGGAGGAGGGAGAGGAGGGTTGGTCTTGCTGTCCCAGAGACAGCAGAAAATTCTCGAATAAACGTACTCTCGCAGTTGAACGCCCTGTTGCTCAGGGTCACCTGTATCTGTAAAATGCAATCTTAGTGGAGCGCTGACTATACGCCAGGCACTATTTTAGGCACTTTGCATGCACCTTGTGAGTGGGAGGCCCAGCAGAGCTGACTTGTGAGTTCTGGGACTTTTGGAGAGTCCCTGCGTCCGTCCGTGGGCGGGATCTCCAAGGTGAGGCCGGTGGCCCAGGTTTGGCAAGTTTTCTGCAGCTTTAACACACTCGGCTTCTGAGCCAGATCCTGTCAGGACACCTTCTTCAACCTGCCAAGCGGGGACCCACCCAGGAGTTCCTATTTTTTCCTGATTTGCTCTGAGAAGAGGCCGAAACACCGGGGTACACCCAAGAACGGAGAGGGCTTTCTCCCCACGTGTTAGCCAGGGGGCACATTTCCCCCGCGGCGGCCGCCCATGGCCGGGCCTTGGCAGAGCTGTCCCTCGAATCCGGGCCGAGCCGGGGCCGGCCCCGAAACCCGCTCTGGGAGGGAAGCCACGCCCGGCCCCAGGAAAGGAGCGACGGGAGGGCCCGCGGGAACGGCCTGGCCCAGGCCCGCGCGCCCTGCCCTGTGTTCCCGGGAGGCGCGGTCTCCTGGCGGCAGGGGAGTCCCGGGAGGGCGCAGGGCGGCGCAGAGCCTGGGATCCCCGAGGGTCAGGGCGAGCCGGCGGCCAGGGCGCGGCCGGGCGGGGAAGCCAGGGGCGGAGGGGGCGCGGTAAGCCCACGGAGGGCTGACTCATCCTGGCGCCGCCCTGACTCACCCGCGGCCGCCCTGGCAGCCCCGTCCTGCCGCGCCCCCTCGCGGCCACGCGCGGAAGCGCAGCCGGGGTGCCCCGCCCCGCCCCGTCCGCGCCCTCCTCGGAGCGCCGAGCTGGCTTTGAGCTCTGGCGAGAAAGCGCCAATCGGCGGCAACCCGGGAATCCAAGGACATATGGGGTGCATTGGAGTATTTTTCCATTTTCTTGTAGATAATGAGGTCTCGCTCTGTCGCCCAGGCTGGAGCGCAGTGGCGCGATGTCGGCTCACTGCAACCTCCACGTCCCAGGCTCAAGCGATCCTCCCGCCTCTGCCTCCTGGGTAGCTGGGACCACAGGGGCGCGCCGCCACACCCGACTAATTGTTTCGTTTTTTGTAGAGGCCGGGTATTGCGGTGTTGTCCAGGCTGGTCTGGAACTTCTGGCCTCAGCCCATCCTTCGGTCTCGGCTCCCAAAGCGCTGGGATTATAGGCATGAGCCACTGCCCCCGCGCCCACTTCTGCTTCTAAAAAATGAGTTTCAGGGCCCTCTCCTGGTACCCCAAGCCAAGGCCAAGTGGGAACTGGAAGCTGGAACAGCCCAACTACCCACCCAGCCTGCAGAGGAGAGACCAGAAATAGCCCTTAGCTTCCAGGGAGATGGCGAGTGACCTGATCCTGCGCCTGGTCGGCAGGCCCTTGAGAGCAGTGGCCTCCTCTGTCTTGCTCTCCACCCGATCCTGACTTGTAAGCCCCGTTTGCCCGCATAGTCCCACAATGTACGAAATGAATGGATGGATGAGGGGCTCTGGGGTGCAAGGGAGAAGGAAGCAGGCAGAAAAGCCTTCCTCATCGGGGGGCTTCCTCCTCCACTGTCATCCGCAAGGGACTAAGGTCCTGAATGTGAGTGCCCAGCAGATCCATGCCTGGCCCCAGCACCCTGACTCACAGCCCTCTGCCTGGGACAGTTACCCATTTCTCCTTCCCGGTGGAGCTGGGTCCTGAGATGGTGGCAAATTCACTGGCGTTGAACAGAGACTGGACTAACGAGGGTGACCAGCACTTACCCGGTGCCACCTACCATTGTGCTGAGCCTTTGTGCATAGTTTTGTATTTAATACACCTACCGTGGGCGGGAGGGGGCTGCTATTGTTGTGCCCATACTAGGAGAAGGGAGTGAAGACTTAAGGAATGGCATAAGGATCATTTGCATAGCTCTTAGTTATTTGAGCAACACATTCATTTAATTCCACAGCAATGTGGGGAATGAGGGACTCTTCCCTGCTTTCCAGGTCAGCAACAGGAAAAACAAATGATTTGCTCAAGGCCACACAGCCCCAGTCCTCAAACACCAAGTTCTGGCCTTTTTCCATTTCCGGCCACTGCCACTCCACCTTTCCCCACCCCTAGGCAGCAAGAGTGACTCACTCTCTGAACTCACTCCACATCCCAATTCCAGCACCCATGAGTAACTCTCCCTTTGGATAGCTTTGCACCAAGAACAAACCTAAACAAACCCTCTGCTGGGAGGTGAACTCCTCCTTCTGTTTTGTTCCTGCTGTGTCTCCAGTTCCTAGAATGGCCAGCTCCTGGGGCTCAATAGGTTTGTTCAGTGAACGAAACCTAGACCAAAGGATGCCAGGCAGTGCCTAACAGACCTCCAAAAGACTGGAGGAGAAGGAAGTGAAGGAGTGGGGGTGGGAGTCAGTTCTGGTCCTAAACCTCCCCGGAAAGAAAAGAGATACTTCCTAGCGTTCCTTTAGTGGCCAGTCTTCATGCCTCATATCCTATGGGGTCAGAAAATTCTTCCTCAAATCTAGCCTTGATCTTATTCTCACATTCCCCACACACCTTAGGGGCAGGAAATGAGGTTGGTGTCCTCCAGGCTCCACATGGCTGCTTCCAGAAGTTACGCCCCACCCCCACCCCCACCGCACCCCCTCATGAACATCCTTTCAGGGCATCCCATTCCAGCGCTCTCTCCTCGTCGCTGTCTTCCTCTGGCCTCCTGCTCGGCCCCTGGCTCCCGTCTTGCTCTGCACCCACTCCTCTCATTATTCTAGGCAGCCTCCTCATCCGCGCGGGGGACCTGTCTGCCACCAGGGCCTCCTTGTTCCTTGTCCTCTTCTGCTCTGCTGACCACTTCCTCCACCCCAGCCTCCCACTCCTGGGGCACATCCTGACCTTGTCCTTTACCTGAAACTGACCTACCTCCGAGGCCCTGTCTCCATCCCCCTCTCTGTCCACCTGTCCCCCAAGGCCATCCCTCCTCTGGTTTCTCCTCTCACTTCAACCAGTAGAGAGACAAGGGTTCCTCATGAGAGCCACTCCTTTGCAGAAGTCCCCCATTCCCTTCCCTCTCTCTCCCTCCCGTCATACTCTCCTGACAAAGCCTTGCCCCAGATGAACCGCTCCAGGCCACACCAACAGCGCCCAGCATTGGTGGAGGAAACACAACCACCAGAGCAGATGAGGGCACTGTCACTTCTTGTCGTCACCCTCCAGTGGGCTCCCAGTGGCACCAACAGACCTAAGATGTTTGTGAAGTTGGTTCTCGCCCACTCTCCGCTGTGGCCACCATGCACAGTCTCCAGTGGCCTAGAACTCTTCTCCCCCAACCACGCCCCCTATTTCAGCTGACACACTGCTCCCTTCGTGGGGGATGTAGAGTCATCAGACAAGAACTTTCTTAACTTCCTAAGGCCAAATTCACCACTTACATGAGACCCCGCCTCCTATTTCTTTCCTGATAGCACAAAAGAGGGGCCCCCAAAAGCCAGCTGTCCACAGGCACTCTGGACTCTGTCCTCTCATGTGTCCCCACTCTGCTGACTGCATCTTTACCCTCTCCCTGCCAGATCTTCCCTTCAGCATCAAAACATGCATTTGGGGGCTGGGTGCGGTGGCTCACACCTGTCATCCCAGCACTTTGGGAGGCCAAGGCGGGCAGACCACCTGAGGTTAGACGTTCGAGACCAGCCTGGCCAACGGGGGGAAATCATCTCTACTAAAAATACAAAAATTAGCCGGGCGTGGTGGCGCTCGCCTGTAATCCCACCTACTCTGGGGGCTGAGGCGGGAAAATCGCTTGAACCCAGGAGATAGAGTTTGCAGTGAGCCGAGATCGTGCTGCTGCACTCCAGTCTGGGTGAAGGAGTGAGACTGTCTCAAAACAAAACAAAACAAACAAAAAACATGCATTTGGTAACACGGGCATCTTAAAAAGCCAAAACGATCACCCAAAGCTCCCTCCTTTCCACCTCCCCCTCACTCACGACTGCGCCCCGTTTCTCTGCTGTCTTTCAGAGCCCAGCTTCTCCGGAGCTGCCTGCTCACGAGGCTGCACTCCCTCTGGCCTCTGCCACTCCCTCCCGGCTGGGCTGAAACTGCTCTTGTCCAAGTCACCAACAGCCTCTGCGCTGCCTGCCGAGCACAGTGGGTGCCTCGTCCTCTCCCCATCGTCCTTCACAGTGGTCGCCTCCATTGTAGGCCGCTCCCTGCTCAGTCAGCTCCTGGCACTGAGCCTCCTGCTTTTCCTCCCACTCTGTGCCTCCTCCACCCAACTCTAAGCATCAGGGGCTGGTCTCGGCCCCCTTCCTCTCCATTTGCAATCTGCCTAGGCCTAGGCCATCGCTTACCTTAGATACCATCCCCAGCACCTTGACTCCCAAAGTCTCTCTCCGGCACAGACTTCCATTCAGCTCAAGACTCATACCTGACTGCCTACTTGACCTCACCACTTGAAAGCCTCCAGGACCTTAAAACAGAGCCTCACTGTCCACCCGTCCCATCAGCAGGCCCACACCACATGACAGGCCAGCCCCACTGTGACCCACACCACAGAACACCCTTGCACTTTTCACTGCGCCCAATCTCTCCTCCACCCCAGCCAGAGTGATTCTGGAATTTGTACCATGTTCATGTATTTTATAATTTCTAAAACATTAATTAAAAATAAAAAAAAACTTGAAAGCAGGGTATCAAAGAGATACCTGTACACCCAGGTTTATAGCAGCGTTATTTGCAGCAGCCAAAAGATGGAATCTGCCAGGGTACAGTGGCTCACACCCATAATCCCAGCACTTTGGGAGGCCAAGGCAGGAGGATCACTTGAGCCCAGGAGTTCAAGACCAGCCTGGGCAACATGGCAAGGCTCTGTCTGTACAAAATTTTTTTTTTTTAATTTAAAAAATTAGCTTGGTGTGGTGGTGCTTGCCTGTAGTCCCAGCTACTCGGGAGGCTGACGCAGGAGGATCACTTGAGCCCAGGAGGTTGAGGATGCAGTGAGCTATGTTTGTGCCACGGCACTCCAGCCTGGGCAACAGAGTGAGACTCTGCTGCAAAAACAAAACAAAACAAAACAAAAAAACAAAAAAAGGAATCTTCCCAGTGTCCATCAGCAGATGAGTGGATAAACAAAATGCTACATACAGTGGAATATTATTCAGCCTTAAAAAGGAAGGAAATTCTGACACATGCTATAACATGAATGAACAGTGAGGACATTATGCAAAGTGAAATAAGCCAAGGACAAGCACTGTATGATTCCACTTAGCATCGTCAAGATCACAGAGACAGAAGTAGAATGGCGGTTGCCCGGGGGAGAGGAGAATGGGGGGTTATTGTTTAATGGGTTCAGACTTTCAGCTTGGCAAGGTGCAAAGAGTTCTGGAAATAGGTTGCACTGCAGTGTGAACGCATTTAGCACAACTGAAATGTACCCTTAAAAATGGTTAAGATGGGGCCAGGCATAGTGGCTCACGCCTGTAATCCTAGCACTTTGGGAGGCTGAGGCGGGTGGATCACCTGAAGTCAGGAGTTTGAGGCCAGCCTGACCAACCTGGAGAAACCCCATCTCTACTAAAAATACAAAATTAGCTGGGCATGGTGGCGCATGCCTGTAATCCCAGCTACTCAGGAGGCTGAGGCAGGAGAATCACTCGAACCCAGGAGGCGGAGGTTGTGGTGAGCGGAGATCACGCCATTGCACTCCAACCTGAGCAACAAGAGCGAAAGTCCGTCAAAAAAAAAAAAAAAAAAAAACGTTAGGATGGTACATTTTATGTTGTTTTTTTTTGCCATTATTAAAAAGAAAAACCCATAAATTAGCTCAAGTTTCTTTCTCCCTTGCTTTTACTTTTTGGTTCTTTGAGAGGAAGTCTTGCTCTGTCGCCCAGGCTGCAGTGCAATGGCGTGATTTCGGCTCACTCTGCCTCCCGGGTTCAAGTGATTCTCCCGCCTCAGCTTTCACCATGTCGGTCAGGCTGGTCTCGAGCTCCTGACCTCAGGTGATCCACCTGCCTTGGCCTCCCAAAGTGCTGAGATTACAGGCGTGAGCCACTGGCCCAGCCTCTCCCTTGTTTTAAACTCCACGATGGTGTACTGTTTCCCTTAGAATAAAGTCTGAATTACTGACCTGGCCTAGAAAGCCCTGCTGACTGCACCCCCTGCCCAGCCAGGCCGGGCTCTCCCTCCCTGAAGACAGTCCCGGCTTCACCTTGAGCTAATATGCTGTTTCCTCGGACAGGCCTCCCCTAGCCAGTGTACCTGCAGGTTTCCCCACCGTCTCTGCTGTGCCCTGTTCATTTCTTTGGAGCACAGTTCCCAGTGTGTAGCTACACGCTTGTGTGTTTAGTGTCTATCTCCAACCCCCACGACCGCCGTCACCACCTCCTCCAGGCATGAAGCCCCCCGAAGGCAGGAACCAACGCTGCTTGGTCGCCAGACTGTCCTCAGCACCCAGCACAGCTCTGGACATGTCCTTGGTGCCTTCCACATCTTTGCTGATGAATGGGTGAGGCTCTCTCTCAGTGCAGCAACAGCGCAGAGCTGGACACTCCAGGAACTGAACCCCAGCCTCACCACTTCCTAGCTGTGTGACCCGGGCAATCTTTAGCCTCTTTGAACTTCAGGCTCTTCATTGGTAAAATGGAGACATCTTGCAAGGTAGTTTGAGGCTTGTATTAAATAACCTATAAAAAGTGTTTTCCCCTGGTCAACCAACTGGTCCCTAACATCACTGTATTCTACCCCTTCAAGGGGATACTACTACTTAGGCAATAATTCTTGACTTTTGGTGGGAGAAGACGGTCACATACACCTTTGAGAACTTGATTACAACTATAAACTACCTCTAGATAGAGGTATATACACTTACTCAGACATATATATATAAATTCTGAGGTTCACTGACCATAAAAAGTCCTACCATGGTTGCCAGGTTAAGAACCCTGAATGTAAGGAAAGAAACGAAATTAATGTGGTTAAAGAGCTGAAAGCTCTTTGGGTAGCCGTCAAGAATACGTGGAGAAGAATAGGAACGCCAGACCCAGGGGGGTCCAAGGCTGGCGTCCCTAGTGCCACAGTGCCCTCTGGTGGTAGATCATAATCATTGCTGCGTACTCCCAGGCCAGAGGAAGAAATGTAGGACTCGGAAAATGCCGGAGTCCACTCTGTCTCCCCTCAAGCCTCCAGATTTGTACACCCATCTGTCCTTCAGTCATCTTCCCCACAGCCCATCTCTTAGGAATTTGATATCTCTTAAGGCAGTGAAATGTTTCTCAGAGTGAGGCCCAAGGACAGTTTACTCAACAGGTCCTCAGGTAGACAGATAGTTTCAGAGGACAAAGTGATCAACAATTTTGTTCCTCTACTTTTCACAGATCTGAAAAATGACAGCGATTATGGCTGTGACAGAAATATCATTACGTTCTAATAATGATTATGTTTTTAATAATTATTACAATCTTAAAATTGGCACAAGGGGTTTCCAGGACTGCTTGAATTACCTTGACTAATCCTTTTGTTGGCTTGTTTGTTTTTTGAAACAGGGTCTTACTCTGTTGCCCAGGCTGGAGTGCAGAGGCTCAGTCTCAGCTCACTGCAGCCTCAACCTCCGGGGCTCAAGAGATCCTCCCACCTCAGCCTCCCAAGTAGCTGGGACCACAGGCATGTACCACCATGCCTGGCTAATTTTATTTTTTGTGGGGACAAGGTCTCACTATGTTTCCCAGGCTGGTCTCCAACTCCTGGGCTCAAGCAATCCTCCTACCTCAGCCTCTCAAAGTGCTGGGATTACAGGCATGAGCCACTGTGCCCAGCCACCTGGGCTAATCTTATTTTCCATCCTATGCATGTTGTTGTTTATATTTTAAAATATGCTTTATGCATTCATATGCTTGTGCAATATCTGCAAATTACAAAAGTTATTAAATGGCTCAAAAGTGCTTCACTGACTCATCAGAGTAGCAATGAAAATGAAAATATACATCTGACAGCTCAGAATAATGTCATCCACATAAACAGTGAACAGGATTTCACTGGGAATATAAAATAGCTGTATGTGCTAGGAAGAAGGAAAAATGTAAATGATTATTTAGCCCAAGCAGCAAAGAGAAACTGTAGAGAAGAGCTACCTCAGAGAGTATCTAGAAACTGGGTTTTACTGGCTATTCACTCCTTGTCCTCAGTGAATTATCTGCTATGAAATGTCAGATCTTGGCTCGAAGTCATCAGATCTTTTGTATCAGTCACAATCAGAGTCTACTGATTTATTTTTTTTTCCAGAATAAGCAGAAAGCAACATTTCCCAGAATAAAAATTTAATTTTGTGCAAGAATATAGCATATCCTTCAAAACTGCCCTCACTCTTACAGCTGCAAGTCACTGGATGGCAAAGAAGTCAGACAAACCAGCTGGGAGGTTAATGACATTAATACTTACAGAGAAGCAGTTTTATCAAATGCCACTGTTGCATGTCACATAACCATGGCAACCAGCACACAAGAGCAATCACCATGATGTGTATGTACTAGCAGAGTCCTTTTTTTTTTTTTTTTTTTGAGACGGAGTCTCGCTCTGTTGCCCAGGCTGGAGTGCAGTGGTATGATCTCAGCTCACTGCAACCTCCAAGTGATTCTCCTGCCTCAGCCTCCTGAGTAGCTGGGATTACAGGCGCGTGCCACCATGCTTGGCTATTTTTTTTTTTTTTTGTATTTTTAGTAGAGATGGGGTTTCACCATGTTGGCCAGGCTGGTCTTGAACTCCTGACCTCATGATCCGCCCACCTCGGCCTCCCAAAGTGCTGGGATTACAGGCGTGAGCCACCGCGCCCAGCGAGAGTCCTCTTTATGGCTGCAAAACTCCTGATGTACAGACTGAAATGGCTTTTGTGTGACTCAGGCTGCAGTCATGAAGGACACATTCCTTTCAACATGGTCTTGTGGAAACAGGCAGCATGTACAAGGGAATGCTTCCCCATCACTCCAACGCCCCACCCCACACACACACCATGAGCTACTCTGACCCTAGAGAGCAAAGGTGAACTGCGTTTTGTTTTAATTTGGCATTTTAATTGAGATACAATTCACATAATTTAAAAGTCACCATTTTAGGCCAGGCGTGGTGACTCATGCCTGTAATCCCAGCTCTTTGGGAGGCCGAGGTGGGCGGATCATGAGGTCAGGAGTTGGAGACCATCCTGGCTAACACGGTGAAACCCCGTCTCTACTAAAAATACAAAAAATTAGCCAGGCATGGTGGTGGGCACCTTGTAGTCCCAGCTACTTGGGAGGCTGAAGCAGGAGAATGGCGTGAACCCGGGAGGCGGAGCTTGCAGTGTTGCAGTGAGCCGAGAGCGCACCACTGCAGTCCAGCCTGGGCGACAGAGCAAGACTCCATCTCAAAAAAAAAAAAAAAAAAAGTCACCATTTTAAAGACCAGGTACAATGGCTCACACCTGTAATACCAACACTTTGGGAGAACAAGGCAGGCAGATCGCTTGAGCTCAGGGGTTTGAGATCAGCCTGGACAACATGCCCAAGCTCCATCTCTACAAAAAATAAAATAATTAGCCCGGTGTGGTGGTGTGCACCTGAGGTGGGAGGATCACTTGAGCCTGGGAGGTTGAGGCTGCAGTGAGCTCTGATTGTGCCACTGTACTCCAGCTTGAGCGAAAAAGTGAGACCGTATTTAAAAAACAAAAAAAAAGTTAGTCCGAATTCTCTCCCTATGCTGTCCCCTGGCAACTGCTAATCTATTTTCTGTCACTATGGATTTGCCTATTCTGGACATTTTATATAAATGGAATCACACAATATCTGACTGGCTTCTTAACAAAATGTTTTCAAGCTTCATGCATGTGGTAGTATGCAACAGAACTTCATTCCTCTTTACGGCTGAATAACATTCCATTGTATGGTTATGCCACATTTTGTTCATTCATTAATCACATCACTGGATGGACATTTGAATTACCTTGGCTAATTTTTTTTTTTTTTTAAGAAAGGTTCTCACTCTGTTGCTCAGCCTGGAGTGTAGTGGCGTGATCTTGGCTCACTGCAGCCTCAACCTACCAGGCTCAAGAGATCCTCCCGCCTCAGCCTCTCAAATAGCTGGGACTACACATGCCACATTTAGTTCATTCATTCATCACATTGCTTGATGGATGTTGGGGTTGTTACTACTTTTTGGTATTATGAATAATGCTGCTGTGAACATGTATGTACAAGTCTTTGTGTGAACATGTTTTCTCTTCTCTCAGATATATACCAACAAGTGCAATTGCTGAGTTATATGGTGATTCTATATTTAACTTTTTGAGGAGCTGCCAGACTGTATTCCACAGCAGCTGAATCACTTTACATTCCCACCACCAGTATATGCGGGCTCCGATTTCTCTATAATCACACCAACACTGGTTTTTTGGTTCTTTTTTTTTTTTTTTGAGATTGAGTCTCGCTCTGTCACCCAGGCTGGACTGCAGGGGTGCCATCTCGGCTCACTGCAACACTGCAAGCTCCACCTCCCGGGTTCATGCCATTCTCCTGCATCAGCCTCCCAAGTAGCTGGGACGACAGGTGCCCACCACCACGCCCTGGCTAATTTTTTTGTATTTTTAGTAGAGATGGAGTTTCCCTGTGTGTTAGCCAGGAATGGTCTCGTTCTCCTGACCTCGTGATCTGCCCGCCTCGGCTTCCGAAAGTGCTGGGATTACAGGCGTGAGCCACCGCGCCCGCCTGTTTTCCTTTTTTTTATTGTATAGCTATCCTAGTGGATGTGAAGGGATATCTCATTGTGGTTTTGATTTCCATTTCCCTAATAACTAATGAAGTTGACCATCCTCTCATGTGTTCATTAGCCATTTCTATATCTTCTTTGAAGACTATTCAGATGCTTTGCTCATTTTTCAAATTGGGTTGTCTTGACTGTTGAGTTGTAAGAGTTCTTTGTATAGGCCGGGCACGGTGGCTCACGCCTGTAATCCCAGCACTTTGGGAGGCCAAGGCGGGTGGATCACCTGAGTTCAGGAGTTCAAGACCAGCCTGACCAATATGGTGAAACCCTGTCTCTACTAAAATAACAACAACAACGACAACAACAAAAAATAGCCGGGCGTGGTGGCGGGCACCTGCAGTCTCAGCTGCTCGAGAGGCTGAGGCAGGAGAATCACTGGAACCCAGGAGGTGGAGGTTGCAGTGAGCCGAAATTGCGCCATTGCACTCCAGCCTGAGAGACAGAGCGAGATTCCATCTCAAAAAAAAAAAAAAAAAAAGAGTTGTTTGCGTATTCTGGATGTTAGGCCCTTATCAGGTAGATATTTTGCAAATATAGTCTTCCATTCTGTGGATTGTCTTTTCACTATCTTGTTGGTATCCTTTAACCTACAATGTTTTTAATTTTAGTAAAGTTTGATTTATCTTATTTTTTCTTTGATTCTTGTGCTTATTTCTAAGAAACCATTTCCTAATTCAAAATCATAGAGATTTTCACCTGTTTCTCCGTTTTTTGTTTTTTGTTTTTTTGAGACAGGGTCTCCTTCCGCTGCCCAGGCTGGAGTACAGTGGTGCGACGTCGGCTCACTGCAGCCTCAACCTCCCAGGCTCAAGTGCTCCTCCCACCTCAGCCTCCCAAGAAGCACACCATCATGCCTGGCAAATTTTGTTTTATATTTTGTAGAGACAGGGTCTCACTATGTTGCCCAGTCTCCACCTATATTTCCTTCTCAGATTTTTATAGTTTTAGCTCTCACATTTAGATCTTTGATATATTTTGAGTTAAGTTTTACGTATGGTATGATATGAGTTCAAATTCATTCTTTTGCATGTGGACATCGATTTGTTTCAGCATCATTTGTTGAAAAGGCTATTCTTTCCCCCACTGAATGGTTTTGGTAATGTTGGTAGAAGTCAATCGACCATAGATGAGTGGACTGGATTCTGTTCCGTTGGTGCATGGACTGGATTCTATTCCATCCGTGTGTGGACTGGATCCTGTTCCGTCGGCGCGTGGACTGGATCCTCTTCCGTCGGCGCGTGGACTGGATCCTGTTCCGTCGGTGTGTGGACTGGATTCTATTCCCGTCGGTGTGTGGACTGGATCCTGTCCCGTCGGTGTGTGGACTGGATTCTATTCCCGTCGGTGTGTGGACTGGATCCTCTTCCGTCGGTGCGTGGGCTGGATCCTGTTCCGTCGGTGCATGGACTGGATTCTGTTCCGTCGGTGTGTGGACGGGATTCTATTCCCGTTGGTGTGTGGACTAGATCCTCTTCCGTCGGCGCGTGGACTGGATCCTGTTCCGTCGGTGTGTGGACTGGATTCTATTCCCGTCCGTGTGTGGACTGGATTCTATTCCCGTCCGTGTGTGGACTGGATTCTGTTCTGTCGGCGTGTGGACTGGATCCTCTTCCGTCGGCGCGTGGACTGGATCCTGTTCCGTCGGTGTGTGGACTGGATCCTCTTCCGTCGGCGTGTGGACTGGATCCTGTTCCGTCGGTGTGTGGACTGGATCCTGTTCCGTCGGTGTGTGGACTGGATTCTATTCCCGTCGGTGTGTGGACTGGATCCTGTCCCGTCGGTGTGTGGACTGGATTCTATTCCCGTCGGTGTGTGGACTGGATCCTCTTCCGTCGGTGCGTGGGCTGGATCCTGTTCCGTCGGTGCATGGACTGGATTCTGTTCCGTCGGTGTGTGGACGGGATTCTATTCCCGTTGGTGTGTGGACTAGATCCTCTTCCGTCGGCGCGTGGACTGGATCCTGTTCCGTCGGTGTGTGGACTGGATTCTATTCCCGTCCGTGTGTGGACTGGATTCTATTCCCGTCCGTGTGTGGACTGGATTCTGTTCTGTCGGCGTGTGGACTGGATCCTCTTCCGTCGGCGCGTGGACTGGATCCTGTTCCGTCGGTGTGTGGACTGGATCCTCTTCCGTCGGCGTGTGGACTGGATCCTGTTCCGTCGGTGTGTGGACTGGATCCTGTTCCGTCGGTGTGTGGACTGGATTCTATTCCCGTCCGTGTGTGGACTGGATTCTGTTCTGTCGGTGTGTGGACTGGATTCTATTCCCGTCGGTGCGTGGACTGGATCCTGTTCCGTCGGTGCATGGACTGGATTCTGTTCCGTCGGTGTGTGGACGGGATTCTATTCCCGTTGGCGTGTGGACTAGATCCTCTTCCGTCGGCGCGTGGACTGGATCCTGTTCCGTCGGTGTGTGGACTGGATCCTGTTCCGTCGGTGTGTGGACTGGATTCTATTCCCGTCCGTGTGTGGACTGGATTCTGTTCTGTCGGTGTGTGGACTGGATTCTATTCCCGTCGGTGCGTGGACTGAATCCTGTTCCGTCGGTGCATGGACTGGATTCTGTTCCGTCGGTGTGTGGACGGGATTCTATTCCCGTTGGCGTGTGGACTAGATCCTCTTCCGTCGGCGCGTGGACTGGATCCTGTTCCGTCGGTGTGTGGACTGGATTCTATTCCCGTCCGTGTGTGGACTGGATTCTATTCCCGTCCGTGTGTGGACTGGATTCTGTTCTGTCGGTGTGTGGACTGGATTCTGTTCCATCCGTCTGTTTATCTATCCTTATGCCAATATCACATCGTCTTGATTACAGTAGCTTTGTAGTAAGTTTTGAAAATTAGGAAGTATGAATCCTTTAACTGTGTTCTTTTTCAAGTTTGTTTTGTTTATTTTAGGTCCCATGCAATTCTGTATGAATTTTAGGATCAGCGTGTCCATTTCTGGGGTTTGGGGGGACAGTTTCTATAGAGATTGCATTGAATCTGTAGATAAATTTGGTATCAACATCTTAACAATATTAAGTTTTTAGACAATAAACATAGGCTGTCCTTTGATTTTATTTAGACCTTGTTTAATTTCTTTCAACAATATTTTTCAGTGTACAATTATTGCATTTCTTTGGTTAAATTTATTCCTGGCAGGGCGCAGTGGCTCACGCCTGTAATCCCAGCACTTTGGGAGGCTGAGGCGGGTGGATCACGAGGTCAGGAGATTGAGACCATTGTGGGTAACACAGTGAAACCCTATCTCTACTAAAAATACAAAAAATTAGCCAGGCGTGGTGGCGGGCACCTGCAGTCCCAGCTACTTGGGAGGCTGAAGCAGGAGAATGGCGTGAACCCGGGAGGCAGAGTTTGCAGTGAGCCGAGATGGTTCCACTGCACTCCAGCCTGGGCGAAAGAGTGAGACTCCGTCTCCAGAAAAAAAAAAAAAAAAAAAAAAAAAAACGCTTATTCCTAAGTATTCTATTCATTTTGATACTATTCTAAGCAGACGGTCTTCTTAATTTCATTTTCAGGTTATTCATTGCTAGTGCATAGAAATGCAACTGATTTTTGTACATAGAAGAGCCCGGAACTAGTAATGTAAGTGATCTTGTATCCTGCAACTCTGCTGAACTGTTTTATAGCTCTAATTATTTTTTGTAGATTCTAATTATTTTTGTAGATTCCTTAGGGTTTTCTATATATAATATCACGTCATTTGCAAACAGAGATAGTTTTACTTTTTCCTTTCCATCACACAAGTTTTTCTAAATGCAGGATGACACTTTGTGACATTGATATGCTAACGAAGAGCATTCATCTAATTGCAAAGGGTTTGTTCAAGTAGTGTATCTTAGTGACACACCAGAACCTATGACTCAGGACCAGCATTTTACAACCTTAATGTTAGAAATAAAATACCAGGATTTCTTGAACTTAGAACTCTGGCACAGTTGCAACATCAACGCTTTACTATTTCCCAACATTGGATTTTTTTTTAGAAAGAAATCAAAAACATATTATTGAGTATATTTTAAAACCACTGAGATTAAAAGGTAAACTTCATGTTATGTATATTTTACCACAATAAAAAAACAGTTGAAATTCAACATCAGAACATGAAGTACTTTCCAACGAAGCCAAAGGTTGGATAAGAAATCTATTTTCCACCATCACCCAGGGTTAAAACAATCTTCCAAATTTTGAATGTAGTGTACTTACAGATGTAGTTCCTGGTGGTGTGGCAAATCACCTTCCCCAAGAATGTCCACCACAGTAGTCTGACACCAAGCTGAATATAAACAATCTAATGAAGATGACAATGTCCTTCTCCTTGATTTAAAACAGAGACACTGTTGTTACTTTTTTCGTGTTTTAATACATTATTTTAAAATTTGAGACAAAATTTCTTCTGAGACAGGGTCTTGTTCTGATGCCCAGGCTGGAGTGCAGTGGTGTCATCATAGCTTACTGCAGCCTTGACCTCCCAGGCTCAAGCAATCCGACCACCTCAGCCTCTGCAGGCAACTGGGACCACAGGTGGTGCACCACCACACCAGCAGTGACAATTTTTTTTTTTTTTCCAAGACAGGATCTCACTCTATCACCCAAGCTGGAGTGCAGTGGCATGATCTTGGCTCACTGCAACCTTCGCCTCCCGGGTTCAAGTGGTTCTCCCACCTCAGCCTCTCAAGTGGCTGGGATTACAGGCGCCCACCACAATGCCCGGCTAATTTTTGTATTTTTAGTAGAGATGGGGTTTTGCCATATTGGCCAGGCTGGTCACGAACTCCTGACCTCAAGTGGTCTGCCTACCTTGGCCTCCCAAAGCACACAGATTACAGGCATGACCCACTGGTGGCGCCTAGCTGACAATTTTTTAAGTTGACCCAAAATTTTGGCACTTTGTGTGTATTAAACACCCATTAAAATGACCCACGAAAGCCCAAGTTTGAGACATTTATTTGATAGAAAGAGCACTGGGTGGCCAGGCGTGGTGGCTCACACCTGTAATCCCAGCACTTTGGGAGGCCGAGACGGGTGGATCACCTGAGGTTAGGAGTTCGAGACCAGTCTGGCCAACATGGTGAAACCCTATCTCTACTAAAAATACAAAAAAATTAGCTGGGCGTGGTGGCAGGTGCCTGTAATCCCAGCCACTTGGGAGGCTGAGGCAGGAGAATTGCTTGAACCCAGAAGGTGGAGGTTGCAGTGAGCCGAGATCCTGCCATTGCACTCCAGTCTGGGTGACAGAGCAAGACTCTGAAAAAAAGAAAGAAAGAAAGAGAGAGAGAGAGAGAGAGAGAGAAAGGAAGGAAAGAAGGAGGGAAGGAAGGAAGAAAGGAAAGAAGGAGGGAAGGAAGGAGGGAAGGAGGGAGGGAAGGAGGGAGGGAAGGAAGGAAGGAAGGAGCGACCGAGCACTGGGCCACGTGTGGTGACTCAAGACTCTGTCAAAAAAGAAAGAGAGAGAGAGAGAAAGAGAGAAAAGAAAGAGTGAGCACTGGGCCAGGTGTGGTGGCTCAAGCCTGTAATCCCAACACTTTGGAAAGCCAAGGCAGGAGAATTGCTTGAGTCTAAGAGTTAAAGACAAGCCTGGGCAACACAGAGAGACCCATCTCTGTTAAAAAAAAAAAAAAAAAAAAAAAAGTTTAAAGAAAGCACTGAACTATGAGCCAGGAGCTCTAAATTCTAGTCCTGTTTTTGACCTTGGCTGTGTTAAGCAACCTTTATAAGCCAGTGTTTACTCATTTTCAAATGGATTGATATTTCTTGCCCTGGCTTCCTCACAGGGCTTCTGTGACAAGCAAATGAGAAAATAGATGCACAAATGCTTTGTAACCTATAAGACTTTGTGCAAATGTGTGAAATGAAATAATCTTTCCAAAGTCCACCTGTCCCTCTAGCTTCCCTTTCTCTTGGTTCCTTTATACAACATATATACATCTCTGCCTGTTGCCAAACAACTGCCTCTCCCAGCTTCACATTTATGTATCTGCCACCACTTTGGGGAACAAACTCTGCTTGTCCCTGGTGGAGAAAGGGGCCAGGTCTCCTAATCCTGCTCTAACTCTTCCTGGAGTCTCTCTCTCTCCATCTCCTGGGCTCCTCCTCTAGTTATGCAGAGGGAACAGGGCTTCTGATCAGCTTAGAGCTGCCCGGTTCTCTCTCACTCAGTGGACGTGGTCCCAGCCCTGACTGCAGAGATCTGTCCCTTCACTCCACTGAGCTCCTTGTCCCACCCTTCCAAGGAGCCCCACATCTGAGATTCCATAGACAAAGACACTCCCCCAACCCCCCCACCCCCCAACCCTGCTGCTGTAGGCTGGGAAGCTGCGAGGAGCTGGGAGCCAGAAAAGGAAGAGGACAGCCCCACCTTGCAGACCCCACCCTCTAGGAATGGATTTATGCTTCATTGTTGGTGGGAACCATAGCAACCACAGATGACCATGAGTCAGTAGATAATAAACAGGATTCTTTACAAACAGAGGTTGCCTGGGGCAACCCTGGGAAGGTGAGGCCCTGGATTTCCTGGTCTGGCCTCTGAGAACCTCCTAGCACCCCAGAACTCCCAGACAGAATGTTAGGTAATGCCAATGAGCACAGATCAATCATCTGCACAAGTAAGTCCTTCTGGGGTTCCTATTCCAGACACTCTGGCACTCTGAGCTCCCCCATCCAAAGCTTCTTTCCGTTCCTCAAACTCACCATGTGGTCTCTTGGCTCTTAGCTTTCCTACCCAAGCCCCCAACTCCTTGAAATTCTCTTCCCTCTTCTTACTCACAAAATACCTATTCATTCTTCAGACCTCGGCTTAAAGGTCAGGACTCCGGCATAAATGTCCCTGATCCCTGAAAGTGTCAGAAACCTCAGAAAAGAGGGCCAGACATGGTGGCTCATGCCTGTAATCCCACCACTTCGGGAGGCTGAGGTGGGTGGATAACTTGAGGTCAGGAGTTCAAGACCAGCCTGGCCAACATGGTGAAACCCTGTCTCTACTAAAAATACAAAAATTAGCTGGGCGTGGTGGCAGGCGCCTGTAATCCCAGCCACTCGGGAGGCTGAGGCAGGAGAATTGCTTGAACCCAGGAGGCGGAGGTTACAGTGAGCCGAGATCTCACCACCGCACTTCAGCCTGGGTGGGAGAGTGAGACCCCAGAAAAGATGAGATCTTATTTCTCCCTCACATAGTCTGAAGACGGAGCACTTTCCATGGAGTGCTGATGAAGTGCCAGGGTCCTAGGCTCCTTCTGGTGTGCCACCCCTCGGACAAGTCTCTCAGCCTCAAGGTCCAGGATGGCAACATCTGTCCAAACAGCAAGATGGAGAACAGGACAGGATAGGAACGAAGTAGGAGAGGGGCCAAGGACTCATGCTGGCATCCCGCCAGCCTTTTGACACGAGTCACCCTTCCGCCACTTTATAAAAAAAGGTAGGCCTCTTATCAGTGGTAGGCAATAGCAGGGTAGTGAAAACCGTTTCCCCACCACCGCCAAGGCAGGGAATAGAGGCTGCATTGTCCTTAGAGAATTGTAAATGAGTAAGCAACCGAAAGTTCTTTGTTATCCCCTGGGCCAGCAATCCTAAACAATGTCAGTGATAAAACATTCCTCCCTGAAAAAGTATTTTATTGGTCTAAGTTCTAAATCTAAATAAATGCTGTCATTACCACTGAGTTTTAATTATATGTGAACTTCGGCCGGGCACAGTGGCTCACGCCTGTAATCCCAGCACTTTGGGAGGCCAAGGCAGGTGGATCACCCGAGGTTAAGAGTTCGAGACCAGCCTGGCCAACATGGTGAAACCCCATCTCTACTAAAAATACAAAAATTAGCCAGGCATGGTAGTGCACGCCTGTAATCTCAGCTACTCAGGAGGCTGAGGCAGGAGAATCACTTGAACCTAGGAGGCAGAGGTTTCAGTGAGCCGAGATTAGGCCACTGCACTCCAGCCTGGGTGACAGAGTGAGACTCCATCTCAAAAATAAATAAATAAATAAATAAAATGTGAACTTCAATTTAACTTGTTTTTATAACTTAGCATTTAAATAACATTATCGGCCGGGCAAGGTGGCTCACGCTTGTAATCCCAGCACTCTGGGAGGCCGAGGCAGGTGGATCATGAGGTCAGGAGATGGAGACCATCCTAACACGGTGAAACCCCATCTCTACTAAAAATACAAAAAATTAGCCGGGCGTGGTGGCGGGCGCCTGTAATCCCAGCTACTCGGGAGGCTGAGGCAGGAGAATGGCGTGAACCCGGGAGGCGGAGCTTGCAGTGAGCCGAGATCGCGCCACTGCACTCCAGCCTGGGCGACAGAGTGAGACTCAGTCTCAAAAAAAAAAAAAAAAAAAAAAAGATAAATAACATTATCTCCTATGCAGAAATGAAAGCTGAAAACTCGTTATTCAGTGGGCCCCCGACACCCGCAGACTCAGCTCCATGTGTTTCTTACTTCTGGCTGGTCAGTGCCTCCGTTCGTGTGGAGCTGCTATGGAAGCAGGAGCTTGGGAGAGCCAGAGTGACACCATTTTACACTCAACTCCATCTTTTTGTTTTGTTTTGTTTTTTAATTTAGAGATAGGGTCTCCCCGTGTTGCCCGGCTGGTCTCAACTCCTGGTCTTAAGTAATCCTCCCGACTCGGCCTCCCAAAGTGCTGAGATTATAGGTATGAGCCACAGCACCTGGCCAATCAACTCCCATCTTAAAACTAGAAAGGCACACACACACAAAAAGCTAGAAAGGCACACTCCTTGCTGGTCACAGCCTATAGTCATGGTGTGTTTACAGTTGAGGAAACAGTCTAAAGATGCCTACAAAGACACCCTCCGACAACAATGGAGAGTCCACATGTCCCGATACTCGTATCAACATATGCTCTGAAGATAATCATAGTTACACCTTGATGTATTAATACTTACACACTAAAACGTCAAGGACAGTTTTCTTTAAATCAACAGAGTAATAAACTCTCTCATGCAGTCTGCTCACCCACATGTAGAAACAGCTTAGTTTAACCTTTACATCGACAAGACCCCTATACGAGAAAAACTTAAAACAAAGCCGGGGCAGTCCTCTGCTGGCTTTCTGAGGACGCCCTCCTGTGTAACAGGATAGCTTTCAATAAACTTTCTTCTTACTGCACTCTGTGACTCGCCTTGAGTTATTTCCTGCACGAGATCCAAGAACCCTCTGGGCTCTGGATCAAGACCCTTTTTTCCACTAACAGAACCACGTTATCTCTGCCTTTCAAAGGTAGATTCAAAAGACACAATGATAGTGCCCTGATTGCAAAGACAAAGGAATAACTTGAGTTATTTTTCTCTTATCTACTTGGACTTTGTATTTGTGTTAAAAATTCAAAACAGTGAAAAGGAGGCCGGGTGTGGTGGCTCACACCTGTAATCCCAGCACTTTGGGAGGCCACGGTGGGAGGATCACTTGAGGCCAAGAGTTCAAGACCTGCCTGGCCCACATGGCGAAACCCTGTCTGTACTAAAAATACAAAAATTAGCTGGGCATGGTGGCGCACGCATGTAATCCCAGCTACTCGGGAGGCTGAGGCATGAGACCTACTTGAACCCAGGAGGCGGAGGTTTCAGTGATCAAAAAAAAAAAAAAGCAGTGAGATAGAAGGCAAATTACAAGTTGTAATATTTTTGTTTTATGAGGGCCAATATGAAAACTTCAATTCATGATTATTGCTGAAAATAACTTTTGTAGAGGAAGGGGGTGCGTTAAGAAATAATCCACGCTGGTCAGGCGTGGCGGCTCATGCCTGTAATCCCAGCACTATGGGAGGCCAGGCAGGTGGCTCTCTTAAGAACAATCATAATAATAACCCATGCCACATAGAACACTTCAGGCACCACACGACCTCTCAACTTTCCCAAATTTTAAGATAGAATGCTTGGAGCGTAAAAGCTTCATGGCCCCGAAGAAAGGATGCTTCATAACATCGGTTTGAGTTGAACCGAGTGGATAAAGAAAATGTGATATATATTATGGAGTTGGAGACCATGATTCTAAGTGAAGTAACTCAGGAATGGAAAACCAAACATCGTATGTTCTCACTTATAAGTGGGAGCTAAGCTATGAGGGTGCAAAGGCATAAGAATGATATGATGGACTTTGGGGACTCAGGGGGAAGGGTGGGAGAGGGTGAGGGATAAAAGTGTACAGTGTACACTGCTCAGGTGATGAGTATACCAAAATCTCAGAAACTACCACTAAAGAACTTATCCAGGTAACCAAACACCACCTGTTCCCCAAAATCTACTGAAATAAAATTTTAAAAAATAAATAATAATATCAGTGTGGGCAAGTCTTCGTTTAATGAAATCACCACAAACCTCTTGTAGGTCTTCGTGTCTTCTCTGTCCTATATATATTTTTGTAAAGGGCAAAATGTGAAGTTAAGAAGATGTGTTGGGATGTTGTGGGCTCAGATAGGGTGAAGCAGGAGTAGGGACAGTATTACTTTCCATATCCCTAAAGCTCCCCAGGAATACTTGAGTGCTAAGGGAGAGTCAGGTAGTAAACACTGATAGTGATAGCACCTTAAGTCATGTATGTGATAAGCTCGAGGCAGAGCTCCATGCCTTATCTATCTTAAAGATCATCATGATTCTTAAAAGCACCCAGACAAGGCCGATCTCCTGTGAAGCTCACACAGAGCCCAGGGCCAGGCTGTCTGCCACCCTGGCGGGACTGCTCTTCTCTGAATATTTTGCACAATTTCAAGAAGAGGGAAGTGAGGCCAGGTGTGGTGCTCACGCCTGTAATCCCAGCACTTTGGGAGGCTGAGGCAGGCGGATCACAAGGTCAGGAGTTCGAGAGCAGCCTGACCAACACGGTAAAACCCCATGTCTACTAAAAATACAAAAATTAGTCGGGCGTGGGCAGCGGGCACCTGTAATCCCAGCTAGTCAGAAGGCTGAGGCAGGAAAATCGCTTGAACCCAGGAGGTGGAGGTTGCAGTGAGCCGAGATCACACCTACTGCACTCCAGCCTGGGCAACAGAGCGAGACTCTGTCTCCAAAAAAAAAAAGAAGGGGGAAGTGAAAAGTTTCACATTTACTTTCAATAGATGAACATTGCCTCCTCCAGTTAAACAAACATATATCAAAGGCACTTTAGTGTTCTATATTTACTAAGACTTGTAGGAAAAAAATCTTCTTTCCCTTTTGCTCCCAATTATTGAATAATGGAAAGTCACTTTTTTTTTTTTTTTTTTTTTTGAGACAGGGTCTGACTCTGTCACCCAGGCTGGAGTGTAGGGGGCTGGATGATGACTCAGTGCAACCTCCACCTCCCAGGCTCAAGTGATCCTTCCACCTCTGCCCCCCAGGTAGCTGGGACTACAGGCAGGAGCCATCACACCCGGCTAATTTTTGTTTTTTTATAGAGGGTTTTCACCATGTTGTCCAGGCTGGTCTCGAACTCCTGGCTTCAAGTGATCCACCTGCCTCGGTCTCCCAAAGTGCTGGGATTACAAGCGTGAGCCACGGAGCCTACCTCAGTCATTAAAAAACATTTTTTTTACACGTCTCCAATTTGCTATCATTTATCAATCACGTCTCTGCTCATTTATTTATTCCTACCATGTTCTTAGATTAACTTACCACTGAGAAATGATTCTACTGTAAGTAATGCATTGAACAATGATCATGAATACATCTTTTGGAAACCTCCGACTTACTGGTGATATATCTTCTTGTTAATTTGCTCTGCACCCTAATTATTCTAGCAATAAATAATTATTCATCCACTGATACACTCGATTATATCATAAACATAAACCATACTTACAATATATCAGGTAATGTTCTAACTAAGTACTTTATATATTAACTCATTTGGTCCTCACCACAACCATATGATGTAGACACAAATATTATGAAGATTCTGTGGCACAAAGAGGTTAAATAACCTGTCTAAGACCACACAGCCCATAAGCAGCAAAACCAAGATTCAGACCAAGGCTGCCTAAATCCACACATGAGCCAAACCCCCGCACATATTGCCTCTCTTTGAAAAAATTTGGGGGTACAGAGGTAGCTCTGTCCATCTCACTGGGGAAGAGTACAATCTCAATTAACTTTTTCTTTTTAAGTTGAATATATATTTAAGATATATTTCTGCCATCCTGGACAGCACAGTGAAACTTTATCTCTACAAAAAATACAAAAATTAGCCAGGTGCAGTGGCAGGTGCCTGTGGTCCCAGGTACCTGGGAGGCTGAGGTGAGAGGATCACTTGAGTCCAGGGAGGTCAAGGCTACAGTGAGCCATGATCACACCACTGCATTCCAGCCTGGGCAACAGAGCAAGACCCTGTCTCAAAAAAAAAAAAAAAACATATATATATATATATATATAAAATTTCTGTTTTAATTATATATCAATAATTCTAGTGATACGCAGAGAGAATGTGAGAGACCAAATGGGGCAAAATATCAGTAATCGTAGGTAAAGGGTATACAAAAGGTCATTACATTGTTCTTGCAAATTTCTAAAACTTTGAATTTTTTAAATAAAAAGTTAAAGGGAATTATTTCATCTTAAATGTTAACATTAATAATATGGTAAACGTTACATTTTAAAATATAAAAAAAGATTTTAGATTCAAAAATATACACAGATGTATGCAGCTTTTCAAAATGCTATTGATAGTAGTAATAGATCCAAAGTTTGCAGGCAAAACAGTCTTTTTTTTTTTTTTTGAGATGGAGTCTCGCTCTATCACCCCGGCTGGAGTGCAGTGGTGTGATCTGCACTCACTGCAACCTCTGCCTCCCAGGTTCAAGCGATTCTCCTGTCTCACCCTCCAGGGTAACTGGGATTACAGGTGCACACCACCACGCCCAGCTAATTTTTTGTATTTTAGTAGAGACGGGGTTTCACTGTGTTGCCCAGGCTGGTTATGAACTCCTGAGCTCAGGCAATCCACCTGCCTCGGCCTCCCAAAGTGCTAGGATTACAGGCGTGAGCCACTGGCCACAGGCAGTTTTAAGGAACATACCTGCTTTTATCTCATTGGCCAGATCTTGCTACGTAGTCACTTGTATCCACTCCCCACAGGATAGTTCCAGGAAATCAAATTCTAAGATGGGGATATGAAGGTAAGAGGTTGATTTGGAAGTCTCTTGAATTTGACCCTTGTGGAGAAATGAAGAGGGATTAGGCGGTAGGCGAATGATGCAGCAGCCACAGGCAGCTCTGCAGCTAGGATGGCCCTGCAGAGTTGCCCCCAGCTGGAACAAGGGGCCCAGACTTTAATACTTCCACATCAGCCAGCCAGTGGATACAGGCAGCCCCAGGAAAAGGAGCAGAACCTTGGGTGAAGCAGTTCTTCAGCTGAAGCAATTGCTGGGAGAGGAGACACAGCTGAAGCTGTCAACAGTATCCACCACATTCCCATTTTACAGACAAGGAAGTTGAGGTATATAGCAATCAGCTGTGTGTGGTGGCTCACGCCTGTAATCCCAGCACTTTGGGAGGCCAAGGTGGGTGGATCACTTGAGGTCAAGAGTTCAAGGCCAGCCTGGCCAACAATGTGAAATTCTGTCTCTACTAAAAATACAAAAATTAACCAGGCGTGGGGGCACGCGCCTGTACTCCCAGCAGCTCGGGGGACTGCAGCAGAAGGGTCACCTGAGCCTGGGAGACCGACATTGCAGTGAACCGAGATCACGCCACTGCACTCCATCCTGGGAAACAAAGCAAGACCCTGTCTCAAAAAAAAAAAAAAAAAAAAAAAAAAAAAAAGAGTATAGCAATTAAATAACTTTCCCAAGATCACAGAGCTGGTAAATGGTTGTATCCATTCTCCAACACCACATTAGTGCTGCATAACAAGCACCCAAAACTACTAACAGGCTAATAATAAAAATGTACTTTTGCACATGAATCAACCAGGTTGGCTAAGTCATTCTGCTGATTTGGTCCAAGTTAGTCAGATCTCAGCTGGGCTCCCTCGTACGTTTGTGGCTATGGGTCAGCTTTCCTCTGCCTGGTCTAGGATGGCCTTAGCTAGGATGACTTACTCTCCTGCACGTGGTCTCTTGTCCTCCTGAGCTTGTTCCTCATCATGGTGGGAAGCTTCCCAGACAATGAATGTGGACAAAGCCTTTGGAGCTCCAAGACTAGAACGAGTCCATCATCACTTCTATCACATTCTATTGGCCAAAGCAAATCACAAGGCCAAGCGCAGAGTCAGTGCGGAAGGATCTTACCAAATAGCATAGACACTCAGAGATGTGAAAAATCAGGGACAAGCAACCATAGTGATGGAGCCCGAATACAAACTCCAGAGACCTCACTCCTAGAGGTCTTACTCCACAGTCATCTCCCAAGCAAATCTTTAATTAGTATCTATGTCAAGTTCCACCTAGCCTGGCACTGTGAAAGAGCAAGGTCCTGCTGTTAAGGAGTTTACGGCCTAGATAAGGAGAGGAGACACCCACCATGAAAGTTTGGTAACAAGAAAGGTAAGGCAAATGTAAGAGGGGCATATGTAGCAGGAATCAGGGGCAGAGGAGGTACTGTGGACCACGTTGGTCCAGGAGGGTCTGGGCAGGGATTAATACAGGTCTTGGAGAATGTGCAGACTTGAGTCAGATGGTAAGGAGGGATTCATACCCGCACCTCCTCCTCCTCCTCCCCCTGGTACTGATGGAGGGAAGGGAAGGAAAAGAGACAGAATGCAGGGCCTGTGAAGATAGTAGTTTTCTTTCTTTCTTTTCTTTTCTTTTCTTTTTTTTTTAATTTTTTGAGACGGAGTCTTGCTCTGAGTCACCGAGGCTGGAGTGCAGTGGTGCAATCTCAGCTCACTGCAACCTCCACCTCCCGGGTTCAAGTGATTCTCCTGCCTCAGCCTCCTGAGTAGCTGAGACTACAGGTGCGTGCCACTATGCCTGGCTGATTTTTTGTATTTTTAGGAGTGACAGGGTTTCACCGTGTTAGCCAGGATGGTTTCGATCTCCTGACCTCGTGATCTGCCTGCCTCAGCCTCCCAAAGTGCTGGGATTACAGGCATGAGCCACCGCGCCCAGCCTGAGGAAAGCAGTTTTCTAAATCCCCTCTCTGTTGTCTCCTCAGCCCCTTAGGGTTTCCTTTTATCTGCCTTGGCCATGCATTGACAGCCCAGCATGCCGAGGACAACCATATTTCATTGTTACATGGATTTACTATCCTCCTTTTGAGGACGTGGGCGAAACATCTTTGTTTTACTGAGCAGAAGGGCAGACGAGATTACCAAAGGGAGGACAAGAGTAGATGGCTCCATAAAGGAAAGGGAATGGAGCCATGGGAGGGGGAAGATCAGGAAGAGGGGTTGGAAGGAGACAGAAGAGGGAGCAGGAGAGGAGAGGACTGAATAGATACTATGAGGAAGAATATTTTGGGGAGAGCGGAGTGAAGATGCTTATTAGGAAACGATGCCGTGTAATAAGCAACAGAGCCCTGGGCTCGGGCTCCAGCCAACAGCCCTCAGTAAAGACCAGCCCTGGCCAGCAGCCTTCAGTAAATACTTCTCAAAGCTTTAGGAGTTAGATTTCTTGTGTCTTCAAATGCTGAGATGACATTTAGGGCTGAAACAAGGCAGTCAGTTTTATCTGGTTTCCTTTCCATACACTAGGCTTACCTAGAGCAACTTGTTTATTTGCCTATTGGATAGTAGTTAAAGGTGCCAGCTTGGGAATGAGGCAATTGAGTTCAAATCCTGACTTTTTTTCTTGCTAAATTTGTCATCTTGAACATGTCATGGAACCTCTCTGAGCCTGTTTCCTCCCCTGTGATAGGAGTATGATAGTATCTACCTCATAGGATTTTTGTGAGGATTAAATAAAATAAAACATATAAACTATGTGCCTTGCACATAGTTATTGCTTTAATAAGCTAGCTCTGGCTGGGCGCAGTGGCTCACGCCTGTAATCTGAGCACTTTGGGAGGCCAACTCAGGAGGATCCCTTGAGGCCAGGAATTCAAGACAAACCTGGGCAGAGAGGGAGACCCCCTTCTCTACAAAAAATTAAAAATTAGCCAGGTTTGGTGGCACACACCTGTGGTCTCAGCTACTTGGGAGGCTGAGGTGGGAGGATCACTTGAGCCTAGGAGGTTGAGGCTGCAGTGAGCCATGATCGCACTACTGTACTCCCAGCCTGGATGACAGAGCAAGATGCTGTCTCTTAAAAAATTAATTAATTAATTAATTAAAGTTAGCTATTGTTATTATTGTAATGATCCAATGATTCCAAAATTTAGTTACTTTATCCTCATTTTACATACAAGGATGGAGATATAGACAAATCAAATCCAGCTGCCCCCAAAGCCCGATGAAGGGCTTCCCTATGAACCAAGACCCTGGCATGAGACAGAGATGGCTCCAAGCCTCTGAGCCCTGCACAGTGCATTTGTATTCTAAAAACAACAAACCAACAAGTGCAGGAGCAGTAAGGGAGGCAGAGATCCGTCATTTAGGCAGGCAGAAATGATTAATGCAAAATTAAGGTAGAAACCGACACAAAATGGGCTGGGCACAGTGGCTCATGCCTGTAATCCCAGCACTTTGGGAGGCGGAGGCAGGCCAATCACGAGGTCAGGAGATCGAGACCATCCTGGCCAACATGGTGAAACCCCGTCTCTACTAAAAACACAAAAATTAGCTGGGCATGGTGGCACGCTACTGTAGTTCCAGCTACTTGGGAGGCTGAGGCAGGAGAATCGCTTGAACCCGGGAGGCAGAGGTTGCAGTGAGCCGAGATTGCGCCACCACTACACTCCAGCCTGGCGACAGAGCAAGACTCCATCTCAAAAACAAACAAACAAACAAAAAGAAAAAGAAAAAAAAAAAGATTCCACAGCTCTTGGTCCAGCACCTTTTCCTCCTTCTCTACCCAGCCGACTACTACTCATCCCTCAAGTCCCAGCACAAAGCTTGCCTCCTCTAGAAGCCATCCCTAGCTCCCCTATGTAGTAACTGGTCCTTCCAAAGTGTTCCTGCAGCTCCCAGTTTATCCCTTCTATGTCTAACTTCCATATCAATATTCTGTTCACCCATCTGTTCATCCAGTGTTCTGTTCACTACAGGGCATGTTGGCATGTGCCTGTGGTCCCAGCTACTCGGGAGGCTGAGATGCGAGGATCACTGGAGCCTCGGAGGTCTGGGCTGCAGAGAGCTGTGATGGCGCTACTGCACTCCAGTCTGGTTGACAGAGTGAGACCCTGTCTCAAAAAAAGAAAAAAAATTCCACAGCCTCTCTGGGGCCGCATGTCAAAAGGGTGCCTCGGAGCACAGACCTGGACATCCAGACATCTGACTGGAAGATATGCCACCGTAAATCCCAAGAAGGTAGATCCACCCGATTGTCTTCTAGTCACCTTCGCCATCAGCTTCCAACAGAGGCAAAGGCCTTACATTCTCAGTGTCCCAGTCTTGGCTCAGTGCAAGACAAGTGACTGATAAACCTCACGCTAAGGCAGAAAGAGCCCTCTTTCCCCTGGGGCAGACATTGCTAAGCCATCTTAGCATTCTTTCTGCTGAGCCAGCCACAGAATCCTTCTTAAGTTAATGTTCCAGGAACCCACCACCTATCAGAATTAGCCCGCAATTCAGGATCTGAGAGAATCTGGAATTTTAAAAAAAGAAAAAGAGAAAAGAATTGGCCTGCAAGGTAAACTTACATGGTATGTTTGCCCTAATGGAGAGGAACATTTAGGTGCATCACAGATGTCCTGATGCTACAGTAATCAAGCAGGAAAGGAAACTGAAATTATGGAAGAATTCCAGGTATCTAAAAAGCAAATGTGGTTCCTTTGGGTAGGGACAGAACAGTACAGGCCAGTCTATCTGCAAGTCATTCTGTCTGGGTCCTCTAGCAAGTCAATCCAGTTCAATTCCCAAACACCATGCCAGTCTTGTGTTAGGCTGGTCTCTGCCCTCAGGCATAGGTGGCACATGCTAATATCAACTTAGTAGGGAGAACAAGAGTGGTGCCTTTTAAAGAAACATAGCGGTCAAGGCAGCTGCAAGCAGGGAGGAAAGTGATCAGCCTGGCTGCGGGATTATTAGGAAAGGCTTCGTGAAGGAGGCAGTCCTAGGAAAGACCTCGAAGGAGGTAAGTGGAGTCGGAGGACAAGGCACCCAGCTGAGGGGAACAGCTTGAGCAAAGGCATGGAGTCAGGAAAGTCGAGGCCGACCCAGGGAATGGGGACACATCTAGGGATTGAGTAGGGAAGTATAACTGAGGTCAAACTGCGGAGGTCCTGGAAGGCCACAAAGAAGGTTCGTCCTCCTAAGCCACCACCCAGAGACCCTCGGCTCGGAAGCTGGGATATTCCCAGGGAGCCAACAGGGTAGACCCTCAGGAGGCCTTTAGGGAAGTCTGCCCTTCCCCAGTTTCTTTTTAAACATGCTCTTCCCTCCTCCAGAAATGTCCTTTCCTCCTTCTCAGCCCAGCTGACTGCTACTCATCCTTCGAGTCCCAACACAAAGCTCGCCTCCTCTAGAAGCCATCCCTGGCTCCCCTATGTAGTAACCGGTCCCTCCAAAGTGTTCCCACAGCTCCTGACTTAGTCGTTCTTGGTCTAACTTAAATATCAATGTTCTTTTCGCCCATCTGCCTCCCCACTAGTCTGTAAGCCCCTAGAAGTCAGGGCCTCTTATTCTTTTCTATATTCCTACTGTCTTACACATTGCCAGTAAATGTGGAAGGAAGGGGGAGGGGACGAAAGAAGAAACGGGAAGCACCAGTTCTGGCCTGAGGCACCAGAGGCTTTGCCCTGTGGCCTGTCCTCCTGGTATTCATCTGCCTCACATGACCTGGCGCCTCCTAGCTTGAACCCTCAGTTTCTGCCTCGCTCTGGGCAGGGAGGACACAGCTCCCATTAGCTGCCTCCTGTTGCTAGTGCCTGCCAGCCCCTCATTAGCCCAGATGGTCCCCACTTCTGCCCTGAGAGATATGGGCTCAGCAGAGGTCGAGGCACAAATGAGTTTCCCTGACCTTCCTGCCTGGTGAGCCCCTTATGCCAACCCCAGGCAGTTATCCTCAGGCTGCTATTGGACAGAAGCATTTGATCCTCAGAGCTCTGACCGTGGACACACACTTTACCATCAGTTATGGGGTCAATCCAGGGGCCTAATGAGGAGCATCTTACCTGGGAGAAAGTGAGGCATATGACTCAAGCTAGACATGTGAGGAAAGGCTAGGATAACCAGGAATAAAGAGAAGTATCCAGATGGCATACTCTGGTCCAAGGACCAGATGGCCCCTAGCCTCACTTGGCAGAGGCCAAGCCTCCAGCCTCCCAATTCTTTACATTTCATTCAGCTCCCTGAGAATGCTCCCCTCAGCCTGCCATAGGAGTGTGCTCTCCGCAGCACAGAGGAGTCATGGAAGTGGAGACTGTGAGAGTGACAGAAGAGAAGAAACAGAACATGGAGGCCTGCCTCCTAGGCCACACACCTGTGCCCGGCCACACCTCTGGCTTCTAGACTCCAGCTTGCCCTGGGAACCTCTCCTCCCAGGGAGGCTGAAGACAGGCCCTGGGGCAGTAGTGGGTGGAGACTGGACCTCAACGCCTAGAGGGAAGTGAAAGGGTTAACCACCCCGCCACCCACCACCACCTGCCACTGGGCCCCTCTAGCCAGCTCACCCCAGAGCACTGTAAGCCCAGGCTTGTCTTTGGTGCTCTCTCAATTTCATCTTCCCTCTTATTCCTCCTTCCCACTCCTTCTGGGAGACACTGGGAGGAGAAGCTAGGGGCCATTGGCACCAGCTGTCTCTGGGGTGTCATTTAATACTGTCCGTAATCACCACCTCCTCTCCTGGCTTATTAACTCTTTCCCTCATGGCTACTCTTGTCATCCCTGGACATCTCTCTATCTCTGTCTAGCTCTCACCACACACACACACACACACACACACACACACACACACACACACACACACACACACAGTGAATGGGAAGAGGGAAGGGCTAGGAACTAGGCACACTCTGGTTTCTTGCCACTGCAGTTCCTTTCCCACCTGACTTCACCCCCGAAAACTAGTCCCACCACCAGCTGGGCCAGGAGCAGGAGACAGGCTGGTTCAAGGAGCTGGAGGAACAGAGGACACTTCTGAACCAGCAGAGCAATCACACAACAGCAAGCTCAGAGAAAGAGAATCCCAGAGGGCAGATTTGAGGATGGACACAGGGAATACAAAATTAGAAACTGCCCAAAGATATAGATTCCTCCTCCAAACAAAATAGAGTCACCAGAGTCCGAGTGAGGACTAGAACACTCTGATCATGTATGCGTTTCATAGCCTAGATGGGAAAAGGGAATAGAGGCCTTTTCCCCTGGCAACTCAAGGAGATTCTGCTTCTGAAAGTGTTTCCTGAACTTCAGGATGCTCTGAAGAAGTAAGGAGCCGTATCAATCACTGTTGAGTTCATTGGCAGGAAATAGACCACAGTCAGGGTGAGGGGCTGGGAGCCTCAGACCTGCCACCTGCCAACTACAGGGTCTTGGGTTTCATGGTTGTGAGATTATAATGACCACACATCCACAGGACACTTCTATCTCAAATATCCAGTGCTTCTGTCAGACGAGGTGCCATGATTTGGAGAAGTGAAAAGGTGGGGAAACCGAAGCAGGAGGATCGCTTGAACCCAGGAGTTGGAGTCCATCCTGGGCCACACAGCAAGATATTGTCTCTATTTTCTTTTTAAAAAATAAATTTTAAAAATAAAGAAAATAAAGTATGGTCCTTTCATGCAATGCCCAGCATGTGTCAGTCCTTCCACAGCATCTTTTTCTTTTTCTTTCTTTTTTTTTTTTTTTTTTTTTGAGATGGAGTTTCACTCTGTTGCCCAGGCTGGAGTGCAGTAGTGCTGTCTTGGCTCACTGCAACCTCCACCTCCCAGGTTCAAGCGATTCTCCCGCCTCAGCCTCCCAAGTAGCTGGGACTACAGGCGCCCGTCACCATGCCCAGCTAATTTTTGTATTTTTAGTAGAGTCGGGGTTTCACCATATTGGCCAGGCTGGTCTCCATCTCCCGACCTTGTGATCCGCCCGCCTCGGCCTCCCAAAGTGTTGGGATTACAGGCGTGAGCCATCGCGCCTGGCCCCACAGCATCTATTTTAGCAGCCACCGCAAGGGCTGGGTGACCCTGGTGTAGCCGGGAGTGGGCTTATTTGCAGGTGAACTGGGAGGGTGCCCCCACCTGAGTCTTAGGTCATAGGAGAAGTGCGGGTCAGGCCTCAGCTGCCTATCCCTGGAGCAAAGGCAAAGTCCAGGATAGCCTTCCAGTATCACCTTCCACCAGGCAGGCCAGCCGGTCCTCTGAGAGATAAGGCTCACACTTTGGACTCCACACAGCGACGGGGCCCCCTGCCCCTCCAGCTGGCAGGCGGGCTCCCTGCCTGCTTAGGGGTCTAGGCCGAGGCAGGGGGAGGACCGGACGGCCGGCCACTCGCCGCGACCAGCAGGAGAGAGGGGTGCCTGCCACAGGTTGTCACCCTCGCCGCCTCCCCCGGCGGCGCCCCGCCCCTTACTCAGCCCTCATTACTGCAGCGCCTCGCGGGGGTCTGGCCCGGAGTGGAGGGCGCGCGGTCCCAGCCCTCCCGCTCGGCCGGCGGGTGTCGAGTTCAGGTGCGACCGAAAAGGGGAAAGGAGGGCACCGCCACGTGAGCTGTCCTCTCCGGGGAAGGCGGTGGCTGCGTGAGGGCGGGGGCTGCTCGGTCCCCAGGGCCCCGCCCCTCTGCCCCTCTGCCCCGAGCGGTGCTGGCGGTAGGGAGGGGCCAGCCCGGTCCCCGCCCTCCTCGCCCGGACCCGCGCTGCCCGGCTCCCGCGGGCCGCTCGATCCCAGTCCCAGGCTGGGCATCGGGGCTGGCTGGCATCGCCGGGGAGCCGACGGCGACGGGGAGCCCCGCGGGCGGGGAGGGCGGCGCAGGGCAGCGGGTGCGGTGACACCTGTGGGCACAGGTGAGCGGCGGGAGGGCTACGCGGCCCGGGGGCGGGGCGGCCGGGACCCGGGGCCTGGAAGCCGGGGCGAAGGGGAAGGAAGGCCTGGCCTCCCGAAGGCGGGAGGAGGGGAGCCGGGGGCTGGGCTGAGACAGGACCCTGGGTAGGGAGCAGTGCGAGGGAGACAGCGCCCTCAGAGGGAGGACTATTGGGAGGCGGCAGGAGGGACAGCGAACGTTTCCTCCTCTGCTCCTGAATCGGAGGAAGGTAAGGGAGGGCTGAGGCAGGACCTCAGGCCCACCCGGTCGGGGCACAAACACCTGCGCAGCCTTCTTGAGCCCACCGCCCCTTAGGAGGCCTCTCCTCTTCCAGGCCCTGCCCACTCGAGGGCGGGCCCTCCCTCCAGGTTTAGGGGGGAGGGATGGAGCCCCACGCCTGGCCCCCAGCTCCATGGTGGTATTCCCAGAGTCTGGGGAGGACCAAATATATAGCCCGAAACTGGAGAAACTCTAATTCTATTTGGCTGGTCTCTAAGGGCAGTGGCCGGACAGCTGGCCCCACTCACCTCCCTGTCTGTGGTCAGGAGGGTTCAGGTAGGAGATGGGCAAGCCTTTCAGTAAAGGCCAGACAGTAAAGATTAGAGACTTCGCGGCCTACACCGTCTGTCCCAACTAGCAAGAAGCAGTCACAGGTTATTAGGAGACCAGCAGAAGAGGATGGATTCCAACAAAACTGTGTTTATGGACACTGAATTTGAATATCATGTAATATTTACTTGTCCCAAAATATTGGTGGCTTTTTTGCAGGGGGGGCAGCAGTTGTTTCAACTATGTAAATATGTAAAGGCTTACAGGCTGTACAAAAACTGGTGGCAGACTGGGCTGTCTCCAGCCACCCCCACTCCCAGCCCACCCCACCCACCATGGCCTCCCTCCAGCTTTTTCCCAAGCTTTATATGGGGAAGGGGATGGGGTTATATCTAGGTGCAAGGAGAACCCTCCCACCTGGGTGTATCCAGAAAGCCCGAGACCTGTCTGTGACCCTTGTTCCCATTTGAGACCAGTGCAGGAGCTTGTACCCCAAATATGCACACATGTGAGAGAGGAGGTACATCTCCAAGGGGCTTCCTACCCAATATGTACCTGGACCTACCCTACTCCCACCAAGTCATAGATGAGGCAGCCATGTTCCCCCCAACAAGTGACCAAGCCCTTGGCCCTCTCCTCCCCCACTATACCCTCCCTCCCAGGCCCCCTACCAGCCTTGGTCTCCCGCCTGGTGCCATTCACTGATTGGGGATGGCCCTTCCATTCCTCTTTTCTCTCTTGCAGCCCTAGGGGACCTCTTTCTCCTGGACATTGAAGATATGGCCCTTTGGAGGTGACCCAGGAGAGAAGGGATGAAGGCCTTTGGTCCTCCACATGAGGGCCCCCTCCAAGGACTCGTGGCCTCCCGCATTGAGACTTATGGGGGCCGGCATCGAGCCTCTGCTCAGAGCACTGCTGGCAGACTCTATCCCCGAGGATACCCTGTGCTGGTGAGTCCAGGCTGTGCCCCAAAAGTGACCTGGTGGGGCAGGAGGGAAGACACCTAGGCTGTGGAGTCTCTGTCCCCTTACAGGTTCAGAGGTTGAGCTATTCCTGCCCCTTACCCTACTCTTCTTTCCTGGGTTGCGGGAAAGAGGAGGGCAGTGACAGGGCCAGGCTCCAGGGATATCACACCCCAGTCCCAGCAGCTGGGCAGGAGAGGCGGAGCCAGGAGAAGCCAGGCCCTCCGAGGAGTGCTGTTAGACAGGTCTCAGACAAAGAGCTGCGGGTAAGGTCATCAAACCCCAGAGCTGGCGCCTCCCAGGCTCCCGCCTCTGCTTGGCAGGAGTTTGAGGCCTTCCTGAGATCTGCCTCTCCCTGAGTCAGGATGAAGATGAGCAAAGGTTCAGGGTGTCCCTACTCCTCCAGTGGTGGGTAGGGACAGGAGGGTGCCTGCCTTGGCTCCACCCCTGGCTCCACCTGCCTGGCTCTCCTCCAGTCCTAACCAAGCAGAGGGGTGTGGAAGCCAGGTCTGTCCCTCAGCCTGCAGGTTTCCCCTCCACCTTGAGGACAGTTCTGCTTGTGGCTGGGACATCCCCTGCCTCAATGCACGATAATTTTGCCTTTGGAGATGGGACTTTCCTAGGCTGTGGGTGAGAAGGGAGACTAGAAAGTATGTGGGGTAATTCAGGCCACAGGCAAATGAAGGAATGTGACCAGGCCTGCCCTGGGAGGAGCTGTGTGGCTGTGGCTTCAGCCTTTCACACAGAAGGGCAGCCACTCCCAGCTGGATGGGATGCAGGCTGCACGCCCCTGGGGAGAAGGCTGCACATGTGAGTGCCCTCGTCCCCATGTGTGAGGGAGGCTGGTCATAGACAAGGAGAGTTACGAGAGACCAGAATGCTGTGTGCACCACGCCTTGTCCATGCACCCCCCATGGTACGGAGAGCAGGAGGCAGTGGGGGCACACACACCAGAGCCCAGGCATGTGTGTGCTGTGCACCTGCTCGGCAGGAGGCCCCACTTCTTCCCCAGGCCCACTCAGGGAGCCAGGCTGTCTTGCCTCTGCCCACTCAGCTTAGCCTTGCCGGCAGTGGCCGCTGTGACTCAGGGCAGGAGCAGTCCACACCAAACTGGTTTGCAGGGAGAAGTGAGCCAGCCCGACTTACCAGGGTGGGGGAACAACATCTAGAGCCAAGCCTGCCCCCCTACTACCTCTCTGGGGTTTCTGGGGAAAGGGAGGCACCCCCAGAACTTCCCCTGCTCCTCTCCCAGGATCCCAGTCGCCGACGCCTCCAGCAGTATGTCCCCTTTGCCAGGGGTTCTGGCCAGGCCCGAGGCCTGTCACCCATGAGACTGCGAGATCCAGAGCCCGAGAAGAGGCACGGGGGCCATGTGGGGGCTGGCCTGCTTCACTCCCCCAAACTCAAGGTAAGGGGGTCCCTCTCCTCCCATCCCCACACATACGGCCCCAATTGTGATGGCTCCGCAGATGACCAGCAAGCTCCGGGAGCTGAGAACACAGGTCCAGGAGGCTGCTGCCTGCCAGTCAGACATGGCTCTGCCTAGGACCTCTCAGGGATATATCTCTCTTTGGTCCATGCATGGCAACCAGGGACTTTGACTTGAGACACTTTGATTAAATGTGGATAAACGATTGATATTGAGCTTTCAGTTTTTGAAAACTACCAAGTCAAATTACCAAGTTGCTGAGAGTCAGGTATGCTCTCTCTATCCTCAGTGCCACATCATCCTTCACTGCCACTGTGAGCCTCACCTCTCCTCCCAAGCCACATCCAGATGGAGTGAGTGAGGGTCAGGAGTGTCTATTGCTCACATTCTTGGTACCAAAGAAACCTGTAAAATGGGCCGGGCGTGGTGGCTCACACCTGTAATCCCAGCACTTTGGGAGGCCAAGACGGGCGGATCACCTGAGGTCAGGAGTTCGAAACCAGCCTGGCCAACATGGTGAAACCCCGTCTCTGCTAAAAATGTAAAAAAAAATTAGCTGGGTGTCATGGCGGGCACCTGTAGTCCCAGCTATTAAGGAGGCTGAAGCAGGAGAATCGCTTGAACCCGGTAGGTGGAGGTTGCAGTGAGCCGAGATTGCGCCACTGCACTCCAGCCTGGGTGACAAGAGCAAAACTCTGTCTCAAAAGGAAAAAAAAAAGAAACCTGTAAAATGTAAGCCATGCTGCTTCATAAAAAATGCCATTTTATAGGCAAATGTCAAAGTGGTGCCTGAGACCACTGGTTCTCTAAGTCTTGTTCTGATTCACTTGAAGGTCCCTCTGAAGTGTCTGTTTCTGTCCCTCCCCCACCTCATTCTGATTCAGGAGACCCATGGAAGGCCTCTTTCCTGTCAGGGAGCCTAGATCAGACCCCTCTCCAGGGACCTTTCCACAGACCAGGGTGCCTCTTCACCCACATTCCAGCAATGCCTTTTTCCCTGGAATTCCAGCTGGGGCCGACCCCTGTTCTCTAGGCCTCCATGTCCCCACTCATACTCAGTGCTGCTTGCCATCTCCCATTCCAGACACAGACACACGCACACACTTTAACACACATGCACACACACACAGCCCTCCCGGGGCCCTGTGGCTGGGTGCCAAGGATGTGACCAGAGCTGATGCCCTTCTCGGCTCCCCCAGGAACTCACCAAGGCCCATGAGCTGGAGGTGAGGCTGCACACTTTCAGCATGTTTGGGATGCCCCGGCTGCCCCCTGAGGACCGGCGGCACTGGGAGATAGGAGAGGGTGGCGACAGTGGCCTGACCATCGAGAAGTCCTGGAGGGAGCTGGTGCCTGGGCACAAGGTGAGCCTGAAACTCACAAGGTGAGTCTGTCCCCACGGCGTGAATGCACACACAGATTCTGCTCTAGAGGAGGGAAAGGCCTTGGGAAGTGGGGTCATGTGGAAAAAACATCTGGAAACGCGTTGATCTGGGTTCAGATCCCAGCTCTGCCACTTACTAGTCAGACCTTGGTCAAGACAGTAAAGTTCTCTGGGCCTCAGTTGCCACATATGTAAAGTGGGGATAATACCACCTACACATCAGAGCACTGGTTTGAGGATTAAAAGGTCATGGTCATGCACAAAGTGCCTAGAACCTATGAAGTGGATCCGGTCGCACTTAACAGCTGGTACTTGCCATTCTAATTATCATTCCCCAACTGAACCAGCATTCTCCCCACCCCAGGAGATGAGCCAGGAGCTCTGCCACCAACAGGAGGCCCTGTGGGAGCTCCTGACCACCGAGCTGATCTACGTGAGAAAGCTCAAGATCATGACTGATGTGAGCCCCCCTCAGCCCCAGCCCCGGCCCCATCTTCCCTGCATGAGCCCCCATCCTCCCAGACTGGAAGGCAGGTCACTGGGGGAGGGAGGGGCAGGATTTCAGGCCAGTCTGGGATGCAGGGAGATAGGTCAGCAGTACTGAAGTTGGTGGGGGGTGGGAGGTGACGACACTGAAGGGCTGCGCTGGGTCCTGAGACCCTCGTCTCCCTCCCTGCAGCTGCTAGCCGCCGGCCTGCTGAACCTGCAGCGAGTGGGACTGCTGATGGAAGTGAGTGGGTGCTCAGGAGGGGACCCTGGCACAGCCCGACCTCTGAGCCTGGGGATGAGGGTGGGCCCTCCAGCCATCCCTGTCTGAATTCCCACTGCCCCGTTTTTTGGGATGCCTTGCCCTCCCTACTTCCCTGTTACTGGGGACTCCAAGCAGGCCACAGGCCCCCCATTTCTCAGACTGACATCCTTGAGATCTTCCAGGCCCAGTGCCCAGTTCATCCTTCTTCACCCCCGCCCCTGCTGTCCAAGCTTAAGGTCCTCACCTTTCCTCAGCCAGTGCCACCCCTGGGGACCTTCCAAAAGTGTGCTGCTCAGCTCTGCTCCCTCCTCCAGGTGTCAGCTGAGACCCTGTTTGGAAATGTCCCCAGCCTGATTCGAACCCACCGGAGCTTTTGGGATGAGGTGCTGGGGCCCACCCTGGAGGAGACTCGGGCCTCGGGCCAGCCTCTGGACCCCATTGGTCTGCAAAGTGGCTTCCTGACGGTGAGGCCTGTGAAGGGCTGTGTCTGGATGGGGCAGGACTCGGAGCCCTCGGGGGTCCTGTGTGTAGGGCATGCCCACAGTATGCAAATCTCTGTGATTTGAGGGGCCGCAGGACACAGCCCCTACCCCTAATATCACCTCACCTCCTCCCTTCATGCCACAAGTCTGACCTCTGTGCCACAGGCTCCTTGTTCTTCTGGAGGCCTTTATGAAATGAAAATGCAGCTGTCTCAGAGAAGGGTCACACCTTGGCTCCCATCAACTACAAAAGCTGGGTGCAGCAAATGAGGCCTAAGTGAGGGGACCCTTAGGAGGACCTGGGTGGGTGTAAAAGGCCACAGGAGGCACCCGGGGCACGGAGAAGAGTGACAAGAGAAAGCAAGAGGGCCTAGGATCCGACTTTCTTCTACAATGTTACCTAGCCAGGAAAATGTGGGCCCTGCAGGAAAAAGTTGCAGTGGGGTAGAGAGGTAGGCGTACTGCCCCTGGGAGCCTTAGGTACCCCCTCCATAGGAGCAAGGCTTCTGAGCCAACTCTTAGGTCGCCACCCCACCCCCAGGGTGAAATGGGATCTGCAATGTCCTGACAACGGTCCAGCTGAATTATCGATGGTGGGAGAGTAAGTCCAGAGCAGCAGGCCCCAGTAGCACTGTGGATAGAGGGAGCTCAGAGAGCTCTGGGTCAGTGTCGGGACCTCAGGCTCCTTCGTGGAATCCAGAGAAAGGGGCGTAGCCTCGAGAGCATTCCTGGGAGGATCCTGGGAGGGAGGGACTGTCAGGAGCTGGGCTAAGGGCCCCTGCGAGGCTCTCTTCACCTGCTCCTGGGTCCTGCAGCTAGAGCCTGTATTCATGGCCTTCTCCCCATGCCTGCTCCCCACCTCCCGTATCTGTCTCTCCAGTTTGGCCAGCGGTTCCACCCCTATGTCCAGTACTGCCTCCGAGTGAAGCAGACCATGGCTTACGCCCGAGAACAGCAAGAAACTAACCCTCTCTTCCATGCCTTCGTGCAGGTGGGAGAAGGGGTGCTGGGGAGGGGGACGGGTGCATCTTAGCCGGCCGGTCTCCAGCTGAGCCTGAGGCTGAGTTCACCACTAGGCAGGGCAGGAGGGAGCAAACCCTGAGCCCCACCCACCTTCCCTGCAGTGGTGTGAGAAGCACAAGCGCTCTGGGAGGCAGATGCTCTGTGACTTGCTTATCAAGCCCCACCAGCGCATCACCAAGTACCCACTGCTGCTCCATGCTGTGCTCAAGAGGAGCCCCGAGGCACGAGCCCAAGAGGCCCTGAATGCCATGGTAGGTGCCCCAGTGGGGCTGGGACTCTGGTGAATCGGGGACTGGGAGGGGGGTCTCTTTCTTAGTGTGTCTGTGACAGTGTGGCGCTGTGCTGTGGCTGGCATTGGTTGGGAGGGGACGGCTGAGCCGTCCCTCCTCCCACACCCCCAACCCCACCTAGATTGAAGCCGTGGAGTCATTCCTGCGACACATCAATGGGCAGGTCCGCCAGGGCGAAGAGCAAGAGAGCTTGGCGGCTGCAGCACAACGCATCGGGCCCTACGAGGTGCTGGAGCCACCCAGTGATGAGGTGGAGAAGGTGAGAGGGCAAAGGGAAGGGACCCAGGAAAAGCAAGGTCCCAGGGATACTGGTGAAGGGGAGGGCTGCAAGGCCAGAACACCCCGTACTTGGGTGCTACAAGGGTGTCCATCATTCCTACCTGGTGGTGACAGTCCAAGGGGTACAGGTCAGAAGAGCAAAAAGGAGGCCCTGGGAGGCTTTCTCTAGCCCATGGGGGAAGGATACAAACAGAAAGGTGTTGGTGGCAGAACCAGGAGCCGCCCTTGGCCAGGAAGTCCAGGCAGACTGCCGAGCGCCCTGACCCCTCCCCTCTGTGTCCCTCAGAACCTGCGCCCATTCTCCACCCTGGACCTGACGTCCCCCATGCTGGGGGTTGCATCTGAGCACACCAGACAGCTGCTGCTGGAGGGGCCTGTGCGAGTGAAGGAGGGACGAGAAGGGAAGGTGAGGGTGCTGCGGACAGAGTGGAGGGGATGGGGCACGGTGGGAGAAGGTAAGAGGCAGAAACGCCGGAAGTGGGAGAAGAGGGGTTTGGGGAAGAGGATGTGGTTCTGGCTAAGCCCCAGTCATTTGTGTGACCCTGAGCCAGCCACTTTGCCTGCCTGTAAAGTGAGAGATGTGACCAAAGCGACGCCCCTGGCCACTCCCGCATTTGGGCTCTGCGTGTGTCCCTGTGTGCCTGCGCACCATGCCTGAGCCTCCTCCCGGACCAGCCCTGCCCCTGGCTCCAGCTGACCCTGTCTCTTTCCCCTACGCCCCCACCCCCAGCTGGACGTGTACCTGTTCCTCTTCTCTGATGTGCTCCTTGTGACCAAGCCCCAGCGCAAGGCGGACAAAGCCAAGGTCATCCGACCCCCTCTCATGCTGGAGAAGCTCGTGTGCCAACCCCTGCGAGACCCCAGTACGTCCTTCCTTCAGGGAGTCTTTTCTTCTCCCTCTTCTCAGCGAGGGGAAGGAGGAGCTGGGACGGAGATCAAATAAAGGCTGGCCTCTTGAAGGTTGTCTCCTCCATCCAGACAGCTTCCTGCTGATCCACCTCACTGAATTCCAGTGTGTCTCCAGCGCCCTCCTTGTGCACTGTCCCAGTCCTACAGACCGTGCCCAGTGGCTGGAGAAGACCCAGCAGGCCCAGGTATGGGAAAGCCAGCAACGGGGAGGCATGGGCAGGGGTCCCCGGAGCTCAGAAATGGGAGCACAGTGGTGGATCACACCTGTAATCTCAGCACTTTGGGAGGCTGAGGCAGGTGGATCACCTGAGGTCAGGAGTTTGAGACCAGCCTGGCCAACATGGTGAAACCCCGTCTCTACTAAAAATACAAAAATTAGCCGGGCGTGGTGGTGTGTGCCTGTAGTCCCCATTACTTGGGAGGCTGAGGCAGGAGAATCACTTGAGCCCGGGAAGTGGAGGTTGCAGTGACCTGAGATCGTGCCACTGCACTCTAGCCTGGGTGACAGAGTGAGACCCTGAAGAAGAAGGAAAAAAAAAAGAATGTAGGAAGGAAGGAAGGAACGAATGAACATGGGAGCGCAGAGGGGAGGAGGAGAGAGGCTGGGGTGGATTCAGTTTCAGACTGGACAATCTGATGTGCCCCAGAGAGGGAGGCAGAGCCTCCACCATCCATCAGAAGACAGAAAAAGCCTTTGGCCAGCTACTGTGCCAGCCACTGGGAGAGCCCAAGATACAGCATCCCCTGAAGGTTTGTACAGCCTGAAATGATTAACTTCTAGAAGTCATCTTCCATTCGCAGACATTTACAGGGCACTTGCTGAGTACGGCAGGCACTAGAGCTAGGTGCTAGGGAATCAGAAAAGAGTAAACCACCATTCCTGCCCTCAAGGCCTAGGTGCTGCAGCCTGGTTGAGTAATTAGTATACAAACAATAGAGAGAAGTTATGTAGAATGAAGCTGGGACAGAGAAGGGAGCAAGGCATTGTCTGCTGGGTCTGTTTGGAAGGGACACAGAGGAGCTGATGTCTGAGCACCATTTGGGAGGATACCTAGGAGTATGTCAGGGAGTCAGGGTGGAAGGGAAGGGCATTCCACATGGAGGAGCAGAACGTGCAAAGGCGGGAACTGTGAAACAGTTGTGTGTGTTGAGAGAACTGCCCCCATTGGTATTGCTACAGTATCAAGTACAAGAGTAGACGCAGCAGGGAGAGGCTAGGGGGTAGGTGCCACCAGGTCATGCCCATCTCTGCATGTCATGATAAAGCATCCTATAGATGAGCTTTGTCCTTTGGATGACAGAGGGCCAGTGAAGGAGTCGGGCAGGGGAGTGATGTGAGCAGATAAAAAGCAGGAGGAGTTCAAAAGAAGAGAGATGCAAATGGAGCTGTATTAGGTCCCACAAACTTGGTGGCCTAAAATGCATCAGAAGCTTACTCTCTCACAGTTCTGGAGGCCAGAAGTTTCAAATCAAGGTGTTGGCAGAGCTGAGTTTCCTCTGGAGGCTCTAGAGGAGAATCCATCCTTGCCTCTTCCAGCTCCTGGTTGCCCCAGGCGTTCCGTGGCTTGTGGTAACAAAATTCCAAACTCTTTCTCTGTCTTCCCATGGCCTTCCTCTCTGTATGTCTCTGTGTCCAAATTTCCCCCTCCTTTCTCTTACAAAGATGTGAGTATTAGATTTCGAGCCCACCCTAAATCCAGGGAGAACTCATCTTGAGCTCTTAGGATCTCTGCAAATCTGCGAAGACTCTTTTTCGAAATCAGGTCACATTCACAGGTTCCAGAGGGTAGGACTTAGATATATCTATCTTTTGGGGGGGCCACTATTCAACCCACCACAGGAACGGAATGGCCAAAGAGAAGTGAAGATTTGAGTTAGACTTTTAAGGATAGGAAGACCATGAGCAGCAGAATCAGAGGACCAGCTGGGCTGGATATATTTCTGGAATGACGGCCATATCTGCCTAAGTATGGAGCACAGTGTTTGTGTGAGTGCGTGGTAAGAGGCCAGATTCTGCAGAATCTCAGAGCTGCAGAACCCTGTGGCCTGGATGCGCTTGAGTTAAATAGGGTCAACAAGAGACAGCCACCGTGAATTCTTTTTTTTTTTCTTTTGAGACAGAGTCTTACTCCATCACCCAGGCTAGAGTGCAGTGGCATGATCACAGCTCACTGCCGCCTCAACTTCCTGGGCTCAAGTGAGTCTCCCAGCTTAGCCTCCCAAGTAGCTGGGACTGCAGGTGTGTACCACCACACCTGGCTAATTTTTTGCATCTTTTTGTGGAGACAGGGTCTTTCCATGTTGTCCAGGCTGGTCTTGAACTCCTGAGCTTAAGCAATCTGCATATCTCGGCCTCCCAAAGTGCTGAGATTACAGGCGTGAGCCACCGTGCATAGCCCTGCCATGAATTCTTGAGCAAGGGTGAAATCAGTGTGTTTCCTCTTGAATTAGGTTTTCAGGAAATCAGGTAGCAGTGTGCTGGGTGGGCTGGAGGAGGGAGAAATTGGTGACAGGAGGTTTATTGTACTAGTTTGGGTGTGAAACATGGAAGGTTTAGTGCCACAGCCTTAGGGAGACATTGCAAAAAGGGACAAAAAACAAAGGAGAAGAAAGGACCTAAAGAAGAGGGAAGAGGCCGGGCGCGGTGGCTCACGCCTGTAATCCCAGCACTTTGGGAGGCCGAGGCGGGCCGATCACGAGGTCAGGAGATTGAGACCACGGTGAAACCCCATCTCTACTAAAAAAGACAAAAAATTAGCCGGGCGCGGTGGCGGGCACCTGTAGTCCCAGCTACTCGGGAGGCTGAGGCAGGAGAATGGCGTGAACCCGGGAGGCGGAGCTTGCAGTGAGCCGAGATCGCGCCACTGCACTCCAGCCTGGGCGACAGAGCGAGACTCTGTCTTAAAAAAAAAAAAAAAAGAAGAGGGAAGAGAAGGGGGAGCCTTAGGGATACTTTGGTTAAAGTCTATACTGAATTCAGAAAAATCCAGGTTCAGACACCGGTCCTACCAGGTCCTAGCCATGTGACCTTGGGTAAGTTATATGACCTCCCTCAACTTCAATTTCGTCATCTGCAAAACAGATATACACAATGACTACCTGCTTCCTAGGGAGATTCAAAGCTGTCATTCGGCTTAGGCACACAGCCTGGGGCCAGCACTGGGCACAGGCTCAGGAACTCCAGATACCCAGCGGCAAAGAGCACAGTTGGCCTCCCGAAGCTTCAGTTTGGAACACTGCATTGGCAATGGGACCCCAGACAGAAATGCAGTCATTAGAAAGGGAAAGGGAAATGTGTTTGTTTAGTTATTGCTTCCTCAGTGAGGTGGCTTTACTGTAGGAATATTTAAACAGCAGCGCTTTGAAATTGAGGCAGCCAAGATATAACCTAGTGGAGATATCTTAGGGGCTTTGGGAACAAAAGAAACAGAAACAAAGACCTGGAATTCAAGTGAAAGAGGAGGACAAAAAACACACCCCAAGGGGAGGCAGGTGGGTTTTGTGATGACAGTGGTCTCCCATCTGCCCTGTCCCCTGCTTCCGGCTCGGTTCACTGTCCCCTCTGCATGGCAGGGACTTCTCTCCACCACTTCCACCTAAGCCTAAACACACTTTCCACTAGGCTGGACTGACTGGCAAGTGACATCATTCTGGTGGTTAATCAAATTTTCTTGGCCAGGCGTAGTGGCTCACCTCCTCTAATCCCAGCACTTTGAGAGGCTGAGGCAGGCAGATGGCTTGAGACCAGAAGTTCAAGACCCAGCCTGGCCAACATGGCAAAACCCCATCTTTACAAAAAATACAAAAATTAGCTGGGCCTGGTGGCGCATGCCTGTAGTCCCAGCTACTCGGGAGGCTGAGGTGGGAGGATCACTTGAACCCGGGAGATAGAGCCTGCGGTGAGCTATGTTCCCACCACTGCACTACAACCCAGACAACAGGGTGAGACCTTGTCTAAAAAAAAAAAAAGTTAAATAAAACATTTTCCTGAAGGCTAGAGGCTCAAGGGGGAGCCCAGGGACAAAAGCGCAAGCTAGTGGCATCGGTGTCCCTAGAGCCCCAACTCCCCAGGATAGCCAGTGGGGCTGGCAGTGAATGGCAGGCTGCCTTTTTTCCTTCGGAACTGCCACCTCCACCTTCAGAACTTTCTCCTCTTTTTTTTGGTTTTTAGTCACAGAACAACAGCCAGACTCTCACCTTCTCCCTTTCAGAATCCCAAGAGCTACTGAAAATTACGGGTATTTTACTATGCAAAACAACTCAGTCCCCTGGTAGTCTCACTCCAGGCTAACAGGAAAGATCTGTCAAGATCTATAACCAAGATATGCACCAAGGCTCCCTGGCCTTCCTTAGCAAAACAAAGAAAACTGAAACTTTGAAATGACTTTTCCTGCTATTGTCTCACACCAGATTATTAGGGAATCCTCTCTAGAGCCATCAGTCTTTATACACTGAAGAGGGCAGTAGAAACTCTGTTGGTCCCTTTCATAGAGCAATCCCCAGGGGGCAGACTATTGTTTTCTCACCCTGGCAGAAACGTTGACTTGCAGATTTATTCCTAGCGGGTCTAGCTGTGATGACTCACACTTTTAGAGAAAGTAAGCTTCTCCAGGGAGAAGAGACTGAATCTTGGGGAATGCCCAGGGACTGAGAAGAGGAAAAGGAACAGAGACAGGAACAGAAAGAGCCGTCAGAGATGGCGACCAAGAAATTAAAGCAGGGAGACTGAAGGAGGCAGCCGAGGCTAAGAGCCAGGGTCTGAAGGAGAGGCCCGAGCAGCTGTCAGGGAGTTACTTCACCTCTTGGGGAGTTGCAGTGCACGCAGGACAGACAGTCCGCAAGTGGCCAGGCACAAGGCCCAGCACTGTATGGGCACTCCATAAATGTTTGCCGTTGTCATCATTAGAAGAAAGGGGTGGTCTTTGGGGCCTGGGTAGGGCCTGCTGCTGACTGGGGAAACGCATCCGCATCTGTTGCTCAGGAAGTCAGTGGGCACGTTTCAGAGTTCGGTTTTAGTCCGGCACTGGGGAGTTCTGGGAGGAGAGTGGGTGAATCTAGGAGCCACCCCAGAGACAGCAGGGAAAGGAGGCATTTCCTCTCCATGGGTACAAAGGAAGAAGAATCCTGCTAGGGGCCCTCCCTTCCTCTTCTCAGTTTTGTAGGGGGGTCACATTCTGGCTTAAGCGCCAATTTCCTTTTCCTTTCCCGTCCCCTCTGCCCCCATGTGTCTCTCCTCTTAACCAAGCCGAGAAAATTCTCCCAGGGTTGCTGGAGAGGCTTTGGGCTCGCTGGGAGGCACCTCCAAGAGCCCCATCCCGCCCATTCCCCCGACCCCCTACCCCGTACTCGGGGCTCCCCCTCGCCCCCCTCCCCCCCCCGCCGCCTCCTCCAGCCTCTTCCTGGGGTCGGGCAAGGGGCAAGTTTAGCAGAGATGATGGCATTGAACGTCCCTTACAGAAACCCTGCTTCCTTCCAGTTCTTCTTTCCCGTAACATCCCTTCCTTGGCACCCGAAACACAAACCTGAATTTGGGTCCTGTGGGGCAAAAGGGCACCCCAGCAGGACAAGCAGATCGGCCCAGCGCCTCCACCCTCTCTTTTCTCACTTCTTCCCTCCCTTCACATGGAGTTGGGAGATGAGGCCTGGGAAAGAGGGAGTCCTGCCCCAGGTCCCGGCCCTGGCAGGTTTCCTACCCCCAGGTACCCTCCCCTGCTCCGGCCAACAGACCACATCTTATGAGAATGCTGTCAGCCTTGGGAATAAGTGACTGGAGAGCCAGAAAAAGCAGAATGGGAACTATAAGCCTGGTGTCATTTTCCTATCCCTGTTCATCCATTTCGTCTCTTGTCCTGACCCAGCTGCTCCCCGGGTTTCTTGAGAGGCTTTGGGAAAGTCCAGGTGCCCAGGAGTTGCTGGCTCATATACTTCAAGCTGGGGAGATAGTGGAAATATTTAACAATTAGTATAGCATGGGCATCAACCAATCAGAAAGGAGCGCTGCACTAGAGGTCCTCTGCTGTGCCAGAGGTTATCTCCCTTAGTTGCTAGATCATGGGGATGGGGGAAGTGGTTGAGGCCCAGGCAGCAGCCATTCCCTTACCAGCATGGAAGACTTCAATATTTTAACAAGGATATGGCCATACCAGCAAGTCCTGATATCAGTGCTGCCCACAGCAGCCACCAGTACCTCCCTTTTGCCAAGGCTTGCCTCCGCCTCCAACCTCAGCTCTGCCACCTTCTCTTCCCTCTCCCTCCCCCTCCCCCTCCCCAAGCCAACAACCGACCTTCTGTAACTCTTTACCCTTCAAGGCTGTCCTTGAAAGTGTTGCAGTGACTGAACTAGGACTCAAAGAGCAAGGCCCTGTCCCAGCTCTGCTTCTCCATACCTGTGGCACCTTGAGCAAGTCACTTCACCTCTCTAGGTCTAGGTTTCTTGTCTGTAAAATGGGCTAACATTCATGTTCTCCACACCACAGGGCAATGATGTGTATCAAATGACCACATGTGCAAAAGTGCTTTGAAAATTTTTTCTCAGGTGGCGCTATTTCCTTTTGATGGTACCTGTATGAAATCGCTGAGGGAGGGAGAAGGCAGATAATATAATGCGTCCTCTCCTCAGCCTTCTAGGAACTTTCCTCCCTCTGAAGGACAGCAGAGTCCTCAGCCTGGGACAAAGCCCACCTCTGCCCACGTTCTGCCCTCCTGCTCCTCCCAGCTTCAGGGCAGAGGCCCAGGTGGTAGGAGAGGGATGCTCTTGAAGGAGCAACCAGTACCAATTCAGAACACTTATTCTACCATCACCACCAACCAGGGAGGGCTTCCTGAAGGAGGGGGAAGACCTGATAACAGGTCTGCCAATGGGACATGAGAAGCAGGAAGACCTGTACAGGTAGGAAAAGGGCCATTCTGTTCACCCCACTCACCCCCAACACTAGCTCCAGAGTTTGGTGCCACCAAATCCCGGCACCACCCCACTTTCTTATGGTAAGAAGTACCCCCTCAGACAGTTACTTAACCTTAGAGTCTCCATGTCTCAGTAGTAAGGTGGGGTAAAAATATCTGGTTCATGGGGTTTTTGTAAAGATTAAATAAGGTAATGTAGGCCGGGCACGGTGGCTTACACGTCTAATTCCAGCACTTTGGGAGGCCAAGGGGGGTGGATCACAAGGTCAGGAGTTTGAGACCAGCCTGGCCAAGATGGTGAAACCCCATCTCTACTAAAAATACAAAAATTAGCCGGGCACGTTGGCGGGCGCCTGTAATCCCAGCTACTAAGGAGGCTGAGGCAGGAGAATCGCTTGAACCCAGGAGGTGGAGGTTGCAGTGAGCCAAGATTGTGGCACTGCACTCTAGTCTGGGTGACAGAGCAAGACTCAGTCTCAAAAAATAATAATAATAATAAAATAAAATAAGGTAATATATGTAACGCACTTAGCAGGGTGCCTGGCAAACAGCAAGTGCTCAATAAATGAGAGCTCTTAATAACGAAAGTGTCCTGTCCCAGGCCGCCCTACAGAAGCTGAAGGCAGAGGAGTATGTTCAACAGAAGAGGGAGCTCCTGACCCTCTATCGGGACCAGGACAGGGAGTCCCCCAGCACCAGGCCCTCCACGCCTTCCCTGGAGGGCTCTCAGAGCAGCGCAGAGGGGAGGTAAGGCTCACACGGACTACAAGGTCTCCCCGAGCAGGAGGAGGGAGCCATAAGGCTGAGAAATGGCATTACTGCACATTTTTGGTGGAATTGGGAATAGATAGAGGAACGCAGGCGTAGGGCAGGGTAGGGAAGCTCGGTACCAGCTGTGTTGGGTCGGAAGGTTGGTACCAGCCGTGTTGGGTTGGAGGTGGGGGATAGGGCACAGACAGCCTACAGAGTTAGCCTGCCTAGAGTCACACAGGAGCACTGTGAGAGGAGCAAGCTCGAGAGTGAAGGTAGGTGTGGATCTGCAGAATATTAGAGCTGCCAAATCCCCGGGGAGTGTGAGGTTCGTCTAGGATAGCACCACTGCTTGGCAGCAGCTTAAGGAGAAAAGAAGAATCGATCATTGAGGATAATATCAGGTAAGTTCAGGAACCACTCAGCAAAAACCTGACTACCCACTCGATACAAGATCCTGGACCAGATGCTATGGATAAAACAGTATAGAGGCAGCCCGTACTCTCTTAGGAGCTTAAAATCTAGCCAGCCAGATGAGAAAAACAATCACAGTGCGATGGAAAGATGATACCAAAATAAGTTTGGAGGAGGGGCCATTTCTGGATGTAGTGATCAAGGGAAACTCCCTGGACTTGAACTTGACCCCTACGCATCTGACTCTTTGCCATTAACTGTAGGACTCCTGAGTTCTCGACCATTATCCCCCACCTGGTGGTGACAGAAGACACAGATGAAGATGCTCCCCTTGTGCCAGATGATACCTCAGACTCTGGCTACGGCACTTTGATCCCAGGCACCCCCACGGGGTCCCGCTCCCCACTGAGCCGTCTACGCCAAAGAGCCCTTCGGCGGGACCCTCGCCTCACCTTCTCCACCCTGGAACTCCGGGACATCCCTCTGCGTCCCCACCCTCCCGACCCCCAAGCTCCTCAACGCCGAAGCGCCCCCGAACTGCCGGAAGGAATCCTAAAAGGAGGCAGTCTTCCCCAGGAAGACCCACCAACCTGGTCTGAGGAAGAAGATGGGGCCTCCGAGCGAGGGAATGTGGTGGTGGAAACACTCCACAGGGCCCGGCTTCGGGGCCAGCTTCCCTCCTCCCCAACCCATGCTGACTCTGCCGGGGAAAGCCCCTGGGAGTCCTCAGGGGAGGAGGAAGAAGAGGGGCCTCTGTTCCTGAAAGCTGGCCACACATCCCTGCGCCCAATGCGGGCTGAGGACATGCTCAGAGAGATCCGGGAGGAGCTGGCCAGCCAAAGGATTGAGGGGGCCGAGGAGCCCCGGGACAGCAGGCCACGGAAGCTGACTCGGGCCCAGCTGCAGAGGATGCGGGGGCCCCACATCATTCAGCTGGACACCCCTCTGTCCGCATCGTAAGTGCTGGAGGGAAGCTGGCCTGGGAGGGGGCAGACGGGGATGTCTGTATGGTGGTGGGGTGTAGTATAGAAAGAGGGCAAAGCAGGAACAGGGGCTGAGGCAGGAAGGGCTCTCCGCCTCACTCTTCACCTGACCCTCACCCGTTGCCACTGAATGTCGCCTAACACCCCCTCCTGTCTTTTCAGAGAGGTATGAGGAATGCAGAGGACCTTTGGCATGCATCTCTCCCAGAGGAGATCTCTCCCCAGTAGTGCTGGTCACCCTCCGGCATCTGTGACTCTACCTCAAGGACCACATTTCCCAAAGGAAGCCTGGCCCAGGCACCCTGCCTCCTGCTCTGTTTGGGGATCAAGAACTGTAAATTTATGTATCATAGGTGCACCTGAGCCCCACAGAAAGTTGTGCATAAAAATGACTGCCCTGGCTGGGCATGGCTGCCTGTAATCCCAGCACTTTGGGAGGCTGAGGTGGGAGGATCCCTTGAGCCCAGGAGTTCCAGACCAGCCTGGGCAATATAGGGAAACCCTGTCTTTACAAAAAAAAATTTTAAAAATTACCCAGGTGTGGTGGTGTGCCTGTGTCCGGAGGCTGAGGCGGGAGGACCCCATGAGCCCAAGGGTTGGAGGCTGCAGTGAGCGCACTCCAGCTTGGGCAACAGATGACGGTGTTCAGAACAAGAACCTGCTACTCCTCTGTCACTTGGCGTGATGGTGATGGGCTACCTGGCCCTAGTGCAGGGCTTTTCCCATCTCACCCCTCAGGATCTGGGCCTCTGCCCCCACCTCCCATCCCGACAGACCACTGTCTCCAAGAGCAGAGCTTTAACTTCAGAATTTTAGTGTATGTACAAAAGTCCACAGCTCCAGCTGAAGGCCCCATTGTTCCGTGCTCGCCCCTGCCTTAGGACAGTTCAGCTTGCTATGTGCTTGTCCAGGCAGAGGGCACAGGAGTGCCAAGTTTCTATTAGTGTAACATGATTGATTTAAAAACAAAACAAAACAAAACAAAAACAAAAAAAACTGCTTATGCACTGTGAAAAAGGCTCAGGGACGAACCAGGGGCCCCCGAGCAGCCTTGCTGGTGAGGACACCCAAAACGGGCATGAGGCATAGCGTCCCTCATCCTCGCAAACCACCCACTCAGGCTCTTGAGCCCACGGCGCACCTCTCTCCGCGCGCACAGCGCTGACTGTCGGCGGCGCGCAGGCAGCTGAGAAAAGCTATGTACATCGAGGGGTTAGCACCAAGTAGGCGGCTGCTAGCTCCTGCTTGCCCCTGCAGGACCCCTCCTTTCCAGAAAAAAGTGGGGTTGGAAGGCGATCTCGCAGGACGGTCCTTAGAGCTGCCCGCAGGGGCGCAGCCTCATCTGAGAAGACTGGGCGCGGGCGGGAGGGCGGCGGGGCCGCAAAGCGCCTCCTCGATGTCCTCCAGGCAGCCCAGCAGGTCCATGTCGCGGAGCACGCGTCCCAGCAGCTCCAGCGTGGCCTCGCGCCGCGGCGTGCGCCGCCTCCAGGTCGCCAGCATGCTGTATTGCGCCTCGCGCAGGCAGCGCCCGTTCTGCAGCTCCAGCCGATCGATCTCGTGGTCGCTCAGCCCTAGGCGCCGCACGAATTCCTTCCAGCGCAACGGGGGCACGTTCTCCACCACGGCGTACAGCGTCGCGGGGTCATCAGCTGCGGGGACGCGGGCCGGTGAGCCTCGGGCGGCAACCCCAGGCCCCGCCCCGCATCCCGCGCCCTCCGCCTCTCGTGGTCCCCTCTGGGAGCGCCTCCCGCGCTCCCCCGGCCCTCCCCCAGCCTCCTCGTCTCCAGCCGCGGGAGAAACTCACTGTCTAGGCTCTGTGGCTTGTGGGCGCTGTCCTCCCACTTCTGAAGGGGGTTGGGGATGGGGTCGGAGGCGAGGGCTGTCGCAAGGATGGGGTCAGCCCCCTGATAGGGTGGTGCCACCTCTCTGCGGGGAGCCGCAAAGTTGGGACAGTCACCGGGGGTATAGGTGGAGCTGGAGGTGAAGGTGGAACTGGGCACGGGACTGAAGCCCAGGGTGGGGGTGAAGCCTGGAGTGGGACTGAAGCTTGGGTTTGGGGCCAGGGGCTTAGTAGTAGTTCCTTCAAGCTCCCCCTGAAAGAGAGAAGGTGGCGCAGCATTAGTGCGGCAGCGAAAACCAGCCCCGGCCCTCTTTATTCTACGTGGGGGTTGGGACTTAGAGGGAATGAGGCGAGCCCCCGGAAAGTGAAGGATGATTCCAGGGGATCTGAGCATTAGGCAATTATAAGGAATGGTCAGGGACATTTGGGAGTAACTCTCTCATTTCATCTCACCTCTTTTTCAGGTGTCGATTTCCCACAAACTGAGGAAAAAGAAAGAAAGCATCATAAATTTCACTTCCTCTCTCAGCCCTGGCACCCTGGACTCAGCTGGCAGTGGGGACTTGTGGTGACATGCCTCAGGGCCTATGTGGCCCCAGGGACGAGAGAGCTACTGATGCAGCTCGACATCTCCCCAGCCATCCAGGGCCACCTTCTGCCCAGAGTCCCCAGCGGTATGAACTGAGGGGACACTCCTCACCTCCCTCCACACATGTCCATCGCACCCACCCATGTCCTCCCTCACCCCCACCAGCTCCCTCTCCCTCCCAAAGCCCCCACTCACCAATGGAGTAGAGCTTGGACTTCCACCGTTGGTAGCGATACATTAAACCAATGAAGAGGAGGGATAAAAGGCAAAGACCAAAGAAAATGACCAGGGGCAACAGCACTGTGGTGCCTGCAGACAAAGCAGGTGTTGGTCAGAGGAGCGGGCAGAGGGGGGCCGCAGGGATAGATGGATGGGTGGGATGGATGGACGGGTGGGGGCAAGAAGAGGGAGAGGGCAGGTGAGCATGGGCACCAGGTCACTTCTCCTCACCTGAGTCCTCAGTGCCCTTAACATTCTCAATCTGGGGTAGGCACAACTTCGTGCACTCCAGGCTTTTCTTACAGCTAAAAGAAGAGACGGCACTGGTGAACAGAGGCCCTACCATTGGAGGAACACAGAAAAACAACCACACAGATTGTTGGACATCCTTTCTTTACAAATATTTTTGCTGTCTCTTGATATAATTTGTTTTGGGAACTGATGCAGAAGAATGAAACACAGTTAATCATAGAATCATTTAATTTTAGAATTGGCAGGGATCTTGAAAAGGCTGTGTAGAAAATGTGAAAAGCAGTCAGGGTCAGGGTGTAAATTCCAGTTCATTCCTTGGCTAGCAGTGTGAATCTAGGCAAGCCATTAACCCCCAAGCCTCGGTTTCCTCATCACCACAGGGATCGCCCACCTCTCAGGATTGAGGATTAAGCAAAATCATTATGCCTCATTTAATAAGTGCTTGAGAAGGTAGCCAGCTAGCTGTTATGGGATTGTTGTTTCATCACTGTTTTGCTGATAAGAATCCTTTGGCAAAGAGAGGTTAAAGGGCTTTTTCTTAAATGACACTGCTAGTTACAGTACCTGACTTCGGGGAGTCGGGGTCAAACATGCATGTGAAAAATTTAAAAACACATGTTACTGGGGCAGCCAGAGAGCACCCTGTAGAACTAGCAGATCTTCCATGTTGGGAGTTGTCACTGGACAGTGTGGAGTGATGGGAACTCTATGGGGTGGTGCTGGAAGGAACTTGAGAGAGTGAGTTCCCAGCAGGAAGCTGAAAGCAGGGAGAGGCACTTTAGCCCACCACTCAAGCTCATGGTGAGAACCACATAGAATGGTATAAAAGTGATTTCAAGAAGAGATGAAGCCGGCTGGGTGCAGTGGCTCACGGCTGTAATCCCAGCACTTTGGGAGGCAGAGGCAGGTGGATCACCAGGAGTTTGAGACCAGCCTGACCAAGATGGTGAAACCCCATCTCTACTAAAAATACAAAAATTAGCCAGGCATGGTGGCACGTGCCTGTAATCCCAGCTACTTGGGAGGCTGAAGCAGGAGAATTGCTTGAATCTGGGAGGCAGAGGTTGCAGTGAGCCGAGATCGCGCCACTGCATTCCAGCCTGGGCGACAGAGCAGGACTCTGTGTCAAAAAAAAAAAAAAAAAAAAAAAAGAAGATTAATGGAAAATAAATAGTTTTGTGTCAGACGTGTTGTAGGTTTTGTTTGTTTCTTTGTTTTTGGTTCTCACAAATTCACCAAATGAATGTCATTATGCTTACTTTAAATATAAGAAATCTAAGGCCCAGGCCAGGCGTGGTGGCTCATGCCCGTAATCCTAGCACTTTGGGAGGCTGAGGCGGAAGATCGCTTGAGCCCAGGAGTCCGAGGCCAGCCTGGGCAATATAGTAGGACCCTGTCTCTACAAAAAGTAAAACATTAGCTGGGTGTAGTGGTGTGTGCCTCTAATCCCAGCTACTCAGGAGGCTAAGGCAAGAGGATGGCTTGAGCCCTGGAGGTGGAGGCTGAGCCACGGTTGCACCACTGCACTCCAGCCTGGGTGACAGAGTGAAACCCTGTCTCAAAAAAAAAAAAAAAAAAAAAACACCAAAAGAAAAGTCAGGCTCAGAGATGTTAAGAAACTTGCCCAACGTCACATAGCCAGTAAGTGGCTATGCTGGGGTTCAAACTCTGAGAGCCCTCAGAGTTTATTCTTTGCAAGTGAGTGACAAGAACAGCCTCTGTGGAGCCAGGAGTAAGGAGGCCTGGACAGTGACTAATGAGGAAATACCATATTGCATCAAACCTAAGACGCCATCAAGAATAAAAGGCACTTTTCTTTACATTACTACCCAGACGCAAACAGAGCTGCCAATTCAACCATGATGAGTCACCAGTTATAGGAGGTTTGATTTCAGAGCTATAAGAGTGTATGTCCTAGAACCAATGAGCTATCGTAGATCCAAGAATCTACATATCTGAGTTGGAAGGGCTGCCAGCCCTTGGGGCATGATCTTCCATCCTCAAAGACTTCTTCAGATTTGAAGAGCAAGGGGAAGGACTGCCTGGTGTCTTAACGAAGTGTCTCCTACTCAGCCAGTAGGACCCTGAGCACTCTGGGGCATCCTGGCATCTGTTGCCCAGCTAATGGTTCCCACCAGTCACCCGTCCCAACCCATGCCACCATCCAGTGCCCAGCAGCTCTCAGAGATACTCACTTACTACAGGAGACACACTCGTTTTCTCTTAGAAAGAAACCTGCATGGCAGGTGCACACGGTGTTCTGTTTCTCCTGGCCTGTAGGGAGAAGTGCGGCACAGCTAAAGGAGAAGCGCCTGCACCCCCACCCCACAGGACAGAGGAAGTGACGAGGGACAGGGTGGGGGCGGCCAGAGAGGAGTTGGTTGTCAGACCCACAGAATACAGGAGGGGGAAGGAAAGGAAGTGCCACCGCATGGGGAAGGGGCCAACCCCTGGGGTGGGGAGAGGGCTTGGCCTCAGGAGAGCTGCGCTCACAGGAGAGGTGCACGGTCCCATTGAGGCAGAGGCTGCAATTGAAGCACTGGAAAAGGTTTTCACTCCAATAATGCCGGTACTGGTTCTTCCTGCAGCCACACACGGTGTCCCGGTCCACTGTGCAAGAAGAGATCTCCACCTGACCCATTTCTGGTGAGGGGAGAAGATGGGGTATGAGTCCTGCATCCTCCTGTCCCTGCATCCCCTTCCTGACATACCCCTAAGTGTGTGTCTCTGTAATACACACTCACATCCATGCAGTGTCCCACCAAAACACACACCTTCCTGCCCACACCCACCAGCCTGCACATAGACAGGCACCCACACACCACTCAAGACCCGCCTGACTCTCCTGCCTGTGCACACTCACCCTTTCGGCATTTGGAGCAGCTGAGGCAGTGTCTGAGGTGGTTTTCTGAAGCGGTGAAGGAGCCGCTCTCACACTCCCTGCAGTCCGTATCCTGCCCCGGGCCTGGACAGTCATTGTACAAGTAGGTTCCTGTGAATGGGGCCGCAGAGTTAGGCTGCGGGTGAGAACACAAGGAAGGAGCCCCATGCTAGGGACAACAGCCAGGGCCGATTCCCTGAAGTCTCTAGGAGAGGAGGGAGGGAGAAAATCCCAGCCCAGGAGAGACAGCAAAGTTAGGGAAGAACAACTGGAAGAAGCAGAGAAAGAAGCAGCACCCCAGACCTGAGGGCATTCACCGTTTCCACTTGCCCCTACCTTTGTGGCACTTGGTACAGCAAATCGAATTATTTTGAGGGTGGATATATTTTCCTTGGGGACACACACTATCTCTCTTCTCCCTGTCCCCTAGGTGAGGGACCAGTCCAATAACCCCTGAGGGGTATATTCCCACCAACAGCTCCAGGAGCACCTGGGGAAGAATCAGATAGAGGAGACACCATCAAGAGAGGGAGGGATGGGAAGCTTAGGGGTAGCAGATCTAAAACTTCCCTGGCTCAAGTCCTTCCTCAGTGAAACATTCCGCCCAGGCCACGCCACTCACTAAGTTTAGAGTTCTTCCTTGAAACTTAGACAGTTGGGGCCATACAATCTGATGCTTAATTGTTCTCTAGTTGTCCTGTGTGTTCATTTTTGTTCCCTCAACTCAAAGCTAGTAGGCCCCAGATCTAAGCTGTATTTTTTTTTTTTTAGGCAGGATCTTGCTCTGTTGTCCAGGCTGGAGTGCAGTGATGCAATCACTGCACCCTCCACCACCCACGCTCAAGCAGTCCTCCCACCTTAGCCTCCTGAATAGCTGGGACTACGGCCGTGAACCACCATGCCCAGCTAATTTTTTTTTATTTTTAGTAGAGGCAGGGTCTTGTTACGTTGCTCAGACTGGTCTCAAAATCCTGGGCTCAAGTGATCCTCCCACCTTGGCTTCCCAAAGTGCTAGGATTACAGGCGTGAGCCCAGCCCTGTATTTTATCCTTACTGTGAAATCCCCCACAGCAGCTAACAGTGCTGGACACAGGGCAGATGTTGAAAGGATGTGTTTTTGATTGGGAATTGGCAGGTTACTTCAGTGATGGCCCCTTCTTCCAACAAGCAGCCCTAAAGATTGGGGCGGTGTTTCTCCATCTGGGTGCTGGGTTCACCGTGTGATCGCTTTGCGAACATTCACAGAGGTAAACAATGAGGATCTATGCACATCCCAGGAATATGTTACACCATGAAAAGCTTTCTGAAAAAGTCAGCTGGCGGTGGGGGCGAGTGATGTTCCCGTGAGCACCACTCCTGGGGAGTGGACAGAAGAAGGAAGTTTATTTACATGTTTGTATCAAACCTCAATCTGCCTCCGCCCTCACATTCCCTGGCCCATCCCCTCCACCTCAAAATTTACAAACACCCGGGGTTGGCAAGGACAAATGGGGAGGAGAGTAAAAGGGAAAGGTTGGGGATCCTGCATGGGTAGACGGGGGACAAAGTTGAGACGGGGGCAGGAGTGGGCAAAGGTGTGCAGGACATAGGCAAATAGAGCTGGCCAAGGCTAGCGACCCAGCTTGGATGACTGTCAGGTCAGAGCTGAGGGCGTGCTGGGGAGTCCTGGAGCCCCCTGCACACCATGGCATTCTGGAAGGTGTGCTTTGCAGTCTCAGGCCAACCCCACAGCAGCTAAATGGCTTGTCCTGTTCCGGCATCAGTGCCAGGAAAGCAAAGCCAGGAGTGAATATTTAGCTCTAACTTGGACTTTGATCTCTGCCAGCTTCATTTCTGGTTTTCCCTGGGCTTCATTTTTTTTTTCTACTATAAGAGACACTTTGTGTAAAGATAAGAGGGTGTCCTCAATGTCTGTTAAACACTGGGGAGCAACTGACTCACCAGATCACAGAAACCCTAGGGCAGGGAAGGAGGGTCAGGCAGCCCACAGCCACCCAGCCTCACCAACTCCACATTTCGGAGCAGGAGGCCAGTCACCCTGAGTCAGCCACGGGGAGACGCTGCAGCTGTAAGCTGTGCAGGCCCGGAAGTTCAAGCCTCAGCCGCAAACAGGGGAAGCCACACACAGAAACACAACAGCAGCCCCCGCAGGTGGAGGCGTGTGCCCCTGCTCAGAGGACAACAACCTTCCCCTGCCCGCACCAGCCAACACCGTGCCACCTCTGCTGAGAACAGGACTGGGGCTTCCAGGGCAACAGGAAGGGTTTGGGGTGGTGATGGGAAGAACTTCCCAGTCCTGAAAGTGTGGTTCCTTTCCCCGAAGAAGCCACTGGAGCACCTAAGGTCACTGGTACTTTGAATCCCATCCAGGGGGCTTGAGGCAGAGTCATGATGAAGAACTGGGGGACGCCAGCCCCAGACAGCCTTAAAGGGAGCTTTTCAGGGACCTCTGGCCAGTGGGGGATGAGCCTCCCTGGAGGGAGGGAGGGAGAGAGGCTTTCTCAGGCCACGTGTTCCCTTCTCTTTCCAGCACTCTGGGGGTTAAGTCAGATCCGGGAAAGGGAAATCTTTTCCCAGCAACTCCGCCCCAGTGACTCAGGCCAGAGGGAGGGAGACCTAGGGAGGGGAGAGGGAACTAGCAGCTTCCCCAGCTCCTCAAGGGTCATGAGTCAGCAGAAAGGCAGAAGGCACCAGCCTGCATGCAAGTGGGACTCCATCTAATCCCTTCTTCCTATGGCCAAGTCCCTCCTTCCCATCCCCACTCAACCCCCATCCATCCCCTCCCCATGCAAAGAGCCAGGCCACAGACCCTTGTCCCACTTGGCCCACATGTTCCGGGAAATGCCTCCCTCTCCCCATTCCATCCCGAAGGGAAGTCTCCCTCGACCCTGGCTTCCGCCCATCAGGTCTGTGCCCTCCCTTCCCTGAGGGCCACTTGGCTCCTCCTAGCCCCTCAGCGGCCTTTAGCTGAGGCCCCGCCCCAGCTCCTCCTCCCAGTTCAACAAGTCTCCAACAGCTAAACCCATTCCGTGAGCTCTCACTCCATCCCCCAACACTCCCCAGTCCCAGCAGGAAGCAAGCCAAGGCTGCCCTCCCACCCTGGGTTCACCGCATTCCCACAGCCTGGCTGGTTCTGACCAGTTGTGCTGGGTTTGGGGGCCTCCCTGGGGTCCCCAGACAATCCTTAGGAAACAAGGCCAGTTCTGAGTCTCCACAGACCCTCCCCAAGCCCACTGGCAATACAGGAAAGCCTCCAGAGCCCTGAACACCCACTTCCAGGAACGAGGGAGCAGGCAAGAAGGGATGCCGGATGGAAGAACCAGCCCTGCTTCCTAGGCTTCCCCTGGCCCCCAGAATGCTCCAGGTCAGCCCTCTCTGATCCCTAGGAGCCAGGGCCCTCAGACTCCCCACCACTGGGCACCACTGCTGGCACCAGCTGGCCCCAGTAAGCCCAGTCCTCAGCAGTTGCGTAAATGAAGCAAAACAGGAGAAACAGGAGGTGAGCTCTTTAGGCCCAGACTCCAGCCTGGAGCAGAAGGGCAGGAAGCTGGGGTGCCTGTGGAGAGACAGTTGAGGGGGTGGCCCAACACCCCTCCAACTCCCCCACAATTTCCGCCAGAGGAGGCTTTAAAGTGTGACTTCCTGTGCTGGGGCTGCAGAGTGGGGAGGCGACGCTGAGATCGGCCTTGTGGTCTGACCCCGATCCAGCCACCTTGCAGGGACCCAATTAGTCTTCCTTTCCCCCTCATTCATGTGTCTGTTCATTTAATGTCAAGGTGTTGGGGGAGGTCGTGGCAGCTTCTCCTCCAAGGGCCCAGTTGAGATCCCATCTCCCTCCCGTGAAGCCACCATTGACGATGTCTGTTTCCTCCACCCCGGCTCCTTAGACCCATAGTCCCTGTGAACTCGAAGCACGTGAACTGACCCTATCTACTTTTGGCTCTTATCATAATATGGTTATGTTGGGTGACAGATATGATCTCCCCAAAGTGACCACGAACCTTATAAGATGAGAGATCAAAAAATGTCTTGGTCAGAAAGTGTCTTATCCTCCCCTGGTGTCCTCTCAGCTCCCAGAACCAGACCTCCAGACTGGGAGCAGATAAATATGGATCAACTGATCGATCTAATGATACATCTGTCTTCCACTCTAGTAGAAGCCAGTGATTCCCAAAGAGGGAGGTGAGGAGACAGCACCCCTGGTAGGAATATATTTATCTCCGGGGGAGAGTTTTCAGACCATCCCCCCACCTCCCCACACACAAGCACACACACCCTTACTTAAGAGTCTGGTGTGCTCCTCTCCTTTTGAGAACCACTGATGAGTGAACACAGTGTGTCTGAATGATACAAAGGCAGAAAGAAGTTGCAGCACCTCTCCTCCAGCTTGGTAGGCGCACCCTTCCACATGACCATTTCCCTGACCCTTAACATGCCCCAGACGGAATTCATCCATCTCCTCACCTAGACAAATGACACACCATCGACTTCCCGGACGAATGCTGAGAACTTGCCACGCTCTCTCCCCAGGGCCCCATCCCTATCCCTGCCGCCATCCCATGTGTCAGTTCATCTTGCGAGGCCTCCCCCTGTGATCTCTCGGTCCTCTCCGCATTCCTGGGTTGCCTCACACCTGGGTTATTGCAAGTGTCTTCTAGCCTCTCTCCTGCTCCCATCCGTCCTACACACTTTTTAAATCTTCATTCAGGCTTTAACTTGCACGCACAAGTGTGTGAACCTTCCTCTCCATCTCCAGGGCCTGGCTCCAAACAGCATTTCCATGGTCATGGAAATGATCTGAAGACTTCCACAGATGCCTCACTACTTTTTTTTTTTTTTTTTTGAAACAGGGTCTCACTCTGTCACCCAGGGTGAAGTGCAGTGGCACAATCATAGCTCACTGCAACCTTCACCACCAGGACGGAATGTAGTGGTGTGGTCAGGGCTCACTACAACCTCCACCTCCTGGGCCCAAGCCGTCCTCCCGAGCTCAGTCTCCCGAATAGCTGGGATGACAAGCACGCCCCACCATGCCCCGCTAATCTTTGTATTTTTTGTAGAGACAGGGTTTTGCTGTGTTGCCCAGGCTGGTCTCGAACTCCTGGACTCAAGCAATCCACACACCTCGGCCTCCTGAAGTGCTGGAATTACAGGCATGAACCACAGCACCCATCTGAGATGCCTCACCTCACTTCTAATCACAGTCTGGGCACAGAATGTGCCCTAGGAGAACAGCTTCTGAATAAACGAATGAATGAATTCCTCCACCTGGAACCATATTCAACACTCTTCCTCCATCCTCTCCCCCACTCCCTCTAATTCTCCCATTCACATTTCTTAGTGTTTCTCAACATGGTTTTTCCACTCCCGAACCAAGGTGTCTGGCTTCCTGCCACCCTGCCCATCAACACAAAATCCCATCTCTCCATTCCTCTCCTCTTCCTCACATCAGTATCCAACTCTGCTTCCCTCCTTTATAGCTACCCTGACAGGCAGTGACTTCAGATGTCAGCTCCACATCCACTTTTCTATGAGGCTTTCCCTCCGCCATCCCATCTGACACATCTCTTGTTCCTTAATTCCTTCAGCAAATAGTTAAGGGGCACAGTTAATGTGACAGGTCCCGTATGGGTGCTAGGGATGCTGAGGTGGATAATACACAGCTCGTGCTCTCAAGAGCTCTCACTTGAGTCAAAGACAGTCAGTTGTAGGCACTGAGATCTATACAGGGAGTGCTGCAGTTGCACAGTGAAGGACACTGAAGCAGCGTGGGGAAGCTCCTGAATTTTCTGGAGCTGAGCGCAGGAGCTGAGACCTGCTAAGCAAGGAAAGGCAGTGGACTAAGGCTCACCTCCTTCCCCAGTTCCTCCTCCTCCCAACTGGTGCTCCAGGACACCACATCACAATGCATTTGTGGATATTTTCCTCGGGATTGCTCTGAAATCATTTTTCACTGTAAGCCATCTTGGTTACTAGGCTGTAAGCTCTTTGAGAGCAGCAAAATCCTGTTTGCTTTGCCACAGTCTCTCCTGTATCATTCTTCCCTACTCCCCTACCCCACTTCTCTCTCTCTCTCTCTCTCTCTCTCACACACACACACACACACACACACACACACACACTGTGAGCTCTGCATTGCCCACTGAATGGTGAGAAATTCAGAAGGATGTTGCATTCCCTTTGTTTTCCCTTTCCTCCAGCTCCAGGCCAGGCTTCTGTCCCTTAGGAGACATAATCCCACCTGGGCTGAAGCACCCCAGGACGCAGGCACTTCCCTTTACCTGTTCAGGCTACCTTTACCCTCTGTTTTCCCAACACAGGTAGCCACCCAGTAATTACTACTAGTCACAGCAATATAAAAACTTTATTGAGTGCTTTCTATTTGCTACAACCTATTCCCCTGATGGACTGTCAAAGCTGTGGGCAGGGATTTTGTTCTCTGCTGTAATCCCAGCACCTATCACAGTGTCTAGCCCAGAGCGCACACTTAATAAATCAAATGAACACTTAACATGTATCAGTCTATTCAATCTTCAAAACAACAGTATGAGGTCAAGACTGTGACACCCATTTTGGAGATAAAGAAACGAAGGCATGGAAGGTTAGGTTATATAAGCTGCTCTTGTTCATGCAGGAGGTATGTGAGGGAGCCAGGGGCCGCCCCCAAACAGAAAACAGAAGCAGGATGTCAGGGCAGCTGGCTGGTGGGGAGACCGTGGGGGAAGGACAGTGGGAAGAAGGGAAGAGCGGGTGGGACTAAGGAGGCAGGAGGAGGCAGAAGAAGAAGAGTGAGACCCTGACCAGAGACGTGCTGCCTGGGGACCTGGGGCCGGGACCAGAGCGGAGCAGAGAGGAGGGGAAGGAGGATTAGCGAGAAAAGATTTCAAAAAAAGAGGCTCTGAGAAGTCTGAGGAGAGTCTGGGGAGATTGCTGGAAGAAAGGAATGGTAGGAGAGGAAGAGTATAAGGCACTAAAGAGAGGGGAGGTAGGCGCAGCCTTCAGAGGCCGGGCAGGGCAGGGAAAATCTGCCTGACTAGATGGGCCCAGGACATCTGAACAGGATGATTCCCGGACCAAGACGTGGAGGACGATCAAGGATACATTGAAACAAGGCTGAGGCCAGAGAAAGGGACATTTTCCAGTGACGAAAACAACTTTCTACCAACTTCCCCAAACTGAACTGTAGAATAAGAAACCAAGGGATTGTTGTTTAGGTCTGTGAGAAGCAGCGGGGAGGGGAAGCTGGAGGACAGGCCCAGGGACACTGACCAGGTGGGGGTAGGACTAGCTCCCTGGGAAGGCTCAGTCCCACAGCGGCTACCTGCCTAGCAGCAGGCAAAAGGGTAAAGAATGTCCCCAGGTGAGAGGCCGGGGCTTGGCCAGGGCACTGGGGACACTGTCCACTGGGTTGCCCTGCCCCATCCAGTGTCCCAGCCCATTCTCAAATACCTCCCACCATGAGCATCCCAAACCCACCACACCAGCCCATCCCCACTCCTCAACTCACTCCCCCACTTCACCAGCCGCCAAAATCCTGCCCTACAGGGTGTGCTCCACCAAGTTCCACAGGCAGCCTCGCCTCCCCACGGCCCAACACCCTCCAGGCCAGCCAGCTGACCGGAGGGACAGAATTCAGAACCGTCTGGACTCCCCGAGCACTAATCTTCCTACTCCCACTCCCTTCTTTTCCCCGCCAAATCTGCCCCACCCTGGGCCTATCTCCTGCCCACATTCCCTTGGCCGCCCACAAACTTCCACCGCTGTCAGGGGCCAGGGCTTCCTTTTACTCTCTCCCTTTCAAACTTCTCCCATTCCCCTGCCTCAGCGCAGCCCCTACTCCAAAAGGCGGATGAATGGGGAACCCCACACTGGCAGTGGCTGAGGTTAGGACCTGCAGGCCTGAGGCTGGCGCCAGGACCAGGCCCGGGCAGGAGAGGCTCGGCCCCCTCCCGGAGAGGGCCCACGCCAGCCGGAAGGTGCCTCGCCCACCAGCCCACTCTTCCCTTTGTCCCTGGTCTCACCAGTGGCAGCAGCAGGTCAGGCACGGTGGAGAGGCCCATGCCAGACAGCTATGGCCTCTCACTCCCCCATTTGGGCTCAGGGCAGTGTGGCAGCGGCAGTGCTGGGGCTTCCCGGGACTCGGTCTGTCCAGGACGTCCCAAGTGCCTTGGGGTGACAGTTGAGGGTTGAGACTCGGGCATAGAGATCACGGCCTGGTCCCAGTGATCTTGAACCCCAAAGGCCAGAACTGGAGCCTCAGTCCAGAGAATTCTGAGAAAATTAAAGCAGAGAGGAGGGGAGAGAAGGTGGGAGGGGAAGAGTGAGGCAGTGTTGCAACAGCGGGACAGGAAGAGCTGGAGGAGGAGGCCACAGGAGGCGGGAGGAGGAGGCCCAACGTTCTTTAACTCTTTGTAGTCCAGTCACAAGCACAGGAGTCCCAGATCTGGCTGCCTTGTGCCCCCAACCCACCAATCCGACCACTCCCAACCAAACACCAAGGGGCAATAAGCCCCTTGCCCACATCACTAGCCTTTCCCAGATGGATCACAGCAGTGAAAAGATCCAGAGTCTGGGAGTCAAATTCTCTGGGTTCCAATTCAGAATGCTTAGCTTTTTAGCTAAGAATGTGTCTTGGACACATAAATGAACTTCTCAGACACATAACTGAAACTGTCTGGATCTGTTTTCCAATTTGCAGAGTGGAGATAACCTGTCTCCTGGGGTTCCTGTAAGGATTTGTTCAGATGGGAGAGATATAGATAAGCGTCCGACACATGATAGGTACTCCATGTCCCTTAGTAATCCTCCCCTTTACTCCAGAGTTCTTCACTAGCCTCCTAGTCTCCCTCTTTCTTGGGAATTTACTGATCCAATCCAAAACTCAAAGTAAGTCCCAACCCTCGTTTTCTGCCCTGACTGGGTGCCTGCCATTCCTCACCCCAGGTCTCATCCAGTCTCTGCCTGGCCAGGTCCCCCCACCCTGCCCCACTGTTGATCCTGGCTCTGCCACCAATCATGCGACATCAGGCAACTCCTCTCCTAAGCCTCTGTTGGTTCCTTGTTTATTAAACAGGGGTAACAATGTCTGCCCACCTACATGGGGAAAGTGATGCCATGAGAATCAATGAGACGTATCCACGAAGCTGCCGTGGAAATAAAGATACCTCCATCAGGTGTTCCTAGCATATTCCCAGTGCCCTTTTCCTAAATATTCCAATACATCAATTATAACTCACCTTACAGATCATCGACTACAACCCCCTAGGTTTTTTTATTTCTTCGTTTGCTTGTTTTTCATTTTTGTTTTTGTTTTGAGGGTCCGCTCCGTTTCCCAGGCTGGAGTGCAGTGGTACCATCGCAGCTCACTGCAGCCTCGACCTCCCAGGTTCAAGTAATCCTCCCACCTCAGCCTCCCAAGCAGCTGGGACTATAGGTGCATACCACCACGCCTGGGTAATTTTTGTATTTTTTGTAGAGACAGGGTCTCACCATGTTACACAGGCAGGTCTTGAACTCCTGGGCCCAAATGATCTGCCCACCTCAGCCTCCTAAAGTGCTAGGATTACAGGTGTGAGCCACCGTGCCCACCCAACTGCCCGGTTTTATAGAGGAGAAAACTGAGGTCCAGAAACCCAATGTGCCAGGAGGCAGAGCCAACAGAGAACCCCAGACTCCCGACTGCCGGTCCAAGGGCCCCTTTGGCTATGAGAGACACACTGCCACTTTTTCTGTCACTGAGTCAGACCCCACATCCTGACTCTGGTTACTTTATGCCATCCTCATTGATGCAGACATCTCCCAAGAGAATCCTACAACAAAGGTACCACATTTACCCAACTATCTTCTTGGTACAATGACCTTCCCTACATCCAGCCCCGCCCAAGGGCCTGCAGCTGCTGAGGCTGCTAGAAATGCAGGCAGACAGAGAAGAGGGAGGTCCTAGGGCTTTGGAACTTGAAACCAGAGCTCCTCACCCCTTATCCCTCTGAGATGACCTCCCAGCCCCAAGTCCACCGTCCCCTGGCTCTTCCTGGCTTCCCCTCTGTGATCCGCAGATGAGAATGGAGCTTCAGTGTCCCTCACTGCGGGGGGAGCTGACTTTACTCCACCCCATCGTCCAGCTTCTGGAGAACTGTAGGGTTGAAGCTGGATTCAGAAAGGAAGCAGCTCACCACCATCACAAAGGGAGACCCCAGGGACAGGAGAAGCGAACCCAAAGCAGTGTTCTTGAAGAAGCAGGAGCCTCAGAATCAAGTGCAAGTTTCCAGTATGAAGCAGCGAGAAGAACCTCGGTCTGCTCATCTAAAAAATGGGAAACCTGCTGGTACCCTTCACAGAGCTAGCTTGATGCTTAAATCAAGCATATAAAGTGTTTGGCAAGTGTTTGCCATATATTAAGCATTTAGTAAGTGGTAGCAATTAATTTTTTTTTTGAAACAGGAGCTTGCTCTCACCCAGGCTAAAGTGCAATGGTGCAATCATAGCTCACCTAACCTAGAACTACTGGCCTCAAGCTAGCCTCCCACATCAGCCTTCCGAGTGGCTAAGACTACCATCGCACACCACTATGCCCAGCTAGTTGTATTAATGATTAATAACAACTTCAGAAGGATAAGTGATACAGGGGAGTATGGTATGTGAGAGGGCGGCAAAAAAAAAAAAAAAAAGCAGAGTGCGGTGGCTCACGCCTGCAATCCCAGCACTTTGGGAGGCTGAGGTGGGCGGATCACAAGGTCAGGAGTTCGAGACCAACCTGACCAACATGGTGAAACCCTGTCTCTACTAAATATACAAAATTAGCCAGGCGTGGTGGCGCGTGCCTGTAATCCCAGCTACTCAGGAGGCTGAGGCAGGAGAATTGCTTGAACCCAGGAGGCAGAGGTTGCAGTGAGCCGAGATCCTGCCAGTGCACTCCAGCCTGGGTGACAGAGCGAGACTCTGTATCAAAAAAAGAAACCAACTTCAATGTCCTATTTTTTTTTTTGATAGAGTTTCACTCTTGTTGCCCAGGCTGAAGTGCAGTGGCACAATCTCGGCTCACTGCAACCTCTGACTCCCGGATTCAAGCAATTCTCCTGCCTCAGCCTCCCGAGTAGCTAGGATTATAGGCATGTGCCATCATGCCCGGCTAATTTTTTGTATTTAGTAGAGACGGGGTTTCACCGTGTTAGCCAGGCTGGTCTCAAACTCCTGACTTCAGGTGATCCACCCACCCTGGCCTCCCAAAGTGCTGGGATTACAGGCATGAGCCACCACGCCCGGCCTCAATGTCCTATTTTTAATGTTATAAGGTATTTCTAATAGTCTGTGCAAAGCGCCAAAGCCGTGACACATAGCCTGGTACAAAAGGAGAATATTTTTCAATATTTAGGATACATGCTTATTTACTCAATAACTTTACAACTTTGACACGTCATATTACATTTTTCAATAAAATTTTGTTTAAAAAAAAAGATGATGAGAAGTGAGTGGATCTAGGAATATGAAAAGCTAACACGTTTCGTGGAGGAGGTGAGAATGAGACCATCATCCCTCCAGGGACAGAAAAAAATCATGGTCAGAGGAGATGGAGAAACAGGAGAGGGGCAGACTAGGGATGACAGAATCGGCTGTTAGGGCTTGTAGAGCAAAGGATGAAGAAAACAGCTACAGAGAGCAGGGACCTTCCTCCCGCATCATGGCACACACACACACACACACATGCTTAACCCAAAGGGTCACTGGACTCCAAGTCCAGATGACGTGGGTTCTAGCCCCAGACCTGCCATTCAGACTCTATGTGTCACAGGGTGGCAGGGTGAGTCATAGAAAGGGAGCTGGGTTCATGGCAGGTTCTCTAAGAATTATGAAGCTCAGCAAGTCACTTCAACTACTAAGCCTGATAAGGAAAATGAGTCAACTTGAACCCTTTTATCGCTAACAGCCTGATTCCAACTCCTAACCCCAGGGTCCAGGAGTAACCCATAGACAAGTGAATGGAGATAAGGAGACAGCTCTGGGGAAAAAAGCAGGAGGCAAGAGAAGCAGGAGCCTGGGGGAGCTGACTGCAGTCATCCGTAATACATCTGGCTATGTCCGGCAGGTCCTCCTGCCCCAGCCAGAGGAGAGGGCACTGGGGACCAGGTGGGCCAAGGCTGAGGCTGAGGGGGCAGACAAGTGCCGTCTGCACCTGAGGGCTCTGACAGAGGAGACTGCAACACCATTTCCCCTTCATCAGCTCAAGTCCAGGAAAGGGAAGTCAGCAGTCGTCACACCGTTTCAGGTCATGACCCTGTCTACCTTCCTACCCCTGTCACCAGCTCCTTCTCCTCTTTCCCCGAAAGTCTCTTCCTCCTTTGGCTCCTCAGAACAGGGAGACTGCAATTAAGATGAATAAGACTAAGGTGGCAGGGACAGAATCCCCAAAGATGGTGAGAAAGGGTCACTTCTGGATTCCAGGTCTTATGCTGGAGTGGGGGAGAAACAAGGATCGGAGAGCTGGAGTTCCACTCGCACATCCTTCAGCCCCTCCCTGGACCTCAGTCTCTCCTTTACTAAAGCTGGGAGGATTCCCTGTGCCCCTCTCTGCAATCATGTACCAATAAGACCATATAAGGCTTTGCATTTCCAGGAGAAACTGGCCTGAGCCTCATCATCCTCCACCACCACCAGACAGCTGATGGGAGGCAGGCAGATGAGGGTTCATTGCCGCCAGGTGGTAAGTGGGACTCAGCAAGTGGAGTGGGGGATGGGGAGGTTAGTGATGATGGTGACTAAAGCAGAGAAGGAAAAGGAGGTTCAGACAGTGGAGAGGGCAAGTCTCCCCAAACACTGTGAGGTAGGTCCCCTGAAGGGGTGGCATCATGTCTTCCCCCTTCCACCCTAACATGGCCATGGGCACATAGCAGACGCTCAGCAACACCCATGGAGGAATTCACCAGAACGTTTGTCCCTCTTAAGACCCCGTGAAGAATGGTCACTTCCATGGTGCAGCCAAGGGGCATGGGAGTCTGTACCCTCTCCCAGCCCCAGGACCTCCCAGAAGCTTGGGTGATGACTTGTATCCACCCCCTACCCTCTTCATGATGCCCCATCCAGCTCTCCAGACATTCCTTCATGCAACAAACATTTATTGAGCTCCTGCCTACTTGCTCCAAGCAGGATGATGGGCTAGACATGGAGCATACATAAACGGGCAAGATTCAGTCCCTGACCGCAAGGCACTTACAGTCTAGTTGGGAAGGGAGACACAAATGTACAAGAAAGTATGGTGCAACAGCAACACTCCAGCAGATGTTATAGTGTGCTACGGGAGCCCAGGAGAAGGCGGAGTGATCAATTTTGGGGAAGACAAGATGTGGCAGAAGCGTTCACAAAAGTAATGGTGTCTGAGCAGGGTTCTAAGGGATGCATAGGAGTTCTCTGGCAGATGGTTGGGGAAACTTTCAGGCTGAGGAAATATCTCAAGCAGACATGTAGAGGTATGAAAGACACAGGGCAGAGGTGCCGGGGCATGGCTCTGTGAGGGCACGGGTATGAGGCTAGAGGAGCCCTGGGTCTGCCTTTACTTACCCGGGTCTGCTCTAGCCCTAGCCCTCGGGAGTCAGGGAAGGGGAATTGCCTAAGTAACAAAGGGGGCTTTTGGGTGGGGTTTCCCACCCAAGTTCAAGAGGAGGAGCAGACATCTGTGCTACTGGAGAGCAGTGTGGCCAGGCCAGTCGGGGGCTGGCTTAAGCCGTCGCTGGGCAGGAAACCCGTGCATGCCTGCGTGTACCCTTGGTTGTGTTTTGTCCTGGTTATCAGCGGTTTCTTAGGAAAGTTCCTTGTCAAAGCTCCAAGTTTCGCTTGGCTGATCCAAGGGAAAAAGAGACTTAGCCGCAGTTGGGTGGGGAAACCAGAGTGTTCAGAGGCAGTACCAAGGGGTACAGGGCTGGAGCCAAGGCACTTCTGGGCAGCTTCATCAGCTACTGTTCTTGGAGCAACTTCCTGAGCCCTTACCCATCTTGCTTCCCCTCCACACATCAACGGCAGTTTGGGCGGCTCTGAGAGGAAGCCCTGCACATCCTTCAATCTTGCCAGGGCCAGCACCCTCCCACCAGAGGAGCATCTGCCTTGGTGTGAGAAACCTCTCCTTCCCTCTCAGGGCCCCCCCAGAGGACAGGTGGAGGAACTGGCCCCTGCAGAGCCCCCTGGAGATGGGCGGGGGCCCAGGGTGGCATAGGCAGGGGGAGGGGCTGTCAAGGCTGGAGAGGGAGCAGGGCCTGGCTGGGACAAGGACAGAGACATGGGGTGGGGGCAGAAGTGGGAAGGAGGGGAGGATGCCAGGGTGGAGGCTACCTCCTGAGCACCCCTGCCCCCTCGGCCTGGAGACCAGTATCGGCTTCGGAACCTTCGGAGCAGCATGAGGAACATGATGACCAGCAGGTCAAAGACGAGCTCAGCCATCTCCACCACAGACAACACCGAGGAGCCGAACCACAGGCTCCACTGGCTGCCCAGGTTGGACAGGAGGGTGACCATCTGTGAGAGGAGAGGTACATTGACGATGGGACAGAGGGTTCTGGATGGACTCTGGCAGAGGAGCCCCCTTCCCTCCTCACCAAGCTGTCTCCCTTCATCCCTGAAGACCCCCGAGTCCTCTCAGCCTCTCAGCAGCCCCCTGGGCTCTTTGTCTCTGCTCCTGGCCAGTGTCACCCAGAGAAAACTGATAACTGGCCCACAGTTAGGGGCAGCTGAAATGGGGGCATGGGTCAAGCGCCTTCACCCCAGCATCTAGCATGCCTGTCCCTCCCACCACCCCCAGAGACCTTATGCCCCGGCCGAGCTCCTTCTTCCAACCCTCCCAACCTCTCCCTTGACCCTCTTCTTTGGTCCCCTGCCTTTGAGACTCAGAGCCTTCTGGCCCACAGAGACAACCTTTTGGTTTTCCCCGACAGCCGCCCTGCTAAGTAAGACCCCCAGAGCATCACAGGCTCCATCCAGGCACGACCTACCGTGACAGAGGGAGACTCAGAATTGGTTTTGTAGTTCAGCTCCTTGAAGAAGATGTTGACTTTGGCCACTCCATTTCTTAGGTGTGGGGCAGAGGGTGGGAAGAAATGGTAGAGGATGAATTTCCTGGACCTTCCTCTAATCAACCATATCGATCCCTCTTCTTAGGTCTATTTTCCCTCCCAAAGATTCCCTTCTTGTGGCTGGGACCAGGGCAGGACTGACCTCTTGTTGTTGACGGTGTAATTGTTCTGTCGCGATAGCATCTGGAAGACCCATTCCTAGGAAAGAATGGGGGTGTCATCAAGGTCACTCCCATATGCTTCAGGCTTACAGGGATAGGGTTGTGTCAAACACACTCATACACATAATACCCAGAGAAGGCCACAGCATTACATGGGCACACACATCCCCCACCCATCCCTTCCCCACACTCTACCTGGGATGTCACCGAGGGCCATCGTGAGTAACCAGCAGAGAGCTGGTAGCTGGTCACGCTGGGGATGGAGAAAGGTGCTCAGTGTTGGGGCAGAGCTCTCCCAAATGCTTGGCTCGGTAACCTGTATTCTACCCAACCTGTACCCGGGGAAGGGGACACTAACCTGCATGGCTTCCGGCACTTGGTGAAACAGCCCAGGTGGTCTGAGGAGAAGTCAACCTGGAGCTTATAGTAGCAGTACCCTGTGGGTACAGAGAGATGCCTGTTCTCCTAGGGCACCTCAGCTTTCTCTACCCCACACCCAAGAGGTCTCCCAAGATCCCTGGGTACCCACTTTACAAGAGCATTATTTAGCATTATAATGATGCCTTATGAGTGGCAGTACCAAGAAGCGTTTAAGAAATTAAGCTAAGCCAGGGACAGTGGCTCAGCACTTTGGGAGGCCGAGGTGGGAGGGTCGTTTGAGGCCAGGAGTTCAAGGTTGCAAGTGAGCTATGAGTGTGCCTTTGTACTCCAACTCTGGCAACAGAGTGAGACCTTGTCTCTAAAAAAAAAAATTTTTAATAAATTAATTTTTTTTTTAGACGGAGTTTCGCTCTGTTGCCCACGCTAGAGTGCAGTGGCGCAATCTTGGCTCACTGCAAGCTCCGCCTCCCGGGTTCATACCATTCTCCTGCATCAGCCTCCGGAGTAGCTGGGACTACAGGCGCCCGCCACCACGCCCGGCTAATTTTTCGTATTTTTAGTAGAGATGGGGTTTCTCTGTGTTAGCCAAGATGGTCTCGATCTCCTGACCTCGTGATCTGCCCGCCTCGGCCTCCCAAAGTGCTGGGATTACAGGTGTGAGCGACCGCACCTGGCCTAAAAAATAAATTAATAAAGAAAGAAAATAAGCTAAGTCAGGCGAAAAACAAAACAGGATACACCAGTGTAAGGAAATATATGCTATGGACAAAAACATAAACGCCATAAAGAAAAATGGGAACAGGCCGGGCGTGGTGGCTCACGCCTGTAATCCCAGCACTTTGGGAGGCCGAGGCGGGTGGATCACGAGGTCAAGAGATCGAGACCATCCTGGCTAACACGGTGAAACCCCGTCTCTACTAAAAATACAAAAAATTAGCCGGGCGTGGTGGCGGGCGCCTGTAGTCCCAGCTACTCGGGAGGCTGAGGCAGGAGAATGGCGTGAACCCGGGAGGCGGAGCTTGCAGTGAGCCGAGATCGCGCCATTGCACACTCTAGCCTGGGCGACTGAGCGAGACTCCGTCTCAAAAAAAAAAAAAAAGAAAAGAAAAATGGGAACAATAATTGTATAAGAATAAGGGAATTAAGCCACAATAAGATACCACTTCACACCCATTAAGATGTGTGTTATTTAAAAAAAGACAATAGGCTGGGTGCGGTGGCTCACGCCTGTAATACCAACACTTTGGGAGGCTGAGGCAGGTGGATTACCTGAGGTCAGGAATTCGAGACCAGCCTGGCCAACATGGTGAAATCCAGTCTCTACTGAAAATACAAAAATTAGTCGGGTGTGGTGGTGCACACCTGTAATCCCAGCTACTTGGGAGGCTGAGGCAGGATAATTGCTTGAACCTAGGAGGTGGAGGTTGTAGTTTGCCAAGATCGTGCCACTGCACTCCAGCCTGGGCAACAGAGTGAGAGTCTTCTCAAAATAAATAATAAATAAATAAATAAATAAATAAATAAAAATTTAAAAAGACAATAACAAGAACTGGCAGGATGTGGAGAAACTGAAAACCTCTTATACTGCTGCTAGGGATGTACAATGGTGATGTCACTTCGGAAAACAGCCTGGCAGCTCCTCAAAAAAGGTTAAACATAGATTACCATATGACCTAGCAATTCCATTCCTAGGTATATACCCAAGAAAATGGAAAACATGCGTCCACACAAAAACTTGTACACAAATGCTCACAGCAGCATTATTCACAATAACCAAAAAGTGGCAACAACACAAATGTCCACTAACTGATAAATGGGTAAACAAAGTGTGGTCTATCCATACAAGGGAGTGTTGTTATTCAGCCATATAAAGGAATGAGGCACTGCTATTGCTACCATACGGATGAACCTTGAAAATATTATGCTAAGTGAAATAAGGCAGACACGAGGGTCACACACTCTAAGATTCCATCTATATGAAAGATTCAGAATAGCCGGGCGCAGTGGCTCATGCCTGTAATCCCAGCACTTGGGGGCTGAGGTGGGCGGATCACCTGAGGTCAGGAGTTTGAGACCAGCCTGACCAATATGGTGAAACCCCATCTCTACTAAAAAATACAAAAATTAGCTGGGCTTGGCAGCATGCGCCTGTATGTAGTCCCAGGTACTCGGGAAGCTGAGACAGGAGAATTGCTTGAACCTGAGAGGCAGAGGTAGCAGTGAGCCAAGATCGCGCCACTGCACTCCAGTCTGGGCGACAGAGGGAGATTCTGTCTCCAGAAGAAAAAAAAAAAAAAAGATTCAGAATAGGCAAATCCATAGAGAGAGAAAGAAAGAATCGTGGTTGCCCAAGGGCTGGCAGTGGTGGAGGAGGGGAGGGAAGCTTGGGACTTGCTAATGAGTACAAGGTTTATTTATTTATTTATCTGAGACAGGGTCTCACTCCATTGCCCAGGCTGGAGTGCAGTGGCCTGATCATGGCTCACTGCAGCCTTGACCTCCTGGGCTCAGGTGATTCTCCCAGCTCAGCCTCCCAAGTGGCTGGGTCTGCAGGTGTGCACCACCATGCCCAGCTAATTTTTGTAAAGACAGGGTTTCGCCACGTTGCCCAGGCTGGTGTCGAAATCCTGGGCTCAAGTGATCTGCCCACCTTGGCCTCTCAAAGTGCTGCGATTACAGGCATGAACCACTGTGCCTGGCTTGAGTGAGTACAGGGTTTCTTTTGGGAACACTAAAAATATTCCAAAACTGATTATATGATGATTGCACAACTCTGGGACTATACTTAAAACGTAAAATTAAAACTAAAATTTGACTAAAATGAAGCTGTATGCTTTAAATGAGTGAAATGTATGGGATATAAATTATCTCAATAAAGCTATTACCAAAATAATAATAATAATAATGGAACTGTAGATTCACCTCCTCCCCTATTTCCCAAATTCTAAGTAAGGTTATTTTGTCATTATTGCTACTTTTAGTTCCTCAGTCTGAAGTCCTTCTTCATTTCTGACCCAAATCCCTACCAGGGCTGGAGATCTTTAGGAAGAAGGGGAAGCAGCTGGCCCTCTTCTCCGGGGAAGTAAGCCCTAGGAAATGCAACAGACTGTGCTTTTAGCCTTACTTCCTCTCTCATCCTCACAACTTCTCAGCAATCAATATTGTTATTTTTCACTCACAGATGTGCAAACCCACAAAGTAGAAATAATTATTTGAGGGGAGGGAGAAATCACAGGTGGCATCTCCTCCATCCCAGTTCTGTATACCCTGGGACGTGTCACATCCTCCCCCTGGACCTTAATTTGCTCATCTGAGACAGGAGATGAGGCCAGATGGCCTTTGGGTTTCCCCCAGTTCTGATGTGCTACAATCCTCTAAGGTCAGAGAGACAGGAACCAGGAGGCCACGACTGGAAAGTCCAGGCAGAAGAGAACTGCGGAGCCAGCCCAGGGAAGGACAGAAGTGGAAAAGTCACCACAGACAGGAACAAGGTAGGGATGGACGCTGAACTCTGGGGTGAGACAATCCGCTGCCTTTGAGGGCCTCTGTGTCTCCAGTGCCCACTACCATGTCCCCTCCCGTGATGGCCCTCCGCCCACCCTGTGGGACAGCTGGGCCCAGGGGAGAGCCCTGGGAGGAGGAACTGCAGGGGGAACAGGCCAGCTGTGCCAGGGAAGAGCATGAACTCCAGGAATGCAAACCCTTGCAGCTTACATATTTTCTTTTTGTGATTTTCTTTCTCTCTCAGCTTCCTGGCACACGACTTCCCTGCCAAACAACTCAACTGTAGTCAAAAGGAAAGAGATTTGTCTAGTCCTATACCAGGATAAGGAGGAGATTCCAAGGTGCTCCAAACTTTACTGATTGTGCCCTTGTTCAGTTAAAAAAAAAATCTTAAACAGGTCCAATACATGTATTTGATTTATAAATTATATACCTCTACTATTGAATGGATACAGTATGTCCATTCTAAAGCACATAAGATGGAAAATGTGAAGGAATGAGACAGACCCATGTATCTTCTAATATTTTCTTCCTGCTCCCCAGGGAAGTGTTGTGTACCCCACCCAGCCCCTCCAGAGCCTGCCCAGCTAAGCGCCCTGGGCACTGAGCAGGGAAGCTGTGGGCAGAGCATGCACTGAAACCTTAGGAGCCATTGAGGAACCGCTGGAGGTTTTCTCACGTGCTCTTCCTTCCTTCTGCTGCAGGTTGTTTTTATTTTTATTTTTATTTATTTATTTTATTTATTTATTTTTTTTTGAGACCGAGTCTCGCTGTCACCCAGGCTGGAGTGCAATGGCGTGATCTCAGCTCACTGCAGGCTCCGCCTCCCGGGTCCACACCATTCTCCTGCCTCAGCCTCCCACGTAGCTGGGACTACAGGCGCCCGCCACCTCGCCCGGCTAATTTTTTGTATTTTTAGTAGAGACGGGGTTTCACCGTGTTAGCCAGGATGGTCTCCATCTCCTGACCTCGTGATCCGCCCGCCGTGGCCTCCCAAAGTGCTGGGATTACAGGCGTGAGCCACCGCGCCCGGCCTGCAGGTTGTTTTTAAATGGGACAATTCCTTGACAAACACACAAAGGCCAAAACAGAGAGACTGCAACACTGAGAGGGAGGAACAGAGATAGAAGAGAGAGGGAGGCCGAGGCGGGTGGATCATGAGGTCAGGAGATTGAGACCATCCTGGCTAACAGGGTGAAACCCCGTCTCTACTAAAAATACCAAAAAATTAGCTGGGCGTGGTGGCGGGTGCCTGTAGTCCCAGCTATTCAGGAGGCTGAGGCAGGAGAATGGTGGGAACCCGGGAGGTGGAGCTTGCAGTGAGCCGAGATCGCGCCACTGCTCTCCAGCCTGGGTGACAGAGCGAGACTCCATTTCAAAAAAATAGAAAAAAAGAGAGAGAGACTGAGGGAGAGGGAAACTGACAGAGGCAGAGACTAAAGGCTGAAAAACAAGAGCAAGGAAGGATTCATCCCAGCAGGTGGGAGCCAGAAGTCATCCCCACAAACAGGGGACTGAGAGGAAAAAGTGCCTCAGTGAGTACTGGGGTCAGTGGGGCAGGGTGGGGGCTCCCTGGAGTCTCACCCCAGGAACTGTGCTTTCTGTAGTCACAGTACTCCACGTTCTGGGGCCGCGGATAGAAGATGTAGGCACAGCCACACTCCTTGATCATGCTCTCCTGGAAGCAGGAGTGAATACACACCTGGAAGGGAGGAGGGTGGAGAGGAGAGGGGGTTCAGGCCTGAACTCAGCAGTTCTCTGCACAGAGCCTCCATCCTCTTTCCACCACCCCCCAGTTTCCCTCTCTCTCTCTCACATACACAACCCCTCCAGCTTTGCAGGGCCAGCCAGGGCAGTGGCTGGGAGTGGCTGCCACGGAATCAGGTTGGGCCTCACCTGCTGTGTGTACTTTGAAGGGTAAAGGTTCTCAACAGGAACATCACTGCCATTCTTGGTGCAGTCGCCATAATCGCCCCCAAGTCTGTCCAGGGTTTCCTATGAACCCACATACACCAAGAGATCAGAGGACAGAGCAAGTGCCTCTGGGTTCTCTGCCTTCCCTCAGTTCCAGGTTGTATCTCACACCTGCCAGCCCCTCCTACTGGCCTCGCCCTCTCAATACATGCTTCCAGCCACCCCCATGCCCACCCACTGCTCATTTCAAGGCCACTAGGCCCAGAGCATCCCCAGAAACCCTAAGCATGCCTTGAATGCCTTCTCAGCACTTGTCCCCCAGGGTCCACCCTGCAGGGCTTTACTTCCCAGTGCCAGCCCCTCTGCCCCTCATTCCTGCTCCTGAAGACCTCCACATGCTCAAGGCCCACCCCACATGCTCTCCCTCTCCAGCCTCCCATGCCTCCCCGCTGCCCCTCTGCAATCTGAGGCGCTCCTTCCAGGCCTCCCAGTCAGCATCCTTGCCTTCCTCATGCTGATGGAGGTCTCCACGCCAGGCCGCAAGTTAAAGCCACCATCATCCATAAAGGCAGGTTCATCCTGCCCGTGCACCATTACCCGGGCCCCAGTCACTGTGGACAGCAGGGGAATGAAGTCATTCTGCTCTGCGCGCAGCATCAGGGACAGACCTAGGGGTGCAGAGAGAGCAGAGTTGGCAGAGGCGGGAATCCTAGAAAAGAGTTAGGAGATGGAAATCCACTCTCCCTTCCTTGCCCAGTCTCTAAAGCTGCAAGAGAAGCAAGTTCAGGAAGACCCGCAAAGGGACCTGGCAACCCCTGAGCTGGAATCTGGAGGCAGGAGGAAGACCTGGGACGGGATTCCTCTCATGCCTGGAACGGACTATGTGGCACCTATTGGGGAGAGACAGCAGGCAGGACCCCTCCCAGCAGCTCTAGGAGGTGAGCTCAAGGTAAGTACAGGTGAGTGGCTGAAGCAGAGGGCGCCATGGAGCAAGCAGGGAGCTTCTCACCGTTGTTGATTCCAGGCATGGAAGACATCCAGAGGTTGGAGTTGTTCTTGTCATTGAAAGTATAGCAGTTTCCATACATCGGGTGGTGGAAGTGAGAGTAATTCCTTATCAGGAAAGAGAGAGTAGGGTCAGAGAGGAAAGTGTAGGTGGTGCAGGGAATAGGGAGATGAGGCAGAGAGAAATGTCCACTCTCTTAAACTCCTACAGGACTTGTGCCTTTCAGAGCCATTTGTTTCCTGATCACCTACTATGTGCTGGCACAATGCTGAGAGCTTTACTCACACTCCCTCAGTCACTCCAACCAACAGCCTGTGAGAGTCTCATCCTCATATCACAGAGGAGGAAGCTAAGGCTCAGAGAGCTCAAACAGCTGGCCCAAGGTCACACATCTACCTTCTAGTCCAGGCTCCTCTCACCAGGCCATCTGGGTTCACCGGCATTGACTTCCGTGCTGCCTTGTAACTTCTCTCTTGTTGCATTACAAAGATTCTTGCATGTCCCTAACTGCCCATGCATCTAAGTGTTAGTTCCCCATTGAATCATGAGCTCCTTGATGACAGGAGCCACATCTCATTCATCTCTGTGTCATCTCTGGGTTAGTTGCATAGATCCTGTCATCTAGGAGATAGAGGAGATGATTAATAAATAGTTGTTGAGTGAGGAATGAATGAATGAATGAATGAATGAATGAATGAAGGGGAGGAGGGGAGCAGGGTTAAAGGAGAAAGTGTGACCAGTGGTGAGCACGGAGCTGAGGGGAGGAAGATCAGTACCAAGTGTTTCCTGGGAGCCTCTTGCATCAGTATGTCTCAGAATGGTAGGTCCAAAACTCATCTGTGACAGGTGTGGGGACAGAGAGAAAGCAATCACAGAGGCAACACAGCTGCAGTAGGACTGCAATTTCACAGCAAATCACAGGTTCCAGAACAGGGAGGCTGTGTGGGTTGTAGCACAGCACATGTGCCACACGGCACAGAGAGGATCTGTGTTCTGCTACCCTGCCATCTTGGAGCTAGCGACGGGAGCCAGGCAAAGACGGAAAGGGGACTTCGGCCAGTGAGCAGCAGAGGAGGACTAAAGAGAAGAGGGAGAAGAGGCTGGCCAGAGATAAAGGGTGGGGTTCTGGTTGTACGGTCTCAAGCAGGTCATTGTTTCTAAGCTTATTCTCCTCCTCTGTAAAATGTAGGATGATTCTGTAAAATGAGGAGATTGGAACTAGGTGATCCGGGATATTCCACTGGCCTTGAAGAACAAAGGCACAGAGGCGTGACATACTGGTGCACATTCTAGGATGTACTGGGAAGTCAGCACTTCTAGAGCCCAGGCTAGATGCAGGGAAGGACTGAAGGAGAGGCTACAGAGGTGGCCAGTCCTGAAGGCTGGTGAGCCCTTCGCACACAGAGAGGGGACAAGTATAATGGTGGGTGCTGCCCCCATGGAAAGCAGGCACAAGTTCCATCAGCGGTGGAGAAACACGGATGGGTTTTAAAACATAGAGCTTCGAAAAAAAAAAGTGGTGGGGCACAGTGGCTCACGCCTGTAATCCCAACACTTTGGGAGGCTGAGACAGGTGGATCAGTTGAAGTCAGAAGTTTGAGACCAGCCTGGCCAACATGGTGAAACCCCGTCTCTACCAAAAATACAAAAATTCGCCAGGCGTGGTGGTGGGCACCTATTATCTCAGCTAGTCGGGAGGCTGAGGCAGAAGAATCGCTTGAACTTGGGAGGTTGCAGTGAGCTGAGATTGCACCACTGCACACTACAGCGAGACTCTGTCTCAAAAAAAAAAATAGTAAGAGGTGAAATGAGATCTATAACACAATACCATTTATATAAATTAAATACAGATTTTGCAAAAACACATAGAGATACACACTAAGCACATTACTATAGTGGCCTATGAGAATCAGTATAATGTGATGGTTAAGAGCACAGACTCAGCCAGGCGCAGTGGCTGACGCCTGTAATCCCAGCACTTTGGGAGGCCGAGGCGGGTGGGGTCACCTGAGGTCAGGAGTTTGAGACCAGCCTGGCCAACATGGTGAAACCCCATCTCTACTAAAAATACAAAATTAGCCGGGCACGGCGGCACATGCCTGTAATCCCAGCTACTCAGGAAGCTGAGGCAGGAGAATCACTTGAACCTGGGAGGTGGAGGTTGTCATGAGCTGAGATTGCGCCATTGCACTCCAGCCTGGCCAGTAAGAGTGAAACTCCGTCTCCAAAAGAAAAAAAAAGAGCACAGACTCCAGAATTAAATTCCTTGTATTTGAATCCTGGGGCTCTAACAAGTATTAGATGTGGGACCAAACAAGTTACTTACTTAATCTCTCTGTACCTCAGTTTCCTCAGCTGTAAAATGGGGATAATAAAAATATCAACCTCACAGGGGTGTTGAGCATGAAATTATGCTTAGAATGGTGTCTAGCCTTAGTAAGAGCTGTATTAGCTCACTAGTACGATTACAGGGATTCATTAAGATGGCTAAAGTCAAAAAGACAGACAACAGCATGAGGAGGAGGTAGAGAATTTAGAACCTTCATACATTGCTGTTGGGAATGTTAAATGGTGTGACCATTTGGAAAAGTCTGGTAGCTCCTCAAAATGTTAAATATAGAGTTACCACATGACCCAGCAGTTCCACTCATAGGTAAACACCCAAGAGAAATAAAAACATAGATCCATGTACAGGATCCACAAAAACATGTACAGGAATGTTCATAGCAGCATTAATCATAACAGCCAAAAAGTAGAAACAATCCAAATGTCCATCAACTGAGAATGGATAAGCAAAAATGTGGGCCGGGCGTGGTGGCTTACACCTATAATCCCAGCACTTTGGGAGGCCGAGGCAGGAGGATGGCTTGAGCTCAGGAGTTCGAGATCAGCCTGGGCACCATAGTGAGACCTAGTCTCTACTAAAATTAAAAAAAATTAGCTGGGCATGGTGGCATGAGCCTGTAGTCCCAGCTACTTGGGAGGCTGAATCAGGAGGATCGTTTCAGCCCAGGAAATCAAAGCTACAGTGAGGTCTGATTGTGCCACTGTACTCCAGCCTGGGTAACAGAGTGAGAACCTGTCTCAAAAAAAAAAAAAAAAAAAAGGTGGTGTATCTACACAATATCATAGTATTCAGCCATAAAAATGAAGTTCTGATCCATGCTACAACATGGATAAGCTTTGAAAACGTTATGCTAAATGAAAGAGGCCACTCACAAAAGACCACATATTGTATGATTCCACTTATGTGAAATGTCCACCACAGGCAATCCATAGAGACAGAAAGCAGAAGAGTGGCTCTCAGGGCTTGGAGGAGGGGAGAAAATGGGGAAGAACTGCTAATGGGTACAGGGTTTCTTTTTGGGGTAAGGAAAATATTCTAAAAACAGGTAGTGGTAATGGTTACACAACTCCAAATATATTAAAAATCACTAAATTATACATATTAAAAGAATACATTTATGGTTTGTAAATTATATCTCAATAAAAGTGTTATTAAAAAAAGATTATAGGGTGGGGGAAAAGGGTGTAGTTATCGGGGAGGAAAGGGGTGAGAAAGCCATGCTAAGGAGTACCAACTTGATGCTGGAGGCCGTGAGAGACACTGAACGATTTTAAACAGGAGGATACAGTTTGGATGTTTGTCCCCTCCAAGTCTCATGTTGAAATGTGATCCCCCATGTTGGAGGTGATCCTAGCTGGGAGGTGTTTGGGTCACAGGGGTGGGTCCCTCTTGAATGGCTTGGTGCCCTCCTCACAGTAATGAGTGAATCCTCACACTATTAATTAGTTCACCCGATAGCTGGTTGTTTAAAAGTGCCTGGTCTCTCTCTCTCTTGCCCCCTCTCCTCCCCTTCTACCATGAGTAAAAGTTTCCTGAGGCCTCCCCAGAAGCTGAGCAGATGCTGGTGCCATGCTTGTACAATCTGCAGAACCCTGAGCCAATTAAACCTCTTTCCTTTATAAATTACCCAGACTCAGATATTCCTTTTTTTTTTTTTTTTTTTTTTTTCAGATGGAGTCTTGCTCTGTCGCCCAGGCTGGAGTGCAGTGGTGCGATCTCGGCTCACTGCAACCTCCACCTCTTGGGTTCAAGCAATCCTCCTGCCTCAGCCTCCTGAGTAGCTGGGGCCACAGATGTGTGCCACCACACCCGGCTAATTTTTATATTTCCAGTAGAGATGGGGTTTCGCCATGTTGGCCAGGCTGATCTCTAACTCCTGACCTCAGGTGATCCGCCCATCTCGGTCTCCCAAAGTGCTGGGATTACAGGCATGAGCCACCGTGCCCGGTGAGATATTCCTTTATAGCAACACAAAATGGACTAACACACAGGACTAACTGGAATAGTTACATGTGGTGACGTGAAGTAAGGTTGAAGTACAAAGGTTCCTGTAGTTGCAGAAGGAAGGGAGGATTTGGAGGCAAAAGAACGCAGTAGGGTGGAGTGGTGGGTATAACAACCCAGGCGAGCAATGAGGCTCTGAGCTGACCTAAGCGCCTAAGTGCCAAGATAAAGATGAACCATGGACTTTCTGTTGAGGGGGAGGCAGGCACACAGAGCAAAGGGAGGGCATCGGGTGAGGGCATAGGGAAAGCACAGGTGTCCATGGACTTTCTGTTGATGGGGAGGCAGGCACACAGAGCAAAGGGAGGCATCGGGTGAGGGCATAGGGAAAGCACAGGTGTCCAGGTGACAGTTAGAGGAACTTGGTGACAGGTGTGGGCGGACTCAGGCTTAGGTGTTGCTACCATCTTACTTCCCAGCTGGTAGTTTCTGTCCTCAAACAAATGCAAAGACTAAAAACAGAACAAAATCGTGTACTGGGCAGAGTGTGTGTGAAGGGTAAGAAGTGACACCTTGCCCTGTGGCCATTCTTCAGCAACAGGGGAGGGAATGCCCCCTGTAGAGTGGAGCCAGGCAGAGGCAGGGAGATGGCTCCGGAAAATAAACGAGCAGGAGGAGAAGGCAGGGGAGGAGGGGGCCAGAGGTTACAGAAGGGGACCCCCCCCTCGCCTCAGCCTCTCCCAGCCCTCAGAGAACCTGCAGCTGCTATGAGCTGCTTGCAAGGACATTATAACAGGGGTCCTCACAGAATGAATACCCGAGGGGTAGTGGGGTGGGAAGAATCCTTAGCCAGGGCCGGCCCATTCCCAAGGGCAAGTCACTTCACCTGTTTGAGTACAAGAGTAATGAAACCCATCATTTACTGTGGTCTATAAAGTGCCCTCACGTTTGTATCTCACACACTTGGTACAGCTCTTGAGATGAGTGTTATCGTCATCATCTTCGTCACTTGAGTAAAAGTGCCAAAGGAGCATGGATTATATAGTTTTTCCTTTGATGTAGTCCAAATGCCTAGAACAGTGACTGGCACATAGCCCAGATAGTCAAAACTATTTGTTGAACGAACACTGAATGAATCTCATTTTTTGTTTTACTTCCATTTTACAATCTAAGAAATAGGCTCTGAAGGATGATGTGATACATCCAGAGTCACCTGGCCAGGAAGTGACAGAGCTAGAGTGGGAACTTAGGTTTAGTCCCTCAACCCATGCCACTCCACCTCACTACTACTGCCAGCCTCAGCTCAGGGAACAGAGTATGAGACAGATGATCTCCTAGGCCCTTTTGAGCTTTGATGCTAGGGAGAAAGGGGCCTTAGAAAGACCAAGACCCTGGCCAGGCATGGTGGCTCACGCCTGTAATCCCAGCACTTTGGGAGGCCAAGGCAGGCAGATCACCTGAGGTCAGGAGTTGGAGACCAGCCTGACCAACATGGACGTTGACCAACGTCTCTACTAAAAATAAAAAAATTAGCCAGGCGTGGTGGCGCATGACTGTAATCCCAGCTACTCAGGAGGCTGAGGCAGGAGAATTGCTTGACCCCAGGAGGTGAAGGTTGCAGACAGCCGAGATCGCGCCATTGCACTCCAGCCTGAGCAACAAGAGCAAAACTCCATCTCAAAAAAAAGAAAAACAAAAAAGACCAAGATCCATGCTTCCAGCCTTTGGTTTCTCAAAGCCCCAGTCTTCCCAAGGCATCCTGTGAGGCCACTTCCCTCAGATCCAGCAGTGCAGGGAGCAGCAGGAGTTCGTAGGGCGCTCTCTGGGGCAGGGTGTGGGCCCAAAGCCAGTGCTTCCCCCTGGCCTGCTGGCACTGGCATTTTTTTAGTCAACAAGCATTTCCTGGGCCCTGCCCATGCAGGGCGTGAGGCTGACCCAGGGAAGCGGACCCCGCGGAGAGCAAGGAGCCAGGCAGGACTGACTCACGCCTGGTTGCAGGAGACCTGGTTGAAGCGGCAGGCGAAGATGAAGTTGCCCAGCGTGTCCTCCTCCAGGGATGGCAGAGTCTCTGGCAGCCTCGACAGGATGTTGATGTAGTGGAAGCGGTACCACTCCCTCACCGCATCCACCCCTGATGAGTATGTCTGGTAGAAGCAGTCCGATTTGTTCTGGTTGCACTGGACACAGAGACTAGAGTCAGAGGGGACACGCAGCCGGGGATAAGCCCCTTGGCAGGGCCAAGGGCAAAGAATGAGTGATCTGGGGTTCTGAGGACTGACGGACAGGAGTCGGAAGCCAGGAGTGGGGAAAGACAGAAGTGGAAGAGAAGCAGAAGTCCCTAGGAGCATGGACCAGGGGAGCATGGGATTAAGGGAGTTGCAGGCCAGGAAAGGAGACCAGTAGCTGCACACACACGGTTTTGGTTCATTTATACCTCCCCTGCCTAGGGTGGAAGGAGCAAGACTTTCCCTCCCATTTCACTGATGGGAAGACTGAGGGATCAAGAGATTTGTCCCAGCAAGAGCTGGGACTAGGACTCCAGTCCCCAGCCCACTCTTACTAATGGGAACTTCCCTGTCTCCTTTCCTTGGCTCCTCCCTCATTTTCCCTTGCTCCTTTCTTTCTTTTTTTTTGGCAGACGAGCTCACTCTGTCACTCAGGCTGGAGTACAGTGGTGTGATCAAGGCTCACAGCAGTCTCCATCTCCCGAGTTCAAGCAATTCTCCCATCTCAGCCTCCTAAGTAGCTGGAACTACAGGCTTGTGCCACCACATGGGCTAATTTTTGTATTTTTTTTTTGTAGAGATGGGGTTTCACTATGTTGACCAGGCTGGTCTAAAACTCCTGGGCTCAGGTGATCTGCACGCCTAGGCCTCCCAAAGTGCTGGGATTACAGGCATGAGCCACCGCCCCCAGCTAAGTTTCCTTTTTTTACTGTCTCCTTATTCTCTATCTTGGGCTGTTAGCCCAGTTCTCCATCACGCTGGAGGGTCCTAACTGAGTCCCACTAGTGGGCACTGGAATTCAGAAAGTTGCATTTTCCTTCCTGAATCAAGGACCAGAAACAGTAAAACAATAATAATAATAATAATAATAAAAGTTCATTTTCCATAATAAATTTGACTTCCTACCCCTGAAATGCTTCTACATAGGACCCCAGGGAGGAGGCCCCAAAAGCTTGGGCACCAAGAGGTGTTATTTTAATTATCTAGTTATTATTTGTATTTATTTACTTTTTTTTTTGCCCGCGAGCCCACGAGGCCCCGCGTGGTGTCACTGGGCTGCGCGGGCGGGTCAGGAAAGGAGCGGAGCCCATGGGTGGGCGGGGCCAGGGGCCGGCGAGGGGCGGGGCGGGCCCCTCGGCGCTGCGGGCCTCACCAGCTGGAAGCCGATCTTCCAGTCCTTCCAGTCCACCTGGGGGTTGTTGTCCCGCAAGCTGGAGGCCACGCTACGGGCTCGACGGGCCCCGTGAGGCGGGGGCGGGACCCTCAGGCGCTGCAAGGGGTGCGGCAGAGTCCCCCGCAGGTCGCGACGGCTGCGGGAGCCGGCCACGAGAGTGGTGAAGGAGCTGTATTTGTACAGGTCAAAGAGCGTCTGCTCTGTGATGCGGTCCAGCTCCTCCAGCTCCTCTTTAATTTCCGGGTACCTGAAGGGGCGAGGGGAAGAGGGTCAGGCCAGGGGCCCTGGAGCGAGTGTCTGGCCCCTCCGGGGTCAGGGTCCTCATCTGTGCCCCGGGAGGCCGGTCCATCCCGGAGAAGCCTGGGCGGGGCTGGGGTCGTCGTGGCGCCTCCTGGCCGTCCGGCGGTGAAGGGTAAACAGGTGTGTCCGCCGGGAAGGCGGAGGCCACGGCGAGCCCAGCCGGGACACTGTGGACTGTTTATTGAAGGAGAGAGGCAGGAGGCGCCTGTCGTCTGTGGGGCGCTCTCCCCCTCGCCCGGACCTAGAAGGGAACCCGGAACTTGTCTGCCCTTTCCCAAAGAGGGGAAGGGTGAGGGCCTCGGCCTTGGCGTGACCGCGGTACCCAGGTCATCCCGCCCTGATCCCCGCAGGCGAGTGTCGGTGGCCTTTCGGCTTGAGTGCCGCTTGGCACCGAAATCAAGAGTTCACAACTGAACTTTTAGAATCTCCAACTCTAAAAATACAGGATGCCCCACCCACCCCGCCTCCCTCCTCCAAAGACTGTTCTAATGTGTTTCGGGTGCGGCCTAAACACCGTAAATTAAACACAGCTCACTGTAAATCCCTACATTCCTTCTTAATACAATTCCTATTACCATCTCCATCATGAAAGTCCAGAGTAGCAGGGCCTGAGGGATGTCATCTACCAAAACAAAACAAATATAGAACTAACAAACTGAACAAGGTTGCAGGGTACACAACAAATACACAAAAAAAATTAATTGCATTTAGGCCGGGTGTGGTGGCTCACGCCTGTAATCCCAGCATTTTGGGAGGCCGAGGTGGGCAGATCACGGGGTCAGGGTATCGAGACCACCCTGGCTAACACGGTGAAACCCCGTCTTTACTAAAAAAAAAAAATACAAAAAATTAGCCGGGCTTGGTGGCGGGCGCCTGTAGTCCCAGCTACTCGGGAGGCTGAGGCAGGAGAATGGTGTGAACCCGGGAGACAGAGCTTGCAGTGAGCCGAGATCGCGCCACTACACTCCAGCCTGGGAGACAGAGCGAGACTCCGTCTCAAAAAAAAAAAAAAATTAATTGCATTTCCGTCTCAAAAAGAAATTAATTGCATTTCTACATGCTGGCAACAGAAAATTGGAAAACCAGAAATACAACAGCAATATTAAATAACATAAACAACATCAAATACATAGAAATAAATGTAACAAAAGATGTGCAAGACTGAAAAATATATTGAAATCCCTGCTGAAATAAATCAAAGATCAGAATAAGTGGAGATATATATATATATGGATTCAACACAATCCCTATCAAAATTCCAGCTTTTTTTTTTTTTTTGGACAGGATCTTGCTCTGTCACCCAAGCTGGGGTGCAGTGACACAATCGCCGCTCACTGCAGCCTCCTCCTGGGCTCAAGCAATCCTCCCGCCTCAGCCTCCCTAGTAGCTGGGACCAAAAGTGTGCCACCACACCAAGCTAATTTTTATATTTTTTGTAGAGAGGGGGTTTCACCACGTTGCCCAGGCTGGACTCCAACTCCTGAGCCCAAGCAATCACCAGCCTCAGCCTCCTAAAGTGCTGGGATTGCAGGCGTGAGCCACTCACTGCACCCGGCCCCAGCAGGTATTTTTAAAGAAATTGACATACTGCTTCTAAGACTTATCTGGAAATGCAAACAATCTAGAATAGCTAGAAAATTTTAGAAAAGAAGAGCCAAGTTGGAAAATGTATTCCTCCTGACTTTAGTATTTACTATAAAGCCACAGTAATCAAAACAATGCGGTTCTTGGTAAGGAGAGACAATAGATCAATGGAATAGAATAGAGTCCAGAAATAAACTCATGCATAGATGGTCAACTGATTTTTGGCCAAAACACCAATTCAATTCAGTGTAGAAAATAAAATTTGTTAGCAGGTTCTGCTAGAACAACTGAATACTGTATTGGAAAAAAAATGACCCTCAATCTCTACCTTATGCTATACAGGCAAAAATTAATTCAAGATGGATCATAACGTAAACATGAAATTCAGAACCATAAACACTCTAGAAGATGGAAGATATCTTCCTGACCTTGGGGTAGGCAAAATTCTCTTGTAAGAAAAATATCTAACAAATAATCCCTAGAACAACCGTATGTAGTAGGCACTTTATGAACAGACCTACATTTTTTTTTTTGAGACGGAGTCTCAATTGCCCAGGCTGGAGTGCAGTGCCGTGATCTCGGCTCACAAGCTCCGCCTCCGGGTTCACGCCATTCTCCTGCCTCAGCCTCCCTAGTAGCTGGGACTACAGGTGCGTGCCACCACGCCCGGCTAATTTTTTGTATTTTTAGTAGAGACGGGGTTTCACCATGTTAGCCAGGATGGTCTCGATCTCCTGACTTCGTGATCCGCCCGTCTCGGCCTCCCAATGTGTTGGGATTACAGTCGTGAGCCACCACGCCCAGCCGAACAGACCTACATTTTTAAAAGATTCTGACCCTGTACACAGCTAGTGAGAATATAAAATGATACGATCATTTTGGAAAACAATCTGGAAGTTCCTCAAAAAGTTAGATATAGAGTTACCATATAACCCATCCATTCCACTCCTAAGAGAAATGAAAGCATATGCCCCCACAACATACACACACAAATGTGCACAAATGTTCATACCAGTATTATTTCTAATAGCCAAAAAGTAGAAATAACCCAAATGTCCATCAATTGATGAACATATTAAGAAGGAATGTAGGGATTTACAGTGAGCTGTGTTTAATTTACGGTGTTTAGGCCGCACCCGAAACACATTAGAACATAAAGATTTGTACATGAGGCTGGGTGCAGTGGCTCACACCTGTAATCCCGGCACTTTGGGAGGGCAAGGTGGGTGGATCACCTGAGGTCAAGAGTTCGAGACCAGACTGACCAACATGGAGAAACCCTGTCTCTACTAAAAATGCAAAATTAGCCGGGCGTGGTGGCACATGCCTGTAATCCCAGCTACTCGGGAGGCTGAGGCAGGAGAATCGCTTGAACCCGGGAGGCGGAGGTTGCAGGGAGCCAAGATCTCGCCATTGCACTCCAGCCTGGGCAACCAGAGCGAAACTCCATCTCAAAAAAAAAAAAAAGAAAAAGATTTGTACATGAATGTTCATAGCCATTTTATTTATAATAGCCAAAAAGCCTGAAGCAACTCAAAGGTGTGTTGAAGGTGTGTGTTTGGCATTCTAGAAAACTTGCTCATTACTGCTAATTAAAAGAATGGTAATCTGCGGGGCATGGTGGCTCACACCTGTAATTCCAGAATTTTGGAAGGCCAAGTGGGTGGATCACTTGAGCTCAGAAGTTTGAGACCAGCCTGGGCAACACGACGAAACCTTGTATCTACAAAAAATACAAAAATTAGCCAGATGTGGTGGTGCACACCTGTAGTCCCAGCTACTCAGAAGACTGAGGCAGAAGAATTGCCTGATCCTGGGAGTTTGAGGCTACAGTGAGCCGTGATCGTGTGACTACACTCCAGCCTGGGCAACAGAGCAAGACCCTGTCTTAAAAAAATAAAAAAGAATGGCAATCATAGCTAGCATTTATTGAGCACTTACTATGAGCCAGGAACTATGGTATTAGAATGTGCATTATTTAATTGTTAAAAGAAGAACGTTAGGCAAAATTAAATTTAACAGAGTTGACTTGAGCAAAGAACGATGCTCAAATCAGGCAGCCCCTCAACCAGAATAGGCTCATCAAAACCACTCAGCAATAAAAAGGAACTGATACGTGCAAAAAACACAGGGAAGAATTCCAGAAACATTAAGCAAAATAAGTCAGACACACATACAAGAAAATACATACTGTATGATCCCATTTATACGAATTCTATGAACAGACAAAACCAGTTGATAGAGATAGCATTCAGAAAATGACAGTGGGAGAGGAAGAGGAATTGATGGAAAGGGGGCACCGGGTAATGGGAGTGTTCAACATCTCGACTGTCAAACCTGAGTGGGCACTCAAGATTTGTTCATTTTATTGTACATCAATTATGCCTCACTTAAAGAAAAAAATACCAGTGCAGGGTCTTACTTGCCAGATTCAGATTTAATGGGTCTGGGCTGGAGCCAGAACAAGGTTGTTTGAAAGAGCCCCCACGTGGTCCTAACGTGCAGCTACATTAACCACCGTCTAGTCCAGATCTTCACTTCCTCTTCCATTCAGCTCTATTTCCATCTCTACCAGAAAAGTCTAGCTGGCTGGGCCTTAGGCATCAGCTCTGGCAGCCCCTGAACTTCTCACAGGAGAAAATGTAGCTCTGGTTGAAGGTGTGTTTGGCATTCTAAGAGACTTGCTCGTTATTTATAATTAAAAGAATGGCAAGCATAGCTAGCGTTTATCGAGCACTTATTATGAGCCAGGCACTGTGGTATTAGAATGTACATTATTTAATTGTTAAAAGAAAAACTTTAAACAAATTAAATTTAACTTGAGTTTCACTGAGCAAACAATGAACCTCGAATCGAGTGCCCCCCGCCCCCAACCAGAATAGATTCACAGTGACTCTGGGGGCTGCTGCATGATTCGATAATATTCGTGGACAGGAAAAGGAAAGTGACCCACAGAAAACGGAAGTAAGGTACAGAAACACCCGGATTGGTTACACCCCCGGCGTTTGCCTTATTTGGACAAGGTTTGACAAGTGGGCTGCCTTTCATTGGCCAAAACTCTGTGATTGCTATAAAGGTAGGTTATAGTGTGTTTACATATCTAGTTAGGTGGCAGTTCACTATGCATGAAGAAACCTTTAGGACAAACTTTAAAAATGTAAAGAGGCAACTTTAGGCTAAAACTTATTTAACATGATTTAATCTTCAGTGTAACACAGTATACCGTTAGCCACTGTTAGCTAACACAATTGTCATTCCCTTTTCCAGGTGAAAAACCTGAGGCATGATGACTTATTCCAGTTGGCACAGCTAGCAAATGGGTCAGACAGCACTCCAACCACCACACTGCCCTCTGGTCCGTCCCTGCTACCTCTGGCTATTTTAGGAGGGCCACATGGTGCCCCAGAAAGAGCACCCAAGCCAGAACCTCTCTGAGATGTAGGGCCTGGTGTTCCAGCCACACACTTTCTGTCTGTGTAACTCGGGGTAAGTGACCCAGCCTTTCTGACTCTCAGTCTGAGTTCCTTATCTGTAAAATGGGCATAACACTAGATCTGCCTACCGCATGAAGCTCTTGGGGGGTTAAGTGAGAAAATACTCAGTGACACAAAGTGAAGAGACCATCGACTATCAGGAAGACACAGAGGAGCCAGGAGCCCAGGAAAGCGAATTTGCCTTTCTCAAGGTCACACAGGAAGAATCCAGATCCCCCACTTGCCTGGAGTTATTTCCACCACATCCTGGCTGGGCCTCCCTTTCCACTCCTTCCCCAGGCTGGCTCAAGTCCCTTCTGCCTCCTGCCCCTCCCTCTCTCTCATCACCAACTTCAATCTGGTTGTCACTTCTCTGGCCACACTCCTCTCCCCTGGGGAGCCCCCATGCCATCTCTGTGCCCGGCTTCCTCCTCCATGCTGCCACCCTACACGCCTCCCTCCTGCCACCCTACTCACCTCCCTCCTGCCACCCTACGCACCTCCCTCCTGCCACCCTACGCACCTCCCTCCTGCCACCCTACGCGCCTCCCTCCTGCCTGGCCTCACTGATGAGCCCCCCCACTGAGCACAGCCTGGGCTCCCAGCCCTTGATCCCACACACACAAACCTGTGACAAGGCCTCCAGAGGAGGCTGGGTTCCATAGGGCCCCACCTTCACTCTCCCAAAAGGTCTACTGCTCCTCTTTTTTGGCATAAGATAAGACGGAATGGCCGGGCGCGGTGGCTCACGCCTATAATCCCAGCACTTTGGGAGGCCGAGGATGGTGGATCACGAGGTCAGGAGATTGAGACCATCCTGGCTAACACGGCGAAACCCCGTCTCTACTAAAAAAGTATGATAAATTAGCCGGGCATGGTGGTGGGCGCCTGTAGTCCCAGCTACTCTGGAGGCTGAGGCAGGAGAATGGCATGAACCCGGGAGGCGGAGCTTGCAGTGAGCCAAGATCCCACCACTGCACTCCAGCCTGGGCAACAGTGCAAGACTCTGTCTCAAAAAAAAAAAAAAAAAAAAAATCTCTCCCTCCATGACCCCGTGATACTAGAAATTCCTATAGCAGGAGGCAGAGCCTTTGAGTTGACACCTAGAGCTAAGAGAATTGACCACTAAACAGAAAGCACATTGAAGACATCCGATCTTGTTTTGAGGAGACCAGCGGCTGGAGGGAAGGGATAAAGAATGCCCACAGTGGGTTCTTCCAGACAGTCCAGCCCTTCTGGCCTTGACCTCCTCCTCAGGTCATGCTCACTGCCCTCACTCCCATCTGCTCTGGCAGGCAGCCCTACATTGGAGGGTGAGTCAACCCTTACACAATTCCATCGGGCAGGCATTATTATCCCCATTTTACAGTTGAGGAAACTGAGGCCTATCAACTAGGCAAATTCCCCAGGGTCACTCAGCCAGGAAGGACTGGAGCCAAGATGTGAACCCAGGCCTGTTCACTCCACGGCCCCTGCTTTTTCCACTGTGTCTGCCTCCCAGCTCTGAAGCATCTGGGATCAGGCAGCAAAATCTCCTTTCCCTGCAGCTGGCCCTCTCCCCTCTAGCCCCTCTTCCGTGTCCAGGACGGAGCAGCAGGGTGCAAGGACCCTGGGAGACTTGGAGGCTGACACTCTGCTCTCTCCTCCTCTTCCCTCCCTCTTACCCCGGTGGCCTCCTCTCACAGAAGAGCCCATGCTCATCCTAACAGCCGTGGGAGCCGCCTAGGCCCCATCCCACCTGGGATGAGAAGGATCCAACCACCATGGCAGGGTTAGAGGGATGTCAACTCTCAACAGTCCAGGCTTTTTTTCCTGCCAGCCCTGCTGAGCACAGCCTGGTGTCCAGACTGCCCAGGGAATGCAGGGTCTGCCCGCCACGTCTGGGGACCACAGGCAGGGACGGCCTCCCTAGCTCAGGGCTTTCCCATCCTCCCCACAGGAGCTCTCTCTGGGAAACTGCCCCTTGCTTCACCCACTCCTGGCCTCCTGCTGTGCCATTTCCAGGAAAGAAGCTACCATGACCTCCTTCATTGTTCAAGAACCCCAAGTTCTTGGGTCCAGCCTAAACCGTTCCTGGGACTGGATGAAAAATATGTCTGTGGGCTCTGTTTTCCATGACTGTAGGTATGACTGGCCCTCTCCTTTCAGTGAAGAAGCCCTTTGTTGACCAGAGAGAAAGGGGCTGCAGTGGCCAACCCTTCCCTTCGGACTCAGCACTTCCTTGCTTAGTCTGAAAGGTCTTCAGTGCTTTGTCCCCTTTCCTTGAAGTTAGAAAGCAGCACAGAGTCCTGCATGTCCACTTTCCTCCTCTCCCTCTGCTGGTGGCGACCCTCAGCAGGTAGGCAGCCCTGGGCAGCTCTGCCTCACTCCAGTTCCTCTAGCTCATCAACCGATCTCCTCGGTAGGAGTCATTCACTGCGCTCCCGGTGATTCACTCACAGGGGCTCATTAACCTGTTTACCTCCCTGCCACTCTCCTGAGTAGGAGTGGCCCTGGATCCCTCCCTCCTGCACGCCTGACAAATTGTCCTCCAATGACTGCTGCTCTGCCCGCTGGGCTCCCACCAGCTGCCCCCGACCCTGGGAGGTCTTTGCCTGATCCCTACTTAAAGTGTAATGGGTAAAAGAGCTTTGAAATCAAACACACTAGGTTTGTGACTCAGCTGCTAACCTGAGATGCCCTGGCTTTCCATTGGAGCGTGGCGGGGGGGCGGGGGGTGGGGGTGAGGGTGGACGGTGGGGGTGGGGGTGGGGCGGGGGGCGGGGGATGATTTTTGAGTCCCAGTTTCACCACTTGTTGTCTGTCTGAAGTTGAGGCAGTTACTTAACTCTCTGGGACTCAGTTTCCTCATCCATAAAATAAGAGTCATCATGAGACCTACTTCCAAGGTGTGTTGTGAGAATTAAATAATTTAAAGCAGAATCATTTGATTTAGATTCATTTGTAAAAAGTCTGGCCCATAAATATATACAAACATTATTATTGTTTTTTTTTCCTTTGAGACTGTGTCTCACTCTGTGGCTCAGGCTGGAATGCAGTGGCGTGATCTCGGCTCACTGCAGCCTCGGCCTCCTGAGGTGATTCTCCTGCCTCAGCCTCCCAAGTAGCTGGGACTACAGGCGTGCGCCACCACACCTGGCTGATTTTTGTATTTTTAGTAGAGACGGGGGTTTCACCATGATGGCCAGGCTGGTCTCGAACTCCTGGCCTCAAGTGAGGGGCTCTTTTAAACAACCTTGTTTGAGCTCCATCCCAGATCCCTCAATGCCTGCCTTGGCCTCCCAAAGTGCTGGGATTACAGGCGTGAGGCACCATGCCCAGCGGTTATTTTTTAATTTAATAAATAAATAATGTATGTTCCCTTGCTCAAATTATTTCCTCTTGCCAAGCCTTAATTTCCTCATCTAAAAAAATGGGAATAATACTGCCCACCTCCCTGGACTTGTCAGTATTAAATGAGAGAGTGTCTATAAAGCACCCAGCTTTAGGGTGTAGCACATAATGTGACTACAAGGTCAAGTGTGTAGTGCTTGGTGGGTGTTGCATCTCCTCCCGCTGTGCTGGGGAGCCCTTCCCCGACTCCTCTCCTCTCCTAGGTGTTCTCTCCCTCCCGACTCCCACAGCAGCCCTTCAAGAAGGAGGGATTCTTTCTGGGCAGATGGCTGCCTCCCAGCCTGCAGGCCCCAGAGGCAGGGCTTATGGCTTCCTTTCCCCGGCTTTTTCCTGGACTGTCTAGGGCCCCGCATCCAGCAGAACCTAAGAACTGTGCAGGCCTCACCCGATTCACCCCTGCCCTCCCTTTCCATCTCTCACTGACATATTTTCAACCACAAATATTTATTGAGTGCCCACTGCCCCGCCTGCTGTCCTTCCCCTTCCTGCTGGGTCCCTCCCCTCCACCAAGGCCTAAAGGGGTGAAGATGTCTGCAGGCAGCAGGGGGAGAAAAATGAGGCTAAGAGGAAGGACCCAAGAGAGCTCTGAAATGAGGCGGAAGCCACATCTGACTGGAAGTTTCATTCACTCAAAGCCCCACATCTTGGGTATTAAAAAGAGGCAGAGTTTTGGGATTAGGCGTAAACAGGATGAGTCACAGCTCAGTCACTCTCTCTGTGATGTTGTGACTTGCCTCTCTTTGCCTTAGTTTCCTCAAGTGTAAAATAGGGATAACAATAGCACCGGGCTTGTAAGATGTGAGAATGAAATGAGATACCCAAGACACCTTCGCAGCGTCTGTGCACACGGCAGCTTCCTAAGGAAATGGTCCCTACCTGGGACATTATACAGACGTTAATCAACGAAATGACCTGGCTTTTTTTTTTCTCTCTCTCTCCAGGACAGGACGTCCCACCCTTTCTTAGTCCGTAACGCACCTTTGGACATGATGGAATATACGAAGGGGCCTCCACCCACAGCATGACCAATCCCCAGCATCCAAAATCGCACACATACCAATATGTGCACACACACACTCACACCCACACCCATAAAGATTTTGCACTCCTTGAAGGTACACTAACTCACCATTTTTATCATACTTATCCCAGTGTGCCACAGTTACTGGCTTATATGCCTGTCTCTGCTATCTTATTTTATCTGTCTCCACAACACAGCAAACTACCTGGCCTTCAATAAAGGGCTTATGAATTATTCATGAATCCATTTTGCCAGGTGCCTAGCCCTGTGTCTGGCTTGAAGCAGGTGTTCCCAAGGTGTGGCATGGCTGAGTGAATACAAATAAAAGGTATACAAAAGCACTCAGCCCTGCCCTCCTCTCTTCTCCACGCTTACCACCTGCTCCGGTTTCCAGACCCAACATTGGCAAAGAGCACCGATGAAACCCAAAAGTTCAGGACACACCCAAGCACGTAAAGGTCAGGCACCTGGGCAGGTCAACAGTGCAGCATTTTAGCCTGGGTCTTTTGGGGGAAGAGCTTCACAAGGAGCTGCTCTCTAGCCTGACCCATTCTCCTTGTTCTGTAAGGCCCCTGCCCCCAGCCTTTGGGCTCACTTGCAGCCCTAACCTCCACGATCCCCCTCTTTGCTTTCTCCATAATAAATTCCCCTTCTAAACAAAGACTGACAGCACCACCTCCACAGCACCTGCACGGTCTCGCCTCCCCTCACCTAGCCTCACCCCTCCATCAGACTCTCCTGCTGAGGTGGACGAGGTCTTATACTTTGCTGGCATCTTGCTCCAGAAAAGGGATGCAGCTGAGCACACCCCTGCCCTTTTGCAAGCACTCCCTCCCACTTGCAGGAGGGAGAAGGGAATGGGAGGGAAGGAGAAGAGAGGGCAGGGGAGGGCAATGCTGCTCCAACAACCACACTCTGGGTGAGCCTGGGGTGCTAGGATGGCTCCACTGGGCAGGGACGCCAGTCCAGTAAGCTGGAGGCTCCTCATTTTGCCAGCAGTGAGCTCTACCTGGGACAGGGGTGTCAGTTCCCACCCTCAGGTCTGAGGCTCTGCCTGCCCAGTGAGCACCTCAGCACCCTGGACCACCCTTCCAGGCGCAGGCACCAGGGAAGGGGCAGAGGGACTAACCGACCTGTAGGGATTGAGGGTGCAGATGGTCACTGCGGGGAAGACGAGCTTGTCCGAGTTGAGGTTGATGTTGAGGCTGACGGGGTAGCTGAAGTACTCTCCGAAAAGCAGGCCGAATTGCCAGTACATCATGCCAAAGGTGCAGAGCCACAGCACTGCCCAGAAGGCCGTCTTCATGCGGTTGTGCTGGGAGCACACCAGGCGGATGGCGCCGTGGATGGTGGTGTTGTTGCAGAAGAACTCGAAGAGCTCTCGGTAGGAGCGGTGGAACTCGATCAGGGCCTCCTCCTCCGCCGTGGGCTGCTGGGGCGCCGCAGGTTCGGGGCCCAGCCCCTGCTCCTCACGCTTGTTCCCCTTCATGAGCCCTGGAGTGGACTGTGGAGGGCTAGAGTCCTGCTCCTCCAGCTTGTTCCCCTCCATGAGACCTGGTATGGGCTGCAGAGGTCTAGGGTCCTGCTCCTCCAGCTTGTTCCCCTTCATGAGCCCCGGAGTGGATTGGGGAGAGCAAGGGTCAGGGTCAAGGCTGAGCTCTGGGCCCTGAGTGCCCTCTCCCATCACCCCTGGAACCCGAGTGAGGCTGCCCCTGGCCATGCCCATGTCCCACCCTGCGCCCACATTCTCCCACTCCTCCCTCCCTCCTCCACCTTTCCTGGAGCCAGCAGACCTGCGGGAGTTGGGGCCAAAAGTGCCGGAGCTGGGCTTCCCTAGAACGGCCTCTCCTCTGCTTCCCTGATAGGGCCACCTTTCGAGTTTTGTCCTAGCACCTCCCTTTCTGTCTCTGCCCCCTTCCTTTGGTCTTCTTCCTCCAGGATCTGTGTCTCAGCTCCTGCCTCTCACTCCCTCTCTATCTGCCTTCTGTTTCTCTTTGGGTCTCTCCTGCTCTCCTCTTTCTGGCCTGCCTCCTCTCTCTAATCCTGCCTCTCTTCCTCTCCCCCCCTTGCCTTGCCCCCTCTCACTCTAGGCCCTCAGCTCCAGCCTCTGGCCCTGACCTCGAGCTGTGTCCTGATTCTGTCTCTGCCCCAGGACTGCAGGGCTCCAGGAGGTCTGGGCTGCCTCCAGCTTCCCACTCCCAGGTTGCGGCTGGACTGGGACTGGTTCCTTTCCAGTTGAATCTGGCAGCCAAACCTCTCCTCCCCCTCACCTGACAGGTGCAGCGGCCTGGCTGGGGAGCCCGCCCGCTGGCCGGCCAGGGATGGAAGCGACAGGAATCTCATTAGCATCTCAATTAAAGGTGAGCAGGGCGGGGGGAGGGGCTGAGGAGGAGTCAGAGCCGGGAGTTTTCCGAAGGAAGGAGGGCTCCCGAGGGCAGGTGAACTGGGAGTACTGGACCTGAGAAGGCGGACTCTGGGCAGGGGCTTTAGACGCAGACAGGCAAGGAGGCTGGGGGACAGGATGGCAGGTGAGGGGCAAAGATCTGAACAAGTAGAAGGATCCTGAGCCCACAGCTAGGAGGGCAACACAAGGAGAAGGGGCCAGCCAGGCTGAGAGGGCCTGGGTGGGGAACCGGGAGGACAGGAGGGCAGAAAGAGGGAGACAATAGAGAGGGACAGCGAAGGACAGAGAGATAGGGATGGAGGAGGGGCACTGAGTGAGTAGAGGCAGGTGGGGGGCAGTGGTGGGGGCAAATAGAAGGAGCCAGCACCAAAGGGAGTCTGTCTCCAGGAAGGAGAGCAAGGGGGGAGTCCCAAGTGTGCTTCCAGGAGCTAGAGGCTCAGCAAGTGGGCAGCCCTCCAAGGGCACCCACAGGTCAGCCTCACCCTCAGGCCCTGCAGAGAAGAGAGAAGAGGTCTCTGCAGGTCTCCTCCCCGCTCACTAAGTGGGAGCAGCGCACTCAGGTGGGATGCGTCTGCCTCCTCCTGGTCCCTCCTCTTTCCTGCTGATTCCTCGCCACCCCCTCCAACCTTGTCCAGACCCGGGAGGGGCCCAGGTGAAGCTGGGGGCTAGGCGGGGCCCTAGGACATTCTGTTCTTTTTTACACTGTTGGCTGCCAGGCCAGGAATGTGTAATCGCCCCTGCTGTGGTCACAGAGTTGCAGGAATGTGGGCAACCAGAGGCAGCGCGAGGGCCACGCAGGACACTGTGGACACAGACCCGGAGCCCAGGAAGAGGCAGGGAAAGCAGGCACTGAAGGTGCAGGGAGGATGTGGCCAGCGCTGGAAAGGAAGAGGGTGGGCATGGCACACGCCTAGACAGGCCCTGGGAGGAGGAGAAATTCGTTGATGGGCTATATTTTCTCCAAAATCTCTTTCCAAACTTAATGCAGCAAAAGGATAAGGAGTGGAGTGCCAAGTGGTGAGCAAGGAGAGAGAGGAGGGTCAGAGAATCAGACCCAAAAAGGGCTGGAGGAGACTCGGGAGAGCCACCCACACAACCCAGGCCCTGCACGCGGCAGGGAAGGCTGCCGCTTCCTCACGGGCCCCACAGGAGGCAGCCCAGAGTGCAGGAATGTGGTCACTGGCTTGTCCTGCCTCCCTCCACAAGCCAGCAGACAAAGGCCCAGCCTGAGCATTGATACACACCGGGGGAGGAGATAGGCCTGCAATACAATAAGATAAGGTTTCTATTTGTACACTTTAAAAGATTGTCTTTAAAACGGACTTCTAACAAAAGTGCAGATCTCAGATTTCTCAGAGATAAGACATAAGAGCCAAGGGCTAGGGGAGCCTAGGGGCTCACTGCAGGAGACTCAGGAAGCCTTCCCAGAGAAGGTGTCATCTCTGCTGAATCTTGACAAGCAAGGAGTTTAGCAGGCAAAGAAGAGAAAAGGCAGTACTCCAGGCTCAGGGTCCAACCTGGTCTGTGGCTTCCTCTCTTGCGGCAGTCTCTTGCGACTTCTTAAAGTGAAAGCCGGTGTCAACCAGGATTCCAAACCAGGTTCCCTTGCTTACCTTGATACTGCTCATGATACCTCCCCTTGGAAGGGACAGCTGGATTTTTCTTCATTGTCCTAATGAAGAAACTGACCCTTCCCAAGGATAAATCAGTTTTCTGAGGTTAGAAAACAAAATAGGAGCAGAGCTATAAACAGAATTCAGAATTCTCCTCCTCCTCTGGGGCTATCTACTTAGCGCTTTTGCCATTTACTTCCTGAGACAGACTCATGGGGGATCGGGGCTCAGGTGCACCTGGATGTGAAAGCCGGGAAGGCCTCCCTCACTCCCACACAGAGCCCGTGGATTCGTCTGCTCTCTGGGTGCTGGGTTATCTCCTTGGCTCTGTGAAAAGGTCTCTGCACTGTCCCCACTGCCCCACATATCCCAGAGACCCCTAGAAACTCCAGTCTCCCTTGAGCCAGGTCCTTACATTGGGCATGGTCCTCCCTGCAATAAGGTGCTCAGCACCCTGGCTGTTTGATCTCAAAGGTTCTGAAAAGCACCTCCCTGCCTTTTCTATTTGCCAGCTCATGCCTGAAATCCAACCACTAGCTTAAGGCAGCATGGCAAATAGTTTTCATATCAAGGGCTCTGTGAGAAGAATTGCAATGCCTGGTCTGGGCTGAGCCAAAGGGTGGTGACCCTGCCACGTCCTGCCGGGTATGGGAGTGGCAATGCGAGCCTAGTGCTGCAGCATTCTAGACCTGGAGCGGGCTAGAACAGGCTTGGTGTTGTGAGGAAAATAGAAATCTGAGACCTGGACTTTGGTCAGAAGTCCATTTTAAAGATGATCTTTTAAAGTGTACAAATAATACACAAATATGTTTTTGTCACAGTACAATTTTTCAGCAATACAGAAGTATATAGAGCTTCCCTTAGTCCCCTTCCTTTCCCTCCCCAAAGGGGAGCCACCATAATTTGTATATCTGTCTATATCTTTTTGTGTGCCTTTATAAACTTACATGTATTTTTAAAAAACAAAATATATAGTTCTTTTTTATGACAGAGACCATGCTATAGGTATGTTTCTACAACTTCCATTTTTGCTTTTATTTTCTTATTTATCTTAGAGACAGGATCATGCACTATCCTCTAGGCTGGAGTACAGCAGCATGATCATGGCTCACTGCAGCCTCCAACTCCTAGGCTCAAGCAGTCCTCCTGCCTCAGCCTCCCAAAGTGCTGGGATTACAAGTGTGAGCCACCATACTCAGCCCCTATTTTTGCTTTTAAACTATGTGACTTTGAGAAAGGCACTTGACCTCTATGGGCCCCGGTGATCTTACCTGAGAAAATGAAAGGGCAAGAAGGGGTGGGTAAGGCAACCCAGATGGACAAAGACTTTTTCCAGCTGACCTTGCATCTAGCCCCCTGCTTCATGCATGAGGGGACTGAGGCCCACAGAAGCAAAGTGACTTGGCCACAGTCACCCAGGAGTTAGGGGTGGGGTCAGACTGAAAACCAGGCCACTCCTTTCCAAGCCCAGTTCTCCTTCTCTGACTTTGAGAGAAGTACAGTTTTGTTCTATAAGAAGTCAAGAGCTTTGTAGACTCTGTCTTGGAAGGACCCCCTGCCTTCCCAGGACTACCCCCAGACTCCCCCAGAGCCCCAGCCCTTCCCGCCAACCCAGGGCTGCCTTCCCCTCCCAACACCAGCTATCCTCTAACCCTGTGGTGTGGCCATAAAATATGCACGGCTGCAGGGAGAGAAGTGAAACCAGAGGGGCTGCCATGGGATGAGGGTTATGAGTGCAAAGGGTCTTCCTGCCTCTTGTTCTCCGCGGACAGGAGATGACGGAAGTAATCACTCCACCCTCCTAGGGAGAGCCTATCTCTGCACTTACCACTGTTTACTATTATTTATTATTATTATTTACTATTATCCTGATGTATGTGTGTTTGTACGTATACATCCGTTTGGGGTCCCTGACTTCCCGCAACACAAGGACAGAGACCAGGCGTATTCATCTTGGTGACCTCAGTGTCTAGCGGTCACTGTTTGCTGACCCAGTCTGCAGAAGACAGCAGAACTGGCGTCTTTCCTAGTTTATCTTTGACAGAGCGGGATATGCTACGAAAAAGCATCTGCAAAACTTCAAACATCCTAACTTCCTCTGACAACCCATTTATTTGTGGTCTATTAATTTATCTAAATTTTCTTCACTTTTCCCTGTTCACTTCTATCCTTTCCAGGATAAGAATCAGTTACTTAGTTAAATGCAACTCTTTATTCTTACTACTTGGAGCTAATTAGCCACTTCACACTGGGGGCTGCCCACTGTGGAAGACAACAGTCCTTTCAGCTGCCCTTATGTGGTACAGATTTCTCTTTCATTTAAAATGATGGACCAGAAAAATGCCACTCTTCATCTAGTCCCCTGGCAGTTTACTTAGAAGTTCACTACTAGAAGTTGGCCGGGCATGGTGGCTCACGCCTGTAATCCCAGCACTTTGGGAGGCCGAGGCGGGTGGATCATGAGGTCAGGGGATCGAGGCCATCCTGGCTAACATGGTGAAACCCCGTCTCTACTAAAATTACAAAAAAAATTAGCTGGGCATAAGTGGTGCACGCCTGTAGTCCCAGCTACTCGGGAGGCTGAGGCAGGAGAATGGCATAAAACCGGGGAGGTGGAGCTTGGAGTGAGCCAAGATCGTGCCACTGCACTCCAGCCTGGGAGACAAAGCAAGACTCTGTCTCAAAAAAAAAAAAAACAAAAAAAAAAACAAAAAAAGAAGTTCACTACTAGAAGTTTATCACTTTGATTGAAGACAGGGTTTATCAACCTTGGCACTATTGACATTTTCGGCTGTATCATTCTTTGTGGTGGGACAGGATGATTCTGTCCTATCTACAATCCTGTGCAGGATGTTCAGCAGCATCCCTGGCTTCCATCTATTAGATGCTAGTAGCACCTCCTGAGTCATTGTGACCAAAACATCTCCAAATATTGCCAAATGACTTCTGGGGGGCAAAGTCACCCCCGTTGAAAAGACTGGGTTAAGGCATTGTCACCACTGAAAATGCAAATACTCTGGAAAAGGACAACCCTCATCTGTTATGCACTTCTGGGTGTTTGCCAGACCATTTCCAAGAGCACTAGTCAGCTAAGAGCAGAGTGGAGAAGAAGAGAGAAAGAAAAAGTATTTAGAAGAATCCATTCCTGGCCGGGTACAGTGGCTCGTGCCTGTAATCCCAGTACTTTGGGAGGCTAAGGTGGGCGAAATGACTTGAGACCAGGAATTCAAAACCAGCCTGTGGCCAACATGGCAAAACACCATCTCTACTAAAAATACAAAAATTAGCCGGGCCTGTTGGCGCATGCCTGTAGTCCCAGCTACTCAACTTGGGAGGCTGAGGCCAGGAAAATCACTTGAACCTGGGAGGCGGAGGTTGCAGTGAGCTGAGATTGCACCATTGCACTCCAGCCTGGGCGACAGACTGAGACTCTGTCTCAAAAAAAAAAAAAAAAGAAGAAGAAGAAGAAGAAGAATCCATTTCCATCAGCCCCCTTTCTGGATGCCTAATGGGCCTGTGGAAAGAAGGCTCTCTCAGCAGCTCCTTCGGAAGAAGGCCTGGGAGAAGAGTCCCACCCTCACACACCTTCTAGGCGTCCTGGGGTGCTCGGTCTGGGTCTGGTGTTGCCCAGTGGAAATCAGTCTCAGGAGGCTCTGGTGAAAAACACAAAAGGACAGGAGTAAAGACAATGCCCTGCCCGCGGTGAACCTGTGGATTTCTCACCCCTGGAGTCTCCCTTTATCCTCCTGGGGATGGCTGGGCATTATAGTAGCCATTTATTGGTAAGATTTGTCTTTCGTGATCCAGCTGGGAAACAAGAAACACTCTAAGTCTTTCAAACAGAAGAAGTTTAACACAGAGAACTAACTGGTACATGGGTGATGGAGGAGCTGAGAAGACAATGGGAGGCAGCTCAGAAAACAGCAGAGCGGGAAGCAGCTACCATCTCTAGGCCTGGAAAGATGGCAGGGTGATGTAGCATCAAAGACCAAGAAGCCTCCAGAGCCATTTGGCAGGAACTAAATAGTGTGGACTACTGGTAGGAGATGGGATTATGGAAGTGGGGAAGGAAGGAAGACAACCAACTGCAGGTGAAGCCAGAAAGCAGAGAGGAGAGAAATAGCCTGGCTGCTTCACTCCTCCCATCCCACCTCCATCCCACAGACCTGCAAGCAAACCAGTAGCTGACTGACACAATAAAGAGGCACACAGAGATAAAGTGATGGGGCCAGGATCAAAACCCAGATCTCAGGGCTCGTTCCTTAGGGTGTAGAGAGTCCATGAGGGCTGAAGCGCCAGCTTACGGCTGGCAGCAGAAAGAAACATACAGTCCAGCCAGCTGGGGTTAAAAGGGGTCTGGACATAGTGGTTACCTGTGAAGCAGGAAGCTTTGACTGGGAAGGGCATGTAGCAAACATTTGTAGTGCAAGGAACATTCTGGGGCCGGGTGCCGTGGCTCACGCCTGTAATCCCAGCACTTTGGGAGGCCAAGGCGGGTGGATCACAACATCAGGAGTTCAAGACCAGCCTGGTCAACATGGCGAAACCCCATCTCTACTAAAAATACAAAAATCAGCCAGGCATGGTGGCAGGCGCCCGTAATCCCAGCTACTCGGGAGGTTGAGGCAGAGAATTGTTTGAACCTGGGAGGCAGAGGTTGTAGTGAGCCGAGATTGCACCACTGCACTCCAGCCTGGGCGACAAAGCGAGACTCTGTATGGAAAGGAAAAGAGAAAAGAAGAGAAGAGAAGAGGTGTTCTGGACCAGTTGGGGGATATGCAAGAATACACAAAAGTGAAGACTCTCTGAGCTGTATCTGTAAGATCAGTGTACCTTACGGTTTCATTGTATTATATGTTACACCTCTATTAAAAGAAAGGGTCTCAGCAGCATAAGACAGGGTGGGGAAAAAAAGAAAAATAGAATAGAGAAAGAGTCCCTGTCTTTTAGGGTAAAATCCTGAAATATTTTCAAATGAAATGATATGATGTCTGGGATTTACTTCAAAATAATAATGAGGGATTTGAAGAGTGTGTGCGTTGGTGGGGGAGGGGGTATACAGAATAAATGAAACTGACAGTGAGTTGAAGCTGGGTAAGGAGTATATGGGAGACTCCCAATATTACTTTTTCTCTTTTGGTATATTATCTTGCATGTGGAATTTCCACAGTAAAAAGTAAAAAGAAGAGAGAGAAAAAAGGACCTAGGGTCGCTACACACACATTCCTTTACGCGTTTAAGAGCTCAGCAGGGACTCTCATCCCAGCCCCCAGCGCTAGGGCCCTGGAAGGCTCAGCAGCCCCGCGCAGTGCATGCTGTTCTGATACTTCTGCCCTTTCCAGCCATCTTTGGCCCATCTGTACGGTGAGCTGCCTGCACCAGGTGAGGGGAGAGAGCCTCACAGAGTGAAATGCCTACAGCCTAGGCAGGTCCTTTCCCCCTTTTGTGACCTCTCCTCCCCATGCACACTTCCCATCACCTGCACCTGTCCAGACATCAGACCTGAAGTTAGACAGACCAGTGTAAGGACGAGTGCTGAACAGAGTCCTTCAGGGAGGGGGATAGTGCCCAAGTGACCTATCTCAAGAGAGGTTAGCCCCTCATCCCAAGGGAGACATCCCTGAGCCACAAGGAGTTGGCAGGACTGCTGGAATGAGTTGGGACCTAGACATCAGGAGACCCAGATTGTAGCTGGCTCTGCGGTGGACTGGCTCTGTGATGTGGCCATCACTCATTTATTCCATAAATACCTATTGGGCACATGGTATGTGCCAGACTCTGCTAAGCATGGGGAACACAGACTTGAAGATTCAGCCTGGGCCATGGTGGCACTCACAGCCTGGTGGGAAGCAAACAAGACAGCCAGGTACAGAGGGCAGTCTTCACGGGGACTGTGCAACCTAGGGCAGAGGTTGCCTTCCAGAGCCTCAGTGAAGCCTCAAGGACAGGTGGGAGTTAGGAAGACGGAAACTTGGGGACCAGAGAACCACGTGTAAAAGGGGGCAGCTGCAAGTAACTCCACGGGTGGGTGGGGTGTTGGGTTGAGGGAGATGGGAGGATGAAACAGGGCAGGAACGAGACCAGGCCACCCTGGAATCCCGGTTCCCTTATGTATCACCCTTAGCCTCCCTCTCCATGCTTAAGGTGAGGGGGCTGGACTGCGTGGGCTCTCAGCTTTCTCCAGTTCTAAGGGGTTTGAAGGTTCATGGGCAAAGAAGCCAGAGCAGAGGGACTGAGTGCCCAGGTCCAGCCTGCTGGCCCCAGGACTCCCCTCCGCATATCCTCCCCCTCTCTTTGGGAGGGAGGTTCCCTGAGGACAGGGAGCAGGGCAAGCTGCACAGCTCTCAAGGGTCTCCTAGGTGACCTGTGCCCACTCCTGTGCGGATTGGGCTGGGTTGGTAGCGTGGGGGGCTGGCTGATTTGCTAGTCCCTTGTAATTTGTCTGAAAAACTCCCACAGTAGGGCAGGACAACGGGGGAGGAACCCGGGCATCTGCCAGCCGGTTCTCCTCGGTCTCAGAGCTGCTTCTGCGGCCTTGCAGTCCCCGCGCCCTGCCCTCTCCATGACTGCCCGTCCTGGGCCCCTCGCTTTCCAGATCCCGCACCCAGCTGTCCCTTGCGCTCTCTGGAACTCCCTCTGCTCTCCCTGCGAGGCTTGTCCAAGGGCTGACCCCGGGCCCGCCGCCCTTCCCTCGGCTGGGCCAGGGCTGTCCGCAGTCCGCTCTCCCGATCGGGCTTCCGAAGAAGGGAGGAGGCCGGTTCCGGCCCCGCGGCCCTCACGTGCTTTCCCGGCCGCCCCTCCCGCCCCGCATCGAGGCAGACAAGCCTGTTCCTCTTCCCTGGGCTGCGATTGCGACAGGCCGGCCTGGCTCCCAGCGCTCCCTGTCCCCGCCCCGCGGCCAGCTCGCTCCACTCCCACTTCCTGAGCTCCGCCATGGGAGCCCTGGAGGCCCGGCCTGGCCGCTCCCGGCCCTGGGGTGCACATCGGCCCTGAGTCCCGTCCCAGGCTCTGGGCTCGGGCAGCCGCCGCCACCGCTGCCCAGGACGTCGGGCCTCCTGCCTTCCTCCCAGGCCCCCACGTTGCTGGCCGCCTGGCCGAGTGGCCGCCATGCTCCTGCCTTGGGCCACCTCTGCCCCCGGCCTGGCCTGGGGGCCTCTGGTGCTGGGCCTCTTCGGGCTCCTGGCAGCATCGCAGCCCCAGGCGGTGAGGAAGGGGCCTGGTAGGAGTGGGCGAGGGTGGGCAAGAGGGATCTGGGCAGCCGTCGCTCCATTCCCTCTGCCCTCCCAAGCTGACCCCTGACTAATTCTTCTCTCCTCTTCTCCATCTCCCTTTGAAGGTGCCTCCATATGCGTCGGAGAACCAGACCTGCAGGGACCAGGAAAAGGAATACTATGAGCCCCAGCACCGCATCTGCTGCTCCCGCTGCCCGCCAGGTGAGAGGCAATGGCAGGACGAACCTGGGCCTCGGAAGTGGGTCACGGGGGCTCCAGCCCCCTCGCGGCCTCAGAGGGAAGGTGGGCACTGTCCCCCAGGAAAACTGGCTGCTGGAGACGAGCGTGGGAAACCCTGGACATCACGTGGAGGAGATGGGACTGGCCCTCCCCACTGGGCCTCCTCTTTCCTTACCTCACTGAGAGGGAGCCGGAGGGCCACTGGCAGGATGATGGGGGGCCAGAGAGACCGAGGGAAAGGCCAGGGTCACACTACAGGCAGCGGAGGTGAGGGTGGAGCCTCGTCTCCTGAGGCTCTACTGCTCCACTCACGTTCTAGGCACCTATGTCTCAGCTAAATGTAGCCGCATCCGGGACACAGTTTGTGCCACATGTGCCGAGAATTCCTACAACGAGCACTGGAACTACCTGACCATCTGCCAGCTGTGCCGCCCCTGTGACCCAGGTGAGTGGGGATGTGCCTGCGGGGGGGCTGGATCCCCTGGAGCTTGGCCCCTCCCTGAGCCCTCCCGTCTCCCCGCCAGTGATGGGCCTCGAGGAGATTGCCCCCTGCACAAGCAAACGGAAGACCCAGTGCCGCTGCCAGCCGGGAATGTTCTGTGCTGCCTGGGCCCTCGAGTGTACACACTGCGAGCTACTTTCTGACTGCCCGCCTGGCACTGAAGCCGAGCTCAAAGGTCAGAGGTCCCTGAGGGGCTGGATGTGAAAAGGAGGCTGGGTGCCAGGGATCTCAAGTGGGAGCAGGGAATATGGTACTGTGTCCACGGCGACCCCCCAGATCCTTGGCTTAAAATTCCTCTTCTCATTCCATGCAGAGGCTCACAGAAGGGTTCTGGAGGGACATGGAACTGGGACAGGTGCAGGGGACACAGGAGGTGGTTCTTCTCAGTACTGGGAAGCTTGGGCAAAATGGTAGGCAGTAGGCCGGGTGTGGTGGCCCACGCCTGTAATCCCAGCACTTTGGGAGGCCGAGGTGGGCGGATCACGAGGTCAGGAGATCGAGACCATCCTGGCTAACACAGTGAAACCCCGTCTCTACTAAAAATACAAAAAATTAGCCGGGCGTGGTGGTGGGCGCCTGTATCCCAGCTACTCGGGAGGCTGAGGCAGGAGAATGGCGTGAACTTGGGAGGCGGAGCTTGCAGTGAGCCGAGATCGCGCCACTGCACTCCAGCCTGGGCGACAGAGCAAGACTCCGTCTCAAAAAAAAAAAAAAAAAAGGCAGCAAAGCAGAGCTTGGGAAAGGTGAGAGCTACGCAATGGGGTGGATGGGCATCCTGAGGCTTAAAGGAAACTCACAGGCCGGCAAAGGGCCCCTCCCTTTTGCCCATTCACCCTGGCTGGCCTGCCTTTCTCTTGCCAGATGAAGTTGGGAAGGGTAACAACCACTGCGTCCCCTGCAAGGCCGGGCACTTCCAGAATACCTCCTCCCCCAGCGCCCGCTGCCAGCCCCACACCAGGTGAGTGCAGCCCCACCCAAGCTCCTTCCACCCTCTGAGAAGCCTCAGCTGCTAACAACCCCCAGCGCCTATCCTTGACACCACGGACTCGACTCACCACTTTCAGCCTCCCCGCCTGCCCAGTGGAGTCGGGACACTGGTGGGCCAGGGCGTGAAAAGGTCATCATCTTTTTTTCCTCTGCAGGTGTGAGAACCAAGGTCTGGTGGAGGCAGCTCCAGGCACTGCCCAGTCCGACACAACCTGCAAAAATCCATTAGAGCCACTGCCCCCAGAGATGTCAGGTGAGGGACCAGGGCTGAGGGACACGGGGGGGGCGCCTCTGAAAATGCCTTAATGCTCCACATCTTAAAAAAAATGGGGAAAAGATGAACACTTCCCTCCCAGAATTGGGCAAGAAGAAAGTTCCTTACAGAAAAAATTGGAGTATCTCTAGGCTAGTTTACACACACACACACACACACACACACACACACTTTTAAAATTATATATACTGTAATACTATGTCAAGGAACACATCCCACACTGAGATGTAATGATAACTACTATTGTCATCATTTTGGGCTTACCAACATTACACAATCCGTTTTTTTTTTTCACACAATCCATTAACTAGACCAAACACCTCTTTATTAGACTATATACTTTTATTATTAGACAGAAGATTCCCATTTGACTCTTTCTTGACTGTTTCCTGTGGACTGATTGGCTTGCTAGCCTAGTAGATGACTATTGTTTCTAATGACTGTAACATCACTAATTGGCAGAAGGTTCACTGTGTGTGTTGGGCACTCTGTAACCACTTTACATTTACTAACTCATTTAATCTTCTTAATGATGCTATGAAGTAGATTCTATTATCATCCTCATGGACTGAAGGAAGAAACCGAGGCTCAAAGAGGTTAAGTGATATACTCAAGATCACCCACACAGGTGGTCACTGGTGTTATTAGAACCTGTACTCAGGTTTTCTTACTCCAGAGCCCATGTCATAATGCATGCACTATAGAAAATTAGAGACTTCAGATAAGCAAAACTAAAAACTCACCCACAGAGCCACTACCTAGAATATCCACTCGTTACATTGTGGTATATATCCTCCCGGACATTTTCTATGCATGTTTATACATACTGGGTTTTGTTGTTGTTTACTAAAAGTGAAGTAATTTTAATATTTCGTAACCTGATTTTTTCATTCCACAATCTAAGTATTTTTCTGTGCCCTGTTAATTTTTAACTATGTATCAAATACAACTGGCATTTTAGAGCTGGAATTTTAGAGAGTATGTAAGCTAACCTCATCCTATATATGAAAAACTGATGCCCAAAGAAGTGAAATGACTTAAAAGTCACACAGCCGGGCAGGAAACCGTGGCCCAGACTCCCAGTCCAGTTTCTCCCCAGGCCTCCCATCCCATATTCCCTTAGGCTACAGATTTACATGAATGAGAAGAGGCAAAATGCCCAGCATAGAAATGCGGGAGTCCTCCCGCCCTTCCCCAGGCGTAGCTGACGGACACTGGAGGCTCCATGCTATTGCTGGCAGCACTGGTACCCAGAGAAAGAGAAATTACCCACTGCTACAGATCACAGCTGGAGAAGCCGAACTCCAGCCTCTCTTTCTCTTCCCCTCCTAGAACCTGCCCTGAGCAAGGGGGTGGAGAACTTGCAAGCCCTGCTCTACCAGGCGGCCACAGGCAGTTCCGAAGCAAGTTTCCCTACTCTCTCACCCCTGTAAACACCCCCACAGGTACAGGTACAGCAGGGCAACCCTAGCTCCTCTACAGCAGCCCCTCTGTACAATGGCTGAGGCCACAGAAATGTGGCTCTAGCCTGTGTCTGTTTACAACTCCAAGTCCCACCCTTCCCTACTGTCTCCCAATCCCACTTCCAGACCTTGAAAATCAACTGCCTAAGCTCCCATCCTGCACACACAAGCCTGCCCAATCCTGGTCTCTGAGCAGGAGGGCACCCACACCACCCCCAAACATGCCCATCCATGATACAGTCTCTCCTGGCTGCCAAGAGGTCCTCAAGTCCAACTTAGTTCCCCTTCTCTATAACCCAAGGGAAGTTTCTCTCATTCTGCCTTTAGGAGCTGCATTGTGTCTAGAAGGAAAAAAGCTGCTCCCTTTTCTCTGTCTGGGTTGCCCAGGGATCTGGAAAGCTCTTCCTTCTCCTCCTCCCCTCTGCCCTTCTTGGGGCTGTGATCACCCTCCTGTCTGCTGTCCTGGCAGGAACCATGCTGATGCTGGCCGTTCTGCTGCCACTGGCCTTCTTTCTGCTCCTTGCCACCGTCTTCTCCTGCATCTGGAAGAGCCACCCTTCTCTCTGCAGGAAACTGGGTAGGAAAGGGTTGGATGCAGTGGATGGTTGGCAATGGGAGCCGGAGGGAGGAATATTCAACTTCCCCGGTGCAACCCTCCACACCCTCAAGACTCCCAATGCCTACCCCCAACATAGACATCCTTATCTTCATCCAGCTGCTTATTCTGAGGCTGGAGATGAGAGTGACAGTGGCTTGTTCCTCTGGGCCCCCGGGTGGTCAAGTTGCTACACATTGTGCTGGGATGTGGAGGCTGAAAGGCTAGGTCTGAGGCCTGCCGGGGAGCCTACACCCATTTCATTCTCCATTGCAGGATCGCTGCTCAAGAGGCGTCCGCAGGTAATGGCGGGGGCTGAGAAGGCAGCAAGAAGGGGAAGAGGTGATGAGGGTACAAGGTGGAGCAGACAGGAAGAGAGTATGCAGGCTGACTCCACACTCATTCATTCATTCAACTGATGATTTACTGAACATGCCACGTACCAGGCACTGTCCTAGGCACTGGGCGTACAGCAGTGAGCAAAACACAGTACCTCATTTCCTGGAGTTCACATGCCCATGGAGCAAGAATAAGTTAAACTATATATCAGGTGGTATAATTGCTAAACAAAGCAGGGAAGGGGTCAATGAGTGACAGTGGCAAAGGATGGGGGTATTTTAGACAGAGTGGAGAGTGAAGGCCTCTCTGAGAACCTGATATTTGAGCGGAGAGCTGAAGAAGCAAGGAGCCAGCCATGGGGTTATCTGGGGAGAAAGTGCTCCAGGAAGAGGGAGCAACCAGTGCAAAGACCCTGAGGCAGGGGGCATGGGGAGGAGCAGAGGCAAGTGGTGAGTTGCCAAAGCATGCGGTGGGGTGTGGGAACTAAAGAAAGATGAGCCAGCCTGGGCAACACAGCCAGACCCCATCTCTACCCAAAATGTTGTTCCAAGTTAGCCAGGCAGGGCCAGGTGCAGTGGCTCACGCCCAAGCTCCCATCCTGCACGCACAAGCCTGCCCAATCCTGGTCTCTGAACAGGAGGGCACCCGCACCACCCCCAAACATGCCGATCCATGATACATGTAATCCCAGTACTTTGGGAGGCCAAGGCGGGTGGATCACCTGAGGTCAGGGGTTTGAGACCAGCCCGGCCAACATGGCAAAACCCCATCTCTACTAAAAATACAAAAATTAGCTGGGCGTGGTGGCAGGCACCTGTAATCCCAGCTACTCAGGAGGCTGAGGCAGGAGAATTGCTTGAACCGTGGAGGCGGAAGTTGCAGTTGAACTGAGATTATGCCACTGCACTCCAGCCTGGGTGACAGAGTGAGACTCTGTCTCAAAAAAAAAAAAAAAAAAAAGTTAGCCAGACAGTCCCAGCTACTCAGGAGGCTGAGGCTAGAGGATCACTTGAGTCCAAGAGTTCATGAGCCTGCAGTGAGCTATGATTGCACCACTGCACTGTAGCCTGGGTGACAGACCCTGACCCTGTCTGGAAAGAAAGAAAGAGAGAGAGAGAAAGAGAGAGAGAGAGAGAAAGGAAGGAAGGAAAGAAAGAAAGAGAAAGAGAGAAAGAAGAGGGAGGGAGGGAGAGAGAAAAAAGGGTCTGGGGCCCTCATCATTGTTTGGGTCTCCATCTCTTTCCTGCAGGGAGAGGGACCCAATCCTGTAGCTGGAAGCTGGGAGCCTCCGAAGGCCCATCCATACTTCCCTGACTTGGTACAGCCACTGCTACCCATTTCTGGAGATGTTTCCCCAGTATCCACTGGGCTCCCCGCAGCCCCAGTTTTGGAGGCAGGGGTGCCGCAACAGCAGAGTCCTCTGGACCTGACCAGGGAGCCGCAGTTGGAACCCGGGGAGCAGAGCCAGGTGGCCCACGGTGAGCCTGGGGCAGGGAGAAGAGAGGAAGGATGGGGAGGGAGGGATGGCTGGCAGGGAGAGACTGTGGGCCAGATGAAATAAAAAGACCAAAACAGAGGCAGACAGAGACTCCGCTGCCAGTCAGTGTCACAACTAGAGAAGAGGGAAGAGACTGGAAAACCCAGAAGCAGAGAAATGAACACAGAAGCTCAATAAACCAGCAGCAAGCAGGAGAGGGGCGGGGCCAGGGGAAAGGCGAGAAGAAGGCAAGAATTCAAGAAGCAGCGGGCCTGAACTGGGGGCCTTCCTTCCTCAACACTCTGCCTCCCTTCCTACAGGTACCAATGGCATTCATGTCACCGGCGGGTCTATGACTATCACTGGCAACATCTACATCTACAATGGACCAGTACTGGGGGGACCACCGGGTCCTGGAGACCTCCCAGCTACCCCCGAACCTCCATACCCCATTCCCGAAGAGGGGGACCCTGGCCCTCCCGGGCTCTCTACACCCCACCAGGAAGATGGCAAGGCTTGGCACCTAGCGGAGACAGAGCACTGTGGTGCCACACCCTCTAACAGGGGCCCAAGGAACCAATTTATCACCCATGACTGACTGAGTCTGAGAAAAGGCAGAAGAAGGGGGGCACAAGGGCACCTTCTCCCTTGAGGCTGCCCTGCCCACGTGGGATTCACAGGGGCCTGAGTAGGGCCCGGGGAAGCAGAGCCCTAAGGGATTAAGGCTCAGACACCTCTGAGAGCAGGTGGGCACTGGCTGGGTACGGTGCCCTCCACAGGACTCTCCCTACTGCCTGAGCAAACCTGAGGCCTCCCGGCAGACCCACCCACCCCCTGGGGCTGCTCAGCCTCAGGCACGGACAGGGCACATGATACCAACTGCTGCCCACTACGGCACGCCGCACCGGAGCACGGCACCGAGGGAGCCGCCACACGGTCACCTGCAAGGACGTCACGGGCCCCTCTAAAGGATTCGTGGTGCTCATCCCCAAGCTTCAGAGACCCTTTGGGGTTCCACACTTCACGTGGACTGAGGTAGACCCTGCATGAAGATGAAATTATAGGGAGGACGCTCCTTCCCTCCCCTCCTAGAGGAGAGGAAAGGGAGTCATTAACAACTAGGGGGTTGGGTAGGATTCCTAGGTATGGGGAAGAGTTTTGGAAGGGGAGGAAAATGGCAAGTGTATTTATATTGTAACCACATGCAAATAAAAAGAATGGGACCTAGATAATTTATTTTCTTGGGATTTATACAGAAACACTATTCCATGGAGACAATCTCAAAGACAAAGGTCAAGACACTAAAATATAATCCCATAAAGATATTTCAGTGAGGAGCTGGTGAGTATAGTCCAGGTAATAACAGTCTCGTCAGTGATGGCTGACAACGTGCCAGGCAGTGTTCTCAATGCTTTACAGTACTAACTTACTTAATCTTCACAATAACTCCCTAAGGTAGATATGATTCCCATTTAACAAATGAGGAAACTGAGGCACAGAGCGGTAACTTTCCCAATTCAGCTGCAAATGACAAAGCTGGGATTTGCACCTAGTTCGTCTGGCTTTTAGAGGCCTCTTGGGGAAAAAAAAGCCTTCATATACCACGCCCTTCCAGAATTTCTTTGAACGGGTAGAATGGTCTGGCCTTCTCAAATAATCAGATCTCTTGCATGTTCCGCAGGTGTTACTTTTCAGTCAACTCTCAAACATCTAGCCACACGCGAAGTGAAAAATGTTCTCCAAGGTTGATTGAAGGGAAATGTGTGCAATTTTTTTTTTTTTTTTTGAGACAGGATCTAATTCTGTCACTCAGGCTGTTGTGCAGTGGCACTATTATGGCTCATGGCAACCTTGAACTCCTGGCTCAAGGGATCCGCCCACCTCAGCCTCCCAAGTAGCTGGGGCTATAGGTGTGTGCCACGACGCCCAGCTAATTTTTTGTATTTTTAGTAGAGATCAGGTCTCCCTGTGTTGCCCAGGCTGGTCTCGAACTCCTGGGCTCAAGCAATCCTCCTGCCTTGGCCTCTGAACATGCAGTGATTACAGGCGTGAGAGCCACCGTGCCTGACCTGAGGTGTGCACTTTAGACATAAAATGAGAGAGGCCAAGTTCACATTTTGTTGGTGAACAGAAATCTAGGCTGGCCTCCTTTTGGTTCAGAAAGAGTATTTATGATTTTTACTTTTTTGGTTTCTTTTTGTCTTCTTTTATTTTTACCCCCAAAAAGGACTTTAAATCTTCTCAAGCCCTCTTATTAGTAAATGTTTGCCCCTCCCTGCCCCTGAATTCTCTCCTGTGCTCGGTCGAGAGGATCTTAGCTTGCAGGATTGTTAGGGAGCTGCTGCCAGCCGGCTGCTCCTTCCATAAAAGGCCACTCTCATGGGTCTGATATGAGGAACTCTGTCGCTGGAGCTCATCAGGGTGGGGCGGCTGCAAAACACACACCTCAGAAGGCGTCTGATCCAATGGAGTGGATGGGTCATTTAAGGTTGACTGTGAAAATATCACATCCAACTTCCTTTTTTGAAAAGTAAATAATGGTGAGCTGTATCTTTAAATAAAGTTAAATCCTCCTGCCCCTGCAATATGCTGGGGCCAGACCTCATGAATTCTTAATAATTGTTCTAATGTGTTTAGATAAAAAACAAATTTTATACATTTTTTTCAACAAAATAAAAGGAGGAAAATATTTTGAAAGAAATGATGCTGAAGCACAGCCCTTTGTGACACCATTCAAATTTATAATTATACCTGCCTGTATTTTTTTAGAGACAGGGTCTTACTGTGTCGCCCTGGCTTGAGTGCAGTGGTATAATCGTGGCTCATATAGCCTCAGCTCCTAGACTCAAATGATCTTCCTACCTCAGCCTCCCACGTAGCTAGAGCTACAGATGCGTGCCACCACACCTGGCTAATTTTTTTTTAATTTCTTTTTTAAGAAGTGGGGTCTTGCTATGTTGTCCAGGCTGGTCTCAAACTCCTGGGATCAAGTGATCCTCCCACCTCAGCCTCCCAAAGAGCTGAGATTGCAGGCATGAGCCACTGCACCTGGGCTGCCTAAATTAATTTTCTAGGGCCGCCATAACAAAGTACTGCAGACTCGATAGCTTAAGCTGCAGAGATTTATCTTCTCACAGCTCTGGAGGCTGGAAGTCAGAGGTCAACGTGTTGGCAAGGTTGGTGTCCTCTGAGGCCTCTGTCCTTGGCCTGCTAATGGTGGCCTTCCTGCCACCTATGTCTTCACATGGTCTTGCCTTTGTGCATGAGTGTGTCCTAATCTTCTCTTAGTGGATTAGGGCCCATCCTGATGACCTCATTTTAACTTAGTCACCTCTTTAAAGCCCCTGTCTCCAAATAAGGCCCCATTCTGAGGTCCTGGGAGTTAGGGCTTCAGCACGTGGATTTTGGAGGGAGACACAGTTCCACCCACAGCATTACCCATGTCTATTTTGCCAGTGTGGAGTCAGTACAGGCTCCAGGACACATCCACAGAGCACAGGCCACGTAGAGGGGAGCTCCTGTCTACAAGGAAAAGCTGGCAGAAAACCAACAAAGACAGCCTCTTGATGGTGGTCTTCAAAAGATGCAACAGGATGCAATGGCAGTTGACAATGGGGTAACTGTTGGTTGTGAGAACCCTAATCCTCTACCACAGGGAGGAGAAAGCTAACACCAAGTCCAACCCACATCAACACGGGGGTGGGACACCCGTTAGGGGGCCAAGGCTGTAGTCCAGAAGAAAGGTGGATGGAACTGGGGACAGAGCAGTAGCACAGGGAGATGGGGGAGGATGGGGTAATTCAGAATTTCCCTTTTTGAGAGTGGCATCAACACAATGTCAAAGTAGGAGTTCTCCGGCTTCTCTCCTCCCCAACAGAATTTCAACTAGCAACAATCCTGTGGCAAGTTTACCACCCTGAATATCCCAGAACTTGGAGTGAAGCTTTGCATCCCCTGGGATGGCAGAGCCAAGAAAAACCATGAGGACGGTAAGGGGATGGCTGCTTTCTGACCACGCCACTCCTCCCCAAGCCCGCACAGTGCCACACGCAGAGGAGTCCCTGGATGCTCGGTTTCTCCAGTGGACACAGTGGATGGGAGGTGGGCGTTCGGCTTCCCCACCAGTCTGAGACTTCACAGGAGACTCACTCTAGTCTTTTCCCGCAGGAAGCACTGTGAGTACCGGCAGGGTCAGCCCAACAAGGGTCAGTAAGAACTTCCCTTTTCAAAAGATAAAGCGGTTCACATAGACAGCTGTGGTGGACTCTTTCTGCTGCCTGTCCAACAGACTTCTGCACATTTCCTAAGGACAGAACCGCATTTTTGTACTAGAGCAGAGATTCCGTGACATCAGGAGAAGAGGCCCTTCCCCCAATCCCAGGAGCCAATAAACTCATTCTTCTTTGCAATTGTACAATGACATGCACAGGGAAGTCTTCCTTTCCAGGGTATAAAGCACCATTAGGAGAAAGTTTTTGGTTTGCCTTGGCCCTTATTTTTTGTTTTGGGGATTTTGCGTGTGACAACATCACTCCTGAGCTGTGGCAGCCATCTTACCATCATGAGGAAACCGCCACGGGGATAAAAAGCCAGTCCTCTGAGGACCTGGAAGAAAGGACAGAACCTGGCTCCCAAGGCATCACTGAGACCCAAATCAACAGTAAGTAAGCACAGCACCTACTCCTGGGCTTCTTTTTATGAGAGAAAAAAAAAGTTCCCATTTGTGTAAATCATAGTGTTTGGTGTTCCTTTTCTTTTTTAGTTTTAATTGTATTTATTTCCTCTCTTTCGGATGGTTGATTTATTCACATGGGTCAAAATTCAAAAAGTATCAAAGAGTAAACAGTGAAATGTCTCTCTTTCACTCCTATCCCCCAACCACCAAGGTCCCTGCTCTGGAAGCAACCAATGTTACTGTTTCTGATGCTTTTCCAGAGGTAATTTATGCATATTCAAACAAATATATATAAATAGATTCCTTTGCTTTTTTATTTCTACAGATGGTACTACAGTAGTCCCCCCTTGTTTGTTATTTTTTTTTCTTGTTTGTGATTTTGCTTTCCATGGTTTCAGTTATCTGCTGTCAACTGTGGTCCAAAAATATTAAATGGAAAATTCCGGAAAGAAACAATTCATCTGTTTTAAATTGTGCACTGTTCTGAACAGCATGATGAAACCTCAAGCTGTCCTACTGAGACAGAGTAGGGATGGGACTCGGGCCCCACTCGTGCCCTACCAAGAACCTCTATTGTAAGCTGGGGTGGGGGTGTGTGGCCAGTGAGGACCCCAACCAGACTGTCCAGACCTTGCACCATGAATCTTGCTCAAGGTACTATACCCACTCATCGCAGACCCTTAGAGAGACTAAGATGAACAACGTCCCACCATAAATCTTACTCCAGGTGCCAAACCCACTAGTTGTAGAAATTAAAATAAGCAGCTCCCACCTTGAATCTTACTCAAAGGAGTTAACCCTATCTCCCGTATGTATACCACAGGACCAGAAGAATGAGCGCTCCTTTGCCTTATCTTCATTATAATACTAAAAATCACACCGGGGTGGAGACTTAACATGCTAATGAGACACACGATGCATAAAGAAGCATGTTATCAAACTGAACAGGTGCCAAAATTTCCTCATCTCTACCTGCTCAAACTCACTCCCTTCCCACTTTAGTTCCTTTAATTCTCCTTTAGTTCCTTTAGTTCTCTTGAGTCTCTTCCAGGAGCCAGCCAGAGAATTCTCTCTCTCGTGCTGCCTCCCTTATGCCCTGCATAAGCTCTAATAAAGCCTTGTCTGGGAAAACTCTTTTGGCCTCATGTTAACTTCTATTGCATTAACAACCCCCAAGGCCCTGTGGTTGGTAACACTACTCCTGTCCCTTCAAGACATGAATTCTCCCTTTGTCCAGCATCTCCTCCCTGCAGACGCTCCCTACCCCTTAGTCACTTACAAGCCTTCCCAGTGATCAGACCAACTGTTGAGATATTGCATGCTTGTGTTCAAGTCACCCTTATTTTACTTCATAATGGCCTCAAAGTGCAAGAGTGGTGATACTGGTCATTCAGATATGCCAAAGAGAAGCCATAATATGCTTCCTTTGATGACTTTGCTAAGATCTGCATAACAATGCACCTTCTATTCATGAAGTTGTGAAGCAGAAAAAAAGAAATTCAAACTAGTTTTGCTGTCACACCTTAAACTGCAAAAGTCATGGTGCATGATAAGTGCTTAGTTAAGTTGGAAAAGGCATCAAATTTCTGGGTGGAAGACATGAACAGAAACGTGTTTTGACTGACAGCAATCGGGTTCAGTGCTATCCACGGTTTCAGGCATCCACTGGGGGCCTTGGAATGTATCCCCCTTGGAGGAGGGTGGACTACTGTACACGATGTTCTGTAAGTTCTTCCCCTTGCCTTTTTCATTTATTAAAAGAGCTTGGCCATAATACCATATTAGTACCAAAAAAAGTTCTCATTCATTTTTCTATCTGTGTGGTATTCTATCACCTGGCTGTACCATTTAACTGGATCCCTTTTGAGAATTTTTAATTCATCTCCAACCTTTACTATTACAGACAACACTACAGTAATAACCTATGTCATTTTGCACATGTGGAAGTACTGCTACAAAAAAAATTGCTGGAAATAAAATTTCCTGGTTAAAAGGTACATACATTTCGTTTTGATAAATGTTGCTAATTTGTCTTCCATAGAGATGGAATATCGGAATTTTTTTTTTTTTGAGATGGAGTCTCACTCTGTCACCCAGGCTGGAGTGCAGTGGCGCAATCTGGGCTCACTGCAAGCTCCGCCTCCCGGGTTCACGCCATTCTCCTGCCTCAGTCTCCTGAGTAGCTGGGACTACAGGCGCCTGCCACCACACCCGGCTAATTTTTTTGTATTTTTAGTAGAGATAGGGTTTCACCGTGTTAGCCAGGATGGTGTTGATCTCCTGACCTTGTGATCCGCCCGTCTCGGCCTCCCAAAGTGCTGGGATTACAGGCATGAGCCACCGTGCCCGGCCGAACATCGGAAATTTTTAAGTGTCCATTTCCTTACATAAACACCAACTTTGATGTGTTATCAAATATTTTGATCTTTGCCAAACTGAAAGATAGAAAAAAAAAAGTTATCTCAGTGTAATTTTTATTTGGATTTCTTATTGCGAGTGAAGTTTTTCACTTCACTGTGAATGAGTATTTCATTTCATATGAGTGAACATTTCATATGTTAAAGAGCCAGTTGTAATTTATTTTCTACTGACTGTTCATATCTCTATTTTTCTTTTTTTTTTTTTTTTTGACAGGGTCTTGCTCTGTCACCCAGGCTGGAGTGCAGTGGCCCAATCACAACTCTCTGCAGCCTCCACCTCCCAGGCTCAAGTGATTCTCCCACCTCAGCCTCTCTCCAGTAGCTGGGACTACAGACACACACCACCACGCCAGGTTACTTTTTAAATTTTTTGTAGAGATGAGGTTTCACCATGTTGCCCAGGCTGGTCTCAAACTCCTGAGCTCCTTCTGCCTCAGTCTTCAAAGTGCTGGGATTACAGGTGTGAGCCATCACACTTGGCCTCCTATATTTCTATTAGTTTTCAAATGTTATCTTTTTATCTCCAGTCATCTATTGAACAATAATTTTTTCTTCACTAATTTAAAACTACTGTTATGATAAGCCAAGTTTTTGTGCAAGTTTGAATTTACTTCTGGATTTTCAATTCTCTCTCATTGATCCGTCTTTTCAATTTGCCAACATTACAGTCTTTCAATTGTTTTAGCTTTATATTTTAATATCTATTAGGGCCAGTAGCTCCTTTTATTCTCTGTTTTTAAGAATTTTTCTAACTATATTTTCTTCCTTTTCCACATGAATTTTAGGACCTGTTTATTTAGTTCACTCCCCCTCCAAAAGAAAGGCTCCTTTGAGGATGTGTTTTGAGATTGTATTGAATTTACAAATCAATTAGTGTGTTGGGTTTGTTTGTTTGTTTTTAATTTGAGACAGAGTTTCGCTCTGTCACCCAGGCTGGAGTGCAGTGGTGCGATCTCGGCTCACTGCAACCTCCGCCTCCCGGGTTCAAGCGATTCTCCTGCCTCAGCCTCCTGAGTAGCTGGGATTACAGGTGCATGCTACCATGCCCGACTAATTTTTGTATTTTTAGTAGAGATGGGGTTTCACCATATTGGCCAAGCTGGTCTCGAACTCCTGACCTCAAGTGATCCACCTGCCTCAGCCTTCCAAAGTGCTGGGATTACAGGCATGAGCTACCGTGCCGGGCCGGGTCTTCTTTTCAAGAACATGATATACCCTTCTATTTGTTGATACCCTCCTCTTTGTGTCCTCAGTAGCATTTTAATGTTTCCTTAATATGGGCATTTCTCATTATAGTCATTCCTTGGTGTTTTACCTTTATAAGTGCTATAAAAATGGGATTTTTTAGTTTTGTTTTCTTTCTTTTTCCCCAGCCACCTACTGAATTCCCTCATGATCTATAATAGTTTTTTTGTTTTGTTTTGTTTTTGTTTCTTTTCTGAGACAGAGTCTCACTCTGTCACCCAGGCTGGAGTGCAGTGGTGTGATCTCAGCTCACTGCAAGCTCCGCCTCCCGGGTTCACGCCATTCTCCTGCCTCACCCTCCCTAGTAGCTGAGACTACAGGCGCCCGCCACCACGCCCGCCTAATTTTTTGTATTTTTAGTACAGACGGGGTTTCACCGTGTTAGCCAGGATAGTCTCGATCTCCTGACCTTATGATCTGCCCACCTCGACCTCCCAAAGTGCTGGGATTACAGGCGTGAGCCACCGCGCCTGGCCTATAACAGTTTTTCAATTAATTTTCTTAGGTTATCACCTACAAATAATGCTAATTTTGTAATAATTTTTCTAGAAACAAGTTATTGCCATGTTGCCCAGGCTGGTACCGAACTCCTAGGCTCAAGCAATCTGCCCACCTTGGCCTCCCAAAGTGCTGGGATTACAGGTGTGAGCCACCACACCTGGCCTATAACAGTTTTTCAATTAATTTTCTTAGGTTATCACCTACAAATAATGCTAATTTCATAGTAATTTTTCTAGAAACAAGTTATTGCCATGTTGCCCAGGCTGGTACCGAACTCCTAGGCTCAAGCAATCTGCCCACCTTGGCCTCCCAAAGTGCTGGGATTACAGGTGTGAGCCACCGCACCTGGCCTATAACAGTTTTTCAATTAATTTTCTTAGGTTATCACCTACAAATAATGCTAATTTCATAATAATTTTTCTAGAAACAAGTTATTGCCATGTTGCCCAGGCTGGTATTGAACTCCTAGGCTCAAGCAATCTGCCCACCTTGGCCTCCCAAAGTGCTGGGATTACAGGCGTGAGCCACCGCGCCTGGCCCTAATATTTTTAAATCTCATCTAAATGCATCTCATAGTACCTCCAGAACAATAGTAAATAGTAATGGACAGCTCTGTCTCAATCCTGATTTTAAGGGCAATACTTCCAGTATTTTCTCATTAAGCAGCAGTTGAAATACGTATATTTATTTTATTATGCTAAGGAAGTATCCATATCTTATTATTTCATAATAATCCAATGGATAATGAATAAATAATAGAAACGGAAAGACCAGATCAAAGGCTACTGCAATAGGGAGATGGAGAAAGGTGGAAGGTTGGAGATATGCCTTAGAGATAGAGTCAACAGGATTTATTGGTGGGCGTGGGTCCCAGCTCATATTTTATGGCCTTGGGTATTAGTTTGTTTAATCTGAGCCTCACATTCAAATTAACATTTGGTAAACATTAAGTGAGAATTTACTATGTACTAGTCATCTTAAGATACAACAGCCAACGAGACAGACCTGATACATAAACTTCTGGAGCTTGTAAAATAATCACAATTATTGCTTTTGTAGACAAGTGCTACAAAAGAGAAGCACAACATATAACCAGTGACCGATTCTAGGTCTGGAGATGAGGAAATTCCTCCCTGAGGAAATTTAAGATACAACCTGAAGAATAAATAAGGGCTAGCCAAATTGAAGGGGTGTTGGAGAGGAGAGCTCTGCTGGTGGGTTAAATGGTACGTGCAAAGGCCCTGTGATAGGAAGAATAGTTTGGCTGGAACTTGGGAATAGAGAGATGAAGCTAGAGAAGTAGGCGGGTAACACGTCATTCAGACTTACAGACTACAGCAATTTTGAACTTTACCCTAAGAGCAATAGGAAACCAGTAAAATTTTTTTCCAGTGTAGTAAAGTATATATATATAAATATATATGTTATATGTGTGTGTGTGTGTATATATACACACATACATATAAAATATGTGTATATAGTGTATATATACACACATATATATAAAATATGTGTGTGTGTGTGTGTGTGTGTGTGTGTATATATATTTTTTTTTTCACTCTGTTGCCCAGGCTGAAGTGCAGTGGCATAATCTCGGCTCACTGCAACCTCTGCCTCCCAGGTTCAAGAGATTCTCCTGTCTCAGCTTCCCTAGTAGCTGGGACTACAGGCGTGCACCACCACACCTGGCTAATTTTTGTATTATTAGTAGTGATGGGGTTTCACCATGTTGGCCAGGCTGGTCTCGAACTCCTGACCTCAAGTGATCCACCTGCCTTGGCCTCCCAAAGTACTTGGATTACAGTCATGAGCCACTTCACCCGGCCTGTAAAGTATATAAAGTATATTAATCTTAAGTGTATAGCCTGAAGAAGTGTTACATAGGTATATACCCATGTTACCATCACAGAAGATATGCAACATTTTACTTCCTTAGAAGATAACTTCATGCCACTTTCCACTCAGTCATGCTTACTGCTTGAGTTCCAGTTTATATTCTGGCAGACATATGACATCCCAGAGATATCCACTTTCCTATTTTGACTTATATCCCCATCAGTTAGTATTTGTTTGTTTGTTTGTTTTTAAGATGGAGTCTCCCTCTTGTCGCTCAGGCTGGAGTGCAGCGGTGCTATCCTGGCTCACTGCAACCTCTGCCTCCCAGGTTCAAGCGATTCTCCTGCCTCAGCCTCCCGAGTAGCTGGGATTACAGGCGCCCACTCACCTGGCTAATTTTTGTATTTTTAGTAGCGACGGGGTTTCGCCATGTTGGCCAAGCTGGCCTTGAACTCCTGGCCTCAAGCCATCTGCCCATTTCGGCCTCCCGAAGTGCTGGGATTACAGACATGAACCATCACGCCTGGCTCATTTGGGTTTTTTTTCTTAATGAGTTTTTAGTTTGGAAAAATTTTAGAATTACAGAAAAGTTGCAAAGATAGTACAGAGGGTTTTGGTATACCTTTCACCCAGCTGCCCTTAATGTTAATATCTCACATAGCCATGATACATTTGTCAAAACTAATTAAGAAATTAACATATCAACTAAACTACAGATTTTATTTAGATTTCACCAGTTTTTTTCCTTAAATCCTTTTTCTGTTCCAGAATCCAATCCAGGATACCACATTGCACTTAGTGATTATGATCCCTTAATATTTAGTCTTCTCTGATCTGTGACAGTTTCTGTCTTTCCTTATGCTGAGACAGGCAGATCGCTTAAGTCCACAAGCTCGAGACTAGCCTAGGCAACATGGCTAAACCCTGTCTCACAAAAAAAAATACAAAAATTAGCCTGGTGTGCTGATGTGTGCTTCTAGTCCCACCTACTTGAGGGGCTGAGGTGAAAGGATTTCTAGAGCCCGGGAGGTCGAGGCTGCAGTGAGATGTGATCCCACCCTGCACTCCAGCCTGGGAGACAGAGCGAGACTGTCTCACAAAGTGAAAAAAAAAAAGAAAAGAAAAAGGAAAAAGCAACTGCCAACCTGTCTCCAAAGTGACTATATCATTTTGCATTCCCAAAAGCAATGAATGAGAGTTCCTGTTGCACATCTTCACCCGCATTTGGTGATGGTGGCAGTGTTTTAGAAATTCTAGTAAGACCAGCATTTGGTGATGGTGGCAGTGTTTTAGAAATTCTAGTAAGACCAGCATTTGGTGGTTGGTGGCAGTTTTAGAAATTCTAGTAAGACCAGCATTTGGTGGTTGGTGGCAGTGTTTTAGAAATTCTAGTAGGACCAGCATTTGGTGATGGTGGCAGTGTTTTTTTTTATTTTTTATTTTTATTTATTTTATTTATTTATTTTTTTGAGACGGAGTCTTGCTCTGTCACCCAGGCTGGAGTGCAGTGGCGCGATCTCGGCTCACTGCAAGCTCCGCCTCCCGGGTTCACGCCATTCTCCTGCCTCAGCCTCCTGAGTAGCTGGGACTATAGGCGCCCATCACCACACCCAGCTAATTTTTTTTATTTTTAATAGAGGTGGGGTTTAACCATGTTAGCCAGGATGGTCTCAATCTCCTGACCTCGTGATGATGGTGGCAGTGTTTTAGAAATTCTGGTAAGACCAGTATTTGGTGGTTGGTGGCAGTGTTTTAGAAATTGTAGTAAGACCAGCATTTGGTGGTTGGTGGCAGTGTTTTAGAAATTGTAGCACGACTAGCATTTGGTGGTTGGTGGCAGTGTGTTAGAAATTCTAGTAAGACCAGCATTTGGTGGTTGGTGGCAGTGTTTTAGAAATTCTAGTAAGACCAGCATTTGGTGGTTGGTGGCAGTGTTTTAGAAATTGTAGTAGGTGAGCAGTGGTACCTCATTGTGGTTTTAATTTTCATTTCTCTAATGACAAATGCTGTTAACCAACTTTCATATGCTTATTTGCCATCCAGGTATTTTATTTTCTGAAGTGTCTCTTTAGATATTTTGCTTGTTATTAAATTGGATCATTCGGCAGTGTGCAGTGGCTCACGCCTATAATCTCAGCACTTTGGAAGCCCTAGGCGGCTGAATCGCTTGAGGTCAGGAGTTCGAGACCAGTGTGACCAACATGGCGAAACCCCATCTCTACTAAAAATACAAACATTAGGCCGGGCATGGTGGCTCACGCCTGTAATCCCAGCACTTTGGGAGGCCGAGGTGGGCGGATCATCTGAGGTCAGGAGTTCAAGACCAGCCTGACCAACATGGAGAAAGCCCGTCTCTACTAAAAATACAAAATTAACCGGGCATGGTGGAGCATGCTTGTAATCCCAGCTACTCGGGAGGCTGAGGCAGGAGAATCACTTTAACCGGGGAGGCACATGTTGTGGTGAGCCGAGATCGTGCCATTGCAATCCAGCCTTGGCAACAAGAGCAAAACTCCATCTCAAAAAAAAAAAAAAAAACGCAAAATACAAAAATTAGCCAGGTGTGGTGGCACGTGCCTGTAATAATCCCAGCTACTCAGGAGGCTGAGGCAGGAGAATCGCTTGAACACGGGAGGCAGAGGTTGCCGTAAGCCAAGATCACGCCACTGCACTCCAGCTTGGGTGACAGAGTGAGATTCTGTCTCAAAAAAAAAAAAAAAGAAAGAAAGAAAGAAAGAAAAAGAAGAATTATTTATTCTGGATAGAAGTCCTTTATCAGATACATTATTTGCAAATATTTTCTCCCAGGCTGTGGATTGTCTATTCATTTTCTCAACCTATCTTTCACAGAACAAAAGTTTTTATTTGTGATAAGGTACAATTCATCATTTTTTTCTTTATGAATTGTGTTTCCAGTACCAGAAAACTTATCACCAAACCTAAGGTTACACACACACAGGGTCTCCTGTGCTTTTTTCTAGATGTCTTACTTTCTACATTTAAGTTTATGAGCCATTTTTTGGTGTAAGTGTGAGGTACGTGTTGAGGTTTTTTGGTTTTGTTTTTACATATGAATGTCTAATTTTTCCAGCACTGTTTGTTGAAAAGACTGTTCTTTCACCACTGGATTGCCTTTGCATCTTTGTCAAAAATCAGTTGACATTATTTGTGTGGGTTTATTTCTGGTCTCTCTATTGGCTCTATTCACCTAAGTTGTCTACTCTTTCGCTAATACCACACTAATTGCTTTCTAATAAGTCTAATAAGTGGTAGAGTAATTTCTCCTACTATTTTTTTAGTTCCTTTTCATTTCTTTCCCTTTTCATATAAATTTTAGAATCAGTTTGTCAATTTCTATCAAAAAAAAGCTTCCTATGATTTTGATTGATAATGCATTGAATCTATAGATCAAACTGGGGAGAATTAACATATTTACAATATTGAATTTTCTAATCTATGAATACAGTATATCTTTCTATTTATTTATACCTTTTTTTTTTTTTTTTTGAGGCGAGGTATCACTCTGTCACCCAGACTAGAGTGCAGGCTAGAGTGCAGTGGTGCAATCATAGCTCACTGCAACCTTGAACTCCTGTGCTCAAGTGATCTTCCCACCTCAGTCTCCTAAGTAGCCGAGAGTACAGGCACATGCCACCATGCCTGAGTAATTTTTTATTTTGTGTAGAGACTGCGTCTTTCTGTGTCGTCCAAGCTGGTCTCGAACTTCTGGCCTCAAGTGATCCCCCTGCCTCAACCTCCCAAAGCACTGGGATTACAGGTGCACCCAGCCCACACCCAGCCCACACCCAGCCCCCACCCAGCCTACACCTAATCATTTATTTATATCTTTGTTGATTTCCTTTTTCTTTTCTTTTTTTTAATTTAGCCAGCTTTTTTTAAATTTTAACTTTTTTTTGGAGGGGAAAGGGAGTGGTCATGGACATACTGAAGTAGACACAAAAATATAGAGAATACTGCACTTCCCAGGGCTCGTCACACGTGCTTCAAAAATTACCAACAACTTGCCATTTTGTTTCATTATCTGCACCCACAATGGTGGATGAGGGAGTCTAAAAAATATCCCAAACATGAAATCTCAAAAATGTGATTTTAATCATGAATATTTTCACAAACATCCTAACAGATATGAATATAGAGAAAATACACTAAGATTTCACACCTAAGAAAATTTTAAAAATGACTTATAACATTATCCAATACCTAGCCCTTAAAGAAAGGAAATCCTGAATTGTCTGAAATATTTTTTATACTGATTTTGTCTGAATGAGGTCCCACCAGCTCCAAATATGGCATCTGATGGCTGTTCCTCTTAAATCTATTATAATCCATAAATTTACCCAAGTCTCCAAGTAGCCTGTCTGCTCTTTGAAAAAGGAATTGAGAGACCATAATCTGAGTGAAAATTCTCACTGATCATGGATTGTCATTGCTTTTAAACCATTCTTTGAAAAGTATTGCAGAAAAAAATGTTTTGTTTTCTTTTTTTTTGAGACAGAGTCTCACTCTGTCTCCCAGGCTGGAGTGCAATGGCGCAATCTCGGCTCACTGCATCCTCCACCTCCCAGATTCAAGCAATTCTCCTGCCCCAGCCTCCCGAGTAGCTGGGACTACAGGCGCGCTCCACCACGCCCTGCTAATTTTTGTATTTTTAGTAAAGACCGGGTTTCACCATGTTGGCCAGGCTGGTCTCAAACTCCTGACCTCCTGTGATCCGCCTGCCTCAGCCTGCCAAAGTGCTGGGATTACAGGCGTGAGCCACCGCGCCCGGCCAAAGGTGTGTTTTTTATGAGAGTATTTTTAAAAACATTCAAATTGTCGGTCACAGCTCCTTGCCTATGCGCCTAAAAAGAGATAGCCCAAGACAGACGGGGGAAAGAAAAGGGGAGACAGAAACAAAAAGAAAACTGGCAAACAGAGGAGAAGTCCAAAAGCCCAACTCCCATAAGTCAAGACTTCCCACAGTTCTCTAAGTCAGCAAATGAATGTAATTTAAACTGCTTTAAACGTCATACAAAAATAAATCCTTTTTAGTAAATCGATAAACAGAGGCATCTCCGTGACGACTGGTGGCAGCATGTACTCCTCCTTTTCTAAAACAAGGAGTTCTAAAACAACTCAAGGCAGCAGAGAGCCCTGAGTTGCAAACATGAAAAGCATAACTTTCTCGAGTTGGCTGTTAAGTGTAATAGGAGAGGCACCACTCCACTCCTACCTCTCCTTTCTTTAACCAATGCATTTTGGCTACAGAAGAAATTATGCCTATTCTTAGTCACTATTAAGCACATATACAATGTCGAAAATTGAACAGTACTCCAAGAGGGTGCAAAATGACTACATGCCACTTTAACTGAGGCTTCCAAAAATTGAGATTTCTACTTATAAGGAATGTGGTACACATTAGAACTACTGAGTCCCATGGTCATCCATGCATTACCTTACCCTTTTTGTATAACTTATAGAAATGGGTCCAAAAAGACGTTGTGAGATATGAGGTATGAAGTGTTCAGTAAGTTCATTGATGGTCCTGCTAGCAATAGCATGTAAGTGAAGCATATCCAAATCTAGAGTAAGTGTTTATCTCAGTGAAGACAAATCCCTGCCCCATCCATGACAAAATACTTGCAAGAATACAAGAATACTTCCCCTGACATATGGGACACTTAGCAGCATCAGCATCCAGAGGTCAGCCTTGGTGAGCTAAGTCTATACTATAGAGCTCAAGTATAACCTCTACCACTGCCTGCCACCCTAGTCACATTTTTTTTTTTTTTTTTTGAGATAGAGTCTCACTCCGTCACCCAGGCTGGAGTGCAATGGCGTGATCTCAGCTCACTACAACCTCCACCTCCCAGGTTCAAGTGATTCTCCTGCCTCAGCCTCCCGAGTAGCTGGGATTGCAGTCACCCGCCACCAGGCCCGGCTAATATTTGTATTCTTAGTAGAGATGGGGTTTCACCATGTTGGCCAGGCTGGTCTCAAACTCCTGACCTCAGATGATCCACCCACCTCGGCCTCCCAAAGTGCTGGCATTATAGGCGTGAGCCACCACGCTGGCCACATTGTTTACAAATAAATCACTTGGGCAGTAAGTGGGGTGATACGAAGAGACTACATGACAGCCATATGGTTGATGTGTACCTGATTGCTGATAGCCTCCTCTGAAGAGTGGGAATTTCGATTAGCATTCACGTGGGACATTATTCTCATATTCTGGGACCGTTCTGGGAAATTCATCCACATCACTGTTTCCTGAAACTTCTTGTCAACACAACCTTCACTTTTGCCCACTTAAAATCTCTGTCTATCCACACCATTAGCCATGCACATTCAGTTTAGATCAGTGTCTTAGGTCACGCTCCTTCCAGAAAAAGTAAACAATGACATTCAATACTCCAAATACTGCTGAGTGGCAGCAATTCTTTCCCTATTGCCAATTATGGACATATTTGACTGGGGTAATATTATTACGGCTTCTAATACTACTGTTACAATTGGCTTCAGTAGTATTAGCCAACATATGTTGAATGCTTACTATGTACAGGACAGTGTTCTAAGCATACTAAAACTATTCGCTCATGAGAGGCACGATTACCTCTCCATTTTTAAAATGAGGGGAAAAGCCAGAGGAAAATAAGAAGAAAAAAGAAAAAAGCCAATTTGTCTGGAACTGGTTAGTAATGGGCTGAACTTGTAGCATTCAGTTTTTCTTTTCTTTCTTTCTCTTTTATTTATTTATTTATTTATTTATTTATTTATTTATTTCTTGAGACGGAATCTCCATCGCCCAGGCTGGAGTGCAGTGGTGCAGTCTTGGCTCACCGCCTCCTCCGCCTCCTGGGGTCAAGCAATTCTCTTGCTTCAGCCTCCCAAGTAGCTGGGATTACAGGCGTGTGCCAACACACTGGGCTAATTTTTGTATTTTTAGTAGAGACGGGGTTTCACCATGTTGGCCAGACTGGTCTTGAACTCCTGACCGCAAGTGATCCGCCCGCCTCGGCCTCCCAAAGTGCTGGGATTACAGGCAGGAGCCACCATGCCCGGCCCCATGTTGATTTCTTTCGTCAGTATTTTGTAGTTTTTAGCACACATATCTCCCACGTATTTTGTTATATTTATACCTAAAAACTTCATGGGGGCTGCTATTGTAAATGGTATTCTATAAACTACAGTACGTTGTTTCTTTGTATAGATCCAAGATTTTGATTATATTTCTTCTTCTTCTTTCTTTTTTGAGACGAAGTTTCACTCTGTTCAACCCAGGCTGACACAATCTCGGCTCCCTGCGACCTCCGCCTCCCGGGTTCAAGCAATTCTCCTGCCTCAGCCACTTGAGTAGCTGGGACTACAGGCGCCCACCACCACGCCCAGATAATTTTTGTGTTTTTAGTAGAGACAGGGTTTCACCATGTTGGCCAGGCTGGTCTCAAACTCCTGACCTCAAGTGATCACCCGCCTTGGCCCCCCAAAGTGCTGGGATTACAGGCGTGAGCCACCACACCCAGCCTCTTCTTCTTAGAGAACTTGCTTTGACATTTATTATAAAGTAGGTCTGCTGGCAATCAACTTCCTCAGTTTCTGTTTGTCTGATAAACTTTTAATTTTGGCCTGGTGTAGTTGCTAATGCTTGTAATCCCAGCATTTTGGGAGGCTGAGGTGGGAGGATCACTGGAGTCCAGGAGTTTCAGACCATCCTGGGAAACGTAGTGAGACCCCGTCTCTAAAAAAATAAAAATAAAAATAGAAAACTCTTAATTTGGGCCAGGCACAGTGGCTCACGCCTGTAATCCTAGCACTTTGGGAGGCCAAGGTTGGTGGATCACCTGAAGTCAGGAGTTTGAGACTAGCCTGGCCAACATGGCGAAAACCCGTCTCTACTAAAAATACAAAAATTAGCTGGGTATGATGGCAGGCACCTAGCTGAGGCAGGAGAATCACTTGAACCCGGGAGGCGGAGGTTGCAGTGAGCCAAGATCATGCCACTGCACTCCAGCCTGAGTGATGGAGCGAGACTCCATCTCAAAAAAAAAAAAAAAAAAGATATTACTCCATTTCATTTTGCTTTTATTGTTTCTGACTAGCAGTCTGCTGTAATTCTTATCCTCGCTCCTCGGTAAGATATTATGTTTTTTCCCCCTTGGCTGACTTCCAGATTTTCTTTCTCTTTGGTTTTCAGCAGTTTTAATATGATATGCCTAGATGCATGGGTTTGGTGAGGGGCTGTGTTGTTTTGGTATTTATCCTGCTTGGTGTTCTCTGAGCTTCCTTGATCTGTGCTTTTCTGTCTGTTACTAATTTTGGATAATTCTAAGCCATTATCTCTTCAAATGTTTCTCCTGTCTTATTCTTTTTGTTCGTTTGTTTGTTTGTTTAACTAAGTCTGATTAGACAAATCCTGTCCAAGTCTTTCTTCTCCTTCTGGAATTCCAATTATGGGCATGTTAACTCATTTGGTATTCTTGGATGGTGTCTTCTTTCTTTCTTTTTTGTTGTTGTTCTGTTTTGTTTTTTACCCACTCTTTTTTTGCACTTCAGTTTGGGTAATTCCTCTTTATTTTTTTGCAATTTTATAACTTTATTTGATGTATTTGACTATCAGCGATTAGTTCTCATCCACATTGACTGTCTGTAGATTTTTGAAAGTGGTAGCAAATACATAGGTAACCAAAGTATAGAGCTTATTTGTGAATCTTCATCCTCATTACGTTTTCTGGACAGCCGCACATGGATTCGGTGTCGGACATTCCTTATTCCTTTGGCCCAGACAGCTTTGTTGAGCCTGGTATCAATGCGCACATCTGGAGTTTCCATCTCCTTCATGGCAAATTTCCGAATCTCTTTGAGTGCCCGAGGGGCACGCTTCTTGAAGCCTACTCCACAAATGCGCTTGTGAATGTTGATGGTGTATTCTCGGGTCACCACTTCGTTGATGGCAGAACGGCCCTTTTTCTTCTCGCCACCCTTCTTTGTGGGAGCCATTCTGCCATGTCCAAGTTGGAAAGGGAGTTTGGGAAATTTCTATTGACCTCTACACCCAAGGTCACTGATTCTTTTCTCAGCTATACTGAGTCTACTGATGAACCAGTCAAAGGTGTTCTTCATTTCTGTCACCACGATTTTATTTCAAGCATTTCCATTTTATTCTTATGGTTTCCTCTGCTGAATTTATCCATCTTCTTTTGGCATGTTGTCTACCTTTTCCATTAAATCCTTTAACATAATCATGTTACTTTAAATTCCATGTCTGATGTCATATCTGAGTCTGGTTCTGATTTTTTTTTTTTGTCTTTTTAGATTGTGTCTTTTTCTTTTTTTTGAAACGGAGTATTGCTCTGTCACCCAGGTTGGAGTGCAGTGGCATGATCTCTGTTCATTGCAACCTCTGCTTCCTGGGTTCAAGCAATTCTCCTGCCTCAGCCTCCCCAGTAGCTGGGTTGACAGGCATGCGCTACCATGCCTAGCTAATTTTTGTATTTGTAGAGAGGGGTTTCACCATACTGGCCAGGCTGATCTTGAACTCCTGACCTCGTCATCCGCCTGCCTTGGCCTCCCTAAGTACTGAGACTACAGGTGTGAGCCACCATGCCCAGTCCAGATTGTGTTTTTTCTTTCCTTTTTGTATACCTTGTGGTTTTCATTGAAAGCTGGATATGCTGTATAACACAACAGATACTGACATAAATATTTTGTATTCTTGAAGATAAGCATTCATTTCTTTCTGCTACTTCTCTAGTATAGAGATTTCCATTAATGTAGTCAGGAGGGCTGGGTTTGAAGTTTGCTTTTGCACCAACATATATTATTATCCTCAGTGCATCAGGGGCTTAAAATTCCTCTAGTGGTGCCTTGTTTTTGTCTCTTGGATTTGTATCTTCCTTTTGCACTGTTCCCTAAATAAAGTCTGTCTCTTGCAAGTTCTCCCAGATACATTCTTGTATTATTTTTCACTGGAGGCCTGTCATGTGGTGGTAGGCTATGAAGGAGGTTATGTGTTCCCTTGTGTTATGATTGAGGCTCAGCCTTAGGTAGGCACTATGAACCTGGATCTTGGGAGTGTGGCCTTCATAATTGCCCTTCCTCCAGGTATAATGGTTGGCCTGGCAATTATTCCGGTCCTCACTAAAAGGAAGAACTTCTTCTTTTTTCCCCTGTTCCCTTCCCCTAATTTCAGTGGGTTTCCACCAATGCCCTCTGCCCATAAGTTTTGTGTTTTCTGTTTTTTTGAGACAGAGTCTCACTCTGTCCCCCAGGCTGAAGTGCAGTGGTGCGATGTTGGCTCACTACAACCTCTGCGTGATGGGTTGAAGCGATTCTCCTGCCTCAGCCTCCTAAGTAGCTGGGATTACAGGTGCCCACCACCTGGCTAATTTTTGTATTTTTAGTAGAGATGGGGTTTCGCCACGTTGGCCAGGCTGGTCTCAAACTCCTGACTTCAAGTGACCCACCCACCTCAGCCTCCCAAAGTGCTGGGATTATAGGCATGAGCCACAGCATCCGGCCTGCCTGTAAGTTTTTATGACCTTCCCCTTGCAGATGAAGTCTTGTCCTAAAGGAATGGAGTCTTGGCCATAGCTGCTGTTCCGTTCCCCACCCCCAGCAAGCACCATGGAGCAGAGGGTGTCAGAATTCTCCCATTTCACCTATCTTCCTGTGGGTGATTGATGGGGGTCCTGAAAGAAAAGCCTGAAAGAAAGCGCAAGACTCCCTTTGTCTGCAGCTTCCAGGGACTTCATACTCTCTTAATCACCAACAGTAGGCCACTATTAATTGTTAAAAATGTCCAGCTTAATTTTCTTACTTAAGTAAGGAATGCTCAGGTACTGTTTCCCCCTGTAGGTACCTGTCTCTCTCTCGGTTTCAGGTTGTCTGCCCTGTGACCTCAATTCTCTTAGGAGATCCAGAAAAGTCATTCATGTGCAGCTTTTCCAGCTCTTTTCTTGTTGCATAGCTGGGAGCAACACTCTTGCCATCGTTTCAGTTTGGACCAGAAGTCCACTAAAGGACTTTAAGCAGGGAAAGGAAATGTTCAGATATGTTTTTTTTTTTTTTAAGATGGAGTCTCGCTCTGTTGCCCATGCTGGAGTGCAATGCCTCGATCTCGGCTCACGGCAATCTCCGCCTCCCAGGTTCAAGTGATTCACCTGCCTCAGCCTCCCAAGTAGCTGGGATTACAGGCGTGCACCACCACGCCTGGCTAATTTTGTATTTTTAGTAGAGACTGGGTTTCACTATATGTTGGCCAGGCTAGTCTTGAACTTCTTCAATATTGTGTTGGCTATTCTGGATCTTTTGCTTCTCCATATAAACTCTATAATCAGTTTGGCAATATCCATAAAATAGCTTGCTAAGAGTTTTACTGGGATTGCATTGAATCTATAGATCAAGTTGGAAAGAACTGACATCTTGACAATATTGAGTCTTCTTCTCCAGGAACATGGAATATCCTTCCATTTATTTTCTTTGATTTCTTTCATCAGAATTTTGTAGTTTTCCTCATATAGATGATTTTTTTTTTTTTTTTGAGATGGAGTCTCACTCTGTCTCCCAGGCTGGAGTGTGGTGGCACGATCTCTGCTCACTACAAGCTCAGCCTCCTGGGTTCAAGCAATTCTCCTGTCTCAGCCTCCCGAGTAGCTGGGATTACAGGCGCCTGCCACCACGCCCGGCTATTTTTTGTATTTTTAGTATAGGTGGAGTTTCACCATATTGGTCAGGCTGGTCTAGAACTCCTAACCTCAGGTGATCCATCCACCTTGGCCACCCAAAGTGCTGGGATTACAGGAGTCAACCACTGTACCCATCCCCCATGTGGATCTTGTACATATTTTGTTATACCTAAGTGTTTCTTTTGGGGGAGGCTTCTAATATACTTGGTATTGTGTATTTAATTTCAAAGTCTATTTGTTCATTGATGATATCTAGGAAAGCAATTGACCTTTGTGTATTAACCTTGTATCCTGAAAACTTGCCATAATTGTCTACTGGGGCTGAGCGTGGTGGACCAAGCCCTGTAATCCCAGCACTTTGGGAGGCTGAGGCAGGGGGATCCCCTGAGGTCAGGAGTTCAAGACAAGCCTGGCCAATGTGATGAAACCCCGTCTCTACTACAAACACAAAAATTAGCCAGGCGTGGTGGTGGGTGCCTGTAATCCCAGTTACTCAGGAGGCCAAAGTAGGAGAATCGCTTGAACCAGGGAGGCGGAGGTTGCAGTGAGTGGAGATCGTGCCACTGCACTCCAGCCTGAGCGACAGAGGCAAGACTCTGCTTCAAAAATATATATGTATTAGTCTGTAGTTGTATTTCCTTGTAATGTCTTTGTCTGGTTTTTGTAGTAGGGTAATGCTGGACCCATAGAATGATTTAGGATATTTCCTCTGTGTCTGTCTTCTGGAAGAGACTGTAGAAAATTGGTATAATTTATTCACTAAATGTTTGATAGAATTACCAGTGAACCCATCTGGGCATGATGCTTTTTGTCTTGGAAGGTTATTATTTATTGAATTTCTTTATAGATATAGGCCTATTCAGATTGTCAATTTCTTCTTGTGTGAGTTTTGGCAGATTGTATCCTAAAGGAATTGATCCATTTCATCTAGGTTATCAAATCTGTGGACACAAAGTTGGTCTTTATTCTCCTTTTTTTTGAGATGGAGTTTCGCTTTTGTTGCCCAAGCTGGAGTGCAATGGTGTGATTTCGTCTCACTGCAACCTCCGCCTCCCAGGTTCAAGGGATTCTCCTGCCTCAGCCTCCCGAGTAGCTGAGATTACAGGTGCGCACCAAGATGCCCGGCTAATTTTTTGTATTTTTAGTAGAAATGGGGTTTCAGCATGTTAGCCAGGCTGGTCTCAACTCCTGACTTCAAGTGATCGACCAGCCTCGGCCTCCCAAAGTGCTGGGATTACAGGCATGAGCCACCGTGCCCGGTCCTCTCCTTTTAATTTCTATGGGCTCTGTGGTGATGTCCCCTCTTTCACTTCTGACATTAGTAATTTCTGTCTTGATTTTTTTCTTGGTTAGTCTCACTAGAGGCTTACCAATTTTATTAAGCTTTTCAAAGAACCAGTTGTTGGTTTTGTTGATTTTCTCTACTCATTTCCTGTTCTCAATTTTATTGCTTTCTGTTCTAATCGTTATATTTCTTCTCTTCTGCTTGCTTTGGATTTAGTTTACTCTTTTTTTTCTAGTTTCTAAGGTAGTTGATTGTATAATAAATCTTTCTTCTTTCCTACTATAATGCATGCAATGCTATAAATTTCCCTCTAAGCACTACTTTCGCTGTATCCCACAAATTTTGATAAGTTGTGTTTTCATTTTCATTAGTTCAAAATATTTTAAAATTTCTCTTGCGATTTCTTCTTTGACCCACGGGTTGTTTGAATCACATTGTTTAATTTCTAAGTATTTTGAGATTTTTCAGCTATCTTTCTGTTATTGATTTCTACTTTAATTCATTGTAGTTTGAGAGCAGGCATTGCATAATTTCTACTCTTTTAAATTTGTTAAGGTGTGCTTTATGGTCCACAGTGTGGTCTATCTTGGTGAATGTTCCATGTGACTGTAAGAAGAATGCATTGCTGAGTGAAGCAGTCTACAGATGTTCATTATATCCAGTTATTTATGGTGTTGCTGATTTCAACTACATCCTTAATGATTTTCTGCCTGCTGGATCTGTCCATTTCTGGAAGAAGGATGTTGAAGTCTCCATCTCTAATAGTGGATTCATCATTTCTCCTTGCAATTGTAACAATTTTTGCCTCATGTATTTTTGATGCTCTGTTATTAGGTGCAACACAGCAAGGATTATGTCTTCTTGCAGAATTGACCCCCTTATCATTATGTAATGCCCCTCTTTCTGCCTGATAATTTTGCTTACTCTGAAGTTTGCTCCATCTGAAACTAATGCCCCTCTTTCTGCCTGATAATTTTGCTTACTCTGAAATTTGCTCCATCTGAAATTAATATAGCTACGCCCACTGTTGTTTTTTTTTCCTTTTTTTTTTTTTTCAAGATGGAGTCTTGCTCTGTCTCCCAGAGCTGGAGTGCAATGGCGCAATCTCAGCTCACTGCAACCTCTGCCTCCCGGATTCAAGTAATTCTCCTGCCTCAGCCTCCCAAGAAGCTGGGATTACAGGCACACGCCACCAGCCCTGGCTAATTTTTGTATTTTTAGCAGAGATGGGGTTTCACCATGTTGGGCAGGCTGGTCTCGAACTCCTGACCTCATGATCCACCCGCCTCAGCCTCCCAAAGTGTTGGGATTACAGATGTGAGCCACTGCACCCAGCCCCACTATGTTTTAATTAATGCTAACTATATCTTTCTCCATCCACTCACTTTTGGTCTGTATGTGCCTTTATATTTAAAATGGGTTTATTGTAGACAACATATAGTTGGGGCTTTTTAAAAATTCATTCTGACAGTCTCTGTCTTTTAATTGATGCATTCAGACCCCACTGACATTCGAGGTGATTATTGACATAGTTGGATTCATACCTATCATATTTGTTACTGTTTTCTCATTGTTGCTCTTGTTTGTTCCTACTTTTATCTTCCGCTCTTTTTCTGGCTTTTGTAATTTTAAGTGAGCATTTGTATTATTCCATTTTCTCTCCTTGCTCTTAGCATATCAGCTATACTTGTTTTTTTTCCATTTCTTTTATTTTAGTGATTGCTCTGGAGTTTACAATATACAGTTAAAACTAATCCAAGTCTGCTTTCAAATAACACCATACTACTTCACATGTAGTGCAAGTACCTTATAATAACAAAATAATCCTAATTACTTCCCCCATCCTTTGTATTACTACCATCATTCATTTTACTTATGTGTAACATATATATATATGACCAAATACACGATGCTATTATTATTTTGAACAAACTATTGCCTGTTAGATCAATTAAGATCAAGAAAGGCCGGGTGCAGTGGCTCACTCCTGTAATCCCAGCACTTTGGGAGGTCGAGGCGAGTGAATCATTTGAGGTCAGGAGTTAAAGACCAGCCTGGCCAACATGGTGAAACCCTGTCTCTACTAAAAATTAAAAAAAAAAAAAAAATTGGCCAGGCATGGTGGTTCACACCTGTAATCATAGCACTTTGGGAGGCCAAGGCAGGCAGACTGCCTGAGCTCAGGCATTCAAGACCAGCCTGGGCAACATGGCGAAACCCCGTCTTTACTAAAAATACAAAAAATTAGCTGGGTGTGGTGGTGCACACCTGTAATTCCAGCTACTTGGGAGGCTGAGAGGGGAGAATCACTTGAACCTGGGAGGCAGAGGTTGTGCTGAGCCAAGATCGTGCCACTGCACTCCAGCCTGGACAGCACAGAGAGACTCTGTCTCAAAAACATAAAAAATAAAAATAAAAATAAAATTAGAGAGTCCAGAAAATTAAAACGAGAGAGTCCAGAAAATTCTCACAGCACTAAAGTCTTATAGGGAAATCAGTTCTTTCCTTCATCCTTCTAAGAGATTCACTCATAGGTTCACTAAGCACCTGCTGGCATCAGGTGCCATGCTAGGGACAGGAATGTCTGCGACATGATTCCTACCTTCAAGAAGCTTGTAGACTATTGAAACAAACAAACATTGATACAATGTGTAACAGCATATGAAGCACAAGTTCTATCACTTTTAATCCTCATTACAACTCGCCATTTCCTCCACTTTTCAGATGTGGAAACTCTTTGACCACAACCTTCAATTCTTGCTCAACCATTCCCACTATGCCTCAGCCCCTCGCTCAGGACTGCCAGTCCTCTGCCTCCTCTGCTTGGTTTGCAGGCATCAGCTCCTTCCATTTTCACTTCCCTTTCTGTCCATCTTACATCCTATAGTCCACTGTTTTTGTCACTTTTGTTGATACTATAAAGTCCCTTGCTTTTCTGAACTTTAATCACACCTTTATGGAAACATCCCGCTTCTGGATGAACTGAACTATTTCCTTCTTCACATTTGCAGTGAATCTCTGAGTACCACGGACAGTCTCACATGTTGTGACTTCAAGTTTACGGTCCCACCAGGGCCTTAACACTGCCTGGCGATCCTGCTACATCCCAGTGACCAACCTGCTCCTTCCCTCCATGCAATGAGTGCTCACACCTCCTCTATGCAAATTTCCAGATGCTACCTCATCATGCTCTTGCTGTCAACAGATGACATGGAACCCATCTTCACCAAAAAACTCAACATCCTCCTTTACAATGACAGAGGTCCAGTTGTTGACAATACCAAATATGAGCAAAGATATGGAGCAACTGGAACTCTCATAAATTGCTGGTGCAAGTGTGTGGGGGAAACTCCCTCTAACTGTGTTTTTCCTCTACTCTCACACTGCAACATTCAACATAGAAGAAGACTTCTATAGCCAAATGTGTTGCAGGGGGTTCCCTACACACCAAGTGGCAGACACCAGCTGGCTGTCCTCTAATTCAGTTCCCACACTGTCTTCCCGACGCTGTCTCCCACAGCTTGAGGGCTTAGTCCGCAAGACTGCCCCCTGTCACACCAGTCACAAGCCCAAGCCTCTGGAACTTCTGATCAACTGGCTTCAAGTTGGGGTTCCCATGACCCCCTCTTTGGGTTCGACTAATTTGCTGAAGCAGCTCACAGAACTCAGGGAACTTACTTATGTTTATAGGTTTATTATAAAGGATATTGCAGAGGATACAGGTGAAGAGATGCACAGGGTGAAGTATGGGAAAACGGGCATGGAGCTTCCATGCCCTCCCCGGGGGCATCACCCTCCAGGAGCCTCCACATGCTCAGCTACCCAGAAGCTCTCTGCACCCAGTCATCTTGGGTTTTTATGGACGCTTCAAGACATCAGCATTCCTTCTCCCAGGGTATAGGGTGGGACCCTCTCACTGGAAGGTATTTAGACCCACAATCAGAAAGGAGGGGGAACATTAGAGTCCTGCCTTGGAACAGGTAAAAAGAGGGCAGGAGGTCAGAGGCCTGCCCCTGAGGCCCAACGCACCCAACATTATAACAAAAGACTGTAACAGGGGCTTTTGGGGTTATGAGCCAGGAACCGTGGATGATATCCAATATACATCATAACACCGCAGCAAGTTTAAAATGTTACAGCTACTTTGGAAAACTCTTTAGGATTGCTTATAAAGCTAAATATACACTTACTCTATGACCAAGCTATTCTACTCCTAGGTATTTATCCAAGAGACAGAAAAACAAATATCCAAAATACTTGTATAAGAATGTTCACAGCAGATTTTATTTATAATAGTCAAAAACTGGAAACAACCCAAATGTCCATCAACAGGTGACTGGATAAATTAATTGTGGTCTATTCATACAATAGTGACCTACTATATTCCGCTGTAGTAACACACAGGTACACACAATGACATGGCTGAATCTCAAAACATTATGTTGGGCAAAAGAAGTTAGATAAAAATAAGCCACGGCTGGGCGTGGTGGCTCAAGCCTATAACCCCAGCACTTTGGGAGGCCAAGGCAGGCAGATCACTGGAGGTCAGGAGTTCAAGACCAGCCTGGCCAACATGGTGAAACCCCATCTCTACTAAAAATACAAAAAATTAGCTGGGCATAGTGGCAGACACCTGTAAGGCAGGGATCCCTTAGGATCCCTGTAAGGAGCTGAGGCAGGAGGATCCCTTGAGCCTGGGAGGCAGAATTTGCAGTGAGCTGAGATCACGCTACTGCACTCAAGCCTGGGTAACAAAGTGAGACTGTCTCAAAAAAAAAAAAAAGAAAAATAATTCACAGACCATCCTTGTAACTAAATCTTTGCACACATTTTATTTCCTTAGGATAGACTCCTAGAAGTGGAAATGCTAAGTCAAAGAGTGTGAGCACTTTTAAAGCCTTTGAAACCTATGAGAACGTTGGCTTTGAGGCTAGACAGACCTGACCTTGAATTCCTGGCTTATGGCGTGTGGCCTTGAGCCCACCACTTCCGGGTACTGTGCGTGTGCCCAGTACTCCTCCTTGTCCCTCTATTTGGCTACTTATCACATTCTACTTTATTATCACTATTAATCCATGGGTCTTGCATATTATAAACCCCTAGTTATAAACCCCTGAGGGCAAGGCCTATGCATATTCATCCCCGCATCCTGCCCAGCACCCAGCACAGAGCTCAGCGTCCAGGCCAGGGGCAGTTGGTGCTACAGGAAGAGTAACGGCCAGGAAGGAAGGCATCCAGGTTCCATTCCCAACCTGCCCACTACACACGGTCATAGAAAAGCCTCTCATGACCTGGCCCCATTACCTGGGCAAACTCATCACCTCTCACTCTGTTCTTCAGCAGTTCTGAACTTGTGCTTCTCAAGAACTAGTAGATCCCAGAACACACCTTACTTTTTTACATTTGCATGCCCTCACCCACTTCTCAAGACTGGTAGCCCATATTGTGCCTTTGTGGAAATTAGGAAAAGGTGCCACATCCCCCTCGTGAGGCTAGATTCCAGACCCCACTCATCCCTTGACTGGCACCATACTGCCCTGACCAACCTGCATACTATTTCAACATAGCCTGGAGCAAACACGCTGGTCCACCCAGCAAACCCCTCCTCATCCATCAAGCCACAGCTCAGCTGCTACCGCCTCCGTGAAGTCATCTTCAGATACCCTCACAGGTTTCGCTGGTTTCTCTGCTAAGCTTCCACTGCTTTTTAAACAGCCTCCATTAAAACAATTATCTTTTTCGAATCGTGGCTTTTGGCCAGGTGCGTGGCTCATGCTTGTGATCCCAGCACTTTGGGAGGTTGGGACGGGCAGATCACTTGAGCCCAGGAGTTCGAGACCAGCCTGGGCAACATGGCAGAACGCCATCTCTACCAAAAATACAAAAAATTAGCCAGGCGTGGTGGTGCACTTGGTCCCAGCTACTCAGAAGGCTGAAGTGGGAGGATCGCTTGAGCCCAAGAGGCAGAGGATGCAGTGAGCCAAGATCTTGCCACTGCTCTCCAGCCTTGGTGACAGAATGAGACCCCCATCTCAAAAAAAAAAAAAAAAAAGGAATTGTGGTTTCCCCTACATATCTCCTTACCTCATGAGATTATCCTCAATGTATTTTCATCTTTTATTTCTTTTCCTTTTTTTTTTTTTTTTTTTTGAGACAGTCTCACTCTGTTGCCCAGGCTGGAGTGCAGTGGCGCAATCTCGGCTCACTGCAACCTCCGTCTCCCGGGTTCAAGGGATTCTCCTGCCTCAGTCTCCTGAGTAGCTGGGATTACAGGCATGCACCACCACGCCCGGCTAATGTTTGTATTTTTAGTAGAGACGGGGTTTCACCGTGTTGGTCAGGCTGGTCTCCAACTCCTGACCTTGTGATCCGCCTGCCTCGGCCTCCCAAAGTGCTGGGATTACAGGCGTGGGCCACTGCGCCCGGCCCTCTTTTATTTCTTATACAAAGCCCAGTTCCTAACACATAGGAAGTGATTGATAAACTTGTTGAAAGAATGAGGGACAGTTTTCCTCTCTAGCTTTCATGTTGCTTGTCTGAGAATAAAGGAATCAGAACAAGATGCCTGAAGTTCCTGCCAACTCTAAAATACTCTTTTCCAGTATGCATTAAGTAAATATTAGTTAAGTAAATAAGCAATACCCACCAAAAGAAAATCCCTTTAAAGGTGTGTCTTGAAAGAACATGAATCAATTTGTTTGAGTTTTCTTCTAGAAGCAGTTTGGTATGAGTTTTTGGAAGCTCTTAAATGTTTTGCCTTGCCTCTGGAAACTTTCAGAGACCATCTGAGATCAGCCAAAAATAGAGTTTAAGAAGAATTGCTTTAGGAAATCCTTCCAAAGAGTGTCTTGTCTTTCATCTCATTCAGATTCCTCAAATTAGGCAATTTGGAGACAATCTCTGTCTTGAAATTATGTAAATTACCCATCTCTGTTATTTGTCTTTCTCGGATATTTTCAAAAAAGAAACGTCTGTTTCTTGACACAAGGCAACTCTTTACGCATCTTTGAGGCTAACGCTAACGTTACTTCTCTGATGAGAAGAAATTTTACCCTGTGTCCTTTCTTCCTCTCCAGAGAGGCTGTCCTTAAGTGGACATTGTCAACCTCCTCAGAGAGTAGCAATTCTGTTTGAGGGCTTCAAGCCCCTGAGAAACTAATAGGACCAGAGATCTAGAAGTGGAACTTTTACAAACCATATGGGCTCATGCATCCCCAAAGTTCACAAACTCCTTAAAATTCTATTCACAATATCGTATGCATGCGTGCACTATTTTTTTTGTTGTTGTTGTTTGTTTGTTTGTTTGTTTGAGATGGAGTCTTGCTCTGTCGCCCAGGCTGGAGTGCAGTGGTGTGATCTCTGCTCACCGCAACCTCTGCCTCCTGGGTTCAAGCGATTCTCCTGCCTCAGCCTCCCCAGTATCTGGGATTACAGGTGCTTGCCACCATGCCCGGCTTATTTTTGTACTTTTAGTAGAGATGGGTTTTTGCCATGTTGGCCAGGCTGGTCTCGAACTCATGGCCTCAAGTGATCCGCCTGCCTCAGCCTCCCAAAGTGCTGGGATTACAGGTGTGAGCCACCACACCCAGCCTGCATGTGCATTTTCCTTCCCTCCTTCCTTCCTTCCTTCCTTCTTTCTTTCTTTCTTTCTTTCTTTTTTTTGAGATGGAGTCTTACTCTGTCACCCAGGCTGGAGTGCGGTGGCGCGATCTTGACTCACTGCAACCTCTGCCTCCCAGGTTCAAGCGATTCTCCTGTCTCAGCCTCCCGAGTAGCTGGAATCACAGGCGCCTGCCACTACACCTGGCTAATTTTTTTTTTTTTTTTTTTTTTTTTTTTTTTTTTTGAGACGGAGTCTCGCTCTGTCGCTCAGGCTGGAGTGCAGTGGCGTGATCTTGGCTCACTGCAAACTCCGCCTCCCGGGTTCACACCATTCTCCTGCCTCAGCCTCCCGAGTAGCTGGGACTATAGGCGCCCGCCACCACGCCCAGCTAATTTTTAATAGAGACAAGATTTCACCATGTTGGCCAGACTGGTCTTGAACTCCTGACCTCAGGTAATCCACTCACCTTGGCCTCCCAAAGTGCTGGGAATACAGGCGTGAGCCACCGCACCCAGCCACAGGAGCTTTTATGTTCAGATCATAACCAGGCGTGGTGGCTCACTCATGTAACCCTAGAACTTTGGGAGGCTGAAGTGGGAAGATTGCTTGAGGCCAGGGGAGTTGGAACCAGCATGGGCAACATAGCAAGACTCTGTCCCTATTTTAATTTTTTAATTTTATTTATTTATTTATTTATTTATTTTGAGACAGATTCTTGCTCTGTTGCCCATGCTGGAGTGCAATGCCATGATCTCAGCTCACTGCAACCTCTGCCTCCCGGGTTTAAGCGATTCTCCTGCCTCAGCCTGCCAAGTAGCTGGGATTACAGGCACGTGCCAACGCATCCAGCTAATTTTTGTATTTTTAGTAGAGACAGGTTTCACCATGTTGACCAGGATGGTCTCGATCTCCTGACCTCGTGATCCGCATGCCTCGGCCTCCCAAAGTGCTGGGATTACAGGTGTGAGCCACCGCACCCGGCCCCTATTTTAATTTTAAAAAGAAAACAAGATCAGGTCATACTTTGGTGCATTCTTTTTTTCTTTCTTTCTTTTTTTTTTTATTTGAGATGGAGTCTCGCTCTATCACCCAAGCTGGAGTGCAGTGCTGCAATCTCGGCTCACTGCAACCTCTGCCTTCCGGGTTCAAGCGATTCTCCTGCCTCAGCCTCCCGAGTAGCTGGGACTATAGGCACTTGCCACCATGCCCAGCTAATTTTTGTATTTTTAGTAAAGATGGGGTTTCACCATGTTGGCTAGGATGGTCTCAATCTCTTGACCTCGTGATCCGCCAGCCTCAGCCTCCCAAAGTATTGGGATTACAGGCGTGAGCCACCACGCCCAGCCTTTGGTATATTCTTTTAGGTTATGTTAAAGATAGATTCTTCAAGTCACAGATAGGAGTACTTGGGATCACCCCTCTGCCCCCACCAGTGGCCCTCCCTTAGGGGGTTCCTCAAATTCTTTGAACTTGCTGAAACCCAGCCTGCTGTGCTGACACAAGAGAAGCCCTGGGAGGATACCCGACGCCTGGCACCTCTGCCCTTATGTCCCTTTTTTTTCTGTTAGAATCCCATTTTGTTTTCTTTTTATAGATGTAGGGAGTACAGTGCAGTTTTGTTACATGGATATATTGAGTAGTGGTGGAGTCTGGGCTTTTAGTATAACCACGATCCGAATAGTGTACATTGTACCCATTGGGAAATTTCTCATCCCTCACCCACCTCCCACCCTCCCACCTTTCCAAATCTCCAATGTCTACTATTGCACTCTCTGTGTCCATGTGCACACATTATTTAGCTCCCACTTATAAATGAGAACATGCAGTATTTGACTCTGTCTCTGAATTATTTCACTTAAGGTAATGGCCTCTAAGGGTTCCATCCACATTGCTGCAAAAGATGTAATTTCATTCTTTTTAATGGCTGAGTAGTATTCCATGGTATAAATATGCCACATTTTCTTTATACAATCATCCATTGGTGGGCCCCTAGGTTGATTCCATATCCCTGCTCTTGTAAACAGTGCTGCGATAAACGTATCTTCAAAATAACAGCCTTGAAGCCCTAATTGGGCTCCTGAGAGGGCCACGTGAGACAGTGTGAAGAGCGAAATCACTATTCTGCCACAAGAGGGCACCCAAAGCCCAGACAGATGGGACGACGCGCTTCCTGCCTCCATTGGAATCAAGCGCATGACTGGATAGCAGAGGCTCCTTGGGCAGGGAGCCACAGCTTGAAGGTCCCAGTTATGCAACTGGCCCCAAGGCCCTTCTACCCCTTCCCCAGGGGACTTCACCAGCTCCTTTTAGGACAGAGTTTGTGTATGGTTCTTGCTGGCTTCAGTCCCTCCCGTAGAGGTGACCCTGAGTAGCTGGGATTACAGGTGCCAGCATATGCACCTGTAATCCCTCCTCCCTGGGGAAAATCTCTGCCCTGGATGGGTAAGATCCTGACCCTGCGTGAACGTGGCATGCGCTTCTGTTCTCCACTCCCTGGAGTTCCTCCTGAGGCCGTGCAGGATCCTGTCCAGTGCTCACAGGCATGAGCATGACTTCAGGGTTGTGAGCAGAGCCCTGCAGAGGTATGCATATGGCTATGGAGTGGTGACCTACTCGGACAGAAAGAATAAGGAAAGGATCCAGTAGCCAGGCCAAAAGGAAGAGGCACCAAGAAGGGCTGCAGCTTGAGGGTGGAGATTCCAGACTTCCAGATACTCTAGTGGGGGTACGATTTGGACCCAGGAGGCAGGTTGCAAATCTAAACCCATCAGAAGCATATGGACTCTTCTTTTGATTAGTTGTCAATGCGAAAAAATTTTTTTAATTTTTAAAAAGGGTATAGACTTAGACAAACTCAGAACTATTAAATTTATAATGTAGTTTGAAACATTTAAGGGAACATTGTACTAAACTGAGAACTATATAGATGTACGCAGGCCCAAGTCTGGCTTCCTAGCCTCAAATCTGGCAAATAAATAAGGTTAGCCTTCCTGAGACGGTAATCACAGATCACGGTCATACACTGCCCACTTGAGTAAAACCGTTCCCCTTGGGGACGAGTGTTCTTTTAACCCCAAGAAGGTTTGGAATCAATCTTTATGATGGCTTTTACCCTCTCAACTTAGCTAAGACGAAACCATATTTCTTGGAAATTAATCCCTGTATGGTTCTGGGTGAGGGTTGGCCACAAGAGAAATGTAAGATTTGAGAGGTAGGAAAACAGAATAGGAGCGGCCGTCGTGCTCTGAGGCCAGCATGGGGTGACAGTCATCTGCTGGCTCACCTTGTCTGCACGGATGGCAGCCAGACTGGCAGCTCTTCCAGCTCCCGTCAGATCGCCTCCTTCAGCTTCTCTAATTCTTGGCCACACAAGTGCAACTCCGTGGCAAGGAGTGCTAGGTCCTTCTGCAGACACCCATACCATCGGGGTGGGTGGTGGTGAGGCACAGACGCAGGCTCCGGATGGCCTTTGCCCTGCCCCCACTTCACATCCAGTGCTTCTCCCAACTGACCCATAGTGACCTCAGGTCCACCACAGATACGGAGGCCTCCAAAGACTCCTTCCCCAGCTGCCATGATTGATTAAGGTCTAATCTCTAAAATAAGTTCCTTATTCCATAACACTCATAGTGGTTTTGACTCTCTGGTCAAACCTTAACTGATAAAAATCAAAAGTGATGAAGCAAATCAAACTCATGCTAAGTTTCAAACAGGTTTTAACCACTGCATGCATTTGGTACTTAAAGTTTTTGTAATGCTTAAAAGAATCTGACATATATTAATACTTAAATAGGAAATGCATGAAACTACAGAAAAAAAAATTAAAAAAATTTTAAACAATTTGACATAGAAGTATTATAGATTAGCCTCATTATTATATTAATATTTAAAATGTATAATTGCCGGGCATGGTGGCTCATGCCTGTAATCCTAGCACTTTGGAAGACTGAGGCGGGCAGATCGCTTTGAGCCCAGGAGTTCAAGACCAGCCTGGACAACCTGGTGAAACCCTGTCCCTAGTAAAAATGCAAAAACTAGCTGGGCTTCATGGCGTGCGCCTGTAGTTCCAGCTACTCGGGAGGCTGAGGTGGGAGGACTGCTTGAGGCGAGGAGTTCGAGGCTACAGTGAGCCGTGATCACACCACTACACTCTAGCCTGGGCAACAGAGCCAGACCCTGTCTCACAAAACAAAAGAAACAAACAAACCACACAAACTTGCAACATCCTGCTTCTTGCAGCTCTCCCCATCCGGCCCACCCCATTCCTTTGGCGTGAAAATATGATGGGGTCTCCTCAGCCCTAGAAGCACCCACACCGTTCAACCTAAAGCTCCCACTGACTAGCTGAGCTCTCATAAAGGTGAGATTTGTCGCATACGCCTCCCATACACCTCTTCCTAGTAGATTTCTTCACTCTTTCCCTTCCATTCTGAGCACGGCCCCACTTAAGGAACTCTCAGCTCTCATGTTGCCCTATCCCAGTCAAGAAGGAAGTTGCTGGTGATCAAGTCATACTCCAGTGAACACTGACTGGCACCTCTTCTGCATCAAGTCCTAGCAGGGCATTCACCCGAGTTACCAAACATGGCTGCTCACACCCGCCCTCCGAGGCCAGCATCTGCATCCCCATGTGACAGTGGAAACAAACCCACGGAGCCTGAGCAACTGGGCAGCCAGCAAGTGACTGAGCAGAGAGACGGCCTTGGACGCAGGCCAAGCAGCACAGATTTACTCGAATCATCCTCCGCTCCTTCAGATTTTCACCAGCTGATTGATCCTTGGACTTCCCCCCCAGGCTTCTCTGACATCACCAGCCACCAGGACCCTGCCTATGCCTGTGGCCTGCAACATTCCTCTATGCACATCAAAGTAGGGAGCATCAGGCCGGGTGCGGTGGCTCACACCTGTAATCCTAGCACAATGAAAGACCGAGGTGGGCAGATAACTTGAGACCAGGAGTTCAAGACCAGCCTGGCCAACACGGCGAAACCCCATCTCTACTAAAAATACAAAACAATTAAGCAGGGATGATGGTGTGTGCCTGGGGTCCCAGCTACTTGGGAGGCTGAGGCATGAGAATTGTTTGAACCCGAACCCAAGGCTGAGGCAGAAGTTGCAGTGAGCCAAGATCGCGCCACTGCACTCCAGCCTGGGTGAGAGAACTCCAGCCTGGGTGACAGAGGGAGGCTCCATCTCCCAAAAAACAAAACAAAACAAACAAACAAAAAAAACAAGTAGACAGCATCAATTCTGGCCAACTTATGGGTAAAAGAGAAGGCTGCCACAGCCCTTGCCCTTTGGGAGTGCCTGTCCCTTCAGTAGCTGCCCCAAAAATCCTGCAGAAGAGAAGGGTCAGAGGAAGCACCTGTAATAAAGGGTGAGGCCCCACCAACCCACTCTCTTCCTCTCCTCTCCTAGCCGAGGGAGCCATCAGAGGCAAAGGGAGTGTGGGAAAGATTAGTCAGACATGTTTCCCTTTGTGTCACAGAGTCAAACTCTCCATCCGTGACTTCAGAAAAGTCACAAGAGAGCCCCAGCAACGGCCCACAGGGTGTCATAGCAACACGCCTACACCTCAAGGTGCCACCTTCCAACTCTGGAGAAAACAACTGCCTTCTTCAAATGTCAACTGCTACATGGGCAAAGAGCAACTTGAAAATGAAATTCGGGGCTGGGCGCAGTGGCTCACACCTGTAATCATTTTGAGAGTCCAAGGCGGGTGGATCACTTGAGCCCAGGAGTTCCAGACCAGCCTGGGCAACATGGCAAAACCACATGTCTTCAAAAAAATACAAAAAGTAGACAGGCATGATGGCATGCACCTGTAGTCCCAGCTACTCGGGAGGCTGAAGTGGGAGGATCACTTGAACCCGGGAAGTGCAGGCTGCAGTGAGCCGAGGTTGCACCACTGCACTCCCCACTCAGTCTGGGTGACAGAGCGAGACACTGTCTAAAAAAAAAAAAAGAAGAAGAAAAAAAGAAAGAAAGAAAATGAAATTGAAATTAGGGGCCGGGCACAGTGGCTCATGCTTGTAATCCTAGCACTTTGGGAGGCCGAGGCAGGCGGGATCACCTGAGGTCAGGAGTTTGAGACCAGCCTAACCATGATGGTAAAACCCAGTCTCTACTAAAAACACAAAATTAGCTGGGCATGTGTGGCGCATGCCTGTAATCCCAGCTATTCAGGAGGCTGAGGCAGGAGAATCACTTGAACCCAGGAGGTGGAGATTGCAATGAGCCGAGACTGCGCCATTGCACTCCAGCCTGGGCAACAAGAGCGAAACTCCATCTCAAAAAAAAAAAAAAATGAAATTAGGAAAAACAACTCAATTTACAATAGCATCAAAAAGAATAAATACTTAGGCATACATTGGCCAGGTGCGGTGGCTCACATCTGTAATTCCCACATTTTGGGAGGCCAAGGCAGGCGGATCACCTGAGGTCAAGAGTTCGAGACCAGACTGGCCGACATGATAAAACCCTGTCTCTACTAAAAATACAAAAAATTAGCCAGGCGTGGTGGCAGGCACCTATAATCCCAGCTACTCGGGAGGCTGAGGCTGCAGAATCGCTTGAACCTGGGAAGCAGAGGCTGCAGTGAGCTGAGATTGGGCCGCTGCACTCCAGCCTGGACAACAGAGTGAGACTCTGTCTCGAGAAAAAAAAAAAAAAACTTGGTATACATTTAACAAAGAAAGTGCAAGACTCATACACTGAAAACTAGAAAACATTGTTGAAAGACATTAAAGAAATCCTAAATAAATGGAAAGACATCTGTGTTCATGGACTGAAGGTAACAATATTTCCCAATTTCATCTACAGACTCTATGCAATCCCCATCGAAATTCTAACTGCCTTCTTTTTTGCATAAATGGACAAGCTGATCTTAAAATTCACATGCAAATGCAAGGGACACAGAGTAGCCAAAATAATTTTGAAAAAGAAGAACGAAGTTGAAGTCCCAATTTCGAAACTTACTATAAAGCTACAGTAATCAAAACCATGGTATTGACCTAAAGACAGACATACAGATCAATGGAATACAATTTAGAGTCCAGAAATCAACCCATACATCTATTGTCAATTAATTTCAGCAAGGGTGCCAAGACCATTCTGTGTGAAAAGAATAGTCTTTTCAAGAAGCAGTGCTAGGACAACTGCATATCCACAAGTAAAAGAATGAAGTTGGACCCCTACCTAAAACCAGATAAAAAATTTAACTCAAAATAAATCAAAGAACTAAATTTAAGAGTTAAAACTATAAAACTCTTAGAGGGAAATATAAGTGAAAATCTGTATGAGTTTGGATTCGGCAACAGTTTCTCAAATATGATGCCAAAAGCACAGGCAACAAAAGAAACAGTAGATAAACTGGACTTCATCAAAATGTGAAACTTTTTTTTTTTTTTTTGAGACGGAGTCTCGCTCTGTCTCCCAGGCTGGAGTGCAGTGGCGTGATCTCTGCTCACTGCAAGCTCCGCCTCCTGGGTTCACGCCATTCTCCTGCCTCAGCCTCCCGAGTAGCTGGGACTACAGGCGCCCGCCACCACGCCCGGCTAATTTTTTGTATTTTTAAGAGACGGGGTTTCAGCATATTGGCCAGGCTGGTCTCCATCTCCTGACTTCGTGATCCGCCCGCCTTGGCCTCCCAAAGTGCTGGGATTACAGGCATGAGCCACCATGCCCGGCCCAAAATGTGAAATTTTTATGCATCAAAGGGCACTATTAAGAAGGTAAAAAGACAACCCACAGTATGGGATAAATTTTTTTTTTTTTTTTTCTGAGACGGAGTCTCGCTCTATCGCCCAGGCTGGAGTTCAGTTGTGCGATCTCGGCTCACTGCAAACTCTGCCTCCCGGGTTCCACACCATGCTCCTGCCTCAGCCTCCCGAGTAGCTGGGACTACAGGCGCCCGCCACAACGCCTGGCTAAATTTTTTTTTTTTTTTTTTTTAATTTTTAGTAGAGACGGGGTTTCACTGTGTTAGCCAGGATGGTCTCGATCTCCTGACCTCGTGATCTGCCCGCCTCGGCCTCCCAAAGTGCTGGAATTACAGGTGTGAGCCCCCGCCCCGGGCCAGAGAAAATATTTTCAAATCACTTATCTAGTAAGGTCTAGAATTCATAATATCAAAAAGAAAAAAAAAAAAACTCTTGCAACTCAGCAACAAAAGACACAAATAATTTAATTTAAACACGGGCAAAGGACTTGAACAGACATTTCTCCAAAGAAAATATACAAATGGCGATGAGCACATAAGAAGATTCTCAACATCATTAGTCTTAGTGAAATACAAATCAAAACCACAATAAGATACCACTTCACACCAACTAGGGTAGTTATAACTTTTTCAAAAATAGAAATGTATCTGTGATATTTGCACATCTTTGTGAATATAGTAAAAGCACTGAATTGCACATTTTTAAATGATGAAAATGATTCATTTTATCTCAGTAAAAGTCTAGCCACTGAATTGTACATTTTTAAATTATTAAAATGATTCATTTCATCTCAGTAAAAGTCAACAGGCACCAGGGATCCCTTCAGTTTGGGCTGGAGGTCAGTGCAGTTTGGGGGGTCATCAAATGCTGAAGCAGAAGGAGTTTAGGGGTCACGCAAGTCCCAGCTGCCGTGTGACAAGTGAGGTAAAGGACACACCCTCTGTGGAGGTCTGAAGTCCCCTGACATTAGTAAGGGAGGGACAGCAGAGATCTCCCCTGTCACCACGAGGCTTTTTTCAGCCCCCAGGGCAGATGGCAAGTGTATACCATGTTTGGCACCCCTGTGATTGGCAGAGGCAATGCAGGTTGGGTCTGGAGGACAAGATTGCTGTGGGGGAGAGCCAAGGGTGGACTTCAGAACACTGGTGGTGACATAAGGGTAAAAAGGCCTTGGTCACAAAAGAGGAAACACAAACAGCGCGATCATGGAAAGACGCTCAGCCTCCCCGGGAATGGGAAGAGTGCACACTGAAACAATGAGACAGCACTTTCCTCCAATGAGATGCTCAAAAACAGTTTGCTAATACGAAAGCCTGGCAGGACGTGAGGAAATATGTGCTATCATTCCACTGCTGGTGGGAGTGTGAATTGGTAGGGCCACTCTGGAGGGCAACTCGCCAGCATCTGTTAAAGTGAAAAATGTGCACACCCTGTGACTCAGCGATTCCGATGCCCCGCACTTATTCTAGAGAGACACTCCCACATGCACAGCGAAGTATGAGATGTTTATGCAACACCACTTACGATAGTGCATTGTTGGGAACAACCTAAGTATTCGGGAACCAGGAGAATGGCTAAAAAGCCTCTGCACATCCATTCTCTATTTAACGAAACGAGTAGTTCTAGAAGTATAAAATGAAATGATCTCCAAGACATATAACTGGATTAAAAGCACGAAAAGCAAATCGTAGGATACATACTGTATATCATTTATGGAAAGAACAAAACAAACACAAAAATACAACTGTGCTGGGGCCGATGGACAATTGTGCCTGGCAGGCTGAGTCATGAGGCCAGTTAACAAGCCTTTCTCTATCTGCAAAAAGAAGTACTTTAGAAAAGCAATATAAGAAGAACATGGACCAGGGGCAGTGGTTCATGCCTGTAATCTCAGCACTTTGAGAGGCTGGGGTGGAAGGATTTCTTGAGGCCAGGAATTTGAGACCAGCCTGAGAAACATAAAGAGACCCAGTCTCTACATAAAATTAAAAATCAGTCAGGCGTGGTAGTGTGCACCTCTGGTCCTAGATACTCTGGAGGCTGAGGTAGAAAGATCTCTTGAGCCCAGGAATTCGAGGCTACAGTGAGCCATGATTGTGCCACTGCACTCCAGCCTGGGTGAGTAAGCAAGGCTGTCTCTAAAACACAAAAAGAAGAAGAACATGGAACTGCCAGACTTGGGCTATTTCATTTCCCAGAGATAATTTTTTACCGAGTGGAGAGAAAATGGGTGGTTTGTTCCTTAGGCTCTATTTCTTGCTCTGTGCTAGAATTATCGCAGCTTTGTGTAAGATTTCCTTCAGCAAATATAGGTAGCCTGCGATGCCCCAAATAAGAAAGGAAAAGACAAAGTCAGATGTTACTGCTGTCGGTCATCTCAGGTATGAAAAAGAGAGGCAGGCCCCTTGCCAGGGAGAAGGAACAACCAGATGCTGTCCATGAGGCACTCTCCTACCTCTCCTAAGACAGGGGTCGCCCTTGCTCTGAAAAATTCAAGCAGAGAATCCTCAGGAGGAGTGGGGCCAAGAAATCAGAGTAAGAAATATTTGATTATTGCTTAATAACATTTTAAGTAGAAAATAAAATAATTTTTTAAAACAGGCTGGCCGGGCGTGGTGGCTCACGCCTGTAATCCCAGCACTTTGGGAGGCTGAGGCAGGTGGATCACGAGGTCAGGAGATCGAGACCATCCTGGCCAACATAGCAAAACCCCATCTCTACTAAAAATACAAAAATTAGCTGGGCATGGTGGCATGCACCTGTAATTCCAGCTACTCGGGAGGTTGATGCAGGAGAATCGCTTGAACCTGGGAGGCGGAGGTTGCGGTGAGGCAAGATCATGCTATTGCACTCCAACCTGGTGACAGAGCGAGACTCTGTCTCAAAACAAAAACAAAAACAAACAAACAAACAAACAGGCCGGGCATAGTGGCTTACGCCTATAATCCCAGCACTTCAGGAGGCCGAGATGGGCGGATCACCTGAGGTCAGGAGTTCAAGACCAGCCTGACCAACATGGTGAAACCCTATGTCTACTAAAATATAAAAATTAGCCAGATGTGGTGGGGGGCGCCTATAATCTCAGCTACTCGGGAGGCTGAGATGGGAGAATTGCTTGAACCCAGGAGGTGAAGGTTGCAGTGAGCCGAGATCATGCCATTGCACTCCAGCCTGGACAACAAGAGCGAGACTCCACCTCAAAAAATAAGAAGGAAAGAAAATAATTTTTAAAAACATAAACATATGCCTACCACAGTGGCTCATGCCTGTAATCTCAGCACTGTGGGAGGCTGAGACAGCTGGATCAATTGAGGTCAGGAGTTCAAGACCAGCCTGGCCAACATGGTGAAACCCCATCTCTACTAAAAATACAAAAATTAGCCGGGTGTGCACACCTGTGGTCCCAGCTGCTTGGGTGGCTGAGGCAGGAGAATCACTTGAACCCAGGAGGTGGAGACTGCAGTGAGCTGAGAATGTGCCACTGCACTCCAGCCTTGGCAACAGAGACTCTGTCAAAAAACAAAAACAAAAACAAAAAACAAAAAACACCCACAACAACACACATAACTTTTTTGTCTAGGAAAGTTCTGGAAGAATACTCAATAATCTGAAAACAGTGCCTACACTAAGGAGGTAGGGAGAGGACCAGGGATTGGGGGAGGAGATTGATCAAAGGGAACCTGAGTCTTCTCTATAATTTTCCATTTTTTTTCATTTTCACCTCCAATTTTTAAAATATAATTTGTACTTTTTATTGTGAACTAAGATATGTAAAATAGTACATAAAAATAACACATTGAAAACCCACGTTCAGATCAGAAGATTAGTAGAACCTTCGAAGCGCCCTGATCACACCTTCCCTCCTCACCGGGGGAAGCAGCTCTGGCTTGTGTCTATCACTTCCTCACTTTCCTTTCTAGTTCTACCATCTGTGTGCACCCTGAACAGCAAACTGCTTCATTTTGCCTGTTTTTGAACTTTATAAATGGAATCGTATGTACTTTTCTATGCCTTGCTTCTGTGTGTTTGTGCACTATCACTTAACATGTTTTTCTATCTATTTATTTATTTATATTGTGGTAAAATATACATAAAATTTACCATTTAAACTATTTTTAAATGTATAATTCAGGGGGCATGAAGTACATTCACGATGTACAATATTATATTTTTGACATTCATGCAAATTAATCTACATGGCTACATGCAGGTGGTTCATATTCATTCCTCTAAAGCATTCCATTGGGTGAATATACAACAATTTATTATCCAACTACCGTTCTCTCCTTCCTTCCTCCCTCCTTCCCTCCCTTCTTTTCCTCCTTTCTTTCTTTCTCTTTCTTTCTTTCTTCCTTTCTTTCTTTCTTTCTCTTTCTTTTTCCTTCCTTCCTTCCTTCCTTCCTCCCTTCCTCCCTTCTCCTTTCTTTTCTTCCTTTCTTTTGCAGTGGCGCGATCTCGGCTCATTGCAACCTCCGCCTCTCAGGTTCAAGCTATTCTTATGCCTCAGCCTCCAGAGTAGCTGGGACTACAGGCATGTGCCACCACGCCCGGCTAATTTTTGTATTTTTAGTAGAGATGGGGGTTTGCCGTGTAGCCCAAGCTGGTCTCAAACTCCTGGGCTCAAGCCATCTGCCCGCCTCCATCTCTCAAAGTGCTGGGATTACAGGTGTGAGACACCACAGCAGCTTGCTTGCTTGCTTGCTTTTTCTTTTGGAATTACAAACAGTAGTGCTTGAATATTTTTGCATATGTCTCCTGGGGCACAGGTACAAGCACTCTTAGTGCATTTACCTACTGATGAAAATGATGGATTTTGCTGGTTTAATTTTTTATAAGGAGGTGATATGAATATTGCTTTTATAATTAAATTTCAATTTTAAAAAAGAAGAGAAAGCAGTTGGGATGGGCTCATAGAGTGAAAGGGCAGGGAACGGTCTATGAGACCAGAAGAAGACAGGCAGGAAGGGCGGCTGAGCCATGCCTGCAGGCTGAGCATGGAAGGTACTGTGAGTACACAGTCAGATCGGCACAGGAAATGAGCACCTTTGAGGCGTCCACTCTGTAGGGGCTCGTCAACAGTAGACTGGGGTTCAGGAGACCTGGGTTCTCTCCCAGCTCTGCCACACAGGGAAAGTCATTTCACCTCTGCACCCCACGGTTCTGATAGCTGTAGAGTGAGAGGGTAAAGCCGAAGGTTGGAATCATTTTCCAGCCCTGCTGGCTTGAAATCCTAAGCTGGCTGGAGCAGTAAGATGGGGGCTCCCCATAGGCCCACAGGACCTTCTACCTAGAAGCCAGGAGGAGGGGACAGGAGCCCAGATAGGAAAGAACTCTGTCTCTCCAAGACCCAAAAAATGACTAAAAGTAATGACTGGGCCTCACCCCAGTAAGTCAGTAGTGGTGGTGCGGTGGTTAACAGCCAGCTCTCGGAGTGGGAAGCCCTTGATCTATGGCGTTTGCTGATGTATGTGGTTGTAAGTATTCCTACTATGGCCAGCTGGCCAATTTCAAGCTACCAACGAGTAACCTCACAAAATTCCTGAAAATGTAAGGATCGGGCTTTGGCTAGGCAGTACTAGCAGGCTCCAGCACGGCCCTAGGAAGGAAGCTGCCCTAAGAGCTCAGGCTCAGACACCGCACCACGGACTAGCAGGGGAAACAAAGGTCTTAGGTCCCTCTCAGGGCTCACAGTCATGAGGCTCAGAAACAGCTGGGGAAAGTGGGGCGTGCCTCCCTCCCCGCCACAGGGAGGATCACCAGACTGGCTCCATGAGCCATTTCCCTCATCTGGTGAGCAAGGGAAGTCACTCAGAAGAGCAAGAATGGCCCAGCCACCCAGCACGGTGGCTCACACCTGTAATCCCAGCATTTTAGGAGGCAAAGGTGGGCAGATCACTTGAGCTCAAGAGTTCGAGACCAGCCTGGGGAACATGGTGAAACTCCATCTCTACAAAAAATACAAAAATTAGCTGGGCTTGCAGGGCACGGTGGCTCACGCTTGTAATCCCAGCACTTTGGGAGGCCAAGGCTGGCGGATCACCTGACATCGGGAGTTTGAGACCAGCCTGAACAACATGGAGAAACCCTGTCTCTACTAAAAATACAAAATTAGCTGGGCGTGGTGGCGCATGCCTGTAATCCTAGCTACTCTGGAGGCTGAGGCGGGAGAATCGCTTGAACCCAGGAGGGAGAGGTTGCAGTGAGCAGAGATCGCGCCATTGCACTCCAGCCTAGGCAGCAAGAGCGGAACTCCATCTCAAAAAAAATAAATTAATTAATTATCTGGGCTTGGTGGCGCATGCCTATAGTCACAGATATTTTGGGGGGCTGAAGCAGGAGGATTGCTTGAGTTCAGAAGGTCGAGGCTACAGTGAGCCGAGATGGTGCCACTGCACTCCAGCCTGGGTGACAGAGCAAGACCCTGTTTCAAAAAAAAAAAAAAAAAGCGAGTAGAAAATGCCAGGGGCAGTTGGGCACAGTGGCTTACGCCTCTAATCCTAGCACTTTGGGAGGCCAAGGCGGGTGGATCACCTGAGGTCAGGAGTTCAGACCAGCCTGGTCAACATGGTGAAACCCCGTCTCTACTAAGAATACAAAAATTAGCCAGGAGTGGTAGCGCATGCCTGTGATCCCAGCTACTTGGGAGGCTGAGACAGGAGAATTGCTTGAACCTGGGAGGTGGAGGTTGCAGTGAGCCAAGATCTTGCCACTGCACTCCAGCCTCGGTGACAGAGTGAGACTCCATCTCAAAAAAAGAAAGAAAAAAAATGCCAGGGGCCCAGGAGCCTACTGTGAGAGGAAACGTCCCGTCGCCTTGTGAAATCATGATTCTGCGTGATGAAGAACCGAGTATGAATAATACATACAGAGCAGACATATCGCCTATGCACAGCTTGTTCAATTTAGTGAGTCGTTCTGTCTCTTTCACACTCCTTTGGTTTCGTTCCCAGGTTAACTAGCTGTTCCCTCAACCCCATTTCTTGGGACTTGCAGCCTCAAATACCAAGGAAGAGAGAGGAGGAATGAATATTTATTGAGTACCCAAACAAGACAAGACCAGACATTTCATTTCTATTGTTACCCTTAATTGTCCCAACATGCTGCAAAGTGCACGACACTATCCTCAAGCAGATGAGGACTCAGTCAAGAGGTTGTGGGACATGCTGGACATGATGCGGGTAGTAGCCGGCAGAGAGGCATTTGGACCACCAACCTGTCTGGTTGTGAAAGTCAAGCTCTCTCCACCTATCCCAGGATCCTCCTGTCTCAGTGGGTTTGGGCCCTGGAACCACCCTTCAGTTCCAGGTCAAGACTGCTCCCTTCATAGCGACATCTTTCCCTCACTGTTTCTCCCCTTGCCTGGTATCTGAGAAATTCCTTTTATAGGTCTTGCCCTTCCCTGGCTACATAGACTGAGAGTCAGAAAACCTCAGTAGTCAGCACTCAAACCTTACACCTAACAATTTACATAATATCTGATTTCAGAAATTAGCTTTACCTCAGATCAAAATTAATCCTATAAATCACAGATCACGTAAAATCACAAGTGTGACAAGTCCCAAAAAAGAAAGTGTGACCAGGCTCACGCCTTGTAATCCCAGCACTTCGGGAGGCAAAGGTGGGAGGATTGCTTGAGCCCAGGAATTTAAGGCCAGCCTGGGCTACATAGCAAGACTTTGTCTCTACAAAAAGATAACAAATAAAAAAAAAAATTAGCCAGGTGTGGTCCCAGCTACTCGAGAGGCTGAGGCAAGAGGATTGCTTGAGCCCAGGAGATTGAGGCTGTATTGAGCTGTGTTGCCACTGCACTCCAACCTAGGCAACAGAGGGAGACCCTGTCTCAAACAAACAAACAAACAAAAAAAGAGGCTGGGCATGGTGGCTCACGCCTATAATCCCAGCACTTTGGGAGGCCGAGGCAGGCGGATCACGAGGTCAGGAGATTGAGACCATCCTGATGAACACGGTGAAACCCTGTCTCTACTAAAAATACAAAAATATTAGCCGGGCGTGGTGGCGGGCGCCTGTAGTCCCATCTACTTGGGAGGCTGAGGCGAGAGAATGGCCTGAACCCAGGAGGCGGAGCTTGCAGTGAGCCGAGATCGCGCCACTGCACTCCAGCCTGGGTGACAGAGCGAGACTCCGTCTCAAAAAAAAAACAACAACAACAACAAAAACATAACTATAGGTCTGTGCTCGGCCAGGTATGGGGGTAAAATTTATATTACCCACGTGGTTGGGAAACCTCCTTTATCCCCAAGAAAAGAACATGAAAACTGGTCTCAAGCCAGTGACATCCCTGGGGCGTCTGACAAAAGCAACTGCAAAAACACTGAAGGGACATGTACTCAACCCAACCACCAAGGTGGCCCACAGAAAAAGCCTGTTGAATATGCACTTTCTTTCCCTCTCTCTCTCTCTTTAATGGAGATGGGGTCACACTCCGTCACCGGCACTGGAGTACAGTGGGGTCTCACTGTGTTGCCCAGGCTGGTCTCAAACTCCTGGCCTCAAGCCATCCTCCTGCCTCAGCCTCCCCAAGTGCTGAGATTATGGTGTGAGCCACTGTGATGGGCTTGAAGATGCACTTTTGATTCAAAATTAGAAAACACACCTGAAACAGTCTGACCTAGAGAAACTTTTTCATCTAAGTCAGTCATAAAAATCAAATATTTGTGCTTAGACTCAGATCAATCTATATAAAGTGTTGAGGAAAGTTTTTTAATAACAAAACACATTAAATCATATTGCTCTTACTAAATATATTACTGTTAATGTTTTATTATATTGTGGAAAATTTTGTTACCTATTAATATTTTAATGAGAGCAACTAGATCTTTTATGTTGCAAATAAGTAAATGTGATATCTTTAAAAATTGTTTTTCCTATCCTTATCTCATTGTTTTTATTTTACTTTTATTATTTTGTTGTTGTTGCCCACACTGGTCTCAAACTCCTGAGCTCATCGATCCTCCCACCTCAGCTTCCCAAAGTGCTGGGATTACAGGCATGAGCCACTGCATCTAGCCAATCTCATCCTTTTTATGTTTCTGTATGTGACTATGTAATTCGATCTCATCCTTTAGAACTTTAGAATGTCTACATATACTTACATAGAACCTATTTGAGTATATAATATATGATTAATTTATTTAAAATATTGTGGGGAGTCGAGCCAGCGTCGCCGCAGTGATGTCGTTGGAGAGCAAGCAATTCCTGACGGAGCTGACCAGACTCTACCAGAAGTGCCGGACGTTGGGCAGCGTCTATATCACCTTGAAGAAGTATGATGGTCGAACCAAACCCATTCCAAAGAAAGGTTCTGTGGAGGGCTTTGAGCCCTCAGACAACAAGTGTCTGTTAAGAGCTATCGATGGGAAAAAGAAGATGAGCACTGTGGTGAACTCCAAGGAAGTGAGTAAGTTTCAGATGGCTTATTCAAACCTACTGAGAGCTAACATGGACGGGCTGAGAAGAGGGACAAAAAGAGCAAAAGGAAAAAGACCAAAGCAGCAGCACAGTAAAGGGCACAAATTCCCTGCTTTCACCAATTAACCACTGAATTGCTATTTTTTCCTTTGGTTTTTACTTTTGGCCACATAGCTAGGTTTCTGGTTCCCCCACAGTAGGTGTTTTCACATAAGATTAGGGTCCTCTTGGAAAGAATAGTTGCCATGTTTACAGGGTAGTTGTGGTAAGAATCTAGTTTATTTTACATGTGACTAATTGGTCTGTGCTGCATGGTTATATACTCCTGGATTATAGATTAGAAGTCTCCGAAGTCACCTCTGTGAAAAGCAAGCTATCATTAAACATGTCTGTTTATCAATCAATCAATAAATAAAATATTGTTTATTTGGGGATACATGCTGAAAATCATTTTATTGATGGGGTACAAAATAAAAAAAAAAAGCAGAGACTACTGAATTAGAAATATACATTTTTTCAGGCACAGATGGAACATTTACAACCACATACTAGGCCATAGAGCAAATCTCAAACAAATGCCAGAGGATTCATATGTATTCATTTTCTACAGCTGCTACAACAAATTACCACAAACTTAGTGGTTGAAAACAACCCAAATGTATTATGTTACAGCTCTACAGGTCAGAAGTCTAAAACAGGCCTCACCAGGCTACAATCAGTGATGGCAGGTACAGCTGCCCCTGGAGGCTGAAGGGTCAAATCCATCTCCTTGCCCCTTCCAGCTTCTAGAAGCCGCCCACATACTGAGGCTCATGGCCTTCTTCTTCCAACTTCAAAGTCAGCAACATCTTGATCCTTCTCATGCAGCTGCCTCTCTGGCGCTGTCTCCTCTGCCTCTTTGCCACTTACAAGGATGCTTGTGATTACACTGGGTCTACCTGGATAATGCAGAATAATCACCCATTGCAAGGCCAACCTTGATTCCATCTGCAGCCTTAACTCCCCTTTGCCATATTAACATGCAGTTCAGGGGCGCAGATGTCCTCGGGGGACCAACGTGCTGCCTGCCATGCTACACAGACAGAGTGCTCGGGCCACAATAAATTTAAAATTAAAATAATAAACAACAAAAAGTTAAGCCCCACAGATCTGGAAAATTTGTAATGCATTTATAAATGAAATATAGGTAAAAATAAATAATAACGGGAAAAGCAAATCAACAATAATGAAAAAAACAATATAGCAAAGCTGATGAGATGTAGCTAAAGTAGATCTTCAAGGGAAGTTTATAGCCTTAAATGCATATATTAGAAAATAAGAAATTTCTAAATTAATTAAGCATCCAATACATTAGAAAAAGAATGGCAAAGTATGCCGGGTGCAGTGGCTCACATCTGTAATCCCAGCACTTTGAGAGGCCAAGGTAGGTGGATCACTTGAGCTCAAGAGTTCGAGACAAGCCTGACCAACATGGTGAAACCACGTCTCTACTAACAATACAAAAATTAGCCAGGTGTGGTGGCGCACACCTGTAATCCCAGCTACTAAGGAGGCTGAGGCAGGAGAATCACTTGACCTCAGGAGGAGGAGGTTGCAGTGAGCCAAGATCATGCCACTGCACTCCAGCCTGGGCAACAGAGCAAGACAGCCTAAAAAAAATAATAATAATAACAGTGAAACAGCTACACACAAGCAAATCAAGTTCTACCAGGCTTTCAAGGAACAGATTATCCCTATTGTATATAATCTGTATATAAAAAAATAAAAAATAGCACTTAAAAAACAAGTGGTCAAAGCAAGGAAAATAGAATCGTGTCACAGAAACCAAGGGAAGTAATAATTCTCATGTAGGTGGAGAGCTGCCAGATCCCACATATCTCTGTTAAACTTTGCTTCCTGGATGAGGCACTCCCTACCCCTTAAATCCCCCTATTAGGGGTATAGACACCTATATTGCACCCCAACTCTCTCCTTCATAGCAATAATGACCATTACTAACTAATTTTAATTTTGTTTTGTTTTTTGGGTTTTGTGAGATGAGGTCTTGCTCTATCTCCCAGGCTTGAGTGCACTGGCATGATCATGGCTCACTGCAACCTCGACCCCCTGGGCTCAAGTGATCCTCCCACCTCAGCCTTCCGAGTGGCTGGGACCACAGGCACGTGCCACCACACCCAGTTAATTTATTTTTATTATGTGTAGAGACGGGGTGTCACTCTGTTGCCCAGGCTGGTCTTAAACTCCTAGGCTCAAGCAATCCTTCCGCCTCGGCCTCCCAACGTGACTGGGATTCCAGGTGTGAGCCGCCTCACCTGGCCAATTTTACATTTGTCTTTGAGATTATATGATCGATGTCTGACTCTCACACTGGTGTGTCAACTCCGTCAGGGCAGAAACCACATATTTGTCTGTTTGTTTTTCATCTTTGTGCCCCATTACTTGGCTGGTTCCTAACACAAAATGAATGTGCAAAAAACGCTTGTCAAATGAATGAGGAGGTCTAAGGGGCCTTGAGCCCTCTGACGTTTCCATTTTATAATTGTGGACAGAGCCGCTACAGCACAAAGCTGAGCTGGACCATCCAATGTTTAGCCAGTGCCTTACGTGCTAGGAGACACTGGGAGCTGTGCTGGGCTTCTGAGGAGTGGGCAGAGGCTGGAAATACCCATAGTTGGTCAGTCTCCTGTGTCACCCAGACTGGGGAGGTGCAGAAATGAAAATTACAGAGCTGCGAGGACCCAGAACCTCATTAATGAGCTTAACTCACTGTCCTGACCAGGTGGCCTCTCAAAGCCTTGCTGGGAAGGAGGCTTTAAGGTGGTGGGGGCAGCAGTGCTGGTGGTGGTCATCGAAGAAAGTGGGAGTCGGGGAGGAAGCAATGGGGAGCAGGGGACAAAGAGGGCCAGACAAACTCAGAGCTTCAGGTGATGAGACTCAGGAAGCCTAAGTCAGGAACAGTGATTGCGGACATCTTTGTCCCATAACAGAACTTCCTCCTAAGGAAAGGTCTTGCAGAGACTGGTCCTGCTGAGCGCTTTAACAGGTTATTGATTCATAAAAATTGGAGAAAAAAGACAAAGTCTGCCACACCTAACAGCCTTCTGTTTAGAGCTGGTTTAGAGGAAACTTTAAGCAAGTCTTGTGTCCAACAATTTGGGCCTGAGGCAGGGTACAGGTAAGGGAACAGACAGGAGACACGGAGGCAAGAACAAGACTTTAGCTGAAAGAGAAATCAGAGCCAGAGGCAGCCACAAGAACACCCAACCTACTGGAACTCATGCAGGTGGACAGCCTGCCCAGGACTTGCCCTGAGTGGGAAGCAAAGAGCATCTTATCTAGATTTTAAGGAGCAGGGTGCCCCTGGCTGACATCTAGGCTACAGTCACTGGGCCAGGTGGAGGGTTGGTCAGGCCCTCTCAAAAGTCATGAGAGGCCAGGCACAGTGGCTCACGCTTGTAATCCCAACACTTTGGGAGGCCGAGGAGGGCAGATCACTTGAGGCCAGGAGTTTGAGACCAGCCTGGCCAACATAGTGAAACCCCGTCTCTACTAAAAATACAAAAAATTAGCCGGGTATGGTGGCCGGTGCCTATAATCCCAGCTACTTGGGAGGCTGATGTATAAGAATCGCTTGAACCTGGGAGGCAAAGGTTGCAGTGAGCTGAGATCATGCCACTGCACTCCAGCCTGGGCAACAGTGAGAGACCCTTTCTCAAAAAAAAAAAAAAAAAAAAGAACCAAAAAAAGTCATGAGAGTCCTCAGAGTTCTCAAGAAGGGCTGCTGTGGGCCTGTTTCTGGAAAGGAAAGAAAAGCAGGGAGCTGTTGAGAAAATACCATATGTTTTTATGCCCCAGCCAGGCATGGGGGAGAGGCTGACCCCAAAAGAGAAAGTGGTTGTGTGAGATTTCAAGGAAGATGTCAGCGGGCTGCATCCCAGGGCCTCTAGACAAAAGGAAGGGCCCAGCCAGGCATGGTGGCTCGTGCCTGTAATCCCAGCACTTTGGGAGGCCGAGGCAGGCAGATCACCTGAGGCTAGGTGTTCTGGTCCAGCCTGGCCAACATGACAAAACCCCATCTCTACTAAAAATACAAAAAATAAGCTGGGCGCGGTGGCTCTCCCCTGTAATCCCAGCCAAGGTGGGCGGATCAACTTGAGGCCAGCCTGACCAACGTGGCAAAACTCCATCTCTACTAAAAATACAAAAATTAGCTGAGCGTGGTGGCACGCACCTGTCATCCCAGTTACTCAGGAGGCTGAGGCGTGAGAATGGCTTGAGCCTGGGAGACAGAGGTTGCAGTGAGCTGAGATTGCATCATTGCACTCTAGCCTGGGTGACAGAGTGAAATGGAGGGAGGAAAAAAAAAAAAAAGGAAGGTCCCGTCCAGGGAGCCAGCCTAGGATGGGGAAGGCTCACCAGAAGTGGATGCAAAGAGTGCTGGAGATGAGCTCATTCTATTTGCCTAGGAAAGAAAAACGTCCAGAAACCTGGCCTTCCTCCTCTTGGCCGAGGCCCTCCAGGAAAGCCAGGCAGACCCTGCTCCTGCTCTGACCCCCTGGAGAAGTGATATGTAGAAAAGAGGAGATGGGCTTTGGCCCAGAGGACAGCAGCGTTAGGCTAGTGAGCAGTTCCCAGTCGGTTCAAGGTTGCTAGGCTCAGCGAACTGCAAGTCCCTGTTCGACAAGTTTCTTCCTAAAGGTCCCCAGTTCCTCATGATTCTTCTGAGGGTCTCATCCACCCTCCCAGGGCCTGCAGTCAGCTAGCCACCCCACTGCCCCATGCCTGCAGTGAACACATTTACCACAACCTGGAAATGGCTGGTGACAGAAAAGTCCTCACGGCCACAACACTCTCTGCGGTGGGAATTCAGGTGCCTTGCCTGATGGTGACAAAGCTGGTTTTGCATAAACAGCTCTCTGAATCACACCCAAATGTGGCTTCTGACTTGAGTGGACCCCCATGAAGAGCTGCAGAGGGGGCTGGGAAAAGACAAGAGAATGGAGAAAATGAGGAGAAAGGAAACTACAGAGTGAGATAGAGAACAGATCTGACAGGTGTGACCACAGCAGTGTGACATTTATGAACAGTGTGGAAACAACGGCAAAGCCCCTAAATTAAAAACTTCCTGGGGAAATAAGCCACTCCACATATCGGTTGCTGAGGAAAGAGTGGAGGAGGCTGTTGACCCGTGTGTGTCCCCATGACTCAAAGAGGGAAAAGTCTAGCTGTTTCCAATATCCCGAAATCAGTCTTGCTGGGAGAACTGGGAAAATAAAAAAGAGATGACCCCCGTAGGAAGCTACCTTTAATCCCAAGTGCCCAAGGCTAGGAGAGAAGATGCTCCAGGCGATCCAGGACACCAGTGACTGACACAGCCAGAGGTGGGAAAGGGGAGGATAAAGATGGCACAAAAGTGAGGAGTGAGCAAGGGTCTGAGAGGGAAGGCCATGTGGGCAGTAGGTGGCACCCACATCAGAGACTGACATGAGGATTAAAGGAGAGCATAGGTGATCGGTCAGAGTGTGACAGAAGAGAGGCAGCTCTACACCCCTTGCTTGCAATTCTGAGCATTCTGTAGCAAACTCGTTTGGCCATCAAACCAGACCTCAATTGAGACAAGGCTATTTAAGCTTCCTCCCAGTTGGTGTAAATATTCAATAGTTTTGCTGCAGAAATGTTGCGTTTGATTATGAGACTACCCCAACTCCCCAAGGGTGTTTTGTGGTGCTGGTTTCTGTATAAACCTGAAAAATTCTGAATTCCAAAACTTATCTGACCCCCAAAGTTTCAGATAAGAGCTTGTGGACCTGTGCTCAATTCTGGTTCTCCTTCCTTCTTTCAACTGTTGTCTGTGAAAGGAGGGATGCAGGTATGGGAGACAGGAGTCCTGCGAATTCGTCTGTAAACTGTGGACGGGGGGGTGGGTGGGGGGGGGTAACGTGGGCACCTTTGTGCACAAGTGCATGAATAGGAGGGGTGAGCAACTGTGTGTCCATCACCTTTTTGTCAAAGAAGCAGGAGTCAGTGGGCTACGTGCTTCATGAGCAGGAGAGGCGGAAACTAAGGAAGGCTCATGTGTTGGAGGAAGCATGTTTGAAGAGCAGCAGGTCTCACAGAGTTTGCTCTTTAATACTCTCCCCAGCACACGGAAGGGGAAGGGGGTGGAGGTTGCTGCTATGAGAGAGAAAAAAAAAACAGCCACAATAGAGATTCTGCCTTCAAAGGTTGGCTTGCCACCTGAAGCAGCCACTGCCCAGGGGGTGCAAAGAAGAGACAGCAGCGCCCAGCTTGGAGGTGCTAACTCCAGAGGCCAGCATCAGCAACTGGGCACAGAAAGGAGCCGCCTGGGCAGGGACCATGGCACGGCCACATCCCTGGTGGCTGTGCGTTCTGGGGACCCTGGTGGGGCTCTCAGCTACTCCAGCCCCCAAGAGCTGCCCAGAGAGGCACTACTGGGCTCAGGGAAAGCTGTGCTGCCAGATGTGTGAGCCAGGTAAGAGGGGGCCTTGGTAAGGGCCAGGTGAGTGGCGAAAGAGAGAGGACTGGGGTTAATACAGTAAATAGGCGCAGGGTGAGACTGAGCTCAAGCAAGGAGGGAAATCCTGCAGCTGTGGGGAGGCACCACCTTGAAGAGGGCAGAGAACCAGCCCTTCTCAGGCCTTGATCCCTTACCCTCTCCTCCCAGGAACATTCCTCGTGAAGGACTGTGACCAGCATAGAAAGGCTGCTCAGTGTGATCCTTGCATACCGGGGGTCTCCTTCTCTCCTGACCACCACACCCGGCCCCACTGTGAGAGCTGTCGGCACTGTAACTCTGGTGAGGTGGGCAAGGGTGTGTAGGTGGGGACGATGGACAAGCATCTGGGGGAGCAAGGCTGGTGACGGGTTTGGGGGTGCAAGGAGGATGACGGGGCCAAAGCTTTGGCCTTCTTCAAGGCTCACAGCAAGTGGAGCCAATGCTGGGAAATGCGGCACCCTAGGTGGGGCATGAATTAACGTGGGCAGACATCTAGTATTCCAGGAAAGGGATAAATAGAATTTGAGGGATTGGTGAGAACGGGTCTATGGATAGGATCAAGACAATAAAATGAGAGAAGTGGCTCTATGACCCCAGATTTCGGGCAAGCAACCCCCAACCAATAAACTGACTGTGTTCCCAGAGTGCACATGTGCAGGTTGGCCATTGGGAATTTGGAATACATCTTTCTAAGGAAATAACAAAGCAACCCAATAGGTAACAACCTTTTTTTGCACAAAAGCCAATTTGAGAAAATGAGTATGTATGTAGCCTGTGTTTTTATTTTATAGTTCCAAAAAAAAAGGTTTTTTTTAAACTAAGAAGTATAATATCTGCAGTTGTGCTTATGAATGCTGTTATTATTTCTCCATCTTCGCTACAATTTCAGAAACTACGGCCAGTATACACTAGAATAGCAGGCTTTAAAGTGGCCCCTTTGAACAAATGTTCTCTAGCAAGACACTTTTTAGAACCAGGTAACTGTAACTATTAAACTACCTACTTGCAAAACGTGTTTGGTGTCACTGGGTCTCTTGGTACTGGGTTTTGTTTTGTTTAGTTTAGAGACAAGGTCTAGCTCTGTCACCCAGGCTGGAGTGCAGTGGTGCAATCATAGCTCCCCACAGCCTTGAACTCCTGGGCTCAAGCAATCTTCTAGTCTCAGCCTCTGAAAGTGCCAGGATTACAGGTGTGAGCTGTAGTGCCTGGTCCCGTAAAAACAAAAACAAAAACCAACACCAGATGTGGTGGCTCATGCCTATAATCCCAGCACTTGGGAGGCCAAGGCAGAAGGGTATTTGCATATTTTGTAGAGACTTGAGCCCAGGAGCTTGAGACCAGCTGGGCAACATAGTGAGACCTTGTCTCTAAAAAAATTGGCTGGTCATGGTAGTGCACCTGCAGTCCCAGCTACTTGGGAGGCTGAGATGGGAAGATCACTTGAGCCCAAGAGGTCCCCAAGAGGTCCAGGCTGCTCACATCACTGCACTCCAGCCTGGGTAACAGAGCAAAACCCTTTTTCACACACACACACACACACACACAAAAAGCCAGAGCAGTGGCTCACACTTGTAATCCCAGCACTTTAGGAGGCCAAGGCAGGCGGATCCCTTGAGCCCAGGAGTTTAAGAACACCCTGGGCAACATGGCAAAACCCTGTCTCTACTAAAAATACAAAAAGTTAGCCAGGCGTGGTGGCACGAACCTGTAGTCCCAGCTACTCAGAAGGCTGAAGTGAGAAGATCACTTGAGTCCAGGAAGTGGAGGCTGCAGTGAGCCGTGACTGTACCACTGCACTCCAGCTTGGGAGACAGAGTGAGCAGAGTGAGACCCTGTTTCCAAAAAAAAAAAGAAAACAAAAGCTTTTCCATTGCAAATCAACCAAAAAGGAACGTCTTTAATACACAAGAAATATTCTTCAGTCTACTTAACTTAAAAATGTAACTGTAATAGATGCTTTTCTCTTGACAGCGGCCCCGGCAGGGTTGGAACTTTTCCTAGTCAAAACCCCCCTACTCACTCTGCAGACCCTTCCTGAAGGTCTTCGCCCCATACTGAGCCCATCTTCAGTCCCTTCACTTGTTCCAAACTAGCCCAATCCATGACCCTTCTCTGGGAGCTCAGCCAATAGATCCCAAAGTACCACAGCAGCACCTGGCTGCAGAAGGACCCCCGGGAAATGCAGTCAGGGGTGAGAAGATGGGTGGGCTGAATGAGCTCGGCCCTCTCTGGGCCTTAGTGCTGGCATCTATGAGATGAGGACATGCCTGAAGTCAGCCTGGAATTTTGAGCCCAGGTTATACCTGGTAAATAGAACTCCCAGGTCTCCGGATACTCACCACTAAAACAATAGCACCTCATTGTTTTTGTTTTGTTTTGTTTTGTTTTTTAATTATACTTTAAGTTCTAGGGTACATGTACACAATGTGCAGGTTTGTTACATAGGTATACATGTGCCATGTTGGTGTGCTGCACCCATTAACTCATCATTTACATTAGGTATATCTCCTAATGCTATCCCTCCTCCCTCCCCACACCCCACGACAGGCCCCAGTGTGTGATGTTCCCCTTCCTGTGTCCAAGTGTTCTCATTGTTCAATTCCCACCTACGAGTGAGAACACATTGTTTTTAACCCTCCCCAGCAGCTTCTTTAACCCCTCCATTTCCCTTTTGGCGGAGACCCTTGTCATCACTCCTCTCTACCACCAGTGCTCTCCCCTCCTGCACTGTCCCAGGCTTCCTCATTCTTCCCTTGCAGGTCCTTATCCAACATGGCTCACAATTCCTGGGAAGCCACAAGGAAACCAAATTCTAGTAGCAACTCAGAGTCAGCATTCATTAGCAGGTCACAGGGCCATAAGGATGCCAAGAAGGAATTTGTCCCTCTCCTTGTCCTGACAAAAGGCATAAGTAGAAGAAAATTGTTAGGTTTGGTTATGACCTTTGACATTCTCTCTTTGACATCCTCCCTTTCTGCACCCCTCTTCCACCTGTCAGGGCACCTAGGGCTCCCCGGGTCCCCACAAGTGTCTGCCCTAAGGCCCACCAGGCTTTCTTGCAGCCTGTCCCACATCTGGGTGTCACTGCCTTCCTCTGAATCACCCTCCTCTCAAACCAGCCGCCAGCGAGCCCAGCCCAGCCCAGCTAGTGCCCTACCACACCCGCCCCCAGGATAATTAACACCCAGCCACCCAGCATCGGACCTCTACACTTGAGCAAAATGTATATTTTAAAGGCAAATTCTCACGCCTGTAATCCCAGCACTTTGGGAGGCCAAGGCGGGCGGATCACGAGGTCAGGAGATTGAGACCATCCTGGCTAACACGGTGAAACCCCGTCTCTACTAAAAATACAAAAAATTAGCCAGGTGTGGTGGCACACACCTGTAATCCCAGCTACTAGGGAGGCTGAGGCAGGAGAATCACTTGAACTCAGGAGGCGGAGGTTGCACTGAGCCGAGATCGTGCCACTGCACTCCAACCTGGGCGACAAAGCAAGACTCTGTCAAAAAACAAACAAACAAAATAAAGGCTAAGTAACTGTAATCAAGTAACTATTTATTATTTATTTATTTTAGTGTATCCACAGGTTGTGCAGCCATCAACACTATCTAATTCTATAACATTTTCGTTACCCCAGAGAAACTTGTACCCCTTAGCAATGACTCCCCATTTCTTCCCCCCAACCAACCCCAGCCCCAGCCCCAGCCCCTGGGAATCCCTAATATACTTTGTTTTGTTTTTTGTTGGTGGTGTTTGAGACAGGATCTCACTCTGTCACCCAGGCTGGAGCGCAGTATCATGATCTCAGCTCACTGTAACCTCCACCTCCCGGGCTCAAGCGATCCTCCCACCTCAGCCTCCCCAGTAGCTTGGGCCTACAGGTGTGCACCACCACACCCAGCTAATTTTTGTATTTTTTGTAGAGACGGGGTTTCACCATGTTGGCCAGGCTGGTCTCAAACTCCTGAGCTCAAGCAATCCACCCACCTCAACCTCCCAAAGTGCTGGGATTACAGGCGTAAGCCACTGCACCTGGCTATTTTCTTTCTTTCTTTTCTTTTTTTTTTTTTTTTGAGACGGAGTTTCACTCTGTTGCCCAGGCTGGAGTGCAGTGGCGTGATCTCGGCTCACTGCAACTTCCACCTCCCGGGTTCAAGCAATTCCCTGCCTCACCCGGCTATTTTATATTTGTTGATCTGCTGCTGGTTATGCCTGTGAGCCAAATTTGTACAAATTCTTAAGCTTTACAATCATGCGTGCCTCTCTGTACGTATATTATACTTTAATTAAAAGTTATTAAAGTATTGGGGCCGAGCACAGTGGCTCACGCCTGTAATCCCAACACTTTGGGAGGCTGAGGCTGGTGCATCACCTGAGGTCAGGAGTTTAATACCAGCCTGGCCAATACAGTAAAACCCCGTCTCTACTAAAAATACAAAAAATTAGCCGGGTGTGGTGGCACACACCTGTAATCCCAGCTACTTGGGAGGCTGAGGCAGGAGAATTGCTTGAACCCGGGAGGCAGAGGTTGCAACGAGCCAAGGTCACGCCATTGCACTCCAGCCTCGGCAACAAGAGCGAGACTCCATCTCAAAAAAATAAATAAAAAATAAAAAATGTATCAGGGAGTACAAGAGAAAGTCATATAAGCTCTTTCTACTTTTCATGGTTTCTATGTCTGAACCCATGAATCTTCCTTCTGAAAGGTCCAACTTTCTTCTTTAATAACAATAATAATGGCAAAGGCATTGGGGGACCGTGAGCAAAGGGCAGGCCTTTGCAGGGGTGGGAATGGAAAGGGAAGCACGTCCCTAGAGGTGGGCCTGGGATGGGGGTTGGGGGATGAAGCAAGTGGACCTTGAAGGTCTCCACAGGTCTGAGTGTCCTATGCTCCCTGGGCCTCTCTTCCCCCAGGTCTTCTCGTTCGCAACTGCACCATCACTGCCAATGCTGAGTGTGCCTGTCGCAATGGCTGGCAGTGCAGGGACAAGGAGTGCACCGAGTGTGATCCTCTTCCAAACCCTTCGCTGACCGCTCGGTCGTCTCAGGCCCTGAGCCCACACCCTCAGCCCACCCACTTACCTTATGTCAGTGGTAAGTTCCAGGCAACTCTCTGTGCCATCACGTGGGGTAGCGGTGATACCCCAACCAGTACTCCCCACTCCTACCCCTAGATAAGGTCAGCCTGTTTCTGCCTTCCCATCCCATCCAGCACCTCTCAGGCCTTCAGATGTGCCCTATGGGGTCCCCTGCTGCTACTCATTCTGTCTCTGTTTTTCCAGAGATGCTGGAGGCCAGGACAGCTGGGCACATGCAGACTCTGGCTGACTTCAGGCAGCTGCCTGCCCGGACTCTCTCTACCCACTGGCCACGTGAGTTTTCTCCTTAATCCCCACCGCTAGAGAGAATGCATACACGAGGGGCCAGGAGGGAAGCCAGACAGAAAGCTCCTAGGATTAGGGATAAGAGGAGGGGAAAAAGCAGAGTCCACTGTTTAGGAGAGGAGTTGGCCAACGGTGGCGGGTGGGATAGAATAAGGTGGGGGAAAGGGGAGAGGCAAGGTGACAGGAGGGCTGGGCTGAGGGAGCCAAGGGCTAGACCCTCCCCTAACCCCTGTGTGTCCCCTCCTATTACAGCCCAAAGATCCCTGTGCAGCTCCGATTTTATTCGCATCCTTGTGATCTTCTCTGGAATGTTCCTTGTTTTCACCCTGGCCGGGGCCCTGTTCCTCCATCAACGAAGGAAATATAGATCAAGTAAGAGACAGAACACAGGCCTCCGGTCCTGCCCCTGCACCACACCCCACTGGCTCAACCCCACTGCCCACGCCTGGAATCTCACTGAAACCCACCAGCTCCACTTCACCAGCCTTGGTCCTACCCCTTCTCTCCCCTTAGCTGGCGTGCTCCTGACACCCCTCCCCCAAGCGCACCCGCCTCTACCCATCTCCTTCTCCCGTCTCCCCCTGCCCCCACTGCTGGCCAAGACTCATCGGATCTCCTTCTGCAGACAAAGGAGAAAGTCCTGTGGAGCCTGCAGAGCCTTGTCATTACAGCTGCCCCAGGGAGGAGGAGGGCAGCACCATCCCCATCCAGGAGGATTACCGAAAACCGGAGCCTGCCTGCTCCCCCTGAGCCAGCACCTGCGGGAGCTGCACTACAGCCCTGGCCTCCACCCCCACCCCGCCGACCATCCAAGGGAGAGTGAGACCTGGCAGCCACAACTGCAGTCCCATCCTCTTGTCAGGGCCCTTTCCTGTGTACACGTGACAGAGTGCCTTTTCGAGACTGGCAGGGACGAGGACAAATATGGATGAGGTGGAGAGTGGGAAGCAGGAGCCCAGCCAGCTGCGCCTGCGCTGCAGGAGGGCGGGGGCTCTGGTTGTAAAACACACTTCCTGCTGCGAAAGACCCACATGCTACAAGACGGGCAAAATAAAGTGACAGATGACCACCCTGCAGCTCTCCAGCTTCCTCTCTGAAATCCCAGTCCCAAAATCCAGTTTCCTGGCCGCCTCCTGGCTCAGGTCAGGATCTGGCAGAGGAGGTTTCTCAGCCGGTTATGTTGGGGCCTGCTTAAGGGCGGGGGTGAGAAAGGTCCCCAGGCTACTGTGGATCCTGTGTCTGACTTCAGATCCCCTTTTCCCACAGTTATAGCTCCACTTTTTTGGGACAGGTGGGGAGCAAAAGGGTGCAGAGGTCAGGTCTTGAAATCACCAGGGGATTTCCGGGTGAGGTGGGTGGTGAGAAAGGAAACAGCAAGCAGGGCTCTGGCAGCTGCTGCAGACGGCTTCACACAGGGACGCGGGCTGCCATCTTGCTCTAAGTGAAAGTGAAAGAAAAGTCGGCAGCAGAGGGAACAGGGAAGAAACCTAAAGGCTGCAGGCTGCCAGGTGTGCTTGGAGAGCCCCCTTCTTCCGCCGGGCCTCGCAAGCAGCGTAGGACTGTGGAGAAGGGCGGTGGGCAAGGAGGGAACTCGAGAGCAGCCTCCATGGGCACACAGGAGGGCTGGTGCCTGCTGCTCTGCCTGGCTCTATCTGGAGCAGCAGAAACCAGTGAGTCTGGGAGTCGGGGAGAGCTGGCTGGGAGAAGAGCTACTGAAGCCCCAGGGTGCCACCCTCCCCGAGATTCCAGAAGAGCAAAGGGGCCGGGGATGACCCCATCGCCTTCTAAGCCCAACAGGGGAAAGGCTCAGCGGCTGGCAAAGGAAGGAACCAATAGTGTGTGTGGAGGGAGGGTGGGGACTCCACAGGGAAAATGCTAAAGAGGGGCTGCCTCTGTGGCTGTGGTCAGGAGCCACTGTCCTACAGAGAGGGCACTGGCCTGGGAGCTGACACTTCAGAAGAGGAAAGGACTCCCCAGGTGAGGAAATCACTTGGAAGGTGACCTTGAAGGCGGGGGAGGGGAAGGCTACCCGAAATGGGAGAAAGCAGTGCAGGCTGTCAGTGCCCCAGCAACAGTAACTGTCCAGTCTCCTCTCTCTGCGGTGGCACTTGCTTGTTTTCTGAGAATTCCTTTGACTGAAAAGATAGTCTTTTATTCAACAGTTGGAAATGCAAGCATAAACTCCTCTGAGCAAGGCAAATCCAGGACTTTAACTCTCACCAAGAAGTATTTGCCTGGACTAGCAGGTGCTCTCCAGAAAGCTGGTTTGGGGATGACGGGAGAATAGAGGGACACAGAAACAGCTAGGATCTTGGATGGCAACTTTTACCCTTTGATGACTCCACAGCTTGAGGGCGGGGGCAGGAAGCAAGTGTGGAGTAGCTTTCTGGGGAAGGCGGTGCTCACCCCAGCCTTTGTCTGCAGAGCCCCACCCAGCAGAGGGGCAGTGGCGGGCAGTGGACGTGGTCCTAGACTGCTTCCTGGCGAAGGACGGTGCGCACCGTGGAGCTCTCGCCAGCAGTGAGGACAGGGCAAGGGCCTCCCTTGTGCTGAAGCAGGTGCCAGTGCTGGACGATGGCTCCCTGGAGGACTTCACCGATTTCCAAGGGGGCACACTGGCCCAAGATGACCCACCTATTATCTTTGAGGCCTCAGGTAAAAGCCTTCCACCTGTGTCCTTGGTCCTCCCGGGCTCCCTCCACCAGGACAGCCCAGGTCCCGATTACAGCCACACATACTGCCTCCCGTTGGCCCTGGTGTTCTCACGCTAATTTGCCCTCTGTGTGTGCCCTGCTTCTCCCCAGTGGACCTGGTCCAGATTCCCCAGGCCGAGGCCTTGCTCCATGCTGACTGCAGTGGGAAGGAGGTGACCTGTGAGATCTCCCGCTACTTTCTCCAGATGACAGAGACCACTGTTAAGACAGCAGCTTGGTTCATGGCCAACATGCAGGTCTCTGGAGGGGGACCTAGCATCTCCTTGGTGATGAAGACTCCCAGGGTCACCAAGAATGAGGCGCTCTGGCACCCGACGCTGAACTTGCCACTGAGCCCCCAGGGGACTGTGCGAACTGCAGGTAAGAAAATGAAAAGCAAGGCCAGGTGTGGTGGCTCACGCCTGTAATTCCAGAATTTTGGGATACCGAGGTCGGTGGATCACCTGAGGTCAGGAGTTTGAGATCAGCCTGGTCAACACGGTGAAACCCCGTCTCTACTAATACCAAAATTAGCCGGGCATGGTGGCGGGTGCCTGTAATCCCAGCTACGAGGGAGGCTGAGGCAGGAGAATCGCTTGAACCCGGAAGGCAGAGGTTGCGGTGAGCCGAGATCACACCATGGCACTTCAGCCTGGGCAACAAGAGCGAAACTCCATCTCAAAAAAAAAAAAGAAAAGAAAAGAAAAGCAAGTCACAGAAAGTTTTGCTTTTCTAAAGTGGTAAGATATGGGGCACAGAAGAAGAAAGGGAACAAATCCACCTCCATCCACACTGGTCACCTCAGGGCACCCCTAGGCCTTGGTCCTTTCTTCCTAAAAACCCCTGAGTCAGGCCAGGTGCGAAGGCCCATGCCTGTAATCCCAGCACTTTGGGAGGCCAAGGCAGGTGGATCACCTGAGGTCAGGAGTTCAAGACCAGCCTGGCCAACATGGTGAAACCCCCTCTCTACTAAAATACAGAAATTAGCCGGGCATGATGGCAGGTGCCTGTAATCCCAGCTACTCAGGAGACTGAGACGGGAGAATCACTTGAACCTGAGAGACGGTGGTTGCAGTGAGCCGAGATTGCGCCACTGCACTCCAGCCTGGGCAGCTGAGTGAGACACCGTCTCAAAAACAACAACAACAACAAAAACCCTGAGTCCACAAGAGAATGCTTCGCAGCCCCTACCTGAACGTCCCCAGGCACACAGACAACCTGTGTTATTTCCAAAATGGAGATCGTTCTCATCTCACTGGGCTGCCATGAGGAAATAAGACACATGATGCTATTCTGTACATGGGTGCTGTCCACTGTAGTCTTATCGAGCCAAAACCCGGTTTTCTCCCAGTGAAATGCTAGGCTGCTCTGGTGCTTCAGGGGTAAAGCTCAGGGATGCATCATTTGTTCATGATCTTATTAGTAAACCCAGTACTTGCCCTCTCCAGCTCAGCACATCCTCGAGGGCACAAGAAATTGAGAACATGATGACAGGGTTCCCCAGAGCCCATTAATCCAATACTCTGTGCCCTGCTTCTTTGAGTCTCCAAGAAGAAACAGCCAAGTCCAGAGAAAATTAGGGGCAACCGTCCTATCCTTGGAAAACCCCAGAACACTCTAACCTCTCTGTGGTCCAACCTAAATCTATCCTGACCCATTAGAAAAAGGTCTTCATGTCTGTCCAGTGTCTACCATACTCCTGGCATGCGTAGGTATTTCTCTCTTTTTATTCCAAACCTACAAAAAAAGGTGAAATAATAATATAATGAACACCTATATACCCTACACCTAGATCCACCAGTTGTTAACAATTTGCCACATTCTCTCTCCCCCGACTCCTCATGTGTGTATATGTGTACGTGTGTATTTTCCTCTGAACTGAGAGTAAGTTGCAGAAGATAACACTTGAACCCCAAACGCATGTTTGAACCCCGAAACGCATGTTTAAACCCCAAATACATCCATAGCATGTATTAGTTTACAATGAAGGACAAGGATGTAATCCTTCATAGTTACAAAGCCATCATGTCAGAAACAAACCAAAGTGGGGAAGTAGTCTACCCGTAGCGCAGGCAATAAGGGAGTGCAGACTGTAAAATATTTCAGAACAAAAATAAAATCAGCTAAAAGTCAGATGGCTTTATAGTCTCACCATCTCCCGACACTGGCAATTCTGAATATTATCAGTGATAAAATACTCCTCTCTGCTAGGGCAGACTGTCCCTATCTCCCCACACGACTGCCTAGTATGCCACAGATCTTCATACTTTTAGATATTTTTTAATTGATATGATAATAGTCTCAACTATAAAGTCCAGGGCATGGTGGTGCACACCTGTAGTCCAGCTACTCAGGAGACTGAGGCAGGAGGATTGCTTGAGCCCAGGAGTTTGAGTCCTGTCTGGGCAACATAGAGAGCGAGACCCTCTTTTTTTTTTTTTTTTTTTAACAGTCTCATTCTGTCTCCCAGGCTGGAGTGCAGTGGCATGATCTTGGCTCACTGCAACCTCTGCCTCCCAGGTTCAAGTGATTCTTGTGCCTCAGTCTCCCAAGTAGCTGGGATTATAGACGCCCGCCACCACACCAGCTAATTTTTGTATTTTTAGTAGAGATGGGGTTTCACCATATTGGCCAGGCTGGTCTTGAACTCCTGACCTCAGGTGATCCACCCATCTCGGCCTCCCAAAGTGTTGGGATTACAGGCGTGAGCCACTGTGCCCAACCTAAGACCCTTCTCTTTAAAAAATAATTAAATGTCTCCAAATTCAAATTTCTCCACTTGTCCCAATATTTTTTTTTTTACTGCTTTTTCTAAGTACACAATTCAAACAAGAATCATGCAGTGCATTTAGTTGTGCTGTTCCTTGTTTTAATCTAGAACATGTTTCATAGAATTGACATTTTTGAAGGGTCCAGGCTAGTGGTCTTGTAGAGTATCCCAACATTTAGATTTGTCTGATTGTTTTCCTCATTTCCTCATGACTGGATTTAGGTTAAGCATGTTTGGCACAGATACTACTATCACATGCTTTTTTTTTTTTTTTTCGATATGGAGTTTTACTCTTATTGCCCAGGCTGGAGTGCAATGGCTCGATCTTGGCTCACCACAACCTCCGCCTCCTGGGTTCAAGTGATTCTCCACCTGAGCCTCCCAAGTAGCTGGGATTACAGGCATGCGCCACGACACCCAGCTAATTTTTGTATTTTTAGTAGAGACGGGGTTTCTCCATGTTGGTCAGGCTGGTCTCAAACTCCCAACCTCAGGTGATCCACCCGCCTGGGCTTCCCAATACCACGTGTGTTTTTTTGTTTTGTTTTGTTTTTTACATTTTTTTTGAGACGGAGTTTCACTCGTCGCCCAGACTGGAGTGCAATGGCGCGATCTTGGCTCACTGCAACCTCCACCTCCCGGATTCAAGCAATTCTCCTGTCTCAGCCTCCCAAGTAGCTGGAATTACAGGCACCTGCCACCATGCCCGGCTAATTTTTGTGTTTTTAGTAGAGACAGGGTTTTACCATGTTGGCCAGGCTGGTCTCAAACTCCTGACCTCAGGTGATCCACCCACCTCGGCCCCCCAAAGTGCTGGGATTACCGGCATGAGCCACCGCACCCAGCCACCACGTACTTTTTAAACTATTGTTTCTAGTCTTCACAGCATCCTTGCTTAAGCAGGTGAGCTTGGTAACACCAAGTGACTTGTCAAAGGTCACGGAGCCAGTAAGTGGAACAACCAGGGTTTCAGAGCTTTTTCTGCTACTCTAGTAGTTCTTACCTGAAGATTGATGGTAACTCTTAATTTTGCATGTGTATTTTTCCTGGTGGGAGATCCATAGCTTTCACTAAATTATCCTAGAGTAAGTGATCCCAAAATGGTGATGGCCATCATGTGTACCATGCTACCTTTCCAGAGCCCCATTTCTTTGTGGTTCCATGTGATGGAAAATAAGCTCAACCGGCCTGTCAGGCGAGGAAGAGGCAGGTGTATGCCCACAACATGCCCACAGCTTGGAGATCAGGTGACCTCAAGGAGGAAGTAGCCCACAAATCACCCCTCTTTTCCTCTTCACAGTGGAGTTCCAGGTGATGACACAGACCCAATCCCTGAGCTTCCTGCTGGGGTCCTCAGCCTCCTTGGACTGTGGCTTCTCCATGGCACCGGGCTTGGACCTCATCAGTGTGGAGTGGCGACTGCAGCACAAGGGCAGGGGTCAGTTGGTGTACAGCTGGACCGCAGGGCAGGGGCAGGCTGTGCGGAAGGGCGCTACCCTGGAGCCTGCACAACTGGGCATGGCCAGGGATGCCTCCCTCACCCTGCCCGGCCTCACTATACAGGACGAGGGGACCTACATTTGCCAGATCACCACCTCTCTGTACCGAGCTCAGCAGATCATCCAGCTCAACATCCAAGGTGAGGCCAGGACATGGTTATCCCAGGGAAGGGGATATAACATGTCTACTGGGAGCGTTTCCAGATTGGGACCCAAATGCAAGAATGATTTCCTGAGAAGCAGGCTTCAATCCCACAACTTAAATGCCATCTTCACCATGGAAGCACAGATGGCATCAGATAAGGAGTCCCGTTGGACTCCAGGATAATTCCACCAAGAGATTTCCAGCCCAGGATCCTGCTGCCCTGCTGTGGCTGGCTGTCTCCATCACCCCAGTCCTTTTGGACCACATCCTGAGGAGCAGCAGCAGCAAACCAAGGCAGAGCAGTGGAAGCGGTTCTGACCATTATCACTGCTATCCTTTAAAATCTCTGGCTTAGAGGCCGGGCGCGGTGGCTCACACCTATAATCCCAGCACTTTGGGAGGCGGATCACGAGGTCAGGAGTTCAAGACCAGCCTGGCCAATACGGTGAAACTCCGTCTCTACTAAAAATACAAAAAATAGCTAGGCATGGTGGTGCGCGCCTGTAGTCCCAGCTACTCAGGAGGCTGAGGCAGAAGAATCGCTTGAACCCCGGAGGTGGAGGTTGCGGTGAGCCAAGATCATGCCACTGCACTCCAGCTTGGGCGACAGAGCAAGACACCATCTTAAAAAAAAAAAAAAAACTGGCTTAGAATGACAGTAAGAAGCCAGCCAATCTTTAGTTGGCTTTACTATCTGTTTTCTGGAAAATGTAACCCTGCCCCCTTACGGCCTGCATCCAGGTGGGCCCCTCACACACCCCCGCCTTGGTACACCACCAAGGGACACTGTAGCCTCCACAATCTACTCTCATCTTGGCAGGAAGAAAAGGCTTCAGGCTCCTCCGCTGTCCCCAGTTAGATCCATGTGTAATCTTATTCCTCATTCTTTCTCCAGCTTCCCCTAAAGTACGACTGAGCTTGGCAAACGAAGCTCTGCTGCCCACCCTCATCTGCGACATTGCTGGCTATTACCCTCTGGATGTGGTGGTGACGTGGACCCGAGAGGAGCTGGGTGGATCCCCAGCCCAAGTCTCTGGTGCCTCCTTCTCCAGCCTCAGGCAAAGCGTGGCAGGCACCTACAGCATCTCCTCCTCTCTCACCGCAGAACCTGGCTCTGCAGGTGCCACTTACACCTGCCAGGTCACACACATCTCTCTGGAGGAGCCCCTTGGGGCCAGCACCCAGGTTGTCCCACCAGGTACTGGGAGTGTCCTCCTTTTCCCCACCTCCACACTAGGGCTCATGGCTCTCCTGCCCCAGCTCATCTATGGCCTTGTTCTGCTGCCCATCCACTTTGTTCGCAGCCCTGGCTTCATGCTCCTGCCTCTGCTCCTGACTATTTTCCCAAGGCGGCAGCTGCCACAGCTTCTACCACACATCCCCTGAGACTTCATTATACTCCAGCCTCCAGGGTGTCAGGCAATGTGCTTAAGGCTGGAGATCACAGATGAATAATTCCTGATCATGCCCTCCAGGAGCTTAGTCCAGTAATAGAGACAAGACTAAGTAGACAGAGAAGATGGCATTTGAGCCAAGTTAACTAGCTTAGAGGGAAGGGAACACTCAAGATAGAAACAATAGCATATATGAAAGCCAAATCATAAAACAGCCTAAAGAGAATTTGGAGAATTGCAAGTAATTCAGCACAGCTAGAGCTTAGGGTATATGGGAAAAAGGGAAAGTGGCTCTGAAGCTTCGGAGGTAATTCTATTTATTGAGCATTTACATGAATCAAGCAGTGTAGAAAGCACTTAAATGTATGATTTCATGGATCATGACTCCCATTTTACAGGTGAGTAAACTGGCACTTGCAGATGTCAATGAATTTGCCCAAGGTCACCTATCAATCAATGGTAAAGAGAGAATGTGAAAAACAGGCAACCGGATTCCCCTTACGGGCTTAATTAAACCCTGTAGATCTCACTGGGCCTTCAAGCTGGAACTTCCTGAGAGCCATAGCATGCTGTTGAAAGGTTTTATTTATTTATTTATTTATTTATTTATTTATTTATTTATTTTATTTTATTTTACTTTTTTTCGATACAGAATCTTGCTCTGTTCCCCAGGCTGGAGTGCAGTGGTATGATCTCAGCTCACTGCAACCTCCATATCCTGGGTTCAAGCCATCCTCTTGCCTCAGCCTCCCAAGTAGCTGGGATTACAGGCGCGCACCACCACGCCTGGCTAATTTTGCGTTTTTAGTAGAGATGGGGTTTCGCCATGATGGCCAGGCTGGTCTCAAACTCCTGACCTCAGGTGATCTGTCCGCCTCGGCTTCCCAAAGTGCTGGGATTACAGATATGAGCCACCGCACCCTGCCTGTCGAGAGGTTTTAAGCAGGAAAGGGACAGGAAAGAACCCGCAACTTGAAGTGGAAACATCCAGGAGCACTGGGCATTATTTGGTTGCTCATTAGACTGTGAACTTCCCCAAAACTGAGGTTTCACTTCAGCTCACATCATTCCCCAACTATTTACAAAATCCCAGTTAACTGGTGGTTTTTTGTTTTGCTTTGTTTTATTTTGTTTTGTTTTGAGATAGGGTCTCACTCTGTCGCCCAGGCTGGAGTGCAGTGGCACGATCTCAGCTCACTGCAAACTCTGCCTCCCAGGCTCAAGTGATTCTCCCACCTCAGCCTCCCAAGTACCTGGGACCACAGGCGCACACCAACATGCCCAGTTAATTTTTTGTATTTTTTGTACAGACAGGGTTTCACCATGTTGCCCAGGCTGGTCTCGAACTCCTGACCTCAGGTGATCCACCTACCTCAGCCTCCCAAAGTTCTGGGATTACAGGCATGAGCCACTGTGTCCAGGCAAGTTAAGTGCTAACAAATAAACCCACCTAAATCTCACTTGCAAAGCAATTTTTAAAACCTTGTCCTTAGGTGGGAAGAGGTAGAGAATTCTGTGTGGAGTAACTCACAAGTATCCAGCAACCTTGAATAAGAACAAATGCTGCTGAGTGCCTTGTTCCAGGCTCCTCAACCAGGGACTCACACACACAATCCTTAGCTCCTCCTCCCTGGGGTGGACACTGCAGGTGAGGGCTCAGCTCATGATTCCTGCGCACGATGATCCCCGCCCACGTTGCTCTCACCTACAGAGCGGAGAACAGCCTTGGGAGTCATCTTTGCCAGCAGTCTCTTCCTTCTTGCACTGATGTTCCTGGGGCTTCAGAGACGGCAAGGTAAGAGCCTGGGTGCCCTTGGCTCTGGCCCTGGCCCACCTCACCCACTCTAACCACCCCCCCGCCCAGACCAGGGTGGAAGCCCAGATGCCCCAAGCTCCAGCCACCCACCCATCACAGCCTCCTGCTTTTGAGTTTGCCCTAAATGAAAATGAAACCAGTCGTGTTCCCTCGTTTTCTCCTAGCTACCTCACTAAAGTCTGTCACTCTCCTGCCTCAGAGTAGAAAGAAAGAGTAGTCACGTGCTCCCAGAAGGACTCTAAGTCAAGTCACAGAGCTAAAAATACATGAAGGTGGCACCAGCTCATGGGGCACTGGGCCTGGCTCTGCAGAGGCCTCTGCCTTCCTTCACTGTGCACCCTGGGCTCATGCACCAAGGCAGAGAACAGGAAGAAGTGAGGGGACAAGAAGAAGGCAGAATGTCCAGATGGAGGATAAGACCAAAGAGCCAGGTTGGTGGTGTGACGGTAGGAAAACAAAGCTGGAGGAAATGGAGAAGGAACAAGTGAGGGACAATGAGGCATGGGTTGGGGCTGGGCTACCCCTCCCAAACTCAGCTCTGTCAAAATAAAAGGCCCTTGTGTCTGCTGCGACCAAGCTTTTCCACTTTCCTGTCTTTCTCCACACTGGTCCCAACTGAGCCCTGTCACCAAGCCTAGCGGCTCCAACTTGCAAAGTGTTTAAGTATGAAACAAAGGCCCTCAGAGGCACCCCCGTGGCTCCATCTCAGTTGCACCTCAGCTGCAATTAGGGTTCTGCTCCCTCGGGTGACTGCTGGGAGGTTCAGGATACCTGCAAATGCCTCACTCCCTCAGCTGCAAGGAGAGACTTCTCCTTTTTATTCGTTTCTAAAATGTGCCTAATCAATACGGTGGAACTCAGCATACCAAAACTGTACGTGAGGATGATGGGGAAAAGGGGGTAAGGGGGTGTTCACTGACAGCCTTATCTGGGCACATCCCCTGGGACAGGACAAGCAGGCCAAGGACCTAGGAAGGAGCACAGGAGGCAGATGGAAGAGGCCTGAGGGAACCTGTGCTTGTTTGCCAGTGTGAGATGCCCACGCAACTTCCTGTCTTCACTTCCTCTTACCAGCACCTACAGGACTTGGGCTGCTTCAGGCTGAACGCTGGGAGACCACTTCCTGTGCTGACACACAGAGCTCCCATCTCCATGAAGACCGCACAGCGCGTGTAAGCCAGCCCAGCTGACCTAAAGCGACATGAGACTACTAGAAAGAAACGACACCCTTCCCCAAGCCCCCACAGCTACTCCAACCCAAACAACAACCAAGCCAGTTTAATGGTAGGAATTTGTATTTTTTGCCTTTGTTCAGAATACATGACATTGGTAAATATGCCACATGCCTTTGGTGGAAGTACAACTGTTGTTATTACTCTATACAAGTATGAGATCAGGGTTAGGAAAAAAAGACAAAGAGGTGATGACAGACACACAGTGGAAACCCCACATCGTCTCATGGCAAACCGAAGAACGGGATGTGGGAAGCTCAGCTTCATTTGACTGCAAAGTCCCAGGGTTTTGTTGCACATTTGCTCATGCACATGGGTGGTGGGAGGAAAGGGGGATAGCAGAGACACACAGAAGAGGGTACAGGGTGGGTGAGAAAGAAAGTAGAAGGGCTAATACCCCCAAAGAACAAGGCCAACTACACCTGGTGAGCCTCAGAGGGACAGAAACCCAGGAATGATTCCTGTGATAGGGCTGGGAGAGCCAAGAGGACGGATTCGCTCCAGGCTTGGGACACATCGAGGACAGTGGTGGTTCTTCTCCAGCGGTGACCCCCTGCATTAGGCAAGGAGGAGCCCAGAGGAGAGTGGAGACCTTCGAGGGGGGCCGTTGGGAGGGTACTGACTGCTTTCTTCCAGCTCTTCAGTCCCGCCCTTGGGCAGGACGAAGGGAATGTGGGAAACAAGGGCGAAAGGAAAGGAAGGATGGTTTTGAGCAATGAAATGCTGCTGCATGGAAAGTGGGCATCCAGACCCTGCCCAGCATGGCCTCAGCCTCTTCCTGTTCGTGGACCGAGGGAAGAAGGAATAAAGGGCCATGGGCATTCTCCGCTCTGTTCCCAGCCTGCCCTCCTCCCCTTGCACCTGGGCTTATCCCACATTAATAGCCCATCCTGAAGCTCAGCAATTGCCCCGAAGATAGGCTGAGCAGATCCCATCCTCAGGTTCCACTGTCTATACACACAAACCATGCAAAGAGGAGGAAGAGAAAGGAGGCAAAGTAGAATTCAGACAGGAAAGGGTGGTTCAAAGGGGAATATACTACAGGAAGAACAGAGAGGCGGCTCTCAAGGAGAGGGCCCCATGACAGCACAGCAATACACAAGCACACCTGACACAGGCTGGCACGCCTCCCCCCAAGGTGGGGCTGGTGGGTCTACATGACTTCTCTGCATCCTGAGGATCGGCCGGGCCCCAGGAAGAACCACTTGCCTCATCCCTGTCTTTGGCAAGTGCACGGGTGGTGTGGAGGAAAGGATTCCATGGGTGTCCAAAGATCTCACACTGCTAACACCCTCACGCTCCTTCATCAACAGGAAGAGAGGAACAGGACCCTCTTTAACGAGGGCAAGGAGTGGCTTCCTCTGAGCTTGTTACTTTCAAATTAAGCACTTGACTCACTGTTTCTCTATAACTAACAGGCAATCTCTCTCTTTATGCCAACAATTAACTGGGAGCTAGGTTAAATTATTTGGCTAGATAAAACTACCAGCTAGATGGATTTATTTGGTGCCCTCATACAGAATGCTGTAGAAAATGTAAAGAAGAGAAAGCTCCTTCCAGCTAGAAGCACATGGGACTGCTTCTAGGATGGAAACAAGTCCTGCTATTTTCACAATCCCTAAGTGTTCTCCAGGCCTCTGGAGAACAAAGTAAAGTTGTAAGATCCCCAAAGACACGGAAAATCCTGGACGAACAGATTAGAAATAACTACAAAAAACAAGTTTTTACTTTCGAAAAGGGTACTGCACTGAAACCAAGTTGGACTTTGGTCCACCCCCAGGACCCTCTTCAGGCCTGGTCCAGGAAGGAAAGCTCCACATGACCAGGCAGTACTGAGTGAGCTGCCATCTTCCCAGCCCCTCCCTAGCTCCTACCAGTGGCCAGGTTTTCTAGAAGTCACCATGGGCACCGATACTCTTCTCCTCCCAAGTCTGGGCAGCTTCATGGGTACTTCGCCTCAGCCACTCCCCTCCCTGCCCCTTCCCTTGGCCTCCAACTCTTTGGGGCTTTGGGGGAACTTGAGAGTACAGAAAAAGCAGGCAGGGAGGAGGCGCCAGCTGTTGCTCTTCGGGTAATGACTTAGATTGTGCCACGAGCAGCATTTCTAGTGTTGAGGGACAGAGTGCAAATGAACGCAACGAAAAAGGAGGAATGGGTGATGGAGAAGCCTGGGCTGGAATGGAGGACGGTGGGTGGGGAAGTGTGTTGAGAGAGCAAACAGAGGGCAGAGGACATGAATGTGGATGGCAATGGACAACAGGGAAGGGGTGGTACATTCTCAAGTAAAAAAGTAGACTGGACACAGGAATCAGGAAGTCCCAGACGGAAAAGAGAAAGAGACAGGAGAAAACAAGAGGGTGAATTACACCAAGTTACCAGACATTCAGGTCTCTCCATTGTTAAGTGCCCCATCCCCATGGTCTCCCTCCAACCCAAGCCAGTGACACACAGCATAGCCCCACTTCCTCAGAACAGGAGGCGCCATCTCCCTGCAATGCGTTGCAGGGGGAAGGCTTGTCCATCAAAGAAATCCCTTGTCTCTGCCCTTCCCCCGTCCCGAACCAGGTGACGATCCCATAGCAGCGGTCTCCATACCTCAGTCAGAGCAGCCCCACTCCCCAGGCAGGCAGGCAGGCAGGGAGAAGACTCCAGGACCTTCCCACCTCTTCACCCCACCAGCAACTTCAGCGATACTTACTTACAATAACTACCACGATGATGGCACAGATGGCTCCCAGCATGATCATCATCTGAGGAAACATGGACAAAAAATGAGCCCTTGGATTTCAGGAATGAGGAAAAGAGCCACATCTCTAGTGGGAAACAGAATTCCTTCCATCCTTGGGACAATGGAAAAAACCACCCATCACCCAGGAGACCTGCAGGCCTCTTAGAGAGGCCCTACCCTTCTGCTTCCCAGGGGATCATAACCACAGTATGTCTGTAGCTTTTCAGATTCATCACAGGACCTGCATTGAGCTCCTTTTTGCTTAGTTCCTGGTGTCTTGGGGCTTTAGAAGGCATTCCAATAGAGATACAGACTCTGGATATTTAACCAATTAGTTCAATTTTCACTGTGAAGTGTTCAGCTCATTCTCAAAAGTTGCAGTTATTTAAAAATATATATTTCAATCTGAGAAAGCTGATTTAAAAGAAAAAGAAAAAAGTATATATATATATAAATGTATATATATGTATATATATATATAAATGTATATATATGTATATATATATATAAATGTATATATATGTATATATACATATGTGTATATATAGTGTGTGTGTGTGTGTGTGTGTGTGTATGTATATATGCCTGAGCCATTGTGCTGATGTTGGGTGTGTCTGAGGATGAGACAGGTGAAATTTTTTGCAGGCAACTCCTTTGGGGTAAAGCTCCTTAACTAACCATTCCAAACTCCTCAGGGTATCACTTTTTCCCTGATAGCGGTTCTAAATACTCTAGCCTACCCTGGTGGCCAATTCTGGGTAATGCAATCTCAAGAGGAGGCTTTCCAGATTTCCTCCCAAGCGTTATGCTGGTCAGAGAGATCCTGCACCATTAGAGGGAAGAAATGTAGAAGCTGAGGGTTTTCTTGCCTTCTACCAGTGGAAGCCCAGGAAAAGATGGAGGAGGGGACAAGAAAATTCACCTTGCAGTTTTTCCACCAATACTTCCTCTTTAGCTTGGCAGCACTGCTCTCAAATTGTGATGCTCCTGCCTGCAAGGCATCAGCTCGGTCATCCAGCTCTGACAGCTTCTGGTCCCTCTCCAGGACCTTGTCCACGTTCACACGTATGATGTCCACCACCTGAGGAGGGCACAGAAACAAAGCAGCTAAGCTTCCTGCCAGAGACAGAGGAAAGGACAACAACCAGAGAATCACAAGTCTGGCCCTGTGCAACTCTAAAGGGTGCTTTGCCTCTCAGGGCCTTTGACTATTCTCCTACGAAAAAAGGAGAAAAGATAAGAAGTTCCCTTTTGTTTCCAAACTCCTAGATTTGGAAACTTTCAGAGAAACAGCTATCTACCTACCTCCTCCACTTGTGCCTGGGTTTGCTGTAGTCGTCTGTTACTGGTCATGTTAGGAGGAGGGCCAGGGGGACCCCCACCTGGGGCAGTCCCTTCTGTCCCTTCAGCAGGTGGCTGAGCTGGAGCAGACCTGTGGAAAGACATGTGCAGAGTACACAAAGTGACCAAGACAAGAAAGGAGCTGGGCGTGGTAGCACACACCTGTAGTCCCAGCTACTCAAGAGGCTGAAGTGGGAGGAGCGCTTGAGCCCAGGAGTTCGAGGCCAGCCTGGGCATCATAGCGAGACCCCATCTCTAAAAAAACAGACAAAAAGAAAGGACTCACATGCATCCTCACCCCAAACCACTTAAACAATTATGATTAGGCTATACAAAACTAGAATGGATTCTTGCTCCTTGGCAATCTGAAGTAGGGAGACAAACCATAGAGGCAAGAAGTAAAAGATGAAAGACTCTGCAACAACATTTGGATGGGGTTCAGGGACATCCAGGATGGCATCAAGACATCTCATCTGGGGCTATCCTTTGACTCAACTCAAACAAGTCCTCTGCCATGATGGCTACAGGGACATATGGCCTAGCCTTGTCCTAAATGGCATTTCCCCGCTGATATGGTTTGGCTGTGTCCCCACCCAAATCTCAACTTCAATTGTATCACCCAGAATTCCCACATGTTGTGGGAGGGACTCAGGGGAGGTAACTGAATCATGGGGCCCATCTTTCCGGTGCTATTCTGGTGATAGTGACGAAGTCTCATGAGATCTGATGGGTTTATCAGTGGTTTCTGCTTTTGCTTCTTCCACATTTTCTCTTGCTGCTGCCATGTAAGAAGTGCCTTTCACCTGCCGCCATGATTCTGAGGCCTTCCCAGCCATGTGGAACTGTAAGTCCAATTAAACCTCTTTTTCTTCCCAGTCTTGGGTATGTCTTTATCAGCAGCATGAAAACAGACTAATACAGTAAATTGGTACCAGTAGAGTGGGGTGTTGCTGAAAAGATACCCAAAAATGTGGAAGCGACTTTGGAACTGGGTTAACAGGGAGAGGATGGAACAGTTTGGAGGGCTCAGAAGAAGACAGGAAAATGCGGGAAAGTTTGGAACCTCCTAGAGACTTGTTGAATGGCTTTGACAAAAATGCTGTTAGTGATATGAACAATAAGGTCCAGGCTGAGGTGGTCTCAGATGGAGATGAGGAACTTGTTGGGAACTGAAGCAAAGGTGACTCTTGTTATGTTTTGGCAAAAAGACTGGCAGCATTTTGCCCCTGCCCTAGAAATTTGTGGAACTTTGAACTTGAGAGAGATAATTTAGGGTATCTGGCAGAAGAAAAGACGCAGTACTAAAGAAAAAAACCATTTTTTTGAGAAGAAATTCAAGGCAGCTGCAGAAATTTGCATAAGTAGCAAGGAACCTAGTGTTAGCCCCTAAGACCATGGGGAAAATGTCTCCAGGCCATGTCAGAAGCCTTCATAGCAGCCCCTCCCATCACAGGCCTGGAGGCCCAGGAGGAAAAAGTTATTTTGTGGGCCAGGCCCAGGGTCCCCATGCTGTGTGCAGCCTAGGGACTTAGTGCCCTGTGTCCCAGCCGCTCCCACTGTGGCTGAGAGGGGCCAATGCAGGGCTCGGGCCGTGGCTTCAGAGGGTGGAAGCCCCAAGCCTTGGCAGCTTCCACATGGTGTTGAGCCTGCAGATGCACAGAAGGCAAGAACTGAGGTTCGGGAACCTCCGTCTAGACTTCAGAAGATGTATGGAAACGCCTGGATGTCCAGGCAAAAGTTTGCTGCAAGGGCAGGGCCCTCATGGAGAACCTCTGCTAGTGTAGTACAGAAGGGACATGTGGGGTTGGAGCCCCCACACAGAGTCCCCACTGGAACACTGCCTAGTGGAGCTATGAGAAAAAGGTCACCATTCTCCAGACCCCAGAATGGTAGATCCACTGGTAGCTTGCACCGTGCGCCTGGAAAAGCCACAGACACTCAATGCCAGTCCGTGAAGGGAGCCAGGAGGGAGGCTGTACACTGTAATGTCTGTCAGCTCACCCCTTTTTATATTCAAGTTATTGGTTATGGTTATTGGTTTATATGCCCAGTTATTGGTTATGCTTCACACAAGATGAGGAAATCAGGGCTGCCATAAGGGCAGCTTGGAAAATCACCAAAGGCAAAGTCTATGTAGGTGGAGTGAGTCAGGACTGTTTGTTTGCTTTGTTTTTGGCAGAGAAAATGGGGGTTTCACTTAGATAGAATCTGGGGCCCAAAGCAATTACATTAGTTATGGAAACTGTTCCAAGAGCATAGACAGGAAGCAAAAATGCTAGAAATTGTCCTCAATGTGCATGCATTATAGACATTCTGTCCCTTCCTTTTCTGGATTTGACAGTCTCAGATGACTCCCTTGGTTACTTACATCCCAAAGAGAGATCTTGGTTTACTGTACTATACACACAGAGAATGTTCTCTCATTCTGTACCACTCAAAGTTAGTGTGTGGTCTTCAAGACAAACTCCTCTCCATGTCCCAAAACATGGAGGCTAAACTCACCTCCTAAAGAATTCCCAGAAGTATAACCTAAGTCATGAGATGTTCTCGGCCAAGGAAGCACCCACAGGCAGGGGGGAGATCTCTCAAATTTGATGGAGAATAGAAATTACAGTAAGAACTCCTCAAACAGAAGCAGAATCTCACCAAACATACTTCACAGGAGCAGTCCAAGAGTAAATGCAACAAAAATGAAACCACAAAGTCACCTAAAAGGAAATTATTTGACTAATTACAATAGAACTAATACCCAGAAGCTCATTCTCCTTGATTAAGTGAATTTCTTTTAGTCTAAAAAGATAGAGAATAACTCCTCAGAGAGGCTATGGTAGCAGATTACACCTGACTCATTCCCCATTTGAAGAATCACTTTTCCATTTCCCTCTAAGGTGCAAAGGAGGTAAAGCAAAGATAGACACAAAGTCATGGGAGCCACAAGACTCTTGTCCTGCCACTGAGCTAGCTAAGCAATCTAGCTCTCGACTTAAGGCAGAAAATTCAATGAGTAGGTAGCAGCCAGTGTTGGAAGCAGTCCAGGATGGTAGCACCAATGACAAGATTAAGGTCAGAGACCTCGTGATGCCCCGCTAGCCACCACGATTTTTCTGTTGCCTTCTGTTCATCCCACGTAGATACTATCTGGAAGCCCCCTCCCCAAAATGAAAACAACTGGAATTCTACGGCTTGCCCAAAATGCATAGAACACTCATATCTGGTTAAAACCATAGAAATCAAAAAGAAAAAGTGAAATGGCTATGAAGTATTTGCAAGGCCAATTTCACTTACTACTTGTTGGGAGTTGGAAACACTCAACAGTAAAATATCTAGGGATAATTACAACCCTTATGTAACACAAGTAAATCTTTCCCTTTTTTGTCACTTAGAGAAGCAACATAAATACATCTAGGACCAGGCCAGGGTAGTAATCAGAAAGAAAAATCTGTATTAGACATATTGAGGTCTTGACAGAGAAGTACTTCGTTTGTTTAGCCGTAGTTTTCCCTCAAGATCATGCGAAGGGGGTGATGTTGAAGACTGCTGGAGACTAAACTGTGTGTGTTGGAGGAAAGGGGGAAAGCTCAGCTCTCCCTATTTCTCCTCCAACTATTTGGTAAGACTCGGTGATAGAAAAACATCTCCTATACGAATGGCCTTGGTATGAACAGCCGCTTGGGATGACAGGCCACTATCCCACTACCCCTTGAGTCTTTCTGAGCTGCTCACCTGGTGCCAGAGAACTGGCAGATAAGTTTCTGCAGCTTTGCTCACTGCCATGAGGGGGGCTAGACATCACACTTTGGGTGAGGGGTAAACAAATCCAGAGATTGTAGGGCAACATAAGTTACCAACTGGCAGTTGCACCCATGACTGTCTTTCCTGAGGCGCTGAGTAGTGATTTAGCCAGATGACAGAAATACCTTTCGAGTCCCCTGCCCAGTTGTCTCCATCCACCACCCCCAGCCCCCGCCCTCTCCGAGTCTCCACTATACCAAAACCAGAATGAGGCGCCACTCAGACGAGAGGAGAGGGTGCAATGATTGTGGGACCCCTGCGCCCCTGCCCCGCCCGTGGGGTGCTAGCTGTGGCTGGTGCGAGAATGGGGTGCTGGCCCCCCTCCCTGGGGGTGGCCCGGTCCGGAAGCGGCGCGCGGTGGTAGTTCCCCGCGTTGCTGCAGCTGCTGCATTGCGCCATTTTCCGTCCCGCAGAATCGGGAGCTTGGGGCGAGAGTTGTCAAGGAGGTGCCGAGCCCCCACACCAGAGTCAACTCACATTTTTCTGACAGAGAGAGTGAGGGTCTGTTCCTCTCCGGAGGCTGCGGCGAGACACCCGGTGAGGGACGCTGCGGCTGAAGTGGACGGAACTGCCAAGCTCCGCCTCGCGCCGACTACCCCGCGGTCTAGCTGCGCTGGAACTTACTGCAGCTGCCGCGCCGGCCTCCGCCTTTATTAGTGCTGACCACGCCTCCCGGATAACGGTGACAACCCCGCGGCCCAATCCATGCCCAGGACGGTCGCCCAGCGCTACAGGCCTAGCCCGCCCCGCCCCTGCCAATTGCCAGTCACAACTCTCCTCTCATCCGACTCCGGAAAGGAGCGGTTGCTGTGAGGATCCTTCAGTGATCAATGCGACCATAGTTTGCGCTCCAGTCTGGCGGAGGGACGGGGCGGGGTGGAGATGAGGTCTGTCCCTTCGGAGGGCGCTTCAGCAGTTTGTTAGGCATTTGTGGTGCCTCCCAACCAATCGCTAGGCAGTTACTGAAGACCGTGCCCGCCCCTGCCCCACCCCGCGCCGGGACTCGCGCATTCAGCTGGAGGCGGCGGCTTCCTGGTGCGCGCCCAGCCCTGGTGCCCTGCTCTGGCCCTCGCTCCGCACCACCGCCCCGCCTCTAACTAACGCTCTGAGAGGGTGCAGGAGCCTCGAGACACAGCCACAAGCTCCTGGTGCCAGATACCGGATGCGGGGTTCCGTCCCACCAAAGCAAGCACGAAGCTTTCGTTCATTCGTTTCTTTCAACATAGCCTTCCTAAATTGAACTCCCTCCCAAACCTGCTCCAGTCGAGGTTACCACATCGACTCAGTTGCCCAGACCAGAAACGTGGAAACCATCCTAGATTTCCTCCCCTTCACCTTTACCTCTCCCCCAGTAATCTGCCAAATCGAGTTGATTTTTCCTTCTTGGCATTCCAGTGATTATCTCCCCTCTGCTCACTATTATCCCTTTCCTGGACTCCATCAGTTGGAAAATTCACCATTATTTTATGTCCCGCTAAGAAAAAAGGTTACAAGGCCGGGCGCAGTGGCTCACACCTGTAATCCCAGCACTTTGGGAGGCCGAGTCAGGCAGATTACCTGAGATCAGGAGTTCGAGACCAGCCTGGCCAACATGGCGAAACCTCTGTCTCTACTAAAAATACAAAACAGCCAGGCATGGTGGCGGGCGCCTGTAATCCCAGCTACTCGTGAGGCTGAGATAAGAGAATCGCTTGAAGCCGGGAGCCGACGGTTGCAGTGAGCCGAGATCACGCCACTGCACTCCAGCCTGGGCAACAGAGCAAGACCCTGTTTCAAAAAAAAAAAGAAAAAAGGTTGCAAATTATCTGTGACAAATGCTTTCCTTACCACTTAGCATTTTTGTTTTACATGTATTGAAAATATGGGTTTATATACATACCGATTTCTATATTTCACTCTTGTGCATGCATAAAAAGGGAAATAGAAAACAATAACATGGTAACTATCCCTAAAACTTCACAGAGACTGATTGTTAATGATTCACTTTTTTGACTCAGTCTTGGATGTCCACTAATTTCCACGCAATGTAGTCCTCTGTGCATTTCATAAGGGCTTTGGTGATGCAGCATTTCCTAAGAGTGTTCCTCTCCAGGCTCTAGAGTTTTCTTCCAAGCCTCAGACACCCATTTGGCAAGCTTTGATGCTCATGAGCAGGTATGACAAATATAGTTTGACTGCTGTCTGACTAATAGCTAAAGTGAAACATCCCAATTAGAAGATATTGAAATGCAAAAAAACAAACAAACAAGCACACACAAAAAACCCAAGTGCCTCCTAAGATCAATGATACATCATTCTGCTTCCAGTCTTGCCATCCTTTACATCTATTCTCTAAAAAGTCCACCAAAGTTATCTATCCAAATGTCACAAGTCTTCTTAAGGAAACAATTGCACTTGGAAACATAATGCATTCATCATATGTGTTTATCCCATTCTCCTCCTGAAACCACATCAAAATGGCAAGTTAGGGGGAAAAATGACAATTTGGGAAAATTTGCAAAAAATTATAAGCCCCCAAAGACAAAAAGAATGGGGCCGGGCGTGGTGGCTCACTCCCGTAGTCCCAGCTATTTGGGGGGCTGAGGCGGAAGGACAGCTTGAGCCCAGATGTTCCGGTTGCAGTGAGCCGAGATCACGCCACTGCACTCCCACCTGGGTGACAAAATGAGACCCTATCTCCAAAAGAAAAGAAAAAGGGCCAGGCGCAGTAACTCACACCTGTAATCCCAGCAATGTGGGAGGCCAAGGAGGGCGGATCACTTGAAGCCAGGAGTTCAAGACCAACCTGGCTAACGCAGCAAAATCCCGTCTCTACTAAAAATACAAAAATTAGCTGGGCATGGACGCCTGTAGTCCCAGCTACTCGGGAGACTGAGGCAGGAGGATCACTTGAACCCGGGAGGCGGAGGCTGCAGTAAGCCGAGATCTTGCCACTGCACTCCAACCTGGGCAACAGAATGAGACTGTCTCAAAAAAAAAAAAAAAAAGAAAGAAAGAAAGAAAAAGAAAAGAAAAAAGAATGGGAGGAAATATTTCTGGCAGCATGAATGCCTATTTATTCCCACCAACTTTCCCCTGAAAAAAAACTTAAAATCATTGAATGGTGACTCACGCCTATAATCCCAGCATTTTGGGAGGCCAAAGCAGGAGGATCACTTGAGCCCAGGAGTTCAAGACTAGCCTGGACAACATGGTGAAATCCTGTCTCTACAAGAAATAGATACAAAAAAATATAGCTGGGTATTGTGGCACACACCTGTAGTTCCAACTACTTGGGAGGCTGAGGTGGGAGGATTACCTGAGCCTGAGGAGGTCAAGAAAGCAGTGAGCCATGATCACACCATTGCACTCCAACCTGGGCAACAGAGTGAGACCCTGTCTCAAAAAAACGGGGTTGAGGGGGTGGCATTTTTTAAACTTTTTTTTTTTTTTTTTGAGACGGAGTCTCCCTCTGTCGCCCACGCTGGAGTGCAGTGGCGCTATCTCGGTTCACTGCAAGCCCCACCTCCTGGGTTCACGCCATTCTCCTGCCTCAGCCTCCTGAGTAGCTGGGACTACAGGCACCCGCCACCACGCCCGGCTAATTTTTTGTATTTTTAGTAGAGACAGGGTTTCACAGTGTTAGCCAGGATGGTCTCGATCTCCTGACCTCATGATCCACCCGCCTCGGCTTCCCAAAGTGCTGGGATTACAGGCGTGAGCCACCGCGCCCGGCCTTAAACTTTTTATTTTAAAGTAATTATAGATTCATATAAGGTGGCCAAAAAAAAAAAATACAATACAGGGAGGTTCCCCTAAACCCCTTTACCCAGTTCCCCCAACAGTAACATCTTGTATAAATACAGTTTAAAATTATTAAAATATTAAAACCAGGAAATTATCATTAGCAAAATCCAGAGTTTATTCAAATTTCACCGATTTTCCAAACTGGCATGTACCACCAAACACTTCTTTTTGTGTTCGTGTGTGTTTGAGTGGTTTTATGCAATTGTATCATGTGTAGATTTGTGTAACCACAACCACAGTTAGGATACAGCATTTTCACATTACTGCAAGGCTCCCATGTGCTACCCCTTTATATTCCAACCCACCGCCATCCCTAAACCTTAGCAACACTAATTTGTTCTCCATCTCTGTAACTTTATTTCAAGAGCCTTATGTAAATGTAGTCATGCTTTTTTCTATATCACGTAACCTTTCAAGATTGGCTTTTTTCATTCATCCAAGTTATTGTGTGTATCATTACTTTTTCAACCATCCAAGTTATTGTGTGTATCATTAGTTTTCACCACTGATTAATATTCCGTGGTACATTTAACCATTTACCTGCTGAAGGACATTTGGAGTGATTTCAGCACTGGGCTATTACAAATAAAGTTGCTGTGAACTTTCATACAGGTTTTGTGTGAACATAAATTCTCATTTCTCTGGGATAAATGCCTGAGTGCAATGCTTGGGCAGTAAGGTAATTGCATCTCTAGTTTTATAAGAAACTGCCTTTGCCTGTGTTGCCCAGGCTGGTCTTAAACTCCTGAGCTCAAGCAATTCTCCCACTTCAGCTTCCCAAGTAGCTAGGACTATAGGCATCATGCCCAGCTGTATTTTTCTTATTTTAACCATTCTAATATGTGTTCAGTGCTATCATTGTGGTTTTAATTCTTATTTCACTGATGGCTAATGATATCAAATATCTTTTAAAGTGTTTGCCTTGTATATATTATCCTATTTGATGAAATGTTGGTTCATGTCTTTTGGCCATTTTCTTTTTTTTTTTATTGATCATTCTTGGGTGTTTCTCGCAGAGGGGAATTTGGCAGGGTCATAGGACAATAGTGGAGGGAAGGTCAGCAGATAAACAAGTGAACAAAGGTCTCTGGTTTTCCTAGGCAGAGGACCCTGCGGCCTTCCGCAGTGTTTGTGTCCCTGGGTACTTGAGATTAGGAAGTGGTGATGACTCTTAAGGAGCATGCTGCCTTCAAGCATCTGTTTAACAAAGCACATCTTGCACCGCCCTTAATCCATTTAACCCTGAGTGGACACAGCACAGGCCGCAGAGAGCACAGGGCTGGGGGCAAGGTCACAGCTCAACAGCATCCCAAGGCAGAAGAACCCCTCCCAGTACAGAACAAAATGAAGTCTCCCAAGTCTACTTCTTTCTACACAGACACAGCAACAATCTGATTTCTCTATCTTTTCCCCACCTTTCCCCCTTTTCTATTCCACAAAACCGCCATCGTCATAATGGCCCGTTCTCAATGAGTTGTTGGGTACACCTCCCAGACGGGGTGGTGGCCGGGTAGAGGGGCTCCTCACTTCCCAGAAGGGGTGGCCGGGCAGAGGCGACCCCCACCTCCCTCCCGGACGGGGCGGCTGGCCGGGCGGGGGCTGACCCCCCACCTCCCTCCCGGACGGGGTGGCTGCCAGGCAGAGACGCTCCTCACCTCCTAGACGGGGTCACGGGCGGGCAGAGGCGCTCCCCACATCTCAGACGATGGGCGGCCGGGCAGAGACGCTCCTCACTTCCTAGACGGGATGGCGGCCGGGAAGAGGTGCTCCTCACTTCCCAGACTGGGCAGCCGGGCAGAGGGGCTCCTCACATCCCAGATGATGGGCGGCCAGGCGGAGACGCTCCTCACTTCTCAGACAGGGTGGCTGCCGGGCGGAGGGGCTCCTCACTTCTCAGATGGGGCAGCTGCCGGGCGGAGGGGCTCCTCACTTCTCAGACGGGGCAGCCAGGCAGAGACGCTCCTCACCTCCTAGACGGGGTCACGGCCAGGCAGAGGCGCTCCCCAAATCTCAGACGATGGGCGGCCGGGCAGAGACGCTCCTCACTTCCTAGACGGGATGGCGGCCGGGAAGAGGTGCTCCTCACTTCCCAGACTGGGCAGCCGGGCAGAGGGGCTCCTCACATCCCAGACGATGGGCGGCCAGGCGGAGACGCTCCTCACTTCCCAGACGGGGTGGCGGCTGGGCAGAGGCTGCAATCTCGGCACTTTGGGAGGCCAAGGCAGGCGGCTGGGAGGTGGAGGTTGTAGCTAGCCGAGATCATGCCACTGCACTCCAGCCTGGGCAACATTGAGCACTGAGTGAACAAGACTTGGTCTGCAATCCCGGCACCTCGCGAGGCCTTCTGAGTAGCTGGTACTACGGGCGCCTGCCACCATGCCTGGCTAATTTTTGTATTTTTAGTAGAGACGGGGTTTCACCATATTGGCCAGGCTGATCTCGAACTCCTGACCTCAGATGATCTGCCAGCCTCAGCCTCCCAAAGTGCGGGATTACAGGCGCGAGTCTTGTATTTCTTTTAAAATCAATCTCACACACACCCTTTTTTCTCCCTCTCCCTCACATATCCTGTTTTCTCTTTTTAGACATCGGACTATTAATTAGATATTGGACTATTTGGCTTAATTTTCTAATTATCTTTCTTATTTCCTGTCTCCATCTCTGCTGGTTCTTGTTCTTGGTGCCTTGTTCCTTATTTGTTTGGAATTTTTGACCACAATTTATTTTTCTTGGAACTGTATCTGTGGAAATTCCCCGAGGCCTAGATTAAAGATGAGTTCATCCAGAAAGGATCTGCATTGCTTCTGCTGGGTTCTTGGTGGTACTGTCAATCCAAAACCACTTTAAATTCTTGCCATTTTCTTTTTAGGATCAACAAAGAGTTCAGGCAGAAACACCACAGCCTGTGGTTATACATTCTCTGCAAATACTTAAAAGAAAAAAATAAAAGAACTCCAGCAGGCACCTGGGTTCCAGACAAACAACATTCCACGGAGTGCTCTGGGGCAGTTTGGGTTCTAGTATATTCGTAATTCATTCTTAGATGAGGATATAGTCCTTTGGGGTTCTGACTTTATGGTAAGGACTTTCTATTAGATTTCCAACCTTGGGTAAGCCCTGGGCTTTATTTCCTGTGCCACAGTGGTAGCCTGTGAGGCTGCTACGCTCATATTAAACTTTATAGCAAATACCCTCAGAGCAAAATAGTCTTTGGGACTCAGCAACTTCCCTGGTTACTGGCTTTCACTTAGTTTTTCGTGTTTAAATAGTCTTTACTCTCAGGCCAACTCATAAATAGATTTTATCTATAGAAGAACAAAGAAGAATAAAATAGGAGGAATAACTATCTCATGCTTACTACTATATAGTTGCAGTAATCAAGACAGTGTGGTATTGGTGGGAGGACAGACACATAGATCGATGGCACCGATGAGAGAATGCAGAAATAGACCCCTACAAATATGCGCATCTGATTTTTTTTTTTTTTTTTTTGAGACAGAGTCTTGCTCTGTCGCCAGGCTGGAGTGCAGTCATGCAATCTCGGCTCACTGCAACCTCTGCCTCCCAGGTTCAAGCGATTCTCCTGCCTCAGCCGACCAAGTAGCTGGGACTACAGGCGTGCGCCACCACGCCCAGCTAATTTTTTGTATTTTTAGTAGAGACGGGGTTTCACCGTGTTGGCCAGGATAGTCTGGATCTCTTGACCTCGTGATTCGACTGCCTTGGCCTCCCAAAGTGCTGGGATTACAGGCGTGAACCACCATGCCTGGCCTTCTGTATTTTTTAAGATTCCTATCTGGAGAGCCCCCAGCTCTGCGGCGGCTTCACCCGCGAGTCCCAAGGCAAGCGAGCGGCTGGGTCGCCCCCACCGGCCCCATGGCAGCCCCCGGGGCCCCAGCTGAGTACGGCTACATCCGGACCATCTTGGGCCAGCAGATCCTGGGACAACTGGACAGCTCCAGCCTGGCGCTGCCCTCTGAGGCCAAGCTGAAGCTGGCTGGGAGCAGCGGCCGCGGCAGCCAGTCAAGAGCCTGCGGATCCAGGAGCAGGTGCAGCAGATCCTCGCCCGGAAGGGCCGCAGCTCCGTGGGCAACGGAAATCTTCACCGAACCAGCAGTGTTCCTGAGTATGTCTACAACCTACACTTGGTTGAAAATGATTTTGTTGGAGGCCGTTCCCCTGTTCCTAAAACCTATTACATGCTAAAGGCTGGCACAACTGCCACTTATGAAGGTCGCTGGGGAAGAGGAACAGCACAGTACAGCTCCCAGAAGTCCGTGGAAGAAAGGTATTTGAGGCATCCTCTGAGGAGACTGGAGATTTCTCCTGACAGCAGCCCGGAGAGGGCTCACTACACGCACAGCGATTACCAGTACAGCCAGAGAAGCCAGGCTGGGCACACCCTGCACCACCAAGAAAGCAGGCGGGCCGCCTTCCTGGTGCCACCGAGATATGATCGTTCTGAGATCGCGGGGGTCCGCCGTACTGGCACCACAAGCAGGCAGCACCACTTTGACACCACAGGCAGTACCAGCGTGGCTCTGTTAGTGACACCGTTTTTGACAGCATCCCTGCCAACCCGGCCCTGCTCACGTACCCCAGGCCAGGGACCAGCCGCAGCATGGGCAACCTCTTGGAGAAAGAGAACTACCTGAGGGCAGGGCTCACCGTCGGCCAGGTCAGGCCGCTGGTGCCCCTGCGGCCCCTCACTCAGAACAGGGCTTCCAGGTCCTCCTGGCACCGGAGCTCCTTCCACAGCACCCGCACACCGAGGAAAGCTGGGCCCAGTGTTGCCGTGGATTCCAGCGGGAGGAGAGCGCACTTGACCGTCGGCCAGGCAGCGGCAGGGGGAAGTGGGAATCTTCTCACCCAGAGAAGCACTGACTCCCAGCTGGGGAATGCAGACATGGAGATGACTCTGGAGCGAGCAGGGAGTATGCTCGATGCAGACCAGATGCCGCCGTCCAGGATTTCTGCCGCAGCCACTTTCATACAGCACGAGTGCTTCCAGAAATCTGAAGCTGGGAAGAGGGTTAACCAGTTTTGTGGCATCCCCAAGCTTCTGCAGCTCCTAAAAGTTCAGAATGAAGATGTTCAGCGAGCTGTGTGGGGGGCCTTGAGAAACTTACTATTTGAAGACAATGACAACAAATTGGAGGTGGCTGAACTAAATGGGGTAACTCGGCTGCTCCAGGTGCTGAAGCAAACCAGAGTCTTGGAGACTAAAAAACAACTAACAGGTTTGCTGTGGAATTTGTCATCTAATGACAAACTCAAGAATCTCATGATAACAGAAGCATTGCTTATGCTGACCGAGAATATAATCATCTCCTTTTCTGGATGGCCTGAAGGAGACTACCCAAAAGCGAATGGTTTGCTCGATTTTGACACAGTCTACAACCCACTGGATGTCTAAGAAACATGAGTGCTGCTGGCCCTGATAGGAGAAAAGCAATGAGAAGATGTGACCGACTCATTGACTCACTGGTCCATTATGTCAGAGGAACCATTGCGGATTACCAGCCAGATGACAAGGCCACGGAGAATTGTGTGCACATTCTTCATAACCTCTCCTACCAGCTGGAGGTAGAGCTCCCAGAGAAATATTCCCAGAATATCTATATTCAAAACCCAAATGTCCAGACTAACAACAAAAGTATTGGATGTTTTGGCAGTCGAAGCAGGAAACTAAAAGAGCAATACTAGGACATGCCGATGCCAGAGGAAAAGAGCAACCCCAAGGGCGTGGAGTGGCTGTGACACTCCATTGTGATAAGGATGTATCTGTCCTTGATCGCCAAGAGTGTCCCAAACTACACACAGGAAGCCTCCTTAGGCGCTCTCCAGAACCTCACAGCCGGAAGTGGACCAATGCCGACATCAGTGGCTCAGACAGTCGTCCAGAAGGAAAATGGCCTGCAGCACACCCGAAAGATGGTGCATGTCAGTGACCCAAGTGTGAAAAAGACAGCCAACTTGCTGCTGAGGAATCTGTCCCAGAATCTTTCTCTGCAGAATAAAATTGCCAAAGAAACTCTCCCCAGTTTGGTCTCCATCATTCCTGATACAGTCCCGAGTACTGACCTTCTCATTGAAACTACAGCCTCTGCCTGTTACATGTTGAACAACGTAATCCAAAACAGTTACCAGAATGCACAGCGCCTTCCGAATACCGGGGGCATCCAGAAAATTATGACCATCAGTGCAGGCGATGCCTATGCCTCCAACAAAGCAAGTAAAGCTGCTTCCATCCTCCTGTATTCTCTGTAGGCACACACGGAACTCCATCATGCCTACAAGAAGGCTCAGTTTAAGAAGACAGATTTTGTCAACAGCTGGACTGTCAAAGCCTACCACTCCCTTAAAGACTGAGGAAAATGACGAAGTATTCTCAGCTGCAAAAAAATCCCACAGGAAAACACCTATTTTTCTACTACCCAGCCCAAGAAACCTCAAAAGCATGCCTCGTTTCTATCATTTTCTATTTCCATGGTCCCCCGAATCCAGAAAACAAGTACAACATAATCTTATGAGTCTTCCAGAAGACTTTTGCAAGCTTGCCACCAGTAGATACTGGTCACAGGCTCTACAAATAGTGGTCTTTGTTATTAGGGCTTATGGTGCATGGCCTCCTGGAACCAAAATGTGAATTCATGTGGAATGGACTTTGATCCAATAAATAAGGAAAGAAGTTGTTGCATTACTGGGATTTTAAAAGCTTGATTTACATTTATATTCCTTTTCTAGTTCCCATGTTTTGTCACTCATGTGCACATTGCTTCACCATTGGGCCATGAGTATATTGTTCTGTAGTGTTGAAACAGAATGGAAATGACAAGAAATATCTGCAGTTATCCAGGAGAAAGTATAATGGCAAAATTATTTGTTTCTTTGTTTACTTTGTGCTCGTTTTTATCTCCTTAGGTTTTTTTCCTCTGATTTTTAAATAAACTTAAGAAATTTAGATTACAGAGTATGCATGACTGTAAGAAAAAGAAATTGAGAGGAAGTGATCATAGCAAATTAAAGAAACCTTTTTCTCCCAAAACTTAAAGTAAAATAAATAAAAATAAAAATAAATCTTTTCCCCAGAGAAAGGCAACTGTGATTATAAAGTTTAACCTTCCCCCAAACACTGAATGAATGAGATTTTTGCTCCGGAAATACTTTACCTATAACAACACCATTAAATCCAAATCTCTTCTAAACAATGGCATTCCGTGTAATGCCTTTCCTGGACATTTTTTTTTTTTTTTTTTTTTAGACGGAGCTCAGGCTGGAGTGCAGTGGTGCAATCTTGGCTCACTGCAACCTCCGCCTCCCTGGTTCAAGTGATTCTCCTGCCTCAGCCTCCTGAGTAGCTGGGATTACAGGCGTGCACCACCACGCCTGGCTAATTTTTTTGTATTTTTAGTAGAGACAGGGTTTCACCATGTTGGTCAGGCTGGTCTTGAACTCCTGACCTCATGATCCGCCCGGCTCAGCCTCCCAAAGTGCTGGGATTATAGGTGTGAGCCACCGCACCGGGCCTTCTGTATTTTTTAGGCCACTGCCCTGGACTAGTGGAAGAATGGACTCTAGTCTTTATCTGCAAGAGGAACTAAGGCCTTCTATCAGACTGCCCGGCCAGCCTGGGGCACTGAAAATACAGCTCATTTTAATGAGTTACATTATCAACCAGCTTTGCCCAGCATTTAAGAAATATCACAGGGCCACTAAATCTCATATGATCTTCTTCAAGCCATTATTTTAATTCAAGAAAACTCTAGAGAAAAAAGTGAAGAAGTCATGTTGAAGAAGATATAAGAATGTGTCAAGACCATACAGAAATGATATGAGAAATACTGGTGTTTTAAAAGGTGACATCATCCAGTGAAATGAATCTATATTAAATGTTATTTTAACTGCATTATGATTAAAACCATTCATATAGAGTTAGTCTTCACAACTACTATTCTGTTATATTTTGTTTTTTTTTTTTTAAATCTGACAACGTTTGTCATAAGTAAGATAAGGAAAAAAACTCTTCAACTCCTTTTGGCCAGAAAAGTGTAATAGAAAATAAATGTTGAATATGTACTTAAGTCTTTATTATATTTGAAACTTAAATTTTTTTTCAGTTTTAAAAGCTGAATGAAGATAGCTTAGGTAACTAACCTAGTTCAAAATGAAATTTAGATACCAATTTTTAAAATACTGGAGAGAATTTATATGTCTTTTTCCAGAGTTCTGATAATAAGCATTTGGAGTGCATTCATTCCTCCAGATAATAAATGTATGTTCAAGAACTTTTTGTGTTTTTTAAGACATTAATAGAGTCTTCAATAATATTAAATACAAAAGGAGACAAAAAAAAAAAAGATTCCTATCTGGACTGGGCACGGTGGCTCACGCTTGTAATCCCAGCACTTTGGAAGTCCGAGGTGGGCAGATCACGAGGTCAGGAGTTGGAGACCAGCCTGACCAACATGGTGAAACCCTGTCTCTACTAAAATACAAAAAATTAATCGGGCGTGGTGGCACGCACCTGTAGTCCCAGCTACTCGGGAGGCTGAGGCAGGGGAATCACTTGAACCCGGGAGGCGGAGGTTGCAGTGAGCCTAGATCATGTCATTGCACTCCAGCCTGGGGGACAGAGTGAGACTCCGTCTAAAAAAAAAAAAAATTCCTGTCTGTTTTAGTCAATGACAATCAAATTATCTGTAAATAATCACAGTTTGATCTCTTCGCTTTCATTCCTCATATCTATTTTTTTTAAATAGCATTGAGTATTTCCATACTAAATTAAATTGCAGCAGTGATAGAGGCCATCGTAGGACAGGCCCAGTGGCTCACACCGGTAATCTCAGCAACTCAGGAAGCTGAGGCAAGGAGAATCATTTGAACCTAGGAGTTAGAGAACAGACTGGAAAACCTAGCAAGACCCTGTTTCTACAAAAAATAAATTAGCTGGGCATGGTAGTTTGTACTCATAGTCCCAGCTACTTGGGAGGCTGAGACAGGATTGCTTGAGCCTAGGAATTTGAGGCTGCAGTGAGCTGTGATGGTACCACTGCATTCCAGCCTGAGTGACAGAGAAAGACCCCATTTCTTAAGACAAGCAAAAAAACCCCAAAACTGAAGTACTACTAACATATGCAACAACATGGATAAACCTTGAAAACATTATGCTAAATGAAAGAAGCCAGTCACAAAAGACTGGAATATTGTTCCATCTATATGAAATGTCCAAATAGACAAATTCAGAGATGCAGCCTGTAATCCCAACACTGTGAGAGGCAGAGGTGGGCGGATCACTTGAGGTCAGGAGTTCGAGACCAGCCTGGCCAACATGGCAAAACCCAGTCTCTACTAAAAATACAAAAATTAACTGGGCATGGTGGCTCGTGCCTGTAATACTAGCTACTTGGGAGGCTGAGGCAGGAGGCAGGAGAATTGCTTGAACCCAGGAGACAGAAGTTGCAGTGAGCCAAGATTGCACCTTTGCATTCTAGCTGGGCGACGGAGTGAGACTCAGTCTCAAAAAAAAAAAAAAAAAAAAGAAAGAGAAAGGAAATAGATTAATTGGCCGGACACATTGGCTCATGGCTGTAATCCCAGCACTTTGGGAGGCCAAGACAGTCAGATCACTTGAGGTCAGGAGTTCAAGACCAGCCTGGTCAACATGGCGAAACCCTGTCCCTACTAAAAATACAAAAATTAGCTGGACATGGTGGTGTGTGCCTGTAATCTCAGTTACTCAGGAGGCTGAGGCAGGAGAATCACTTGAACCTTGGGGGTAGAAGTTGCAGTGGGCAACAAAGCAAGATTTCATCTCAACAAAGAAGAAAAAAAAAGTACCTGGGGATGGGATAAGTGGTTGAAAAGGGGGAATGACTTGTAAGGGGTTTCTTTTGGGGTAAGGAAAATGTTCTGGAAGTGGAGGGCGGGGGCAGGTTTGGTAAGATATTGGTCAAAGGGCCTGGGCTGGGCACGGTGGCTCACATCTATAATCCCAGCACTTTAGGAGGCTGAGGCGGGCTGATCACGAGGTCAGGAGATCTAGACCATCATGGCTAACATGGTGAAAGCCCGTCTCTACTAAAAATACAAAAAATTAGCCAGGCGTGGTGGCACACGCCTGTAGTTCCAGCTGCTCAGGAGACTGAGGCAGGAGAATCACTTAAACCCGGGAAGCAGAGGTTGCAGTGAGCTAAGATCGCACCACTGCACTCCAGCCTGGGTGACAGATTGAGACTCTGTCTCAAAAAAAAAAAGACATTGGTCCAAGGATACAAAGTTTTGGTTAGACTTGGGAATAAGTTCAAGTGTCTATTGTACAACACAGTGACTATAGCTAATAACAATGTATTGTATACTTGAAAATTGCTGAGTAGATTTTAAGTGTTCCTATCAGAAAAAATGAAAAGTATGTGAGGTAATGAATTCTTTAATTAGTTTATTTTAGTCATTCTACAATGTATACATATTTTAAAACATCATGTATACCATCAATATATGTAATTTTTATTTAAAAATTTAAAAATAAATAACTTTTTAAATTTTTTGACATTAGGTAGTGGTGATGGTTGCACGACCTCATGAATATACTAAAAACCATTTGATTGTATACTAAATGAGTGAATTGTATGGCATGTTTATCATTTCTTAATTTTTAAAAGTGGAGTGGGAAACTTGAAGATTTGTTTCTAAATTACCTTTACTTTGTATTAAATCAAATCAAAATGAAGAGAAAGTTATGTGACAAAAACAGCAATCCTCTTCTTCACCCCAGCCTACCCTCTAGACTAGCTTCCCAGAATCAGAGACTTTCACTTCTTTTAGCTATTTTTATTTATTTGTTTGTTTGTTTGTAGAGATGGGGGTCGTGCTGACTAGGCTGATTTCAAACTCCTGGGCTCAAGTGATCCTCTCTTCTCAGCCTCCCAAAGTGCTGGGATTATAGGCATGAGCCACCTTGCTAGGCCTAGCTGTTTTTTTCTGGTACTTATCATCATAATATGAAATAATATTATGATTTATCAGTGTGGTGGTTTTTGTTTTTTTGTTTTTTTGTTTTTTTTTTTACACAGAGTCTCACTCTGTCACTCAAGCTTGAGTGCTGTGGTGCAATCATAGCTCACAACAGCCTCAACCTCCCTGGTCTCAGGTGATCCTCCCACTTCAGCCTCTCTCTTTTCTTTCTCTTTTTTTTTTTTTTGAGACAGAGTCTGGCTCTGTTGCCCAGGCTGGAGTGCAGTGGTGCAATCTTGGCTCACTGCAACCTCCGCCTCCCTGGTTCAAGCAATTCTCCTGCCTCAGCCTCCCAAGTAGCTGGGACTACAGGCACCCACCACCACGCCTGGCTAATTTTTTTGTATTTTTAGTAGAGACGAGGTTTCACCGTGTTGGCCAGGCTGGTCTCAAACTCCTGACCTCATGATCTGCCCACCTCGGCCTCCCAAAGTGCTGGGATTACAGGTGTGAGCCACCGCGCCCAGCCACACTTCAGCCTCTCGAGTAGCTGGGACTAGAGGCGCATCCCACCACACTAGACTAATTTTGTATTTTTTGTAGAGCCAGTGTTTCGCCATATTGCCCAGGCTGGTCTCAAACTCCTGGGCTCAAGTGATCCTCCCGCCTCAGTCTCCCAAAGTACTAGCATTACAGGCGTGAGCCACCGTGCCCAACCAGTTTATCAGATTTATTTATTTATTTATTTATTTATTTATTTATTTATTTTTGAGATGGAGTCTTGCTCTATTGCCTAGGCTGGAGTACGGTGGCATGATCTCAGCTCACTATAACCTCCGCCTCCTGGGTTCAAGCAATTCTCCTGCCTCACCCTCCCAAGTAGCTGGGATTACACACATGCACCACCATGCCCAGCTAATTTTTGTATTTTTTAGTAGAGATGGGATTTTGCCATGTTGGCCAGGCTGGTCTTGAACTCCTGACCTTGGGTGATCCACCCGCCTCAGCCTCCCAAAGTGCTGGGATTACAGGCTTGAGCCACTGTACCCAGCCACTTTATCAGTTTTGTAGAAATCAATTAGATTCCTGTTATAAAAGATGAGGTTTTAGTTCTTTTTGATTATCTCATTTGATATTGTAAAAGGAATTTTAAAAAATGCAAATCTATAATTAAAACGAATGTTAAACTTGGAACAGAAGGAAATATCTTAACTTGGTAAAAGTTATATACTAGAGATTCATAACAAATATTTAATAGACATGTATTCCATTTAAGATTTAGAACAAGAAGAGGATGCCTTTTTTTTTTCTTTCTTTTCTTTTCTTTTCTTTTTTTTTTTTTTTTTTTGAGACAGTCTCACTCTGTTGCCCAGGCTGGAGTGCAGTGGCGCGATCTCAGCTCACTGCAACCTCTGCCTCCCGGCTTCAAGCGATTCTCCTGCCTCAGCCTCCTGAGTAGCTGGGATTACAGGCGCCTGCCACCACGCCCGGCTAATTTTTGGGTTTGTTGTTGTTGTTGTTTTGTTGTTTTTGAGATGGAGTCTCACTCTTGTCACCCAGGCTGGAGTGCAATGGCGCAATCTCGGCTCACTGCAACCTCCGCTTCCTGGGTTCAAGCGATTCTCCTGCCTCAGCCTCCCAAGTAACTGGGGATTACAGGTGCCCGCCACCATGCCCAGCTAATTTTTGTATTTTTAGGAGAGATGGGCTTTCACCATGTTGGCCAGGCTGATCTCGATCTCCTGACCTCAAGTGATCCGCTCACCTCTGCCTCCCAAAGTGCTGTGATTACAGGTGTGAGCCACCACCCGTTGTTTTTTTTTTTTTTTTTTGAGACAGAGTTTTGTTCTTGTTGCTGGCAGGGATTACATGCGTGAGCCACCGTGGCTGGCCCTATTTTTTTTTTTTTTTTTTTTAGAGAGAGAGATAGGCTCTTGCTCTGTTTCCCAGGCTGGAGTGCACTGATGTGATCATAGTTCACTGCAGCCTTGAACTCCTGGGCCCAAGCCATCCTCCCACCTCAGCCTCTCAAGTAGCTAAGACGACAGGCACTCACCAGAACTACAGGTACTCACCAACCTACCCAGCTATTTTTTTCTTTTTATTTTTTAGAGGCAGGGTCTCACTATGTTGCCCAGGCTGGTCTCAAACTCCTGGCCTCAAGTGATCCTCCCCTCCCGCTTGGCCTCCAAAAGTGTTGGGATTACAGGTGTGAGCCACTACGCTGGCCAGTACCTCATTTTACAGCTTAATAATATTCCATTGTCAGTGTGCAGGAAGGAGTGTTAAAAAGAAAGTTAAAAAAATAATATTCCATATTCTGGTTGGGTGTGGTGGTTCACGCCTGTAATCCCAGCACTTTGGGAGGGCAAGGTAGGTGGATCACGAGGTCAGGAGATCGAGACCACCCTGGCTAACACGGTGAAACCCCGTCTGTACCAAAAATGCAAAAAATTAGCCGGGCGTGGTGGCAGGTGCCTGTAGTCCCAGCTATTCAGGAGGCTAAGGCAGGAGAATGGTGTGAACCTGGGAGGCGGAGCTCGCAGTGAGCCGAGATCGGGCCACTGCACTCCAGCCTGGGCGACAGAGCGAGACTCTGTCTCAAATAATAATAATAATAATATTCCATATTCTATTGTATGGATAGACCACATTTTGTGTATCCATTCACCAGCTGACGGATATTTGGATTGTTTCTTCTTTTTAGCTATTATGAATAATGTTGCTAAGGAGATTTATGTACAAGTGTTTGTGTGGACATATGTTTTCAGTTTTCTTGGGTATAAACCTAGGAGTGGAATTACTGGGTCATGCAGTAACTCTACACTTAACTTTTTGTGGAACTGCCACTTTTCCAAAGTGGCTGCACCATTTTACTAAAGGCTAAATTTTTTTTTTTGAGATGGAGTCTCACTCTGTCGCCCAGGCTGGAGTGCGGTGGTGCGATCTCAGCTCACTGCAAACTCCGCCTCCTGGGTTCACGCCATTCTCGCGCCTCAGCCTCCCAAGTAGCTGGGACTACAGGTGCCCGCCACCATGCCAGGCTAATTTTTTGTATTTTTAGTACAGATGGGGTTTCACCGTGTTAGCCAGGATGGTCTCGATCTCCTGACCTCGTGATCTGCCTGTCTCAGCCTCCCAAAGTGCTGGGATTACAGGCGTGAGCCACCGCGCCCGGCCCCCTAAAGGCTAAATTTTAATAATCATTACAATCTTCAGGATCTGACTCTTGCTTCCCATCTCTTTCCCTGTCTTTTACCACAAGCAGTAGCTCCACCAGTAAATACCACTCATAGCTTTCTCATGCACACCATGCTGTTTCTTGACTCTAGGCCTTTATTTCTGCTTCAACTGCCTGGAAAAACTGCTAGCCTCCACTCCCTTAAGACAACTCAGTGGTCACCTCTTCTCTAAAGCCCTTCTCGTCCCCATTCCTGCTTCCTCAGGAAAAGATAGGTGTCTCTTCCTCTCCACACCTATACACATAGCTATTAACAAACTTTAAATGTCATGACATACTGGATTTCATAACTATGCTTCTTCATCTGCCTCTTGCACTGGGTGGAATTCTTTTTTCCTTTTTTTTTTTTTTAAAGGCAGGATCTTGCTATGTTGCCCAGGCTAGAATGTAGTGGCCTGATCTCAGCTCACTGCCACCTCCACCTGCTGGGCTCAAGCCATCCTCCCCCCTCAGCCTCCTGAGTAGCTGGAATTACAGGCATGTGCCATCATGCCCAGCTAATTTGTTTTTTGTATTTTTTTAGTAGAGATGGGGTTTCACCACTTTGGCCAAGCTGGTCTTGAACTCCTGACCTCAAGTGATCTGCTCACCTCGGCCTCCCAAAGTGCTGGGATTACAAGCATGAGCCACTGCTCCTGGCCTCAAGAGCTCATTCTAATGCCATCTTTTCAACAAATACCTTTTCTGATCATCCCCCTCAGCAAAAAAAAAAAAGAAAAAAAAAACCTGTCATGGGACTCGCTTTCATTATCATATTTAAATTTACATTTTGTTTACATACACATCTCTTCTTTTTTTCTTTTTTCCAGTCTTACCCCTGTATAAACTGGATGAAGCTGCTGCCAATTTAACCAAGTGGGAATCCCAGTGCTAATTGTCTGCTGGATGGGATATCTTTATTGGAGCAGATTAACATAGCCTCACATTTGTGGTTTGTGACCACTGATTTAGCAAATACATTGTTTTTCTTTTTTCTTTTTCTTTTTCTTTTGAGACAGGGTCTTGCTTTGTTGCCTAGGCTGAAGTGCAGTGTCACAAGCTCAGCTCACTGCAGCCTCGACCCCCAAGGCTCAAGCAATCCTTCCACCCAGCCTCCACAGCAGCTGGGACTACAGGCACATGCCACCAACGCCTGGCTAATTTTTTTTTTTTTTTTTTGTGGAGACAGCATTTCACCATGTTGCCCAGGCTGATCTCGAATTCCTGGGCTCAGCTGATCCTCTCGCCTCAACCTCCCAAAGTGTTGGGATTACAGGTGTGAGCCACTGCACCTGGCGAACATCCTTTTCTTTTTTGTTTTTTTCCTTTGAGACAGAGTTTCGCTCTTGGTGCCCAGGCTGGAGTACAATGGCACGATCTTGGCTCACTGCAACCTCCACCTCCCGAGTTCAAGCGATTCTCCTGCCTCAGCCTCCTGAGTAGGTGGGATTACAGGCATGTGCCACCAGGCCCAGCTAATTTTGTATTTTTAGTAGTCAGGGTTTCTCCATGTTGGTCAGGCTGGTCTCGAACTCCTGACCTCAGGTGATCCGCCCACCTTGGCCCCCCAAAGTGCTGGGATTACAGGCCTGAGCCAGCATGCCCAACCAACATTCTTTTCTAAAGCATGTTGGTCAGAAGCAGTCCACCACGGAGGGGATGAACAACAGTATACAGTCATGGTCTTTCATCAGGGCTATGTTAATTCTGTTCTCTGTCATGATGTAATCTAAAAAATGTGGACCATTTGCACATTCTGCAGAGTATCACATTGGTCCACCATCTTGTAACTTTACATCCTTCAGACGTCTTTTTTTTTTTTTTTTTCTTTTTTTAAAGACAGAGTCTCCCTCTGTTGCCCAGGCTGAAGTGCATGGTGCAATCTCAGCTCACTGCAACCTCTCTGTCTCCCGGATTCAAGCGATTCTCCTGCCTCAGCCTCCCGAGTAGCTGGGATTACAGGCACACACCACTATACCTGGCTAATTTTTTTGTATTTTTAGTACAGACGAGGTTTCACCATGTTGGCCAGGATGGTCTTGATCTCCTGACCTCGTGATCCGCCCACCTAGGCCTTCCAAAGTGCTGGGATTACAGGTGTGAGCCACCGGACATCTTTTAAGTAGAATGAAGACTACTTAGAGGTAGGAACCAACCCTACCTTGGTGATTTTTGTTCCTCCAAATATCTTTGCACATAATAATTCAATATTTATTCAAAGAAAACGTTATATACTGTTTCATACCACAAACAAGATTGTTCTGTCCTTGAAAACAAAACCTTTTGTATCTTTGAATCAGGAAATATTCTATAAATGCCTATTGACCTATTAATTTCCTCTTCCCTAACAATCAGATACTCTACCAGGATATGTAGATATCTTCTTCAGGGCACCTTGCACTTAGCAGAGTCCCAAATATTTTATTTTCTCCACTCTAGCACCACCAAATCATGTAAAGTATACAGCCACTCACATTTCACATCAACTTCTCCATTCTTATGCATAGCTCCTTCCAGCCACCCCTCTGAAAACTGACTCTCCTAAACATTTCCGTAAGACCCAGGATCATGTTTTCATATATACCCATCAATCCATTTATCCAAAACCCACTTGTAATTTAACAAGTGCTTTTTATTTTTATTGAAGATGGGGTCTTGCTATGTTCCTAAGGCTGGCCTCCAACTCCTGGTTTCAAAGGATCCTCCCACCTCAGCCTGCAGAGTAGCTGGGATTATAAGTGTGCTCCAACCACCATGCCCCGCAACAAGTATTTATTAATCTAACTTCACTTTTATGGAGTTTTTGTTTTTTAAAATATAGAGATGGGGTCTTGCTATGTTGCCCAGGCTGGTCTTGAACTCCTGGCTTCAAGCAATCCTCATGCCTTGGCCTCCCAAAGTGTTGGGCTTACAGGTGTGAGCCACTGCACCCAGCCCTAACTTCACTTTTTTTTTTTTTTTTTTTTTGAGACAGTCTCACCCCAGTTGCTCAGGCTGGAATGCAGTGGCATGATCTCAGCTCACTGCAGCCTCAAACTCCTGGGCTCAGGTGATCTTCCCACCTCAGCCTCTTGTGTAGCTGGGACTGCAGGCACGCAGAACCATGAGTAGCTGGAACTACAGGCATGCAGAACCATGCCCAGCTAAGTTGTTTTTTTTTTTTTTTTGAGACAGAGTCTTGCTCTGTTGCTCAGGCTGGAGTGCAGTGGCACGATCTCGGCTCACTGCAAGCTCCACCTCCCAGGTTCAAGTGATTCTCCTGCCTCAGACACCTGAGTAGCTGGGACTACAGGTGTCCGCCACCACTCCTGGCTAATTTTTTTGTTTGTTTGTTTTTGTATTTTCAGTAGAGACAGGGCTGTGTTAGCCAGGATAGTCTCGATCTCCTGAGCTCGTGGTCCGCCCCCCTCCGCCTCCCAAGGTGCTGGGATTACAGGCAGGAGCCACCGCACCCAGCCACTTTATTTTTAGTAGAGACGGAGTTTCACCATGTCGCCCAGACCAGTCTCAAATTCCTGTCTCCAAGCAATCCTCCCACCTCAGCCTCCCAAAATGCTGGGATTACATGTGGGCACCATTCTGCCCAGCTGTAATTCTTAAAAATTATTATTAAAAAAGAACAAAACACATAGATGCCCTAGACTCAACTCAGCTCTACTGATCAATCTTTAGGGGTTAGGACTAGGCTTTTGAAATGTTAAAACACCCAGAAAACTGATGACCAGTCAGGCTTAGTATCCGCCATCTCTACCATTCATATGGTACTTAATGTTTCATATTTAAATGGAAAGGACACCTCACACTTTTTTGTTTTTCCTATAGTTCCTACTCAGAGAATATGCCTAATAAATATTTTATGAGAGTAGTACAGAAGTATGACTCCATTTTTCTCTTATATTTCATTTCAGTGTGGAAGGCTCTTTAGAAACACTATTAACATAACAGCATTATGTCAAAAAGCGCCAATAACATTCTCACCAACTTTTCTTTTTAAAGGAATTAGGTATAGCTAGACTGTAAAAGGCAAGTGGTGTGAAGCCCAAACCTAAGATCCTAAGATCTAGGATGAGTCAAGACTTCATAGTCTACATGAGTAGAGGCAGCATCTAGAGGAAAACAAAAGTATGTGGCTATCAAATTCCAAAGAAGCCCCATTTTATTACAGAGAAAATACAAAGCCGTTTCCTCACAGGGAAAAGTACAGTTTCCCTTCTCCAGGGTGACAGATGAGCCTTTTCCGAAGTTCTCAGCTTTCTCTTCTATCGAAACTTCCCATGTCGGTTAAAGTGTTTGTAGAGATAGCGGATGCGTTTATTAAGGTTGTGCAGGTCATCAGCGAACATTCTACTTCCAACCATTTTCCTCTTTCGGATACAACGTTGCAATTCATTCCCTTTCCAACCTCGAAGCCATATGGGCCCCCTGATCAGTTCTTTGGGGTGCTTTTCAAAGTTTCCTGTGTAATGTGAGAGAACACATTAGATCCAAGACAAGAGAACTCATCCTACACCAGCTAAGCTTTCAACCCACGGTTGCATCTTGCTGAGCAGCACCTATAGACAAGGAACATTACAGTACAGAACAATAGCACAGACTCTGGAGCCAGACTGCTTGGGGTTAAAATTCTGATGCTGCCATTTATTAACTTTGGAAAAACTGTTTATTTTTACTTATGAAGTAAAAATTATACGAGGGGACTCAGAACAGTGCCAAACACAATGTAAACAGCTACATAAGTGTTTGCTCTTACTATTGAGCACAGTACCACTCTCTACACAGGAGGAAAAGATAGTCGTTACAGCCTAATTGCCATTCTGAAATTGTGTACCACGTCGAAGGTCAAGTCTTACCCAGGATCCCGATGTTGTCATACACTCCGAACATGGCCCTTTTCTCGTTCCAACGATCAACCACTTTGGGGGGCGGGAGAGTGAGCCTTATACCGATCAATCTAGGCACACCTGGGGATGGGGAAGGGAGGGAATTAATCTGAGCCGCCTATTATACTACGAAGCAGTTATCGGGGTGCCTACATCAGCCACTTACCAAGAGAGAAGCTTCTGCACGCCAGAGGCACCCAGTCCCACAGGCGCCTACCTGCCCCGGATAAGAGGTTCCCTGCCATTTCTCTAGTCTCCCCCCTTCAACAGCACACCAAATAAGCCCAAGAAGATGACAGGAACCGTCCCCGCCAACTTCACACGAGTACTAAGGCGAAGACAGCCATCTTGGGCCTTACCCAGGCAGCTGTGGGCGCACCGCCCACCTACGCCCCATCCGCAACAGCCACGAGCCCCGCCCCCCGGGTTCCGGCAGGAGGGGCCTCTACCACCCTTCCCGCCTCAGTGCTTCCGGTCCGCCTGCCGGAAGTTTTGGAGCGCCGGACAAGCTGAGGTCCGCGACTCGTCGCTAAGATTCCCCAAAACTGAGATTTCAAGAAAATTCACCCTTTCCGCTTTCTTTGGCGTCCTTCAACCGTGAAGGAAATGAAGGTTGAGAACCTGGAACCCGCTTCCAATGACCAAGCCCTTTCTCTGTGCCTCACAACAGTCTTCCGCTGTAGCTGTTTTTATTACCCCTATTTTACTACTGGGGAGGAGATTTGAGGTCCTGAAAGTGAAGTGACTTGCTGGACGTCACTTAGCAGAGGAGATGGCGAAACCTGGATTAGAGGCGATGCCTTCTAACTCCCAGCGTGGACTTGCCTCCTTTCCTGGGGGTGACTGAATGCCCAGCCAGGGACGCGACGTCTCTGGCCAGCAGAAATACGGCCTCCTCCCCGCCGACTGGGCAAAGGGGGACCTTGCGGCCAAGGAGGGATTCGCAGGCGGGCCGGGGGTGGGAGCGGGGGCCGGAGCCGGAGCCTTGGCCCGCCCCCGGGCGGCGCTGTGATTGGCCGGCCGCTCCGGCGGGCGTCGCGATTGGCCGTCCTGCAGCCGTTGAGATTTGAACTCGGTATTTGTGGCTTTGCCCGCGCGTTGCCAGACTCAGAGGCGGCCCTTTGCCTCTGCCTGCCGGGGATTGGCCGGATTCTCCGCCGACTTGAAAACTGCCTTGCTAATTGGTGCGTGTTGTGCACGCGTGTTTTTTCCTTTTCATTTCAGCCTGACTGCCGGAATCAGAGCCGCGGGTGAGATCCCCAGGTAAGATGTGGTGTTGCAGGTCGTAAAAGAGTAGGAAAGTCGAGTACATGGCAGTGTGACCCAGTCTTGGGCAAAATACAATAGGCCTAGTAAGTATATCCCTGGGGCGCGATGTGTGAGAAACTGTAAGTCTGACAGATCCGCAACGGAAGTTGTTAAGCAAATCGCTTAACAGATCCGCAACGGAAGATGTTAAGCAAATCGCTTAACAGATCCGCAACGGAAGATGTTAAGCAAATCGCTTAACTTTCTTACTTCAATTTCCGCTCTGTAAACTCATTTGTATTATTATGCACCTCATGGGATTGAGGTTAGGATACTTAGATCAGATATGATACATGCAAACAGCCTAACAGACTTGGCACAGGATAAATAAATCATCATTGTTAATGCTCTTACCATTCTGGTGCAGGAAGCCCACTAGCCCATGCTGGGGCACTGTTTTGGCCTCAGACGAGATCAGACCATTCTCTCTATACTTAAGGAGCTTTGCACATAAAAATGGAAATAATAGTACTTTGCACATTAATATGCCACTTTATAGTTCTTTAAACACCTTCGTACTGCTTGATTTGTTTGATCATCAGAGCAACTTTGTGAAGTAATCAGAGTTTAGTAACCCTGTTTTTACAGATAAAGCCCAGAGGTTTAAGTGTCAAGACCAAGTGCCAAAGTCACTACTAGAATTAGTTTCTAGTCCAGGGTCAATCTCAGATCCCGTAAGATAATGTTACTAGCTTGCTATAAAACTAAAAACCATTATATATGTTGGGGGTGGGGAACTAACAAAACCAGATGATGTTACTAGCTTGCTATAAAACTAAAAGCCATTATATATGTTGGGGATGGGAAAGTAATAGAACCAGATACGAAGACAGGTCTTGAATATAGACCCTGACTTTTTCACTGTTTGGTTTCTAGCCCTGTGAGCCTGTAGGAGTAGAATGGCTCCCCAAATGTATGAGTTCCATCTGCCATTATCCCCAGAGGAGTTGTTGAAAAGTGGAGGGGTGAATCAGTATGTTGTGCAAGAGGTACTGTCCATCAAACATCTTCCACCACAGCTTAGAGGTAAGAGTCCATAGCTGTCACTGTACCTAGCTCTTTCAAAGGACCATCTCACATGGAATTGCTACATTGTCATTTCTGTTCCACTACACCAGGAAGCATCATAAGAGCAAGAAACATGTTTTTCCTATTTTGCTGTTTTATCCTAAAATTGCATGGGATGCATGACCCAAAGAGTACATTCATTAACTTCCTTTTCTGGATTAGTCAAAAACAGTCTTGGTGTATGTGATTACTCTTTGGGGAAAAGTTATTTTCCATCTTTACCCCTTACTGTGTGTCAAAATTAAGTCCTGGTGGATTTAAGAGTTATAGGAGTGGATCGCTTTTTCAGAATGTCTCGGACTTAACTCGACCTGTTTTTGGTAATACCTTTTTGGAGTCTTTTTGGATGTGCAATTATGGGGACAAAAACCCATAATATATATGTACCACTGCAACACTGAGCAATATATGTACAGTGCAGTCACCTACTGAAACCTGTAAATGATCAAAAGCACCTTTTGCATTACCAGAAAGACTTCATAATGTCCTTGTACTTGTTGGGAGCGGTCTTGTAGCAGTTAGCTTGCTTTGGAGAGGTATAGAGATTAAAGACTGGAGCCAGGCTGCCTGGATTTGAATCCTGGTTCTACCACTCTGACCTTAGACAAGTTACTTAATTGTCTCAGTGCCTTGGTTTCGTCATCTGTAAATATAGAGATAATAACCAATTCCTTTGTTATCACCTACAAGAAGAAGGGTTGGTTAATGCAGCAGCTCGACAATATGGTCCTAGCTTGTCTCCTCTTGGCTTTTCTTTCATGGTTGCTAGATTGCAACTTCTTTTTGTTTTTCTTTTTTTTTTTTTTTTGAGACAGGGTCTCACTCTGTTGCCCAGACTGGAGTGCAGTGATGCGATATCGGCTCACCACAACCTCTGCCTCCCCAGGCTCAAGCGATTCTCCTGCTTCAGCCTCCCAAGTAGCTAGGATTACAGGTGCACGCCACTACCACCTGGCTAATTTTTGTATTTTTAGTAGAGACGGGATTTCACCATGTTGGCCAGGCTGGTCTTGAACTCCTGACCTCACATGATCCACCCACCTTGGCCTCCCAAAGTGTTAGGATTATAGGCGTGAGCCACTGCACCAGTCTAGATGGCAGCTTCTTCCTCTAATGTCCAGAAGTGGAAAAAGGAATTTTCTTTTTGTACTTTTTATTCTTTATTTTATTTTGAAAGACAAGGTAAAGACTCTCTTGCCCAGGCTGGAGTCCAGTGGCATGATCACGGCTCACTGCAGCCTCAACTTCCCAGACTCAAGCAATCCTCTCACCTCAGCCTCCCAAGCAGCTGGGATCACAGACATGCACCACCATACCTGGCTAATTTTTAAATTTTCTGTAGAAACAGTGTCTCCCTATGTTGCCCAGGCTGGTCTCGAACTTCTGGGCTCAAGCAGTCTTCCCGCCTCAGCCTCCCAAAGTGCTGGGATTGCAGGCTGGAATGCAGTGGCCTGATCACAGCTCACTGCAGCCTCAATCTACCAGGCTCAAGCAGTCCTCCCACCTCAGCCTCCCAAGTAGCTGGGACCACAGACATGTACCAAAGTGCTGGGATTGTAGGCATGAGGCACCATGCTCGGCCAGACTTTTTTGTTAAAAACTAAAACACCTACACACATTAGCCTAGGCCTACACAGGGTCAAGGTCACCAAGAAGTCACTAGACGATGGGAATTTTTCAGCTGTATTATATTTTTATGACACCACTGTCGCATATGTGGTCTATTGTTTACCAAAATGTTACAGGGCACAGGACTGTACAGGTAAGAGAAATAGAATTACCCAGACTGGTTTAACTGATCAAGCTTATTACCTAGGAGCCTCCCTAAACTTGAGCATATCAACCATTTGGTAAGCAAGGAAGAAGGCAGAGTGTGGAGGTTGCCTAATGGATGGCAAACCAACAGTGTCCACAGGTATACTATTCTGTCCATATCATGTGGATATATGTGTCACCAATTGAACATGCTGCATACTATGACAAACTACTCTTCACTTATTATAATGATGCATCATTTTTTTAAATGGTCACCTTTTTTTTTTTAAGTTCTGGAGTACACGTACAGGATGTGCAAGTTTGTTACATAGGTAAACGTGCTGTGTTGGTTTGCTGCACCTATCAACCCATCACCTGGGTATTAAGCCCAGCATGTATTAGCTATTTTTTTCTTATGCTCCCCCTCCCCCCATTCCACCCTCTAACAGGCTCCATTGTGTTGTTCCCCTCCCTGTGTCCATGTGATCTCATTGTTCAGCTCCCACTTGTAAGTAAGAACATGCAGTGTTTGGTTTTCTGTTCTTGCATTAGTTTGCTGAGTCCCTGCAAAGGACATGATCTTGTTCCTGTCACTTTTTTGTTGTTGTTGTTGTTGAGACTGAGTCTCCTTCTGTCACCCAGGCTGGAGTGCAGTGGCGCAATCTCAGCTCACTGCAGCCTCCGCCTCCCGAGTTCAAGTGATTCTCCTACCTCAGCCTCCTAAGTAGCTGGGATTACAGGCAATGCCACCACGCCCGGCTAATTTTTGTATTTTTAGTTGAGACAGGGTTTCACCATGTTGGTCAGGCTGGTCTCCAACTCCTGACCTGATGATCCACCCGCCTCGACCTCCCAAAGTGCTGGGATTACAGGCGTGAGCCACCGCGCCCAGCCACTTTTTTTTTTTTTAAAGAGTCTTTTGTTTTTTGGAGACAAGGTCTCATTTTGTTGCCCAGGCTGGAGTGCAGTGGCTCCATCCGAGCTCACTGCAACCTCTCGGGCTCAGCCGCCCGAGTAGCTGGGACTACAGGCATGTGCCAACATGCACTGCTAATTTTGTGTTATTTGTAGCAACGAGGTTTTGCCATGTTGCCCAGGCTGGTCTCAAACTCCCGAGCTCAAGCGATCTGCCCACCTCAGCCTCCCAAAGTGCTGAGATTACAGGTGTGAGCCACTGCACCCAGCCAAGAGTCCTTTTTAAAACAATTGCATTGCTTTGATGATTTTGGTGTTTAGAATCCTGAATACAACTTCTCCTATAAATAAGATCAAATCATTTAATTCATTTAACAAGTATTTACTGATCATGTGCTGTGTGCCAGACATTGTTCTAAGCATTGATAATACAACAGTAAACAAAACAGACAAAATGACAAAGTTCTTCCTTTCAAGGTTCTTAACAAGTAATAAACAAGTAAATATGTAGTACAGTAGGACCCTTATCCCAGGAGATATATTCCAAGACCCTTATTAGATGCCTGAAACTGGAATAGTACCAACCCCTGTATATACTATGGTTTTTTCCCTCTACCTGCCTACCTATGGTAATGTTTAATTTACAAATTAGATACAGTAAGAGATTAACAACAATTCTTTTTTTTTTTGAGACGGAGTCTTGCTCTGTCACCGGGCTGGAGTGCAGTGCTGTGATCTCAGCTCACTGCAACCTCCGCCTCCCAGGTTCAAGAGATTCCCCTGCCTCAGCCTCCTGAGTAGCCGGAACTACAGGCGTGAGCCACCGCACCCAGCTAATTTTTTGTATTTTAGTAGAGACGGGTTTCACCATGTTGGCCAGGATGGTCTCGATCTCCTGACCTTGGATCTGCCCACCTCGGCCTCCCAAAGTGCTGGGATTACAGGTGTGAGCCACTGCGCCTGGCCTGTTTAACAATAATATTAATAAAATAGAGCAATTGTAACTATGCCAGCATCACTACCCTTGCACTTTGGGGCCATTATTAAGTAAAATAAAGGTTCCTTGAACAGAAGCCCTGCAACAGTTGATCTGATAACCAAGGTGGCTACTAATGGGTGAGTAGGGTTGCATATACAGTGTGGATATGTTGGACAAAGGGATGGTTCACATCCCAGGCAGGAGGCGGCAGGGCAGCACCAGATTTTATGCTACTCAGAATGACACACAACCTACAATTTATGAATTGTGTATCTCTGGAATATTTCTTTCTTTCTTTCTTTTTATTTTTTTAAGATAAGGGTCTTGCTTTGTTGACCAGGCTGGAGTGCAGTGGCTCAATCTCAGCCCACTGCAACCTTCACCTCCTGGGCTCAAGCAATTCTCCTGCCTCAGTTTCCCAAGCAGCTGGGACTACAGGTAAGTGCCACCACGCCTGGCTAATTCTTGGGGGGTTTTTTTGTTGTTCTGGAGACGGAGTTTTGCTCTGTCGCCCAGGTTGGAGTGCAGTGGCAAGGTATCGGCTCACTGCACCCTCCACCTCACAGGTTCAAGCAATTCTCCTGCTTCAGCCTCCCAAGTGGCTGGAATTACAGGTGCCCACCACCACATCCAGCTAATTTTTTTTGTATTTTTTAGTAGAGCTGGGGTTTCACCATGTTGGCCAGGCTGGTCTCGAACTCCTGACCTCAGGTGATCTGCCCAACTTGGCCTCCCAAAGTTCTGGGATTATAGGCGTGAGCTACTGTGCCCAGCCTATTTCTGGAATATTTCATTTAATATTTTCAGACTTGAGATTGACCACGGGTAACTGAAACCCCAGAAAGTGAGAACACAGATTGGTGAGGACCACTGTGTGTAAGATGGTTGTAAGAGCCAAAGAGAAAAATAAAGAAGACAGTGTGGCCAGGCGCAGTGGCTCACACCTGTAATCCTAGCACTTTGGGAAGCCAAGGTGGTTGGATTGCTCAAGCTCAGGGGTTTGAGACCAGCCTGGCCAACATGGTGAAACCCCATCTCTACCAAAATTACAAAAAAGTTAGCCAGGCGTGGTGGTGCACACCTGTAGTTCCAGCTACTTGGGAGGCTGGGGTGGGAGAATTGCTTGAGCCCAGGAGGCAGGGGCTGCAGTGAGCCATGATCATGCCACTGCACTGCAACCTGGCCACAGAGCTAGACCCTGTTTCAAAAAAGAAAAAAAAAGAAGTGTACTGGGAATGGTGGCTTGTCCCTGTAATCCCAACCACTTGGGAGGCAGAAGCAGGATTGTTAAGGCCAGGAGTTCAAGACCAGCTTGGGCAACATAGTCTCTAAAATTAATTATACAAAGCTTAAAAATAAATAATATAAAGAAGAAGATAGTAGGACCTGTCATTTCATGTTGGATCATCAGAGAAGGCTTGCTGTTACGTCACGTTTGAGCAGAGACCTTAAGAAAGTAAGGAAATAAACTATGCAGATTGTTAGGGAAGAGCATTCCAAGCAAACAGAAAAGCCTATGCAAAGGCCTTGAGGTGGGCAAATGCCAATAGAGTTGGAGTGCATTAAGCTAGGAAAAAGAGATTAGGTAGGAAGTGGTACAGATTATTCTAGAATCTTGCTCCTCAAAATGTGGTCCTCAGATCAGCAGTGTTAATATCAGGATCTCATGATCTGGGAGCTTATTAGAAATGCAGGATGTCAAGGCCCAGGATGTCAAAGCTGCTGAATCAGGAAATCTGTATTTTAAGAAGATTCCCCCAGGCAATTTGGATGCAATTATAAGCTTGAGAAGCACTGATCTCTAGAGCCTCGTAGATCATGGCAAAAACTTGAACTTCAGTGTGAATGAACTTGAAAGCCATTGGGTTTTGAGCATGGGAGTGACATGGTCTGACATTTTAAAAGATTCACTGGCGACTGTGTTGAGCAGAGACTATAAGAGGCAAGGAGAGAAGCAGGGATACTAGTTAAGTGGCTAATACAGTAATACCAAGTAGATTGGACTGGAGGGATAGCAGGGGAAGTGGTGATAAAACGACTCAGGATATATTTTCAAAGTAGAGCTTTTACAGGAATGCTGATGGATTGGATTGGATTATAGGGTTAGTAAAGGAATCTGAGATGAGAATGATTACAAGGCTTTTTTTTTTTTTTTTTGACAGTCTTGCTCTGTTGGCTCTGTCACCCAGGTTGGCGTGCAGTGGCGTGATCTTGGCTCGCTGCAACCTCTGCCTCCCAGGTTCAAGCAATTCTCATGCCTCAGCCACCTGAGTATCTAGGATTACAGGTGTGCACCACCACGCCTGGCTAATTTTTTTTTTTTTTTTTTTTTTTTTTTTTTTTAGGCAGAGTCTCGCTCTCTCGCCCAGGCTGGAGTGCAGTGGCACCATCTCGGTTCACTGCAAGCTCCGCCTCCCAGGGTCACGACACCTGGCTAATTTTTGTATTTTTAGTAGAGATGCGGTTTTGCCGTGTTGTCCAGTCTGGTCTTGAACTTCTGGCCTCAAGTGATCTGCCTGCCTCGGCCTCCCAAAATGTTGGGATTACAGGCGTGGGCCACCACACCCGGCCTTACAAGGCTTTTTGACTTGAGCAACTAGAAGAATGAAGTTGCCATTTACTGAGATGGGGTAGCATATGGGAGGGAGAGGTTTAGATTGTTGGTTATGTGAGTGCAGAGTTCAAGGGAGAGGTTGTCAGCTAAAGATACACATTTAGGATTTAATACTCAGCGTGTAGACAGCACTTAAAGCCATGAGATTGCAGTGAGTGTAGATGGAGAAGAGCAGCAGTTTGAAGACCAAGACCTGAGACAGTCCAGCATTTAGAGGCTAGGAGGATGAAGAAGAACCAGTAGAAGAAATTAAGAAGCAGTCATTGGGGCAGAAAGCGAATGAAGGAGCTAAATGGACGCTAAATAAAGAGAGTGTTTCAAAAACAAAAGAGAGGTCAACTGCAGATTAACTACTGGATTTATTGATGTCATAGTCACTGGTAACCTTGACAAAGCTGTTTCAGGAGATGGTGGGGGCAAAAGCCTGCTAGGAATAGGTTTTTAAGAAAATGGAATGACAGAGATTAGAGATGATGAATTTACATAATGTATTTCTTTTAAGATGGGCAGCATTATGTGTGTCTATATTGAGTAGGAATGATCAGAGAGGGAAAAGCTGATGCTGCAGAAGGAAGAGGGAACAGTTGTTGGAGCAGTGCCTTTAGTAGGTAAGAGAGTACGTGATCTGGTACACGGGGAGGAGATGGCTTTATCAGAACATGGACAGTTTATCCACAGTAGCAAAAAAAAAAGGCAGAGTGTATGTATGGGCATAGATGCAACTAGTGCAGGTAAATATAGAGCTTGGGGCAGTTGAAAGTTCTCTTCTGTCTGCTTCTGTTTCCTCAATAGGAAGGGAAAGCCTTTAACTGAGAGTGAGTTTGGGAAGAAGGTCATGGTGTTATGAGCAGAGGATAGGTGTGAAATAATTGCCTAGAAGAAAACGAATAGACTTGGGAGTACGAATGCCCACTTCAGGTTAGTAGTCATGAGTTTAACGTAAGACTAGTCAGCTTGTTTCTGTGTTTTTCTCAGGCCATTTTTATTTGTGTGGTCACATGAATGGAGTAACCAGAAAGTTGGTTTAACCTAGATTTGCCAGGGGAGTATGTGTTGTTGTTGTTGTTAATTAGTGGAATAAGTTACAAGTATCACAGTATCTAACAATAGGGGAATAGTAAATTAAGATAGATATAAGGCCGAGTGTGGTGGCACTGCCTGTAGTCCCAGCTACTCAGAAGGCTGGGGCAGGAGGATCGCTTGAACCCAGAAGTTTGAGGCTGCAGTAAGCTATGATCCTGCACTGCACTTCGGCCTGCGCAACACAACAAACCCTGTCTCAAAAAAAATTGTTTACAAAGGTGTTTTTGTTGTTGTTGTTGTTGTTGCTTTTTTTTTGAGACGGAGTCTCACTCTGTCACCCAGGCTGGAATACAGTGGCACTATCTCGGCTCACTGCAACCTCCTCAGTTCAAGCGATTCTCCTGCCTCAGCCTCCTGAGCAGCTGGGATTACAGGCGCATGCCACCACACCTGGCTTTTTTTTTTTTTTTTTTTTTGTATTTTTATTAGAGACGGGGTTTCACCATGTTGGTCAGGCTGGTCTCGAACTCCTGACCTGATGATCCACCTGCCTCAGCCTACAAAGTGTTGGGATTACAGGCGTGAGCCACCACGTCTGGCCTACAAAGGTTTCTAATACACTTACTGTAATGCTAAATTTTAAAAAGCATGACAGAGAAGTGAATATGTGATACAAGCTCAACAATGGAAATACGATGTATAGAAAATGGACTGAGAAAAATATGCTGTTATAACTGAATGCCTGAGACTGGATATTTATAATGAAAGAAATTTATTGGCTCACATTTTTTTCTGGAGACTGGGAAGTCCCAAATCAATGCACCAGTAACTGGCAAGGGCCTTCTTGCTGCATTGTCACAGGGCAGAAGGCAGAAGGGCACAAGTGAACCCACTCCCCAGAGCCCTTTTTATAATAGTATGAATATATCGGTGAGGGGTTGGGCACGGTGGCTCACACCTGTAATCCCAGCACTTTGGGAGGCCGAGGCGGGCAGATCACAAGGTCAGGAGTTCGAGACCAGCCTGGCCAATATGGTGAAACCCCGTCTCTACTAAAAATACAAAAAATTAGCCGGGTGTGGTGACGCGTGCCTGTAATCCCAGCTACTCAGGAGGCTGAGGCGGGAGAATCACTTGAACCTGGGAGCCGGAGGTTGTAGTGAGCCGAGATCGTGCCACTGCACTTCAGCCTGGGTGACAGAGCGAGACTCCATCTATTTTTTTTTTTTTTTTAAAAAAGATGGTGAAACCCCGTCTCTACTAAAAAATAGAAAAATTAGCTAGGTGTGGTGGCAGGCACCTGTAATCCCAGCTACTCGGGAGGCTGAGGCACTGAATTGCTTGAACCCAGGAGGCAGAGGTTGCAGTGAGCTAACATCATGCCACTGCACTCCAGCCTGGGCGACAGAGCGAGACTCCGTCTCAAAAATATGTATATATATTTGTGAGGGTGGAGCCCTCATAACCTAAACACCTCCCATTAGACTCCACCTTCCAACACTGTCATGTTGGGGATTATATTTCCAACACATGAATTATGAGGGGCACATTCAAACCATACAGCGTGCTAAGTGTTGTTCTGACTGGTTTGCATGGACTATCTCATTCAGTTTTGACATATATATATACATATATATATATATATATATATATATATATATATAGATATAGATATATATATATATATATACCATTGGTCCTTGAACAACGTGGGGGTTAGGGATGACAACCCCTGTGCAGTCAAAAATCTGCATATGTAAGTTTTGACTGCCCCAAAACTTAAACACTTATAGCCTACTGTTGACCAGAAGCCTTACAAGTAACATAACAGTTTTTTTATTTTGTTTTGTTTTGTTTTTGACAGAGTCTTGCTCTGTGGCCCAGGATGGAGTGTGGTGGCGCGATCTCGGCTCACTGCAACCTCCACCTGCTGGGTTCAAGTGATTTTCCGGCCTTAGCCTCCCAAGTAGCTGAGACTACAGGCATGCAATATTGCACCTGGCTAATTTTGTATTTTTAGTAGAGATGGGGTTTCACCATGTTGGCCAGGCTGGTCTCAATCTCCTGACCTCAAGTGATCTGTCCACCTCGGCCTCCCAAAGTGCTGGGATTACAGGTGTGAGCCACCGCGTCGAGCCTTAATACATATGTTTTTTATGTTATGTATATTATTTACTATATTTTTGCAGTCAAGCTAGAGGAAATGTTATTAAGAAAATCATAAGGAAAATACATGTTCAGTATTGTGCTGTATTTATCGACACCATAAGTTTACATGATGAATCATGTAAAATGGCAGGCAACCACAGCTGCAGACCTCCGTCCATGGTACCATATGAAGCAATTTGGCTTTTCTTGTAATGTCATGACTCTTTTCTGCTTCTTGGGAACACTTCCAGCATCACTAGTGGCACTTCATTATGGGTCCCATGGTGTTATGTAAGGTTTATGATACTGCTTTAGACACATGAAAAATACCTGAGGAACCACAGGAGATCACTTCTTGCTGCCATATGCAATTTTTGTTTTGAGACAGAGTTTCACTCTTGTTGCCCAGGCTGGAGTGCAGTGGCATGATCTCGACTCACTGGAACCTCCGCCTCCCCGGGTTCAAGCGATTCTCCTGCCTAAGCCTCCCAAGTAGCTGGGATTACAGGCATGCACCACCATGCCTGGCTAATTTTGTATCTTTAGTAGAGACAGGGTTTCCCCATGTTGGTCAGGCTGGTCTCGAGCTCCTCACCTCAAGTGATTCACCCGCCTCGGTCTCCAAAGCGCTGGGATTTACAGGTGTGAGCCAGCGTGCCCGGTCTGCCATATGCAGTTTACTGGAGAGACGAACTGCTCACTGGAAGATGATTAACATCTCAGAGTTTTTAAGCAGATACTTGCAACATTTGAGCTCACCATAGTATCGACAAGAGGCGGCTATGAAATTATTACAGTACTACAGTGTGTACTGAAGTGAATTTTATGCAGTTATGATTTAATACTGCATCTTTAGGCCAGGTGTGGTGGCTCGCGCCTGTAATTCTAGCACTTTGGGAGGCCTAGGCAGGTGGATCACCTGAAATCAGGAGTTCAAGATCAGCCTGGCCAACACGGTAAAACCCTGTCTCTACTAAAAATTCAAAAATTAGCCAGGTGTGGTAAATATAAAAATTAGCCGGGTGTGGTGGCATGCATCTGTAGTCCCAGCTCCCAGGGTGACTGAGGTGGGAGGATCGCTGGAACCTGGGAGGCAGAAGTTGCAGTGAGCTGAGATTGTGTCACTACACTCTAGCCTGGGTGACAGCAAGAACCTGTCTCAGAAAAACAAAAACAAATAATATTGCATCTTTATATTTATTTCCGTTTCTCTTGGGCTGTGAATGATGTCATGTACTGTCTGTGTTTGTGTGTGAGGTTTTTTGGTGTTTTTTTTTTACATGGGGTCTCACTGTCACCCAGCCTGGAGTGCAGTAGTGTGATCACAGCTCACTGCAGCCTCAGCTTCCTAGGCTCAAGCAATCCTCCCGCCTCAGCCTCCAGAACAGCTAGGACTACAGGTGCACCCCACTGTGCTCAGCTAATTTTTTATTTTTTGTGGAGATGGGGTCTTGCCATGTTGCCCAAGCTGGTCTTGAGCTCCTGACCTCAAGTGATCCTCCTGCCTCAGCCTCTCAAAGTGGTGGGGTTACAAGTGTGAACTATCACATCCAGCCTGCATCAAGTTTTGATAAGTTTTAACTTTATAATAGACATATATATTTGGCCGGGCACGGTGGCTCAACCCCTGTAATCCCAGCACTTCAGGAGGCCAAAGTGGGCGGATCACGAGGTCAGGAGATCGAGACCATCCTGGCTAACACCGTGAAACCCCGTCTCTACTAAAAAAGTACAAAAAATTAGCCGGGCATGGTGGCGGGCGCCGGTAGTCCCAGCTACTCGGGAGGCTGAGGCAGGAGAGTGGCGTGAACCCAGGAGGCAGAGCTTGCAGTGAGCCGAGATCGCACCACTGCACTCCAGCCTGGGCGACAGAGAGAGATTCCGTCTCAAGAAAAAAAAAAAAGACATATATATTTTATGGTAGTAAATGATAAAATAGACTAGGATCTACATAAATTTTATGCGTTCATGACATATGTAGCTTTAAAAAAAAATTAGCCAGATATGGTAGAGCATACCTGTTGTTCTAGCTACTCAGGAGGCTGAGGCAGCCCGATTGCTTGAGCCCAGGAATTTAAGGCTGCAGTAAGCTGTGATTGTGCCATTGCACTCCAGCCTGGGAGACAGAGTGAGACTTTGTCTCAAAAGAAAGAAAGAAAAAATTCCAGTATATTTACTGAAAAAAATTAGCATATTAGTGGACCTACACAATTCAAATCGTATTGTTCGAAGATTAATTGTAGACATACATAGGTGCCTTACTTTTCTCCAGTGAGAGGGCCTAAAGGCAGTAATACTCTAATAGAAATGAGTGCAAGTAATGCCTAGAATTTGGCTTCTACATACCATTATTCCGTAATAGCCAGGATTCCACCAAGAATGGTTGATTACAGGACTGGGCCAGGGAAAATACAAGATGAGCCCAGAACATCTTTTATTTTATTTATTTATTTATTTTTGAGATGGTGCCTCACCATGTTGCCCAGGCGGATCTTGAACTCCTGGGCCCAAGCGATTCTACTGCCTCCACCTCCCAAAGTGCTGGGATTACAGGCTTGAGCCCAGCCCATCTCATGATACAAGACAGTCAGGGAACAAAAATGAAGGGAGGCTGGGTGCAGTGGCCCATGCCTTTAATCCGAGTACTTTGGGAGTGTTGGGAATAACACTCAAAATCCTAAGGAAAATGAACATTCAAACAAAGGATTCTTAGGAAAGCAATTTTACTTCTCTGCAGAGGGGTGCCTCTCCTTGGCCAGTCGCCGTGAAAGCACACCTGAACAAAGGGGCACGAGAGCCTTTATTCCTGACGCAAGTCCTGCCCCTGTACCCTTTTCCCATTTGCCGGGGTCGGGTTGCACAATTAGCCCAATTGGCTAAACATCTGAACTTTCTTTAGATAAGGTGGGCACATAAGGGAGAGAGGGGAAAAGGTGAAGGGGTGTCTGCAATGATCTAGAGAGCTAGTCTTCTTTCCAAATAAGGGAAGGAATAGTAATAGTAAGAAATAGTAAGAAAGAAAATAAAGAAATAGTAATAAAGGAAAGCTAGTCTTCTTTCCAAATAAGGAAAGGAATGTGAGCTGGTACTGATAAGCCTGGTACTGTGGCGTGTCCAGGCATGTAACAAAGGCAGAAACGAAAAAAAGAGAAAAAGGAAAAAAGGTTGTGGGGGAGTGCTATGAATTAAAGAATAGAGGATTGATCAGGCTATTTGAAGAGAAACCTCATCATATCCCACAGGAGGCTGAGGCAGCAGATCAGTTGATCCCAGGAGTTCGAGACCAGCCTGGGCACCAAAGTGAGACCCTGTCGCTACAAAAAATTAACAGAAAAAAAAATTAGCTGGGCCGGGCGCAGTGGCTCACGCCTGTAATCCCAGAACTTTGGGAGGCCGAGGCAGGTGGATCATGAGATCAAGACCATCCTGGCTAACATGGTGCAACCCCGTCTCTACTAAAAATAAAAAAAATTAGCCAGGCGTTGTGGCACGCACCTGTAGTCCTAGCTACGTGGGAGGCTGAGGCAGTAGGGAGTAGGCAGTAGGATCGCCTGAGCCCAGGAGGTCAAGGCTACAGTGAGCTATGTTTGCACCACTGCATTCTGGCCTGGGCAACAAAGCAAGACCCTATCTTGAAAAAAACAAAAAAATGGAAGCATGTTCAAAGGACACAGGCCAAGTTGAAGGAGATCGCAGAGACCAAGTATGGGACAATTTGAGCAGGAAAATAAATAGTAATAGTAATGGATTAAAGCACAGAATAAGACAAATATCCCTAAGTCCATTCTGCTATAAATAAGTGAATAACTAAATAAAGGGAAAGGGACAGCTAATCGTTACAATAGCATTCCCATTAGTAAATGTAGAAGGAATAATAGAGATAGAAAATCACCATTTAGTAAACACCACAGCAGTAATTGTGGCAGGCAAGAATCATTCATGGATGCTTCAATTAGTGGGCAAAAATGTGATGTGAAACAGGACATTTACGTAGTCTGAAAGTATCTTCCCACAAAAATACTGGTTGCAAAGGGGAAAATAATAATGTTACAGTGGAGAAATGTGGCAGACACTACGAAGTGATCAAAGTTAACATCAGCAGTAATAAGACATTCACTTCATGCACCTCTTGATACGATGCCTGAGGACCAACCCTCCCTTCTGCTGTAATCTTACGAAAATACATAACTTCAATATAATCGCGAGAAAACAGGCCAACCCAAATTGAGGGACATTGTACAAAATAAGTGACAAGTACTCTTCAAAGAAGTGTCAAGATGATGAAAGATAAAGACTGGAGGAGAGGAAGGAGACCTGACAACTAAGTGCATTGTGGGATCCTGAAGCAGAAAAAGGACACAAATAGGATAAACTTTTTTTTTTTTTTTAAAAGATCCTGAGTTTGTGTTCCCTCCTAACTACTGTAAGTTGGACAAGTCATATAACTACTCTAAGGTGTAAAGTAGGCGTGGTACTGTCTGCTTTTGCTCAGGTGTGGTGAAGCTCAAACAAGGCTTTAATTGTAACACAAATATAAGATATCATCATCATTATTTTATTTTATTTTTTTTTGAGATGAGACGGAGTTTTGCTCTTGTTGCCCAGGCTGGAGTGCAATGGCACGATCTTGGCTCACTGCAACCTCCACCTCTTGGGTTCAAGCAATTCTCCTGCCTCAGCCTCCCTAGTAGCTGGGATTACAGGCGCCTGCTACCACACCCAGCCAATTTTTTGTATTTTTAGTAGAGATGGGGTCTCACGATGTTGGCCAGGCTGGTCTCAACTTCTGACCGCAGGTAATCCACCCGTCTCAGCCTCCCAAAGTGCTGGGATTACAGGCGTGAGCCACCATGCCCGGCTCTCATCGTCATTATAGGTTACATTGAAGTGAACTGTTTGTCTCTTTTTTGTGATTCTACCAATAAAAGCAATAAACCTAGTTTTCTGCCATGGATAGAATTTACTGAAAAGGTTTCTCTTCCCTCCAAATTGATTTGTTTTTTCCATCTTCATAGCTTTTCAGGCTGCCTTTCGAGCTCAGGGGCCCCTGGCTATGCTGCAGCACTTTGATACTATCTACAGCATTTTGCAGTAAGTGAAACACCCAACTGGTACTTTAAAAAGAACTGGTGACTGTTTGTCCTAACTGTGCATGTTAGTCCTGAAATTCCAAGTTATAGGTTCACTGATAAATGCCTCTGGATATTGATATCTCTACTGATGAGCATGTACCCAGCTTGCCACCGTATTTATTCAGTTGAACAATTTCACGTGTATTTTTAAACATTCGATTCCACGGGTTAGATCTGATCTGTTAGAAGGGGCTCTGCAGGCTCCTTCCTGTCTCACCCCCACACTTTCTTTCCCTCATAGTCACTTTCGAAGTATAGATCCTGGCCTCAAAGAAGATACTCTGCAATTCCTGATAAAAGGTGTTTATGGGTCAGGGGGTAGGGGATGGAAGGTGTTTGTTATCGTTTGTTTGTTTGTCTGTTTGTTTGTTTTTCCTACATTTTGTCAGCCACATGATGATATCAAGGCTGTTGTGATTCAGTTGGTTTGGCTAAGCCCAGGGACCTTTGGCCTGTTAAAGGTCTGTAATCTTGGTGGGCGATACAGAGTTATGTGTGTTCACTGTAAGGGCAGACCAACAAGAACTTTTTCCTACTTTTGAGCTACCTCTTTTTAATAGGGGTGATTCTTCCAGTTGCTGGAGAGAAATTGTGGTAACTGGAGTGAGAGAGTAGGAACAGGGCATGTTCAGGGTATCAGGGCCAAGGGTCCTAAAGGACTTAGCTTGTGTTATGGCCACTGAGAGATGAAACACAGATCTTTGGTAATCTGATGGCTGCAAGTGCTGGGTGTTTTGAAGTTGGGGTATATGAAAGAAGTGAGTGAAACTGACTCCAAGATTCTGCCCCTCACAGTGGTATCCCGCCACTCCCAGGAGCTTCCAGCTATCCTGGATGATACAACTTTGAGTGGATCAGATAGAAACGCCCATCTAAATGCCCTCAAAATGAACTGTTATGCTCTGATACGTCTCCTGGAATCCTTTGAGACCATGGCCAGCCAGACAAACCTTGTGGACCTGGACCTTGGTGGGAAGGTAATTTGGAGTTTTGGGCTCACGTTATATGGGGTCTGGGGAGATAGGGGAATAGATGGAAAAGAAGGGAATCCAATGATCCACAAATCCTTTCTGTCCTCATTGAGAATTTAGGAGAAAGAACTCAAAAGTGTCACACGTTTTCTTCCTGGACAAGTAGCGCTGTGGAACTTGTAATATTTCTTCCGTATTACCTTCTATGTTGTCTTGGTACTAGATTGTTTGGGCACTCAGACTGACAGATCTTGACCCACTTTTTTCCCTTATTTTTTCCTCAATGTATACATGATCCTTTTTAGGGTAAGAAAGCTCGGACCAAGGCAGCCCATGGCTTTGACTGGGAAGAAGAGAGGCAACCAATTCTTCAGCTTTTAACACAGCTACTTCAGTTGGACATCCGTCACCTGTGGAACCACTCAATAATTGAAGAAGAATTTGTCAGGTGGGTAGGGAGGATGGCTACAGATAATACTGAGCTGTGAGAGTGAGGCTCTGTTGATAGATATGCCGTTTTTTTGGTTTTGTTTTTTTTTTGTGGGGGGACAGAGCTTCACTCTTGTCGCCCAGGCTGGAGCGCAGTGGTTCAATCTCGGCTCACTGCAGCCTCTACCTCCTGGGTTCAAGCAATTTTCCTGCCTCAGCCTCCCGAGTAGCTGGGATTACAGGTGCCCGCCACCACAAGCTGATTTTTGTATTTTTAATAGAGACGGGTTTTGCCATGTTGGCCAGGCTGGTCTTGAACTCCTAACCTCAGGTGATCTCCCTGCTTTGGCCCCCCAAAGTGCTGGGATTACAGGTGTGAGCCACCACGCCCAGCCAGAAGTCTATTTTTAAAATAAGTAAAATAAGTTTGATGGAAGAAGGTTGTGATTTTAAATCAGCTACTCTAGGCCCGGTGCGGTGGCTCACGCCTATAATCCCAGCACTCTGGGAGGCCGAGGCGAGTGGATCACCTGAGGTCAGGAGTTCAAGACCGGCCTGGCCAACATGGTGAAACCTTGTCTCTACTAAAAAAATATGAAAATTAGCTGTGCATGGTGGTGTGTGCCTGTAATGCCAGCTACTTGGGAGGCTGAGGCAGGAGCATCACTTGAACCTGGGAGAGGGAGGTTGCAATGAGCTGAGATCGCACCATTGCACTCCATCCTGGGCGACAAGAGCAAAATCCCGTCTCAAAAAAAATAGATAGGGCCAGGCGCGGTGGCTCACGCCTGTAATCCCAGCACTTTGGGAGGCTGAGGCAGGTGGATCACGAGGTCAGGAGATCGAGACCACGGTGAAACCCCGTCTCTACTAAAAATACAAAAAAAAATTAGCCGGGCATGGTGGCGGGCGCCTCTAGTCCCAGCTACTCAGGAGGCTGAGGCAGGAGAATGGCGTGAACCCGGGAGGTGGAGCTTGCAGTGACCTGAGATCGCGCCACTGCACTCCAGCCTGGGCAACAGAGCAAGACTCCATCTCCAAAAAAAAAAAAAAAAAAAAAGATAGATAGATAGATAGACAGACAGACAAACAGACAGACAAGCTACTCTAGTAAGACTTCTTTGAGATGGTGACATTTGAGCAAAGACCCAGAGGAGGTGACTGAGAGCTATGAGAATATGTGGAGGAATAGCAAGGGCAGGGAAAAGGAATAGCATATGCAAAGACCTTGAGGAGGGAGCATGTCCAGCACGTACGAGCAATAGCAAGGAGGCCAGAGAGCTGACAGCTGAGAGCAGGTACGAGGGTTAGGCCGTGAGGCCATGGGAGCAGTGGGGAGCCAGACCGCAGGTTCTTGTGGGCCATCATGGTGACTTTGGCATTTCCTCAGAATGAAGTGGAGCCACTGGGGAGCCACAAGCAGGGAGGTGAGGTGACCTGACTTGTACTTCAACAGGGCCATCCTAGCTGTTGTATTGAAATCGACTATGGAGGGAAAGGGGAAGCAAGAGACCAGTTAAGAGGCTGTTCCAATAACTCAAGCAAGAGATGATGGTCTCTTAGACCAAGGCGTGGCAGTGGAGATGGGGAGAAGTAGTTGGATTCTATACTTTTTCCTTAAGGTAGAGCTTACAGGATTTGCTAACAGACTGGGTGTGAGGTGGGAGGGAGAGTTCAGTCAAGGATGACTCTCCCGGGTTTTGGTCTGAGCATTTGGAAGACTGGAGTTAATGGTAACTGAGATAGGGAGAAGGCTGTGAATAGGTGTTTTGGGAGGAAGATCAGATGTTCTGTTTTGGACATACAAAGTTTGAGGTGTTTATTAGCCACGTAAAGTCAGATTTGGACGTTGAATATATAGATCTGGAGTTCAGGAGAGAGGTCTGAGCTAGAGATAACACATTTGGGAATATAATAGTATTCAGAGCCGTGAGACTGAATGAAATTACCAAATCAGTAAGTGTAGCTAAAAGAGCAGGAATCCAAGGACTGGTACCCTAGGGCACTCCAGCATTAAGAGTGAGGATGCCGGGTGCATGGCTCACGCCTATAATCCTAGCACTTTGGGAGGCTGAGGCAGGAGGATCACTTGAGCCCAGGAGTTTGAGATCAGCCTGGACAACATAGTGAAACTGTGTCTCTACAAAAAATAGAAAAATTAGCTGGGCATGGTGGAGGCTGAGGTGGGAGCATCACCTGAGCTATGAGGAGGTCAAGGATGCAGTGAGCCGTGATTGCACCACTGCACTCCAGCCTGGGCAACAGAGGCAGACCCTGTCTCAAAAAAAAGAGTCTGAGGAGGAACTAGCCAAAGAAACTGAGAAAGGAGTCTTGTTCTTGTGTCCTGGAAGCGAGATAAAGCATATATTTCAAGGAGAAAGTGAGTGATTAACTGTATCACATGCAGCTGTGAAAGACCACTTGAGATGCAGATTGAATCAGTCGTTATATTTAGGAATGAGAAGTCATTGGTGACTTTGTCTTTTTTTTTTTTTTTTTTGTGATGGAGTCTCGCAATGTCGCCTGGCCTGGAGTGCAGTGGCATGATATCAGCTCACTGCAACCTCCACCTCCCAGGTTCAAGGGATTCTCCTGCCTCAGCCTCCCAAGTAGCTGGGATTACAGGCGCCCACCACCACACCCAGCTAATTTTTTGTATTTTTAGTAGAGACAGGGTTTCACTATGTTGGCCAAGCTGGTCTTGAATGCCTGACCTCGTGATCCACCTGCCTCGGCCTCCCAAAGTGCTGGGATTACAGGCATGAGCCACCACACCCGGCCAACTCTATCATATTTTTATGATATATTTAGGTTCTTTGTCAGCATCACAACTGGTTGAAAGTTGGTAATCTTGAAGGAAGGAGTACCTAACTGGGGTCAGCAAAGCAAAGCAACTTGTTATAGAAAGTAATGGCTAGAATAAAGAAAACCCTGACTTTGGGAGCAGTAGGGATAGAATGAATGAGGCAGGGCTCTGATACAATTGGATTCAGACAGCTGCTTTCATCATCTCAAACTCTTCCTTTCTCAGTTTGGTTACTGGCTGTTGCTACCGCCTTCTGGAGAATCCCACCATTAATCACCAGAAGAACCGCCCCACTCGGGAAGCCATAACACACCTGCTTGGTGTAGCCTTGACCCGTTATAACCATATGCTCAGTAAGTTACCAGTCGCTTTGCCCCGCCTTTTTTGTATTGCCCATAATTTCTCATGTTTAATGCTTCCACAGGTGCTACAGTGAAGATCATCCAGATGCTGCAGCACTTTGAACACCTGGCACCTGTACTGGTTGCAGCCGTGAGTCTATGGGCAACTGACTATGGAATGAAGAGCATAGTGGGAGAGATTGTAAGGTGACTCTTCCTTCTCGAAGTTTCTCATGCTTATTTTCCTTGGGGAGGGAATAAAGAAAGATTGGAAATACATTATCTGTGCAACAGTAGATTCCTTCAGATATTAGATACCTGTCTTACCTTCCCTTACTGGGAACTGAATAATTGATCTATGTTGCTATGGCTGTGTTTTCTTCCCTGTGTAGAGAGATTGGACAAAAGTGTCCCCAAGAGCTGAGTCGAGACCCTTCAGGGACAAAGGGCTTTGCAGCATTCCTGACAGAACTAGCAGAACGTGTCCCAGCTATCCTGATGTCCAGCATGTGCATTTTGCTAGATCACCTGGATGGAGAAGTAGGTGGTCCACTAGGGGTCACTGAGCTTTTTCTGGGGATTTTAAGTCCAGTGTTGAAAGGCTGTTTCTTAACAGAACAAGAAAGTAGCTTTGACAAGTTGTCTAGATTTATCATTGTGACATTTCCTTTCTGTAGAGAAGCAGGTCAAGTTTGTTGAATAAGGAGCTCTTTATTAATCTGTTAATCTTTCAATTCACATTGCTTTTATCCAGTTCTGGTAAGGGAGATGACATTTCTGCAGCTTAAGTCTAGTAAGAGCAACTCAGCTTTGATTTTTTTTTTTTCTTGGAGGTAGGATCTGGCTCTGTCACCCATGCTGGAGCATGATCATAGCTCATTGCAGCCTCGATCTCCTGGGCTCAAGCAATCCTCCCACCTCAGCCTCCCAAGTAGCTGGGACTTCAGGCACATACTACCATGCCTGGCTAATTTTTTTAGTTTTTGTAGAGGTGGGGTCTTGCCATATTGCCCAGGCTAGTCTCAAACTCCTGGTCTCAAGCAACCCTCCTGCCTCAGCCTCCCAAAGTGCTGGGATTGCAGGCGCTACCATGCTTAGCCTTCAGCTTTGATTCTGAGTCCCATCTGTTCCTCAGGATAAAGCGTCTTCCCACCAGCTGGCTTGCCTTGCTTCCTCAAACAATGAACTTTCTCAAATCAACCCATGTCATCTCTCTCAATTCTCTTTTATGCCTGAATGCTAACCTGGCTGATTCCCATACTGATGTTGGGCACTCCTAGGTGAATGTCAAGGACAAAGACAGTCCACTTGTTCATCTCATTTACTTTAACTTTTTGTGCAAGACCCTATTCTCTGGTTCTTAGCCTGGCAAAACCTTAACCCTGCTCTCCACTAGATTATGTATTGGACTTGCTGGCACTCTTAAGGCTGATTTCCATGTTTCTGTCTCATTTTCTGTCAGTAAAGCATCTGAAGGAGAGTGGGAGGGAAAGGAGGGGATATTTATTAGTAAGGATTAAAGACTTTGAGGCCAGGTGTGGTGGCTCACGCCTGTAATCCCAGCACTTTGGGAGGCTGAGGTGAGTGGATCACTTGAGGTCAAGAGTTTAAGACTAGCCTGGCCAACATGGTGAAATCCCATCTCTACTAAAAATACAAAAAAAAATTAGCTGGGTGTGGTGGCGCGCACCTGTAATCCTAGCTACTCGGGAGGCTGAAGTGGGAGGGTTGCTTGAACCTGGGAAATGGAGGTTACAGTGAGCCGAGATCGCACCACTGCACTCCAACCTGGGTGACAAAACGAGACTCTGTCTCAAAAAAAAAACCAAAAAAAACCACACAGACGGGCGCGGTGGCTCACGCCTATAATCTCAGCACTTTGGGAGGCCGAGGAGGGTGGATCACGAGGTCAGGAGTTTGAGACCAGCCTGGCCAATATGGTGAAATCCTGTCTCTACTAAAAATACAAAAATTAGCTGGGTGTGGTGGCGGGCACCTGTAATCCCAGCTGCTTGGGAGGCTGAGGCAGGAGAATCACTTGAACCCGGGAGTCAGAGGTTGCAGTGAGCCGAGATGGCGCCACAGCACTCCAGCCTGGGCAACAGAGCAAGACTCCGTCTCAAAAACAAACAAACAACCACAATAACAAAGGCTTTGAGACCTCAGCTGAAGGGTAGTTAATAAATGCTTTTCAAATGTGTGTTGGTGAGTGGATGTGATTTTTTTATTCAGCTACTACCATGCTTTCCTGTGTGAGCCCTATGAGGAAAAATTGGTTTTGGCCCTTGTTCTAGCATTCTCTGAGCAACAAGTCCTCTTTGGGATTCAGCTTTCTCCTGTGACCTTGGGAGTGAATACCTAGGCAGTTAATGGAAAAAGTTATGGCCAAGCACAAGCAAGCTTCGCCTTGACTAAAGGTTTGACCCCTCTATGCTTCTCTCTCTTAGAATTACATGATGCGTAATGCTGTGCTGGCAGCCATGGCGGAGATGGTGCTGCAGGTTCTCAGTGGCGATCAACTGGAAGCAGCAGCCCGAGACACCAGAGACCAGTTCTTGGATACTTTACAAGCCCATGGCCATGATGTCAACTCCTTTGTGCGGAGCCGTGTTTTGCAGCTCTTCACCCGAATTGTCCAGCAGAAGGTAACCAACTTCTATGTGGCAAAAACATATGGTACCTCTCCATATACCAGTGTAAAGAGGAATCCAGTGTTGAAGATAAATATCTGCCCCAAAGAGGTCTAGAATTCACATTTTTATTATCAGTAGTAAAAGTCTTCCTCTACCAAGGACGAGGATATCTGGCTCCCTTTAAGGACTGTAATGTGTCTTACCACTACAAGGAGTACTCCTAATCTATATTCTGTAGAAAGGGTTTTTAGAGTGAGTGGGTAGCTCAGTTTAGAGTATACTTAAAGATCATCTTGAACAAAATGGATGATGTGGGACTTGAGCAGATTCTTCTCTTCCTACCCTACACAGGCTCTCCCCCTGACACGTTTCCAGGCAGTGGTGGCTTTAGCTGTGGGACGTCTGGCAGACAAGTCAGTGCTAGTATGTAAAAATGCCATCCAGCTGCTGGCCAGTTTTCTAGCCAATAATCCTTTCTCCTGCAAGGTAAGTAGACTTGGTCCACCAAAAGAGAAGGAATTAAATGGAAACAGGGATGAAATTATGTCATTTACTGACCCTGCTATTCATTTTACCTGATAGCTTAGTGATGCTGACCTTGCCGGACCACTGCAGAAGGAGACCCAGAAATTACAAGAGATGAGGGCCCAGAGGCGAACTGCAGCAGCTTGTAAGTAGTTACTGCCTTGGAGTCCTAATGCCAGACAGGCTTCTCCTTGCAGTCAGAAACTCTAGTGAAAGAGACTAAGTGACACTCTCATTTAGCTGCAGTGCTGGACCCAGAGGAGGAGTGGGAAGCCATGCTGCCAGAGTTGAAGTCTACCCTGCAGCAGCTTCTACAGCTTCCCCAGGGAGAGGAGGAGATTCCTGAGCAAATTGCCAATACAGAGACAACTGAAGATGTGAAAGGACGCATCTATCAACTGCTTGCCAAAGCTAGTTACAAGTAGGCAAAAGAATGGGATATTCTTCGTGATCTGTTTATGTTTAGAGTTAACCTTTGAGAAACTTACATAATGTGTCTTTTAAATTAACTGCACACAGATATGCTGCCACCAGGTGATGGTAGATGTTTTCATGTAGTAATGGTCTGACCATAGGCCTAGTCCACAATTAAGCATGTGTTTCTACTTTATAAATGTTTAAAAAAACTACTGAAACAATTAAATGTTAACAGTATTATAATCAAACATGAGTCCTCCTTCAATTGAAGAAGAGCACCTATAAATAAGTTCTAGTTGTATGATCTTGAATAAGTTGCTTAACTTTCTGTGCCTCGGTTTCATTATCTATAAAATAAGAAATTGATTAGATCTTATGATCTCTAAGGACTTTCTAATTCTAAATTTCATGAACTAATAATATCAAACATGCTTAATACTACCTTAATCTTCAAACCTAGTATGAATCCTGATCTTAGAGAAAAGATTTCTCCTAGTGTTTTTGTGACTCTAGAACTTAACAACAAAAGCCCTTACAGCCGTCAACAAGTTTTTTTTTTTTTTTTTTTTTTTTTTTTTTGAGATGGAGTCTCACTCACTCTGTTGCCCAGGCTGCAGTACAGTGACACGATCTTGGCTCACTGCAACCTCTGCCTCCCAGGTTCAAGCAATTCTCGTGCCTCAGCCTCCCAAGTAGCTGGGACCACAGGCGCGCACCACCACACCGCACTAATTTTTTTATTTTTAGTAGAGACAGGGTTTCACCATATTGGCCAGGCTGGTCTTGAACTCCTGACCTCAGGTGATCCACCCATCTCAGCCTCCCAAAGTGCCATGATTACAGGCGTGAGCCACCGCACTCGGCTGCCAACAAGTATTCTTAAACCTCAGCCACAAGTTATTTGTTATTTATTTACTTCTTACCTAATTGGGCTGAATTTTTTTTTTGGAGACGGAGTCTTGCTCTGTTGCCCAGGCTGGAGTGCAGTGGTGCGATCTTGGCTCACTGCAACCTCCACCTCCTGGGTTCACGCCATTCTCCTGCCTCAGCCTCCCGAGTAGCTGGGACTACAGGCGCCCGCCACCACGCCCGGCTAATTTTTTTTTTTATATTTTTAGTAGAGACGGGGTTTCACCGTGTTAGCCAGGATGGTCTCAATCTCCTGACCTCGTGATCCGCCTGCCTCGGCCTCCCAAAGTGCTGGGATTACAGGCTTGAGCCACCGTGCCCGGCTTGGGCTGTTTTTAGAAGGCTAGAGAGTGGCTTGTTTGCCCTATGACTCCCTTATGTTACTTTAGTGTCTCTCTTTTTATTTTGCTAAAGCAAAAATAGAGACTATAGTTTTATAAGTGCATGTTCCACCAAGCATTCTAGTATTTTCTCCTGTCAATTAGAAAAGGATTGTTTGTTTTTGAGACAGAATCTCACTGTTGCCCAGGCTGGAGTACAGTAGCGCAATCACAGCTCACTGCAGCCTCTCACTGTAGCCTCAACCCTGCTGGGCTCAAGCGATCTCCCACATTAGCCTCCTGAGTAGCCTGGTTAATTTATTTATAATTTGTAGCTGGGATTACAGGTACACACCACCAGGCCTGGCCTTTGCCAGCCTGGGCAACGTGGCAAGAAGATAACATGTAGACAAGCAGTCAAACATGTATTCTTTTTTTCCCCCTTTTATATGACTGATAGAATTCTCTGCCCACTGATCTACCATCTTGTTTTTTTCACTTAACTATGTGTCTCAGTGGTTTTTAAAAATATTTATGGCTGGGTGCAATGGCTCATGCCTGTAATCCCAGCTACTTGGGAGGCTGAGGCAGGAGAATTGCTTGAACCCAGGAAGCAGAGGTTGCAGTGAGCTGAGATTGCTCCGCTACACTCTACCCTGGGTGACAGAGGAAGAGTCCATCTCAAAAAAAAAAAAAAATTTATAGATGGCCAGGTGCAGTGGCTCACACCTGTAATCCCAGCACCTTGGGAGCCCAAAGCTGGTGGATCTCTTGAGGCCAGGAGTTTGAGGCCAGCCTGGCCAACGTGGCGAAATGGCGAAACCCATCTCTGCTAAAATTACAAAAATTGGCCAGGTATGGTGGCACGTACCTGTAATCCTAGCTATTTGGGGAGCTGAGGCATGAGAATCACTCAAACCTAGGAAGCAGAGGTTATAGTGAGCCAAGATCATGCCACTACACTTCAGCCTGGGTGACAGAACAAGACTCTGTCTCTAAAAAAAAAAATATATATATATATATACACATATATATTTATACATAAATAGTTTCCCACTCTCCTCTTTTTTTGAGAGAGAGAGTGTCTCACTCTTTTGCCCATGCTGGAGTACAGTGGTATGATCACAACTCACTGCAGCTTTGATCTCCCAGGCTCAAGTGATCCTCCCACCTCAGCTCCCTCGAGTAGCTGAGACCACAGGCACACACCATTACACCCACAGGCACACACCATCACACCCACAGGCACACACCATCACACCCACAGGCATACACCATCACACCCACAGGCACACACCATCACACCCGGCTAACTTTTTTTACTTTTTGTATAGTTGGGTCTCCCTGTGTTGCCCAGACTGATCTCAAATTCCTGGGCTCACGTGTCCCCATTATTTTTTATGACTACATAGAATCTTATTGTCTGGATGTGCCTGAATTAACTAATTATTGAAAGTTTATTGTTTCTAAACTTAGGAAAGTTTTTAAACAGGTGTTTGGAGTAGGTTTATGATTTTAAAACTTTAAAAAGCCTTATTGGAGTTTTTTTGAAGACTGTAGTAATGCCTTGTAGGTTCAGAAATAGGAAAAGTGTTTGCAGATGAGCAGTCAGGGGAAAAAAATAGGCAAAGTGTTTTGAGCCCTACCCCTTAGTAGGTGCTGTAACAACTTTTTAAGCATGTTAAGTGCTCCTTTTCTCTGGGCAGTAGGTCCAGGGACTTGATAGAATCATGAGGTAAGCTCCCTTACAAACGGCTGCAGTGACATTCTTCTGGGTACTGACAGGCTGGTGTTCTTTCAGAAAGGCCATCATTCTCACTCGAGAAGCCACAGGCCACTTCCAGGAGTCCGAACCCTTCAGTCATATAGACCCAGAGGAGTCAGAGGAGACCAGGCTCTTGAATATCTTAGGACTTATCTTCAAAGGTAATCATTTTCCTTCTTCAGTCAATAAATAACACATGTCAACTGGTATTTACTGAGCATTAACTTTATGCCATCATTGGCCTGGTTAACAGAACCTGGTGCTGAAGAGCCCAGAGATGAATTGGCATTACTTTTGCTCTGGAATGGAAGCAGCCCACGGGCCTAAGATTGATAGTCACAGGGTGACTGTCCAGACCATAGCGGTCTTTAGGTATGGTTTTTGAGAAATTTAGATATTTTAGAGTAAGTTTTAATTTCATATCTTCACATTGTGAAAAGAGATATCCAGGGCCAGATGTCGTGGCTTATGCCTGTAATCCTAACACTTTGGGAGGCCAAGGCAGGAGGATTGCTTGAGCCCAGGAGTTGAAAATCAGCCTGAGCAACATGACGAAACCCCCATCTCTACAAGGGATACCAAAAAAAAATTAGCCAGGTGCGGTGGCACGCACCTGTAGTCCCAACTGCTCAGGAGCTGAAGTGAGAGAATCACCTTAGCCCGGGGAAGTTGAGGCTGCAGTGAGCGGTGATCATTGCCACTGCACAGCCTAGGCAACAGAGTGAGACCCCATCTCAAAAGAAAAGAAGAAGGAAAATAAATAAGTAAATATCCAGGAATGTTGACAGCTGTTGGATTCCCCTGTATCCCCTTGAACGAAACCATCCTGTACTTCTCTAACTCCTTAGGCCCAGCAGCTTCCACACAAGAAAAGAATCCCCGGGAGTCTACAGGAAACATGGTCACAGGACAGACTGTCTGTAAAAATAAACCCAATATGTCGGATCCTGAGGAATCCAGGGGAAATGATGAACTAGTGAAGCAGGAGATGCTGGTACAGTATCTGCAGGATGCCTACAGCTTCTCCCGGAAGATTACAGAGGCCATTGGCATCATCAGCAAGATGATGTATGAAAACACAACTACAGGTATGCCAGAGTCCCTTTCTATAAGGACAGCCTTGGGGTTCTTTTGGATTTTTTAATTTTTTAAATTTTTATTAACAATAGAGATGGGGCCTTCCTTTGTTGCTCAGGCTGGTCTCCAACTCCTGGGCTCAGGCAATTCTTCTGCGTCAGCCTCCCAAAGTGCTGGTATTACAGGTGTGAGCCACTGCACCCGGCCATGGATCTTGGAGTTCTTTTCCATATTTTATTGATATATCTATCTGCTCCTTTAAAAGGCAGGGGTTCTCGGCTGGGCGCGATGGCTCATGCCTGTAATCCCTACAAAACTGGGAGGCCAAAGCAGGAAGACAGGTTGAGGCCAGGAGTTCGAGAGCAGCCTGGGCAACATAGCAAGACCCCATCTCTACAAAGAAACAAAAACTAACTGGGCGTGATGGCACGCACCTGTAGTTCCAGCTACTCGGAAGGCTGGGCAGGAGGATTGCTTGAGCCCGGGAGTTTGAGGCTACAGTGAGCTGTGGTCATGCCACTGCACTCTAGCCGGAGCAACAGAATAAGAACCTGTGTCTTAAGAAAAGAAAAAAAAAAGGCAGGGGTTCTTTTTTTCTGTTTGCTTCCTCTAGCCACTTACAGCTTATACATTTTAATGCATATAGTATTTCATGATAAGGCATCATAGGAGGAGTCGACATTCTCAGGGAAAATGCGGAAGGCCTCCATTTGCATCTTGCTACATTCAGAAAGGTTCTGTCGTTAGGTATTGGGGGAGTTTTGTGAAGTAGATAGGTGACATTTGTACATGTTCTCTCAGTGGTGCAGGAGGTGATTGAATTCTTTGTGATGGTCTTCCAATTTGGGGTACCCCAGGCCCTGTTTGGGGTGCGCCGTATGCTGCCTCTCATCTGGTCTAAGGAGCCTGGTGTCCGGGAAGCCGTGCTTAATGCCTACCGCCAACTCTACCTCAACCCCAAAGGGGACTCTGCCAGGTATATGGGGTGCTTTTGCCTTTGCTGACTTTTCCAAGGTCAGCTTCTCACAGGACTTCCCTTGTCTCCTAAAGGAAGAGGTGCATTTCTCCAGGGGAGTTCCAGATCCATAGGCAGTCCATCATAGTGGGGCTTAGGGTGGGGCTCGGTTTCCAGGGAGAGCAGTTTTGTAGCACTGTGGTGGGATAGCCCTAATCACTGTTTGCCAAGTTCAGCTTCCCAATCTTATAGTGACCGCTGATCTCTGCTGTTCCCACAGAGCCAAGGCCCAGGCTTTGATTCAGAATCTCTCTCTGCTGCTAGTGGATGCCTCGGTTGGGACCATTCAGTGTCTTGAGGAAATTGTAAGGCTTCCTGCTTTCTCTTTCTTTATTCATTCAACAAGTATTTTGGTTGTTTTTTTTTTTTTTTTTGAGACGGAGTCATGCCCCATTGCCCAGGCTGGAGTGCAATGGCACAATCTTGGCTCACTGCAACCTCCGCCTCCCAGGTTCAAGCAATTCTCCTGCCTCAGCCTCCCGAGTAACTGGAATTACATGCATGTGCCACCATGCCCGACTAGTTTTTTGTATCTTTAGTAGAGACGGGGTTTCACCATGTTGGCCGAGCTGGTCTCGAACCCTTGACCTCGTGATCCACCCGCCTCAACCTCCCAGAGTGCTGGGATTACAGGCGTGAGCCAAAGCGCCCGGCAACAAGTATTATTGAGTTATTACTATGTATTTAGCAATTTACTTAGCTCCAGAAAGAAGTATAAGACTATTTGCTTTCATGTTCCCAACTTTAAAGGAACCAACAGTCTAGTTGGTAGTGAAAAACCACAGAACATTTTTAGAACAATGCAGCAGGTAGATAATAAAGTGCCAGAATGAGTTGTACGGGTAATGGTTGTCATAGCAATAATAACAACCTCACTTATATGGTATTGAATATATGACAGGCACTCACACGTTACTCACAGTAACTTGTTTAATCCTCACGACAGCCCTGTGAGGTAGCATTATCTGCATTTTACAATGAGAAATCTGAGGCACAGAGAAGTTACTGAACTTGGCTGGTTACAGCTAGTTAGTGGCAAAGTTTGAGATTCAAACTCAGGCAATAAGAGCTCTAGAAAACATACTCTTAACTTCTGTGTTCTACTGAGGGATACAGAGTAGGAAAGAGAGCGGTTTGGGGTAGAATGGTCAAGGAAGCTTCCTGAAGGTGGTAGGACTTAAGCTGGGTCTTGAAAGATGAGTAGGATTTAGAGAATCAGAGCAAGGAGGGAGGGCATTTCAAACAGAACCCAAGAAAGAGCACAGTTCACATTGTAGAACAAAGAAGACTGTGTTCTGGTTCAAATTATCTGGAAAAGACCAGGCGCGATGGCTCACGTCTGTAATCCCAGCACTTTGGGAGGCCAAGGCAGCAGATTACCTGAGGTCTGAGGTCAGGAGTTCGAGACCAGCCTGGTCAACATGGCGAAACCCCACCTTTACTAAAAATACAAAAAAATTAGCCAGGTGTGGTGGTGGGCACCTGTAGTCCCAGCTACTTGGGAGGCTGAGGCAGGACAGTTGCTTGAACCCAGGAGGTGGAGGTAGCAGTGAGCCGAGATTGCGCCACTGCACTCCAGCCTGGGCGACAGAGGGAGACTCTGTCTCAAAAAAAAAAAAAAAAAAAAAAATCTGGAAAAGATAATAAAGTTGTGAATGTAGGTTGGAACTAAACTGTGGAAGTCCCTGAATGACTTCAGGAGTCTAGGACTTTAACTGTGTTAGCCAGGCACCCAGCATTTTAGTGAGACATTCTGCTTTGTAGCATTTGCATTGCGGGCACAGAGAGTGGAGGTGGCGCTGGGAAGCGTGCTCCTGCCAGCCACATTTTTCTCCTCACTGGGGAAAAGAAAAGAGCCTGGTGGTGGTGATTGGCCATGATGTCATAGGTCAGTTACCGGCAAAAGCCCTACAAGAGGCAGGGGAGAGCACCTGCAAACTGGGGTGCAACAGAAGGGACGTGGGGAAGCAGAGGCTGAGGAGACCAACCCATGGGAAGGAAGGCCCGTGGAGGCTGCTGCAGTGGGCAGTAACGAGGGGCTGGACTTGAGGATTGGAGAAATCACTGCAGAATGGGCTTAATGGAAGACAAATTTTTAAAGGAAAAATAGTGACTGATTTGTAAAAAAATTAGATGACCGAAATTTTAAGCACATATTACTGATAGAGTGTTGATACCACTGGCAAAATGAAAAGGCAAGGAAGGATGATGGCTTCCATGTTGGACATGTTGAGTTTGTGGTAACGGCAAGAAAACCTGTTAGAAATCTCCAGACTTAGAACTATGGACCCACGTGGAACTCAAAAGGTCAGTTTCGATATGTCACTTGAATAAAATAGTTTTGAAGGCATGAGAGTAGAAAAGTAGAGAATGGAAAGCCTCTCAAGACCCTGCTGTACATTTTGAACCTCCTCTTTTCTTTTTCTCTTCCTAAGTATTACTTTTGTCTACTTCAGGTTCGCAATATCATCTTCAGAAAAGCAGACCAAAGATCAAGGAATTGTTCATTTTTGGCTTGAGCCCTTTTTCTTTTCTCTTTAGCTCTGTGAGTTTGTGCAGAAGGATGAGTTGAAACCAGCAGTGACCCAGCTGCTGTGGGAGCGGGCCACCGAGAAGGTCGCCTGCTGTCCTCTGGAGCGCTGTTCCTCTGTCATGCTTCTTGGCATGATGGCACGGTGAGGCTCAAATCTAGCAGGCAATGGGGTGGGAGAGCAAAGGAAGGTTCTGAGAGGGCTCCTTTTCCTTCAGTGACATTGTCACAGTGAGGCCCAACTGAGCTCTGCTGTGAGTTATAACGCCACCTAAATGGAAAAGCAAATAGTGAGAGGACCAGCCCTCCTGCCTAGTAGTAGTGGGATTCAGTAAAGCAACAGGACCCAAGAGGCTGGCCCTGCGGCAGAGCCACGCTATAGTGCTCCACGGCTCTAGACACCACATGAGGTGCTGGTACCTACCCCTATTGGCCCTTTCTCCCCCGATGAGTCCAATCCATGACTGCCTTTAACTCTGTGGCTTCCTTCCCCTAGAGGAAAGCCAGAAATTGTGGGAAGCAATTTAGACACACTGGTGAGCATAGGGCTGGATGAGAAGTTTCCACAGGACTACAGGCTGGCCCAGCAGGTGTGCCATGCCATTGCCAACATCTCGGACAGGAGAAAGGTATGTGGGGGTGGTTCCAAACTAAGGAGAGTGGAGATTCTCGTGTCCACCCTGTACACACACCCACGTTGTCTTGCTCTCCACAGCCTTCTCTGGGCAAACGTCACCCCCCCTTCCGGCTGCCTCAGGAACACAGGTTGTTTGAGCGACTGCGGGAGACAGTCACAAAAGGTGAGCTCTCAGGGAAGGCCTTGGGCAGAATTGGGCCCTTTGTTGCAGTAAACAACTTCTCCCTCCTCCTCTGCAGGCTTTGTCCACCCAGACCCACTCTGGATCCCATTCAAAGAGGTGGCAGTGACCCTCATTTACCAACTGGCAGAGGGCCCCGAAGTGATCTGTGCCCAGATATTGCAGGGCTGTGCAAAACAGGCCCTGGAGAAGCTAGAAGAGAAGAGAACCAGTCAGGAGGACCCGAGTAAGTGGGCAGGGGTTGACCCACTGCGGCAGCCAGCTTCTGTTCTCCCTGCAGGGCCAGGAGCCACTGCCACCACCACTATCTGCAACAACCCTTAGTGTACACTGTGTCGTTTTTGTCTAAGTTGAAGTTGGGCCAGTTCCCACCCCCAACTCTTACTACTTCACTAGTTTGAATAGCACGTGAGCAAGGGGAAGATCAGTAAAAATCGGATTCAGGTTTGATGGGACTTAAAAATGTCTCTTTGCCCCACCTTCCCTCTCCCTCTCCTCCAGAGGAGTCCCCCGCAATGCTCCCCACTTTCCTGTTGATGAACCTGCTGTCCCTGGCTGGGGATGTGGCTCTGCAGCAGCTGGTCCACTTGGAGCAGGCAGTGAGTGGAGAGCTCTGCCGGCGCCGAGTTCTCCGGGAAGAACAGGAGCACAAGACCAAAGATCCCAAGGAGAAGGTGTGTGAATGTCCTCAGCACTTCCCAGATTTATTTCATACCTCAGCTCAGAACTGAGCTGATCCCCTTCCGGCAATCTCTGCTCCTCTGCTATTACATGAAGCGAAGAGTTTCTGCCTCTCTGTGGCTACTACCGTAGGAAAGGTTCGTGTGAACAATGACGAAACTGTCAGTGATCACCCAGGAAGGAAAGATTTAGGTAAATGCAGAGTGTGGAGTTAGAGACCTCAGCATAAAACAGAGGCTTTGTGTCTGAGGCAGGGTTTGTTAGAACACGCACGTACCCGCCGGCCTTTTCCATCAGCTTCCATTGCTGGCCTGGCCCCGGATGGGGCCCTGTGTTCCCTCCACTAGAGGCAATGATGTCTTGCAGACAAATAAGACACAGAGCCTTGCAGCGCTGGAGAAAAGTCTGACCTCTGTGACTTTGAACCATTGTCTGGCGTGATCCATCTGTTTACCATATATAGGAAACGATGTCTTCCATGAGGAAGAGGTGCAGAAACACGCTTTGGCAACTTAAAACAAATGGGGACCTCATTGTTCCCCTGCTTAATTCAGGAATCCTTTCTCTTTACAGACACATTTGACAATTCTCTAAATGTTTTTGTAGAATTTGCCCTTCCTCACTTTGTTCATGCAAAACAAAGTATGGGCTGGAATCAAAAATGTTGTCTCTGCTTATCCATGATCCCCAATTTCATTCCCTTTAGAATACGAGCTCTGAGACCACCATGGAGGAGGAGCTGGGGCTGGTTGGGGCAACAGCAGATGACACAGAGGCAGAACTAATCCGTGGCATCTGCGAGATGGAACTGTTGGATGGTAAGAAAAATGGCTGCACTCAGCAGTTTCTTCCCAATTAAGATAACCTGTCCCAAACCTGCAGTTACTCTTCCAACAGGCAAACAGACACTGGCTGCCTTTGTTCCACTCTTGCTTAAAGTCTGTAACAACCCAGGCCTCTATAGCAACCCAGACCTCTCTGCAGCTGCTTCACTTGCCCTTGGCAAGTTCTGCATGATCAGGTAGGCCGTGGGGTTGGTACCCCCTTCTCAAGGAAGATGGGGATGAAATGGCTTCCCTAATGATCCTCTTCTTGCTCTTAGTGCCACTTTCTGCGACTCCCAGCTTCGTCTTCTGTTCACCATGCTGGAAAAGTCTCCACTTCCCATTGTCCGGTCTAACCTCATGGTTGCCACTGGGGATCTGGCCATCCGCTTTCCCAATCTGGTGGACCCCTGGACTCCTCATCTGTATGCTCGGTAAGAGACCCCTCACAACGTGGTGGCAGTTCCCAGGAGCCCCGGAGTCTGTTGAGAGTCAGTGTGAGAATCACCAGGGCTCTTCCCCTAGGCTTTGGCATCACCGCGAACATCTGCTTGATACTTGACCTGTACAGGCCCCTGGCTAAGAGTCACCCCAGTGGGACTGACACTTCTGGTTAGAAGCTTCACCTCTTTCCCCCACTCCAGCTTTCAACTCTAGACAGCTTTCTGACTGCTTCTGGAGTGGCAGAGCATGGGATAATTGATTCCTGCTGAGGGCCTTTTCTACCAGTGTTAGGGTGTAGCCCGGAGGTCTCGGTCCCCATGACCCGCAATTCCATTCCTAGTCTCCGGGACCCTGCTCAGCAAGTGCGGAAAACAGCGGGGCTGGTGATGACCCACCTGATCCTCAAGGACATGGTGAAGGTGAAGGGGCAGGTCAGCGAGATGGCGGTGCTGCTCATCGACCCCGAGCCTCAGATTGCTGCCCTGGCCAAGAACTTCTTCAATGAGCTCTCCCACAAGGTGAGAGGCAGAGAGGCACTGAGGGCTGGCTGCAGAGGGAATCTGTAGGTCACCTCATCTCCTTAACATGGCTCTCTCTGTCTTACAGGGCAACGCAATCTATAATCTCCTTCCAGATATCATCAGCCGCCTGTCAGACCCCGAGCTGGGGGTGGAGGAAGAGCCTTTCCACACCATCATGAAGTATTGCTCCCCGGGCCCTGGGGCACATTTTCCACATAGCACGGGCTTAGGAATCAGACACACCTGTATTTGAATTCCACCTCGGCTACTCTTTAGCTGTACAGCCTTCGGCAATAACTTAGCCTCTCTTTGTGCCTATTTCCTCTTCTTTTGAGGCTGATGATACTTAACCCTTAGTTCTTGAAAATATTAAATACGATAAAGTTCCTAACATGGTGGCAGACATACAGTAGCACTCACTCCCTAGCAGCTGCTCCTGTTAATTTCCATTCACAGTGAAAATTCCTGAGCCGGGGGCGGGGTGGGGTCCCTCTCTGCTGAATGGGACAGGGCAAGGGGAGTGGTGAGGCAGACAGGGGCCGTGGCAGAGAACATCAGAGAAGACGAGTGCTGGGGGAGGGTCCAGGGTTGGTCTTAGTGGATGGCAGAGCTGGCCCTGGGCCATCGAACATCCTCATCTCCCCTTCCTGCAGACAGCTCCTCTCCTACATCACCAAGGACAAGCAGACAGAGAGCCTGGTGGAAAAGCTGTGTCAGCGGTTCCGCACATCCCGGTATGCTGCCCTCCCTGAGGGTTCTTTGTGCTGAGCGGGGCCCTGCAGGGGAGAAAGGCCCATCCCTCACCCCTTCAATGCCCCCACTGTGGCATCCCTGGGACTGGGGAGGCTGATGGGGAAGGTTGAGCCTTTACTAGCTGGATCTCCCAGTTCCTCACAAAGCCCTTCCTATCTGCAGAACTGAGCGGCAGCAGCGAGACCTGGCCTACTGTGTGTCACAGCTGCCCCTCACAGAGCGAGGCCTCCGTAAGATGCTTGACAATTTTGACTGTTTTGGAGACAAACTGTCAGATGAGTCCATCTTCAGTGCTTTTTTGTCAGTTGTAGGCAAGCTGCGACGTGGGGCCAAGCCTGAGGGCAAGGTGAGCAGCACAGGACACTTCAATGCCTGTTGGGTTCTGGGCTGGCTAAGACATCTGCCGGCCCTGGGCAGCATACGGCTCTTGCAGTCACCTTCCCGTCCTCCTTATCCCCAGCTGGGTTGCAACCAAATTGCCAGAGTGACCTAAGACCAGATCTTTGTCTCCAGTTCTTTTTTTATTACTCCAAAAACACAACCAAAGCAGCATCTCATCCAATTCTTGTTTGTTTGTTTTTAATAGTTTTTATTTTTCAGAGCAGTTTTAGGTTCAAAGCAAAATTGAGCAGAAAGTACAGGGAGTTCCCTTCTACCCCTTGCCCCTACACATCACAGCCTTCCCCACCTTCAACATCCTGCACCAGGGTGGCACATTTGTTACAGCTGAACCTACACTTACACATCATCTCCTAAAGTCATGGTTTACCTTGGAGTTCACTGCACGTAATGACATGTACCCACCATTGCAGTATCATACAGAAGAGTTTCACTGCCTTACAAATCCCCTGCACTCCACCTATTTATCCCTCTCTCCCCACAACCCCTGATCTTTTTACTGTTGCCATCACTTTGTCTTTTCCAGAATGTATCATTGGAATGATCCGGTATGGAGCCTTCTCACCTTGGCTTCTTAGTAATGTGCGTTTAAGGCCTCCATGTCTTCCATGGCCTTGTTTCTTTTTAATCAGAAGTAACTGTTTTCAGGCCTGCTCTGAATCTCCTTTTCTCCCTCCAGGCTATAATAGATGAATTTGAGCAGAAGCTTCGGGCCTGTCATACCAGAGGTTTGGATGGAATCAAGGAGCTTGAGATTGGCCAAGCAGGTAGCCAGAGAGCGCCATCAGCCAAGAAACCATCCACTGGTACGTAAGGCAGCCTGTGCGGGCGAGACCAGACTGGGCCCTCCCCTCCTGCAGTGATTTGTTTCTTCTTCTTTTTTAAATCACGTTTTCCTGCCTTTTCTAGGTTCTAGGTACCAGCCTCTGGCTTCTACAGCCTCAGACAATGACTTTGTCACACCAGAGCCCCGCCGTACTACCCGTCGGCATCCAAACACCCAGCAGCGAGCTTCCAAAAAGAAACCCAAAGTTGTCTTCTCAAGTGATGAGTCCAGTGAGGAAGGTATGATGCTCCCGCCTGTTCCCGGCCGAGAAGGCACACAGCTAGGGTGCAGAGGGCTGGTTTCCATAGGACCTGCTGCGGGGGCCTGAGTGTAGATGCTCTGCCCCACTGCCGCAGAAGGGCCTCTCCTGTACAGCTTGGATTTTATTTCTTCTGTGCGGTGTGGGATTGTCTCACTTGTTCTCTGATATCTATTTTTTCACCATCTTTGTGACTCAGCTTTTTCTTATTCCTTTAATTCTTTGCATAGATCTTTCAGCAGAGATGACAGAAGACGAGACACCCAAGAAAACAACTCCCATTCTCAGAGCATCGGCTCGCAGGCACAGATCCTAGGAAGTCTGTTCCTGTCCTCCCTGTGCAGGGTATCCTGTAGGGTGACCTGGAATTCGAATTCTGTTTCCCTTGTAAAATATTTGTCTGTCTCTTTTTTTTAAAAAAAAAAAAGGCCGGGCACTGTGGCTCACGCCTGTAATCCCAGCACTTTGCGATACCAAGGCGGGTGGATAACCTGAGGTAGGGAGTTCGAGACCAGCCTGACCAACATGGAGAAACCCCATCTCTACTAAAAATAAAAAATTAGCCGGGCGTATTGGCGTGCGCCTGTAATCCCAGCTACTCAAGAGGCTGAGGCAGGAGAATCGCCTGAACCCAGAGGCGGAGGTTGTAGTGAGCCGAAATCACACCATTGCACTCCAGCTTGGGCAACAATAGCGAACCTCCATCTCAAATTAAAAAAAAAATGCCTACACGCTCTTTAAAATGCAAGGCTTTCTCTTAAATTAGCCTAACTGAACTGCGTTGAGCTGCTTCAACTTTGGAATATATGTTTGCCAATCTCCTTGTTTTCTAATGAATAAATGTTTTTATATACTTTTAGACATTTTTTCCTAAGCTTGTCTTTGTTTCATCTTTCACATTAGCCCAGTTTCATGCAGCAGAGAGAGGGTTATCAGTGCAGAGAGAGATGAGTGAGCCCAGAGTCCTAGGGCCTGTCCCGGGATGGCAGATGAGCTTCCTGCCCCGTCACTGCCACCTTTCCCCTCTCAACCTCTGGACCCTGCACAGTGACCAGACAGCCTCTCTGGGGAGAATTATGCAGTGCCTAGGCTCCAGATCAGTGCTTCTGAACCGGGGGCAATTTTGTCTGCCAGAGGACATCTGACAACACCTGGGGCCTGTTTTGTTGTCATAGCCTATAGGGGAAGAATGCTACCAGCATTTGTGGGAAGAGGCCAGGGATGTGGCTCAACATCCTGCAGTGCACAGGATGGCCCCTCAACAAAGAATCACACGGCCCACAATGTCAATAGCGTCACAGTTGAGAAAACCTGCTCTAGACCAAGGGTTGCTTTCTGCCGTGTGCCTCACCCCACCCCCACTCGTGTTCCCTAATCCCATCTCCAAAGGTTGGCAGCAGACCGGCCCAGGCTCGTGGAAGTTCAGATCATGATCCCCTCCAGCTCTGCAGGAGACAAGACCTGTCTCCCAGCATTCCTCATTGTTCCCGGGTCTGCAGAGGGCGTGAGCTATGCTGCAGGCGGGCTGCCCCCTGAAGCCTGCGCACCCCTCTCCAGCTCCTCAAGTCTTCTCTGCTGAGTCACCTTCGAACCGGAGGCTGTGAGCTGGCTGTCGTGACCACACTGGTGCCTCTGCTGTCATGACAACAGCACACTACGTCAGTAGTGCTCCCTGGGCACTGAGCTCCCTCTTTGCGGGGAGAAGACAGTAATGAAAAATGACAAGCATGAGGCAGAGGGGAAGATCACGCTTGGGTGGTGCAGGAGCATGGAGGTGCTCTTAATGCTCTCAATGAGAAAGGGTTAACGGTCCTGGTTGCAGGAATAGCTGAGTCAGAGGTGGGGCTTCCTCCACTCCCCCACCCCACCCCTTTCACCATTAGGGACCTTCTTGCCTTGCTCTTGCTACTCTGCTCTGGGTGGTCATTGTGAAAAGCCCGCACCAACCATGCCAGTGGCAGCCAGACGAGGACACAGCCTGGCTCTGGGTCCCAGCAGGAAAGGCAATCCCAGAAAGGCAGGGTCAGGGACTGGAGTCCTGTGGGTGCTTTTTAAGCAAAGATTATCACCAGGCAGGCTAAACTTAGCAACCGGCTTTTAGCTAGAAGGGCAGGGGGCTGGTGTCAGGTTATGCTGGGCCAGCAAAGAGGCCCGGGATCCCCCTCCCATGCACCTGCTGATGGGCCAAGGCCACCCCACCCCACCCCCTTCCTTACAAGTGTTCAGCACCCTCCCATCCCACACTCACAAACCTGGCCCTCTGCCCTCCTACCAGAAGAATGGATCCCCTGTGGGAGGGGGCAGGGGACCTGTTCCCACCGTGTGCCCAAGACCTCTTTTCCCACTTTTTCCCTCTTCTTGACTCACCCTGCCCTCAATATCCCCCGGCGCAGCCAGTGAAAGGGAGTCCCTGGCTCCTGGCTCGCCTGCACGTCCCAGGGCGGGGAGGGACTTCCGCCCTCACGTCCCGCTCTTCGCCCCAGGCTGGATGGAATGAAAGGCACACTGTCTCTCTCCCTAGGCAGCACAGCCCACAGGTTTCCAGGAGTGCCTTTGTGGGAGGCCTCTGGGCCCCCACCAGCCATCCTGTCCTCCGCCTGGGGCCCCAGCCCGGAGAGAGCCGCTGGTGCACACAGGGCCGGGATTGTCTGCCCTAATTATCAGGTCCAGGCTACAGGGCTGCAGGACATCGTGACCTTCCGTGCAGAAACCTCCCCCTCCCCCTCAAGCCGCCTCCCGAGCCTCCTTCCTCTCCAGGCCCCCAGTGCCCAGTGCCCAGTGCCCAGCCCAGGCCTCGGTCCCAGAGATGCCAGGAGCCAGGAGATGGGGAGGGGGAAGTGGGGGCTGGGAAGGAACCACGGGCCCCCGCCCGAGGCCCATGGGCCCCTCCTAGGCCTTTGCCTGAGCAGTCCGGTGTCACTACCGCAGAGCCTCGAGGAGAAGTTCCCCAACTTTCCCGCCTCTCAGCCTTTGAAAGAAAGAAAGGGGAGGGGGCAGGCCGCGTGCAGCCGCGAGCGGTGCTGGGCTCCGGCTCCAATTCCCCATCTCAGTCGTTCCCAAAGTCCTCCTGTTTCATCCAAGCGTGTAAGGGTCCCCGTCCTTGACTCCCTAGTGTCCTGCTGCCCACAGTCCAGTCCTGGGAACCAGCACCGATCACCTCCCATCGGGCCAATCTCAGTCCCTTCCCCCCTACGTCGGGGCCCACACGCTCGGTGCGTGCCCAGTTGAACCAGGCGGCTGCGGAAAAAAAAAAGCGGGGAGAAAGTAGGGCCCGGCTACTAGCGGTTTTACGGGCGCACGTAGCTCAGGCCTCAAGACCTTGGGCTGGGACTGGCTGAGCCTGGCGGGAGGCGGGGTCCGAGTCACCGCCTGCCGCCGCGCCCCCGGTTTCTATAAATTGAGCCCGCAGCCTCCCGCTTCGCTCTCTGCTCCTCCTGTTCGACAGTCAGCCGCATCTTCTTTTGCGTCGCCAGGTGAAGACGGGCGGAGAGAAACCCGGGAGGCTAGGGACGGCCTGAAGGCGGCAGGGGCGGGCGCAGGCCGGATGTGTTCGCGCCGCTGCGGGGTGGGCCCGGGCGGCCTCCGCATTGCAGGGGCGGGCGGAGGACGTGATGCGGCGCGGGCTGGGCATGGAGGCCTGGTGGGGGAGGGGAGGGGAGGCGTGTGTGTCGGCCGGGGCCACTAGGCGCTCACTGTTCTCTCCCTCCGCGCAGCCGAGCCACATCGCTCAGACACCATGGGGAAGGTGAAGGTCGGAGTCAACGGGTGAGTTCGCGGGTGGCTGGGGGGCCCTGGGCTGCGACCGCCCCCGAACCGCGTCTACGAGCCTTGCGGGCTCCGGGTCTTTGCAGTCGTATGGGGGCAGGGTAGCTGTTCCCCGCAAGGAGAGCTCAAGGTCAGCGCTCGGACCTGGCGGAGCCCCGCACCCAGGCTGTGGCGCCCTGTGCAGCTCCGCCCTTGCGGCGCCATCTGCCCGGAGCCTCCTTCCCCTAGTCCCCAGAAACAGGAGGTCCCTACTCCCGCCCGAGATCCCGACCCGGACCCCTAGGTGGGGGACGCTTTCTTTCCTTTCGCGCTCTGCGGGGTCACGTGTCGCAGAGGAGCCCCTCCCCCACGGCCTCCGGCACCGCAGGCCCCGGGATGCTAGTGCGCAGCGGGTGCATCCCTGTCCGGATGCTGCGCCTGCGGTAGAGCGGCCGCCATGTTGCAACCGGGAAGGAAATGAATGGGCAGCCGTTAGGAAAGCCTGCCGGTGACTAACCCTGCGCTCCTGCCTCGATGGGTGGAGTCGCGTGTGGCGGGGAAGTCAGGTGGAGCGAGGCTAGCTGGCCCGATTTCTCCTCCGGGTGATGCTTTTCCTAGATTATTCTCTGGTAAATCAAAGAAGTGGGTTTATGGAGGTCCTCTTGTGTCCCCTCCCCGCAGAGGTGTGGTGGCTGTGGCATGGTGCCAAGCCGGGAGAAGCTGAGTCATGGGTAGTTGGAAAAGGACATTTCCACCGCAAAATGGCCCCTCTGGTGGTGGCCCCTTCCTGCAGCGCCGGCTCACCTCACGGCCCCGCCCTTCCCCTGCCAGCCTAGCGTTGACCCGACCCCAAAGGCCAGGCTGTAAATGTCACCGGGAGGATTGGGTGTCTGGGCGCCTCGGGGAACCTGCCCTTCTCCCCATTCCGTCTTCCGGAAACCAGATCTCCCACCGCACCCTGGTCTGAGGTTAAATATAGCTGCTGACCTTTCTGTAGCTGGGGGCCTGGGCTGGGGCTCTCTCCCATCCCTTCTCCCCACACACATGCACTTACCTGTGCTCCCACTCCTGATTTCTGGAAAAGAGCTAGGAAGGACAGGCAACTTGGCAAATCAAAGCCCTGGGACTAGGGGGTTAAAATACAGCTTCCCCTCTTCCCACCCGCCCCAGTCTCTGTCCCTTTTGTAGGAGGGACTTAGAGAAGGGGTGGGCTTGCCCTGTCCAGTTAATTTCTGACCTTTACTCCTGCCCTTTGAGTTTGATGATGCTGAGTGTACAAGCGTTTTCTCCCTAAAGGGTGCAGCTGAGCTAGGCAGCAGCAAGCATTCCTGGGGTGGCATAGTGGGGTGGTGAATACCATGTACAAAGCTTGTGCCCAGACTGTGGGTGGCAGTGCCCCACATGGCCGCTTCTCCTGGAAGGGCTTCGTATGACTGGGGGTGTTGGGCAGCCCTGGAGCCTTCAGTTGCAGCCATGCCTTAAGCCAGGCCAGCCTGGCAGGGAAGCTCAAGGGAGATAAAATTCAACCTCTTGGGCCCTCCTGGGGGTAAGGAGATGCTGCATTCGCCCTCTTAATGGGGAGGTGGCCTAGGGCTGCTCACATATTCTGGAGGAGCCTCCCCTCCTCATGCCTTCTTGCCTCTTGTCTCTTAGATTTGGTCGTATTGGGCGCCTGGTCACCAGGGCTGCTTTTAACTCTGGTAAAGTGGATATTGTTGCCATCAATGACCCCTTCATTGACCTCAACTACATGGTGAGTGCTACATGGTGAGCCCCAAAGCTGGTGTGGGAGGAGCCACCTGGCTGATGGGCAGCCCCTTCATACCCTCACGTATTCCCCCAGGTTTACATGTTCCAATATGATTCCACCCATGGCAAATTCCATGGCACCGTCAAGGCTGAGAACGGGAAGCTTGTCATCAATGGAAATCCCATCACCATCTTCCAGGAGTGAGTGGAAGACAGAATGGAAGAAATGTGCTTTGGGGAGGCAACTAGGATGGTGTGGCTCCCTTGGGTATATGGTAACCTTGTGTCCCTCAATATGGTCCTGTCCCCATCTCCCCCCCACCCCCATAGGCGAGATCCCTCCAAAATCAAGTGGGGCGATGCTGGCGCTGAGTACGTCGTGGAGTCCACTGGCGTCTTCACCACCATGGAGAAGGCTGGGGTGAGTGCAGGAGGGCCCGCGGGAGGGGAAGCTGACTCAGCCCTGCAAAGGCAGGACCCGGGTTCATAACTGTCTGCTTCTCTGCTGTAGGCTCATTTGCAGGGGGGAGCCAAAAGGGTCATCATCTCTGCCCCCTCTGCTGATGCCCCCATGTTCGTCATGGGTGTGAACCATGAGAAGTATGACAACAGCCTCAAGATCATCAGGTGAGGAAGGCAGGGCCCGTGGAGAAGCGGCCAGCCTGGCACCCTATGGACACGCTCCCCTGACTTGCGCCCCGCTCCCTCTTTCTTTGCAGCAATGCCTCCTGCACCACCAACTGCTTAGCACCCCTGGCCAAGGTCATCCATGACAACTTTGGTATCGTGGAAGGACTCATGGTATGAGAGCTGGGGAATGGGACTGAGGCTCCCACCTTTCTCATCCAAGACTGGCTCCTCCCTGCCGGGGCTGCGTGCAACCCTGGGGTTGGGGGTTCTGGGGACTGGCTTTCCCATAATTTCCTTTCAAGGTGGGGAGGGAGGTAGAGGGGTGATGTGGGGAGTACGCTGCAGGGCCTCACTCCTTTTGCAGACCACAGTCCATGCCATCACTGCCACCCAGAAGACTGTGGATGGCCCCTCCGGGAAACTGTGGCGTGATGGCCGCGGGGCTCTCCAGAACATCATCCCTGCCTCTACTGGCGCTGCCAAGGCTGTGGGCAAGGTCATCCCTGAGCTGAACGGGAAGCTCACTGGCATGGCCTTCCGTGTCCCCACTGCCAACGTGTCAGTGGTGGACCTGACCTGCCGTCTAGAAAAACCTGCCAAATATGATGACATCAAGAAGGTGGTGAAGCAGGCGTCGGAGGGCCCCCTCAAGGGCATCCTGGGCTACACTGAGCACCAGGTGGTCTCCTCTGACTTCAACAGCGACACCCACTCCTCCACCTTTGACGCTGGGGCTGGCATTGCCCTCAACGACCACTTTGTCAAGCTCATTTCCTGGTATGTGGCTGGGGCCAGAGACTGGCTCTTAAAAAGTGCAGGGTCTGGCGCCCTCTGGTGGCTGGCTCAGAAAAAGGGCCCTGACAACTCTTTTCATCTTCTAGGTATGACAACGAATTTGGCTACAGCAACAGGGTGGTGGACCTCATGGCCCACATGGCCTCCAAGGAGTAAGACCCCTGGACCACCAGCCCCAGCAAGAGCACAAGAGGAAGAGAGAGACCCTCACTGCTGGGGAGTCCCTGCCACACTCAGTCCCCCACCACACTGAATCTCCCCTCCTCACAGTTGCCATGTAGACCCCTTGAAGAGGGGAGGGGCCTAGGGAGCCGCACCTTGTCATGTACCATCAATAAAGTACCCTGTGCTCAACCAGTTACTTGTCCTGTCTTATTCTAGGGTCTGGGGCAGAGGGGAGGGAAGCTGGGCTTGTGTCAAGGTGAGACATTCTTGCTGGGGAGGGACCTGGTATGTTCTCCTCAGACTGAGGGTAGGGCCTCCAAACAGCCTTGCTTGCTTCGAGAACCATTTGCTTCCCGCTCAGACGTCTTGAGTGCTACAGGAAGCTGGCACCACTACTTCAGAGAACAAGGCCTTTTCCTCTCCTCGCTCCAGTCCTAGGCTATCTGCTGTTGGCCAAACATGGAAGAAGCTATTCTGTGGGCAGCCCCAGGGAGGCTGACAGGTGGAGGAAGTCAGGGCTCGCACTGGGCTCTGACGCTGACTGGTTAGTGGAGCTCAGCCTGGAGCTGAGCTGCAGCGGGCAATTCCAGCTTGGCCTCCGCAGCTGTGAGGTCTTGAGCACGTGCTCTATTGCTTTCTGTGCCCTCGTGTCTTATCTGAGGACATCGTGGCCAGCCCCTAAGGTCTTCAAGCAGGATTCATCTAGGTAAACCAAGTACCTAAAACCATGCCCAAGGCGGTAAGGACTATATAATGTTTAAAAATCGGTAAAAATGCCCACCTCGCATAGTTTTGAGGAAGATGAACTGAGATGTGTCAGGGTGACTTATTTCCATCATCGTCCTTAGGGGAACTTGGGTAGGGGCAAGGCGTGTAGCTGGGACCTAGGTCCAGACCCCTGGCTCTGCCACTGAACGGCTCAGTTGCTTTGGGCAGTTACTCCCGGGCCTCACTTTGCACGTGTGCTTACCTAGTGGAGACAAAAGTACATACCTCGGTAGAGCGCGCACGCCTGTAACCCCAGCACTTTGGGAGGCCAAGGTGGGTGTATCACCTGAGGTCAGGAGTTTGAGACCAGCCTGGCCAACATGGTGAAACTCCGTCTCTACTAAAATTACAAAAATCAGCCAGGCTTCATGGCACATGCCTATAGTCCCAGCTACAGGCATGCTGAAGCAGGAGAATCGCTTGCACCCCGGAGGCAGAGGCTGCAGTGAGCTGAGACCACACCACTGCACTCCAGCCTAGGCAACAGAGTATGAGACTCCATCTCAAAAAAAAAAAAAGTACCTACCTCAGAGTTCAAACTAGTGAATATTAGGAAGTGCTTGAGACAGTGACACCAAAGTGCACAATAAATACTCGCCAGTTTCATTATTATTAAAGAATCCATTTGAATGTCAGCTCAACACAGCCTCCTATACCGAGGCATTGTGAACCGCATCTCCCCAGCTTCTCCAGGCTTTTCCAAGAATCAGGGACACTGTAGCCTGTTGGTCTCAGTGTATGACAGACACGGAGGAAGCACATCTTTAGCTGATACTTAAACAGAGACCCTGAGCGCACATACACCCGCGCACACATGCATGGAGCTTCACCTTCTCTGTCATTCTGCAGTGACCAGGAGAGCAAGAGCTCCCACCTCCCTTCAAAACACTGTGCCCATCCCGGGCACTAAGGCCTCTTTAAAGCACGGCACCTCCACGAGGGAGGGCCACAGCCACATACACTCCACCTGGCAGGTGGACAGCGTGAGCACGTGGACCATAGCAGGGACAAGGTGCCCCGGCCAGCCCCAACGCCCTCTGCCGCTGACAGGGACAGAAGCCCTCTCCAGCTGCGTGTGCTGCAGAGGCCATGCGTAGCCTCCAGCTGCATTCTATTCCACTCCAGTGCCTGGGCCAGTTAGCACCAGTGTGGAAGACAGTGAGCTGGCTCCGGACAACAGGGATGGAGGAAAGGTCCCACATTCACATTCCTGATACGTGGACAAGGTGAGGGGCCGCAATCGCTCTGGCAGCATTTTAAAGATGGGGAAGTAGCAGACACCCACGCGTGAAGGCAGGAGAGCCCCAACTGTGGTGGAAATGGCCCCAGAATGGTAGGGCCAAGCCTAGCTCCAGACACCCCAGAGCCCTGGAGAAGCCAAGACTGAGGGAGAAAGCCTGAGGGAGGAGCGCCCCAGTCCCCAGGGACCGGCCTGGTGCAGAGCTGCAGCTGATGTTCCCCTCTGTGCAGCCCCACCCTCTGCCTCGCTGAGCTCCCTGCTGCGAGGGCCTCGGGTGCAAGGGGGAGGCAGGTCTCTATCTCATGGAGCTGTCAGATGAGACATCGCGATCGGAGTCCTCAGCCTCGCTTGGCGGCGGCGGCGGGTCGCTAAGCGGGACCGCAGTGAAAGCAGGAGACTTTCTAGAAAAAAACACCAGTTGTCAACCTTGGGGCAGGCAGGAATCCTGAAGACGGACGGCACTCCTCCTCCTGCTGCCTCACCCTCTGGCAGCCCGTGAGAAGTACCGGAAGCGAGGGCGGGGCCGCGGGATGGCGAGGGAGCGGCAGGGACTGAACTCTCTCCAAACCCACCCTGACAGGGAAATGGGCCCCGCCTGTGTCTTGGGAACTCAGAGGCTGAGGTCAGGCATGATGGCTCACGCCTGTAATTCCAGCACTTTGGGAGGCAGAGGCGGGTGGATCACGACGTCAGGAGTTCAAGGCAAGCCTGGCCAACATGGTGAAACCCCATCTCTACTAAAAATGCAAAAATTAGCCAGGTGTGGTGGCGGGCGCCTTGGAGGCTGAGGCAAGATAATCACTTGAACCTGGGAGGCGGAGGTTGTAGTGAGCCAAAAAAAAAAAAAAAAGAAATAGCTGAAGTCACAGTAGGAGAGAAGCTGCTGAGCCTCCAGCACCCTGACTCTAGGGCCTTGGCTTTATGTCTATCTGCAGTATTTTTGTGATTTTTAAAAATTCACTTTCTTGTTGCGGTGTAACTTACACAGGGTCAAATGCACAAATCATGGCCCTGACTTTAGATAAAAATCTGCCCCCACAACCCTTCTGTTCCTTGCCAGTTTTTAAACTGCCTCTAACCAGGGGAACCACCAGAGCTGGTGGCCTTGGGAGGTTTCAGCCCTCCCGTCATGAATGGACATAGCTCATCCAACTGCCAAGGGAGAGAGCTGTGGGTCTGGGCCAGCCCCACCAGGTAACTCCCAAAGGGCAGCCCCACAGCAAGATGTGACCCAGTCATTGCCTGAGGGTCTCTGGGGCTGTGTTCCAACCTTTCTCCCCGCTGTGTCCCCCTGGAAGGCCCCATGCCCAGGGGAGGCGCCTACCGGTCTCCAGACTGGGTGATGAGCCGGCGGCAGGTCTCCATCTGCACGTCCAGGCCGCGCTTCATGCTGCACATCTCCATGTACTCGTGCAGGTGCCGGTTCATGTCGTTCTTGGCCGTGGCCAACTCCAGCTGTGGTGGGGCAGGCAGGGCCATCGGGGTTAACAGGTGGCGTTCACAGCGCCTCTGTTGCCCCCGCCAGGAGGCCAACACGCCAAGAGCAGTGGCTGGGCCGGGGGCCCAGGCAGCCATTACTGAAGGCTCAGATTTTAAAATAAACCAGACCAAGGCAGAAGGCAGCGAATACACCATTGTTTCCTCTGCTTTTCCTGGAAATCTTTGCCTATGGAGGAATGCAAAGGTACTGCTGCAGGCTGTGTTCTTTTAAGACTGATAAGAGTGGTGAGGAAAGTCAGTGTGGGCGGGATGGAGCAGATCCACAGGCTCCCAGGGCCACACAGGTTCCTATGGGGCCCGGCTCACCCCTCATCCCCTGTACTGCGCTGGTCCTGGGCTGTCCCCTCACTGCACTGTGAGCTCCCGTAAGGGTTAGCGACAGGTTTTCCTCATCCTGGCAGACCCAGACCTCGAAGGGAATTAACTCTCTCTGTGACCCGTGGCATACAAGCCTGGCTAACTGCTGAAAGGGGCCCAATCCTCTTACCATTCTCTCCTTATCACTTTATTTTCTCACCTAAAAGCCATTTTCAGACACTAAAAGGAAGACTCCCATATTGGAGGTGCCATTGATTCTGAGACCTGTCCTGATTTCAGAAATGTCACACGTGGAAAACACGGGGCTCAGAATCAAAGAAATCCGGTCTCCCTCCCCGGGCCCATTCTGCAGCCCACACTCTGAGGCAGGCGGAGAGGCAGGGCCCAGGCAGCACAAACTCAGTGCCAGGGACAGTCGACTGCCTCTCTTTGTTTTGGGTACAAAGGGCAGGGGCCGCAAGGGGAAGCAAAATGAAACTTCCTGGAGATGACGTTCGTGACTGCCTGAGTGAAGAGAACGGGGAGGATACCAGCTGCCATAATGTGGATTGGACAGAGAGGGTGGGAACTTAGAGAAAGAAGGAAACAGGTTACAGGGCCAGACAGCAGAGATGGTCAGGACAGTGACATTTGGGGTGAGATGGCGGCTGGCTGGGTGAGAAGCCCTAGTGGGGACAGCTTCCCTGGCAGGCTTGGATCCACAGCTGGGGCCCCACAGTAGTGGGAGGAGCAGGACACGGTGACTGTTCAACCCAGGGGGAAAATACAGTGCCACCAGCCCTTGTTCAGATCAGCTGCCTACACCCCAATTTCTCCACCTTGGAAGAACCGGAGTGCAGGGAGCTGGGTTCTGGAACCATCACTCAGGGAGACTGGGAAGAAGGAAATGAACCAAATATATTCTACTGAAATACAAGGCTAGTACTGCCACCAGTAGTCTCTGCATATGTCTATGTCCCCACTTAATTCACAAATTTACAGCAGGAACAAGGTCAGGAGGTGAACGTGCATGTCAGGAGATGTCCTTGACAAGCCACCTTGAAAACTGCAGGCTCGCTGTGTGAACAGACTTGGGGGTGGGACGGGAGGAGACAGAGAGAGGTGAGGAGCGGTGGGGAAGAACTGCCTCCCGCCCACCACTCTGGGCCTTGGCTTTACCTTGCTCCATCTTAGTGACCCTGAGAGATCAAAGGTCACAAAGATAAAGGCACCTTGGGTACTCCTGAGGTCAGCAAGTCCTCCTAACGGTTCCCCTAATGCAGAAGTCCCCAAACCCCAGGCCACGGACCAGTACCTGTCTGTGGCCTGTTAGGAACCAGGCCAAATAGCAGGAGGTGAGCAGTGGGCAAGTGAGTGAAGCTTCATCTGTATTTACAGCTGCTCCCCATCACTGGCATTACAGCCTGAGCTCCACCTCCTGTCAGATCCGCGGCGGCATTAGATTCTCACAGGATCCTGAACCCTACCTTACGTGAACTGTGCATGCGAGGGATCTAGGCTGTGTGCTCCTTATGAGAATCTAATGCCTGATGATCTGTCACTATCTCCCATCACCCCCAGATGGGACCGTCTAGTTGCGGAAAACAAGTTCATGGCTCCCACTGATTCTACATTATGGTGAGATGTATAATTATTTCATTATATATTATAATGTAATAATAATAGAAATAAAGTGCACAGGCCGGGTGCGGTGGCTCATGCCTGTAATCCCAGCACTTTGGGAGGCCGAGGTGGTGGATCACCTGAGGTCGGGAGTTCGAGACCAGCTTGACCAACATGGAGAAACCCCATCTCTACTAAAAATACAAAATTAGCCAGGCGTGGTGGCACATGCCCGTAATCCCAGCTACTTGGGAGGCTGAGGCAGGAGAATTGCTTGAGCCCGGGAGGCGGAGGCTGCAGTGAGCCAAGATTGCGCCATTGCACTCCAGCCTGGGCAACAAGAGCAAAACTCTGTCTCTAAAAATAATAATAATAATTTTTAAAAATAGTAATAAAGTACACAATAAATGTAATGTTTGAATCATCTCAAAATCATTTCCCCCGGGTCAGTGGAAAAACTGTCTTCCACAAACCAGTCCCTGGTACCAAAAAGGTTGGGGACTGCTGCCTAAAGTCATTGCACTGGGAGAGAGGAGGAGTCAGATGATTTGAAAATACTTTTTTTTTTTTTTTTCCTGAGATGGAATCTTGCTCTGTCACCCAGGCTGTGGTGCAGTGGCACAATCTCAGCTCACTGCAGCCTCCACCTCCCAGATTCCAGCAATTCTCCTGCCTCAGCCTCCCAAGTAGCTGGGATTACAGGTGCCCACCACAATGCCTGGCTACTTTTTGTATTTTTAGTAGAGACGGGGTTTCACATGTTGGTGGCCAGGCTGGTCTCACACTCCTGACCTCAAGTGATCTGCCCGCGTTGGCCTCCCAAAGTGCTGGGATTACAGGCGAGAGCCACCACGCCCAGCCAAAAATAGCTTAAAAGGCATGATTCCATTTAAGATATTATTTTCGTTCTTTCAGATCATGTTTTACACTGGGCACTTGAGGTCCAGGGAAGACTAGGGAGAGATGGCAGCCCGAGATCTCTTCTCACGAAGATGGCCGCACAAAGGCCCCTAGTTGGTTGAAGGCACAGTGAAAACACAAACCTTAAATCCACCATCCAAAAGAGGGAGACAAGAATCAGGTCAGGCAGGAGGAGGAAACAGTGAGCCGCGGTAGACGGGAGGGTGGGGAGTACTGGTTTCCCTTGCCATGTCTTTAGCTAGCAGCACAAATCCAGGAAACCTCATCTACCTGGCCAAGAAAACCAGGTTTGATGCAGGAGCAGGACAGTTTGATGTGTGTTGGGAGAATGAGTATATAGGAAAATAATTTCTCGACTTCCTTCTCAAACACCTCCAATGTGACAGCAATAAGAATAAAGTCAAGGCCGGGCGCGGTGGCTCACGCCTGTAATCCCAGCACTTTGGAAGGCCGAGGCGGGTGGATCACGAGGTCAGGAGATCGAGACCATCCTGGCTAACATGGTGAAACCCCGTCTCTACTAAAAAATACAAAAAATTAGCCGGGCGTAGTGGCAGGCGCCTGTAGTCCCAGCTACTCTGGAGGCTGAGGCAGGAGAATGGCGTGAACCTGGGAGGTGGAGCTTGCAGTGAGCTGAGATCGCGCCACTGCACTCCAGCCTGGGCGACACAGCGAGACTACGTCTCAAAAAAATAAATAAATAAATAAATAAATGAAAAGAATAAAGTCACTCTCTCCTTATCCACTGGTTTCACTTTCCACGGCTTCAGGTACCCAAGGTGAACCTTGATCTGAAAATATTAAATGAAATATTCCAGAAATAAACAATTCCTAAGTTTTAAATTGCACGCTGTTCTGAGTGGCCTGATAAAATCTCACTCTCTCTGCCGGGCGCGGTGGCTCACGCCTATAATCCCAGCACTTTGGGAGGCCGAGGTGGGCGGATCATGAGGTCAGGAGATCGAGATCATCCTGGCTAACACGGTGAAACCCCATCTCTACTAAAAAATACAAAAGAAATTAGCCGGGCGTGATGGCGGGCGCCTGTAGTCCCAGCTACTCAGGAGGCTGAGGCAGGAGAATGGCGTGAACCCAGGAGGTGGAGCTTGCAGTGAGCCGAGTTCAAGCCACTGCACTCCAGCCTGGGTGACACAGCGAGACTCCGTCTCGGAAAAAAAAAAAAAAACCTCACTCTATCCAGACCAGGACATGAACCCTCCCTCTGTCCCAAGGATCCACACTGTCTATACTGCCTGCCCATTAGTTACTTAGGAGCCATCTCAGTGATGAGATTGACTGTCGTGGTATGGCAGTGCCCGTGTTCAAGGAACCCTTATTTTTACTTCATAATGGCCCCAAAGCACAAGAGTAGTGATGCTGGCAATTTGGATATGTGAAAGAGAAGCCAAAATATGCTCCCTTTAAGTGAAAAGGTAAAAGTTTTCAACTTAATAAGAAAAAGAATCCGATGCTGAGGTTGGTAAGCTCTACAGTAAGAATGAATCTTCTATCCGTGAAATTGTAAAGAAGGAAAAAGAAATTTGTGCCAGTTTTGCTGTCACACCTCGAACTGCAAAAGGTACCGCCACAGCGCACGCTAAGTGCTTAGTTAAGATAGAAAAGGCATTGAATGTGTGGGTGGGAGACATGAACAGAAACACGTTCCAGTTGACAGCAACTGGACCCAAGCTATCAGGAGGTCAGTGCTATCTTTGGTTTCAGGCATCCACTGTGGGTCTTGGAACACATGCCCTGAAGATAAGGGGGGACTACGTATGAATCTCCCATGTGGGCCTGAAGAGAGGCTGAGACGCAGAGAAGGCTCCATGCCTCTCCCAAAGTCAGAGCGTCGGGAAAGGACCACCTCACCAGGCCAGGAGAGCTCACGGGGGTCCCGTCCATCCCTCCTCCCACAGCAACAGCAACCTCCATTCTGTGGTTCCACAAATCCTTCTTCCTTTGTTTGTATTTTTGAGACGGAGTCTTGCTCTGTCGCCCAGGCTGGAGTGCAGTGGTGCGATCTCGGCTCACTGCAAGCTCCGCCTCCCGGGTTCACGCCATTCTCCTGCCTCAGCCTCCCGAGTAGCTGGGACTACAGGTGCCTGCCACCACGGCCAGCTAATTTTTTTTTTTTGTATTTTTCGTAGAGACGGGGTTTCACCGTGTTAGCCAGGATGGTCTCGATCTCCTGACCTCGTGATCTTCCCGCCTCGGCCTCCCAAAGTGCTGGGATTACAGGCGTGAGCCACCGCGCCCGGCCTCCACAAATCCTTCTTGCAGCTCCTAAAGCCTAGAGTTTGAGCTAAAGCACCAGCTCCACTTGCCTCTAGGTACCTCTAGAAGGTACTTCAAGGCTTGGGAAAAAGCATGGAGATTTCTCTGTTATCTCAAAGGCTGAGTGGAAGAAACAGGAAAGTCCCAGTCCATCTCTGAGTGCCATGGCACTGATAGTGTTAATAATAATAAAACAGTCCCCACTATGCTACACTCGCTATGAGCCAGACACTGCCCTAAGCTCTATATATGCATTATTTCATCTGATCTTCTAAACAACCCTATAGGTGAGGTATTATTAAATTCCTCATTTTACAAATAAAAAGGCCCGGCACAGTGGCTCATGCCTGTAATCCCAACACTTTGTGGGGCCGAGTTAGGAGGACTGCTTGAATCCAGAAGTTTGAGGGCAGCCTGGAAAACATAGTGACACCCTGTTCTCTGTAAAAAAAATCAAAAAATTAGCCGGGCGTGGTAGCACACGCCTGTGGTCCCAGCTACTTGGGAGGCTGAGGTAGGAGGATTGCTTGGATCCAGAAGATCACGGCTGCAGTGGGCCTGGAGTGACAGAGCAAGACCCTGTCTCAAAAAAAGAAAGAAAGAAAGAAAGAAAGAAAAAGAAACAGGTGTAGGGCTGGACACATGGCTCATGTCTCTAATTCTAGTACTTTGGGAGGCCGAGGCAGGAGGATCACTTAAGCCCAAGAGTTTAAGACCTGCCTGGGAAACACAGGGAGACACCATCTCTACAAAAAAATACAAATAAAAATTAGCTGGGTATGGTGGCACACACCTGTGGGCCCAGCTACTCAGAAGGCTGGGGTGGGAGGATCACTCCAGCCTAGGCAACAGAGTGAAACAGAGTGAGACCTTGTCTCAAAAAAGAAAGGACAGAAAGACAAGGGAGAGAGGGAGGGAGGGATAGAGGGGGAGGGGAAGAGAGAGAGAGAGAGAAAGGAAGGAAGGAAGGAAGGAAAGAAAGGAAAGGAAAGGAAAGGAAAGGAGGGGCTCAGAGGGAACAAGTAACTTATTACAAGTTCAGGGTGGTTGTAAGTAACAGAGCTGAGATTTGAACCGATATCTGTCTGTTTCCAGAGCCTGAGGTCTTCAGAGCCCACCAGGAGGACTATAGCTGAGAGATCACTCCTCCTCCCAAGACCTTGGTCTCTAGGGTCCTGCAGCAGGGATGAGGCCACTGCGCCTGCAGCCCCACTCAAAACCCTCTGGGACACCACGCCCCTGGCTTCCGCTCCTGCCCTTACCTCTATCTGGTCAATGGTCTCCTGATACTCCTTCTCCCGGGTTTTGAACAGGGACTCCGTATCTTTAATCACCTTCTCCAGGCTATCTTCCTGCTGCTGGAGTAGAAAGGGAAGCGGGGGAGGCCAGCCAAGGAGGGATGGGATGGGACGCATTCCAAAGGGCCAAGTCAGGGAGAGAGAGAGAGAGGAAGTCTGGTTAAAGAAACTGGAGAAAGAAAAGCAAAAGGATAAAGGAAGAGGGGAGACGCAGGTAGAGGATGACAGCCACATGGGGGGACAGAGCAAGGAGAGGAGCGGGGGAGTGGGCTTCAGGCTGGAGAGGCAGAGCCAGAGGGCCCTGAGGCCGGGAGCAGAGGTTACCTCTCCCTGGGCCTCTGCAGCTGCCATGGCATAGCCTGAGAAATCCTCCCAAAGCAGCAGGGTCTCCTCAGTCTCCTCCCAAGTCAGGCTGTCACAGTCGTCCTCAAAATCATACTCCCTCCTAGAGACAGGGAACCCGGGTGTCAGGGCGGGCGGGGCCTCGTCCTGGCGGGGGACTGGGGAGCTCCGGCCTCCTGGGCTGCTGTGGCGTCGGTGCTGCGGGAGCACGGCCTGCGGACTCACAGCTGGTTGAGCATGCGCTGCATCTCCTCGTTGATGCTGAGGGCTGTGCTCTCCTCCTCATCCCCATCGGGCTGGCGGGGCCCCTCACTCTCCGACAGGGAGGTGTCCTCCTCGACGGCAGCCTTGCGCTCCCGCTTCCGCCCCCCCATGGATGGGACCTTAATGGGAGACAAGTGCAGAGACTACAGAGACGAGGCCGGGTGCATGAGGAGAAAGGGCGGGAGCGGGAGGCCGGGCAGAGAGGGTGGGAATGGGGGAGAAGCATGAACCAGTAGGAAGGGGGGGCAGACAGAGAGAAAAGTCACAGTTACAATGACAGGAACAGAAACACGGACAGTCACCAAGGGCCAGACACACAGCGGGGGTCAGGGCTGCAAACCGAGAAGGCAGAACAAGAAGAAATCGAGAAGAAGAGCAGTCAGACAAGGAAGGAAGGGCTCGCTGGGGCTGCAGTCAGATGTGCATGATGGCTCAAGAGGAAATTTTTTTCTAAAAAAAGTCTTTTTGATTAAATGACTCAACTAAAAAAAAAAAAGCTTTAGGACGCAAGGAGGATGAGTGTGCAATGTGTACAAAAGAGAACCTGAATCACATCCAGATCTGGAAAGCCGGGGGAGAAGGGAGAGAAAGAAATGCAGTCAAGAGAACAAGAGATAGAGAGAAAAAGGGGGAAGAGCAAGGAAAAGGGAAAGGGCAGAAAAAAATCCGTGCTCAAGAGCCCAGCGGGCCCAAACTGAGGGCCAGGAGGCCTAGGCAGCTTAGAAACTGGGACTGGGACATTAATAAGCTTGCGTGAGATCAAACTAACCAGCTTCTTCTGTGGAGGAAGCAAGAGAGAAGATGAGAGGAAGAGAGGAGAGGAAGCAGACAGAGGAGAGAGAGGGGGAAGGGAGAGACGGCGTTAGAGACAGCTTCCACGATGCCCCTCCTGATGCTGCTCCTTACCCCCCAGTCTAGCCCCGTGAGGGCCCCAGTTGCCAGGTAAGGCTCCCCAAGCAGGAGGCAGGGCCTGCGTTCCAGGCCAGCCGCCACGGAAGCATCCACCTGCCCCACCCACCCCTGAGAGCAGAGGGCAGCTCCGTCCTCACCTGGAACATCTGGATCATGTCCTCGCAGTTGCGCTGCTGAGCCACATCGCAGAGCTTGGCGGTGATGTCGATGCGGCGGCAGATGTCCATATCCACCTTCATGGCTTTCTCCTGGATCTTGGTGTCCAGCTCCGACAGGTTCTGTCCAGGGAGCCCAGGGAACAGTGAGGAGGCGCCCAGTTCTCCAGACAAGGACGAATTAGGCCTGGCAAGGTCCTCATCCTTCCCACCACATTGCACCGGTGCCTCTTCTGTGGAGTCTCCCTGAGCTGACTGCACCCCTCTTCCTGGGTAGCGGTGGCCTCCCCACAGCACTGTGTGAATATGCTGGGCATGGGGCGGCTCGGGCCACTGCTCCCTGGCCAAACGGAAGCCCTGGAGGGCATGGCCAGTGCCTGGGACATGCAGGGGGCTCACTGGAACGACTAGCGGTCCTCATCCTCCTAGAACTTACATTCCCAGAGAGAAAGAGACTCCTGGGAATTATAAGAGTGGAGAAAGGACTATAATAATCGCAACAGCTAACACTCTTCCAGCTAACACTGCATGCTGGGCACTGTCCCGAGTACATGACCACCCTCACAATACTCCTGCAGAGCGCACGCGTTTATTTCCCCACGCCAAAGGTGAGGCCTCAGAGGCTGAGGAATCGGCCCAGCGCCCCGGCGCCAGCTGCAGAGCCTCCACCCCAGAAGCTGCTCACTAACTGCTCTGCAACCCCAGGCCCTCAGAAGCTGCGCCACCTCTGTGACGCAACACCGAGACTTTTGTTGCTTGTCTTTCTCTGGAGTTAGGGGTGGCTAGGGGAAAAAGGGAAGGAAAGCAAAGAGAAGGGGAGGAGCCGTGGACGGGAGGCCAACAGGCCAACACTAGAAGGGCCTACTCTTCTGGCCTCAGAAGCCTCACTTCGACCCTCGGGAAGCCTGGGGCTGCACTCACGTTACTCATGAGCCCCTTGAAGACCACCAGCTCAGCCTTCAACTGTTCCACCTTCAGTGCCAGCTCCTCCTGGCAGGCATCAGCCTCCTGGGCTTCCTGCAGTTGGGAGAAACCCTGATGTTGGTGGCACTGCCGAGGTGGGAGGAAGATAAAGATGCCAAGGAGGGACAGGGAGACGGCAGCAGGGTCATGGGCAGACAGGGGTACCCAGGGAAGCACCAGCAGCAAGTGGGGCGCCACCCTCACCTCCTGGAGCTCATTTACACGGTCTTGCAGCTGGATCCGCACCGTGTACTCCTCTTCCCACCTGACAGACATGGGAAGGGCGGAGAGAGCTTAGGTACAGAGTCCTTCCCTGCCCCCATGGCTCCCTGTCCCCACCTCTCTGGCTCAGGCCTCAGACCCCAGTTCTGGTTCCCTGGATGGGGAGGAGCAGGGCACAGGAATGCCTGGCCAGCCAGCTGGTGACCAACTGCAGCTGTCACGCGGCTCTGTGCTTCCTGATGGGCGTCGAGCTCGCCAGCTGCCTTCCCGGAACCTCCGGGCTGTGCACCAGGAGCTCTGTTTGGGCAAGTGCTGAGGCTCCGGTCCTCCGTGATGCCCATCCCTGCTCAGGCCCCAGCTCAGCCAGCTGTCCGGCTGGCCTCATTGCCCACCTCCTGCCCACACCAGACCACCAGGTCCACCCGGCCCAGTCTCCCACCTTCAGTCGCACAGATCCGGGCTCCCGCCTCCTGCCCGCACCAGAACAGAGCTCGTCGAGCCCGCTGCCCTGCCTCTTGTGGTATCATTTAACCCTGTAAAAGCATCTGCAGGACACATAGTGTATCAACAGAGTGGGTCAAGAGCCTGGTAGGAGACACTCAAAGTCCTTCCCCACTAGCTCCAGAAACTACCCACCCAGAGCCTCCTCTAAGGGAGTCACAGAGAGGTGACCAGACTGGCTCAGAGGCCGGAAGTCCCACAGCAGCATGACAGCAGTGGACACACGAGCCTGGGGTTACTAGCACTCAAACCCAGAGGGAAAGAGAAAGTAGAGTATGTAAAGGGGCCCGGTGAGTACGGCAAATGAGAACTAGACACAGCCTGTTCCAGGGCCCAGAATTCAGAGATTAAGACTGCAAGTGGGCCGGACGACACCCTGGGCCACAGGGCAGGGTCCTAGGTAGGGCATGCTTCCCAGAGCCAGCTTTGTCATGTCTCATCAGCCATGGCAGGCAGTGCATATTCTATTCCATCACAGAGATGGAAGCCAGGGCAACGTGCTGCTTAGGACCCGCCCGGCATTCCAGGGCCCTGCAGTCTAGCTGGCGTAGCAGCACATCTCAAATCCTGTTCCTGTGAGCTCATCACTTCTGTCAACCCGAGAAGGGAGGGGAACTGCACCAAGAGAGAAACTTCAACACAAGAAAGGTGGTTAGGAAGGGGCCAAGAAGACAGCAAGAAAATTAAAATCTGAGTGGGCAGCTTCTGAAGCCTTGGGTGAAGCCCTTTCTTCCCCTTCCCTCCATCTTCCTTCCTGTGTCAGCCTCTGGGTCCCATCTCCTCATTCACAGCCGCACTGCAGTATTCCTAATAATAACTCCTCCACATCACCTCGACTGCCCCTCCCTGCTGGGCAGAGCAGGAGGAGGCAGCCAGCCCAGCCACCACCCTGCTGGCTCCCCACACAGCCCAGCTCCCAGCCTTCCTGGCTCCCAGCCCCCTTCCCTGTGTGTCCCGTAGGTGCTTCTCCCCTCCTCCCTGGCATTCTCATGCATACAGTCAGGCCACTAAGGGAACCAGTCGCATCAGATTATGTTTTCTTAGCTAAGACCCTTATCTTTTCTGGGTCTTGGTTTCTTCATCTATGATGTGAAGGCATGAACTGTGGTGCCCTCATGCGCCGGGAGCCCACGAGTCCCTGGAGGGAGACAGTAAGCCTGTCAAGGGCACGCTAACCCTGGACAAGATGTGTGAAAGAGGGCAGGAGGGGCTATCTGACAGTGAGCTCAACAGAGCCTGGAAGAAACTTAAGTAAGGCAGTTATAGCTAAAGGTTAAGCCTAAGGAAATCTTACAGGGTAAAAAAAATCTACAAATGAATCATCTGGAAGCCCACTACAGTTCTATTTGTTCTTTGGCCAGACTTCACACAGACAGGTTCATTTTCACCTCCATTTCCATCTGGTCTCACTTATAAGGTTCCCTTAACATGGGCAGAATTTGAGAGCGATATCCATGTGTTCTGCATGGACCAAATATCTCTCTTCCAAAAAACTGTATCCCTGGGTTGAAGAGAGAAAGCAGGGACCATTCCTATGTTGGGAAAATGGGGGCTCAAAAAAAGGTCACGCACAAGGCAGGGGAGCTGAAAATAGAACGCAGGAGGCCTTTAGCTACCTCCCAGTGTAGCGCTCAAGCCATCCCAGGCCTTCCAGGCAGAAGACAGGAGTTACAGTGTTGCTATAAAGAGACCAGAATGAGGGCAGGGAATCTAGGGAGGAAGAAGAGTCACTGCCAGTATCACGCACCATCCGAATCCAGCTAAGGCTCTCTACACAGCAGCGTGCTGCAGAGCGATGAGCTAATCAGTCCCCAAGGAATAACTCCTTCCTGTCCTGGACAGCTGGACCAAGGACAAACGCTCCTTCAGTTTAAAAAAAAAATGCTCCTGAGAACAGCAGTTGTTCCTGTGGTTATGGATGTATTCCAGAACTGTGCCTGTGCCACTGCTGAGCGCGTAGTTAACTCCTGCAGGGGCAGAGCAGGCTGGTTCTGGGTGGCAGAACGATGATTTCAGGACAACTGAAACTCCCAAGGACACATAACATGGACCACAACTAAGGAAGCCAGCACGAGGACAGGACTCAAGCTCAGAAAGCCTGCTGATCAGGTCAGGAGTTTGAGACTGGCCTGGACAACGCAAAAAGAAAAAAAAAAAATAGCCAGGCATGGACATGGTAGTGCACACCTGTAGTCCCAGCTACTCAAGAGGCTGAGGCAGGATGATTGCTTGAGCCCAGGAGGATGAGGCTGCAGTGAGCTGTGATGACGCTACTGCACTCCAGCCCGGATGACAGAGCAAGTCCCTGTCTCAATATTTTAAGTCAAGGGTCTGTAGTCATGTGTTCAACGCCACTTCTTGCCATCACTTTGCAATTATTGAAATGGGCATACTGAGCTCAGAAAGCAAATCTGATGCTTTCACGGGAGACAGAGCCACATTTGTGTTCTGGGTGGGATCACTAGTGCAGGAGAACACTACATCTTCTTCTGAAGGCAAAATGCTTGTAGGTTTTGCCTCTTTACTTTGCATTTACTTCTAAAATTGCACTTGTTCACCTACCAGTGTTTACGAAATCCTGTATTTGGGATGCTTTTTCTATAATAAAATATTATCATTTATGGGAAAAAAAAAAAAAGAAAGCCTGCTGATCTGTGATCTGGTAAACTCCAGCAGGGTGGAGATCCCTGAAGGTCGCCCCTAGACCCAGCGGTCATTTCCTAGAACATTCGGCCAATCCTCACCCAGTGCTGAATCTCCGCCACACTGGGCTGCATAGGTAGTTCCCAGGCCCGCCCACAAGGGGTCATAATAGCTGAGATGAGAGGGGAGGCCGCCAAACCAAAGCCTGTCAGTCACCCGCTCCCTCCTCAAGGCTTGGGTTGGAGTCTGCAAGACACTACCTCTGCTCTCACTCCTGTCCTATCGGCTTGGTTATCAGCCATCTAAGGAATCCACTTGGTATACAGCCAGCACTCCTGGCATCACATCCCTTTCCCTTGCCCCTTGGGGCCGGGCTCCTCTCAGACAGCCAAATCTTCATCCACAGAATGCACCGGGCCCGCCCCGCGGCCTCGCGGTCCTAGGGAGGGCCCATATCCCAGCTTCTCCCTGCTCAGTCCCCTGCTGGCTCTCCACTCTCCCTCCCCACTGGCGCTTTATACTGCCAAGATTCCCCTGTCAGCCCTGCTCTCCACCCTCACCCTAGTGAATTCCCTTCACTCTTTCTTTTCCCAGTTTGTTGACCTACTCAAGCAATGGCTTGAGGTCCCGGAGCTTTTCCTATGAAACCACAGCAGGTACCTGGTTTCCATCAATATTCTTTGGGAAACCTTGGGGTGTGAAAGAATCACTCGTTGCAAGGTACAGCCCCTCCCTCACCAGCCCCTTCCAGTTTCACTCAATTTAGTCTCCCAAATTTACGCTATATCCTTGCCTCCTACTTTTGAAGTTTATATCCCTAACCTGCCCCAGGGCTGAGACCGGTAGGGCAGAGCCCCAGTCCCTTTCACACCGCACAAAACCCGCAGTTAAGCCTGGATGGCAGAGACAAGCCGGAAAAGTAGGAATCCCCCCGTGTTCCGCTCCCAGCGTCCTTCTTCCTGTCACGAGCAGGGCTTCTGCATTCTCTGCGGATTCTAGTCTCCCTGCATCCAATTGCTTCCAAGCTCCTCATTACACAGCACAAACTTTACTCTCATTCTTTTCACCCCTGATTCTTCGGAACCCACACCAACTCGCGGCCCGTTGTGAGTGGTATGACACAGAGAGACCTGTCCCCCTTTCCCAATCCCTACCTCCGCTTGTACTCGTCCCGCTCCCGCTTCACTTTGGCCAGCACGTTGTAGAGAGCGCGGATCTCGGGCGTGATGGTGTCGATCTGGACGCCCACCCCATCCGGGTGCACCCACGACAAGCCAGGCCCTTGCACCAGAGTGGGCTCCAGTCCCGGCCCGAGCCGGCGGGCGTGCGAGAACGACCAGATGGTGCCGGGCATGAAGCGGGCCGACGAGGAATAGGTGGTGGAGGTGGAGGTGGAGGACGACGAGAGGCTGGCCGCGGAGGGCGCGAGGGGGCCGGCCGGGGAGCGCGCGGGCGAGCCCAGCACGCGCGCCGAAGGGCTGCAGACAGCGGCCGGCCGGGCGCCCAGCTGCAGCCCCAGGGGCCGGATGGGGCTGACGAAGCCGGTCTGCACTGCCTGGTCGCGACGACCCAGGCCCCGCCGGCCCTGCTTACCCTCCTCCAGCGCTTGCTGCAGTTGCTTCTCCAACAGCCGGTTCCGGCGCTCCAGCTCATGCACCTTGGCCAGGAAGCAGCGGAACCGGAGGTTCAGGGTCTTGAGCACGTTGATGTTGGAGCCCAGGTCATTGCGGAGGGCCATGGCGGCAGGCGGGGCCGGGCCCGGCCCGGGCGGCGAGTAGGCAGCAGGGCCGGCCGGCGAGAGAGGCGCCGGGGGCAAGTCTCCTCCCCCGGCGAAGTGGTCGCCTCCCAGTGAGTCCCCCAGTGGCCCGGCCAGGCCCTGCTGCTCCTGCTGCAGGAGGAAGAGGTTGGGGCCGAATAACGGATTCATGGCTGCGCCTTCTGCTGGGAGATGCAGACCGGTGCAGGAGCAGGGATGGAAGGCGAGCCAGAAGAGCCAATGCGGCGCCGGCGGGACAGAGCCGACCAATCAGGCGGCTCGGCAGCGGGGCAGAGGTCAGGGGGCGGGCCGAGGGGAAGCCAATGACAGGCTCCAATTGGAGGCCGGACCCTGGACCTTTCCGGGTCTGAGGCCGAGCCCTGTGATGAGGGGAGCCACCGCCTGGACTCCAGCCGGGGTGGCGTAAAGCCCAGGACCTCCAGTACCCCATGGGTTCTGGTGGCAAGCCCATCTCCCCTACACGACTTTTTTTTTTTTTGAGACCGAGTCTCACTGTCGCCCGGGCTGGAGTGCAGTGGCGCGATCTTGGCTCACTGCAACCTCAGCCTCCCAGGTTCAAGCGATTCTCCTGCTTCAGTCTCCCGAGTAGCTGGGATTACAGGCACCCGCCACCACACCCGGCTGATTTTTTGTATTTTTAGTAGAGACGAGGTTTCGCCATGTTAGCCAGGCTGGTCTCGAACACCTGACCTCAGGTGATCCACCCGCCTTGGCCTCCCAGAAAGTGCTGGGATTACAGGCATGAGCTAGTGTGCCCCGCCTTCCCCTACACTTCTATTGCCCTCCTCTCCCCGGAGTTCAATCACCCCTAGCTCTGACTCCAGGGCTTTCCCTTCCTGGGAAAACCCAAGGATGCAGGAGCCTAAAACTGACCTTATTTCTCAGTAGCACCCAACCATTCCCTCTCCTCAGAAGATCCCAGTCCCACCTCCCATCTTTACCCTTAAAGCGGCAAAGGCAGCACCCAGTTCCCTCAAAAATACTCAGTGGCCAGAGGTTTTAAAATGTGTATTAAATTTCATGGGTATGCACAGTAGAGAAGGCATCCTCACAGAGGCAAGAGTTCCAACCTGGTGACAATGGCAGTGAGCCACCCGTCTAGTTTTCAACCATCTAAGATAGCAGCAGCTGGCTGTTGCCCCTGGACTGAGATTTCTTCCTCTTTGCTGGTGGGGGGCGGCTGGAACGGATGGGAGACACAGTGGGAGGCTGAGGCCCCTTGGGGGTATCATTCTGTTTCTGGAAGGCAGCTTTCTCAAAAGGCTGCTCTGGCAACTGCTGCTTCTCAACCCCCTTGGCCCTTCCAAGGGGCTGATGATGGTCCTTAGGTTTCAGGGTGGCCTGAGTCTTGGATGGGGATAACACAGCCGGTGTTTGTGTGTCTGTGCCCTTGGGAGGGGCATTCTGCCTGAGGAAAGCAACTTTCTTGGAGGACTGTAATTTAGGTGATCGTTGCTTTAGCTTCCCAGTCACCTTTGGCTCCCTGATCCCTTCGGCTTTTCCAGCTGGCTGACTGCTATCCTGGAAGCTGGAGGAAGCTTGGGTCTTTGTGACAGAAGGTACAGTGGACAATTCTGAGTCTGCCCCTTTGGAGATGCCATTCAGCTTCTGGAAGGAGGCCTTCTTGGGATGTTGCTGTTTCTGCAGCTGCTGCTTTGTCTTTGCAGCCCCCTTGGCTTTCTTGGCTGGCTGGCTGCTGTTCTCAGACTTGGGGATGACCTGAGGCAAGTCTACATTTGTAGGTGTGGCTGTTTCAGAATTTCCTGGGGTTAAAATTAAACAGATGGTGTCAGAAAATGGGCCTTATCACCATATTTTAATATTCTCATATTAAAATATGAGAATTGCCATTTCCTGGGCAGGAGCTCCACACAATTAGGTCAGTGCCTAAGAGCAGATTACCTAAATTCCCATTACTTAATATAACTTGGCCTTTACTCAAGTCCTAGTTGAACCTTGTATTAAAAGATCACTGCCTATAGGCCAGGCGTGGTGGCTCACACCTGTAATTCCAGCACTTTGGGAGGCCAAGGCAAGTGGATTGCTTGAGGCCAGGAGTTCAAGACCAGCCTAGCCCACATGGTGAAACCATCTCTACTAAAAATACAAAAATTAGCCAGGGATGGTGGTACACACCTGTAATCCTAGCTACTTGGGAGTCTGAGGCACAAGAATCGCTTGAACCTGGAAGGTGGAGGTTGCAATGAGCTGAGATTGCACCACTGCAGTCCAGCCTGAGCGACAAAGCAAGACACCGTCTCAAAAAAAAAAAAAAAAAAAAAAAAATCACTGCCTATCCTTGGGCCAAAAGGTTTCTACAGGAAGCTGCGCCCTCTTGAGGACAGGAAGTAACAAGATGCTGTAAGGAAGAGGTGATTCTCAGGGTTTTGGGGTTTTTTTTTTCTTTTTTTGAGATGGAATCTCACTCTGTCACCCAGGCTGGAGTGCAGTGGTGTGATCTCGGCTCACTGCAACCTCTGCCTCCTGGGTTCAAGCAATTCTCCTGCCTCAGCCTCCGGACAATCACAACCGTGCGCCACCATGTCCGGCTAATTTTTGTATTTTTAGTAGAGATGAGGTTTCACCATGTTGACCAGCTGGTCTTGAACTCCTGACCTCAGGTGATCCACCTGCCTCAGCCACCCAAAGTGCTGGGGTTACAGGCGCGAGCCACCACGCCCGGCCTCGCAGGGTCTTCTAAATGAATTTGAAGCACTAGGCTTTATTTATCTTTTTTTTTTTTTTTTTGAGGTAGAGTCTCACTGTGTTGCCCAGGCTGGAGTACAGTGGTGCCATCATAGCTCACTGCAACCTCAAACTCCTGGGGCTCAAGGGATCCTCCTACCTCAGCCTCCAGAGTAGCTGGAACTACTGTCTCCCTTTGTTGCCCAGACAGGTCTCAAACTCGTGGTCTTAAGCAATCTTCCCACCTCAGCCTCCCAAAGTACTGGGATTTATAGGCATGAGCCATCACCACACCTGGCCTATTTATTTTTTAAATCAGAGAAGTTTCTTTCCATGTGAATTGTGATGAAGTGCGGGATAATTAAAATATGTACTTTTTAAGTTATAGCAAATTTTACTATTCCTTTTTTTTGAGATGGAGTTTTGCTCGTTGCCCAGGCTGAAATGCAATAGCGTGATCTCGGCTTACTGCAACCTCCACCTCCCAGGTTCAAGTGATTCTCCTGCCTCAGCCTCCTGAGTAGTTGGGACTACAGGCACGTACCACCACACCTAGCTAATTTTTTTTTTTGGAGACGGAGTCTCACTCTGTCGCCCAGGCTGGAGTGCAGTGGCACAATCTCAGCTCACTGCAAGCTCCGCCTCCCGGGTTCATGCCATTCTCCTGCCTCAGCCTCCCGAGTAGCTGGGACTACAGGCGCCCACCACCAAGCTCAGCTAATTTTTTATATTTTTAGTAGAGATGGGGGTTTCACTGTGTTAGCCAGGATGGTCTCGATCTCCTGACCTCGTGATCCACCCGTCTTGGCCTCCCAAAGTGCTGGGATTACAGGCGTGAGCCACCGTGCCTGGCCACACCCAGCTAATTCTTATATTTTTAGTAGAGACAGGGTTTCACCGTGTCGAATTCCTGACCTCAGGTGAGTGCTGGGATTACAGGCATGAGCCACCACGCCCAGACAAATTCTACTATTTCTAAAGTAGCACTTCTCTCCCTCTTCCAACTAAACCCAGGGTTATATCCCAGTAAGCAGTGCTCTCAAGGCTGTTTCAGAAAACCCCACCCTTCCCTTGAGATCCAGGCCAGACTCCTCAAGATGGCTGAGAAAACAATCTGCAATGAGTGTGAAGGGCTCAGAGAACTGCTGACAAAGCTCTGTGGAGCTCTGTTCCAACCCAGTGCTGAGATTGCTGGACCAGCAGAGGTCCAGTACCAGTAAGTCCACCCTGTGCCAAGAAGGAAAAGAAACCACAACCTGCATTTGGAATGCATTTAGTGCTGAACAACTGCAGCCACTTGGCAGAATAAAGGAACAGGCCTCCATCCATATGAACACTTTAGCCTGTTCACATGGGGTCCAGCACTCAAAAGCAATTCTAGCTGGAATGAGAGGGTTCTCTCAGCCAAGCATGCAAAGGCTGGAGTAAGGGATGCATGAATCTTTCCTTTCCCTTCCTCTTGTCACACCATAAAGCCTCCTGAAAGGTGGAAAGAGCAAAGGTGGTGACGAAGGGAAGAAAAAGATTACTTACCTGTCTGGGACTGAGGGATAGAATTGGAAAATTTCTTGAACTTGGCAATGAAGAACCCATCCATATTGTGGGTATGAGGGTAGAAGCGTCGGGTAGAACGCAGACTGGGGTGGAAGCGCCTTTCTCGAAAGCGGGTAAAACCTTCCTGGCCAAAGTCTAGGCCCGTGGGCACCAGTCGCACATTCCTCTTTTTCAGAGCATAGTCTACCACCCACTCATTCTCTTCTACCTGGATGTGGGGGGAAGACAAAGAACGGAGGAAAAAGCAGAGCTGGAGCTGAAGGGAGCTCTAAGGGGCAAAGAGCCCCCCAGCCCAGCCTCCCCTGCTCTGCCATGGCAGAGGTCTCACTGTGATAGAACAGGTGCAGTAAACCAGGTAGCCTCCTGTCTTGGAGGTCGCATTGACAGAGTCAATAGCACTCAGGAGCAACTCCTTCTGGAGGTGAGCACAGCGCAGGATGTCCTTCTCATCCTGTCCCAAAAAGAGACCCAAAGGCAGCCTCAGGAGGAGAGGGGAGCCCAGAGGGTGTCCCCATCTCAGTTTCCAGCTCTACGAGACCCAGCCAAGGCCTCTCAGGGGCCCACCACCTGACTCCTCACCTTGTTAGTCTTCACGGCTGGATCCTTGGAGATGACCCCAGTGCCACTGCAGGGAGCATCCAGCAGTACTCGGTCAAAGCCCCCCACCACCTGGAGAAAAGATACAGATGAATCATATGTCTCTTCTGCAACCAGCAGGGCAATATTTACTAGGGTCGAGTCTAAACATTGAGGTCAGGAAGGGAGAAGGTCAACCGGAAGAAGCCTCAGAAGACACACAGCTCGAGTCTCACCTTGGGGAACTGGCGCCCATCATAGTGGCTGATAATGGTGTTGGTGACTCCCAGCCGATGCAAGTTGCCCACAACACTCTTGAGCCGCTCAGCATTGGCGTCATTGGCAAGGATCACACCCGTGTTCTTCATCAGCTGGGCTAAAGAGAGGGCAGTAACAGTGCTGATCAGCCAGTTCCACTGTCTCCACACTTGCTCCCACCCTCCTGTCCAGGAATCCACATGAGAAGTGTCATCACCTCAAGGCAACTTCGCTCCCAACAAGCCTGCCTACTGTATAGGCTGATCCACTCTGCACTAGCCCCTGGTGATCGGCAAGTCTACCGATGTGGTTTTCCCATTTTTACCAAACACCTATGTGGTCCTACATACTAAATTACTTCTTTTAAGTGACAGCAGCTTAATAAAAGTTATGGCTGCTGACTATGTGCTGAACACTGCCAAGGACTTCTAAACGCATCATTTTAACCCTCACAATCCAAGCGTAATACAAGGGCCAACCCAAGCACAATTACCATCCCATTTTATGGATGACAAAAGAGAATCCATAGTCAGATGGGTAGTAAGTGGCACACTGGAACCCAGGCCGACTCCAGAAACTGGTCCTCACCACCCTGCTAGCTACCTGCACATTGTGTTCCATGAGCACTAGTGAGTCAGCAACCCCAGCAACCCCATCTACTTTCAAAAGCAAGACAGCCCGATGAATCCCACCTGCCTGCCCCTCTCATACCCATGTAGCTGGTCTTTCCTCCAGGGGCACAACACATGTCCAGGATCCGCTCATGTTCCTGGGGTGCCAAGGCCATGACGGGCAACATGCTGGAGGCTCCCTGCAGCATGTAGTGCCCAGCCAGGTACTCGGGGGTAGCACCTGTGGAGAAGGACCACCCTGTGACATGCGGTAGGGACAGGGACAGAGGTAGAAGGGCTCTTGGGTGGGGGAGACTTACCAATGGGCACAGAAGAATCATACACCACTAGTCCAGTCTTTGACCACTTGCCCAGGGGATCCAGGTTAACCCCACGATTGATTAGAGCCTGAAAAGGGATGAAGATTTTTTTTTTTTTTTTTTGAGATGGAGTCTCACTCTGTTGCCCAGGCTAGAGTGAGGTGGCGCAATCTCGGCTCACAGCAACCTCCACCTCCCAGATTCAAGCGATTCTCTCGTGCCTCAGCCTCCTGAGTAGCTGGGACAACGGGCATGTACCACCATGCCTGGCTAATTTTTGTATTTTTCATAGGATGGGGTTTCACCATGTTGGCCAGGCTGGTCTCTAACTCCTGACCTCAGGTGATCTGCCCGCCTCGGCCTCCCAAAGTGCTGGGATTACAGGCGTTGAGTCACCGCGCCCGGTAGGGATGAAGATTTTAATAACCTCATAGGCTACTCTACCCAGAAGACAGATGAAGACATTAAACACATGCTTCATAAAAACATGGCCCATACCCCACAACTCCTATAGTGCTTACTCCAAACACAGTCATCATGGAGTCATTGAGCAGTTTCTCTCTCCCACTCCATCCTATGGTGCCCTTTTTTCTTAACCTCAGGCTCCTAACTCAAGATCTGAACTTCATCCCAATGGAGCAGGATGCCACCTCCTGTTACTTTATTTCCTAGAAGTGGCATCTGATTTTCTAAGAGGCTGAGCCCCTCCACTATACTAAAAATTTAATGACATTGGTTATACCACATTACATTATTAGGTTTTCTTCACACCAGGAAATATACAACACATATAACCCAACAACTGACTTTACAACAGGGGTCTTTAACCTGGGGCCCCTGAACCCTTGGAAATGAGTTTAAAATATTGACTGTGCATATGTGTCTTTTTTGTGCAGTCAGGAATCATATTTCCCCAGCTCCTCAATGATCTCCCTCCAATTTCCTTGGGGGCAGCACGCTCATCCTGAAGTCTCATCATCCTAGTCACAGGGAGCAGAGTATGAACTTCCCATTCCACAGAGGTCCTAGGCCCCCAGATCCTATCCTGCCAGAGACATCAGGCCTCTGGGTTTGCCCCCCCAGGATCATGCTTAGGTCCTAAGGCCCCACCCAGTCAGGGTAGCACAGAGGAATCTCTGGAGTTGGCAGAAGTCACTTCCCTTCTGAGATGAGTGAGCCTCAAAGGCCACCCCTCACCTGTGCAAGGTCTCGGCGTCGGGTTTTCAAGGTATTGGTCCGGAGGGTGACGGGCCGAGGCACCTCATTAGCTTCTAAGAACTCCACCAGCTGCGGGGCAAGACAGCAGGGAATAAGTGAGGCTGGCTAAGGAGCTCAGTCAGAAGAGGGGAGCAAGGGGGCCGAACATCTTCCTTACACAGCGTAAGGAGGCGAGAAAAGAAAAGCAAAAGAGGCATTCTGGCAATCCAGTACCTCAGACAGAGGGAAGAGGTCCATGAGCTTGCCAAGCAGGAAGTCTCCATAGGAGTAGTAAATGGCCAGATCCTTCTTGAGCCGGTTCAGGTATTCAGAACGAGACCGCCCTTCCTCCCGCTGAGCCCCAAAATCACGCAGAATTCCCACAATATCCTGGATCCGCTTGTGAACTCGTTGCAGGTCTGGAGCCTGGGCATGTGGGCCTGTTAAGGAACTGTGTCATGATGTCCTAAGGCCTGGAAATCCCTCTCCCAACCACCTTCCTCCTAACTCTTCACTCTGCCCTGCAAGGATATCCTGCTCCATCTCCCCAGCAGGGGGCAGCACAAATGGTTCCTCATCCACATTGATCTGCAGGCCCCCATCTGCCTCTTCCACCTTTGGGGGGCCTGACTCAGGGGTCACTTCTTTCTCTTCCTCCTCGTCCTCGGTCTCCTCTTCACTCCACTGGATCCTAGAAACAGGTCCAGGAACAGAGTGATTCACAGACCAAAACAGATACCTCCTCCTTCCTCACAGCTTCCCCACCCCAGTGGCTTCCTATGCTCCATCCCAATAGCTTCCAAAACTCACCCAGCAGCAGCTTCCCGGGCCTTCTGCTTCCGAGCAGCTCTTTCAATGGGCAGCAACTGAAGAGAGACAAGGGCTATTAATACAGGCCTGCCCTTCCATCAGCCCTTGTAGCAGTTCTATCTCTATATCTTATTTTTTCGCTAAATAAAAATCCAACACTTGCTCTCAGAAGGAAATAGAGGAGCAAAGAAATGAAAATAAGATGGGCGCAGCATTGCTCACTGTTGAAACTAAGTAATGAGGGCATGGTGGCACACACCTGTAAATCCCAGCTACTTGGGAAGCTGAGGCAGGAGAATTGCTTGAACCCGGGAGGTGGAGGTTGCAGTGAGCCAAGACCGAGCCACTGCACTCCAGCCTGGGCAACAGAGAAAGACTTCATCTCAAAAAAAAAAAAAAAAAACCTAAGTAATAAATTAAAGGGTTCATTACATTTTTCTTTCTACTATTATGTTTTTCACTTTTCCATTAAGAAAAAAAAAAAACTTGAAAAATACCTGGATGTATAAAGAAGGACAAAAATGGCCCTTGACTACCATTCTGCCATATTTTTTTTGAGAGAAGTCTCGCTCTTGTCCCCCAGGCTGGAGTGCAATGGCGCGTCTTGGCTCACTGCAACCTCCGCCTCCCAGGTTCAAATGATTCTCCTGCCTCAGCCTCCCAAGTAGCTGGGATTATAGGCGCGCACCACCATGCCCAGCTAATTTTTTGTATTTTTAGCAGAGATGGGGTTTCACCATGATGGCCAAGCTGGTTTTGAACTCCTGACCTCAGGTGATCCGCCCACCTCGGCCTCCCAAAGTGCTGGGATTACAGGTGTGAGCCACCGTGCCTGGCCCATTTTGTCGTTTTTTTTTTTTTTTTACTTACTCTGTATTTTTCACATAATCCATTTTCAAGTTTGTTTCTTGCTTTTTAGACTTCAGTTACATCACAGGCATTTTCATAGACATAATGACCAGTGTAACTGCATCATATGCATGAACCATAACTTACTTAAGCATATTGTGTATTTTGGAAGTTTCCTGAGTTTTTGGCATTATGATCCACATGGTGCCTGCAAACCTAATAATGACCCTGTAGATACAAGGGGATGTAGGAAGGGGGTGCACATGGGGACCTTCTCTTTTTATTCTATACGATTCTAATAATACATCCACACACTAATTGTATAATAACTTCCTGCACCTCAGTAAAGAACTATTTGCTGACATTTTGGATCATCTTCCTTAATAGGGAATTACTATGTCAAAAGGAAGCAGTTATTTTTTTTTTTTTTTTTTGAGACAGTCTCACTCTGTCACCCAAGCTGGAGTGCAGTGGTAAGATCACAGCTCACTGCAGCCTCAACCTCCCAAGCTCCAGTCATCTTCCCGCTTCAGCATCCTGAGAAGCTGGGACTACAGGCGTACGCCACCACACCCAGCTAATTTTTAAACCATTTTTTAACTTAACTTTTTTTTTTTTTGAGACAGAGTCTCACTTTGTTGCCCAGGCTGGAGTGCAATGGCATGATCTCGGCTCACTGCCATCTCCGCCTCACAGGTTCAAGCAATTTTCCTGCCTCAGCCTCCCAGGTAGCTGGGATTACAGGCATATACCACCACACCAGCTAATTTTCATATTTTTAGTAGGGATGGGGTTTCGCCATATTGTCCAGGCTGGTCTCGAACTCCGGAGCTCAGGTGATCCGCCCACCTTGGCCTCCCAAAGTGCTAGGATTATAGGCATGAGCCACTGTGCCAGGCCAATTTTTTAATTTTTTGTAGATACGGGATCTCCCTATGTTGCCCAAGCTGGTCTCCAATTCCTGGGCTCAAGCAATCCTCCTGCCTCAGCCTCCCAAAGTGCTGGGATTACAGATGTGAGGCACCATACCCAGCCAAAAGGAACAAATTTTTCAAAGTTCTGAGATAACTGCTTTATAAAAAGTGCATTTCTGTGCCCATCAGTGGAGCACACCATTGTCCACCTTCCCATACCTACACCAAGACAGCCTTCTAGATTTTTTTAAATGCTCTATCCTACAGCTCTTTCAAACTTGTAGTGCACTGGGAGGATATAAGGCAGTAGGGAAACAGTGATGGAGCACAAAAACCCCTTTCCTCTAGTCAGGCTTATCCTTGCCACTAAGAAACAGTCTCAAGAATCTGGGAAAGAAACTAAATAGCAAGGATCCTTCTATGAATGCCCAAAAAGATGAATCTCACCGCTTCACCTTCCTCCTCATCCTCAGAGTTGGAGTCAGCTCCATAGTCATCTACCGTATCAGCATCGTCCTCGGAGCCCCAGAGGTCCCCGTGGTTCACCATACCATCTTCTTCAGAGTCTTCCTCCTCCTCTTCCTCATCACTGCCAGGTGCTGGGCGCTTCTTGCCTCGAGGAGCATTAAATAGGGACTGGGGTCCCTTCTTACCAGCTGTCTGGACAGCTCCTGCAGAGATCCCTAAGGGTTTGAAGAGTCCTGGACTAATGGCAGCCACACATTCCCTGGCCCCACACCCTGGGAGCCTGTACTTTCTACCCCTCAGAATGTCCTTTGGCTGTTCCTTTCACTCCGGAAATGTTTAGCGAGTTCTTCCCTACCCAGGACCCAAAGGGACTCCTCATGTAGCATCCAGCTCTTAGTTTCACGGACCTTTTGGTAGCTTTCCAGGCAATGGTTTGGCCTCAGGAGACTTATTTGTCTTAGGGGCTTCAACAGAGCCCAATCTCCTCTTGGCTGCCCTGAAAAGACACAAGAGATTCAAGGAGTGAAGAAATGGGAAGATACTTCCAGGCTCTGCCATTTCCACCATAGGGAAATGTGAGAGTCTAGAATTAACTCTGTGGTCAAAGATGAGCAGTACCAATTTAACCTACTTAAGTTTTGACACCCACACTTACCTCTTTCGAGCACGACTAGACAGCCTCTTGGAATTTTCGTCACTTACTGTTTAAAAAAGAAAAACGAGGCAGAACAAGTTACAGGGGACATTAAAAATAAATGGGAACGGAAATAAACATGGTAAGAGAATTAGTACACTAATTAAAAGGAGTCCATTTAAATCTCAGCCCTGTTATTATTTAATAACTGTATACAAGTTTCTTTTTTTTTTTTGAAATGGAGTTTCACTCTTGTCTTCCAGGCTGGAGTGCAATGGCGTGATCTCAACTCACTGCAACCTCCTTCTCCCAGATTCAAGCGATTCTATTGCCTCAGCCTCCCATCACCACACCCAGCTAATTGTTGTATTTTTAGTAAAGACAGGGTTTCACCATGTTGGCCAGGCTGGTCTCGAACACTGGACCTCAGGTGATCCACCTGCCTCGGCCTCCCAAAGTGTTTCCTTAATAGTGCCTCTCTCACAGGACTCTAAGATGATTAAGCGATATAACATGACCAACAAGTTTAATACAGTGCCCAGGACTTCCTACTATCTCAATAAACTGCATCCTTTATCCAATGCCCAACACAAACTCCCGGTCCAGTGTTACCTCCCACCAGTCTTCCACACAGTATACTACTACTCGGCATGAAGCAGCCAGATCCGTGCTTTTCCATTTCCACCCCTTCCAAAAGGCAAATCAGTGACTGACCCCTCCCCTTCACTACTTCCTCTTGCTACAATGTTACCCATTTTTCAAAACCCAGCTTAACAAAAACTTTTACAGTTCTGCATGGGCTCCCCCTTCCTCTGAACTCACAATTGTTTTAAATCACACTTTTCCCTTGCATGAATAATAGTTGTGTCCGTGTCTTCACATCTCTACGACCTAAACAGTTCCCTACAATCTAAACGGCTGTTTCATTCATACCTCCTAGTAACTCATACAGAGAAGATTCCACTTAAATATAAAATGAACAGAAACTAAAAAAGAGAAGAGGTTATAATACAGAATACTGCAAAAGCTGAGGGATCAGGAGGCCACAACTAATCCTTACCTGCAGGCAAGAATCTGACGAGTTCTGTCTCGGCACCCTTCTGCTTCCGGGCCTTTCGGCCTGGCCCCCGCTTCTCCTTCGTAGGGTCCAACTTGCGCCCCATGGTACTGTGGCAGGCAGAAATGGGAGAAGGTGGCGTCGCGCGTGTCGGAGGGAACGGCAGAACGCACGCTTGGCGTATTATAGTGGGAAAGGGCACAGCCTCAACTCAGCACCCGCAACTCACTCAGCACTCCCGACTCAGCACCCGCGACTCAAGCACCCCCGCTATCCCCCTGGAGGCCCGACCGAACGCCCTCCCACCTGAAACCCAGGTAGCGCACCCTTCTCCCCACGTCCCAGACCAGGTCAGTGCTGCCACTCTTCGTCCCCCAATTTCCTCTAGACCCACCAGAATGCGGGTTAATGTCCGAGAGTGCCCTTCGGGCGGCCCTCCACGTGCAATCCGGACCTAGCTTTCGGCCGGCACTCGCCACAGAATCGTTCCACGCAGGCGCACGGGTAGCGCTAGCCTCGCGGCCCCGCCTCTTCCTGTTGCGCCTAGTCGGCCGCCGCACCCGGAACTTACGCTCGCCCTGGGAACGCCAGCGGAGCCGGCGGCGGCGAGTAGGGGGCAATTCGAAGGAGACGCGCAGCTTACACCCGCGGCGGGTGGAGGGAGCAATGTGACGAAACCATTGAGCTTGACCGACCTTCCCTCATGGAGTTGGCTTTTAGCCTCACGGCCGGTTTCTGTTGGGTGAAAGCCGCACCTTCTCCTCGAACCAGGGCCCGACATTGGAGCCCTCTCCCTCGCATCCACTGCCCTAGTCCAGCGTCAAGATCACGGAATTCCAGGCTGGGCGCAGTGGCTCACGCCTGTAATCCCAGCACTTTGGGAGGCTGAGGTGGGTGGATCACTTGAGGTCAGGAGTTCGAGACCAGCCTGGCCAATATGGTGAAACCCTGCTTCTACTAAAAATACAAAATTAGCCGGGCGTGGTGGCGGGCGCCTATAATCCCAGCTACTCGAGAGGCTGAGGCAGAATTGCTTGAGCCCGGGAGGCGGAGGTTGCAGTAAGCCGAGATCGTGCCACTTAAGCCTCACCAAGAGCGAAACTCCACCTCAAAAAAAAAAAACAAAAAAACCAGCCGGGCTCGGTGGCTCACGCCTGTAATCCCAGCACTTTGGGAGGTCGAGGCGGGCGGATCACGAGGTCAAGAAATCCGAGACCATCTTGGCCAACCTTGTCTCTATTAAAAATACAAAAATTAGTTGGGCATGGTGGCTGGCGCACGCGTGTAGTCCCAGCTACTCGGGAGGCTGAGGCAGGAGAATCGCTTGAACCCGGGAGGGGGAGGTTGCAGTGAGCTGAGATCGCGCCACTGTACTCCAGCCTGGCAACAAAGCGAGACTCCATCTCAAAACAAACAAACAAAAAAAACCGTGGAATTCCATGCCACTTACCTCCTCCTCTTTGCCCCTTTTTTAAAAATCTTTTTATAGAGACGGGTTGTAGGGGGTGGCGTCTCACTATATTGCCAGGGCTGGTCTAGAACTCCTGGGCTTAAGCGATCCTCCTGCCCCCACCTTTGTGCTGAGATTACAGGCTGTGAGCCACCGTGCCCCGCCCTCCCAGCACCTTCCTTGATGCTGACCCCTGCTCAGCCCCTCAATTAAGGTGCTGCACTGCACCTCATTCGCAGGGGGCCTCTTCGCCGGAACTCGCTTTCAGGTGGGTCTACAATTAGTTGGGAAACAACGGGTTGCAAGGCTGACCTGGTCTGGGACATGAGAAGGGGTGAACTACAAGGGTTTCAAGGTTGGAGGACGTTAGGTCGGGCCTCCGGGGGTGTGGGATTGAGGCTGTGTTCTTCCACAAATTGCATCCCAATTTTGCACAACTTAGCAAGAAAACCCCCCTCAGCCTTCCTAGAAACTAACATTAAGGTAGTGGTTAGGTGTTAAAACCGTTCCATGTACTTCACTGGTTTAACTTGACAACCGTATGAGGTATACATGAGATATCTGCATCCCACCAAAGTTAAACAACTTGCTCAAGGTCACAGAGCCATTAAGCGGCGGTGCCCGCAGTTTTGCAGCCTCTCATTTTCCACAGGTGGAAGTCAACGTTGGCAAGGCACATACTGCACCCACACACAGAACCCAGTTACTCAGTGGGGTATCAGGACACCACGTAGCCCTTAATTTTCAACTATACAGGTGCCAGGCTCCTGCCGCACACACTCATCCACCTGCACCTACACCCACACTGAACCAGAGCACTAAAATACAAGGAAACTTTTATTTTCAATTTTCATCAAGAAATTTGCTGTGGTTTTTTATGCTTTTGGTTTTTTCCTTTTTTTTTTTTTCCACTTTATTTCATTTAGCCGCTCAGTGGCTAGAGCCGCTGGGTTCCTGGTATTAAAAAGATGCCAACAGAGGTAGCTGTGTCTCGCCCAGGGGCCCAGCCCACTCTGAATACCCCCCAAAAAGGAGAAAAGAAAACACAAAATAAACCAACAAAATAAAACCAAAAGGAGGAAAAAATTCAGATCATTTTCTTCAAGCCTGGCAGGAACCCACAACAGTTTGTGTGTAACAGGCGTTACAGTGGGGAGAAGCCAGGGTCCAGAAGGCCAGCCCGCCAGCTCCTGCAGATGGCGCCAGCGCTACTGCTGCATGTCTCTTCTGCAGGAAGGGCACCACTGCCCCTCACTCCCTCCCCTCCCCCAGTGCACTGGGGCTGTTCCTTTACAACATGGAAGATGGGCAGAAGGAAGGTGAGGGTCTCTCAGGCCCCCAGGGGAGAAGCTGGGACAAGAGAAAGTGAGGAAGGTCACTGCTCAGCGGTGGAGGTGGTATCAGTCTGCATCTTCACTGCTGCTGGGCTACCTAGAGAAGGAGACCCGAGGAGTCAGAATTCCAGATGATAGGAATCCACCCAATCTCAAGGGAATTCACTGATAGGCCACCCACCCAGTATGTAAAGCTAGGGACATACAGCAAAGTTACAAGCTCCAGAATGGTTCTGCAGGAAGAGGTGGTGTCAAGAAGAAAATGGTCCTACCTGCTGTGGGGTAGGTTCGGGTGCCCGGTTTGCCAGGCGGCTGAGAATGTTACGCTCTGACATCTGTAACCTCACAGCAACTGGGGGAATTCGGGCAATGGTAGCTGGGAGTCGAGTCACATCAGCTTTCATGTCACTCAGCAGTTCTTCCAGCTGTTTCAGAACTGCATAGGGAGAAAAAGAGGTGGTGAGCTGTGGTGGCCCAGACTGAGCTCCCTCTACCCTAGTGGACCAGCCCCCCATCACTTCTCAGTGACCAAGTAACTGTGATGTATTGTCTTCTGTCATCTGACCTGACCTCCACCATGTTCAAATTCCTACTCCTCATATTCCAGTTCCAACTGTCCATGATTTTGTGCTTTTTAAAGTCACCTAAACCTTCACTATCCCTTACTATTATTGTATTTCCTCTTCTTGAGCTTATTCGTTTTTTCTCTTCTCTACCTTCAGAATCTGTCTCCCCACCTCCATTATAACAGCATTCTTTTCCTTATTTCACCCTCCGCCTCCTCATAACCTTTTACTTTAATTAGAAACAAAATGTTGAAAGGGGTCTAGAATTTGAAGGGATCTTTTATCACCTGAAGTTACCTCTAAAGTATCGCAAATGACACTGTATTATTCTGCTTTGCTTTCCATCTCAAGAACCTGAATATGTTTAAAGTTAAAAGAGGTGGCCGGGTGCAGTGGCTCACACCTGTAATCCCAGCACTTTGGGAGGCCAAGGCAGGCGGGTCACCTGAGGTCGGGAGTACAAGACTAGGCTAACCAACATGGAGAAACCCCATCTCTACTAAAAATACAAAATTAGCTGGGGCGCAGTGGCTCATGCCTATAATCCCAGCACTTTGGGAGGCAGAGGCGGTGGATCACCTGAGATCAGGAGTTCAAGACCAGCCTGGCCAACATGGTGAAACCCCATCTCTACTAAAAATACAAAAAATTAGCTGGGCATGGTGGCAGGCGCCTGTAATCCCAGCAACTTGGGAAGCTGAGGCAGGAGAATCGCTTGAACCCGGGAGGCGGAGATTGTGGTGAACTGAGATCGCGCCATTGCTCTCCAGCCTGGGCAACAAGAGCAAAACTCCATCTCAAAAAACAAACAAAAAAACCCAAAATTAGCCGGGCATGCCTGTAGTCCCAGCTACTCAGGAGGCTGAGGCAGGAGAATCACCTGAACACAGGAGGCGGAGGTTGCAGTGAGCCGAGATCACGCCATTGCACCCCAGCCTGGGCAACAAGAGCAAAATTCCACCTCCAAAAAAAAAAGGTGGCCAGGGCGGAGCACAGTGGCTCACACCTATAATCCCAGCACTTTGGGAGGCGGAGGCGGGTGGATCACTTGAAGTCAGTTTGAGACCAGCCTTGCCAACATGGTGAAACTCCATCTCTACTAAAAATACAAAAATTAGCCACAAGTGGTGGCGCATGCCTGTAGTCCCAGCTACTCGGGAGGCTGAGGCAGGAGAATTGCTTGAACCCAGGAGGCAGAGGTTGTGGTGGGCCAAGATCACACCACTGCACTCCAGCCTGGGCAACAGAGCTAGACTCTATCTCAGAAAAAAAAAAAAAAAAGAGGTGGCCAGGTACAGTGGCACATATTTGTAGTCCCAGCTACTCAGGAGGCTGAGGCCGGAGGATCACTTGAATCCAGGAGTTCAAGACCCACCTGGGCAAAATGGTGAGAGCCCATCTCTTTTTTTTCTGGAGTCTCACTATGTTGCCCAGGCTGATAGCCTGTGCAATGGCACAATCTTGGCTCACTGCAAACTCCGCCTCCCGGGTTCCAAGCGATTCTCCTGCCTCAGCCTCCTGAGTAGCTAGGATTATAAGCGTGCGTTGCGCCACATGCCCAGCTAATTTTTCTATTTTTAGTAGAGACGGGGTTTCACCATGTTGGCCAGGCTGGTCTCGAACTCCTGACCTCGTGATCCACCTGCCTTGGCCTCCCAAAGTGCTGGGATTAGAGGCGTGAGCCACCGCGCCCGGCCAGGAGTCCATCTCTTTAAAAAAAAAAAAAGGCAAAGAACTACTGTCCTTGATTGCCTCTAAGATACTAACCTCCCAAGGATGGCAAAGATCCCTAGCACCTCCTAAACTCCCAGACAAAGGAGCTCTGAAAGTTTGAAAACAAATATATGTACATTAGGATGCAGTCAGATCAGGGAGGCCGAATCGGCAGGAGGCAGGGGAGCCACTGGCTACCTTTGTGCAGGACTGCATTGGCTGGCTTGTTTCCTGCCATTGACTCCTTGGACAGGTGCTGATGACTTTCCGCCAAACACTCCACCTCAGCAAAGCGGGTGTTGAGGGCCATGGAAGGGTGAGAAGGGTCTTCTGACATGTTCAAGTAAGCAGCCCGGCGCAGCTGTTCCTCAATCACCAGAGCTTGTTCTAAGAGCTGGACAAGGGATAAGAGGAAACGGGAGTTCGACTGATAACTCACTTTACTCACTTCTGACTGGCCTCTCAGCTCACCTCTCATTGTTTCAGATGGTAATAAGAACCTATGAAGAACTTCATGGACAGCTCATTCCCACACCCAAGTAGTTTAACTTTGCCTTGTAACTTTTTTCTTTCCCTTTTTCAATGTCCTCATTTTTAAAACTCTTTACCCTTTAGGTTCTCTTATACAAAAGCGATAAAAACTCAATTTAGAAAATAGAATATCAAAAATTTTTAACAACAGATAATCCCACCTTCTAGAAATACATCCTGATATTTTTCTTTTTAGGTTTTTTTGTGCATAGTTTTTTACATAACTGAGATCATACTATATACATACCCATATTATGTTTTCATTTAGTTACACAGTTAAGCATCTTCCTTTTTATCATCTACTCTTTATCAACTACTCTTCAAAAACATGTTTTGGCTGGGCACGGTGGCTCACACCTGTAATCCCAGCACTTTGGGAGGCTGAGGCGGGCAGATTACTTGAGGTCAGGAGTTCAAGACCAGCCTGGCCAACATGACAAAACCCCGTCTCTACTAAAAACACAAAAATTAGCCAGGTATGGTAGTGCGCACCTGTAACTGCAGCTACTCAAGAGGTTGAGGCAGAAGAATGCTTGAACCCGGGAGGCAAAGGTTGCAGTGAGCCAGGATCGCGCCACTACACTCCAGCCTGAGTGACAGAGGGAAACTGTCTCAAAAAAAAAGGGGTTATTTTGCTATTTAAAAATATTTTTGTTTTTTATTTCCTCTTATCGCCATCTCACTCCCATTCCTCTGAAAAGCAACTTTTCTAATGTAGTAATACTGTGGCTTTTTGTGTAGGTTTTTAAAAACTGTTTCTGTTTCCTATGTATGTTTCTAAGTTACAGAATGATGTTTTCTGTATCTATAAAATGCTTTTTCTTCTCCCACTACATACCTTTTAAAAGGTACTCTTATGTTGTATGCACATGAATTTTGTTGCTTCTGTTGTTTAATGCCCCATGATATGAATACATGTTTCACCTATGCATTCTCCTAATGCTGAACATTTATGTTGCCTCTAGGCCCCCACCACCAAAAATCATACTGCAAAAACACTCATGCACATGTCATCTGATGGAGCTGTATTAAAGATTCTTTGAAATATATCCCAAGAGGCAGAATGTTGGTTCTTAATTTATGAAAAGATTTTAATTACTTAAAAAATATATTCATAAAACATATGACTCAACATAAGAGAAGATTTCTCATACCCTTCTCCTCTCCTAGTGTCAGCCAGCAGTTCTATGCAGATGATTTGATGCTTCTCAAACATGTACCTTCAGCACTGGTTCTGATCCCACTAGTGTATGGTGATGGGGGTCGGTAGTGGGAGGGGTGCTGATTTGTGAGAAATACCAAAAGACTTGTCTAAAATTCGATATCATTCTTTTCTACAAACTGCTCCCTCTCTTCTTAAATGACAATTTAACTTTCTCAGTGACTCAGGCTCAAAATGTTATTTTCAGTCTCACTCATTCTGTACCTCAAATCCAGTAAGTCAGGAGTTGGCAAGCTACAGCCTGTGGGCCAGATCTGCCCCACCACCTGTTTTTATATGGCTCAAGAGCTAAGAATGGGTTTTACATTTTAAAATGGTTGGCAAAAAGTCAAAACAAGACTATTTCATGCCACTTCATGAGAATTATACAAAATTCAAATTGTAATATCCATAGATGAAACGCTGAAACACATCCTAACTTATTCATTTATGTATCCCCTGTGGCTGCTTTCACACAACAAAGATGGAGTTGAGTATATGCAACAGAGACTACATGTCCCACAAAGGGACTATCTGGCCCTTTAATAGAAAAGGTGTGGTTGGGTGCAGTGGCTCACACTTGTAATCCCAGCACTTTGGGAGGACAAGGCGGGCAGATCACCTGAGGTCCAGAATTTGAGACCAGCCTGGCCAATATGGCAAAACCCCATCTCTACTAAAAATACAAAAATTAGTCAGGCATGGTGGTACATGCCTGTAATCCCACCTACTTAGGAGGCTGAGGCAGGAGAATCGGTTGAAGCCAGGAGGCAGAGGGTGCAGTGAGCCAGGAAATGTCGCCACTGCACTCCAGCCTGGGCAACTGAGTAAGACTTTGTCTCAAAAAAAAAAAAAAAAAAAGGGTTTTATTAACCGTTTTTGGTTTGGGGGGAGAAAAAAAGGTTTGCTGACCCCTACAGTAAGTCACTAAGTCCAATAAATTCTTTGGTGTTGTTTCCTTTATCTTTACCCTTTTCATTTTCCACAACCAGCATCACAGCCCAGACCCTTAACACCTCATGATTATATGACAGTTTTATAATCTTATGAATGCTGTTTCCATTTCCCTTGGTCCTATCAAAACTCTGCTCACAAACTTTCAGTGGCTGCCCATTAACGATAGCGTAAAGTCCAAACTCTCTTATCTGGTGCCAAGAACCCACCTACTGACCTCTAGCCCGTCCACCTTTCTCGTTCCAACCTACCTCCCACCATCACCCAACACAAATGTTTCCCTACAGCTCAACTGGGCTATCTGCTATTTCCAGACATACTAAGCTTTGCTGGCTCACATCTTTGCCCAACCTAATCCCTTTGTTCAGATACCCTTCTGTTTCTACCAAAAAAATCTCCGTCGCATTCTTCAAAACTTCATTCCAATGCCATCTTCTCCATAAAGCCATTTGTGAGTTCCGTCCCTACTCCAATTCCCTCTCGAGAACTTTTTTTTTTTTTTAAGACAGGGTCTTGGATGGGCACAGTGGCTCACGCCTGTTATCTCAGCACTTTGGGAGTCCGAGGCGGGCAGAACATGAGGTCAAGAGATCGAGACCATCCTGGCCAACATGCTGAAACCCTGTCTCTACTAAAAATACAAAAATTAGCTGGGCGTGGTGGCACACGCCTGTTGTCCCAGCTACTCGGGAGGCTGAGGCAGGAAAATCGCTTGAACCCGGGAGGCAGAGGTTGCAGTGAGCAGAGATCTTGCCACTGCACTCCAGCCTGGCAACACATCAAGACACTGTCTCAGGAAAAAACAAAACAAAACAGGGTCTCACTCCAATGCCTAGGCTGGAGTGCAATGGCACAATCTAGGCTCATTGCAGCCTCCTAAGTAGCTGGAACTACAGGTGCACGCCACCAGAACTGGCTAATTTTTGTATTTTTTGTAGACATGGGGTTTTGCCATGTTGCCCGAGCTAGTCTTGAACTCCTGGACTCAAGCAATCAGCTCTTTTAAATGCTGAGATTAGCCACTGTGTCTGCCTCTCTGAGAACTTTCTTTTCTTGTCTTTTTTGAGGTGAGTCTCGCTCTGTCGCCAGACTGGAGTGCAGTGGTGCGATCTCGGCTCACTGCAACCTCCGCCTCCCGGGTTCAAGCGATTCTGGAGAACTTTCTTATGCCAATCAGCAATCTCTCTCCTGATATGCAGAATGGCATTCATTTGATTACACATGTGCTCCTACTTGAAACTGAAAGCTCCTTGAAAACAGATACCATGCTTTGTCTTTTTATCCCTGGGCACATCATTGCTTAGTACATAATACCTGAAGGCTTATTAGTGTACCATTTCTTCCCCGATTATACTCAGCGTACGAGACAACAGACACGTCTTTTTTTTTTTTTGAGACAGAGTCTCACTCTGTTGCACAGGCTGGAGTGCCGTAGCACGATCTCAGCTCACTGAAATCTCTACCTCCCGACTTCAAGCGATTCTCCTGCATCAGCCTCCCAAAGTGCTGGGATTACAGGCGTGAGCCACCGCACCTGGCCCACACAGGCACTTTTTAGCCCAGAAAAAAGAACCAGGCCAGGCATGGTGGCTCATGCCTATAATCCCAGCAATCTGGGTGGCCAAGGCAGGTGGATCACTTCGAGGTCAGGAGTTTGAGACCAGCCTAGCCAACATGGTGAAACCCCATCTCTACTAAAAATCCAAAAAAAACAGCTGGGTGTGGTGGCAGGCGCCTGTAATCTCAGCTACTCAGGAGGCTGAGGCGGGAGAATCACTTAAACCCAGGACACAGAGGTTGTAGTGAGCAGAGGCTGCATCACTGCATTCCAGCCTGGGCGACAGAGATTCTGCCTCAAAAAAAAAAAAAAAAAAAAAACAACCAGCAGCCCACTGACTAATAGCTCTACATCTTCAGAGATGCAATTCAATCCCACCTCTATATCTTTCCTGAATACTCCAATCTGCAGTGTTCCCCAAACAAACCCCTCTGCACTAGTGTGTCACTGATTGGACACATAGTCACCTACAGCTCATGTACAGTTAGTTAACTTTCAATTCTGTGTGTCTTCAACCCTAATGTGTAAGTTACTTGGGAGCAAAGCCTTCCATAGAATGAAGAAAGTGAGAACAGTGCGCTGGATGGACAGACTCCCTCTGCTGCAGGACGTTACGCACTTTCAAGTTTGTCACTTAAGCAATATATTCCTCCCCAACCGCTCACCTTAAACCTTCGAGCTAGAAATTTATTCTTGATCTCTAAGAAATTGCCACGGTTCATTTCACCCTTGAAAGGCTCATTGAGGATGGCATAGCGTGGGTCATTCTGGATGTCTTGCCACCGGGCATAGCCATGGCTATTGGAAAAGTGCTCAGGAAAAACAAAACAAGGAAAGTAAGAACCTCAAACTAAAAGACCTTCAGAACCTTTCACCAAAAGCCTCAGTACAGATTCAGGCAAAGGATACTTTATAATGCCGGCTAGCAGCCAGTAGTCATGCCGTCGATGCCAGATCTCATAAGTCTTCTTGGTAACTGTGGCTGCCCGCTCTTCATTCTGCCAAAGGGAGTGCAACTCTGAGGAGGAATTTAGGGAAGGTTGGGGGTGGGGGGAAGCAAACATCTGTGAGAATTGAAAAAGCTACTTATTCTTGTCCCCCACCATCCCCTACCCCTGGATCCATTTCATATAATTTGCTTCTGGCTTTCTCCACAGAACCCACTATCAGTTTGGCATTCCCTCATCAAACAGAGGTAAAGAGGTAAAGTCCCTGTACCGTGGTTTCTGACAAGAACCCCAATTTCACATCAGATCCTTCTAACCCTGGTGGGCCCCTCATTTCCATACCAGTAAAACCACCATCTGCAATGTTAAACATGAAACGTTGTTTAATATTTTTCTTCTGTTTCTCATCATTCAGGTCCTTGGGGGTCTCTCCATTCTGAAGCATCACCTCTTTTTTCTCTTCTTCTTCTTTCTTCTCTTCTACAGAATATGGGGAAGAAAAATGTCAGCTCCAGCCAAAGCCCAGCACCATCGCCCTTACCCAGAACACTGTATGCTACAAGAATCCATCCACCTACACCCCTTCTCCACCTGGGTGTCTCTCAGACCCAGAAAATGGTGCCATTGGCCCACTGACAACTAAATGTGGGGACAGGTACAGTCTTTTATCTTGGGATAAAATGGCTAGATGAGTATGGACAGGGAGGCAGGGCAGATACAGTCCTTGCTTCTGGTTTTAGAGTTCTTCTGAACCACAATCAACTTCTCCAAACACCCACCTTTGTCTTCTACCACAATAGGGGTCAGATCTATTGCTGACTTTTCCTCCACCTTCTCTACATCAGCAGCACCTAGGGGAAGAAATGTTATTGAGACTATACCTAAAGGAAGAACATTCTCCTCTGTTGCACACTATTATCCAATTGGATAGACCCACATCTAAATGTCTGCAATTACAGTAATGTCAGCTGGGCATGGTGGCTCATGCCTGTAATCCCAGCATCTTGGGAGACAGCAGCAGGCAGATCACTTGAGGTCAGGAGTTCAAGACCAGCCTGGCCAACAAGGTGAACCCCAATCTCTATTAAAAATACAAAAATTAGCTGGGTGCGGTGGCTCATGCCTGTAATCCCAGCACTTGGGGAGGCCAAGGTGGGTGGATCACCTGAGGTGAGGAGTTAGAAACCAGCCTGGCCAACATGGTGAAACCCTGTCTCTACTAAAAGTACAAAAATTAGCCAGGCGTGGTGGCTCACACCTGTAATCCCAGCACTATGGGAGGCCGAGATGGGTGGATCTCTTGAGGTCAGGAGTTCATGACCAGCCTGGCCAACATGGTGAAACCCCATCTCTACTAAAATACAAAAATTAGCCGGGCGTGGTGGCGCATGCCTGTAATCCCAGCTACTCAGGAGGCTGAGGCAGGAGAATTGTTTGAACCCAGGAGGTGGAGGTTGCAGTGAGCCAAGATCACACCACTGCACTGCACATCAGCCTGGGCGACGGAGCAAGACTCCATCTCAAAAAAAAAAAAAACAACAACAAAAAAAACAATTAGCCAGGCATGGTGGCTACTCAGCAGACTGAGGCAGGAGAATCACTTGAACCCAGGAGGCGGAGGTTGCAGTGAGCCAAGATCGTGCCACTGCACTCCAGCCTGGGTGACAGAGTAAGACTCCGTCTCAAAAAAAAAAAAAAAAAAAATTTTGGCCAGGCGTGGTGGCTCACGCCTGTAATCCCCGCACTTTGGGAGGCCAAAGCGGGCGGATCACGAGGTCAGGAGGTGGAGACCATCCTAGCTAACACGGTGAAACCCCGTCTCTACTAAAAATACAAAAAATTAGCCGGGCATGGTGGCAGGCGCCTGTAGTCCCAGCTACTCAGGAGGCTGAGGCAGGAGAATGGTGTGAACCCGGGAGGCGGAGTTTGCAGTGAGCCGAGATGGCGCCACTGCACTCAAGCCTGGGCGACAAAGCGAGACTCCGTCTCAAAAAAAAAAAAAAAAAAAAAATTACGTGGGCATGGTTGTGGCACGCCTGCAATCCCAGCTACTCAGAGGCTGAGGCAGGAGAATCGCTTGAACCCAGGAGGCGGGAGTTGCAGTGAGCAGAGATCGTGCCACTGCACTCCTGCCTGGGTGACAGAGTGAGACTCCATCTCGAAAACAACAACAACAACAACAACAACAACAAATAAAGTCATAAGAGATACCTTAAGTTAGGGGAAAACCTGCCACCTAAAATCAAGGGTGCAGGATTCTTCAGTGTGTCGCTTCCTCCTGATATCTCTACAGCCCCAGCAAAAATTCACGAGTGACCATGGTTCACACAGGGATCTGTAGTGCTTAATATGGATACCGGCCAGGCATGGTAGCTCACGCCTGTAATCCCAGCACCTTGAGAGGCCAAGGCAGGTGGATCACCTGAGGTTAGGAGTTGGAGACTGGCCTGACCAATATGGAGAAACCCCCTCTCTACTAAAAAATACAAAATTAGCTGAGCATGGTGGTACATGCCTGTAATCCCAGCTACTCAGGAGGCTGAGGCAGGAGAATCGCTTGAACTCAGGAGGCGGAGGTTGCAGTAAGCCGAGATCGCACCATTGCACTCCAGCCTGGGCAACGAGTAAAACTCCTTTGAAAAAAAAAAAAAAAAAAAAAAAGCCAGGCACAGTGGCTCATGCCTGTAATCCCAGCAATCTGGGAGGCAAAAGCAGGTGGATCATGAGGTCAGGAGATTTAGACCAGCCTGGCCAACATGGTGAAACCCTGTCTCTACTAAAAATACAAAAATTAGCTGGGCATGATGGCGTCTGTCTGTAATCCCAGCTCCTCGGGAGGGTGAGGCAGGAGAATCGCTCGAACCTGGGAGGTGGAGGTTGCAGTAAGCCAAGATCGCGCCACAGCACTCCAGCCTGGCGGCAGCACTACACTGTCTCAAAACAAACAAACAAACAAAAAAAATGTGGATACCTTTACCTTTGGGCTCTGTCTCCATAGGTTCCTCTGTTCTCTCCTTCACCTCTGCCTTTTCCACTTTCTCCTCTCCCTCAGGGGGTTCAACAACGACCTTTTCATCCTCTGAGGCAGGGGCAGGGGCCTGTGTACACTTCAAAGGAAAAAAAAACAAAAACAAAACAGATGAAGCAGACAGGCCAGCAACTAAAAGGAAGACTGGACTTACACATTTGTCTTTAGTATGGCATTCAGTCACCCCATCTCTTACCTCAATGGCAGTCTCAGGGGCTGTAGATTTAACCTCCTTTTCTCCTTCTATGCTCTCTTCTTCTTTGAGGCTATTTTCCTCTATTTTTATCCCATCTTCTGCAGAACAATAAAAGACAATCAATTAGGAAGAAGGTACTAGATCAGAGAGAAGGTCATTTCTTCCCAGTTTGTCTCATCTTAAATTGTCCTCTCGTGCCTTTAAGAGCCAGCCCTATTCTTAGGACGGCCCTCCTAAACTGAGAGGGAATTGCTGTGTGTCCTGCCAGACTACCCTGTTAGAACTGAGCACAGGGGAGCAGAAAAATAGGCCAGGACAAAAAGAGAGGGACAGAAAATGATAGGACAGGCAGACTTACCAGCAGGTGGGACAGGTGCAGGAGTGTTGGGCTGCGTGTCCCCTGGAGTGGAGGGTGTAGGAGTTTTTGGGGAGGGTGACCCTGGCTGGGACATCTTCTTGTTTTCCTCCACCTCAGCCAGTTCAGGCATGCTCCAGCGCCCATTAACATGTTCAAACTCCTGAACCTGTAGCAATGGGACAAGAAGTTGAAGACCCAATTCCAGCTACAGGCTCCTTTCCTATTGGCCTTCCAGTCTCCGCCTCCCGGGTTCAAGCAATTCTCCTGCCTCAGCCTTCTGAGTAGCTGGGAATACAGGTGCCCGCCACCACGTGCAGCTAATTTTTGTATTTTTAGTAGAGATGGGGTTTCGCCATGTTGACCAGGCTAGTCTCTAACTCCTGACCTCAAGTGATCCACCCGCCTCAGCCTCCCAAAGTGCTGGGATTACAGGTGTGAGCCACTGCGCCTGGCCCCCTAGAAACAATGGCAAGAGGCTCAGGGCTCACCTTCTTGCGAATCAAAGACATAACACCAATTCTAGTAAGGACATGCTGGCGAGACAGGCCTTCTCGGGGGACACCATCAGCAAAGGTCTCAGCCCCATCTGCCCCCGGCTCACATAAATGCCGCATGAAAAGAGAGACATATGCCCTGTGTAAAGAAGTAGAGAAAGAGTTAAATAGGGATCATGCTGACTCTTAGATTCTTTTCCATCCCTTCGTGAGGCATTATCACAGGCAATAACTATGGCTCCACCTTGAGGTAAAGCCCACCACTGCACGGGAAGGCTGATCTCTAGACCCCACAAGAAGACCCAGGTTCTCTTCCAGGGAAGCTAGGAACACATTACTAACAGCTTCACCTGCCAACTTCAACAGAGAAAATAGCCCACTTCCCTGCACGGCTAGGCCTAGAACCATGGAATGACCAGATAGATAGCAGAAGCCCTTGCTCTAGATCAGTCCACTCCAGCCCTCAACTCACTTGAACTCTTTCTCTGATTTGCCTCGCAGGTCTCTTACAAGCCACTGGGTAGTAAAAGCATCCTGAGGTGGCATACCATATCGCATAATTGCATTAAGAAAGGCTTTTCGCTGACGAGCATTAAAACCAAGTACCTAGGGGAAGAAGAAACCCAGGTGAGAGGCAGCAGGTCGCATTCCACCAAAGATGCAATATCTGACACTCACCCCTCCTTAGAATCGTATGGCACTTACTTCAATATTCCCACCAACACGGGCCAACAGAGGAGGCAATGGCTTATCTTTATCATTCCGCAGGCCCTTACGACTGGGCCTACGGGGAGCTGCAAGAAGAAAAAGATGAATGAGTGACACAGGTAGGATATTAAACAAAGCAACATTTAGAAAAGCAACAAAAAAAGCACAGCCCTCACCTTCTGAACGTTCATCAAAGTCTTCATCACCTTCCTCTGAAGCCACTGAGTAATCGGACTGGTTGTCGGACTGGTCGTCCTGCCAATCTGGAGGGAGAGAGGGCAGATGAGCGGGGCCCACTGCTCTAGTGGAACGGCCCATGGGTGGGGGGCGGGGCCGGCCACACACACCTCGGTCCTCCTGGGAGCCATCATTGTAGTTGACCTGTTTACGGATTCTTTTTCCTTTGCCCAGATTTCGGGCTAGATCTTCTTGCTGCTGCTCATAATGGTGCCGCAGCAATTTCTCCCAGTAGTCAGGATCCACACTTTCTTCCTGTTTAATGATTTCCCGTTCTACCTCCTCTTCCTCCTGGGACAGAGGGAGGGCCAGGACTCAGGAGTGCTGAAGTCAGCACCACCAGCTACCCCTGGTCCTCACAGTTCCCACTCTGCTAGCTCCTTTTCATGACTGGACTCTTAAATACTTGGTGTGCCTGTTTGGACCTAAGAACTTAGAAGAAATTTGATTGAGAGTACACAGCTCCTCATAATTACATATAGATTAGCAGTCAGCATAACTCAAGAAAAACATGGGATAGAGCTATTATCACAGGTAAGGATGAAGAGACAGAATGCTTTCTTCTAACCCCTTGCACTGATGCATATACAATTGAAAGATAGCAAAAAGAAAAGAGGTCAGAGCCTTAGCAAGGCAGAATGGAGAAACTTCTGAAGTACTGTAAAAGATTTTCATAAGAGAGAAGGAAGGAGAGGATGACTATAAGCCTTTCTATTCTTCATAAACTTCATAAAAGCTTACCAACTGTCTGCAGAACGAAAAGAATTCTATATAGCCTCTTATGTCCCAAAAACGTTGATACTCCTCTAAAAGTGAATTTTTTTCAGACACTTGAGGACCACTCACTGATTCCACATCCCTTATATTGGAATTAAACAGCTGCTAATAGCATAACATTAGAAACAACCTAAAAGCCCATCATTATGGAACTAATTAAATAAATTACAATCGGCCCTCTGTATCCACGGGTTCCGCACCTGTGGATTCAAACAACCATAGATGGAAAATATTCAGAGAAAAAACAAAATTATGTCTGTACTCAACATTTACAGACTTTTTTCTTGTCATTATTCCCTAACCAATGTAGCATTTACATTGCATTGGTATTACTTTTATGTTTACAAGGAAAAAAAAGTCTTTGGGTACATATATGTGAGTGTACATATATGTGTATGAATATATGTATAATTTGTATACACATAAAATATTTTTGGAAAGATATAAAAGGAACTGAAAACATTAGTTGTCCCCAAGAAGGGAACTAAATTGTTAGAGGACAGGAGAGAAAAGAGATACGTGTGTGTACATATAAATATATATATATTTTTTTGAGAGAGGGTCTAGCTGTGTTGCCCAGGCTGGAGTAGAGTGGCGTCATTACGGCTCACTGCAGCCTCGACTGCCAAGTTTAAGCAATCCTCCCACGCAGCTGGGACCACAAGCGTGAGCAACCACACTCGGCTAATGTTTTTATTATTTAGAGACGGAATTTTACCATGTTGCCCAAGTTGGTCTCCAACTCCTGGGCTCAAACGACCCTCCTGCCTCAGCCTCCCAAAGTACTGGGATTCTAGGCATGAGCCACCGTGTCTGGCCCTTTTGTGTATTTTGAACTATGTAAATTCTATCTATTAAAAATAAAACTTAAAAATATTTTAAAAGAAGTCAACAGCAGCTATAGTCACTAATCAAAGAACAATTTGTATACTTATGTAGTCACCAGCAAGGATGATCCACTTAGCATGTGCTCTCCCATCAATCACTTCTATTACATTCACTGCCACTGAAAGGAATGTGAGCATTCTATCAATAGGGTCGTTTCTGATTGAACACTACGGTACACAGACCTATGTCAGACCATTCAGCCACACTTACATATAAACTGAGGTTGGACGCATTACCTTCGAGAACAAAATCACAGGTAAGCATCAGGGAAACACAGCAAGGGGGATGGTTCTGAGGTGGAAGAATGAGAAAAGATGACAAAGACCACCAGAACCAATGCCAACTGAAAGAACCCGGAGCTGAGTGGTTTACAGAGGACAAGAAAAAGGAAATTTTATTTTTCCATTTCATACCCCTCTATATCATTTAGGAGAGAAAAACATTAAAACAAGCCACACACACATTCCTCACATACTATTTTTTTTACTATAAAAGACCAAGAAAAAGAAGGGAGGAGAATAAAAAGGTATATACCGATTCTAATCTTTTTGAGACGGAGTCTGGCTCTGTCCCCCAGGCTGGAGTGCAGTGGGGCAATCTTGGCTCACTGCAAGCTCTGCCTCCCAGGTACAAGTGATTCTCTGCCTCAGCCTCCCGAATAGCTGGGACTACAGGCGCCCGCCACCACGCCCAGCTAATTTTTGTATTTTTAGTAGAGACGGGGTTTCATCGTGTTAGCCAGGATGGGCTCGATCTCTTGACCTCGTGATCCACCCGCCTTGGCCTCCCAAAGTGCTGGGATTACAGGCGTGAGCCACCACGTCTGGCCCAATTCTAATCTTTAAAAAAACATGGTGAAACCCCATCTCTACTAAAAATACAAAAAATTAGCTGGGTGTGGTGGCACGTGCCTGTAGTCCCAGCTATTCGGGAGGCTGAGGCAAGAGAACTGCTTGAACCCGGGAGGCGGAGGTTGCAGTGAGCCGAGATCATGCCACTGCACTCCAGCCTGGGCGGGAAAGCAAGACTCTGTCTCAAAAAAAAAAAAACACACACACAAAGAGGCCAGGCGTAATGGCTCATGCCTGTAATCCCACCACTTTGGGAGGCCGAGGCAGGCGGATCACTTGAGGTCAGGAGTTCTAGAGTATCCTGGCCAACATGGTGAAACCCCGTTTCTACTAAAACTATAAAAAAATTAGCCGGGCATGGTGGTGCATACCTGTAATCTCAGCTACTTGGGAGGCTGAGGCAGGAGAATTGCTTGAACCCAGGAAGTGGAGGTTGCAGTAGGCTGTGATCGCACCACTGAACTCCAGCCTGGGCAACAGAGCAAGACTCCGTATCAAAAAAAAAATATATAAGGCCAGGGGCAGTGGCTCACGCCTGTAATCCCAGCACTTTGGGAGGCAGAGGTGGGTGGATCACAAGGTCAGGAGATCGAGACCATCCTGGCTAACACAGTGAAACCCCATCTCTACTAAAAATACAAAAAAAATTAGCTGGGTGTGGAGGCAGGCACCTGTAGTCCCCAGCTACTCGGGAGGCTGAGGCAGAAGAATGGCATGAACCCGGGAGGCAGAGCTTGCAGTGAGCCAAGATCGCACCACTGCACTCCAGCCTGGGGGAGAGAGTGAGATTCCATCTCAAAATAAATAAATAAATACATACATACATACATACACAAGGAGGCCTGGTGTGGTGGCTAACACCTGTAATTCCAGCACTTTGGGAGGTCAAGGCAGGAGAACTGCTTAAGGCCAGGAGTTCAAGACCATCCTGGGCAACATAGCAAGACATCTCTAAAAACATTTAAAAAATTAACCAGGTGTGGTAGCACACATCTACTAGGGTCACTCTTCAGCCCAAGAGTTTAAGGTTGCACTCAGCTATGATTGTGCCACTGCACTCTAGCCTGGGTGACAGAGCAAGACCCTGTCTCTTTTTTTGTTGTTTTTTTTTTTCAAACACAGTCTGGCTCTGTCATCAGGCTGGAATGCAGTGGCGCAATCTCAGCTCATTGCAACCTCCGCCTCCTGGGTTCAAGCAATTCTCCTGCCTCAGCCTCCCGAACACCTGGGACTACAGGTGTGCTTCATCGTGCCTGGCTAATTTTTTTATTTTTAGTAGAAACGGGGTTTCACCGTGTTGGCCGGGCTGGTCTCAAACTCCTGGCCTCAAGTGATCTGCCTGCCTCGGCCTCCCAAAGTGCTGGGATTACAGATGTGAGCCACTGCACCTGGTAGAGACCCTGTCTCTTAAATAAAAACCAGAAAACACAAAGAGATAGATTACCTAGGATCTTCTGCCTTTTCTCTAGAGAGATGAGGTAGCATTCAAAATTTCATTTGTAAGGTTTAATAAAACACATAGGAGAAAATGACATTCTGGTAAAGAGCCAAAATAACTGTTGTGAGCATGATATTTGGTTGTAAGTTTTCTGACAACCAAGGCAAAGATGAAAATCTGATTAGTCATGTTATCAGCTTTGTTTTCAAAGGAAGAGGATCAATTCATCAACATAAGAATTTGCCTACAGATATTTTCCACTTGTCTCAAATACCACCTTGGTCTCAATGCCAATTTTCAGACCAATTACCAAGCACAGGATTGCCTTGGATTCATACTCACCCCCATTTCTTCTTCCCGTACCACATACTGGGCCACTTTGAATGAGCTCAAATATTCATTCATGCCCTGCAATTCTGTGTCTTCAGTCTCATCCTGGTTACGGTCTAGCAGCCGTTCAATGGCCTTATCATCGTAGTGGATAACACTGCTATCTTCTCCCTCTTTGTTGTCTCCTCCTATAAAAAATCAAGGGCCCACATCCCCAAAGTCAGTTTCAGCAGCTGCAGTGGAAAAAGCAAGTCCCACAAGACCCTTGGTATCAAAGATTCTCCCTAACCTTTAGAGAGGCCAAGCCCCACACCAAAACGTAAGTTCCTGACTACCTCACCTCCATCAGTGGCTTCATCCTTGAATAGTTCCTCAGTGCCAAATTTGAGGATATCATCAAGCTCCTGTTTGGACATAGATCCAGTCTTGGAGCCCAGCCCAGGCCGCACCACTAGATGCGTCAGCATCATTTTCTTCTTTGCCACCTGCGTGATGCGCTCCTCCACTGACGCACGGGTCACAAACCGGTAGATCATTACCTTTTTATTTTGCCCAATCCGGTGAGCTCTGCTAAAGGCCTGGAGTTGAACAGGAAATAAAGCCAGAAATTGTATTTTCCTGGTGCCACTCTTATCCTGACTTCCACATAATATTCTAAATTCAGTACAAGGCAAGGTCCACAGCCTACATTCATAGGAAACTTCCTTTTGCACCCCTGCCTCCAGACACCACCCTCTATTATCATGTTACCCAAAATAGGATCACAGCTAACCAAACTCTGGCTTACAATAAGGTAAACAACACAAAAAGAATCTGTTGTTTCTCACTTAAAAACCTAATTCCAGATGGTGGAGCCCTCATAGAGGCCACTATGCCTTTCTAGCATAACATGTTACTTATTAAGGCTGCCTGCTGCCTCTGCTCACCTGAATGTCATTATGGGGGTTCCAGTCAGAGTCATAGATAATAACTGTGTCAGCAGTGGCCAGATTGATTCCAAGGCCCCCAGCTCGAGTGGAAAGCAAGAAGCAGAACTGCTGAGCACCCGGTGCTAATAAAAGAACCAAAAACACCATTAGAAGTGTCTCCTAAATTCCAATTCATAAATGTAGTTTAAAAAATTAAGCCGGGGGCAGTGGCTCATGCCTGTAATCTCAGCACTTTGGGAGGCAGAGACAGGTGGATCATTTGACATCAGGAGTTCGAGACCAGCCTGGCCAACACGGTGAAACCCTGTCTCTACTAAAAATACAAAAATTAGCCAGGCGTGGTGGTATACACCTGTAATCCCAGCTACTCAGGAGACTGAGGCAGGAGAACCGCTTGAACCTGGTAGGCAGAGGTTGCAGTGAGCAGAGATTGCACCACTGCACTTTAGCCTGGGCAACAGAGCAAGAAACTCCATCTCAAAAAAAAAAAAAAATTTAGCTGGGAATGGTGGCACACGCCTGTAGTCCCAGCTACTCAGGAAGCTGAGGCAGGAGAATCACTTGAGCCCAAGAGTTCAAGGTTATAATGAGCTCTGACTGTGCTACTGCACTCCAGCCTGGGCAACAGAGCAAGACCCTAACTCTTATAGAAAAATGTCAGAATAGGCCAGGTGCAGTGACTCACACCTGTAACCCCAACACTTTGCGAGGCTGAGGTGGGCAGATCACCTGTGGTCAGGAGTTCGAGACTAAGCTGGCCAACGTGGTGAAACCCTGCCTACTAAAAATACAAAATTAGCCAGGTGTGGTGGCAGGCACCTGTAATCCCAGCTACTCGGGAGGCTGAGGCAAGAGAATAGCTTGAACCCGGGAGGCAGAAGTAAAAAAGAAAGAATGTCAGAATATAAAACCTCATTAGGCAAACACCACAGTAATAATCATTGTAATCAAGGTCCACTGACGAATACTAATATCGGTGTGAAAGTTTAAGGAGAAACAGGACACTGACATAGTCTCAAATATCTCCCTCAAGCTATTTATCAATCACAATGGGAACAATAGAAACTTTACACTGCAGAAACTCAGCAGGCACCACCTTAACCAGTGATCAAGTCATTACCAGTAAGGGGACATATGAACATCATGTCCGTCCCCCAGTATGATGAACTGAAAAGGACACATCATCGACTGGGCGTGGTGGCTCACGCCTGTAATCCCAGCACTTTGGGAAGCTGAGGCGGGTGGTTCACAAGGTCAGGAGATCGAGACCATCCTGGCCAACATGGTGAAACCCTGTCTCTACTAACAGTACAAAAATTAGCCGGGCGTGGTGGCGGGTGCCTGTAATCCCAGCTACTCGGGAGGCTGAGGCAGCAGAATGGCTTGAACCCGGGAGGCAGAGGTTGCAGTCAGCCAAAATCAGGCCACTGCACTCCAGCCTGGTGACAGAGCAAGACTTTGTCTCAAAAAAAAAAAAAAGAAAAGGACACATCATCACCTCTGTGGCATTCTTGCCCAGAATGTCTAATCTAATCAAGAGAAAACATCACACAAACCCAAACTTAAGAGACATTCTACAAAATAACTGAACAGTGCTTATCAAAAGTATCTATATTGACCAGGCACAGTGGCTCACACCTGTAATCCCAGCACTTTGGGAGGCCAAGGCGGGCGGATCACCTGAGGTCAGGAGTTCGAGACCAGCCTGGCCAACATGGTGAAACCCTGTCTCTACTAAAAATACAAAAATCTGGGCCCGTGGTGGCACACACCCGTAATCTCAGCTACTCAGGAGGCTGAGACAGGAGTATTGCTTGAACCCAGGAGGCATAGGTTGCAATGAGTCAAGATCGCGCCACTGCACTCCAATCTGGGCAACAGAGTGAGACTCCATCCCGAAGAAGAAAAAAAATCTGTATCATATAAGAAAATAAAGAAATGTCACAGATAGCAGGAAGCACAATAACTAAATGGAACACGGGACCTGGGATTGGATCCTGAAACAGAAAACAGACATCAAGAAAAATTGGTGACATTCATTGAAGTTCTGTCATTTATAGTACAATACCAATGTTAATTTTCTAGTTTTGATCATTGTACTGCAGTTACGTAAGTTATTATTAAGAGAAGCTAGCTAGTTGAACAGTATACATGAACTCTCTCTGCTGTTTTGCAACTTTTTTCTAAGTCTAAAATTAAAATAAAAAGTTTTTTTTTTTTAAACAAGGAGTAGTGATACTGAGCACAGTGGCTTATGCCTATAATCTCAATACTTTGGGAGGCCAAGGCAGGAGGATTGCTTGAGCCCAGAACTTTGTGATCAGCCTGGGCAACATGGCAAGACCCCATCTCTACAAAAAAATTTTTTTAGTTAGCTAGGTACAGTGGATCAAGCCTACAGCCCCAGCTAGTTGGGAGGCTGAAGCAGCAGGATCACTTGAGCCTGGGGGTGTGTCCAGGCTGTAGTAAGCCATGATTGTGCCACTGCTCTCCAGCCTCGGCAACAGAGTGAGACCCTATCTCGAATAAACAAAACAAAACAGGCTGGGCGTGGTGGCTCGTGCCTGTAATCCCAGCACTTTGGGAGGCCGAGGTGGGCGGATCATGAGGTCAGGAGATCGAGACCATCTTGGCCAACATGGTGAAACCACATCTCTACTAAAAATACAAAAATTAGCTGGGCGTGGTGGCACACGCCTGTTGTCCCAGCTACTTGGGAGGCTGAGGCAGGAGAACTGCTTGAACCCGGGAGGCGGAGGTTGCAGTGAGCCAAGATCGTGCCGCTGCACTCCAGCCTGGGCGACAGAGCAAGACTCCATCTCAAAAAAAAAAAAAAAAAAAAAAAAAAAAACCTAGTAGCGTCTACTGAGGCAGACAAGTCTGCTAGTAACTTGCTATTTGAGCTTGAACAAGTCCTGACCCTTTGCTTGCCCTCGAGATACAATGCTTTCTTCTTTCTAGCAGAAAGAACAAATACCCCAAAAGAAAAAATCTCCTAGGAATAGTCCAATACATTCGTCCAATTGAGACATTCAAAAGCTTTACTCCATCTCAAATGACAAAGTCCCAAAAGAACTACACAGAAAAGGAGATGCACAAGAAGTTACAGTCCAAAGATATAAGCAAATGAGGATTCCTGAAACTAAACAACTCCTTCTCTCTCACCATTGAAGCGGTCAATGGCCTCTTGCCGCATGTTCCCAGTGATTCCACCATCGATGCGTTCGTATTTATAACCTTCATGTTCCAAGAAATCCTCTAGCAGGTCTAGCATCTTGGTCATCTGCAAAAGAAGCACGGTTTAATTATGGAAGAGTCAGATGGTAATCCCTTTCCTTAGGTCACTAAGGGTTGTCTATGACTGTTCCCTAAAGCTCCCAGTCCACATGATACCTGGGAAAAGATGAGTACACGATGCCCACCCTCCTTAAGGTTCTTGAGCATTTTCTGCAGCAGCAATAATTTCCCAGATGCTCTGATTAGGGCACTGCCATCATACATGCCATTAGGCATCTTAGGAGCTTCCTGAGAACAAATGCAAAGAAAAAAGTATTAAAAGAAAGCCCACATGGAGAAGACCCAACCCAGGGAGGAACAGGAGATGGCACTACATACCATTGCAGCCACAGGGAAGAGGTATGGATGGTTGCAGCACTTCTTAAGATCCATCACCACATTCAGCAGAGACACCTGGTTGCCACCACCTCGGGCATTGAGTGCTTCAAAATTTCGAGTGAGGATGTACTTGTAGTATTTCCTACATGGGCAAGGTAGAAAGACAGGTTAGACTTGAGAGCCTTTCAATGACTAATAATGCAGTGCCAACAACTGAGATCTTTCTTCCAACACATCCCACTTTGGAACTAAGGACACCTAACGCACAAGCACTACCACCACCACCATTTTAAATAAGGAAAGGTATAACCTAAAATAAGTAAGAACTATGCGCTCCAGCGCCCTAGCATCAGGTTTCTTCAGGCCTTGCTTGCTCCTGTCACCAGATGCCTTGAAGCTGAGTGGGGGAGGAATAGGAAACACTCTGCAGACTGGCAGATGTCTAAATGGAGTCTGCTTCTGTCCCTCCCAACTCACTTCTGCATAGGGCTCAGCTCCACACGCACAATTAGTTCTGTCTTGGAGGGCATGTTCTTGAACACATCGGCTTTGAGCCGCCGCAACATGTGCGGCCCCAGCATGTCATGCAGTTTTTTTATCTGGTCCTCCTTGGCAATGTCAGCAAACTCCTCCAAAAAACCTTCCAAATTGCTTCAGAAAGAAAAAGGAAAAAAGTTATTGGAGAAGGAGAAAGGAAGAAAGAAAAGTGATACAGGAAATGGGCAACAGGAAGAATGAGAGGCACAATTATGAGCCGATTACAGATAAACACATACTTACTGGAACCTCTCGGGGGTGAGAAAGTTGAGCAGATGAAACAACTCTTCCAGATTGTTTTGTAATGGTGTCCCAGTCAGCAACAGCTTGTGCTGGAGTGAGTAACCATTCAATACCCGGAAGAACTGGTGAAGCAGATGGAGAAAGGTGAAATCCAATGAAAACAGAGCTCTAGCAAATCTCTACAAAATTTCAAGTTTTTCACTGCCCAATAGTTAAGCATCCCACTCCTCACATTCTTTTTAAAGGCCTGGCCACCAAGGGCTGTCACATACAAGGAAGGAAGGCAGAGACAATTTTCCCCTCTCCTCTCCATCTACAAGTTTTCCCCTTAATGAATTGGTAGTACTAGAAAAAACCCAAAGTGGGGGCTCCAACATCCCTCCCTCAGCCCTCACCTTAGACTGATTGTTCTTCAGCCGATGGGCTTCATCCACGATGAGGCAGGCCCAATCAATAGAGCCCAAAATAGCCATGTCAATGGTGATCAATTCATAGGATGTCAGCAGCACATGGAATTTCACAGATGCCTCTTTCTGCACATGAAGGCAACTTGGTCACTACTAGTCAGTTCCTCTGTGTAAGCACAACCAGGAGACTGATGGAATGTTTTCCTCCTCCCAGGGTTACCCTTTTGCCTCACCAGGGACCAGATCACAAGGAGGTAAACTAAGCCAGAAGCCACAACTCTTTCTCTAGGGTGGCTTCCCTCCCCTGAGATACCTTCATGCGGGAGGCCTTCTTGCCACCACGAATGGCATTGTCTTCAAAGGAGAACTCATTCTCTCGGATGATGGCACGGCTGTCCTTGTCACCCACATAGGTTACGACATACATGTCTGGAGCCCACATTTCAAACTCCCGCTCCCAGTTGATGATGGTAGAAAGAGGGGCGCTCACTAGGAAGGGGCCTTTGGAATGACCCTTTGAGAAAAAAGAGGAGAGTCAGGACTGAGGGCCCCAGCACACTGCAACCCCAGCGAACACCCACCACCCTGCTGCCCCCTCAAGCTGAGCCAAGGACTGACACACCTGCGCTGCTGCTCCTGCTCTCACCTTCCTCTATACAAGTGCCCAGCCCACTCCTTTCCAAAAACCCAAGGTCCCACCATAACTACAAGTCTTACCTCTCCCATTAAGTCTTTATATACTTTTTTTCTGAGACGGAGTTTCACTCTTGTTGCCCAGGCTGGAGTGCAATGGCGCAATCTCAGCTCACTGCAACCTCCACCTCCCGGGTTCAAGCGATTCTCCTGCCTCAGCCTCCCAAGTAGCTGGGATTACAGGCGTGCACCACCACATCCGGCTAATTTTGTATTTTTAGTAGAGACGGGGTTTCGCCATGTTGGTCAGGCTGGTCTCGAACTCCTGACCTCAGGTGATCCACCAACCTCGGGCTTCCAAAGTGCTGGGATTACAGGTATGAGCCACTGCGTCCAGCCAAGCCTTTCCATACTAATTCTACTCATAATTCTACTTCCCTCAACACACAATCATTCCCCTAGAACTGATACTCTATGGATCCACTGCTAATCCTACCCAGGGCTCCATGCCCTCAAATCTTCCGCTGTGTACATGTGTTTATCCACTATCACATTTATCTACTATCTACTAAACACATGTGTACATGTGTTTATCTATTATCCACAGTGTTCTTGAAGGTCAGAGACCAATTTTTTTATTCCCTTATCTCTCTACTCAGTGTAAGTTAAGGCTTCAAACACAAAACACCCACACAAAAAACTATCCACCCCAGATTTCCTTACCTCCTTGTAAAGGGAATACAGGAAGACTGCTGTCTGTACAGTTTTCCCAAGGCCCATCTCATCAGCCAAGATGGTGTCAGTGCCCTGAGCCCAGGAGAAGCGCAACCAATTCAGGCCCTCCATTTGATAGGGGTGCAGGGTTCCACCTGTAGCATCCAGGTACTCTGGCTGTCGCTCATACTTCACTGTTGGCTGAAGGATGAAACAGAGAAGTCAAGAGCTGGCAAGGAACTCCCCTCCTCCCCTAATAGAGCAGCTGCTTCCTCCTCACTAGTCTTCACGGATCCTCTTGGGGAAGAGCTCCGGAAAATTCGGAGGGAAGAGATCCCCTATGATTACTGCAATTTCATGTTCAGTTTAGGGTCCTCCAGGAAACAGGGCTTAACCAGACCTGATTTTGATCCTACAGATCACTGAGGAAAAGCACGTCACAGACTCCCTACCAATACAATAATTCTACTAGTCAGGATCCACCAGGTAAATAATCGTTATGTCCCTCTTAGATTCATCTTTTTAACTTTAATCACCCTCAAATTACACTGTACAAACAAAACCCAGAGGAACTGAGCCTGAATTAAGCCAGATTCCTATGTAAGTGCATAAAAGCTAGGCTATGTGGCCCCTCCCCCCAGACAACACTTCTTCAATCATTCAAAATATACCTCCTTTTTTTTTTTCTGATGACAAAAGAAGAAAGTAATCCTAGTGCTTTCTGATATATAGAGATGTGGAGAAGTGGGGAAGCCGACTTTGTGAAGTAATCTCAGCTACAAAGTTACTATCTGCATTTCATTACTTAAGAGTACCATCATTAGACTGCAGCAAAGATACATTGTCCTACCCAACAAACTACAGTCCCTTCCACCCCCACTCACATCAACTGTTGGCGTTTCTGGAGGCCTCTCCAACTTCCGAAGCTTCACCTTCTTGAGCTTCTTGCCTGGTCGGCCTTCCTCACCCCTCATTAACTCCCTAAAGAAGAAAGACATCACACAGCTGCCCAAAATCCTTTTCTATAGAAGAAACAACTTGGCCAGGCACAGTGGCTCACACCTGTAATCCCAGCATTTTGGGAGGCCAGCACTTTGGGAGGCTGAGACGGGCGGATCACCTGAGGTCAGGAGATCGAGACCAGCCTGGTCAACATGGTGAAACCCCGTCTCTACTAAAAATACAAAAATTAGCTGGGCATGGTGGCAGACGCCTGTAATCTCAGCTACTCGGGAGACTGAGGCAGGAGAATTGCTTGAACCCAGGAGGCGGAGGCTGCAGCGAGCCAAGATCGCACCATTGCACTCCAGCCTGGGGGACAAGAGCAAGACTTCGTCTCAAAAAAAAAAAAAAAAAAAATCAGCTAGGTGTGGTGGCGTATGCAAATAATCCCAGCTACTCAGGAGGCTAAGGCAGGAGAATCGTTTGAACCAGGAAGTCGGAGGTTGCAGTGAGTCAAGATCACGCCACTGCACTACAGCTTGGTGACAGAGCAAGACTCCATCTCAAAAAAAAAAAAAAAGAAACAACTCTATGCCTCACCCAAAATCACTCACCTGTGATTCCAATAGCTCTGCTTGAACAGGTCGTAATCCTGGATCTCCACATCCTCACTCTCCCAAGAAGCCTGATCGTAAGGTAAGTCCCGCCACTTGATCAAGTAGTGGACGTGGCCCTTCTTGTCCACACTGCAAGTCCAGGAGAGAAAACCCTCAGAGCCAGAAAAGGCAACCCTCCTCACTTCCTCTCAAAAACTGGCAATACCGTTTGTTTCACACCAGACCTCTAGGTATGCCACAGATCACACGTTTTCAGAGCCTCTACTGTACCAGTCTCTGACCAAAAATTATCTCTAATTTATACTTTCCTAGAGCTCAAACACCAGAATTCAGTCAGTTAATAATTAACATAGAGTGTTGGCCGGGTGCAGTGGCTCACGCCTGTAATCCCAGCACTTTGGGAAGCTGAGGCAGGCAGATCGCTTGAGGCCAGGAGCTCAAGACCAGCCAGGCCAACATGGCGAAACCCGTCTCTACTAAAAAAAAAAAAAAAAATTAGCCAGGCATCAGGCCGGGCGCGGTGGCTCACGCCTATAATCCCAGCACTTTGGGAGGCCAAGGCAGGCGGATCACCTGAGGTCGGGAGTTCAAGACCAGTCTGGCCAGCATGGAGAAACCCCGTCTCTACTAAAAATGCAAAAATTAGCCGGGCATGGTGGCAGGTGCCTGTAATCCCAGCTACTCGGGAAGCTGAAGCAGGAGAATTGCTTGAACCCGGGCGGCGGAGGTTGCAGCAAGCTGAGATTGCGCCACTGCACTCCAGCCTGGGCGACAGAACGAGACTCCATTTCAAAAAAAAAAATTAGGCAGGCGTGGTGGCACACGCCTGTAATCCCAGCTACTCTGGAGGCTGAGGCAGAGAATCACTTGAGCCTGAGAGGCGGAGGTTGCAGTGAGCTTAGATCATACCACTGCACTCCAGGCTGGGCCACAGAGCAAGACTCTGTCTCAAAAAATATAATAAATAAATAAATAAATAGGCCGAGTGCGGCGGCTCACGCCTGTAATCCCAGCACTTTGGAAGGAGGAGGTGAGCGGATCACAAGGTCAGGCGATCAAGACCATCCTGGCTAACACAGTGAAATCCCGTCTCTACTAAAAATACAAAAAAAAAAAAATTAGCCAGGCATGGTGGCGATGGCCTGTAGTCCCAGCTACTCGGGAGGCTGAGGCAGGAAAATGGCGTGAACCCAGGAGGCAGAGCTTGCAGTGAGCCAAGATCACGCCACTGCACTCCAGCCTGGGTGACAAGTCTGTCTCAAAAAAAAACAATAATAATAAAATAAATAAATAAAGATAATAACATGAAGTGTCAGGCGCAGTAGCTCACGCCTGTAATCCTAACACTTTGGGAAGCTGAAGCAGACAGATTGCTTGAGCCCAGGAGTTTGGGACAGCTATGAGCAGTGATCACGACACTGCACTCAAGCCTGGGCAACACAGCTAAAATTTGTCTCAAAATAAATATATAAGGCTGAGCGTGGTGGCTCACGCCTGTTAATCCTAGCACTTAGGGAGGCCAAGGCAGGCAGATCACCTGAGGTCAGGAGTTCAAGACCAGCCTGGCCAGCAGAATGAAAACCCTGTCTCTACTAAAAATACAAAAAATTAGCTGGGCATGGTGGCTTGCGCCTGTAGTCCCAGCTTCTCAGGAGGCTGAGGCAGGATAATCACTTGAATCTGGGAGGCAGAGGTTGCAGTGAGCCGAGATCACGCCACTGCACTCCAGCCTGGGCACAGAGTGAGACTCTGTCTCAAAAACAAAAAACAAACAAAAAAAACCAGTGTCTTCCAAGTCTAAGTTACTGGTGACAGCCATTTTCCCAATCTCTTTAGCAGGACTCTCCCACGGAGACTGCCCGTCTCCCGTGTGCTCAGCTGGTACCTGTGGTTGAGGATTCGGTGGATCATCATCCACTCGGGTTTTATCCCATAGCGATAGAAGCGTTCCTCCATCTCTGCAAATTTAGGGTCCTTGTTCTTTCGCTTTCGGCTTTTCTCTTCATCACCACCAAAGTCCCCAGAAGGTGGCTCATCCATATCATTCTTCCGCTGATAGTTTCGGAACATCACCTGACAGTGCAGCTCCAGCTTTGAGCGGAAAGAGAAAATCAGCCACCAAGAAGCTGTGTTCATTCCTTCTATCCACAAGGCTCTTTTGTCACTATCCTCTTCATCGTAGCCCCTACATCTCCAGACTATCCTAAACTTACCTGCAGTTCAGAAACCCAGGAGCAGTGCCAGTAAGACATGCCTTGCCATTTCACAAAGAACTGCCGCTCTGGCCGCCCCTCCAAGGGCTTTGGGGAGGGCGTGTTGGGATCAGCATCTGGAGGCCGAGGCACTGGTGTGGGAGATGGTGGCTGACCCCACTTCCAGATTAGGATCTTCTGCACTTTGCCCTTCAGAGCTGGACACTGAGAGAAAAAGAGACAACTTAATCTCAAATCATAACCATGGGAGGAGAAGGGACAGCCCACAGTCTCAACTTCATCAAAGGACGATTCAGATCTCATTTCAGACCTGGAGCAGTGGCTCATGCCTGAAATCCCAGCACCTTGGGAGGCCGAGGCGGGCAGATCACGAGGTCAAGAGATCGAGACCATCCTAGCTAACATGGTGAAACCCCGTCTCTACTAAAAATACAAAAATTAGCTGGGCGTGGTGGCATGCGCCTGTAGTCCCAGCTACTTGGGAGTCTGAGGCAGGAGAATCACTTGAACCTGGGAGGCAGAGCTTGCAGTGAGCCAAGATTGCCCCACTGCACTCCAGCCTGGGGGACAGAGCAAGACTCCATCTCAAAAAAATAAAAAAAGATCTCATTTCAAATAAAATCTAATCCCAGGACTCCTCCAGGGAGAAAATACAGGTTGAGGACCCCTCATGTGAAATGCTTGGGACCAGAAGTATTTTGGATTTCACATTTTTGGATTAGGGTGCTCAACCTGTAATAGAATTCCCTCTCCATTTCTGGACATCGTCCAGGATTTGCGTGCCACCATCACTCCTATCTGCTTAACAGAGCCAGTAGTTAGACTTTAACAATAAGCCAGAACAATCAGGAAATCAACAGACTTAGAGCACAGAATTCCTCCCTTAAGCAATCTAAAGCAGTAAGTGGCCCTATTAAACATTCTAAACTGGCTGGCATGGTGGTAAACACCTGTAATGCCAGCACTTAATGAGGACAAGGGAGCAGAATGGTTTCAGACCAGGAATTCAAGACCAGCCTGGGCAACATAGTGAGACCCTGTCTCAACAGAGATTTTTTTTTTTTAATTAGCTGGATGTGGTGGCATGCACCAGTACTCCTAGCTACTCAGCAAGAGGTTGAGATAGGAGGATCACTTGAGCCCAAGAGTTGGAGGCTGCAATGAGCTATGACTGCACCACTGCACTCTAGCCCGGATGACAGAATGAGACCCTGTCTCCAAAAAAAAAAATTTTTTTAACAAAAAAATTGAAAACATTGTAAGCTACCAAGACCCTGAGGCAGGGTGTCAACACAGGGACAAATGTTCTCAGCTAGAAGAACATTGCTTCATCTCCTCTTAAGAGAGCTGGCAAAACATCAACTCCTCAGTTTGAAGTTAGTCCTATATTTTCCCAGGACAAAAGTATCCCAACACTATAGGATGAAGGAGAATACCTTTCTCAGGGCTGAAAAGCTCATAGTTCCTCTCCTGCACCCCAGCCTCACAATAGCCTACATAGAAAAGACTACACTTTCCCATTTTTTGCCCCGGCTGAGATCAGTCACTCACCGTACAACGGGGACAGAGCCATTCACCGTTGGGGATCTCTGGAAGTGGGGGATTCAGGCAGTGGATGTGGTAGGAAGAAGGACAGGTATCACAGCAGAGCAGTTCCCCACCATCCTTGCAGACCCGACAGAATTCCATATGGTGGTCATCCTCCTCTTCGAGGTCTCCCCCAACCTCTTCCAGGATCTCCTCACCCTCCGAATTGTCCTCTTTAGCTTCCCACTGGATGCCTTCCTTCTCCTGCAGTAAAGGACCACAGATTCAGATTATTACCCCCACCCGCCCACCGCAGTCTGAAGCCAGTGCCCATCATTCCTTTGAATGCTTCCCAAAGCTCACAACCCGCAGCACCAGCATTTCCATTTCCATCCAGGCCCCGAAGAGCTTTACTGTCCCACCCTTCTTCTCATGGGTTCCAAGGGGCCACAATGGCCAGACACTCACGCAGTGTGGGCAGCTCCACTTGCCCTCGGGAGCCTTCTCCATGTCGGGATCCAGGCAGACCATGTGGTAAGCACGGGGACAGGTATCACACAGGATGATCTCACCGCCTTGCTGGCACACCTCGCAATAGTCCTGGTGGTCTGTCTCATAACCATCCACAGCAGTCACCTCCTCCTCGCCTGGGCAAGGAAGAGGGAAAGCCCAGTTATTGGAAAAAAACTACCTCCCCCCACCCCCCGACCCCTATCTCCTTAGGGAGATTCTTCCCCAATCACTCCCACCTCATCCCATCACAAATATACAGAAGAGAAACACACCTTTCTTTTTCTTTTTAGTGGTTCGGAGTTTCTTGCGGCTGCGGCTACTACGGCTGGTGGAACCATCAGAAACAGAATAGCTATTGATACTGGCATCATCGAAGTCAGATTCCACATCTAAGTCATCATCCTCACTCTGGCAGGATGAAAAAGAATAAGGTTAGACGTTCAAGCCAAGGGGAAGGACAGAGTGGCAGAGAGGGGAGTACTCTCTCACTGGGGACACCAGAATCCCAGCAAGCACCGTTATACAGGGAGCCTAGTCTCATCTTGTTCTGTGGGAAACGCCCCACATTCTTACGTGCCTACTATGAAGGACAGGTTCTGATAGAAGGTCACATCCTTTCTATTAGACATGGCACCCTCCCTAAAGCGATGGGCTGGGCTCTCACCGAGGATCTCTTACGCTTGGAACCAAAACCTCCCAGCTTGATTTTCAGGGGAGCTACTTTCTTGGGTTTAGGCTTCTTGGCATCAGGTACACGAGGGCTGCCCTTGGGCTTCCTCCGAGCATTGGGACCTAAAATCAGGATATATCCAAATATATACCACAAGACCAAAGATGGGGAAAATAAAATCTTCTCCACCTAAGCTTGCTTCCCCACATTCAGATTCCCAAATTTCCCTCCAAAATCCAAGACTCATTCCTCCCTCCTATCTCCTACCTTAGGGCTGACAGACCAGCATTCCCATGCTGTCTTTGACATCTTAAGCCCACACTAGACACCCCCACTCCCATTTGAACCCCATTTCACCTTTGCCCTCCTTGGTCTTGGCCTTGCGGATAGGCACCTCCACAGGGGGAGGTGGTGGTGCAACCTCAGTGGCTGTCACCATGCTCTCCACCACAGCTACCGCTGCTGCTGCCGCAGCTGCCACTGATGCCCCAGAACTGCCTTTGAAGGGGTTATTGGTACTGAACTCCCGCCATTTTGCACCCAAAACCATCATCATCTTGGAGACAGCAATCTTGGGATTTTTGGCAGCAATGAGGGGTCTGGTGGAGAAATGCACAAGAGCAGAGGGAAAGGTTTAAGAATAAAAAAAGAAAGAGAAGTAAGAAGAGAGAACAGAAAGATTCTCCTCCCCCTTCCCCAAACCCCTTCTGTTTTACCTGACAAACTGGCTGAAGGCCTTGTAGTTGGTGAGGGTTCGATAATCCTCCTCTGAGAACACGTGGTCAATGTCTTCCATGCCCCAGTCTTCCAGGAGCTGAGCAGATGATTTAGGCTCCTGCAGAAAGAGCAAAGTCAAGTAAGTACCTGCCACCTAGTGCCCACACTTGCTAAGCAAATTTGTGTGGAAAAATCAGAGTAACAGAGTTAAGAGGAAAAGAAGAGAAAGTGTTCTAAAGGGCAGTAAGGTGTCTAGGAAACAAAAAGACAAAAGTTTAACAGTACAAAGAAGAGGATGGAGGTCCAGGCACCTTTGAATCATCATCATCATCCTCCTCCTCCTCCTCCTCCTTCCGCTTGGATTTGCTCTTCTTCTCTTTCTTAGGTCCAAGCTTCTTCTTCTTCTTCTTGCCAGGAGTATAGTCGCTGCCCTCACTGTCTGAGCGCAGAGCCACCTCTTCCTCCTCCTCCACAAACTCTGGCCCCTCCCCAGAGCTGTCCCCCAGCTGCCGGCATAAGAGCATACGCTGGAGCAGGGCAAGGGGGGAAGAGGGAGACAGACACACACATGCTACACACATGCTGACCTCAGGACAGCCCTGAGGCTCATCCCCAGAACATGGCCCACCACTTCTGAGAAAGAAACAAATGCCCTCAGCCCTTCAACCCTTCTCAGAGCTCCTCCCTTCTTCCTCTGATTCCCCGTAACATTCAGTCACCCACTCACCTCCTTTTTTTGGCGCTTGCTCTTAGGGATTTTAGGGTCCCGAGGTTTCTTAGGCTTTTTCTTCTTCTTGAGCTTTGGAGTCTCTGTTTCTGACAAATCCTCTTCTGGGTCCTCTTCATTTTCTACATATATTTGGCAAAGAGTGGTAGGCAGGGAAAAGATCAATAGCAAAAGGTTAGGCCCTAATCCAGAGGCTTTAGACTTTATTCCCCACCTCTTGTCCCAGATTCCTCTGAAGAGAACTGCTATACTCTGTACAGGAGGAAGCTGATACCCAGGACAAAAACAGACAAAGAGAGAGCTGTATATACCCGAAATAGGCCTGCCAGGCCAGACCAGGCCCACCTCGGGCAGCTGTCCAGACCCCTGCCTCCTCTCTCCCGTTCCTACCAGTCCTCTAGATGTTCACCAGTACAGCTGAACTGAGCTGCTCAGAGTTCACCAAGTAAGAGAACTAGATTTAGGCCTCCTGTAACTGGCCACCAAGTTATTCTATAAACCAGGGAATGAGAATGAAAGATCCTACTCAGAAGGCAAAAACTATAGAATATACCTTCCCAGAACAGGATCAGTTCAGGGGTCTCGGAAACCACACCCTTCTCTAACCACTTTGAAGTCATCACTGCTCAAATTAACCAGAACCTCCAAGTCCTAGGTTCAGGTGCCAGCTCAATCTCATGCCCACTTCTAAAATACAATTTCCTTTCCCCATCTCCAACCCTAATGTTCCTCCTCAGCTTCTCCTGGGTCAGCAGCCTCTTCTCCCTAGGGGCCCGAATCAGCCCAGCTGTCACCATCTCCCCTACACCCGCCCCCCAGCAAGCCTCCTCCCATCTGGCTCCACCTCCTCCCCTGGCTGGAGGCACACACAAAGCCTGGGTAAGACTGAAAGCTCCTGGGCAAGGATAGGTGGGAAGGGACACAGAGAAGACCAGGAGGCAGCTTCCTTTGTAACAGACATTCACACTGGCTCCGACTCCCTCCTCCCTCCTCTCTCCCTCTTCCCAAGCCACCCCCGCCCAAAGGGGGGTGGGTAGAGAAAGGAGTGGAGAGAAGAAGGGAGTGCCTCACCCACTGAGGAGAGGGAAAATGGCTCCTGACCGCAGAAGCCAGCCCAGGGCACCCAGCTGCCAACATAGGACAGACAGGAAGTGGCAGGGGAGGGGGTGGGTTTGAGAGAGGTGGGGTGGCGGGGGGGGAGACTGCCCTCATAGAAGCCTCCCCAAATTACCTGGCCCCAGGTCCAAATGCCACCTACTCTGGGATGACAACAGTTCACAAGAGCCCACCCTAACATCCTAAGCAAGGAAACCCAAGGAAAGCGAGACAAACATGAAGGTAATACTAAGAGAAGAACTCGATCACTCCCTCAATCATAATTATTTTTTCAATCATCAGAGCTGAGATTTAACAAAGGCTCAGTGGACTTGTGGTCAGCGCATACAACCTTCTCCCCAAATTTCTGATACCCAAAAGATTTAGTTTGAGGAATGGAGGCCCACAAGAAGTCTCTGAAGCTCAGCTTCCTCACCACTCCCACCCAGATTCCTATCCAACATATGGGAATGTCTGCACAAAAAAACAGAGCAGGACCTAGACAGTGGTAGAAGAGAATATCCCAATCGGGTGCAATGGCTCATGCCTGTAATCGCAGCACTCTGGGAGGCTGAGGCGGGCAGATCATTTGAGGTCAGTTCGAAACCAGCTTGGCCAACATGGTGAAACCCTGTCTCTACTAAAAAAACAAAAATTAGCCAGGCATGGTGGTGGGTGCCTGTAATCCCAGCTACTCAGGAGGCTGAGGCAGGAGAATCGCTTGAGCCCGGGAGGCGGAGGTTGCAGTGAGCCAAGATCGCACACTGCACTCCAACCTTGGCGACAGAGTGAGACCCCATCTCAAAAATAAAAAAGAAAATAATATCCCTCCTTCAATCCCTGACATGTTCTTAGCTCTTAACCCCCAAAATTAGCCCTAAAATGTCTCTGGCTCCCCACTTCCTGAGCTAGACAGATACTAGGGAATGAGACATTAGGCTGGACAAAGCACCATCAGCCTCCCTGCTTCTCAGCCCAGAATAAGACCAGGCACAAGAACGCCCCTCCCATTCCCCCTTGGGAATGCAACATCAGCCTGGATTTCACCAGAAAGAATCATTTTCTTAAGGACTTTTCCCCACCAATCCCCAAGTCAACCCCCAACCCCCATCAGCTACATCTCACCACCCCCATAAAAGCTGGAAGTGGAGACAAAGACAACCCATGGAGGCAAAGGGGACATCCTTCCATGCACATGGAGCCCCCCAAACTTCTCAGGCAAATAATATGCTGAAATGGCAAACCGCAAACTTACTGAGATATAGAGAAGATTTAGGAAAGGGACAGGAATGGGGTGTGGCAAGTGGAAAAAGTGGGTCATGCTACAGCTCAGGACAGAGTTCACAGCTCCTGCGCAGCTCCCGGTCAACATGAAAGGCAGCCCCAGCCCAAGTGGCCAATGGGAGGCCAAGACGTGGAACCCAGAATGTTTAGGCAGCACTACTGTTTCTCATGCCCCTCTCAGAAGGACAGGGTCCCCTTACCAGCACCACAACTCCGCCCTCACCTTGGGCAAGGGCATGGAAATCTGCCCCCTACTCTACACAAGGATGAAACCAAGTTTCTCATCCCAACAGCCCAGACTCCATGACAACACTAACCCCTCTCCTAAATGGCCTCAGGTTGAAGTGAAGAATTCCAACTTAAAAAGTGCCAAATGTGAAAGCATCTCTCCCAGACCACCTCAACTTCCACTGAAGCTAAGAAGAGAGAAGGCAGAAGTGAATGATGCTGGATGAGAAACAAAAACAGGATCAGCAGGCTCCAGAATGAGAAGAAAACTAGAAGCAGAAGGAATGAAGAAATGACATGTAGAAAAAAAAATTAAACTAGAAAACATGAAGGTCAAGGAGATGAGTAGGTGACACAGCTAGGGGCTCTGAAAAAGGACACAGAAGAGAAAGACATCTGCTTAGGGGCATGACATCAACCATCATTTGAGGATAGACAACAGTTCCCCCAATCAGACAGGGTGGTTACAACCATACGGGTTTGGCCAGTTCATGAAGCCACCCCAAAACACAGATAGCGTAACCCCTAGCACACCTACACAGACACTTCACACTGCCAGCCTAAACCGCAGGCTACCTCATAGAGACAGAAGCCACTAGGAAAAAAGCCAAAACTATGTCCACTCACCAGGAGGAGGAGTGCCCTCCCTTCTTTTGCCCCTCTTCACTAGGCTATTACATCCTCCCCGAGCCCCCATCACTTCCCCACTCAAAACATTCCAGCAATCTGCCTGGCTGCTTTAAGCACTCCAGATCCTGCTGAGGAGCGCGATTCAAACTTCACACAGTTCAGACAGCACAGAAAACCGGTAACCGATCAGAAGCTAAAAATAATCAGATAGAGTGTAACCAGCACTCCCTCTTTCCTTTCCACAGCAGCAACCACAGGATCCTACTAGCACAGATGCCCGGCTGGTCTTTCAAACAGAATCCTCAACGCCCCCCTCCACCACCACCACCACAAGCCTCCAGGGGTCCCAGCTACCTGCATTCCTCCGAGGACCCACATACCAGGTAATGCCTGCCAGCCCAGAGAGCTCCCTCAACTGGGAACTGCAGAGCATTCCTCAAGACAGAGTGCAGCAAGCTGGCATCTCCGTGCCCAGGAGGCACATGGCTTCCACCCCCCTCACACCAGAGCTCCGCAGAAGGGAACCACTCCCTTCGGATACCCTCCACCTCCGGCTCTGCACAGAGACAGCGGAGCAACACAGCCCTGCCTCACCAGAGGAGTCACTCGGGAGAGCCCCAGATGTCTCCTTCCCGCCATGGGCCCTTGGGGAAGATGTTACCTGGGTGGGGTGGGGGCAGGCTGTTGTTCAAAAGTGCATCCATATCCTCCTCCTCACTGCCCGCCGAGCAGGGGGACGGGGAGCCCAGGCCCGACGCCATCCCCTTCCGCTCCCGGCCAGGGAATTGGCCCAGCTGCTCCTGCCGGCGGCCTGAGGACCTCTACACTGGCCCGAGTCACTGTGCGGGGGAGGGGGGAGAAACACAGAACAGTCAGTGACGCGCACTGTCCCCCTCCCCCACACCCACCCGCTCTTTCCGCCCCCCACCCCAGCCACCCTAGCAGGGCACCCGAACCGCTCAGGCTGAACTTAGTTCCACACTCCTCGGGGGCAGCCCGGAAGCCGGCTCCCCGGCAGGCGCCCCCACGGAGCGAGGGAGCGACGCCTCCGAGGGCAGGCTGGTGCAAGCGCGGGGAGGGGAGACGCGGGGCTGGACCGAGCGGGGTGTGACGGGGGAGGGGGTCCGAGTGGCAGCGGCGCGGGGGGGCCAGGGGAGGCCGCAGGCGGCGAGGCGCTCGGGGACACAAGGTCACTTGGGGGTGGGGGGGCGCCTCCCTGCGCCCGGGGAGGGGCCAGTCCCCAGACAGGGCAGCTCTCCAAAGGCTGTCCTCTGGGACAACTCAGGTTCTCCTCAAGAGCTGCGGGGACGAGGGGGCGTGGAGGCTCGGGCGCTGCGGGGGGCCGGAGGCAGGGACGCGGGGGGCGAAAGCGTCCCACCGGGAAGGGGGCCGGGCCACGTGTCCCGGGGGGCAAGTGATCAAAGGGCGAGGGGGTGGGCGCCGGGCATTGTGGGAGACCAAGCCGGAGGCGGGGGGTCGCGGGGAGCAAGACTCCGGCAGGGTTAGGGCGGGGGCTGGGGAGGAGGCCGGGCGCCCTGCAGGGCCAGGAAAGGAAGGGTCGGCTCCTCTGGGCAAGGGGCGGTCCGCGGGTCCGGAGACGCCTGAGGAAGGGGCGGGTGACGGGATGACCCTCGGGGCTGGTAGGGCCGTGAGGGGCGTCTCTTTGGGAACCCCGCGCTCTCCTCACCCCGGAGCCGCCGCAGGTCGCGCTGGGTCCGGCTCGGTGTCACTCCCGCTCCGGCTCCTCCTCGCCGCGGCCGAAGGGGGGAAAATGGCTCCGGCTCCAGCGTCGCCTCTTAAAGGGCCTGAAACACCGGCCGGGAAATCCCACCGCACAGGCCCCGCCCCCCCACGGACAGCCCATAATAACCTCAACCAACTCCAACCCCCCCCTTCCACTACCGCCACCCTCCTCCCCAGGTCTCCCGGGCAACCCCCGCCCCCTCGTCGCTCAGGCAACCACTGGCCACGCCCCCTTCGCAGCGGGCGCGCGCGCGTCACCTGGGCAACCGCCCACCTCCTGGCCATCCCATAATACACACGGACACCCCCCCCCCCAACACACACACACACACACACACACACACACACACACACACACACAACACACACACACCCTGCCCCCCCACATTTCATACACATATGCCAGAGACTGCTGACATCTCAAAATATTGCAGACCTTTTGCAACTAACCCTCTTAGACATCCCATAATAGACATCCTTTGCCAACTTCTTCTTCACTCTTGGACCTAATGCTAACATCCCATAATAATTCATCACCCCTCCCTCCCCATGGCCATCCCATAATAAGCACCCCTCGCAGCACTTATGCCTCATATCCCATAATATTCAGCCCCATCCCCCACAGACATCCCATAATAACCATCCTTCATCCACCCCCAGTTTGATATCCCATAATAGTCAGAAACTCACCCCCCCCCATACTACAACAACGGACACTCGGCCTCCTCCCACACACATCCCGTAATAATCAGTCTCCCACTTTCTATACTGACATCCCATAATAACTAACCCCCTAGAGCTGCCCTCAGTCCCTGCAGGCCAGGGTCTAGAGGCTCACATCACCCCCAGCCTTCCCTCTTCTAGCTCCACAGCCTATAGTAAGTACCCCTCCTCTATCAAAAAGATAACCCATAATGATCAACAGCCCTACTGTCGCCCCACAGATGGACATCTAATCTCTTTTCCTCTAACACTGGAAAGCTATCCCATAATAATTTTACTCTCCTACCCACATCCTGACATCCCATAATAATTGCAAGGAGCCCGTGGTCAACCAAACATACCATAATACTCCCAACACAACCCAGTGTCACATCCCATAATGCTTCATCTCCACTCTACCACCCCTATACCCTTCGAGCCAGGCATCCCATAATATTCATATTCTTCCCACCCCCATCTCCAGGCGCTGTCAGTCTATTCTAACACCCAGAGCAGGGAGGGCCAGGCAGGCTACCCACGCTTCCTTGTCCCCGCCCCCACTTGCACACACCTTAATCCCTTTCTGGGCCAAAGTAGTATCCTGGCAAAAAGCCTCCTGATGTCTGGGACCCCAGCTTCCCTCATACCATCATTTCCAGACACTCGGGGGCTGGGAGCCCACCTAGGGCCCCACCCAGTCCCACCAAAATCTAGGTATTTTCCAGATGCTTACCTCCAGCTCCTAAGTTTTGAGGAACACCAACCAACCAAAATACCAAGCTGACAGATGAAACATTTACATGAAGTCTAATTCACCCTACAGCATCCCATAATAATTACCAACTCCCATCCAAAGACTATCTCTCAACATTCTAGCAATCCTCCCCCTCACCACATCCCCAGGTCAGGGATCTTTCACCAACACCCCCAGGCCATTCCTGGGGATGGACATCCCATCACGATGTGAACTCAGGTTCCTGCTCTATACACACCAAGAGTGAAGGCCTGCCCTCCCGCTACTCACCACTACTCATGTTCATTCAACCTGTGTTGACAGAGTACCTAGCAAGGCCGAGCTCCGCACCATGGAGAATCAAGGAAGACCAGGGGGCCTCCCTTCAAAAAGCATAAGCAACCAAGCAAACTATGATACACGACAGAATGGTGCCAAGGGAGAACTGCTGAGCACTGTTTCCCAATTTCCTGTTACAGAAAATAAAATCCCACTGGTTCCAAGAGAGAACATATCCCAATAAGATTTATCGTGGTCCTTCTAGAGGCTGGAAGATGATACTTAAAGGATTTATGGGTATAGACCATAGTCAACATGATCTCCTATCTGTTCCCTACTTACTAGGGGATTTTTCTTGGAAAGCAATGTTCATCCATCCAGCATTCCTAATACTGAAATCCTATAATATGTTCATGTCCTTCCTTCTTAAGAGACTCCACAATATACCAGCATTGTTTCCCTCATTCTTGAACACCAAATCCTGCTTATCCTCAATGTCCCATATTTTTCAGGCACTTTCCCATTTTATATCCTGAAGTCTCATAGTATCTCCAATGGCCTCCATCCTCATCTTGTTGGGGCCACATTCTCCACCTCAAAAAAAAAAAAATCTTTAGTTGTATAATGTTCCCCATCTTCCCCTGCCTGTATAGAAGTCAATATTCCAGCGGGGCATGGTGGCTCATGCCTGTAATCCCAGCACTTTGGGAGGCCAAGGCAGGTGGATCACAAGGTCAGGAGTTCAAGACCAGCCTGGCCAAAATGGTGAAACCCCGTCTCTACTAAACATACAAAAATTAGCCTGACATGGTGGCACGTGCCTGTAATCCTAGCTACTCAAGGGCTGAGGCAGGAGAATTGCTTGAACCCAGGAGGTAGAGGTTGCAGGGAGCTGAGATTGCACCACTGCACTACAGCCTGGGCAACAGAGCAAGACTCTGCCTCAGAAAAAAAAAAAAAAAAAAAGAAGTCAGCAGTCCAGGAAACCTTCTACATTGAATTATGCCCCAAGGTAGCCCTCCAGCGTATACCATCTCCTTCCCTTATTATGCATACCCTCCAGCCACCCTATGGACCCAATCCTAGAAGCTGAAATAACCGAATTTTTTTTGTTTTGTTTTTTGTTTTTTTGAGAGACAGGGTCTCAGTGGCGCAATCACAGCTCACTGCAACCTCAACCTCCTGGGCTCAAGTGATCATCCCACCTCAGCCTCCCACCTGTAGCTGGAACCACGGGCATACACCACCACACCCAGCTAATTTTTAAATTTATTGTAGAGACGGGGTTTCACTATGTTGCCAGGCTGATCTTGAACTTCTGGACTCAAGTGATCTTCCCACCTCAGGAAAGAGCCTAATTTTTTTTTTTTTTTTTTTTTTTGAGACGGAGTTTCGCTCTTGTTGCCCAGGCTGGAGTGCCATGGCGCGATCTCGGCTCACTGCAACCTCAGCCTCCCAGGTTCAAGTGATTTTCCTGCCTCAGCCTCCCGGGTAGCTGGGATTACAGGCATGTGCCACCATGCCCGGCTAATTTTGTATTTTTAGTAGAGACGGGGTTTCTCCATATTGGTCAGGCTGGTCTCGAACGCCCAAACTCAGGTGATCCGCCCGCCTCGGCCTCCCAAAGTGCTGGGATTACAGGCGTGAGCCACTGCGCCTGGCCAGGAAAGAGCCCAATCTTAAAACCCTTTGGCCCTCAGAAAACCTAACCCATCAGCCTGTCACTTTTCCCTTTTCCTGACTCCCAGAGATTCAGGACCTGAGTGAAAACCAATGTCCCAGCACCACTGCCTTGCTGCCCTAACCCCAGGCCAAGGATAATGTCTCCCTCTGCTCATGTACCTTTTTTGCATGGGTCCAAGACCTATGGAAGTGGGACGAGTTGAAAAGAAACTTGGACTTCCTTGTAGAAAGGGCCCTTTACTAACCAGTAGTGAGTGGGATGAACCTCATGCCATCTCTGCATTACCCTTCTCATCTCATTTTCCTAGAGGAAGGCCTGGCCAGATGGCTCTCCCCTTCTCTAGGATCCAAGGGACTGGAGAACTGGTACAAAGAAATGAGTTCAGGGAAGGCAAGAGCTTGCCTCAGGGAATTACAATCCCCCTGCTCCTGAGCAGAGCACCAGGGATGCAGACAAGTCTTCCGCTAGCTCCTGGCTGACTCTGTAGACCCACTAGCATTCCACATTTAACTCTCCTCATCTTAGGACTGGAGTTTTTGGCATCAAAGACATCAGGTCCTGTCAAAAGCTCCCTGTCACCTTTGAAGTAGGTGTTTTCTTTTTCCAACCTTCCCTTCAGCTCCCTGGCCCACCCTCTTGCTGCACTCATTGTGGCAAGCGGGCCATTCTCCCCCGTTCTGCAAGGCTTCCAGTTTCCCTCGTTAAATGCTCTCGACATCAAGACTGGGCCCCATTTACTTACCCAAGCCCTCTCCCATACTTACTCTGAGTACTAAGAATGAAACTTGTGTTCCACAATGGGGGGTGAGGAGGCAGCTCTTTTCAGATACCATGATGTGGGGACACCTCCTTTCAGGGAAGTTTCTCCTTCCTACAGAGGGCTGCCAGATGCCTATTGTGCGCTCTTCTACCCTCATTTCTCCAGGGGATCCAGCCTGTCTCTGGGCCTCAAATTCCCTTCTGCAATATCTCCATCTGCCCATACCCATACTCTCATTTCCACAGTGATCTGTCCATATAAACCAGTAAGAGAGCGTTTGGGTAGTCACAGCCTCCTGCCTGTGACTAAAAATATCCACATTTTATTTATCCATATATCCTTTGTCCACTACTCACCCTGTGTCCCTATTCCTGTAGGTTCTACCCACTTCTTCCTTTGCTGCTCTTGCTCCCCACCTCTCCCTAACACCACAACAAGGAGAAAGTTAAAATCCCTTCCTCTCTTCTTGAGTTCCAGAAAGGGCTCGGAGGTGTGTGCTGGTGTGTTGCTTTGTAGTCCTTATGCTTCTACGCTTCCCCTCCCTCCTCTAGCCCCGTGCTACCCTCCCAGATAAATTATAAATAAACCACTAGCATGACTGGCCCAGGGAGACTAAGGGTGGCATAATCTCCTAATTAATGCACCCAGGAGGGCAGCCTCTCTAGCCAGTTACCTTAGAGTTCTGTTTTCATCCCATGGTACAGAAGAACCTAGAACAACACTCAGAGTGGGTTGTTCATGGAGTTTTTAGCATTTGCTCTATAATTCCTCTCCTTACACCTCTGTTTTGTGTGAACCTGAAAAACTCTGTTCATAAGAGGTCCAAGGGGCCACAGTGTTCTCCTGCTCTGTCTGAAAAGGGGATTTTGGGAGACAACGAGGGAAGCAAAGCCACAGTGACAGTGCACTCCAAAGGCTAGACAGGATGCAGATCACGTGGGGCTTGGGGGTGACATGCCAGGTGTTTGTATCTCAGGAGGCAACCTACTATCTGTTTTTTGGGTGTGACTGCAAGGTAGCAAAGCGCTCCGTGCACAACCCCCCAACCTAAGCAAAGTGCTCCGTGCACAACCCCCCAACCTAAGCAAAGTGCTCCGTGCACAATCCCCCAACCTGAGCTATGGTCCCCAGGCTCAAACCCAGGAAGACAAAGATGGAAGGGAGACGGGTACTATCGCCATCCATGACTACTACTCCCTTTGGTATGCCACCCGGCCAGAACATCTCAGTTCTCATTTGCAGTGCAGCTCTGCAGGCCCCGGACTCACAGGGCAACCCTGTAGCGCACAAGCTGTTTAAAGGACCCAGGTGTCCAGGGTTCAGATTTGGCTCGCTGGAGCCTGCCCCAGGGGCCCCTTCAAACAGCTGTCACCAAAGAAACCTCTCCAGCCAGTTACTCCTGCCAGGCCTCAGGTCCGACTCCAGGGCTCACCCTACCCTCCCCAGCTCCTTCCCTCCCTCTTCCTTCCCTCCCCCTCCCCACCCCTCCCTAGAGTTTCACCTCTCCTGGACAGCCCCACCCAGCTGTGCAGGGCACATCCCATAATAATCCTCCTCGCTAGCCTTACCCCCCCAAAAAAAGAGAGGCGGCCATCCCATAATAGCCACCCACAAGAGACATTCCGCGGTGACCGCCCCCTCCCTGCAGAGCTGCTGGGAGCAGCCATCCCATAATAGCTGGCCGCCTGTTTTACTGGTTACGGCTGTGGAGGGAGCTGGAGAGGAAATGGAGGGGAGGGGGGAGGGGAGAAAGATCCAGGGCCCCCACTTTGTGGGATGCAGGGAGAAGGGGAAGGACGGTGGTATAAGGGGCTAGGGTGCAGAGGAGGCCGTCGTGCAGGTGGAAGGTGTGATCCACTGGCCACCACCACCCTGCTTTAGGGCTTTCTCCCCATTCGCCAGGGGCTACTTTTCTCCTCAGCACCCCGGAGGTGGCTGCTAGTTAGGGGAGAAGCCCGGGATGGGTTGAGGTGCCCAAAGTCTGTGTGTGTAGGGAGATGGGTTTCAGGTGTTCCTCTTGGGGAGTCTGAGAGAGGACGGTGACCTTAGAAAGGATGGTAGGCGAGTAAGGGTTGAGGAGGTGGGGGGGCTGGAGAAGAGCTCCTCAGGCCCTCCCCATTCTGCACCACCATCCCATAATAATCCCCCCAGCCCCACTCCCCCTCCCACACACGACATCCCATAATATCTTCTGGAGAAGCAGTCCCCGCAGTAGGTACAAAGAGCTATCCCATAATAAGCTCCCCCACCCCCACTCACCACCCCCCCCAACTTGGCCCCCCCTCAGTCACATGCAGCCGGTGCCATCCCCCGCTGCTCCCCCCTCTGGCCACCGAAGGCCTTGCCAGCCCATAATACTCTTGCCTCTGGTCGCAGGAGGCCTCCAGCCCATAATACTCCCTTCCACCACCACCCCCCCTTCCCGCCCCGCACCCCTTCCTCCCGCCTCCAGTTGGAGCCGGGCCTCACCAACCCATAATATTCCCCAGTCTCCTAAGGCTGTTCCAGCCCATAATACTCTCCCTGTCTCCTAAGGCCTCTCCATCCCATAATACTGCCAGACGCCTGACCTGTGGGCCAAACCCCAGCCAGTTCCACACATCGAGGCTGTGTCAGCGCCGCAGGCCTCCCTCCCTGTCCCTCCTCCCTCCCTGGTCGGCGCTTTCCCTCCCAGGCTTTCTCCCGCCCTCCTGCCCTGGGCCCCTCTCCCAGCCCCACCCCGTGCCTGCCTGGGCCCTCGCTTCCCCTCCAGCCTCCTCCCTTGCCCTTTCTCCATTGCTTGGTTCTCCAGCCAGCTTCCCCCTGTCTTGCACTTTCCTACCTCCTCCTTGGTCTGTGGGATGGACATGGGCCTAGTGGGGAGAGAGTGCCCCCAGAGGGCAACAGGCCAGTCGCTGCCCCTAAAGACTGCCTGCTTGACCTAGCACCGTGGAAACCTGCCCAGCCTGCCTTGCTCACCACCTCCCGTGGTCCTACGTCTGATTGCTGGCAGAGCTCTGTCTGGGTGAGGAAAGAGCCCTTCAGGTCTTCGGGAAACACTCCCCTTGGGCATCACTGGCAGAGTTGATCAATGGCCTCGCCTCCCCATGCTCTTGTTGGAAAGAAGGAGCTCCCACTTATGGGGCATCTAGAGTACCTTTCAAAGGTGGGCTCCTTGACCCTCACAATAACCCAATAAGTGGATATTATGAGCCCCATTTCACAGAGAAATGGGAGAAAACAGAGGCTCAGAGAGGTCAAGAAATTTGTTGAAGCCACATTGCCAAGAAGTGAGAGAGTTGAAATTAATGCCCAGATTTGTTTGATTCCAAAGTTCTGGAGCCTTTGGGATTCCCCAAACCCTGAGTGAGAAAGTTCACCTTCCAGGACTTTCCGTGCTCCTCTGGCAAGGACAACATGGTGAGAATTACCCCAACTTGTCCAGGGCCTTCCTGTGTGAGATTAACCTTCCGTTCCCCGTTTCTTCCATGGGACTCCAGGTGGCAGCCTCGAGGGAATTCCATCTTCAGGATGGTTGAGGACCAAGAAGGAAGAATCTCTGCCCTCCTTTGATATCCCTTACCTCTGCCCTGGCTCTCCTAAATTTGTTTTAAGATTAATGATTGTGGCCGGGTGTGGTAGCTCACACCTGTAATCCCAGCACTCTGGGAGGCAGAGTCAGGCACATCACATGAGGCCAGGAGTTCAAAACCAGCATGGCCAACATGGTAAAACCCCGTCTCTACTAAAAATACGAAAATTAGCTGGGCGTGGTGACGCACGCCTGTAATTCCAGCTACTAAGGAGGCTGAGGCAGGAGAATCACTTGAATCTGGGAGGGGGAGGTTGCAGTGAGCCGAGATGGCACCACTGCACTCCAGCATGGATGACAGAGCAAGACCTTGTCTCAAAAAAAAAAAAAAAAAAAAAAATTAAGGCCAGGAGCGGTGGCTCATGCCTGTAATCCCAGCATTTTGGGAGGCCGAGGTGGGCGGATCATGAGGTCAGGAGACGGAGACCATCCTGGCTAACCTGGTGAAACCCTGTCTGTACTAAAAATAAAAACAATCAGCTGGGTGTGGTGGCACGTGCCTGTAGTCCCAGCTACTCGGGAGGCTGAGGCAGGAGAATCACTTGAACTTGGGAGGCAGAAGTTGCAGTGAGCCGAGATCGTGCCACTGCACTCCAGCCTGGGTGACAGAGCAAGACTCGATCTCAAAAAAAAAAAAATAATAATAATGATTGTTACTCTTCCCAGCTCCTCTCACCATGTGGAGGGACCATCCTACCGAGGAGACAGACTTTGAGGAAGGGTGAACCAAGGGATGGTCCCTGCTCAGTGTACACAATCAGGAGTGCTGCCTTGGAGATGTAGGGTACATCACAGGCTGGGGGAGGGGAGTCATGGCCAACTGCCTGAAGTCTTAAGGCATTCTGCCTGTGTGTGGGCCCTCGATGTGGTGTATTTTAGGGCCCAACACAATTAGAACCTTGAGTGAGCCAGCTCTCAACCTCCCCAACCCCTACAGCCACATGGTGTTCAATAAACAGGGGGCTGAGACAAACGGAGAGGGAAGGGGCGGGTGTGCTGTAGGGCAAGTGGATTAGGGGCATGGAGGAAGAACTGGGAAGAGGAGGACCAAGATGATGCAGCAGATTCAAGGCAAGCCAGGCAGTTGAAAGAGGTGGCTACATGAGGAGGGGAGGAGAAGGAAGGAAACCCGGGGTGGTATGTAACAGGAAAGAAAGTCCCAGGAAGGAGAGGTATACTGCAAAAAGCAGGAGTTTGGGAGCCAAATTACAGACTGAGCCACTTTCTAGTTGTGTGACCTTAAGACCTCAGATTCTCCAGGGTGTTTCATCTGTAAAAGGGATGAACATCATCTCCAACTCAGATTATATTATTTAATATAATAAAGAAGATAATGCATCTTAAGCGCTAACTTGAAATCTTGGCATACAGAAGAGTATTTTTTAAACCTGCTAAAAGGCCGGGTGCAGTGGCTCACGCCTGTAATCCCAGCACTTTGGGAGGCCGAGGTGGGTGGATCACCTGAGATCAGGAGTTCAAGACCAGCCTGGTCAACATGGTGAAACCCTGTCTCTACTAAAAATACAAAAATTAGCCGGGCATGGTGGCGGGCGCCTGTAATCCCAGCTACTCAGGAGGCTGAGGCAGGAGAATAGCTGGAACCTGGGAGGCGGAGGTTGCAGTGAGCAGAGACCACCAACTGCACTCCAGTCTGGGCAACAAGAGTGAAACTCCATTTCAAAAACAACAACAACAACAAAAACTGCTAATGCTCATTCCCGTCTGTCTAAGATTTTCCCCTTCTCTATCTTTGGATTTTCATAGACCTTAAATAGAGCAGCTTCAGGGCATGGGGTGAGGGCTCTGGACTTCATATTGCTCTCTTAGTCTTGGGGAACCCTATGAAAATGGCCTAATCTATTCTTGCCTCTCTGTTCTCTTGATGGAAAGCCTTTGGATATCTGAATGGGGGGAAATAGTCCACCAGGGCTTTGACACCAGAGATTTCACATCAGAGACAATGTATTGCCATCTAGCTCTTCCACAGGCCATGGCCACACTTGTCCTGGGCTATTGTAATGGCCCCCTGACCAGTCTTTCGTTTCTTTAGACTTTCCCCCCCCATCATTTTCCTACAGTTTATTCCACACAGTTTGTCAGTGTGAGCAAAACCTCACTCAGGAGCCTCCGTGGGCTTCCCATTGCCCACTAAACCAACTGCCAGCACCTTACCCTGCATTCTTGTGTTTTCTGCCTGGCATTATAGTTTTTGTTTACTTGTTCTATGGTTCTCACTAGATTGTAAACTACTTCACAGCAAGATCTGACTGTTCATTCATTCAACAAATATTTACTGAGCACTTTCTCTGTGCCAGGCACTGTTTTAGATGCTGGGGATCATCAGAGAATCAAGCAAAAATCCATGCCCCCACAGAACTTACATTCTACCTAGGATATAGGACGGGGTGGCGGAGATGATAAACTATAAAAATTAGAATAAATAAATTATATAGTATGTTGAAAAGTGATACATGCCGTGAGTTGTAATTACTTTGGAACTCACGTACCTGCCTATAAAAGTACTCAAGTAATCTTTAAAAATTGTGTTTGATTCTGTTTGAATAGGGCAAAGTGCTAAGATTTTGGACTACGAGGTTTGGCGCTGCCAGTGCTCTCAGGACAGGAAGGGCACAGGTCTTGAACCCTGAAGATGAAGAGAGATGGAGCAGGTGCTAATCACCAGGCCTCTTCCAGAGCGGCTGGAGGTAAGTGCCGGGCTCCAGGCTCCAATCTCCACCCAGATGGAGAAAGGCCCAGATTTCATGGCTATCCCTGAGGAATCTGGGTCAGTTCTCTGATTTGGCCACCAGGGGTCATTTTACCCCTGTAAATCACCATCTGGAGCACTTGGCATAAAGGCACACACAAAAGGCTACCCTGGACTAAAACAGACACAAACGGAGAACCCTGACACACACACACACACACACACACACACCTCTCTCTCTCTCTCTCTCACACACACACACACACACATTCTCTCACACACACAGAGTGCGTGCACACACAGATAAAAATACAGTATTGAGACATAGGGACAGAAATGCTATAGGACGCACACAGGGCAACAGCTCCTTCAGTAATGCCAGGGTCTGAAGATGTCCACAAGTGCCAACTCTGCAGCCCCTCCGAGCCCCCAACTTGGGTGAAGAGGGAAGGAATAGCCGGGCACAATGGCTCATGCCTGTAATCCCAGCACTTTGGGACGCAGGCAGATTCACCTGAGGTCAGGAGTTCGAGACCAGTCTGGCCAACATAGTGAAACCCTATCACTACTAAAAATACAAAAAATTAGCCGGGTGTGGTGGTGTGCACCTGTAATCCCAGCTACTTGGGAGGCTGAGGCAGGAGAATCCTATGAACCCGGGAGGCAGAGGTTGCAGTGTGCTGAGATCGCGCCATTGCACTCCAGCCCAGGTGACAGTGCGAGACCCTGTCTCAACAAAAAAAAAAAAAGAGGGAAGGACTAGTAGGTGGCCCATTTCCCTTGCTTCCAGCGTGCTGAGAATGGACAGCCTATTCCTGTCCTCCCATCTCACTCTTAACTTCCCCATAAACTTTTCTCTCCTGGCTGTGGCACAGTTCCCTTTTCCCTCCCCCAGAGAAGCCCCATCCCCTCTGCCTGAGTGTATGACTAGTTCCACCCCCCAGTCTCCATCCCTGCCCCAGGGCTGCTGCTCTGATATGCCCAGGGTAGTGTTCCATTTTATGTACTACTCCTAGGGCCGCAGGAAAACCCTGAGCCATGAAGACTATCAGTAGTGATTAATTTATTTAGCACTGCCCTCTCCCCACAGTAATAAAAAGCACTGTACATAATGCCCTGGGAAGAAGTTAGACATGAACTCCAATACTTCAGGACAAGTATGGTTCTCAAAGTGTGATCCAGGGACCAACCCTCTGAGGAAGTCCACGAGGTCAAGCTATTTTCATAATACTGCTACACAGATGTTATTTGTCCCTTTCACTCTCATTCTCTCACAAGTATACTGTAGAGTTTTCCAGAGGCTTCATGAAGTGTGTGTGGTGACATTATTGCTCCCATGGCTAATGTAATGTGTGCATGTGTATTTATTTTAAAAATGTATTCGCTTTAATTTCTAGTATGGTAAGTATCAAAAGAACAAAATATAAGCAAAGCTCTTTGAGATCCTCAATTTCTAAGAGTGGGGTCTGAGACCAAAAAGTTTGAGAACCAGTGCTTTAGTAGAAAGAATTTTATCCTTACTCTGGACAAAGGAGAGAGAGGGAGAGAGAGAGAAGAGGAGAAGAGAGAGGAGAGGAGAGGAGAGAGAAGAGAGAAACGAGAGAGAGAGAAAAAGAAAGAATATTAAGGACCTAAAATGGAGGAGGCCTGGAAAAGGGGATGTGATGGAAGAAAGGATAACCTAAAAAGGGTTTGGACTTGGATGTTGTTGAGGGGGAAACTCTAAGTTAGTTTTGCCTTGCCCCAACTATCCCATGCTGGATGCCAAGTCTAAATTGTCACAAGTCACTATGCGAGAAAGAATGTAGTTCTGTCCATAGGAACTCTTGTATTAGGCCTCAGTGGTGAGCAGGGGAAGCCTAGGCCGAAATGAAAGGGGGTGGCATCCATGAGCCTAGACAGAAGTCAGCAGATGAACAGGCATCTCAGTAGCTTTGTCCACCAAACCTGGTGCTCTTCAGCTCTCAGGCCCCTGTGGCGGTTTAGATCCAGAATGCCCATTTTCTGTTCCATCTAACCAGCTTTTAGCAGTTTAATGCCCTGCCCACCCAAAGGCATTTCGTCCTCTTCTGCCCTCTGCACGGGTGGGCTCTCTGCATCACTTCCCACCGCTGGAGAAGGGGTGCTCTGCGTGCTCACAGTTTAAAGAAGCCATTTCCAGCAGCACTGCCTTCCCTGGGCCCTGGCTTCCACACTTTGTACTCTTCTGCGTTGCTAAGCTGGAATTGCCACCCAAAGGTCCAAGTGCCCAGCCCACCTTCTTGTGTGTACACCCTGTAAGCCTCCCAGAACGAGAGGCGTTGGGAGTCGGGCACGGACAGCGCAATGGCATGTGTGTTCAGAGGGCGGAATCCTGGGGACACTGTGTGAAGGAAGACAGAGAGTGGGAGTCGGAGGGTCGGAGCAGCCCCTGACTGGCGGCATCCGGCCTGGTGGCGTCGGTGGTGACGGCGGACCTTTCGGATTGCGCGAGCGCCGCCCGCGTCCCGTTGGTGGCCGAGGTCCTGGCCCGGTGCGGAGTGCCCAGGCCGCGCAGGGTGTTGCGGAAGCCCTCGGCGCTAAAGTAGTACACCAGCGGGTCCAGCACGCAGTTGGCGCCGGCCAGCAGCACCATCACCATCAGCACCCCGCGCACGCGATCGCGGGCAGGCACGCTGGCCGCCACCAGCTTGCTCCGCAGCAGCCCGTAGACCGCCAGCGTGCTGTTGTAGGGCACGAAGCACAGCAGGAAGATGACGAGGTTAGCCAGCAGGAGGCGCACGGTCTTCCGCCGCCGCTGGCTCTGCGTGGCGTCGGGGCGCGCCAGCGTCCAGAAGACTCGGCCCGACGAGTAGACCACCGCCGCCAGGGGCAGCAGGAAGCCCAGCGCCTCGGCCAGCAGCACGAGGGGCAGCAGCCTGCCTTTCCACAGCTCGTCGCTGAAGCTCTCGAAGCATAGGCGCACCTCGAGGTCCCGGTAGCGGCAACGCGAGGGCCTGTGCACGCGGGCGGCGGGCACGGCAAACACCAGGATGAGCGCCCACACGCCCAGGCAGAGCAGCCGCGCCACGCGGGGCCGCCGCAGGTGGCGCAGTCGCAGCGGGTGCACGATGGCGGCGTAGCGGTCCACGTTGATGAGCATCAGGAAGATGCAGCTGCCGTACATGTTCATCTGGAAGATGGCGCCCGTCGTCTGGCACAGGAGGTCGGGGAAGGGCCAGTGGTGCAGTGCGTAGTAGGAGAGACGAACGGGCAGCGAGAGGGTGAAGAGCAGGTCGCTGGCCGCCAGGTTACACATGTACACGCTCACCACCGAGTGCACGCGCAGCGCGCGCAGGAAGACCCAGAGGGCTAGCGCGTTGAGGGGGAGCCCGGCAGCCAGCACCAAGCTGTAGACCACCAAGTGCAGGCGGTGGGTAGGTCGGTAGTCAGGACACGGGAGAACAGAACTGTTGGTTGAGGAGCTGTTGGCTAACATCGTGCCAAAGTGGGATTGGGAGCTAGGCTGGGGATGCCATGGAGCACACCAGAATCATGGCATGGCATTCACCTCCGGGGCTGGGGCCTAGAGGCTGTACAGACATGGTCCCAAAACAAGCAGAGGGAGGTCATGGGAATGTGGGCTATGGCTGCAGGGACAGATGGCTGCCAAGGGTTGGGTGCGTTTGGTCACAGCTTCATCAGCAGCAGAGACCTGGAATAGGAAGGCAAGCCGGAAGTTATACAGAGACAGGGCTGCACACACAAATGTTTAGCTCCACTGGCAGGCCTTCTGAATCTTTTCTCAGCCTCAAGTCTGCCATTGGGCTAGAATAGGTTCCTACGGCAGGACTATATAGTATAGTGTTAAACACCCAGGTTTGAAGGCAGGGACTCGGATGCCTAGGTTTAAATCTTGGTTTTGCTAACTTGCCTAGTTGTGTGACTTCAAAAAAATTAATCTTGGCTGGGTGCAATGGCTTACACCTGTAATCCTGGCACTTTGGGAGGCCAAGGCAGACCAATTGCTTGAACCTAGGAGTTGGGGACCAGCCTGGGCAACACGGCGAAACCCCATCTCTACAAAAAAATACAGGGCCAGGTGCAGTGGCTCACACCTGTAATCCCAGCATTTTGGGAGGCCGAGGCGGGTGGATTACCTGAGGTCAGGAGTTCGAGACCAACCTGTCCAATATGGTGAAACCCCATCTCTACTAAAAATACAAAAATTAGCTGGGCGTGGTGGTGCACACCTGTAATCCCAGCTACTCGGGAGGCTGAGACAGGAGAATCGCTTGAAACCAGGAGGCAGAGGTTGCAGTGAGCTGAGACTGTGCCATTGCACTCCAGCCTGGACAACAAAAGTGAAACTCTGTCTCAAAAAATAAAAATAGCCAGGCGCGGTGGCTCACGCCTGTAATCCCAGCACTTTGGGAGGCCGAGGCAGGTGGATCACCTGAGGTCAGGAGTTCGAGACCAGCTTGGCCAACATGGTGAAACCCCATCTCTACTAAAAAAAATACCAAAAATTAGCCTGGCATAGGGGCGGGCGCCTGTAATCCCAGCTACTCAGGGGGCTGAGACAGGAGAATTGCTTGAACCTGGGGGGTGGAGTTTGCAGTGAGCCAAGATCGCGCCATTGCACTCCAGCCTGGGCAACAAGAGTGAAACTCCATCTCAAAATAAATAAATAAAATAAAATAAAAAATAAAAATAAGGCTGGGCGTGGTGGCTCACATCTGTAATCCGAGCACTTTGGGAGGCTGAGGTGGGCGGATCACCTGAGGTCAGGAGGTTGAGACCATCCTGGCCAACATGGCAAAATCCTGTCTCTACTAAAAAAAAAAAAAAATTAGCCGGGCGTGGTGGCAGGCGCCTGTAATCCCAGCTACTCAGGAGGCTGAGGCAGGGAGAATTGCTTGAGCAGAGGTTGCAGTGAGCCGAGATCACACCATTGCACTCCGGCCTGGGTGACAGAGCAAGACTCTGTCTCAAAAAAAAATAAAATAAAAAATATTAAAAAATTAAAAAATTAGCCAGGCATTGTGGCACATGCCCGTAGTCCCAGCTACTTGTGAGGCTGAGGTGAGAGAATCACTTGACTCCAGGGAGGTGGAGGCTGCAGTGCAGTGAGCCTCAAGCCCACCACTGCACTCCTGCCTGGGTGACAGAGTGAGCCCATCTCAAAAAAGAAAGAAAGAGGGCCAGGGCCGGCGTAGTGGCCCACACCTGTAATCCAGCACTTTGGGAGACTGAGGCGGGCAGATCACCTGAGGTCAGGAGTTCGAGATCAGCCTGGCCAACCTGGCAAAACCCTGTCTCTACTAAAAATACAAAAATTAGCCAGATGTGGTGGCATGCACCTGTAGTCCCAGCTACTCAGGAGGCTCACACAGGAGAATCACTTGAACCCAGGAGGCGGAGGTTGCAGTGAGCTGACATCGTACCACTGCCCTCCAGCCTGGGTAACAAAACGAGACTCCATCTCAAAAAAAAAAAAAGGCGGCTGCATGGTACCTCATGCCTGTGATCTCAGCACTTTGGGAGGCTGATGTGGGTGGATTACTTGAGGCCAGGAGTTGAAGACCAACCTGGCCAACATGACAAAATCTTGCCTCTACTAAAAATACAAAGATTAGCCGGGTATGGTGGCGTGCACTTGTAATCCCAGCTCCTCAGTAGGCTAAGGCATGAGAATTGATTGAATCCAGGAGGCAGAGGTTGCAATGAGTCGAGATCACGCCACTGCACTCCAGCCTGGGTGACAGAGCGAGACTCTGTCTCAAAAAATGAGAGAGAGAGAGAGAGAATTCATGAGGTTTGGAGATTAAGATGACGTGTGTAAAACGCTTAGGTTGCTGTTACTATCTCAAGATCTCTTCCTTCCTTCTTTCCTTGCTTACTGAGCTCATAGAAAGTTCCAGGCATGTTCACAGCAGGGAACAAAGCAAAAAGTCTTTGCCCCCACCTCCTTTACATTCCATTGGAGGGAGACAGATAATAAGCACAAATCAATAGGTGGTCTTATGGAGCACCTCCTTGGACCAGGTGCTAGGCTAGCTCCTCATTATCCAAAGAATAAAGGTCAAACTCTTTGAGTACATGGGAGGCTGCAGCAGGAGAGTCCTTGAACCCGGGAGGCGGAGGTTGCAGTGAGCCGAGATCACGCCACTGCACTCCAGCCTGGGTGACAGAGTGAGACTCCATGTCAGACAAGCAAACAAGCAAACAAAACTCCCAAATACAGAACAACATCCCAGCCTTACGCATCACATGCATCACTGCGCCTGTGAGGGCTGGATTTGTGGTCAAAGCAAACTGGGTTCAGCTTAATGGTTTGACTTCTCAGTTTCTTCATCTGTAAAATGGGAATAATAATATAATAATGCCCTCATAGGCTGATTGCATGCTAGTCTTGACCAGAGCCACATGTGAATAAATTTGACAGCACAGTCTTGCTAGGCAGGGGAAGGCCCTGTGGGTTGAGTTTTGCCAAGTGCTCCCCTAGCAGGTCTAATCCATCGCACTCCGGCCTGGGAGACAGAGTGAGAGTCCGTCTCAAAAACAACAACAACAACAACAAAGACCAAGACAGTGTTGCTTAACCGTCACCACTCTCTGTTTCCAGAAATAGAACTTTTTCATCAACCAAGCAACAACTCTGCAGTCATTAAGCAGTACTACCCACCGCACCCCATTCAGCTTCTGGTTCTAGTCTACTTTCTGTCTCAATGAATTTGCCTATTCTAGATACCTCATATGAGTGGAATCATACAATATTTGTCCTTTTGTGTCTGGTTTATTTCACTTAGCATAATGTTTCCAAGATCTATTCATGTTGTAGTATGTAAAGGAATTTCTTTTTTTTTCTTTTCCGTTTTTTTCTTTGAGACCTAGTTTCGCTCTTGTTGCGCAGGCTGGAGTGCAATGGCACGATCTCGGCTCACCGCAACCTCTGCTTCCAGGGTTCAAGCGATTCTCCTGCCTCAGCCTCCCAAGTAGCTGGGATTACAGGCATGCGCCACCACGCCTGGCTAATTTTGTATTTTTAGTAGAGACGAGGTTTCTCCCTGTTGGTCAGGCTGGTCTCGATCTCCTGACCTCAGGTGATCCACCCGGCTCGGCCTCCCAAAGTGCTGGGATTACAGATGTGAGCCACCGCACCTGGCCTGGAATTTCATTTTTATAGCTGAATAATGTATTTCATTGTATAATGTTTTGCTCATCCATTCATCTGTCAGTGAATACTTGGATTCTTTCCACCTTTTGGCTATTGTGAATAATGCCACTGTGAACATGGGTGTCTAGATGTCATCTTAGGGAGAGAAGTTGTCTGAGACCCTGAGCAATTATCCCAAGACACCGAGCTTATTACTTTCAAAAGGAACTGTTTAGGCCGGGCGTGGTGGTTCACGCTGGTAATCCCAGCACTTTGGGAGGCCGAGGCAGGCGGATCACGAGGTCAGGAGATTGAGACCATCCTGGCTAACACGGTGAAATCTCGTCTCTTTTAAAAATGCAAAAAATTAGCCGGGCGTGGTGGCAGGCGCCTGTAGTCCCAGCTACTCAGGAGGCTGAGGCAGGAGAATGGCATGAACCCGGGAGGCGGAGCTTGCAGTGAGCCGAGATTGAGCCACTGCACGCCAGCCTGGGCAACAGAGACTCCGTCTCAAAAAAAAAAAAAAAAGAGGGCCGGGCGCGGTGGCTCATGCCTGTAATCCCAGCACTTTAGGAGGCCAAGGCGGGCGGATCACAAGGTGAGGAGATCGAGACCATCCTGGCTAACATGGTGAAACCTCGTCTCTACTGAAAATACAAAAAAATTTAGCTGAGCGTGGTGGTGGGCGCCTGTAGTCCCAGTTACTCAGGAGGCTGAGACAGGAGACTGGCGGGAACCCGGGAGGCAGAATTTGCACTGAGCCGAGTTCACGCCACTGCATTCCAGCCTGGGCGACAGTGAGACTCCGTCTCAAAAAAAAAAAAAGGAACTGTTTAAATTGTTGCAAGAAAATAAGTCATAAATCTGGCTATAACAAGTTTTTTGTTTGTTTTTTGTTTTTTGTTTTTTTTGAGACAGGGTCTCACTCCGTGGTCCAGGCTGGAAAGCAGTGGCTCGATCTTGGCCCACTGCAGTCCTGAACTCCCAGATTCAAGTGATCCTCTTACCTCAGTCTCTGAGTAGTTGGACCTACAGGCGTGTGCCACCATCCCTGGCTAATTTTTAAATTTTTTGTAGATGGCCAGGGGCAGTGGCTCATGCCTGTAATCCTAGCACTTTGGGAGGCTGAGGTGGGTGGATCACTTGAGGTCAGGAGCTCGAAACCAGCCTAGCCAACATGGTGAAACCTCGTCTCTACTAAAAATACAAAAAAATAGCCAGGCATAGTGGCAGGTGCCTGTAATCCCAGCTACCCGGGAGACTGAGTCAGGAGAATCGCTTGAACCCAGGAGGCAGACAGAGGTTGCAGTGAGCTAAGATCGCGCCACTGCACTCCAGCCTGGGCAACAGAGCAAGACTCCATCTCAAAAAAAGAAAAAATTTTTTCATAGAAACGGGGTCTGACTGTGTTGCCCAGGCTGGTCTTAAACTCAGGCTCAAGCAATCCTTTTGCCCTGGGCTCTGTAAGTCCTAGGATTACAGGCATGAGCCACTGTACCTGGCCACAAGTTTTTCTTGTATTTGGTTTTGTTCTCCTTCCAACCACCACCATCAGCAGTTTGAGACTTGTAAGAGATATAGTAAAACAGTTAAAGGGAATAAAGAAATACTTCCTCTGCAAAATACCAGTCTCAACAATGAAAATAATACCAAATGAGACTTAAACATGCTGAAAAGCAAGTAAAACCAGGCTCATTTCTGATACACTCCCCTGCTCCATGCTCCTTTGCTCCATTCACACCAAACTAATACTAATTGTGGACATACCTTATGTTTTCAGGACTCTGCCTTTGTATGTGGTGTTTCTTCAACTTGGAATGCCCTGCCTCCCGTTCTCCAACTGGCAAGCCTAGTATTTTCTCAGGACTCTGCAAAGCCTTCCCTAACCGCCCCCGCAACACAAGGCGGATGTGGTACCCTCACTTGTGCCTCCGCAACAGTGCGCAGGTTTATCAGAGCTCTCCCCATGCATGGTAGTCAGCTGTTCCTGGTCTGCCCCTCCCATTAGACTGTGAACTCTTAGAGGGAGGGGCTGTGGACCATGGCTTATTCATCTTTGTGTATTCTCAGCACCTACCTCTGTAAATGTTAAAAATAATAGGTATCATTTACTGATCATCACCATATTTTAATTTCTATACATAATATCTAACATAGATACATTATTTCACTTCCTCATTGTCCAACTGAAATGTATAAAGTGGGTTATTTGAAGTGGGTTATTAAAAATAACCACTTCCAAAAGTGGTGACATAAACTCATCTTTCACACATACACATAAATATGCCTCCTTGAATCACTTGAACCCAAGAGGCGGAGGTTGCAGTGAACGAAGATCATGCCACTGCACTACAGTTTGGGCAACAGAGTGAGACTCCGTCTAAATAAAAATAAGTAAATAGACCGGGAATGGTGGCTCACGCCTGTAATCCCAGCACTTTGGGAGGCCGAGGCAGGCGTATCACGAGGCCAGGAGTTCGAGACCAGCCTGGCCAACATGGTGAAACCTCGTCTCTACTAAAAATACAAACAATTAGCCGGGCGAGGTGGCAGGTGCCTGTAATCCCAACTACTCGGGAGGCTGAGGCAGGAGAATTGCTTGAACCCAAGGGGCGGAGGTTGCAGTGAGCAGAGATCGTGCCACTGCACTCCAGCTTGAGTGACAAAAGCGAAACTCCATCTCAAAAAAATAAATAAACCTCCTTAAAATTCCCCCTTAAGTGCATACGTAAGCACTTAGTTTGCTGTTTTGAGCCCCTCAATCGTTTTATGTATATTTGTTCTATTTCCCCAACTAGATGGTAAGCTCCTAGGGTGGGAGCGCACCTTGCAGACACATTTCACTCTCTGCATTTAGCAGGTCCTGAGCGATACTCATTGGCTGCTTAACAGGAAATCCACCCTCCCCACCTCCTACACCCATCCCGCCCCCAACTACCCCCGCCCACGCTCTAATCCTGTGATAATAGCTCTTGTATCAATCTTGTCCAAATGTATAACTCAGTAAAAGACCACTTCCCTTAAAAGACCTGTTTGGAAACAGCTTGCAAACAAGATTTCAATAACAGTTTACACTATGATTACAGTATCACTTGATCATTCTTTTCTTTTTCTTTTTTCTTTTTTTTTTTGAGACAGAGTCTTGCTCTGTCGTCCGGGCTGGAGTGCAGTGGCTCAATCTGGGCTCACTGCAAGCTCTGCCTCCCGGGTTCACGCCATTCTCCTGCCTCAGCCTCCCGAGTAGCTGGGACTACAGGCACCTGCCACCTCACCCGGCTAATTTTTTGTATTTTTAGTAGAGCTGGGGTTTCACTGTATTAGCCAGGATGGTCTCTATCTCCTGACCTCGTGATCTGCCCGCCTTGGCCTCTCAAAGAGCTGGGATTACAGGCGTGAGCCACCGCGCCAGGCCCACTTGATCATTCTTAACCATTACTTGGAGAACCAGTAGATCCTTCCAATTAGAAAGCATATACTAGACACTGAATGAGTGGATGGATGATTTTCAAAGAACCTCAAGTCTGTCTTTCTTTCTTTCCTTCCTTCCTTCCTTCCTTTTCTTTTTTGAGATGGAGTTTCGCATGCTCTGTCACCCAGGCTGCAGTGAAGTGGCAGAATCTCGGCTCACTGCAACCTCCGCCTCCCGGGTTCAAGTGATTCTCCTGCTTCAGCCTCCTGAATAGCTGAGATTACAGGCGCTCACCACCACGCCCAGCTAATTTCTTTTTTTTTTTTTTTTTTGAGATGGAGTTTCACTTTTGTTGCCCAGACTGGAGTGCAATGGCACGATCTCCGCTCACCGCAACCTCTGCCTCCCAGGTTCAAGCGATTCTCCTGCCTCAGCCTCCTTAGTAGCTGGGATTACAGGCATGTGCCACCACGCCCAGCTAATTTTGTATTTTTAGTAGAGATGGGGTTTCTCCATGTTGGTCAGGCTGGTCTCGAACTCCCAACCTCAGGTGATCTGCCCGCCTCAGCCTCCAAAAAATGCTGGGATTACAGGCGTGAACCACCATGCCCGGCCAATTTCTGTATTTTTAGTAGAGAAGACTGGGTTTCACTATGTTGGCCAGGCTGGTCTCGAACTCCTGACCTCAGGTAATCCGCCTGCCTTGGCCTCCCAAAGTGCTGGGATTACACTGTGCCTGGCTGATCTCAAGTCTTTCTGTTGAAAAAGTTACAATGTACCGGGCACGGTGGCTCACGCCTGTAATCCCAGCACTTTGGGAGGCCGAGGTGGGCGGATTACCTGAGGTCAGGAGTTCGAGACCAGCCTGGCCAACATGGTGAAACCTCATCTCTACTGAAAATACAAAAATTAGCCAGGGGTGGTGGCACACGCCTGTAATCCCAGCTACTCGGGAAGCTGAGGCAGGAGAATTGCTTGAGCCCGGGAGACGGAGGTTGCAGTGAGCCGAGATCGTGCCACTGCACTCCAGCCTGGCCAACAGAGCGAGACTCTGTCTCAAAAAAAAAAAAAAAAGGGCCAAGCGCGGTGGCTTACACCTGTAATCCCAGCACTTTGGGAGGCCAAGGTGGGTGCATCATGAGGTCAGGAGACCAAGACCATCCTAGCTAACATGGTGAAAGCCCATCTCTACTAAAAATACAAAATATTAGCCGAGCTTGGTGGCACCTGCCTGTAATCCCAGCTACTCGGGAGGCTGAGGCAGGAGAATCGCTTGAACCCGGGAGGCAGAGGTTGCAGTGAGCCGAGATTGCGCCACTGCACTCCAGCCTAGATGGCAGAGTGAGACTCCGTCAAAAAAAAAAAAAAATTAAAATGTTAAATAGACCAAGATTATTAGTTGAGCGGCTACTTAAAGGTAAAGTTAGGCGAAGTGATGGCTCACACCTGTAATCCCAGCACTTTGGGAGGCTGAGGCGGGCGGATCACCTGAGGTCAGGCATTCAAAACCAGCCTGGTCAACATAGTGAAAACCCCATCTCTACTAAAAATACAAAAATTAGCCAGGCATGGTGGCGGCATCTGTAATCCCAGCTACTCGGGAGGCTGAGGCAGGAGAATCCCTTGAACCCAGGAGGCGGAAGTTGCAGTGAGCTGAGATCGCGCCACTGCACTCCAGCCTGGGTGACAAGAGTGAAACTCTGTCTCAAAAAACATAAATAAATAAATGTAAAGGTATAGCTAGGAATTTTTTAGCAAAGGAAATGGCGATGCTCTCTTGTTACTCTATTCCAAAGGGGAGAAGTTCTTGGGTTTCTTTTTTTTTTGGATACAGTCTCACTTCGTTTGGAGGCTGGAGTGCAGTATCACAATCTTGGCTCACTGCAACCTCCGCCTCCTGGGTTCAAGCAATTCTCGTGCCTCAGCCACCCAAGTAGCTGGGATCATAGCTCGCACCACCACACCTGCCTAATTTTTTGTGTTTTCAGTAGAAATGGGGTTTCACCATGTTGGTCAGGCTAGGCTGGTCTCCTGACCTCAAGTGATCTGCAGACCTCGGCTTCCCAAAGTGCTGGGTGCTGGAATTACAAGAGTGAACCACTGCACCCAGCCCATCTTTTTTTTTTTTTTTTTTTTTTTTTTTTTTTTTTTTTTTGAGACGGAGTCTCCCCGTTGCCCAGGCTGGAGTGCAGTGGTACAGTCTCAGCTCACTGCAACCTTTTCCTCCCAGGTTCAAGCAATTCTCTTGTCTCAGCCTCCTGAGTAGCTGGGACTACAGGTGCACGCCACCATGCCTGGCTAATTTTTGTATTTTTAGTAGAGACAGGTTTCACCATATTGGTCAGGCTGGTATTGAACTCCTGACCTGAGTTGATCCACCCGGCTCGGCCTCCCAAAGTGCTGAGATTATAGGCATGAGCCACCGCACCTGGCCCCAGCCCATCTTTATAAAGGATCCTGGTGGTCAAAAAGCCGCCTCTTTCTGACAGTCACACAGAACGGCCCAAGCTGAGCACTGAGAGCTGCCAGGCCCCTGGCCTGGTCCCCATCCCACACTTCTGCTTCCCGAGCCCTGGGGCTCCCTTCAGGAGCTGAATGGGCACAGTGCCAGGCCAGATGGCGAAGATGGAAAAAACTGCCAAAAAGGAGGCTAACAGGATGTGGAAGGAGGGAATCTAGGTGTTGGGGAGGGGCAGCCCAGACCCTCTCCCCCAATCCTGCCTTGAAGAAGAGGTCAGGCTGTAGGAGAGATGCAGGAATCAAAGAAATGGCAGCTGCCCCAGAAAAGAAGGAACACCAGGAAGGAGGGACATGGAGGCCCCCATAGGCTGAAGAACGTCGGCACACACTGATGTCAGGTAAGTATACCACTCATTACACGTGTGTGCACAGACACATATACACACACGCTAAGAGATGTGCACACAAGACCCCTAGTAACATAGAACTCAGTGTCTATACACATCCTGTAATAAACACGTATGTGCATAGACAACTGGGCTGGGGAGGAAGAGAAAGAAGGCCCTGCCTTAGGGACAGTATCCTTACACAGACAGAACCAGGCAGCTTCACAAGCATGGGAGATCTCAACCCCAAGGCACTGAGGAGCAAAGTGACCACGACACACACAGAGGGTCCGGGACTGCTCCTTCTATATCACCCACCCCAACACCGCTCACACACCAGAATGTGTGCAGCCACCTTCCTTCTCCCTGGGTCTCCGTCCTTCAGCTTCCCATGTACACATCCGGGGGCCAGGTTACTTACCTCCTCAGGGCCTCTGGGATCTGTCCCATTTGCCCTCTGAGCTGGGCTGGGCACTGCTCTTTGCTGAGATAAGCCAGAGGGGCAGGGCTATTTTATGCCAGAGGCAGGAAGTGAGAACAAGAGTGTAAAAGTGAGCAGGAGGTGCAATCATGATCATTCCCTCACTCTCCTCCACACACCCTGCCCTGGTATCCAGCCTCTTGGGCAAATGACGTTGAGGGGAGCTGAAGAGAAAGGACCAGGGGGCTGGGAACAATGAGAAGGGCAGGGGCAGGGGAATGCCTCCTCTTTGCCCAGTTCCTCCCCCATACCCTTCCTGTGTTGCCCACCTCCCCGCAAACACCACATGCCTTGCTCTGTCTTTTGCCTCCTTTCTTTCTTTCCGTTTTTTTTTCTTTTGTTTTTGAGACGGAGTCTCGCACTGTCGCCTGAGCTGGAGTGCAACGGTGCAATCTCAGCTCACTGCAACCTCTGCCTCCCGGATTCACGCGATTCTCCTGCCTCAGCCCCCTGAGTAGCTGGGATTACAGGCGCACACCACCACACCCGGCTAATTTTTTGTATTTTTCGTAGAGACGGGGTTTCACTATATTGGCCAGACTGGTCTTGAACTCCTGACCTTGTGATCTGCCTGCCTCGGCCACCCAAAGTGCTGGAATTACAGGCGTGAGCCACTGGACCCGGCCTGCCTCCTCTTTCAAATAATTCACATCCTGGGTCCCCTGACTCCAATTCCTAGGGTCAGAGGTCTGAAAAGAAGGTTCTTACATCTCCCCATCCTCCTTGCCCCTGAGAATCAGCTCTGGAATAGCCCCACCCTCATTTTAGAGTCTCGTGGCCCATCAGTGTCTCAGCCCCGACACAGGAAGTCCCTCTTTAGTATGTACTCTAACCCACTCGCTGAATTAGCGAAGCCTACTTCCTCTGCTTCTGTGTTCAGGCAGCGCTGGGAGGATGCACCCTTTCCCCACAGACAGGCTTCATCATGAAGACTCAGTATCTCTGTATCCAGGCCCTCCAAACAGACCCCAGCTGTGCTGAGCCTCCAGCAGAAGCTTAGCTCAGTCCAAAGCCTTTGTGAAAAGCTCTGTCCCAGAGCTGTTTTGAGGGCACAAATGAATCCTTTTCTTCCGCTTATCCTGGTCCTGAGGGGCAGGGATGAGATGGAAGACTAAATGGAACAGGAGGATGAATCCTCATCCTCAAGGTTTGGAGACAGTACAAAGTCCCCAGGGTGGGCGGGGAGGCCTCCTTCTGCCCAGGGGCCACATTCTTCCTCAGAGAGGAGTCTCTGGCACGGATCCCGGGTGTCAGGTCGTGTCTTCCCTCCTCCCTGGCCCAGGCCTGCCTGCTTCTCCAGCCAGAATTCCTGCTCCTGCCTTTCCCCACCCTTCTCTGCTGAAGCCTGTCTTTTCCTGCATTTCCAGCATCATCCTCGGCCCTGGCTTCTCCCTCCCTGAGTACTCTGACCTCATCCCTCCTGACATTTGTCTGGGAAAAGGCAGAAAGCAAAGGTGGTCTACAGCTCAATAACTAGTTTCCCTGATGTGCGGATATCACCTTGCCATTGTGCCTCTCCCTTTACCCTGCTTTCGAGAGCTGGAAAAGCAAGAAAGTCAGTCCCAAGAGAAGCCACGGAGGCAGGCCCAGCCCCCTGACCTGTGTCCTGAGGTGGTCTGTGTGCATCTGACCCTTGCTTGTAGCCTGGCAGGTCCTGCTTCCTCAGGGAAATCCACCAGAGCCTGTGGGCTTTGCTGACCTCACCTGACTTTAGAGTGCACTGGCTTCAGCCCTCACTGCTCTTGCCGGTTCCTTCTCCTGGGTTTTGTTTTTTTTTTTTCTGAGATGGAGTCTCGCTTGCTGTGTTACCTAGGCTGGAGTACAGTGGTGCAATCTCAGCTCACTGCAACCTCCGCCTCCCGGGTTCACGCAATTCTCCTGCCTCAGTCTCCCGAGTAGCTGAGACTACAGGCGCCCGCCACCACGCCTGGCTAATTTTTGTATTTTTAGTAGAGATGGGTTTTCACTGTGTTGGCCAGGCTGGTCTTGAATGCCTGACCTCAGGTGATCTGCCCTCCTCAGCCTCCCAAAGTGCTGGGATTACAGGCGTGAGCCACTGTGCCCGGCCATTCTCCTGGGCTTTTTAAAATGCCCCTGGGCATAAAAGATCTCTGTCAGTAGGTATGTCCTGGGGTATGCACTGGGGGCAGCAGAGTAGGGAGAGCAGATGGCATCAGACAGATGGAGTTGGGCTCTAGTGCCTCTGAGTGGCTGGGTGGTGAGTCCTGTACATACTGCATGTGAGTAAGTTTCTGTCTCACCTCAATCCCTGCCTCCATGTCCCACTGGGTCTACAACTTTAGCTCACCCTAAAAGGAGGATTTCTGCCAGCCTGGGCAGCATAGTGGGACCCCATCTCTACAAAAAATATTTTTTTTTTGAGATAGAGTCTCGCTCTGTTGCCAGGCTTGAGTGCAGTGGTGTGATCTCAGCTCACTGCAACCTCCGCCTCCCGGGTTCAAGGGATTCTCCTGCCTCAGCCTCCCGAGCAGCTGGGACTATAGGTGCGTGCCACCGTGCCCAACTAATTTTTGTCTTTTCAGTAGAGACGGGGGTTTCACCATGTTGCCTGGGATGGTCTCGATCTCTTGACCTTGTGATCTGCCCGCCTTGGCCTCCCAAAGTGCTGGGATTACAGGTGTGAGCCACCACGCTCCGCTCTACAAAAAAATTTCAAAAAACTAACAGAGGCCGAGTGTGTGACTCGCGCCTGTAATCCCAGCACTTTGGGAGGCAGAGGCGAATGGATCACTTTAGCGCGAGTTCAAGACCAGCCTGGGCAACATGGTGAAACCCTGTCTCTACACAAACACACACACACCCAAAAAAAATACAAAAAGTAGCTGGTTGTGGTGGCTCAAGCCTATATTTCCAGCTATTCTGGAGGCTGAGGCAGGATAATAGCTTGAACCCAGGAGGCGGAGTTTGCAGTGAGTCTAGATCATGCCACTGCACTTTAGCCTAGACGACAGAGCGAGACCCCATCTCAAAAAAAAAAAAAATTAGCCGGGCATGGTGGTGCCTGCCTGTAGTCCCAGGTACTCGGGAGGCTGAAGTGGGAGGATTGCTTGAACCCAGGAGTTTGAGGCTGCAGTGAGCCATGTTCATGCCACTGCACTCCAGCCTGGGCAACAGAGTGAGATCCTGTCTTGAAAAAAAAAATGGCTGGGCACCGTGGCTTATGCCTGTAATCCCAGCACTTTGGGAGGCCGAGGCAGGTGGATCATGAGGTCAGGAGTTCAAGACCAGCCTGGCCAAGATGGTAAAACCCTGTCTCTACTAAAAATGCAAAAATTAGCCGGGCATGGTGGTGCGTACCTATAATCCCAGCTACTCAGGAGGCTGAGGCAGAGAATTGCTTGAACCCAGGAGGCGGAGGTTGCAGTGAGCTGAGAGCGTGCCACTGCACTCCAGCCTGGGTGACAAAGGGAGACTCTGTCTCAAAAAAAAAAAAAAGAAAGGAAGGAAGGAAGAGAGAAAAAAAGGAGTAGTTCTGGAGATACAATCTGGTGGAGGTCCCCTTCTTGTCATGGGGGCCCCACAACCACAGGGAAGAGGTAGGCCCCATCCTCATGGTGTGATGTGAAGGTATCATAAAGCCCTGCTGACCTCCGAATATGTCCCCCACCTCCAAAATTCCATCCCCTGAAGCCACCATCTATCAGAGCCATAGGGACATCAAAGACCATCAGTCTAATCCCCTTATATAGATGCACCTTTTGGGTTAAGGCAGCACTTCCTGAAGACCCCATTACAGTACACCTTGGCTAGTTGGGAAGGATAACACTGAGAACACATCTCTGCCAGTCAACCCATTAGCAAGTTTGATTAGATCAGCTCATTGTCATCTGCCTGGCCCTGGGGGATGTGTGGTGTAGGGGTTGAGGTTTAACTGCGAGTGGAAAAAGTGTGTAAACAGTCCCCAGAGGGCCCTCCCTGGGAGGCCCAAGGCTCAGTTCCACAGTGGGGGCCTAGAGGGGGAGGGGGAGGACACAGCCTCTGCGAGATGCCCCAGAGTGGGGGCTTCAAGCATCAAAGAGGAGCACTCCCGAGGTGTAGCAGGCATGTTAGCTGTTTGTCCAGCGCCATCTGAAAAGATCTGTCTATTTGAGGCAGCTCCTTTCGGCTTTTTACTCTGTTCAGAAGGGTTTTCCAGGGCCCATGCCCACCCTCTTCTCTGTCCCCCACCCAAATCTCCCATTTCTACAGGGGGGTGCTCCCCTTGTGCTCCCTGTGCAGTTCAATTCGTGACACCCCCATACCTGTGCTCCGTGTTGCTCTGCGCTGCCCCAAGCTGGCTTCCGCTGCCTGCTCTGGGCTGGGCTGGGCTGGGCTGGGCTGGTAGGACCTGCTCCCAGGGCGGGAGGGGACACACCCACCTCAGCAGATCTCAGCCCATCCCTCCCAGCTCAGTGCACTCACCCAACCCCACACGGGCCAAGGAGAGAGTGAAGAGGAAGCATTGCCCTCAGAGGCCTTCACGGACTGGCCAGAGAAGAAACCCCAGCAGCTAAGGATACTTAATCCAGCCCCGACTAGGAACTGCCCCCACCCATCGTTCAGATATTCCTGCTGTGTCTGGGAACTCTTCCTGGCACACCCACCGTCTGATGCCAGATGACTAACCCACCAGCCTCTCGCTGTCCTCACCGGTTCCCCCTGGGTGTCTGTCTTCCTTTCCTAGGTCTGCCAGGTGGTTTAGTCCATGCTACTCGTGGCTTAGTCCATGCCACTCGTGGCTTGTGCCCCACCCTGCCCGGGGCCCTCTTCATGACAGTGCTCTGCTAGGTCCTGCCTCCCACTGAGCACACTTGGCTCCCGCATCGAGCAGTCACTAGGCTGGATGGTTCCTCTTTGCTTAGGTCTGTTTCTCCTCAGCCCGTTGTCTTGTGTCCTCGGGCCAGACAACACAGAGACAAGTGGCCCTGTGGGCACAGGGCTGGGCATGTTGTCCATGCTCAATAAATAAAAACAAGTTCAAGTTTTTTGGTGGTAGGTGGAAAAGGGATTGTGGTGAAATGAGTTTGGGAAGCACTAGGTTAAACAGGTTTCTCTATTACCGCGCTCCGGAGGGCCTTAACATGCTGTCAGATGATAGGCCTTGTGTTGATCATGGAAACTGGGTGAAGGGTACATGACAGTGCATTATACTTTTCTATTTTTGTGCATGTTTGAACTGTCATAGTAAGCAAGCTTTAACAAAATGCTGTTAATTACTGCGAACCTATAGAAGGGAGAGAGACTCTACAGTGTCCCTGGAACATACTTTGGGATATGTCAACTTATTAAAGGCCAATGCTGAGCCAGGCACGGTGGATCACACCTGTAATCCCAACACTTTGGGAGGCCGAGGCGGGCAGATCACGAGGTCAGGAGTTCAAGACCAGTCTGGCCAACATAGTGAAACCCCTTCTCTACTAAAAATACACAAAAAATTAGCCGGGCATGGTGGTGTGCGCCTGTAATCCCAGCTACTTAGGAGGCTGAGGCAAGAGAATCACGTGAACCCAGGAGGCGGAGGTTGCAGTGAGCCAAGATAGTGCCACTGCACTCTAGCCCAGGCAACAGAACAAGACTCCGTCTCACTAATAATAATAATAATAATAAAGGCCAATGCTGGAGTCATACCTCAATGTAGGTTGTTAAGATGCAACCACTTAAACATCCAGATCATCTGGCAAATTCCTGTACACCAAGGGTTTCCTTCCTGTAATCCCAGCACTTTGGGAGGCCGAGGTGGGAAAATTGCTTGAGCCCAGGAGTTCGAGACCAACCTGGGCAACATGGAGGGACCCCATCTCTACAAAAAAATATAAAAATTAGCCAGGCTTAGTGGCACATTCCTGTGGTCACAGGGACCTGAGAGGCTGAGGTAGGAGTGTGGCTGGAGCCCAGGAGGTCAAGACTGCAGTGGGTGGTGATCATGCCACTGCACTCCAGCCTGGGTGACAGAGCGAGACCCTGTCTCAAACACAAAACAACAACAACAAAAACAACCCCAAGGTTTCCTGATCTAGGCTATAGTTCCTGGTTTTTCCCTTCCTGATTAAGTGCAAGGTGCACACTCCCTATACCCCAGGATTGGTCCCTTTGGAAAAGATCTCATCAGGCTTTGGCCTTTATCCTACAGAGGAACAATACTACACTCGCATCTGACATCACGGGGCTTAGGGCTTCAGAAATGAAGACAGGTGCCCACATGCCCACATCATCCCTAGGGCCCCAGCCTTCTTGGCCTTCCTCAGTTCACCTCCCTGGGTTCTCAGGTCTTCTGCTTCTCCTGGCAGATGGCTGCTTCCCTGAGCACCATTCCCATGAGATTCTCTCACCGGCAGGTGGATCCATAAAACCAGGGGTTGGGGACTGACTGCCACGGGGCAGGGTAGCAGTGCTGAGGATGGGGATCATAACCAGAACAGGCCACACAGGCTGAAGATCAACATTTTATGTAAAGTCATCTTTTAAGGAGGGCGCAGCTCCCACCGTGGCCCTCTCTGGGACTGTTGCTCCAACCCAAGGAAATGTGAGTAGGGGCCGAGTAACAGACCCAGAAGGGGCAGCCTGAAAGCAATGGGGTCTCAAAACAATAGAGAACGTGGGCAGGTTGGGCTGGGGTGTGGGCAGAATAGACGCCAGCTCATCCGAACTGGCCTAGAGTCAAGGTGCTGAACTCCTGGCTCCATCGAAGCACAACGTCCTCACTTTTGCCAGGGCTCAGCGCACTGTAAGTCTCATTCTGCAGACATCTCATGCGGGACACCTACACAGAGATTCAGTGCAGACGGTCTGTATCACAGAGCCAGGTGCCAGGAGTGGGGAGGAGGGGAGGTGTCAGAAGCCCAAAAGAACGAGAGGTGGGCAGGCATGGGCACAGGGCAGTAGAGGGAAGGAGGAAACTCAAATGTGGGTTTTTAAAGCCAGAGGAGACATCAAGCAGCCCAACCCCTTTCATGCAGAAACAGGCGGCTGAGGCTCAGAGGGGGAAGTGCCTCATCCCAGGCTACTTGGTGAGTAAGAAGAGGAGACAGACCGAGACCTCAACGTCCAAGTCCTGGCCCAGCCAAGGGTTCTTCCTGTGGTGCTCTTAGGACCCTCCTCTGTTATCCACCAGCTGCCTAGGAGGGCCTTGCTTCCGCCAGGACTGGAGGAATGGAGGAGAGCCTGCTGGTGGAGGCCTCTGCCCCAGAGATGCAAGCAGGAACCGCTTTCCACATCCTAGCTGCTCGCAGAGGGGGCCTCAGAATAGACCAGTTATGGTGACTGATTGAGGGGGTGCTGGGAGAAGGAGGGGCAGGGCAGGGGTGCTCACCTTCCGATTGCGGTTTCTCATCAGACACTGCTGGCTTTTGAAGGAACAGTAGTTTGGGTACTGGATATAGTCTGTGTCACAAATCTAAGCCAAGAGCCAGAGAGAGGGAAGAGGGTATCAGAAGCCTCACCAGGCAGCAGCACTCCAGGGAATATCTGCTAGGGCAGAGCCAGGGGCAGGGTGTGGCCCAAGACCCAGGTCTTCCACACACAGGCGGCCCCTCACTCCGCTTTCCCTCTGCCTTTCCCCTGCCGCTCTGTCACAGGTTGCTGGGAAGAAGCCAGGAGCCTGGGAGAGTATGAGGCTGCCAGTCAGCTTACTGGGAAAGTGGCTGAGGAAGCGGGAATGGGGCAGGACGGGGTAGATAAGGGTCCAGAACATGGGACAGGGACCCGATTAGTGGCCTGATGTCAAGGATTTTTCTGGTAATGGTAGATAAGGGAAGGGGGAAGTGAGTCACTGCCTTCTTTGGACCTCGCCTCCCCATTCCAGATCAAGGGGCCCAGGGACAAGAGCTGGACATGGGCCCCCCAGCTCAGCTACCAGCCCTTGCTTCAGCTGCCCTTACTTTTCCTTGCCTTGGTTTTCCCTGCTAACTACAGGAGGAGAGGCCTGGATCTAAAACAACAGGTCATTCCACAGGGGAGGTAACTCAGGGGAACGGGGAGCCAAGTTGATTTAATTGAGCAGGGAAGGCACTGGAAGAGCTGGGAAGCCCGTCAGGCTAAGGCCGGGAAGTCCTGGATCACAGGGTTGGGCAGTGGTGCACGTGTCACTCAGTCATTTCTTGTAGAGATGACTCTTTGATTGAGTAGGAAGTGACTTGATCACAGCCACCCAGCAAGTAACTGGCAGAGTTGGGACCAGAACCTCTAGCTCCTGTTTTCTCAGCCCTCTGGGTCCCCACTCCTTTGCCTGCTCTATTGGTGGAGGGTGGGGTGGGGTGCAATGGTCTCTTGGAGAGAGGCAGGAGATTCAGTGAGGACGGGTTCTCAGAAGCCAGGGGCCCAAGCCCCCTTCCACAAACTAGCGCTACTCACAGCAAGTAACTGGAAGGAATGGGGTGAGGGTAGGGATGGGGCTGAGCTTTGGGGAAAGGTTCTAACCTTGGTAGGGAAATCCCCATCCTGGAAGCTAAGGAACTCAGTCTGGAGCCACCCAGAGACTCGGACATCTTCACAGCCTTTCGTGGCAAGCCGGGCACACCAGAAGTCCATGTGGAGCCCACCGTACAAATCCAGCCCGTAAAAGCGGCCTGATTCTGGGGACCCTACCTGTGGCACAGGAGATAGGGGAGAGGTGCGTGCCCCTCCCCACCTGCTGGCCACCACCACCCCACCCCTGCCACCCAGTTCTGCCTTTCCCACTGCGGGCTGCCGGGCTAGATACCTGGTTGCCGATGGACAGGCTCTGGGAGGCAAGCAAGGGGCTGACAAAGGGAGTCTTGTGGGAGGTGTCGCATTGTTGCCGCTGCAGGCTGGCCTCTGAGTGGCACTGCTCCAGCTTCAAGGAGCAGAAGTCACAGAGGGCACAGGTAGACATGTGTCGCCGCCCAAGGCTGTCACAGACCTGGGGCAGGGGAATGGGTGAGGCTGAAGCTGAGAGTCAGCGGCCTGCCTTCTCCCATGCCTCAGCCCTCCAGGGTGGGCCCTGCAGAATGTCTTTGCATTTAGCCTCTTCCAAAAGCTTCTCTGGGTTTTCTACTTGGCCTCCTCCCCAAGGGTTCCTCAAGGACCTTGCCTCAGCTATTTCTTCACCCTCTTCCTGGATGATTTATCTACTCCTAGGTAATCATCTATCTGCGAGTGACACCCAAATCTTTATCACCAGCTCTGATCTCTCTCTTGGGCTCCAAATCCTCATTGCCAAGTGCCTGACAGATGTCTGTGATTGGGTGATCTTACAGATACCCCAACTTAGCCTATCTGAAAAGAACTCATAACCCTCCCCTGCCACCTCTGCTAATGATAATGCTAATATTTACAAAGAGGTGACCCAGTGCCAGCACTATGGCTACACATGCTCTCATTTCATTTAGTTTTCACGACAACCCTATAACAGCAGAGATACTAATATTACTCTCATTTACTGACAAGGAAACTGACTCTCAGTGAGGTTGAGTAAGTTGCTCAAAGCCACTTATCTAACAGATGGGGAAGCTGGGACATGGGTCCAGGTCCTTCCAACTCTAAAACCTATGCTCTATCCAAGTACCTGGGTTGGAAACCTCCAAGTTCTTGGAAGCTATTCTTCAGAGTGGAGTTACCAATCTCCCAGCTGGGTTCTGCCCTCAGCTTCCTCAGCACTAGCAGGAGATCGTACTAAGCAGTATCTTTAGTCAATCCCACGGTCCTCCTTCCTCCCCCATGGGCACAGCCTGTCACAGTGCATGCAATCTCCTATGGCACCTTGCCTGCTCCTCCCACATAACGGAGGCATCATGTCCCTGGCCAGAAATCTTTATTGGATTCCCCTTTCCTATCAAATTCAGTGCAAATGCTCATGTTGCCATTCAAGAGTTTTTGCGTCATGACCCTGTTGATCTCTTTGACTCTGTCTCCTGCTGCTCTGCTCCAGGTAAAAGGGACTCCCTCCTTACTGTCCTCTTATCTAAGCCATCAAATCCAGTGAGCTCCCTCCATAAAACCCTGAACTTCTTGCATTTTGTTTAAGAACCTCACCGACCACACTCCCTTTGTAATATTACTGTATCCATATTAACTCCCTCATGGGTTCTTGGCCCCTTAAGAGCAGAAACAGTATGCTCATTGTTAGCATACTAATTTCACTCATGAAATTTCTACCTCTTCTTTGGGCCAGGCACGGTGGCTCATGCCTGTAATTCCAGCTGAGTGGAAGTGGCTGAGATGGATTCCATGAGCCCAGGAGTTTGAGATCAGCCTGGGCAACATGGCGAGACCCTGTCTCTACAAAAAAATACAAAAGAAATTTCTACTCTTCTTTGCATCATAGCCTTTGCACATACTATTCTCTATCAGGAATCTTCTACCAAGCCCCTTCTTTTGCCTGGATTCACTTCTTTTATCTTCAGGTCTCAGTTTAAACATCAGTTCTTCTTGGAAGCACCCTCTGATCCTCCCAAACATGGAGAGTTGTCCCCAACCCACCCCATCTGCTCTCTGTACTTTGTGCCTATCCCTGCTACAGCACTGATCCCATCACACCATCCTGCATATTTCCTTGTCTCTCTCCTGCCCTAGATTCCAAGAGGACAGAGGACTGGCTCTATTGCACATACTGCTAACATCTTAAATATCTAGTAGAGTTTGTCCCCAATCAGTATTTTTTTTCATGACAAGATACATCTAAGTTTTATTCTAAGAGTTTTACAGGCACTTTTAGGTCTTACATTTAGGTCTTTGATCCATTGTGAGTTAATTTTTGTATATGGTGTGAAACCCTTAAGTCTTTAAATCATCTTGAAATGTTTTTTGTGTATCTACTCCTAGGTGATCATCTATCTGCAGGGGACACCCAAATCTTTGGGTGTAAGATAGAAATTCAATTTCATTTTTTCCTCATGGTTAACCCATCATTCCAGTACCATAAATGGGAGTTCCTCTTTTCCCACAAATCAGTCACAGAAAATCTGTTTCTGGGCTCTGGGTAGTCTATTTGTCTGTCACCATCCCAATTTCACATTATCCTAGTTACTTGAGCTTTATAGAAAGTCTGGATTTATATAGGACAAGTATGCTCTACCTCATTCATTTTTATGTTATTCTTGTCCTCCCAATCAGTATTTGTTGAACAAACAGATGAATGGATGGTATCTGAGCTCTCGAAAAATGTTTGCTAAATTGTATTATTTGTGAAAATCTAAGGTATATTTTCCTGGGAGTAGACTTGCTGGTTGTTGAGGACACATTGAGACTGGAATCTCTTTACAGATTCCCTGGAATGGGTTCTATGAACTCTCTGGAAAGAAGAAGAGCTGCATCTAAGGCAAAGCTAGGAAGATGGTGAGGTGGATCAAGAATCAAGAGTTGACTCAAGGCTGGGCATGGTGGCTCATGCCTGTAATCCCAGCATTTTGGGAGGCCGAGGCAGGAGGATTGGTTGAGCCCAGGAGTTCTAGACAAACATGGGCAACAAAGGGAGACCCCATCTCTACAAAAAATAAAAAAAAATTTAGCCAGGCATGGTGACACATGCCTATAGTCCCAGCTACTCGGGAGGCTGAGATGAGAGGAGGATCACTTGAGCCCAGGTGGTCAAGGCTGCAGTAAGCCATGATCGCACCACTCCCCTCCAGCCTGAGTAATAGAGTAAGACCCTGTCTCAAAAAAAAAAGGAGTGAAATCTGGAAGCCTGGCAACTCAGGGAGGTGAAGAGGTGAAGAATGAATTCTGGACTGGATTGCATTTCAGACTGGGTCTTGAGCCTTCCTCCTTTAAAGTGGACTGGTAATGCCCTTCCTAAGAAAAGAGTCCCACTTGGAGAGAATCTCTCCAGCTATGTCTCATGCTTCTCCTGCCCATCCTCCACTCCCATAGCCTAGCACAGTGCCTGGCCAAGAGGATGCCCAGTGGCATGTATCCATTAGACAGTATGGCTGGCATACCGACTTCCCGAAACCAAGGATCTCCTCCTCCATGTACTTCCAGGCCTTGGCTGTGGGGGTTATGATGCAGGTATTCTCCACGATCGAATAGCACAGCACCAGCAAGGCCTCTGTGTGGGGCAGCTGCAGGAGGCTGCAAGAAGACAGCACTGAGGGTGGGGCTGGGCCAGGTGGCCCGGGCAGGAAACTACATCCAGTCTCTTCCCCTTCCCTTAGTGTCTGCTTTGGTCACACACATTCAGCATGCTTAGCATGGGGCCTTAGAGGCCTCTGGACAAATCGCCTCATTTTTCAAATGAGGAACTGAGGACCCGAAAGGAGAAATTACTTTCTCAGGATTGCAATGCTAAACAGGGCAGAGACAAGACCAGAACCCAAGTCTGGTAGCTCCAGGTACAGGGCTTACATAGAGAATAAGCATTTGAGCAGTGCTTAAGCCAACAATGGGCACAGAATTGGTGAGGCAGTTGCTAGCTGTGCCTGAAGTCCAGACAGGTCTGAGTGGATCTGGAGGCTGAAGCTAGGAAAATGGGCTTCTCACTCCCAAGAAAGGCAGAAGGGAGGGCAGGGTGGATGACAGAGTCAAAACTTCCTATACCTGCCAGGGTTTTGGTTTCTCCAGTAGGAGTTCTCATCATATATTTCATTCATTTCATCTATTTCCTGGGCTGATCGAATGAGCTCCTGGATGTTCTCCATTATCATAGGAGTAGACTCTACTTCTCGTACCCGGGGAGCAAAAGAGGAAGGGTTAGAAGATAGAGATTCAGAGTGAAACTTGGGCTCTGAGTCTGTCTGCAGCTGAGACACAGCCTCCCGTCCCTCCTTAGTCCCCTGTCCTTCTTCCTGCTTTCCCTCCTCTTCCTGTTCCTCTTCTTGCTCTTCCTGTTTCTGCCCCTCTTCCTGCTTGTGTTCTTGTGTCGGCTCCTGCCTGTGCTCCACTCCTTGCTCCTGCTTGTGCTCTGGCGCTTGCTCCTGGCCTCCCAGGGACAAGGAGGATTGTAGGAGCTCTTCCACGTTGTTGCTGAGCCTCTCAGGCCAGGGCTGGAAGGTCTGGCGTTCTGTCACTACAGCAGGGTTTAGAGAGAAGGGAGAGAGACAGTCAGGCTTCTAGCCCCTGAGTGTCTTTGTTCACAGAGGGACACACACATAAACAAAGCAGACCAAGTCACACTTATACACACAGAAAAACACAGAAAAGAACATAAGTATTAAACTAAAAGAACATTACCACGGCAACTGTAAGGCTGGTGGTATGCATCACCTTCCCACCTCCCTGGCAAGCACTCCTCCTTCCCTAACTTCCACCTCAAATACCACCATTTGTCCCTCTCCCTTAGGAAACACCAAGTATGCTGAGTAGCTAGCAGTCAATCCTTTCTAAAGTGAAGACATTAGCTTATAAAGGGCCTAGAGGTCCTTTGTAATGCAACAATGTCTCTGGAATTGGGAAAAATGGATTCAGGGCAAAATTGTAAGTAATGGCAGAAGAGATTCTGGTCCAGGAGAGCCCTAACTTGTATTCATAAAAAGCTGACACTCCTTTGTGTAAACAGCTGTCTGCTGGCGCCCCCTTCCCGCCCAACATGCTTCCCATTTCCCTGCCATGGATGCCTTACGTTGTGGGCTCTGGGAGTTGTGGGAGTAGCTGGTGGTCTCCCGGCTGCTGAGAGGGTCTCACCTGTGAAGTGGGGTGAGATGGGGGAGGTCATCGTGGTGGGTGAGACTTCAGCTGAAGCTTCTATCTCCTTGAGAGTGTTAGGTGAGAGAATAGAGACTGGCTGGGAACACAGGACTCTCTGCAGGAAGAGAAGGAAAATGGGAAAGCCTTTCCTAAAGGGCAGACTTCTGCTCCAGCTGGTTCTTCAACCCCTTTTCCAGCATGTCTTATCTCTCAGTTTCTAGGCAGGGATAAAGGGACATGGTCCCTGCTGGAACCCTCTAGACCTGAGAAAGGGTCCCTTCAGAAGATGAATCTCTGTTTGTCTGGGCCACATCCCTGCCGTCACTTTTGCATTTGACTCAAAATCACTGACCTGTTCGAAGAAACGTAAGGGCTTATCTCTTTGCCTCTTCCCATCCCTCTTCCCTACTTCTTTTTGTTTGGGTTTTGGGTTTGTTTTTTTTGTTTTTTTTTTTTGAGACGGAGTCTCACTCTGTCACCCAGGCTGGAGTGCAGTGGCGCGATCTCGGCTCACTGCAAGCCCCACCTCCCGGGTTCACGCCATTCTCCTGCCTCAGTCTCTCGAGTAGCTGGGACTACAGGCGCCTGCCACCACGCCCAGCTAATTTTTTGTATTTTTAGTAGAGACAGAGTTTCACCGTGTTAGCCAGGATGGTCTCGATCTCCTGACCTCATGATCTGCCTGCCTCGGCCTCCCAAAGTGCTGGGATTACAGGCGTGAGCCACCGCACTCGTCCCTGTTGTTGTTTTTTTTTGAGACACAGTCTTGCTCTGCCACTCAGGATAGGGTGCAGTGGCATGATCTCGGCTTACTGCAACCTTTGCCTCCCGGGTTCAAGCAATTCTCCTGCCTCAGCCTCCCGAGTAGCTGGGATTACAGGCGCCCATCACCAAGCCCGGCTATTTTTTTTTTTTTTTTTTGTATTTTTAGTAGAAACGGGGTTTCACCATGTTGGCCAGGCTGGTCTCGAACTCCTGACTTCAGGTGATCTGCCCATCTCGGGCTCCCAAAGTGCTGAGATTACAGGCATGAGCCACCATGCCCAGTCTCTTCTCTACTTTTCTTGCAGTAACAGAATTGTTCAATCTGAATATCCAAGGTGAGACTGTATTCATATATAATCTGGGTAAATGACTGGCAAAATGGCAGGGAAGGAGGAGCTAAGGATGACTCTCCTGGAACCCTTCCTCAACTCCCCACTGCTGCCGCCTCTCCCTTGGCCCTGGGGCACCAAATCCAACCTTTGTCCTGGGCCTCACCTTGGCATAGTAGACGTGGTTGGAGCAACGGTAGTGAGTGAACTGGCAGAAAGACTCAAACCAGGAGGCATAAGGGAGGTTGGAGCAGACAGCACCTGAGAAAGGGCAGGGGTGGAGAAGATGAACCCGTGGGGAGCTTGGGGTGGGGCTGTGGGCAATGGACTCCACGCCATGGGGAGGGTGGAGAGTACGAGCTCATGGTGTGGTGCCAGCCATGCCCTTCCCCGCCTCACATGAGCACAGGGGTTTTTGCCCTGAGGTTTGGGTGAACACTCTGGGTGCCTCGGTTTCCCCCCTAGTCTGGCCCTCACCATCGGGCACTAAGCCGTGGTTTTCATATTGGTCCAGCTGGACGAGTGTGGGATTCCGGCAGCCGTGGGTTGCACGGAGACGGCAGGTAGTCTCTGCCTTCCAGGTTGGAGTCAGCAGTGCGAAGAAGCGTTCGTATTCGGTAGGAGAGAGAGGGCTGCCTGGAGTGGAGGCCTGAGTCGAATCCTGGGCTGCGGCAGGTGCCAGAGGCAGGAGCAGCACTGCGGAGCGGGCGAACGGATGATGGAAGGACCGAACCCCAAAACCCGCTCCGAGACCAGGACAGACAGACCCAGACTGGCAAATTAGGAACGGGGTGAGGGTTATCCCTGCTGACCAGGGCGGGGGGAGTCTAGAGACAGAGGCAAAGGTCCGGCCGCGGGCGGGGGGAGATGGGAGTATCCCAGGACCTAGGGAGCCGACCCAGCGCGACCACCATGAGGAAGCGATCCAGAAACCGTAAAAGCAGAGCTCTCGGGAGGGAGAGGACTAGCCCGGGGAGAGTCTGTTGGAGCAGGTGTAAACCTCTCACCCTTCAGGAGTGAGGGAAGGAAGCCAGCGGCTGGCTTCCTCATGGCCGGAGAAGATCCGCCCGCGTCCCGTGGACACAAGCCGCCTCTAACGGGCCAAGCCGCAGAGAGAGCCGCAGGCGCGGGGCGGGGCGCACGCGGGCACCGCCCACGCGTCACAAAGAGCGGGCCGGGGCGGGGCCTCGACAGCCGGGCTCTCAGGGCCCTAAAGTGGCCAGAGCCCATCCAGATGGTAGGAATGGCAAACAGCTACCTTCACTTAGCGTCTTTTTCTTTTTTTTTTGAGACGGAGTCCTACTCTGTCGCCCAGGCTGGAGTGCAGTGGTGCGATCTCGGCTCACTACAACCTCGGCGTCCCAGGTTCAAGTGATTCTCCTGCCTCAGCCTCCCGAGTAGCTGGGACTATAGGTGCACGCCACCACGCCCAGCTAATTTTTGTATTTTTAGTAGAGATGGTATTTCACCATGCTGGCCAGATGGTCTCGATCTCTTGACCTTGTGATCCGCCCACCTCGGCCTCCCAAAGTGCTGGGATTACAGGCGTGAGCCACCATGCCCGGCCTAATTTTTGTATTTTTAGTAGAGACTGGGTTTCACCATGTTGGCCAGGCTGGTCTTGAACTCCTGACTTCAAATGATCTGCCCACCTCGGCCTCCCAAAGTGCTGGGATTACAGGTGTGAGCCACCGTAGCCAGCCACTTAGCATCTTTACATGCACTACCTTACGTAATTGCCATAGGAATCCCATAAGGTAGATACACTATCATTCGTTTTACAGATGAGAAATCGGGGCTTAGGGAAGCAACTCGCCCAACAAACAGGTCGTGAGGTCTAGAGCTAAGCGCAGGCAGAGATAGAATGTGCAAAACCAAGTCAAGGCCTATCTGGGTAGGAACTAGACAGGGCGCCTCCATGAGCAAAATGGGTCCAAGGGGAAAACAAGAGGGTGGCTCAGTGGTCTACGAAAGTGGTTTCCAAGGGAGAATCGAGTAAGACAGTCCACTGAGGTATGGGAGGAGAACTTTTGCTTTTGTATCTGTTTTGTGTTTAAAATGAGAAATTCCAGCCTGGGCAACAGGGCGAAACCTCGTCTCTACAAAAAGTACAAAAAATTAGCCAAGCGTGGTGGCACGTGCCTGTAGTCCCAGTTTCTTGGGGGGCTGAGATGGGAGGATCGCTTGAGCCCATGAGGCCAAGGCTGCAGTGAGGTGCAATCGGGCCACTGCTCTCCAGCCTGGGTGACAAAGTGAGACCCTGTCCCCACCCAAAAGCAAAAGTAAAAAAGAAAAATAAAACAAGAAATTGTCTTGGGCCAGACTTGGTGGCTCACGCCTGTAATCCCAGCATTTGGGAAGTCAAGGCGGGTGGATTCCTTGAGCCCAGGAGTTCCAGACCAGCCTGGGCAACATGGCGAAACCCTGTCTCTACAAAAAATACAAAAATTGTCAGGTGTGGTGGTGTGCGCCTGTTGTCCCACTTACTACTTGGGGAGGCTGAGGTAGGAGGATCACCTGAGTCTTCAGAGGTCAAGGCTGCAGTGAGCTGAGATCTCACCACTGTGCTCCAGCCTGGGTGACAAAGTGAGACCCTGTCTCAAAAATAAAATAAAATAAAATAAATTAATAAAATAGAGACCAGGCACTGTGGCTCATTCCTGGAATTCCAGCACTTTGGGAGGCCAAGGAGGGTGGATCTCTTGAGGCCAGGAGTTTGAGACCAGCCTGGCCAAAATGGTGAAACTTGGCCGGTGCGATGGCTCATGCCTGTAATCCTAGCACTTTGGGAGACCAAGGCAGGCAGATCACGAGGTCAGGAGATCAAGACCATCCTAGCTAACACGGTGAAACCCTGTCTCTACTAAAAATACAAAAAATTAGCCAGGCGTGGTGGCATGTGCCTGTAGTCCCAGCTACTCGGGAGGCTGAGGCAGGAGAATTGCTTGAACTCGGGAGATGGAGGTTGCAGTGAGCCGAAATCACGCCACTGCACTCCAGCCTGCATGACAGAGTGAGACTCCATCTCAAAAAAAAAAAAAGGGTGAAACCCAGTCTCTACTAAAAATACAAAAATTATGGCTGGTCTCAGCACAGTGCAATCTCTGCCTCCTGGGTTCAAGTGATTCTCCTGCCTCAACCTCCCAAGTAGCTAGGATTATAGGCACATGCCACCACATCTGGCTAATTTTTGTATTTTTAGTAGAGATGGGGTTTTAACATGTTGGCCAGACTGGCCTCGAACTCCGGACCTCAGGTGATCCACCCACCTCAACCTCCCAGAGTGCTGGGATTACAGGTGTGAGCCACCGCACCCAGCCTATTTATTTTTTTGAGACGGAGTCTCACTCTATCGCCCAGGCTGGAGTGCAGTGGTACAATCTCAGCTCACTGCAACCTCTGCCTCCCAGGTTCAAGCGATTCTCCTGCCTCACCCTCTCGAGTAGCTGGGATTACAGGCACCCATGACCACGCCCAGCTAATTTTTGTATTTTTGGCCGAGACCGGGTTTCGCCATGTTGGCCAGGCTAGTCTTGAACTCCTGACCTCAGGTGATCCACCTCCCTTGGCCTCCCAAAGTGTTGGGATTACAGGCGTGAGCTACCGGGCCTGGCCTACTTTAAAAAAAATTTTAAAAAATGAAAAAAAGAAATCAGCTTGGGTGCTGTGGCTCACGCCTGTAATCCCAGCACTTTGGGAGGCCAAGGCAGGCAGATCATGAGGTCAAGAGATGGAGACCATCCTGGCCAACACGGTGAAACCCTGTCTCTACTAAAAATACAAAATTAGCTGGGCGTGGTAGCATGTGCCTGTAGTCCCAGCTACTTGTAAGACTGAGGCAGGAGAATCACTTGAACCCGGAGGCGGAGACTGCAGTGAGCCAAGATCACGCCACTGCACTCCAGCCTGGCAACAGAGTGAGACTTCGCCTCAAAGGAAAAAAAAAAAGAAGTCAAGCTAATGTATAGTATAGCAGTACGTATGTATAGCACAAATACATCATTTATTGGAAATTAAGTGAAAGATGTTTTATGGAGAAAAGATGCATGATTTACAAAGTTTTGGAGACCCCCTGGTCTGAGGCCTACCCTCCAGCACCTCTGTCTTTCCCAAGTTGAGAACTTACAAGTTCTCGGACAGAGGCACCACTCTGGTTTCATGTCGTGTCCTAATTCTGGCATGCCATCCTCTCACATTGCATCCAACCCAGAGGACGCAAAATGAATGCTCAGCATGTTTACTAAAACAGTGTCTCTACAATAAACACAGCAGGCCAACATGTATAGCTTTTATTTACCTACCCAAGTTCCTTTTACATGTGAGTTATCTGCATTCCACCTTGCCCCCTCTCCCAGGATGAATCCTCTTGGCACAGAGGAAGGGGTGCCCCTTCAACTAGGGCCAGAGCCTAGATGACCTGGTGGATCCCCCACCATGAAAAAAGCAGGAAGGGAATGGAGAAGAAAAGTGTTGATCACACCTAGCCCTCACCACAGGAGGGGGAATGAAGAGGTCTGGGGGACTGCCCCCATGCTATGCCCCAGTCCTTAAATACAAAGCAAGGAGAATGAAAAGGACCCTCCCTCTGAAATACAGCACCGACCTCAGCATGGAGGCAAAAGGACAGTGGGCAAGACCACGTCCCTCCGAAGGGAGAGGGCTGAAGGAGAGCACATACCGTTAGTGGCTGCGGCACCCCTCCCTACCAGGGTCTGATGCAGCCTCAGCACCGGGAGTGGGGAGAGGGGAGGAGAAGGGATGACAGCACTGTGCCATCCACTCCTCCCTGAACCCCTGGCCCCAGCACAGGCATTCCTCTGCCCACTAGCCCAAGTCAGGGGATGTGGAAGAAACTGTGTTGGAATCCAAGGCCCTTATCTATTTCTTCTTCCGTTCTTGGGAGCAGCGTGGGCAAAACCTGAAACAGAGAAGGGGAGAGAAAAGTGAGTGAAAGGGAGAATGCCCTTGACCACTCAACTTAGGGACCCTCCAACTCCTGCCACTTACCATTTCCCCCGAGGCTTGGTTGTCAGCCCCACACAGGCAAAATGGAACCACTCAATGGAACACTGGAAGAGGAAGAAAGAAGTAGTCAGGGGCCAGGAAGGGCCAGAGGAAGGAGAGAAAGCCCCTCCAGATTCCTTAGGAACATCCTGTCCTTTACTCCATCCTTTTGGAGAATTCTTGGAAGTCCCAAGGCCAACCAGTTCCCACCATCTTCCTTCTATTCTTTTTTTCTTTTTGAGGCAGAGTCTCACTCTGTTGCCCAGGCTGGAATGCAATGACATGATCTCAGCTCACTGCAACCCCCGCCTCCCGAGTTCAAGCTATTCTCCTGCCTCAGCCTCCCAAGCAGCTGAGATTACAGGCACAGGCTATCATGCCTGGCTAATTTTTGTATTTTTAGTGGAGACGGGGTTTCACCGTGTTGGCCAGGCCAGTCTCGAACTCCTGATCTCAAGTGATCTGCTCACCTTGGCCTCCCAAAGTGCTGGGATTACAGGCGTGAGCCACAGCGCCAGGCTTTCAGGCTTTTTTTTTTTTTTTTTTTTTGAGACAGAGTCTTGCTCTTGTCGCCCAGGTTAGAGTGTGGTGGCGTGATCTCAGCTCACTGCAACCTCTGCCTCCTAGGTTCAAGCAATTCTCCTGCCTCTCGCCTCAGCCTCCCGAGTAGCTGGGATGACAGTCGTGTGCCACTATGCTCAGCTAATTTTTGTATTTTTAGTAGAGAAGGGGTTACACTATGTTGGCCAGGCTGGTCTCAAACTCCTGACCTCACGTGATCTGCCCGCCTCAGCCTCCCAAAGTGCTGGGATTTCAGGCAAGAGCTACTACGTCCAGCCCATCTTTCTTCTATTCTGAAGTCCCAGTACTCAACTGTGGGATTTTCCCTCTTGTACCCACTCCCTTCATGCCCCTCACAACCCCCCATCCTAAGGCAAAATGTTTCTCACATCAGGGTTGTCACAGCCAATCATCTCTCCATAGGAGACCTGGTGACAAAGGCAATAGGTGGGTTCGTTGGGATCCACAGGCATATCCAACACATCAGAGGGGTGGACACTGCCAAAGGTCACTGAGGGCATCCCATACTCAGGACTTCTGCATGCCAAGAGGAAGAGAAAGTGTCATCTACAGGAAGGGAAGCTAAAGCCTGAGGCTTTCAGAGGTGGCAGGAGATCCTGGTAGGGCAAATGATTTGTGGCTTCTCCAGCAGATACCAAAATGATAAGAAGAGTTCTTGGCGCAGACATATAGAAAGCGGCAGGGGGCGGTGCAGGCTGGGAGTGGGGCACCGGGAGAGAAGAGGATGTCATCCGGCAAAGGGCTCCCTGAATCACTCACGTGCGCACGAGCTTTAACTTCTTCTGGGCAGTCTTGGGGGCTTCTTCATCCGAGTTTTTCCCTTTGGAACGAGCACGAGCAGCTTTCTTCTCCTTTTGAGTCCGGCCTTCTAGGGAAGAGGGAGAAAGCCAGAAGGCAGGGAGACAGAAAGATGGGTTAAGTCCTCTTCTCTCCCCCTTTCCAACCTGGTGCCAAACTTCCCACCAGATGAAGAGCTGACTTCTTCTCCCTTTCAGTCCTCGCCCCACCTCTCACAGCCCCGCCCCCTCCTCACTCTTTTTGCCTTTGCTGGAAGAGCTGTCATAGTCACTTGACTCAATCTGTTTCTCCTTGAGATCAGCCTCAAAACGGGCCAGGTCTGTGTCCAGCCGCCGAATGTGTTTGTCCACCTGGGTGGAAAGGAAGGAGAAAGGAGAGGTACAAAACTATCTCCAATTAAAGAAAATAGGTTAAGGCAGAGTTTATGGATCTCACAGACCCCAAACAGATCCCAACACAGTTGAAGGAGGGGTCTAAGACCCTGAGGATTAGATGGGAAGTAGGTGGGGAGCCATGAACAGGGCCATACCATCTCATAGGTCTGCATGGCAAGCTGCACCTTGTCGTCACCAAATTCCTTGCACTTGCCATAGGCTTCCTGGATCTGTTTGAGAAGGGCCAATTTTTCCTCGGAGCTCAGGCTGCGGGCACTACTCATATACTCAGTGGCCAACTTGTCAATTTCAGCCTTCAGGTCTACAACAGAGACAGAGGCCTGGTCACAATGGCCCCTGAGTGGCTAGGTGAAACACATTTCTTCCTTTTGTTCTTTGGACCTTTTCCATTGATTAGCATAACCTTCCAACTAAAAAGTACTGAATGTTCAGAGGTACTGTGCCATGCACTCAAGTAATGGAACATACTGACAATATTTGCTTTAAAGGTCCTTTCAAGGTGCTGAAAACATTGCTATCATAGTTGGAATTTAAATTACTGAAACACAGCAAGGGATCCTTTGCACACCACATTAATATGAAGTGTATTTTTGTCCATGTTTGAAGATGCTTCTTTGAAGGGCTTGCTGCTTCTTGAATTTTGTCTCAAAAGCCATTGTTTCCTTCTCAAAAACATCCCACAGCAGTTGTCTGCCGCAAATCAGGCTGAGTCATCTGCTGTTGCTGGTTTCCAAGTCTGTACATCAATATCATACATTTCAAAATTATTAGTATTTTTTCTTTTTGACACAGGGTCTCACTTTGTCGCCCAGGCTGGAGTGCAGTGGCACAATCATGGCTCACTGCAGCCTCAACTTCCTGAGCTCTGGTGATCCTCCCATCTCAGGCACCACCACGCCTGGCTAATTTTTTCTATTTTTTTGTAGAGACAGGCTTTTTCCACGTTACCCAGGCTGGTCTCGAACTCCTGGGTCAAGCAATCTGCCTGCTTCAGCCTCCCAAAGTGCTGGGATTATTGGGGGTGAGCTACCATGCCTGGCCTAATCTATTTATTTTTAGAGGCAGGCGCAGGTTCTCTCTTATGTTTGTTGCCTAGGCTGACCTCCAACTCCTGTCCTCAAGTGATTCTATCTTTTCGCCTCCTGAGTAGTTGAGTATATCACACAATTTAAAATTAGACCTTACTCCAACATCCATGTAACAATTCTGCTTATCTTACTGCTCACTCTATTTTTCTTTTTTTTTTTTTTTGAGACAGGGTCTCACTCTATTGCCCAGGTTGGATGGAGTGCAGTGGCATGATCATGGATCACACTGCAGCCTCAACCTCTGAGCTCAAATGATCTCCCATTTCAGCCTCTGGAGTAGCTGGGACCACAGGCACATGCCACTACACCCTGATAATTTTTTTAAAAAAATTATTTCTAGAGATGAGGTCTCACTATATTGCCCAGGCTGGTCTTGAACTCCTGGTCAAATGATCCACCTGCCTCAGCCTCCCAAAGTGTTGGGATTCCAGGTGTGAGCCACTGCAGCCAGGCTGCCCATCCTATTTGGCTCATCATTGCAACTTCTTTCATTTTCCATTACTTCTTTTTTTCCTGTTTGTCCATCCTAGATATTGCTCCAAACACGTTTTTTTGTTTTGAGACGGAGTCACGCTCTGTTGCCCAGGCTGGTGTGCAGTGGCACGATCTTGGCTCACCTCAACCTCTGCCTCGTGGGTTCAAGGGATTCTCGTGCCTCAGTCTCCCAAGTAGCTGGGACTACAGGTGTGCGCCACCACATCTGGCTAATTTTTGCATTTTTAGTAGAGATGTGGTTTCACCATGTTGGCCAGGCTGGTCTCGAAGTTCTGATCTCAAGTGATCTGCCCGCCTCGGCCTCCCAAAGTACTGGGATTACAGACATGAGCCACGGCACCCGGTCTCCCAGATGTTTTATTTTATTTTATTTATTTTTTTTTGAGACCAAGTCTCACTGTGTTGCCCAGGCTGGAGTGCAGTAGTGTGATTTCAGCTCACTGCAACCTCCACCTCCCAGGTTCAAGCGATTCTCCTGCATCAGCCTCCTGAGTAGCTGGGATTACTGGCATGCGCCACCACACCCGACTAATTTTTGTATTTTTAGCAGAGACAGGGTTTCACCATATGGGCCAGGCTGATCTCAAACTCCTTATCTCAGGAGACTCACCCGCCTCTGCCTCCCAAAGTGCTGGGATTACAGGCGTAAGCCACCGCACCCGGCCCCAAATGTTTTAATATTGGAAGAATGGTAATGTCCCAGGACATTGAGACTATAGATGTTTACTAATATTTGGAAGGGCTCATAAATATGTCAGTAGTAAGAGACAAGTCTGACTCTAACATAGTGCAGCAACAGATAACCAGGAGGATCTGTGAAGACACTGTTTATACTCCACTTCATTCCAGGCTCTTGGAAGAAGCTGAAAAAGCATATAGTTCCATAATCTCCAACTGTCTTTCCATGCATGAACTCAAGAGTTACAACTGTATTACAAAAAAAGCAATCTGGTTCTCACCATTCGGCAGGCAGTTCTCAGGGAACTGTGTCCAGGGTTTTTGATGATGTTCACCTTTTCATGTGTAAACTCAGAGTAACTTAAGACACAGCTTCATGTATCTCAAAACCAGTCTGTTACATCCTTGAACATGGCTACATAGAATGAAGACAAGACTACAGATCCTTCAGTGGGTATGGGAATAGCTCCAACAGACATCTTTGAAGAAACCAAGTGAATGCCCCAATGCAGCCAAATTTGCTCAATGTTCCAGGCTGGAGATGGTATCTAATGCTTCTGTAAGTGTGAACGGTATAGAGATCCCATTGTCAATTACTGCTTTTTTTTCTTTCCTCTTTCTTTTTTCTTTCTCTTTTTAAGGACTTCTCATATAGCAAACCTCCCATCTACCAACATATGTTGCAGTCTAAAGTCACACTGGGAATTTGTGACAGTAACATTAACAATGAGAGAAGTAGAAACATTCTAGTCATCCTATAAATATATCAAACGTGGAGAGCAGAAATGACTCGAGTTGACTTTCTTTAATTCTTCTTTTTTTTTTTTTTTGAGACAGAGTCTTGCTCTGTTGCCTAGGCTGGAGTGCAGTGACATGTGGCATGATTTGGGCTCACTACAACCTCCACCTCCCAGGTTCAAACGATTCTCACGTCTCAGCCTCCCAAGTAGCTGGGATTACTGGTGCGTGCCACCACACCTGGCTAGTTTTTGTATTTTTAGTAGAGATGGGGTTTCACCATGTGGCCAGGCTGATCTCAAACTCCTGGCCTCAAGTTACCTGCCCGCCTAGGCCTCCCAAAGTGCTGGGATTACAGGTGTGAGCCAGCCTGGCTAATTATTCTCCAGGAAGACATAAAGAACACAGCATCTTTGAATTCTTGAGGCGTTTTCACAATACTCTATTTGTTATGAAAAAGCTGACACAGAAATGAGGATCATTATCCTGTTTTAAGAATTCCAAGAGCGTAAAAAAGGAGCGAGAGAAGCCACAGTTCTCCAGATCATACCAGATGATACGGTAACATCAAGTAGAAAAATAAATGATTACACACACTCATTAGATACAAAAACTTTTTACTCTATACATACCCTCTGTTCTTTGGTCTAGGTCCCTCATGAGCTGAAAGTTTCTCTGTAATTCAAAGGGAAGGTTTTCAATACCTAGGGAAGAGAGAGAAACAATCACAGGACTGACTATGCATAGGCCTTACAGCTCCTTTTAAAGTGCAGTTCAGGCCGGACATGGTGGCTCACGCCTGCAATCCCAGCACTTTGGGAGGCCAAGGGGGTGGATCACTCAAGGCCAGGAGTTCAAGACCAGCCTGGCCAACATGGCGAGACCTCCATCTCTATTAAAAATATGAAAATTAGCCTAGTGTGACGGTGGGCATCTCTAATCCCAGCTACTTGGGAGGCTGAGGCATGAGAATCACTTGAATCCAGGAGGCAGAGGTTGCAGTGAGCCGTGATTGAGCCACTGCACTCCAGCCTGGGCAATAGAGCAAGTCCCTGTCTCAAAAACAAACAAATGGCCAGGCATGGTGGCTCACACCTGTAATCCCAGCACTTTGGGAGGCCGAGGAGAGCAGATCACGAGGTCAGGAGATTGAGACCATCCTGGCTAACATGGTGAAACCCCGTCTCTACTAAAAATACAAAAAATTAGCCAGGTGCGATGGCGGGCGCCTGTACTCCCAGCTACTCAGGAGGCTGAGGCAGGAGAATGGCATGAACCTGGGAGGCGGAGTTTGCAGTGAGCCGAGATCGCACCACTGCACTCCAGCCTGGGCGACACAGTGAGACTCCATCTCAAACAAACAAACAAACAAACAAAAAATAAAGTGCAGCTCAGTTTTCCTTCCTCTGAACCTCTGGATTTATCTGTGACAGGATGGATCAGTTCTCTCATGACAGGCCATGCTTAACTCTTTCTCTACAAAACCTTTCCATTTCTGCATGGCTATCCCACCCTTTTCGCCTTCAGTGACCTTCCTTTATAAATAAGCTCTTCCCGTCAGGTGTGGTGGCTCAAGCCTGTAATCCCAGCACTTTGGGAGGTTGAGGCGGGTGGATCACGAGGTCAGGAGTTCGAGACCAGCCTGGCCAACATGGTGAAAGCCTGTTTCTACTAAAAATATAAAAATTAGCCAGGTGTGGTGGCACGTACCTGTAATCCCAGCTATTCAGGAGGCTGAGGCAGGAGAATCACTTGAACCTGGGAGGCAGAGGTTGCAGTGAGCCAAGACTGCACTACTGCACTCCAGCCTGGTGACAGAGCGAGACTCTGTCTCCAAAAAAAAAAAAAAAAGCTCTTCCCTTTCTTTTCCTTTTTTGTTTTTTGAGACGGAGTCTGGCTCTGTTGCCCAGGCTGGAGTGCAGTGGCACGATCTTGGCTCACTGCAGCCTCCACCTCCTGGGTTCAAGTGATTCTCCTGCCTCAGCCTCTGGAGTAGCTGGGACCACAGGCGCGCGCCACCACACCCGACTAATTTTTGTATTTTTAGTAGACACAGGGTTTCACCATTTTGGCCAGACTGGTCTTGAACTCCTGGCCTCAGGTGATCCGCCCGCCTTGATCTCCCAAAGTGCTGGGATTACTGGCATGAGCCACTAAGACGGGCCCCTTTCTTTTATTTTCCATCTCTGCCTCCAAGCTCTTTGTCCTCAAATTACAAATAGTCTCCTGGTATCCTCTATTATACACATAACACTTCCAATCTACTTCCATATAGTAGCCAGAATGTCCTTTTTAAAAAATGCAAACCTGGCCAGGCACGGTGGCTCATGCCTGTAATCCCAGCACTTTGGGAGGCCCAGGTGGGCGCATCAGCTGAGCTGAGGAGTTCAAGACCAGCCTGGGCAACATGGTGAAACTCTGTCTCTACCAAAAATACAAAAACTTAGCCAGGCTTGGTGCACATGCCTGTAATCCCAGCTACTTGGGAGGCTGGGGCACAAAAATCCCTTGAACCTGGGAGGTGGACATTTCAGTGAGCCGAGATCACGCCAATGCACTCCAGCCTGGATGACAGAGCAAGACACTGACTCAAAAAAACAAAAACAAAAACAAACACAAAAATAAAAAATGCAAACCTAATCAAGTCACTCTCCCGCTTATAACCTTCTGGTCACTTCCTACTGCTCTGAAGATGTTCTGCGCTTTCTGGCCCTTGCTTACCTCACACCAGCCTGAACTCATGTCAGTCTCCCTTTGTGCTCTGCTTTGCCCATACTGGCCTCCTCGCACTGCCTCAAACTGGCCTGTGCTCCTCCTGCCATTTGGCTTTCCACATGCTGTTCTCTCTAGTTGGAATGCACCGCTCGCTTTTCCTCATCCCATCCACCCCATCCCTCTTGGCCTATTAAATTCCTGTTCGTTCTTCCAAAGTTCAGCTCAAACTCAACTTTCCCAGACTCTGTTAACTGCCCTCGATCTATGTCAAGGTATTCTAGCCACCTTTTTAAAGCACTTATCCAACTGTAATTAAATAAATGTGTAATTAGTTGGCTGGGTGCGGTGGCCCATGCCTGTAATCCAGCACTCTGGAAGGCAGGTGGATCACTCAAGGCCAGGAGTTCAAGACCAGCCTTGGCAGCCTGGCAAAACCCCATCTCTACTAAAAATACAAAAATTAGGGCCAGGCACGGTGGCTCATGCCTGTAATTCTAGCACTTTGGGAGGCCGAGGCGGGTGGCTCACTTGAAGCCAGGAGTTCAAGACCAGCCTGGCCAACATGGTGAAACCTGTAATCCCAGATACTTGGGAGGCTGAGGCACAAGAATTGCTTAAATCCGGGAGGTGGAGGTTGCAGTGAGCTGAGATCGCACCACTGCACTTCAGCCTGGGTGACAGAGTGCGACTCCATCTCAAAAACAAAACAAAACAAAAATTAGGCCAGGCGCGGTGGCTCACACCTGTAATCCCGGCACTTTGGGTGGCCGAGGAGAGCAGATTACGAGGTCAGGAGATTGAGACCATCCTGGCTAACATGGTGAAACCCCGTCTCTACTAAAAATACAAAAAAATTAGCTGGCCGTGGTGGCGGGCGCCTGTAGTCCCAGCTACTCGGGAGGCTGAGGCAGGAGAGTGGCGTGCATCCAGGAGGTGGAGCTTTCAGTGAGCCGAGATCGCTCCACTGCACTCCAGCCTGGGCGACAGAGCGAGACTCTGTCTCAAAAAAAAAAAAAAAAAATAGATGGGCATGGTGGCCTGTGGCTGTAGTTCCAGTTACTCAAGAGACTGAGGCAGGACAATTGCTTGAACCAGGGAGGTAGAGGTTGCAGCCCGGGCAAAAGAGCAAGACTGTTTCAAAAAACAAAAAAATTAAAAAAAATAATGTGTAATTAGTTATTTGGTATCTGTCTCCCCAGGCCGAACATGGCTATCATATTCTCTCCTGTTTCCATAGTGTTTAGAATTATGACTTGCAAAGAGCAGGTACTCAGTAAATACTTGAATAAATGCATGAATATTTGTCACCCCAGTACAAGAGAAATCTCTTGCCAAGACTCCACCTAAAACTTTAAAAATGCCTCTACTTGCTGGGCACAGTGGCTCACGCCTGTAATCCCAGCATTCTGGGAGGCCAAGGCAGGTAGATCGCTTGATCTCAGGAGTCTGAGACCAGCCTGGGCAATATGGCCAGATCCTGTCTCTATAAAAATTAAATATATATATAAAAAATAAAAGGCCTGGTACGGTGGCTCATGCCTGTAATCCCAGCACTCTGGGAGGCCAAGGTGGGTGGATCACCTGAGGTTGGGAGTTTGAGACCAGCCTGGCCAACACAGTGAAACCTCATCTCTACTAAAAATACAAAAATTAGCTGGGTATGGTGGCGGGCACTGTAATCCTAGCTACTCAAGAGGCTGAGGCAGGAGAATCACTTGAACCCGGGAGGCAGAGGTTGCAGTGGGCCAAGATCGCACCATTGCGCTCCAGCCTGGGTGACAGAGTGAGACTCTGTCTCAAAAACAAACAAACAAACAGAAAAACTAAAATAAAATAAATAAAAAAAAATAAAATGCCTCTACTGTTTAAACCTACAACTTCAGGTCTGCTACCACCAGTTCACAAGACTGAGTCACTGGTGATTTACCAAATCTAATGGTGTTATTAAGCCTATCCTAAAAAATATCTCTGCAGCAGTTGGCATGATCTTTTCTCCGCTGAGTAACTTTCTTTTCTTTTCTTTTGAGGTGTAGTGTCGCTCTTGTCGCCCAGGCTGGAGTGCAATGGCGCAATCTCAGGTTCAAGGAATTCTTGTGCCTCAGCCTCCCAAGTAGCTGGGATTACAGGCGTCTGCCACCACGCCCAGCTAATTTTTGTATTTTTAGTAGAGACGGGGTTTCACTATGTTAGCCAGGCTGGTCTTGGAACTCCTGACCTAAGGCGATCCACCCATCTCAGCCTCCCAATGTGCTAGGATTATAGGCGTGAGCCACCGCTCCCAGCCTTTTTGTTTTTGTTTTTTTTTTGAGGCGGAGTCTCACTCTGTTGCCCAGGCTGGAGTGCAGTGGCATGATCTCGGCCCACTGCAACCTCCACCTCCCAGGTTCAAGCGATTCTCCTGCCTTAGCCTCCTAAGTAGCTGGGACTACAGGGGCACACCACCACACCTGGCTATTTTTTTTATTTTTAGTAGAGACGGGGTTTCACCATGTTAGCCAGGCTGGTCTCGATCTCCTGACCTCATGATCCGCCTGCCTCAGCCTCCCAAAGTGTTGGGATTACAGGCATGAGCCACCGTGCCTGGCCACCAGCCTTTGTTTTTTTTTTTTTTTTTTTTTTTGAGAGGGACACGGAGTCTTTCTCTGTCACCCAGGCTGGAGTGCAGTGGTATGTATGATCTTAGCTCACTGCAATCTTCACCTGCTGGGTTCAAGTGATTCTCCTGACTCAGCCTCCCAAGTAGCTGGGATTACAGTCACATGCCACCATGCCCAGCTAATTTTTTTTTTTTTTTAAAGTAGAGACTGGGCTTCACCATGTTGGACAGGGTGATCTCAAACTCCTGACCTCAAGTGATCTGCCCGCCTTGGCCTCCCAAAGTGCTGAGATTACAGGCATGAGCTACTGTGCCCAGCCTGTCTACCTCACTTTCTAAGCAGGAAGAAGCCACCTTAGATTCTTCCTTCTCTCTCAACCACTCAGTCATTCAGTCAGTCCTTTCATATTTAACTCCTAAATACTTCTGTAACTCCCTAAAATCAGGTTCTTATCTCTGTCCTGGAATGTTATCACTAATTGATCTCTGTTATCAACAATATCATGCTCCAATTTACCATATATTAGTCATTTTCCTCTATAAAAATCATACTCTACTTTAAAATGCAAACTTCTTCGTTTGGCTTAAAAGACCTTGTCCAATCTAGCCTCAGCCTCTTTCTCCAGTCTCCTTTCTCAATTTCTTACCTTAGATTCATAAATATCAAATACGCTGACCTCTGAGTCATAAATATCAAACACCCTTGACCTTGCCACAAACCCATCACAGTACCTTTGCGGATGCTTTCCCCAACCTGGAATTCCTTTTTTCTCTCCTCACTGGCAAATAACCTTCAAGACCCTATTCAAACATCACCTCCGCTGTAAAGCTTTTCCTACATCCCCAGGTAATTACCCCCCTTTTCTCCAGGGTTGCCTACCAAGTGTCCTTTTTAATGTATTTCCATTATCTCACTTGTCACAGTGTTTTATAATTATTTGCAGAATCTGTTTCCTACTAGATCGTGAGCTTCTTGAGGGCAGGAGCCTTGTCTTACTCATTTTTCTATCCCTAGTGCCTGCCATTATGTCTGACCCATAGCAGGACCTCAATAAATATTTGTTGAATAAATGACTCCGGGCCCTAAAACAAATGTAAGCGCACAGAGCAATAGGCTTTCTGCAGGGGTGGTTTACATAAATCGCATAAACACCAGATTTTCATTTGATGGGAATTAGATCTTTACTCCATGAAGAGAAGCGTTCTAGTTCATCATCTGACAGTGGTCACTCATCACCACCACTCTCAACCCCATGAGAAGCCACTTTTGAGGAAGAATGGAGTGGAGGAGAGGTCTTTACCGCTTCTCCAAATGGCAGTGTGTGATAACGATTCTGAACGACTATGGGGAAAAAAATCTACCGAGGCTGGAGACCCTGGAGAATGGGGGCAGCAACTATCTTCCTGGCCATGCACACTAGCCCTTCAAGACACGTCTCTAACCCCCACACCGCACCCCTCCCTCGTCTACACCCATCAGCGGGGCCTCGATCCTGCTGCCCCGCCCCCTCTTTCTCCGCACCCTCCAATATTTCCTGCCACAGAACCGCTTCATAATTGTGACCTTCTCGTCACTGGAACTTAAGGGCTACAGATCCTCTCATCCCTGATCCCCGCACCACTCTGCAGCCCCGACCCCCACCTCCAGCCTGCTCTTACTGTCCAGATAATGTTCCAAATACATCCCCGCAGCCATCTCGAAGCAAAACAAAGCAACTTCCGATCCGCCCCGGAAGTGACTGTAACGCGACAGGGGCCGAAGCCATTTTGCGGCTAAAGCCTTTCCGCCCTTAAAAGGAGAACTTCCGCCCTTAAAAGGAGAACTTCCGCCCTTAAAGGAGAACTTCCGCCCTTACTATATTACCGCCGGTACACATCCGCCCGACACTGAAACTTTTCCTTTTGCATGGTAGCCACGACCGCCCACAGTGAGGCGGCTGTAGCCCGCTTCCGCCCTTACAGACACCCCAGGACGCGACCGAGACAGGTATGACGTCACTGGAGGTCGCCATTTTGCATTCTCTAGCAAACTTTTTTCCCTCCAAAACGGGAATGTATGGTAATCCGTGCAGGGGTAACTGTTCACTTTAGGCTCATATTGCGTAAACATACCTTCTCAGCAACTGGAAGATCCAACTTTTTTTCCCTCTTTTGCAGAATGACTTTTTTCAAGCCAGTTAGTTTCTTAAGGAAGTTGGGGAAGAGTATCAGGCCTTGAGACATTTAAACCGTCTGAATTTCTATTCACTCACACAAACACCATCTCCCCCAGCATTATTTTTTTAACTTGAGAAAGATGATCACCTTTCTACTTATAAATACAAAGAATGACTCATAATAAAGCTATAATTCTGCACATCTTTTGTCAGAGCTCCTGTACGTTACACTAGAATACACTTTCACATATAAAATATTACTTCCTGCCTTGCCCTCTTGCTTTTTTTTTTTTTTTTTTGAGACAGAATTTTCACTCTTATTGCCCAGGCTGGAGTGCAATGGCGTGATCATGGCTCACCGCAACCTCCACCTCCCGGGTTCAAGTGATTCTTCTGTCTCAGCCTCCCGTGTAGCTGGGATTACAGGTATGCACCATCACGCCAGACTAATTTTGTATTTTTAGTAGAGATGGGGTTTCTCCATGTCGGTGAGGCTGGTCTCGAACTTCCGACCTCAGGTGATCTGCCCACCTCAGCCTCTCAAAGTGCTGGGATTACAGGTGCGAACCACTGTGCCTGGCCCCTCTTGCTACTCTCTAAGGGGGAAATCTCGTGTTTTTGTTTTCCTTTTGTTTATATGTGATGTTAGCATCATAATTCTGAAGGGATTGAGGGATGCAGCAGTATCACTACTGGGCTAGTTGGCTAGTTAGTTGCTAGCCATCACTCTAGTCAGCTATGGTAGAGTGATTTCTATGGTTTTCATCAGAATGGGAAGCAGTCAAGGGTATGAGAGGCTGCCAACACACTAGGCTGTCAACACACTGCCAACACAAAGGCCATAACCTAATAGTGGTGTTAGTAAGATAGTATTTTAGAGATAGCTGCCACCCCTCACACTTTTCGTACCCTCACACATCCTTCATAAGAATTACCAATGTCTTACGGCAAGTTTTTAAAGAGACAGACTTTCAGCTATATAATTTCTACCAAATATGTGGAGAAGAGGAACTTCCAACCCGGGGCGGATTGGAAGTTGCTTTGTTTTGCTTCGAGATGGATGCAGGGATGTATTTGAAACATTATCTGGACAGTAAGAGCAGGCTGGAGGAGGGGGTTCAGGGGCTGTAGAGTGGTGGGGGTATCAGAGCTGAAAGGATCTGTAGCCTGTAAACCCCAGGTTTACTAGTGTGCAGGTAGTAAGATACAGCAATAGAATCCGGGAAACTGCTCTAATTACAAAAGTCATGCTTTTCGGTAACTTGATCTCTGTGCCTGTTTTACTATACAATGAGACTACTACCTCCCTCATAGGGTTGTTGGAATAAGTGAGTGTGAGTGTATCCATAAAAAGAGTAGATTCTAGTTCTAATACTGGTGATGAAGTTAGGGCCATTAGGGCCTTTTCAAGAGTTGGTGAGAGTGGGAGGAAAAAGCAGTAAATATGCAGGGAGCTAAGAAACATTGGCATATTTGGTCATATGTGATACATTCATTGGTATTACACAACATATTGAGACACCATCTTAGGTGCCCACACAGGATATCTAGCACTAAATTAAGTGGGCTTTATTTATCCCAGCCCAACTACATAACAAGTACTATTGGCCAGCAGTCCCAGAGTTCTCAGGATGTGGGAGCTTGGTCACAACTTTCACAACTTTTTCGGTGCTTAAAGCAAGGTTTTTTTTTTTTTGTTTTTTTTTTTTTTTCCAGACAGAATCTCGCTCTGTGGCCCAGGCTGGAGTGCAGTGGTGCAATCCCGGCTCACTGCAACCTCCGCCTCCCAGGTTCAAGTCATTCTTCTGCCTCAGCCTGCAGCTGGGACTACAGGCGCGTGCCACCACACCTGGCTAATTTTTGTATTTTTATTTTACTTTTTTGAGAGAGAGTCTCACTCTGTCGCCCAGGCTGGAGTGCCATGGCACGATCTTGGCTCACTGCAACCTCTGCCTCCTAGGTTCAAAAGATTCTCCTGCCTCAGCCTCCTGAGTAGCTGGGATTGCAGGCGCCCACCACTATGCCTAGCTTATTTTTTGTATTTTCAGTAGAGACGGGGTTTCACCATACTGGCCAGGCTGGTCTCGAGCTCCTAACCTCATGATTCACCTGTCTCGGCCTCCCAAAGTGCTGGGATTACAGGCGTGAGCCACCGTGCACGGCCATCAATTTTTGTATTTTTAGTAGAGATGGGGTTTCACCATGTTGGCCAGGCTGGTCTTGAACTCCTGACGTCAAGTAGTCTGCCTGCCTCGCCCTCCCAAAATGCTGGGATTACAGGCGTGAGCCACCGCACCCAGCCTTAAAGCAAGTTACTTAATTCTCAAAAAAGGTATCTTCAGAGTTATCTAGTCCAATCCCTTCACTAACAGTTGAAGAAGCACCCTGGCCAACACTGGTTGATGGTAGGCAAAGGGCTGAAGTCCAGGTTTCATGACCACATTCTACTCCATAGTACTACAGCTCTCCTGCATAAATCAATCTTGCACCCCTTAACCGGTTATGATTTCCACAAGGTAACAAATACACATATGTATACACATTGCCAACTGCAAGCCCCTCTTCCACAGACTCAGGCAGGAGTGTAGGTCCTTTCAAGAGGCTTCCATTTTTCTTCCATAGGGAGCTTAGCTGTTTTGTTAACACATAACCAAAGCCTTGCTCTCACATATTTAGGCAATGCAATCCCCATGACAGAATGTGTATGTAGAAGTCCTCATAAACCAGGATTTCACTGGAGACATCATGAAACTGTACCCTTCCATGACTGGAGAATTGCACAAATGGGGCATCATCACACAAGCACTTGTTCATCACACACACACTCTGGTATAAATCCTCAGTACTGTTCTTGGACATCTCCCCAAATACCTTTTCCGCATGCTCGCTCACATCAGTAGCTCCACTGCCTCTGATCCTTTTACATGAATTTATTTCTATACAATGTTCTAAAAACACCCCTTGGTTTGTACATAAGTTTTTTTCTTTTTTTCTTCATTTTTAAATTACTTTATAACAACTGGTTTCCTGATTTTTTTTTTAATTTCCTTTCCTCTGAAATCTGCCATGATTTAAAAAAAAAAAAAAAAGACAAAAAGAAAAATGCTGTGGCTAGAGGACAGGGGTGGAGAGAGGGAAAAAAAGGACAAAAATAAACAAAACATCAAATATGAAAATTCTCAGAGATAATGCATTTATAAACACAGAAATGGTTACAACAAAGATGGCCGTGATGAGTGAGTATAATATATTTATATATATATATTTATATATAAATCCGTGTCCGGCATCTGACTGTGGCACCTAGGGAGCTAAGTCCAGTCCTTGCGTTTGCCTTGAACTCTCCCTTCTCCGCAACACCCCTGTTTTGGAGTTTCACAGATAACACAAAGCCTCCCACAGCTCCTTGGGGGTGGGTTGGGGAGACTGAGAGTATAGGGTCTTTGTAGGCAGAGAAGGAGAGAGGCTTCAAGGAAATCCGTAAAACCATAACACACACTTCTAAGCCACCTGTGACCAACTTGGGAATTTCTGGCCCCTTGGGGACCACATCTCAGCCCTTGCCCCCTTCAAATAAAAGGAGGTCTAGCCCCTACCCCAAATCTCCTTCTACCAGCAGTCAATAGGAAGCAAAGTGAGACGATGTAGGGGAAGAAATGGCTCTCAGGGACTGAGGCATTTGAGAAACCTCTGTTCTTTTGCAGGCAAGAATAGAACAAGAGGCTGGTTGCATTTGGGGCTCCCTTTTCTCTGTTATCTGGGAGGGCCAGCCTCTAGTCTTACATCAGCCCAAACTTTGAGGATAAGGAGGGTAAGGATAGGGTAAGTGGCCACACTGGACAAGGTTCTATGAGGTCATAGCAAATCCTTCCCTTGAGCACCGACCCCCAGTTTTAGAAGCTTTGCTTGGGAGGGGAGGCTGCTGGATGACACCATCAGCTCAGTATTCCTTTGCAATCAGGAGGGCTGATGTTCCTTTTGAAGAAGAGTTCAGAAAAAGGATGGTATCCTGTGAAGGAAAGCCGTGACAGAGGCCCAAGGAGATGGAGCCAAGGCCTGTCAAGGAAGAAAAGGACTTTTCCCACCAAGAGTTGGAGAAAGAAGACACCAGGACTACTTCTTCCTCTTCCCAGTGGGTGGCAGCACGGATCTCTAAGAGCTGGCCAGGTGCTCCACCTGGATGGTGCTGGTGGTGACAGTGAGGCAGATGTCCTTATGATGCTCCGCCGTCTTATACGGGGTCAGGTCAAAGGAACACTGGGGTGGAGGGTTGGGATTGCTGTCCCCACCACCCCCACCCTGGGGGGCTGCCCCAGGAGACTGGAAGTGTGGTGGTGGCTGTTGCTGCTGCTGCTGCTGCTGCTGCTGCTGCTGCTGCTGCTGCTGTGATGCCTGGGAGGCCTGGGCCTGGGCCTGGGCTTGAGCCTGAGCCTGAGCCTGGGCTTGAGCTTGAGCCTGGGCCTGGGCCACTGCTGCCGCTGCTGCTGCTGCCTGCACCTGTTGCTGAAGATCAGGCGGGTTGTGTTTGCGCATATGTTTCATAAGGTATGTTTCCTGAGGGAGATGGTAAAAAGAAGTTGAGGGATAAAGAGGAAGGAAAAGAGATTACTTGTAACTAGCACCCCAGGCTCTGATTCTGCTGTAAGCAGAGTAAGCTTTATACTGGTTTTCTGGAGCCAAGACTGAGCAAAACTCAAGTAGCACTTTCAGTGGCTCACTACTGAGAAAAAAAAGAGAGGAACCTTTAGAAGTCACTCAACATTCAACTGGCAAAGGAATGAGCTGCTATTTTTTTCAAAGACCCCTGAATGAAACAACTTTACAACCTTTTCTGGAGTCTCATGGAAAATATCTAACTGGGCCAGGTGCGGTGGCTCACACCTGTAATCCCAGTACTTTGGGAGGCTGAGGTAGGTGGATCACTTGAGGTCAGGAGTTTGAGACCAGCCTGGGCAACATGGTGAAACCCCATGTCTACTAAAAATACAAAAAGTTGCTGGGCATGGCAACATGCACCTGTAATCCCACCTACTTGGGAGGCTGAGGCAGGAGAATCGCTTGAACCCAGGAGGTGGAGGTTACAGTGAGCCGAGCCGAGATCACACCACTGCACTCCAGCCTGGGTGACAGGGCGAGACTGTGTCTCAAAAAGAAAAAAAAAAAAAAAAGAAGAAGAAAATGCCTAACTGAAATCCAGCTCCCCTCAAAATTTCAAGTGGCTTTATTTTGCCTTATGTTTAAGTAAAATGAAGAATTACAGCTTATGCGTCTCTATAGGATTAGGAGATCAGGCATCCCCTAAATTCCTCAGAATGGGTCTAATTAATTTCTGAATATTTACCTGTTCTGCTAAGTTGGAGCTAGGGAGGCAGGGTATTCACTGCAACAGATCTCTACCCAGAAAATGGGGTGAAGTGGACTGTACTCTTAGAGGACTATGAGGAAGGAGAGAAGAAACGGAGCACTCACTGATGTGTATGCCCGACTGCAGATAGTGCAGGTGTACACCTTGGCATGCTTCACTGTGTGCGTAGACAGGTGCACCTCTAGTGAGGCTGCATCCGTGTACGCCCGATGACAGTTGTGGCACTTGAAGGGTTTATCTTTGTTGTGTTGCCGTCTGTGGGACTGAGAAAATTGGGAGAAACCAGAATGAATACATTGTACTCTTTCCTCCTGCCCCCTTGACCTCGATGGAAAGCAAAAAGGTAGGTGTCAGGCCTCCCAGCTTCTCCCTCTATCTGAAGAAAGTAGAAATTGTTTCAAATGAAACTTGAGAAGCTACAGGCTAAGGGTGGAAGCATACCTCATGTAGCACATACCAGGATCCCAAGACAGCTTATGCCCGTCTCACCAGTCCAGTGGTTCTTAAAATGAGGCATGGGGATCTTTAGGGAACACTAAGACCTTCACAGGGGGCCCACAGGGTCAAAACTCTTTTTTTTTTTTTTTCCCAGATGAAGTCTCTCACTCTGTCGCTCAGGTTGGAGTGCAGCGGCACAATCTCGGCTCATTGCAACCTCCGCTTCCCGGGTTCAAGCGATTCTCCTGCCTCAGCCTGCAAGTAGCTGGGACTACAGGCACATGCCACCAGGCCTGGCTAATTTTTTTTGTATTTTTAGTAGAGACAAGGTTTCACCGTGTTGGCCAGGCTGGTTTCCAACTCCTGAGCTCAGGTGATCCGCCCGCCTCCGCCGCCCAAAGTGCTGAGATTACAGGTGTGAGCCACCGCGCCCAGCCAAATCTTTTCAAAATAATAAGACAATGTTTGCCTTTGTCTCTCTTGAACCTGGGAAGTTGCAGTAAGCTGAAATCACACCACTGCACTCCAGCCTAGGTGACCCAGCGAGCCTCTGTCTCAAACACGCACACGCGCGCGCGCACACACACACACACACACAAACACAAAGATGAAAAACCTAACTGAAATCTTGTTCCCCTCAAAATTTCAAGTGGCTTCATTGTGCCTTATGTTTTACATGTAACCCTTACAGAGGTTACATGATGTGTGATAACACAATAGGCCAGATGCAGCAGATCTGAGAATCTACTCATCTTCTAGCTTAAGACATTAAAGACCCCTGTGCCAGGTGCGGTGACTCATGCTTGCAATCCTAGCACTTTGGGGAGGCTGAGGCGGGAGGATGGCCTGTGTCCAGGAGTTCGAGACCAGCCTAGGGAAGATAGCAAGACCCCATCTCTACGAAAATGAAAAAAACAGCCAGGTGTGATGGTGCATGCCTAGAATCCCAGCTACTTGGGAGGCTGAGGTGGAAGGATCACTTGAGACCGGGAGGCTGAGGCTGCAGTGGGCCATGATAACACCACTGCACTCAGCCTGGGTGACAGAGCAAGGTCCTGTCCCAAAAATAAAAAATAGACACCTGCAAAAATGTATAATAATGCCATTCTTCTCACTCAGTTGTTTTTGGAGGGTCTTGGAATATGTTATTTATGTTAACACACAATGGGTTTATTTTTGTTCTTTCTAAACAGATTACTATTATAAATATTTTTCAGGTTTTTCAGTTTTACAACGTCTATGTAGACAGCTATTACCCACATAAACAAAAACTCTTTGGGTCCCTCAATAATGTTTGAGTGTAAAGGAGTCCTGAAAACATTTGAGAACCACGATACTATTCAAATGGCCCCATGTCTCAGACTCAAGGTCTTGTGTGGAGGGTGGAACATTTACCTGCAGATTGGAGAGTTGTGTGAAGGCTTTCTCACAGCCTGGGTGTGCACATTTGTATGGTCTATCACCAGTGTGGATTCTGCACAGGATAAGAGAAAAAAGGGAAAGAATGTCAGCAAGACCATTTAGGAACTGGCTCAACAAATCTTCTCCAGGCCCATCCTGCTCTCCTAAGGAGGCACATCAGATGGGCCTCCAAGAGGCACCAGCCTTCCTCTCTGATGTGGATCAGGTACTGATGATTTGCTTCTGGTCAATGCCTGCATCACTCAGCTCAAGCTGAGGCTCCTCTCTGCTGGGGGAGGAGAGACTGAGGACTTGGCACCCAAGGAACAGGCAGCCCACAATTTGGCATTCAAGTCAGCTCCTACAGTAACTGTCCTAACGAACATTCAAGAACACAAGATAAACACAATGGCAAGGAAAAAGAAAAGCAGAACGCGTCTTCCTTGGCCCCACCTTATGGCCAGAAACAGTCCCCTCAGCCTTGAGCATCACTTCCAGAGAATGTTATGGTAACAAAGAAAAGCAGTTACACTGATTGTGGAGAGTAGTAGTGATATTAATGGAAACTCATGAAAACTAAGTGCTTTTTGCAGCCCAGCCCCCTAATGACAGGAAATGCCTAGTTTAGTACCAATGTGACCTCTCTCCCCAACACCACAGGGCCCTCTGCTAAGATGAGCCAAGGACTTGAGGGTGCAGTGACACCTGCTCCTCATCAGCGACTTCAGAACCATCTCTATGACCAGGTGCTTTTCGGGACCTCTGGTATAAAATCTCAAAAACATCACAGGACGTGTCTCTTATTTGTGAGGAAAGCCTGACTCCTCCTCTTCTCAAAGCAAGATGTCTGATCACTTTAAGGTGAGATCATCACATCCACAAGAAGCCGGGTGAGACGGTCTATGGCCTGTAAGTCTGGACTCCAGTTCAACTTGAGATAGCACCAAAGATCATCACTTCTAGTTGGCAGGTTCCCTTCTTCCTAGTCACTCCAGATTCACGGGATAAACACTGGGCATCTTTATGAAGCATAAGCGTTTTCATTTTCTGTTTGCTGATTCTCTCTGAACATTTAGTACGTGTTTTCTTTTGTTCTCTACTCCTGGCATCCCTCAGAGCCTTGCTTGTTGCTGTGGGTGTCACCAGGCTGGTGCCCAGCTAATGTCTGATTTTATTTCCTGTTCATAATTGGTGCCCTAAGGGCTAGAGGTATGGTCTTCTCCACTCAAATGCCTCTGTTTTGGCATCAAGGGGCAAATCTTCCAAGATGGGTACATGAGTATTTTCAGGGAGGAAAATTAGAGAAAAGTTGTTTCTACTCCAGGTACGTGTCTGTCTCCCATGGATCAGTGAATATCATATAGTCACTGCAGCTCCCCGACGTAGCTCTTGCCCCAGAGAAGCTCTGTGTCCACTTGAATCTCCAGTGTTGTTTGGTCTTCCTTCTCCCAGATGCCAGCCAGGTCTCTCCTCCAGCCAGGTCTCTCCCCCGCCCCCCGCATGCGGGTTGTTGTGTGTGTCCGGGGCGGGGGTGGGGAGGGCATGCCAGCGGGGCGGGGTCAGTAGCCCGCCACTCTCCCTTACCGTGTGTGCTGCTGGAGGTGGGAGAGCTGGCGGAAGGCCTTCTGGCAGTAGGAACAGTTGTAGGGCTTGGCCCCCGAGTGGATACGGAGGTGCTGGGCCAGGTAGGAGGTGTTGGCGAAGGTCTTGGAGCAGTGCGGGCACTTGTGGGGCTTGATGGTCTCCGTGTGCATCTTGGAGTGGATCCTGCCGGAGAGGAGAGGAGGGAAGGGGGGAGGAGGAAGCAGTTCGACACCAGGGGCTCAGCTCTCTGCTGGGTGAAATGACGTTGCTTGACGGATGAGAGCACCCCCTTCCTCCCTCCTCCCAAAAACACTCCAGCCTGGATAGGCAAATGAAGAGGACACCCAGATCTAGGTTGTTGCTGATCGTAAGTCGGTGGCTAGAATGGCAGTGAGATGATGAAGAGCTGCAACCCATGGCTCCTGGTAACCTTAAAGTAGTCAATCTCATCAACCCTCCGCTTTCTCCTAAGGTTAACACACTCACCACAGACACCCTGCTTCCAAATAGTAATCTGAACAAAGACCAATACCGCCTGTTCCCCATGGACCTGAAGTTGAATGCACACCTTGGCTCTGAACTGAAGCATATAGTAAAAGCAGGCCTGCTCTGCAGAAGATTTCCAAACACAGACACAGAGAGAAACCACAAAAATTGTTCCAGACTTTGGAATTGGAGACCACAATTTTCAAGGCCCCCCAAATAGCTAGGATATATAATTTCCACAGACAGTAATAGGAGGTTGAGGCTACCAATGGGCAAAGGTGAAAGGGAAAGAATAATACATGTGGAGAGAGGAGTAGGTGCAGGCAACATGGTCTTAGGGTTCACGGCCAGGTGGTGGGGTAAACCAAGAGCAGCCTTACCGGGTGTGCTGCTGAAGGTGGGAGAGCTGGCGGAAGGATTTCTCACAGAAGTTACAACTGTAGGGCTTAGCCCCTGAGTGTATACGGATGTGCTGGGCCAGGTAGGAGCTGTTGGCGAAGGTCTTGGAGCAATGTGGGCACTTGTGGGGCTTGGTCTCGGTGTGTGACTTGGAGTGGATCTGCATCTCCGACTTGGAGTAGAATGTCAGTGAGCACATCCGGCACCTGAGCCAAGTGAGGGCAATGGTTAGAACCCTTCCCATCAAGAAGGTGTGGCTGAACCCTCCCCTCTACTTCCAAGAGAAGCCCACCTATCTGAGGTCTCTCCTACTCCAACTTGAGAGTAGAGCTCTATATATTCATCTTTATGGCCTAAGCTTCTAACATGGTGCCCAGCACATTATAAATATTCAATAAATGTTTGCTGAATGACTGGACTGCCTCCATGTGCAAAAATGTATTTCAACCAGATAAAACAGAAACAGTATGAACTCTGGGCAGATGCGAATTTCAATGGGCCAGGAATATCAGTTAACTTGTTTGCCTTCTGCTTACAGCTTGATTTCAAACATTTAAGGAATTCCTTGCTCTGATGTTCCTATGTATGAAGCACATGCCTCTGTATTCCTCAAGACCCCGAGATGATAATGAGGAACAACTAACTGGATCCTCTCCTGTCTCCATAGATAATTTTCTTCCCTCAGATTTTCCCCTACTTCCTTTTTGGCAGCGATTCCTAGAGGGATGGGGGTGAGGAAGTATCAGAATTATTTGGAGGGGCTTTTTCAAACCAGGTATGTCTGCTCTCCACCCTCTTATCTGATGTTGCATCCATCATCTACCCACCCCTTGCCCACAGCCCCTTGACAATCAAGTGAAAACCACTTTTGCAATGACCAACGTAGCTGCTAGGGGAAGGTGCCATCCCTCAAGCATTTGGGAGAAAAATGATTACAAAACACCTATCTTCCACGCTAAACCTTTCCTCTTCCCTAGCACATGGAGCCAGTGTCAGCACTCTGGGTTGACATCAGTAGCACCTGATCGTACTTTCACTCATCCCAAGCTGGTAATCCTTTCCACTCTGGTATTGTCCACCAAATATCAATAAGGAGGCCTCTGAGCAAGTTAAGCCACAACTATTCAGACTTTACTGAGTAAAAGCTATCTTTCATTTTCGTAAACAATTCACCAGTGTAAAATGGGAGCTGGTAGAAAAGGCAATGGCCTGGAAGCCAGGCAATTAGCACAAGTCCCTCTTCTTTGGGTTCTCCCTAACTTATCTTCTTAAGAGAGGCTTCAGATGGTGTGGGATCATGATTTCTGCACTTTTTTCATCTCAGGAGAATTTTTTAGTTACCAGCTTATTGATCCCTGGCAGTTGTCTGAGATGCCCAATCATTGCAGGAGAGAGGGGGAGGCTCTGTTTATAGTGAGCATAATCCAAAGGACACAACCAGTGGGAATCAGGATGCCTGGGTTCTACTCAGGCTTCAGTTACAAACTTGCTCATTAACAGACCTCAATTTTCTGGTCTGTAAAATGGAAAGATAAATTTTTGCCCCCAGAAGGGCGAGCAAATGCCTAGGACAGTCAAAGGTAAGCCAAGTATTCTCCAGTAATAAAACTGCATTCATCTTAAGCCTTAGTGCTGATGGACAAGCTCATGCTAGTAAATATTTCACTAAGACTGAAGTTAGAAGCTGGACACATTGTCCCTTGAAGGGCAACTGTACTAAAGTTGCAAACTAATTTCCCTTGATGCTACAATTTCTCAGACAGGTAGAACATATTTATTTTAACCCAAATAAAATCTCGTCAATTTGTGTGTGAGGGTGTTCAATACACAATTCTGCCCTTAACATTAAGGTTAATTTTAAAAAATAATAATAACCCACTTAGTCAAAGTTTCCAATAAGAGAACTTGCAAAACTTAAATTCATTTATAATGTGCTGGCAAGGGAATGAGCAATCTCAGAAGACACTAGGTATAATAATGATGATGACCACAATGATAATAGTTGCCATTTGTTGTTATGCCTGACAGTGCCAGGCACTAGGTTAGGCACTTCAGACACATTGTTTCTACTCCTCACAACCTGGCAAGTCTTATCCATGTTTTTACAGAAAGGAACACAAAGACTCAGAAAGTAAGTAATTTGCCAAAGGGCAGTTATTCACTACAAAGCCATGATGCCAGCCTACTTTAAGATTCTTAACACCAGAGGTATTCAAGCAGAGGTTGGAATCATCTGCCAGGAAGGGACTGACCAAGGAGATCATTAAAATATTTCCAACTTGAAAATCCTATGAAGTCAAGTAAGAGAGTCCTCTAATGCAAGGTGCTGGGTGGTTGGAAAGAAATTTAGTTTTGGAGAGTCGTGGCAGTCAGCAGGGGATAGAAAAGCCAGCATCCATATCATGGGGTGCCTTCCTCCAGGGGCACCATTCACATCCAACACAATGAGAACGGGACCCCTTGGAAGCATGCAATGCAATGGCCTTGATTATAATAATTACAAGTATGGCCACTTTGAATTATTATCCATTTTTCCTAAAATGCTCAAAACAATTTCAAATATTCTGACTTTGCCTCAAAACATTTCTACAAGACAGATGAAGGCATGGCTGATCTTCCCATTTTATATATGGGAACAAAGAGTGGGAGATACGTTGACTTGACCAGAGTAACAGAACCCAACTGCCCCAATAGCCAGTCAAATGCTACTGACCACTGAAGAGGGTATGGCTGACCCACACATGCATCAAAACAGAAATTCACTGTGATAAAAAGATTTCTTTTGCCAGGCACAGTGGCTCACACCTGTAATCCCAGCACTCTGGGAGGCCGAGGCAGGCAGATCACCTGAGGTCAGGAGTTCGAGACCAGCCTGGCCAACGTGGTGAAACCCTGTCTCTACTAAAAATACAAAAGAATTAGCTGGGCGTGGTGGCGCACCTATAGTCCCAGCTACTCGGGAGGCTGAGGCACGAGAATCGCTTGAACCTGGGTGGCAGAAGTTAAGAGTGAGTTGAGATTGTGCCACTGCACACCAGCCTGGGCGACAGAGCGAGACTCCGTCTCAAAAAAAAAAAAATTTCTTTGGAATGTCAAGAGTTCTGAGTTTCTGAAGAAATTCTGTTTACCTAGGATACAATAAGTCTCCCTTCAATTTCAAAGTTCTTTGTAGTCTCCTGGGTGGATGGTCATTCAGGAATTCCAAAAATACTGAATGTGTGAAAAGCCCCATGAGGCTTTCTTCCAACTGTATATGTGCATTTCTTTTAATATATACAGTTTGGAAAGTCCAGAGATAGCTTTAATGTGGGTCACAGTGAAGAAAGGGCAGAATGAGAGGACCCTGATCCATTAGAAGGGCTCTATAGAGTGTTAAAGGATCCTTCTACTACTTCCACAAATTGTATATAGATGTATCTCCATCTCACAATGGCCTCATTTTAAACAAACACATAAAAATCTAGATTTCTATACGATAACTTAAAAGGGATTTTAATTTTATGAACTGATATATAAGAGAATGCCTTTAAATGAATCAAACTTGTCAGGTACCTTTATAATATGATATGATGGAAACATTTTCCAGGAACACTTTTATTGTATAAAGTGGGGTACACCTGTAATAATAAAGCTGCAATGAACTTTTGGATTATGAGCTGGAATTCTGCAGTGCTCAATTCTGCATAGCAACACTCCTCTCATTTTCATTTATAAAGAGCGGTTTAAACACTCTGTAGGCTACTCTCCATAGTAGAACTATACAACACAAATAAAAATAAATGCTAAATAACTAATTTCTTAACTTTCTTTTGAAGTTCCCAACATTTCAAATCTTATCTGATATATACTCCCAACAAACGGGAGGCATAAACAGAATTATCCCCATTTTACAGATGAGGAAACTGAGGCCCAGAGAGGGGAAAAGGACTTGCCCAGGGTCACACAGCAAATTCGTGGTGGAGCCGGGAACTGAATCCATGAGCCCAAGGCTCTGTCCATTTCCTGTGCCGCAGTTCCCTTCGCTCCTAAAATGGGAACAACATTGCCCATCTGGGTACACTAAGGAACTAAGGACAGACCCAGACTCCCAGCCATGCACATCTGCCCCTGTCTATATCAAAGCTGTGACAGTAGTTATCCCACTCTATACAGTGCTACCAAACTCCCCAAACCCACTAGGGCACGTGACAGTTCTCAAAGGGATTAAAAGATGTTCAACTTTCAAAGGGCAGGGAGTTTACTTATGTAATTATTTTTGTAGAGTATCACATGCAAATACGCATATAATGCTTTTTGGTAAAGGGGAACTTAGAGGAAGTGGAGAATCAAAATGACTTTCATAAATTAGAAAGTGAGCAAAGTCATTCTTTAAGTACATATTCCAAAGGGGGAGGCATCCTATTCCTCCTACCTTCTTATGAAGGCCCCTCCCATCATCCCAACCATGCAGGGTAAGGCAGGCTCAGTGTTCAAATGCGACCCAGGAACTGGTGGATGGCACATAGGTTAGGTGCTTACTAGAAAGGTTTCTTAGAAAAATAGGAATGGAATATGTAGAAAGCAAAAAGGAGCTGCAGCCAAGAGTCTCAAACCCAGCATAAAGCCTTATTACAAGAGAGAAATTCTACTCTGTTACTAAAAAATTAGTCAGTGTTAACGACCCCCAAAACAAGGGTTAAAAAAAGGAAAGGGTGAAATGGGTCTTTGCATCCTAACACGATGCTAGCAGCTCTGCCTCCTATCCTATGATGGGACACCTGACATGCAAGTGGCTCAGAGCTGGGAAGCTGTCAGAGTGTAGCGCCTGACCGGGGCAGAACACAATGAGGGTACAGGGAGAATCACCAAGCCAGGGATCCTCGCCCCATCCTGCCCCTGGCTCTGAGTCTTACCTGTAGGTCTTGCCGTCTTTCTGATGGTCATCATCATCCTCAGGGGAGAGGACATAAGGGTCATTCATCTCGGGCAGCCCTGATTCCAGCATCCGCTTCTTCTTCCGGCCCCGGGGTGGCTTAGGAGCCACACTGCCACCTCCACCACCACCTCCGCCTCCTTCCTCGGTTAGGGTCGATGCTACCTTCTTGGAGAGGTCAGGGACAACCTGCAGGGCTTGTGAGCCAGGGGGAAGAGCTGAGACAATCATGGGAGCCGAAATGGGGAAGGTCTGAGCTGATGATGCTGTGGTCACAAGAGAGCCTGAGGGGGACGTGATTACCAAACCCGGACCTAGGATTGGGAGAAAAAGGAGATGGCGTCATGTTGTTCAGTCCTGATCCTAATCCTATTTCATTTCCCCCAGATCATTGTCTAATTAACCCCTCACCCCCCCGCCGACCCAACCCAGAGTACACAGGAAATCCCAAACCCTGTAGAAAAATAATGGTCTCCTAACCCTTGTCCCCACCCCCCTGGTAACAGTGAGATTTACCCCTTGATTGACTCCCTTCTCTTCTCCACCTCTGAGAACAGGAGACTCCTTGATTCAGAGAAGGAAAGAATGTCACCTCCTCAAAGGCAGGGACCGCATCTTCTACTTCTTTGTATCCCCCACAATGCCTAGCACATTGCTAGGCACACAGTAGGCACTTAATAAAAATTTGATTGAATAATCAAACACATATCCCACTCCCCATGTCCTTGGAGCCCTCCAGCCTGGGGTACTGATCATGGAAGATCAACACCTCAGATTGGAGAAGAGCAGAGTTGCTCACCAGCAGTCATCAGTCCTGTAGACGGCACAGGGACCACCGTGATATTCTGGGTAACGGACGCTTGGCTGTGTGGGGTCAGCTGGTCTGACTTGGACTCTGTGTCCATACTGATGCCTGAGGGCAGGGACACTGAGGCAGGCACTGTCAGCAAGGTGGGGTAGTGAGGTGGGGCCAGACCACAGCCCTTCTCTGGCAACAGCTGATCCTTCATCTTGTTGATGAACATTGTGTTCTCGATCTAAGAGAAAAGGAAGGGGACGGGAGCACCCTCTTCAGCCTGAGAGGCTGATTCTGCTTGCTCGTGAGCACACTTCAGTGTCTGTCCTCCTTAGGGATCAAGGATGAGCACTTCATACCTCTGGCCTTCTAGAGAGAAGCCCAGGCAGAAACACTAGATAATTCTCAGGGGTGGGGGACCCAGTAAAACAGCATGTGGTGTACCTTCAGTCTCCATAGTAACAGAACTTACTACTGAGACTTGGAGAGAGCAAGAAAGCAACACCACTTACCTGACCTGAGACTGTGGGGATAGAAGGCCAGAAGTACGGGTTAGAATTGAAGTGAGATTCTTCCATTCTACCTGAAGAAAAAATGAGAGAACATGTCACACTCAGGAATTACTCAGAAAAAGCTAAGCAATGGAGAAGGGGAACTGAAGAGTTCCTGGTCTCCTCTGGCACCTGATCACATGGCTGGGGACTGGCAGTCAAGACTTAGTGTCTAGCACATTAGTCCCTTGGTCAGAGCCCCTTGTCACTGTATCCCCATCCAACAGAGGCTATCCTACTTCATGACTGTGAAAGAACTTATACGTATCACATTTACTCACACAATGTTATTCATGCCCCCTAAAGAAAAACTGGTATTACTTTCCTTTGCTGGCAAAAAGAAACTGAGCTCACGAGAGGGGAGATGATGTAGCTAAGGTCACAAAAAACAAATCACTGACTGACTTGAAAACGGCCAGGTGCCAGTACCTAGCATGACTCCTCTTTCTCTTATTCTTCAAAACTATATTCCTTGAAATAGAAATTTTAGTTTTTCTGTTTTTGAGACAGGGTCTTACTCTGTCACCCAGGCTACACTGCAGTGGCACAATCATAGCTCACTGCAGCCTCAATCTTCCAGGCTCAGCCTCCCAGGGAGCTAGGCCTACAGGCCGTGTGACACTATGCCAGACTAATTTCTTTTTTCTTTAAAGTAGAGACACGGTTTTTCCATGTTGCCCAGGCTGGTCTTGAACTCCTAGGCTCAAGGGATCAGCCCACCTTAGTCTCCCAAAGTGCTGGGATTACAGGCGTGAACCACTGTGCCCAGCCAATAAAAATTTCAAGAGTTCCAACCAATATGTCTACAGTTCTGTGTAGTTTGAGAAGGTTCCAGGCCAGAACACAATACGACTAAGAAAATTAAAAAATGAAGACTGGGCATGGTGGCTCACACCTGTAATCCCAGCACTTTGGGAGGCTGAGGCAGGTGGATCATTTGACCTCAGAAGTTCGAGACCAGGCTGACCAACATGGTGAAACCCCATCTCTACTAAAAATACAAAATTAGCTGGGCGTGGTGGCACATGCCTGTGATCCCAGCTATTTGGGAGGCTGAGGCAGGAGAACTGCTTGAACCGGGAGGCGGAGGTTTCAGTAAGCTGAGATCGCGCCACTGCACTCTAGCCTGCGGAACAAGAGCAAAATTCCGTCTCAAAAAAAAAAAAAAAATCAGAATCAAAACATATTTTGAGTACCAACTACTATCTGAAGACCACACCCCACCAATCCCACCAAGGTCTAAGAACACCCACGGTGCTACACTGGGCACCACACATGCCGCGCTGAGCAGTGAGAATCAAAGCACTTCTAGTTTTAGAAAGTGTCCTGGCACTAGTAGTAACCCAGGTTTCCAAAGGGATGCAGAATAGGCATGATAGTAGGCCAGAATACACACACAGTGCCAGACTCCTGCTTCCTATTTCTCAAAAACTGTGCTTCCGGCTGGGCATGGTAGCTCACGCCTGTAATCCTAGCACTTTGGGAGGCCAAGACAGGCGGATCCCCTGAGGTCAGGAGCTCGAGACCAGCCTGGCCAACATGGTGAAACCCCATCTCTACTAAAAGTACAAGAAATTAGCCGGGGCATGGTGGCGCATGCCTGTAATCCCAGCTACTTGGGAGGCTGAGGCAAGAGAATTGCTTGAACCCAGGAGGCGGAGGTTGCAGTGAGCCAAGATTGCGCCATTGCCTGGGCAACAAGAGTGAAACGCCATCTCAAAAAAAAAAAAAAAAAACTTTCTGAGAAACAAGAAGAAAAGTAACCCCTCCGAATCATGCCAACAAATAACAGATGGGTACAGAACACAGGCATCCCACCACCCAGTTTCACATTCTGATCACTTCTCCTGGCAAGGTTTAATTGGCAGTATGTTGGTCAAGAGTAGCTTCCCAAAATCCTGGACCAGCAAAGATAGAGCCCCACAAAAGGCAAATAAGAGAGTGTGAGACTGGTGAAATGGGGAAACGAGTAACAAAAAAAGTACATAAATACACAGTATTACCAGGCTGCTACTCTGAGCAAAGCACAACCAAGGTTCAGGTGGGGAAGACCCGTGACAGGCAAGTTGACCCACTGAGGATACACTGGAGGCAAACACTAAGATACTGAGAGCTAAAGGGTAGGCTGGGCACAGAAACTCAGTTTTAAGTACTAAGGAAACAGGGAAGGATCTTCAACAAAGGCGCCGAAGCTGAAAATTACTCTAACATAACTCTGTTCCTTATCCTTTTATAGAAAACATCACTTTTTTTGTTCTATTAAACAGCACCCCCAATTTTCATAAAATCTATAAAGGGAAAAACTGTATTTCAGCCTTTTTAAAAAGTAGCGAGGGTGCAATGTACCAAATCTGTGACTACAACAGCTTCACATAAACAGGCTCGCTATTAAATGACCAAAGATCAAGTATACATCAATTCTGTTTTCTGAGTTATAAAACACAATAAAACTAATCAGTATCTGATACAGGTACTAACTTGGTCCTTCCAGCCATAGCTTTACAAAGGGGTCTTACGGCTGAGTGTGGTGGCTCATGCTTGTAATCTCAACACTTTGGCAGGCCTACGCAGGAGGATCACTTGAGGTCTGGAGTTTGAGACCAGGCTAAGCAATATATTTGAGACCGTGTCTCTAAAAAAAAAAAAATTGAAAAAAAAAAAAGAAAAAGAAAAAAAAAGAGGTGAGTGCGGTCGTGCATACCCATAATCCTAGGTATTTGGAAGGCTGAGGTGGGAAAACTGCTTGAGCCCAGGAGTTCAAGACTGCAGTGAGCTATGAACACACTACTGTACTCTAACCTGGGTAACAGAGCAAGACCCCAACTCCAAAACAAAACAAAACAAAACAAAACAAAACAAAACAAAACAAAACAAAACAAAACATGCAAGTTGCGGTGGCTCATGTGTGTAATCCCAGCGCTTTGAGAGGCTGAGGTGGACAGATTGCTTGAGTCCACCAGCATAGGCAACATGGTGAAACCCTATCTCTACAAAAAATACAAACATTTGCCAGGCATGGTGGCAGGTGCATGTAATCCCAGCTACTTGGGAGGCTAAGGCAGGAGAATCATTTAAGCCCGAGAGGCAGAGGCTGAAGTCAGTAGAGATTGCAGTCCAGTCTGGGTAACAGAGAGAAACCCTGTCTCAAAAACAAACAAAAAACAAAACAAAGCAAAGATGGGAGTCTCACGTTTTCAGGCAACAGAATCAAGATACAATCAGATCACAGTTTAAGAGAATTCAATCTTGCCAAACTTTTTGGGAAGGAGCAATCACATCTTTTACATCTGTATCTTACAAATATCCCCAACATACGACTTTATCACCTAAGACACAATTACATATTTAATGAATTGAACAACGGTAGACTACCTACATATAGATTTTGCAGACAATGCTAGGGGTTCAAGTCTCAATGCATAATCCCTGTCTAACCTTCTAGTGGAAAGAAATGACAGACAAGAGATAAGAGTGGTGATAAATGGTGGGAATTAAGTAGAGAATTAAGATGGAGAGAATGGGTGTGGTGGCTCATGCCTGTAATTCCTGCACTTTGGGAGGCTGAGGCAGGTGGATCACTTGAGGTCAGGACTTTGAGACCAGCCTGGTCAACATGGTGAAACCCCATCTCTACTAAAAATACAAAAATTAGCCAGGCATGGTGGCACACGCCTGTAATCCCAGCTACTCAGGAGGCTGCGGCAGGAGAATTGCTTGAACCCAGGAGGTGGAGGTTGCAGCGAGCCGAGATCTAACCACTGCACTGCAGCCTGGGCAACAGAGCAAGACTGTCTCAAAAAAAAAATAAAATAAAATAAAAAAGATTAAAAATAATAATTAGGAGGGAGAATAAACGAAAGAAAGGGCCAATGTATAATTTTCCCAAAAGAATCAAGGAAGTTGGCTGGGTGTGGTGGCTCATGCCTGTAATCCTAACACTTTGGGAGGGCGAGGTAGGTGGGTCACTTGAGCTCAGGAGTTCAAGATCACCCTGGCCAACACGGCAAAACCCCATCTCTAATAAAAATACAAAAATTAGCAAGGTGTGGTGGCACACACCTGTAGTCCCAGCTACTTGGGAGGCTGAGGCAGGAGAATCACCTGAGTGCAGTAAGTCGAGATTGCACCACCACAGTCCAGCCTGGGTGACAGAGCAAGACCCTGTCTCAAAAAAAAAAAAAAAAAAAAAGAATCAAGGAAGTAAAGTAAATGCACTATGGATGTGAAAACGTAGGAAGGAGGAGGCTGAGCACGGTGGCTCATGCCTGCAATCCCAGCACTTTGGGAGGCCAAGGCAGGTGGATCACAAGGTCAGAAGTTCAAGACCAGTCTGGCCAAGATGGTGAAACCTTGTCTCTACTGAAAGTACAAATATTAGCCAGGCATGGTGGCGCACGCCTGTAGTCCCAGCTATTCAGGAGGCTGAGAAAGGAGAATCACCTGAACCTGGGAGGTGGAGGTTGCAGTGTGCCAAGATCGCACCACTGCACTCGAGCCTGGGCAACAGAGTGAGAATCCGTCTCAAAAAAAAAAACTGGTGGACAATATCACCACTATCATTATCATTAAAACTTATTAAGCACTTATTGTGTTCAAGGTAGTGTTCTAAGCACTTTACAACTACTACATCATTTAGTCCCTGCAACAATGAGGTAGGTACTGTAATTCCCATTTGAAATGAGGAAACTGGAGGCACAGAGTCCAACAGTAAATAGCAAAGCAGGAATGTGAATCCAGGCACCAAAGGGCAAGTTAAGGAAAGGGGTTCTACAAGGAACCAAAACCATATAACTGTAGTACACACTTTCTGATGTTATGGCTTGATCCAGGAAATAAAATTTAGAATATTTCCAGGAATGAACTATTTTCCAGCTAGTTCTCAAAAAATGTTTTCAAAATTGAAGTTTTTGATAACAGCAAAATGACATGCAGTTCAAGGTCATATTCCTTATTCTGTGAAACCTCACTTAGCTACCAAGATAACTTACTTTAGGATGACAGAGCCTGAATAAAGAGGCCGGACTTTACAAAGGAAAATAAATAAAAAGCCCCTCCACTTACTTGGATGCCTAGTTTATTGCATCCAATAAACTGGTGTGTCTGGTCCAAGGACAAGACACTACATATGCGTTACCAGCTTCCGATAAATAGGTCAGCCCAAAAGGGAGACCACAGAGAGAACTGCTCATCCAACTATAAGCAACCTTTACCAGCAAAATGACACCTGAGAAATGCTATGCCACTGTGCTACTGATGAGGCTGACTTCATCTTTGTACTCCTGAAATGAGATCAATGGAGAGCTAAGAATCAAAACTATTGCTAGAATACAATGTAAATGGCGCCCCCTAGAGTTGTGTAACAGGGCGTTCTGGGGCCAGATCACTCAAATATCTGCTTACTGTCTGTTTTACCGCTTACTCTATCTTTCGTGGAGGAAATTTCTCCAAATCATCCCAACATTCAATCAGGCACATATCAACATTCTTATCACCCAAAGAAGCCCACTGATGTTACACAGAAAACTCATGTCTACACAGAGAGTGCCAATTTTAATGATTATGCCTATATATTTAAAGAAAGTACTTTGGGAGGCCAAAGTAAGAGAATCACTTGAGCCCAGGAATTCAAGAACAGTCTGGGCAAAATAGGGAGACCCTGTATCTACAAAAAATTAAAAAAGTAGCCGGGCATGGTGGCTCACACCTGTAGTCCCAGTTACTTGGGAGGCTGAGGCAGGAGGATTGCTTGAGCCCAGGAAGTCGAGGCTGCAGTCAGCCATTATCACGCCACTGCACTCCAGTCTGGCCAAAAGAGTGAGACCCTGTCTCAAAAAGAAAAAAAGAAAAAGAAATAGAAAGGAAAGAAAAAACAGAAGAGAAGGAAAGATATAATTTGGTGGAAAGAAAAATGCTGGCAGGCTGAAAATCTGGGTTCTCATATCAACTTTACTATTGCACCAAGCCTCAACTGTTCTGTTAATAGGAAGGGAGGTTTACTGCTGGGCGAGGTGGCTCACACCTGTAATCCTAGCACTTTGGGAGGCCGAGGCAGGTGGACTGCCTGAGCTTAGGAGTTCAAGACCAGCCTGGGCAACATGGTGAAATCCCATCTCTACTAAAATACAAAAAATTAGCTGGGCATGGTGGCATGCGCCTGTAATCCCAACTACTCAGGAGGCTGAGACAGGGAATTGCCTGAACCTGGGAGGTGGAGTGGAGGTTGCAGTGAAAGGAGATCAGACCACTGCACTCCAGCCTGGGCGACAGAGCGAGACTCAGTCTCAAAAAAAAAAAAAAAAAAAAAAAAAGAAGGCAGGTTTACTCTAATTAAGTTGGAGAGTAATTTTCTCTTAAGAGACACAAGGAACTACATATTCCTTCTCCAATCTCAAATCTCAGAAGCCCTCAGGAGATAAAGAAGAGAGACACTATCAAGTATTAATAATAGTCGTGAAACACGGTAGGACTTGAACTCTTGGCCCAGAGCTTTGTCTATCTGACCACATCCTTCCGTAATGCTACCAACCATCCAGGGATAAAGATGACATGGCCTCCAGCAGGTGTTTTTGGCAGATATGGTGAAGACCACCATCTCTTTCCCAGAACCCACTAATTGTTTTTTTACTGTTGTTTTTTCAAATAAAGCATGATTTTCTTTCCCCAAGAAAACAGCATTCCCTTAACACAACCAACCCTTAGAAAACCATGAAATACACTCATCAAGTTCAGTAGCTAGAGAATGGCCTTGGGAATCAAGACTTCTGAATTCTTTTTTTATGAGACAGAGTCTCATTTTGTTGCCCAGGCTGAAGTGTAATGGCGTGATCTCAGCTCACTGCAACCTCCACCTCCTGGGTTCAAGCAATTCTCCTGCCTCAGCCTCCCAAGTAGCTGGGATTACAGGCGCTTGCCAACACATCTGGATAATTTTTGTATTTCTAGTAGAGACGGGATTTTGCTATGTTGGCCAGGCTGGTCTTGAACTTCTGACCTCAGGTGATCCGCTCTCCTCAGCCTCCCAAAGTGCTGAGATTACAGGCGTAAGCCACCGTGCCCGGCCAAGACTTGTGAATTCTAATTCTAGGTCCTATATCAGTGGATGACTCTTAACTATTTAAGTGGATGAATTAACCATTTTACTAGGTTTCTATCAGGATGGAGGATGGAAGAGGATGAGGCCTGTATAAATAAGTTTGTAAGGCATATGGTGATGAGATAAAGGCAGCACAAAAAAGAGAAAGAATGAAATGCCCCAAGTGCTCCTGAAAAGAAGAGTTACAGAAACACTTCCACAAGATGAGGACTATTAGCGACAATTAGTGAAAATTACATAAGGACTACATAATTACAAAGGAACTACCCAAAAGTAACAAATCTATAGCCTCCGGTTTAGAAATCATCTACAAGTAGCATCAACAAGAAAAAGATGGAAAAAAACAATCAACTTGAATTCAACTACAGAAAGAACTTAAGACGCTATTGAGAAACCATTCCAAAACACACAACTGCAGAAAGGTTACCTTAGCTCAAGACTTGAAATGAAGAAACACAGAGAAAGTTTTTTTTGTTTCTCCAAAAGGAAACAAAATCTCTTTCTCTCAGGGTCTAAAGACATTCAAGAAGGGCCATCCCAGTAGGATGTGACGCTTTCCCGCCAGTATCCATAAACTCTTCCAAGTACAAGTAACTCAGAACAAATGCACCCCAATGTTACTGGGAAACATCATCACACCATACACAAACAAACTAAACAGGACTGCTACCACCACACAGCTGGCAACCTGGGCCAACAGCTTCTAGCCTGGGCACCACCGGACCACTTTACCCTGCATCCTGTGGGAGGGACGGCACGGTGGTTCTCCTTGCCCTGTCTGTTCCACTATAAATGATGGATCTGGGGAATGTGAGGCCAAAATAAATAAATAAGACTGGAGAAGAAGAGATATGTACCCAATATTTAATCAACAACTTGGCTCAGAAACCCACAGGGCATTTTATAAACCAACCTCTGGGATCATAAGTTCTGAACTCAAACTCTTTAGGTCCACTCACTGTCATTTTCAGGCTACCCGAAACTCTTCCAGACCTACTTCTGGAGTCTACTCCGTACAGTTTTATCCACTTCACTCCAGACTAACCATGAAGCAGTTTTTTTTTTCCCCTGAAAATTTCATCTTGCCATACCAAATTCAAATAACCCTGTGTCACAGATTCTAATCACTCCACAGACCCACTTCTAACACTCCACTGGACTATTTGGGATAGGAACTCCATTCTAAACTCAGCTCTGCTTGTTCCAGACACAGGAAAGCAATTCCATAAGGACTATATTGGCATTTAGGGTCTTTGTGTCCCAAAGCAGAATAAAGATTTCCCCTTTGGACACAAGGCAACACTATTCAGTGGCTTCACCTGAGCATTTCATATTTCATTCCTGATGAGCATTAGTAGGAATGGAAAGTGATGGGGGATAGCGCCAACTTTTTACACAAAAACTTCCTGACCCTCAAGAGATAATAGAAAAAAACTGATTTCTCTCCACAACAATCTCAGCATTACAATTGCTATTACTTTAAGTATTCTATCACATTGTGAAACACACACACGCCCCATTTGGTTGTGACCCCTTCTCCCCCAAAACCAGAAAAGCCATTAACCCAAAAATCATCTTACCCTCTCTCTCTCTTCCTCCTGCCGTCTTATTCCTTCTCCTTTCCAGGGCTCCTGAACTTTCTGTAAACAAATTGTCTAGGTTACAGGGGCCAGGCAGGGTGCAGCCACCAGAGAACTGTGGAGAACCTCAGGAATTATTTGTCAGCAGTCAGTCTGGAAGGCAGGCAGACCCCCCAGCCAGCAATCCAAAGACGGGTGGATATAATAACAGCAGTCTAGTGCTACCCTCTACGTGGATACAAGAGAAATAAATCCAATTCCCAGAAACTAAGACGAATTCTATCACCAGCGTTTGGGTTTCACTCCTAGGCTCAGAGACTGGTCCTTGTTCGTTCCCAGGCCACAGGTAACCAGGGGTCAGAGAACATTAGAGATGGAGGAGGAGGAGGGTCTGTGCCCCTGAGGAGTGGCTTCAGAAGGCAAAGCTGAGGGCTGGGGGATGCACAAGACCTTGTGGCAGGCACAGTGCCAGTTCAGGCCCAGCCACTTCCTCTAGCCTTCCCCCCACTTCTTCGAGGACTTCGCCCCCTGCCTACCCGAGGCCTTGTGCCAAGAAGTACCTCCCTCAGCCTGCACCGTGGTCTATCTACTGGAGACCCCAGCTGTCCCCTCAAAACCTTCGCTCCCCTGAGACAGTTCCTGGGAGCCTTCTCCTGATGTCGTCCCCTACCCCTTTCTCAAAGACCCTTCCTTGGGACGTCCCTCCTTCCCCTCCAGGGAGCTGAACTCTGCCACCCACCAGACAGGCACCCGCCCCCTAAACCCCCCCATTCCTTCCCATCGCCCGCTCCTCCACAACCACTTCCGGTTCCGGGACGGACACACACACAGTCACATCGTGGACCCCCCCTTCCCCGCCTGCCCAAGGAAAAGGGGAGGGGGGAGGAGCAAGCAGCTTGGCGCGCGCCGGCTGTAGCGGCGCGAGACTCACCGGGCGGCGACGGCTGCGGCGGCGCCAGAGCCTGAGCCAGGGCGCGGGAGGGGCGGCGTTTGCTGGGAAAGGAGGGAGCCGAGGAGGGTGGGAGGACCAGGAAGGGGCGAGGGAGGGGAAAAAGCGCAAGGCGCAGCGCGCGGGCACGCACTTCTGGAGCGAGACAGACCCACACACTCACACGCACGGAACGCGCGCGAGACACCCGCAGGGCGGGGGCGCGAGGTAGTGGGTGGCCCCCCCTCCTTGCTGCCCTCCCCTTGCACTCACCCGGAAGTGGTGCTGCAGCTCGTGCTCCCGCGAACCCCAGTTCCTCCACGCCCCCCTCCCTCCCCCCAACAGGCTCAGAGAAGAGCTCTGCGGAGAGAAGGCGGGAGCGCCGGAAACGAAAAGGGGGGAGGGAGGGAAATAGCAATGTAGGGGGGGCGCTAATGGAGAAAGAGGGGCGTGCAGAAGCCGAGTCACTTCCGGGAGTGGCTGGAACACTTCCGGCGCCGCTAGCGCTGCGAGATATTCAGGGCAGAAGTTACGATAACTCGGGGCGGAAATAGCTTCTGCCCAGCGACTGGGAAGAGGGGATGTGACGCTATAGCGGAAGTGAAGGCGGGTTCCGCTAGGGGCAAAAGCTGAAACCGGAGGACTCCGGCCCTGAGCTTCCGGAAGGGACATCTGGGGAAGGTGGGGGGGTGGAAACGCGACAGGTTCATGAATTATCCATCAAGGTAGGAGAGGAGGTGTGGGTTCTTCAGATGCTGGGACCCCGTTTCTCTTCCCTCTGGATGTTGAATAAGCTGATGTAGGAAATTACCATTATTTTTTCTGATACCCCCAAGAATGTCTCAATGCTTTGAATATGCGGGAAAGGACTAGGACGTATCCTTGTTTTTCGGAGGTCCCTACTTAGGTCCAGTTAGAAACTCTCCCAGCCATCAAAATCTGTCTCTCTGACACATCCCTTACTTTACTTTGGTCTTTTCTTGTTGCCCATACCCACATCTCTATCCCCTTACCCTGTTTTACTTAAATATAGCACTTATTACTGCCTGATTTATTGTTTGCTGTCCACCTCTCCCAACTAAAATATTGGCTACAGGACAGCGAGGACTGAATTGTTCGTTGCTGTATCCTCATATCCTGGCAGTTAAGTGGTCTGTAAACTCTTGTTGTATAAATGAACTATAGTTCATTATGAACACCTAAATATGAACCCTTTTAGGAAGCCTTGCCTGATTGCTCCAACCTGTAATGGTCCCTCTGAATTCCCATAGTATTTAATACGTACCTTTTATTGATATTTTAACTATTTCATACATGTGATTCCCCAGCAAGATTGTCAGTTCCTCATGGAAGGAAATACGTTGCTTTGCTGAGCATATAGTAAATGCTGAATATGTTGTTTGAACAAGTGAATGCTGTTACAAGCGTGCACCCCGACCTGGCCAGAATCCCCCTGGGCTCAGCTCTAAGCAGAACTGAGGTCTCTCCTACTAATGGTAAGAGCCTCTTGCTGAGAAAAATAACCTTTTTTTTTTTTTTTTAAAGACAGAGTGTCACCCTGTTGCCCAGGCTGGAGTGCATTGGCGCCATCTTGGCTCACTGCAACCTCTGCCTCCTGGGTTCAAGCGATTCTCCTGCCTCAGCCTCCCTAGCAGCTGGGATGACAGTCGCCCGCCACCACACCGGGCTAATTTTTTGTATCTTTAGTGGAGTCGGGGTTTCACCATGTTGGCCAGGCTGGTCTCGAACTCCTGACCTCAACTGATCCACCTGTCTCAGCCTCCCAAAGTGCTGGGATTACAGGCGTGAGCCACCACGCCCAGCAAAAAATAACTTTAACAGAAATAATTATAATGCTCATTTTACAGATAATGAAAATAAGCCTGTAAAGGATTAAGTGATTTTTTCCCCCAAGGTCAAAGCAAGAAAGTAACAAAGTACGCCTTTAAATATTTAAATAGATGATGCATTTCATTGTAATTGTAGTTTGTATCTTTTTTAAAGTGTCTGTTCCCTTTATCACATTTTTGGGCTCAGCACTCAGTCTCTGTTGACTGAGTAGCAACAGTTGGCAGAGTAAGGATTTTAAGGGCTCAGATGTGACCAGACCTATTGCTGTGTGGGTTAGAGATTGCTGATTCAAGAAACCTTGACATCAGGGGCTGGTATTGAAAGGTGGGAACAGGAAATAGTAATAATAGCTATACGTTCTGGTTCTCCTCCTGCTCTTTTCCTATTTATGTTAACTGGGCACTTCCTGGGTCTCCGTGTCTCCGTCAGCCCTATTCCTGCCCTTGCTATAAGAAGGAAGTTTCCCAGCTACTTGGGAGGTTGAGGCAGGAGAATCACTTGAACCTGGGAGGCGAAGGTTGTGGTGAGCCAAGATTGCGCCATTGCACTCCAGCCTGGGCAACAAGAACTAAACTCCATCTCAAAAAAAAAAAAAAGAAGTTTCAAGTGCTTTGAACTCCTTAGGGAAAAGCTTTAGAACAATAAATGTGGGGCGTAGGGGGAGGAGGGCTGTTAATTTTAGCCTGGGGTTCTCCAGCTGGCATACTGTTTCCATCTTGAATCACTTCCACACCCTAAGCTGTGCCTGGGAGATCCCTCCCTCCTCCTGGGGGCTTCCCCATTCCCTGGTTTGGTCTAAGCCGCAGTGGCAAGCATTCCAGAAAAATGCTAAGAGAAGCCTGGCTGAGTCATTTGATGCACAGCTCAGGAGGCAAAGAAAGGATGGTGATGAGACGCTGGTTCCAGTGGTGGCTGTGATGTGTGACCTCGAAGAACCTTCCAGTTCCCAAAAGGACAGCATGGCCATTGTTTTTTTCTTGGCTAGTGACTCTGCTGCAGCTTTCTGAGGACCTCTCAAAGCCCCACAGTCTCTGTTTCAACTACAGGAGAGAAAAGTTAGGGCTTGCTCCCCAGGGCCTTACGACTCTTCATGGCTAACGTGACAGTGCAGTATCATTTGGGAGAATTTTTTTAGTACAGTTCAGAGTCTGGAACAGTCTCCTTCCTCCTCTGTCTTTCCTGCCTTCTGACTTTCCATGGGGAAAGGAGGACATTTAGGAAGAGGGAACAGGTGAGGATTTCCAGTACCTTGCTGGTGTATTTTAATTTATTTAAATTTAGAGAAACAGTGGTCTAATCAGGCAGTAATTAATTCCCTCTTCATTAGGGGCCTTCATGTTTGCCTTTTGCATATGGATGAGCCACGGGTCACACTGTCCCTTTGAAGAGAGATCCTTGCTGAAGGTGAGAGCCCAGTGTGCTCTCCGGCACTTGAGCTCCTTCCCCTTCTGTGCCAATGCTTCTCTTTTCTCCCCACCCTCACCTGACAAGGACTAGATTCCTGTGGGGAAAGAAGGAAAGGTTAATGAAGCTTCCTATCCCACCCTCCTTGGATCTGGATCCCTCCCTCACGGCCCACAGTGTATACCATCCATGCCTCATCCTGTACCCTCAGGTTTTATCCAGCCCGCTCTCCCATCAGCCACCTGCTGGGATATCTTCATGCCCCCAGTGAGTTGACTCCTCAGAAGCTTGTTTGCCGGGCACCTCTGCTTTGAGTTGGTTCATCAATCCTTGGCCCAGCTCTGCTTCTTTCCCTTGTAGCAGTCCTTTTCTTAGGGAGTGTGACGCCCTGAATGCACACACTGCTCTAATCCTGAGAAATACACTGCCTCTTCCTGGCACTCAGCATTATGTGCTGCACAGGCTCAGCCACACTTCCCTCAGCTCACAGTAAAGCTCCCAACACCTAAAGCACACACCTACCAACACACAGACATTCCTAACCTAGCTTGAAAGATAAATGCATGGGGGCATATCCAGTCCAGAGCAGCCCAGGCCACCCTTTTGTACACTACATCATCCCTATCCTCCCTGGGGCCACCGCATTTCCAGGGAGCAAGTGGGGCACAGATTGGGGGAGGGGGGATAGATGGGACCTGGGTGGTTACCATAGCAATAGAGCCTAGCAACAGCTGAGAGGCTGATGTGTGGGTTTTCACAGGGCTGTTACAAGAGCCAAACCTAGAAATTGGGGACTGAGAGGTGACTGATCCCAGCTGGGCAGCCTGCATTCCCTCCCCAAAAACACCCCTTGATCCCACCCCCACACCCCTGCAGTGCCTCTCTCTGAGAGGGCAGAGTAGGGAAAGCTAACGAGTTAACCACAGGGCTTCTGATTCTGCACAGCTTTTGGGGGGCAGCTGTGGGTGGGGGCAGGTTAGGGAGCAAAGCTGAAAATAAACCAAGCAGGGCAGCTTCTTTCGGATGGCTGGCTCCCTCTCATCTTTTCTCCATTGCTCCATTTTTCTCTTCTCCTTTCCCCCTTCTCCCTCCGTCTGTCTTATCAGGTCTCTCTTCCGCCTTGATCCACCTCCTATCCTTCCATGTAACTTTCCTTTTCTTCTGTCTCCCTTTTTTTGGTCTCTCTTGACCCTCCCTGGCAAGGAATAAGTGAGCCACGATTTCTATTCTAGTTTCTCTCTTGTACCACTGCTCCTCGTCAGGATGGCTCCCTTCCATTTTGTCCCAAGTTAAAGCCCCAGTTGGCCCCCAGCTCCAGGTCAGAGGAGGGCAGGTGACTTAGGTCTAGAGGGGGTCCCCACCTCATCCTGTGCCTCCTCCTAGCTGCCCACCCCTCTCCTCCTCTCTACGGGGGTCAGAAGGCAGAACCAGGGGACTCGAGTATCTTGCAAAGGCTTTATTTGAAAATTTTGAAACTTACATCCCACAGTAATTCAAGATGATCACCACAAGAAGAAGAAAGAGATAATACAAAAATATATATCACAGCCTAGGAGCCAGGGAAGAAGGGAAGGAGGAAGGTGGAAAAACCAGTGAGAAGGAGGGAAGAACCTGAGGAGGGGGAAAGGGCAGGGAAGCAAAAGGAAGGAGAGTGGAAGGAAGGAGGGAGGAAAGGAGGGGACAGGAGGGAGTCCGGGAAGGGAAGGGTAGACTTGGAGGCAGAGCTCCCGATGGCCTTGAACCAGCTGACTCCGGTCCCTGGCAGCCTAGGTGGAGTTAGGGAGGCCCAAAGGGAGGCTGGGAAGGGAGGACTGGCTCAGGGGGCTCTGAAGTCCAGAGAATGGCACACACACAGACAGCCAGGACAGACAAGACAAAAGGGACTGTAGGAGAAAGGGAAGGGCAAATGGGAGTCCCTTTCTCATGTAGTGCAGCAGGCGACTCCCCAAAACCCATCTGTCAGAAAACAGATTTTAGCAGTGGGCTGGGGGTGAAGTCTGGGGCCTCACTACCCCATTCCCAAGGGGGAGCCCTCAGGGTGATGCCGGCATCCTTGGAGTAGGATGGGGAGACAGAGAAACAAATGGTGTGGAATGGGACGAGACCATGACCGATGAGGGCCCAAGGAGCCCCCAGCTCACCTCCCACCCACCTCTGGAGCAGCACGCAGGGGCTGCGGAAACGAGGTGGGTGGGTGTTCATGAGGGAGAGAGTGAGCACGCCGCACACCACCACAACATCAGGCCGGGAAACGCACATGAGAGGTAAAGTGTGCAGGAAACGCTGACCACTGAGTGAGCTGAGCACAGAATGTGGGAAGGAGAGAGTGCAAATGTGAGACGAGAGAACATGAGAGTCAGCTGAGCGGAGCGGTATGGACGGGGAGAGGGTGCAGGAGCGTGTGCAAATGGCCTGTGAAGGTGGAGGTGAGTGTGCAAGGCTTTCATGTGAGTGCACAAGGGTGGGGACAGGGACCCGAAGTCACAGATATGTGAGGCCCCCACCTGCAGGAGGGCGAGCAGATAGGATTGCCCGTGGGGCTGGGGAGTGTTCCGGGTGGTGTGCAAGGGGCAGGAGCCAGGAGCCCCTGTGGCCCCAGCTCCCCACAGCTGCCCCACCCTCAGTGGGATGGGGGCTGTGCCGGCCCCTTGGCCTCCTGCTTGGCTGCACCCCAACATTGGGGGCATCACAGATTCACCAGGGGAATCCTGAGAGGAAGAGGGAAAGGGCACAGTCAGGAACCAAGGGGTAGGCCAGAATAGAAGGGGAAGTTCAAGACAAAGAGGGGGAATCAAGGTTAAGAGGGCAGAGTTGTCTTAGACAAGGTGGCATGAGAAAAAACCAAAGAGGGCAGAGTTGGAGTTATGGGCAGCAGAGAATAGGACACAGATCCTGAGAGACTGGGAGAAGGAAGGGTGCCTCCCAGAGAGGAGCTGGTCCAGCCCCCTTGGGAGGGCCAGGGGCTGTGGGAGGCCACGCCTGCCTCCTCACTACCCATCCAGAGGGCACCCCCACCCCAGCTCTGAAGACCTAAGTTGCCTTCCCTCTTTGCCCTCCCATCCCATTGCCCCTGCCCTCACCGGTTCAACTGGAAGGCTGGAGCCCCCTTGGGGTGGGGCATCCCAGGCCGGGGTCCCCCTCGGGGCTCCTCATGGTCAGGGGTGGGGGTAGGTGAGTCCCCGAAGGCCCCCAGCACAGTGACTCCAGCCGGGGACAGGTCTGTCAGTGGCTGCTGGCTCTCCTCCTGCCTCAGGGCACCTTGCTGCCCTGAGGGTCTGCGTCGCTTCTGGCTGCGGTCCCAGCTGGGGTACCAGAGGAAAAGAGGTTCTCTTGCACACTCAAGTAGCCCCCATCCTGGGCCTGCACCAGTGGTCACCCCCAGCCTCGCCCAGTCACTCCCAACATCTTATAGCAGAGAAACTGGCCTTTAACAGTTCTCTCTACTAAATCCCCTGGGACTCTGTGCCCATAAAGCCACTTCCCCTGCCCTCTAGGGGAGCTTGGTAATCTAAACCTCCTTACCCTCCAAACCTGATCCAGATCGACAAAATTAATATCCCCTCCCCACCACCACAATGTCCTCTCCCCTACATGCCCAGAAGAGTCATTTCTGTCTTCAGCAGACAACTGGCAGGTTTAGTTCTAGTTCAAAGCAAGCTGATGACTTGGACACCTGAGTCTAATGATTCTCTCAGTAAAGTGTGAAGGACTGAGTGATCCATTATTAAATGTGTGCAAAGAAAGCTCCAGGTTTTCTTGCTCCCCCCAGGCAACCCTAAGAAGGGCTCTGCAGACTGGGTCAGCTTTCTCTGTCTTGGAGGAAGTAGGGGCAGGGGAGGCTCACCAGGAATGCACAGGAATAATTCCCCTGCCCTCCCTTATCCTTGTATTTCCCTGGGAGACAGAATCTGCCCTGATTTCTCACCGTCTTCCCCCAGCCAAATCCTTAATTATCTTTTCCCAAGGTCTTGCCTTCATCCAGCATTTCCCACCCACCCCCCAGCAAAATTGCTGCCACTGCCCCTCGTGGTTAGAGCCTCGACTGCCAAACATTCCGTCCCCATCCACCAGCACCTTCCTCCTCCCAGCTTACCAGAACTTGAAGATGATGCCAGTGGCCACGAGAACAATGATGATGGAGATGGTAATTGTGACATAGAGCTGGGGGTCCACACCTGATTGGGGTGGGAAGAAAGTTTTAGGGAGCCCCGAGGTGGTAGGAGCCAAGAGGGGCTGGGGGCTGGGCTGTGGGCTCTGTCGGCTGGAGTGGCATTGCTGTGTGGATCCACACTGCCGGCTCTGTCTGCCCCTCTGGAGCCTCACTCTTTATTATCACCAGCATTCCCCTGAGTTTTCAGCTCTTTTCCTCCACTTTCCCAAATGTATTTCACCAAATCTTATGTGTATATGTGATGAGGATGAGGCCCCATGATCAGCGAGAACCTATCACTATGCCTGGAAACTAAGGGGTGGAGATGTCCTAGTCTCTGCCATGGCCCAACTCCCAAACCACAGGCCCTGTTCCTCCATCAGCACTCCCTGAGCCAAGACATCTCCCGGGTAGTGCCCTTCATTCATGGCATTCTCTGCCCAGAATACTCCCACTCTCTTTTCAAGGGCCAGCTCAAATGTCAGTTCTCTGAAGGTGTCCTGATCCCCAAGCAGGAGGAGACTCTCACTTCTCTTTTTTTGTAAATCATGCTGCACATGCCTCTATTAAAGCATTTATTACGATGACTCCTCTCCAAGTCCTTTCATGTCTGTCTGCTCCAGTGGACCTGAACTCCGAGAGGGTGTCTTTATCTCTGCATCCTGTGCCAGTATAGTGCCTGACACATTTGTTGAAGGAGCTAACAGACAAGGCCTCTATTTCTGCCCCTTGGTGTCTTCACCCAGCCTCCCCATCCGTCATATCCCTCCCAGCCTTTCCCACTCACCTTCCCCACGGCCCCCGAACAGGAATGGCCGCAGGGTGGCAGGTGCCTCTCCAAGGATAAGCCCATCTCCATCACCTCGCATGGAGTCTGAGTTGGGGTGTGGGGTTGCGAGCCCATGAGGGGCTGCAAAACCATAGTCCAGAAATCCGGGATTGGCAGAGTTGGGGTCCCCTCCATCCTCTCGAGACACGGTGGGACCCCACACGATAGCCCAGGGGTATTGGGATGAGGGCGGCCCCTCCTCAAAGCCTGATGGGGTGGCTGGGGGTGCAGTGCCAGGCAGGACTTGCCGACGTGATCTTGGGACCCGAGGAGATCGGCTTGGTGGAGGTGCTCGCTCCCACACGCACACATGACGTGGGGCCGAGGGGCCTCCCCTGGCACACGGGGGGCGGGCTGGGGCTGGTGGGGTTCGAGGGGAGGATGAAGAGCCCTGAGCAGGCGGTGGGAGGGGCAGCAACAGCAGTGGCCAGAGAGGGAGGAGGTGGGACAGCAGCAGCGCAGGCCTGCAAGAAGGGAGAGAGCGTGGCTGAGACACAGGCCTACTGTGGGCCTATGTGAGGGAGGGACAGGTTCACACCAGAAACCTCCAGGTTTCCCTGTGAAAGCAGGTGGGCCTTGGGAAGACTCGCCTCATTTCCCATCTTCCAAAGGAGGATGGCCCTCAGGATGGGAAGGCTCTGGATGGGTCTAGGAAGGAAGGAGTCATGGCCCCAGGGAATGTGGTCTCCAGGCTCCCTCTGCTGGGCCAAACTTACCACATCCTGGACTCCATGTCTGAGGTCTTCCTCAGCTGTGACCCAGATTTTCAGCCTTTACTGGGAGAAAAAGGGGGCCGTCACACCCCAGCCCTGCCCTGTGTACTTCCCCAGCTAATTCATCCACCAATTCTACCCGCATCTGCCCTCCCAGGCCACCCAGCTGCCAGCTATGCGGCTGCACCCAGGATTCACTGGTTGTTAGCATCCTTTTGGGGGAAAAACTCCAGCGTGGTTGCCTGACCAGACTCCAGCCCCATCTACAACTTCTCAGGTCCCTGTTACCTCTCCACCCCAGGGTCTACTCTGGCTTCTCTGATTTCCCTTCTTCTCACTTCCTCTGCCCACAGCTCCAGGCTTTTCTTGGATCTTAATTTAGAGCCAAGAACCTTGTGATTCCTTGAGCACCTACCGCTAGGGAGGGAGTCTGAGGGTAGGGGGAGGGATGGGGAAGTCAATCTGAGCAAGCCAGTGAGTGTGTGTACGTGCAGGGGGGCCCTTCCAGCCCTCCCAGCCCTCCCACCCCTCTGGCAGTGCCAGGCATTTGTCTTATGATTAGCCCCAGGAGTCTGCATCTTCAGGAGAAAGGAATGAAGAGCTGGAGGGATGGAAGGAAAGAGACAGAAAGAGAGAGGTGAGTGGGAGAAAAACTACAGAATATAATTTTTGCTCTTAATGTTTAATCATCCAAGTGCATAGGTGCCCTCTGAAGGGAGGTGGAGTCAGGAAGAAACCACCCCCTCAAATGTGGCTCTCCTGGGTAAAGAATCCTGGGAAAATCGGGATGGTTGGTTTTGAAAGAGAAAGGGTGTGTTCTCAGAGCTGAGGGTGGTGGATCCAGGAGGGGCAGGCTCCCCAGAGGGAGTGAAGATAGGATACCCGTTTCCTGTGGATTCTGGGTCTAAATCTGCCCAATGGGCCAGACGCAGTGGCTCACGCCTGTAATCCTAGCACTTTGGGAAGCCAAGGCGGGTGGATCACCTGAGATCAGGAGTTCGAGACTAGCTTGGCCAACATAGTGAAACCCCGTGTCTACTAAAAATACAAAAATTAGCCGGGGGTAGTGGTGGGCGCCTGCAATCCCAGCTATTCAGAGGGCTGAGGCAGAAGAATCCCTTGAACCTGGGAGGCGGAGGTTGCAGTGAGCTGAGATCACACCATTGCACTCCAGTCTGGGCAACAAGAGCGAGACTCCGACTCAAAAAATAAAATAAATAAATCTGCCCATTGAATCTTCCCAGAGAACAACAAGGGAACAAGATGGGAAAGTCACGGGAAGGGCGTGGGGAAGCAGGCAGTGGGAGAGATGGGAAGGGGTGAAGGGCTGGGAGATGGAAGGCTGGTTAAGAGTGAGAGAGGAGAAATGTGAAGAGGAAGCTGGCCTGGAGTGCAGGGTGAGAGAGAGCAGGCAGTCCTGAAAAAGAGAGAACTGGGAAGAGAGGAGGAGAGTGGGTACAGAAGACTCGAACTGTGGAGGATGCCGAAGGGAGGAAAGGATGAGAGAAAAGGTCAGGGAGGGGAAACGGAGAGGATGAAGGGGTCACAGGTGCAGGGGAAGAAGGGGCAGGAGGAGAAGGAGAGAGCGGTCCAGGCAGGACAGCCAGAGGAGTGGAGAGTAAGGGGATGGGAGAAAAGGGGGGAAAGCCCAGGATGGGGAGAAAGGAAGTGGGGAAGGAGAGAACATAAATGCTTAAGGAAAAATGACACGAGGAACGGGCTGGGAAGCAGAGGCGGGAGCAGCAAAGATGGAGGAGTTCGGAATTGCTCCCCCAAATGTAAAGGGATGTGGAGATACCGAAAGACATAGGGATGGGGGCATGGTGGGAAGAAGGGAGAGAGAGGGGAAAGGAAGAAAGCTAGAGGGAGGGAGCGAGGCGTGTAGAGCGAACCAGTGAAGCGGAGAAGGGCTCCCAGGGCGCATCTGTGGCCAGCTGACTCTAGGACTATCGCCCCTCCGCCTGTGCATCCCCACCCCCAGCCAGCGCCAACCCAGTCCCTGGGCCCCGCACAGCTTCAGCCGCCCCCTCCAGGAAGCCCGCAGTCCCCGGGCTGGCGCGCCACCCCCACCCCTCTCCCAGCTTCTCACCGACCTGTTGTGCGCAGGAGACGAGCTGGGGGTGGGGCAGGAGCCTCGGGGTGCGGGAGCCGGGCCCCAGCCCCAGCGTGGCCCCCATCCCACCCATCCCGCAGGCCCGCACTCCCCGCACAGGGCTGGAGAGCGGCGAGAGTGGGGGGAGACGAGGAAAAGGAGGTCGGCGAAGGGACCCCGAGGCAGGGAGTGCCGAGAGCGGACTGGGGACCCGAAGCAGGAGACTGCGCGGAGCCGCCCGCCGAGCCGAGGCGGGATGGAGGCAGCCGCGGGGACGGGGACGGCTGCGCCAGGGAGGGCGGGAGCGAGCCAGGACCGCGGAGGGATGGAGAGCCCTTCGGGGAAGGGGCGCTGGGAGGCTGGAGGCCTTGTCCCGGGCGAGGGACCGCGTCGGGAGGGGCAGGAGGCGCAGGGCGCGGAGCCGGGAAGGGCAGGGCCGGGCTCCCCGCGGGTGGGGGCGTGGGGGTCCCTCTCACTCACCTGCATGCTTGGCGCGGCGGCGCGACGACTGCGGGCGCTCGGGACTGAGCGGGGCTGGGGGGTCGCAGGAGCGGGCGGGGTGCGGGGCATGGTGGGGAGGTTTGGCCCGCGGCAGGGCGCTGGAGCGGGTGGGGGGCGGGCGCCTGGGGCGCGGGGCGGCGGCGGTGGGAGATGCTCGCCTCGGCTCGGCTCGGCTCGGCTCGGCTGGGCTCGGCGCGGCGGCTGGGACCGCTCCGTCTCCGTCTCCGCCTCCCCCCCGCGCCGGAGGCCACGCACGGTTTAACCCTCCTGCTGCCGCGCTGCAGGAGTCAAGCCAGGCTATGTCCCAGGTGGAGGGCTGAAGAGGCTGGCAGGGTCCAGCGACCGTCCGCTTCCCTGGGTTCTGATGGCAGTCTCCCCACCTCCTTCACCCCAACTCCAGGGACACCCATGGTCGCCTCAGTCAGTTTCTGAGATTCTGAGTCACTCAATGCTCTGCATTCCCAACTTTGTTCTTTTGTATTGTGTTTTGTAGAGATGAGGTCTCGCTGTGTTGCCCAGCCCGGTCTCGAACGCCTGGGCTCAAGCGATCCTTCCCGCTCAGCTTCCCGGAGTGCTGGGATTACAGGCGTGAGTCACCACTGCCTGTCCCCCAACTTGGTTTTGCCCGCTGTAGAAAGTGCCTGAGGTCAAGGCTGGGGGCAAGGGGTGGAGGAAAGGACTGGGGAGGAAGGACCTTGCACCATCTTTGGATTATCCCCACAGCTTGATCCCCTATTTCACTCTGGCCCTGCTACCATGCATTAAGTGGATCACGTCGAAATTCCTGGGCTTTTCCAGCACTGGAATACCTAGACTCCGTGCTGTGACTTACAAGACCCTATATAACCTGGCTCTTAGGTGGCTCTCTGATTGCCTTTCCTAAAGATTTCTATGCTTCAGCCACATGGGACCTGGTGGATTTCCTGGTTGGAGACAGGTTTAACCTGCCTCAGGGCCTTTGCACTTGCTGTTCCCTCAGTAATACATTTCCCTGGCTTTTCACAATGACTTACTGTTTTCATTCCAGTCTCACTTAGATCCAACGCCTTCTGGGAGGCCTTCCCTAATGTCTCTATCAAAAGTAGCCTCTCCTGCCCCTTCTCCCACCACCTGGATCCCATCCCTCTCTACCACACTACGCTGTTTTTCCTCAGGGCACTTCCAGGACACCACACTCTCCTCATTTCCCTCCAACCTCACTGACTGTTCTTAGTCTTCCTCGGGTGACCTCTAAATGTTGGAGCCTCCTAGGGCTTAGTCCTTGGCCATTCTCTCTTTCCACATTCTCTGTCCAGTGATCTCATCCGGTCCCAGGGCTTAAATACTATGTAAATGTCAGTGAGTCCTAAATTTATATCCAGAGCGCCAGACTCATTTATCCGACAGCCTACTTGACATCTCCACTTGGATGTCTAATAGCCATGCAAAGCTAACTTGACTAAAATAGATGTCTTGAATTCCCCCACCCCCAATCCATTTTTCTCCCAGTGATCCCCATCCTGAGGCTTCACAACTACTAGTTGTTCAGGCTAAAAATCTAGGAAACATCCCTCCCTTCCCCTTTTTTTCACTGATTCTCTCCCTGTATCTAATTCACCAACAAGTCCTGTGGGCTCTGCGTCCAAAATATATCCCGAATTCATCTCCTTCTATCTTTATTGCTATAGTCTTGGTCTAAGCCATCATGTCTCATCCAGATTATCATAATAGCTTCCTCACTGGTCCCTGCTTCTGCCCTTGTCTTTACAAACTAGTTTTTCCTATATTGATAATATTTTAAAAATCAAAAGCATGTCATGCTCTTCTCTGCTTAAAATATTCGAGTGGTTTTTCATTACACTTGGAATAAATCTGAACTCCTTGTAAGGAGAAGCCCACCAGCCTGTACCCACCTCATACACAGTGCTCCTGCTGGATCAGACTACTTGCTGTTCTGTAACATCAGAAGTCATTCTCTTAGCATCCCTGCACTTTTTTTTTTTCTCGAGACAGTGTGTCTCTCTGTTGCCCAGGCTGGAGTGCAATGGCACGATCTCAGTTTACTGCAACCTCCGCCTCCCAGGGTCAAGCAATTCTCCTGCCTCAGCTTCCCAAGTAGCTAGCGTGTGCATGCAGGGGGGCCCTTCCAGCCTTCCCAGCCCTCCCACCCCTCTGGCAGTGCCCACTAGTGCCCTGCTAATTTTTGTATTTTTTGTAGAGACAGGGTTTCACCATGTTGGCCAGGCTAGTCTTGAACTCCTGACCTCAAATGATCCACCAGCCTTGGCCTCACGAAGTTCTGAGATTACAGGCGTGAGCCACTGCGCCCGGCCCCTCCACTTTTGATTCCCTCTTCCTGGAATGTTTTGCCACCCCTCTCCCCATCTTCACCTGGTTGGCTCCTTCATCCCTGCTCAAAATCTAAAGTGGCCCCCACTCTGTTTCCTCATTATGTTTCATTGTCTTTCCAACTCATCACTTTCTATTTGTTTATTTATTTATTGAGATGGAGTTTTGCTCTCGCAGCCCAGGCTGGAGTGCGATGGTGCAATCTTGGCTCACCGCAACCTCTGCCTCCTGGGTTCAAGCGATTCTCCTGCCTCAGCCTCCCAAATAGCTGGGATTACAGGTGCACACCACCATGCCTGGCTAATTTTTGTAATTTTAGTGGAGACGGGGTTTCACCATGTTGGCCAGGCTGGTCTCGAACTCCTGACCTCAGGTGATCCTCCCACCTCGGCCTCCCAAAGTGCTGGGATTACAGGCGTGAGCCGCCACGCCTGGCCCGACTCATCACTTTCTGAAATGATCATATATGTGTTTACTATTTACTGTCTGCTCTCTCCTGCCCCCCTATACATTAGAGAGCCAAGATCTTATTTGTCTTGTTTACCGTGTATCCCTACTCCTACTGCAGTGCCTTGGAATGTAGTAGATGCTCAACATGTACCACTTAATGAACTTCTTCTGGGACCCCTGCCCACTCTGAACTCTTTTAATTCTCTCCTCTGCTGTCCTCCAGCCATTCCTCTCTAGCTGCCTGCCCCCTACTGATCTCTGCCCTACGCCAAATGCTTCAGGTTGAGCCCTTGCTCATGTCCACACCCCTTCAGATCCTCCTCCTTCATTTGCTGCATTGTGACCCGTTGTCAGCCTGGCGCTCCTGCCTCGTGAAAGGAAGGAAGCCTGCTGTTCTGACGAGCATCTGCAGCAGCTGCCCTCTTGCTTGCGTGTCCCTGACAGCCCTTCATTTGAGGTCAGAACAGCAGCGAGTGAGCCGTCCTCCTAGTGTCTCCCAGTGGTGGGGGAAAGACAAGGCACACTGGATGTGAACCCGGCCAAGGGGCCATGTGAGTCAGGTGCGCAACTCCTGCCACCTCCTGGGCCCCTTAAGCCCCAGAGCATCCTGAGGATATGCTCCAGGTGAACTCATGTCACTGGCATGGACCAAGTTTATCAAGTGAATATTCATGTTCAGTGTAAGTGCCTTTGACACTGAGGACCTTGGGTCATTAATTATTTCTATTATTCTTGATTCATTCATTCTTTCCACATTTTTTTTTTTTTTGAAACAGGGTCTCACTCTGTTGCCCAGGCTGGAGTGTAGTGGCACAATCATGGCTCACTGCAGCCTTGACCTCCTGGCTCAAGCAATCCTCCCACCTCAGCCCCCAAGTATCTGGGACTACATGTGTGTGCCACCATGCCAGGCTAATTTGTGGTGGTGGTTGTTTTTTTTTGTTTTTTGTTTTTGTTTTTTTTTTTTGGCAGAGATGAGATTTTGCCACGTTGTCCAGGCTGGTCATACAAATATGGTCATTTAAATGGTGTGACACGCCAGGTACCGTGCCATGGCTGGGGATACAGCGGAGAGCAAGAATGAAGTCATCACTGTCTTGGTGGAGCTTACAGTCTGGTAGGGAGACAGTGCAGTGATAAATGTGACTTCAGATGAATTTGAGGACCTACCCACACTCTACAGTCTCTATACAGTCTCTATACATCCTTGTCCTGTTTCTGGCTCTGCTGGTATCTTCATCACTATCTCTGGGCTCATTTTTAATTAATTTATTTATTTTCAGAGACGGGGTTTCGCCGTGTTGGCCAGGCTGGTCTCGAACTCTTGAGCTCAAGCAATCCTCCCACCTTGGCTTCCCAAAGTGTTGGAATTACAGGCGTGAGCCACCGTGACTGGGCTCATTTAGGGTGAATTTCTGTTTTCTGTCCTCAAATATCCAATATTCTTCTTCTGAACCCTTCTCTCTCTCAGCTGATGATCTTGCTTGCTGCTTTTCTGAGAAAATGGAAACAAGCAGGAGAAAACTTCCCCACTCCCACCAGCACACCCTTAGCCCCACTGCACCTACTGTGGGGAATCTCAAACCCTGCCACCCACCCAAAGTCATCACTCCTGCAAATGTCCCTCCCTCTCCTGCAGCATCACTCTTCTCCTGTCTACTTTTTTTTTTTTTTTTTGAGACAGTCTCGCTCTTTCGCCCAGGCTGGAGTGCAGTGGCGCTATCTCGGCTCACTGCAAGCTCCGCCTCCCGGGTTCACGCCATTCTCCTGCCTCAGCCTCCCGAGTAGCTGGGACTACAGGCGCCCACCACCGCGCCCGGCAAATTTTTTGTATTTTTAGTAGAGACGGGGTTTCACCGTGTTAGCCAGGATGGTCTCGATCTCTTGACCTCGTGATCCGCCCGCCTCGGCCTCCCAAAGTGCTGAGATTACAGGCGTGAGCCACCGCGCCCGGCCCTCCTCCTGTCTACTTGATCATTGCCAGCAGCACACAAACACGCTGTAATTACTCCCAGCTTAAAATATCCTCCTCAACTGGCTGTCCGGCCCCAGCCTCTGCCCTTCTCTGCTTCCCTTTACAGGAAAGCTTTCCAAGAAGATGCTCTCTATTCACCATCTCCTCTACTTCTCCAATTCTTTCTCTTTTGTATCAACTTAAATCTAAACTCTTTAACTTTTTTTTTTTTTTTTTGGGACAGAGTCTCGCTCTGTCACCCAGACTGGAGTGGCCTCCCAAGTAGCTGGGACTACAGGTGCCTGCCACCACTCCCGGCTAATTTTTTGTATTTTTTAGTAGAGATGGGGTTTCACCGTGTTAACCAGGATGGTCTGGATCTCCTGACCTCGTGGTCCGCCCACCTCGGTCTCCCAAAGTGCTGGGATTACAGGCATGAGCCACCGCGCCCAGCCTAAACTCTTTAAATTTTGTAATTTACTTTTTTTTCTTTTTGAGACAGGGTCTCACTGTGTCGCCCATGCTGGAGTGCAGTGGTGTGATCACAGTTCACTGCTGCTTGGAACTGCTGGGCTCAAGCACATCCTTCTGCCTTAGCCTCCAGAGTAGCCGGGACTATAGGTGTGCACCACCAGCCCAGCTAATTTTTAAATTATTATTTTATAGAGGTGGGGGGGTCTCACTATGTTGTCTAGGCTGGTCTCCCCAACTCCTGGCCTCAACTCAACACCTTAGCCTCTTTTTTTTTTTTTTTTTTTTTTTGGAGGCAGAGTCTCACTCTGTTGCCAGGCTGGAGTGCAGTGGCGCGATCTTGGCTCACTGCAATCTCTGCCTCCCGGGTTCAAGCAATTCTCCTGCCTCAGCCTCCCAAGTAGCTGGGATTACAGGCGCATGCCATCACGCCTGGCTAATTTTTGTATTTTTTGTAGAGAAGGTTTCACCATGTTGGCCAGGATGGTCTCGATCTCATGACCTCATGATCCACCCGCCTCGGCCTCCCAAAGTTCTGGGATTACAGGCGTGAGCCACCTCACCTGGCCTAACACCTTAGCCTCTCAAAGTGCTAGGATTACAGGCATGAGCCACAGCTCCTAGCCCCTGTTTTTATTTTTATTTTATTTTATTTATTTTTTTGAGATAGAGTCTTGCTCTGTTGCCCAGGCTGGAGTGCAGTGGCATGATCTCAGCTCACTGCAACCTCCACCTCCCAGGTTCAAGCAATTATCCTGCCTCAGCCTCCCAAGTAGCTGGGACTACAGGCGCAAGCCACCAGTCCGGCTAATTTTTGTATTTTTAGTAGAGACGGGGTTTCTCCATGTTGGTCAGGCTGGTCTGAAACTCCTGACTTCAGGCGATCCACCCATCTCGGCCTCCCAAAGTGTTGGGATTACAGGTGTGAGCCACTGCGCCTGGCCTATTTTATTTTATTTTGAGACAGTTTCACTCTTGTCGCCCAGACTGAAGTGCAGTGGCGCTATCTCTGCTTACTGCAAACTCCGCCTCCTGGGTTCAAGTGATTCTCCTTCCTCAGCCTCCCAAGTACCTGAGCTACAGGCGTGTGCCACTACACCCAGCTAATTTTTGTATTTTTAGTAGAGACAGGGTTTCACTATGTTGGCCAGGCTGTTCTTCAACTCCTGACTTCAGGTGATCCACCCGCCTCGGCCTCCCAAAGTACTGGGATTACAGGTGTGAGCCACCATGCCTGGCTCCCTGTTTTTAAAATATAGTTTTCAGCTGGGCACAGTGGCGCACGCCTGTAATCCCAGCACTTTGGGAGGCCAAGGTGGGCGTATCAGGAGGTCAGGAGCTCGAGACCAGCCTGGCCAGTATGATGAAACCCCGTCTACTAAAAGTACAAAAAGTAGCTGGGCGTAGTGGCGAGTGCTTGTAATCCCAGCTATTTGGGAGGCTGAAGCAGGAGAATCGCTTGAACCCGGGAAGCAGAGGTTGCAGTGAGCCAAGATTGTGCCACTGCATTCCAGCCTGGGTGACAGCGAGACTCCATCTGAAAACAAAAAATTTAAAAAAAAAATTTTTTTAAATAAAAATAGGCCAGACGCGGTGGCTCACACCTGTAATCCCAGCACTTTGGGAGAGTGAGGCGGGTGGATCACGAGGTCAGGAGATCAAGACCATCCTGGCTAACACGGTGAAACCCCGTCTCTACTAAAAATACAAAAAATTAGCCGGGCGTGGTGGCAGGCGCCTGTAATCCCAGCTACTTGGGAGTTTGAGGCAGAATTGCTTGAACCCAGGAGGCGGAGGTTGCAGTGACCCAAGATTGCACCACTGCACTCCAGCCTGGGTGACAGAGCAAGACTCCATTACACACACACACACAAATAAATAAACAAATAAATAAATAAATAAAAATAAAAGAAAGTAAAAATGGACAGGCACGGTGGCTCACGCCTGTAAGTCCAGCACTTTAGGAGGCTGAGGCGGGTGAATCACCTGAGGTCAAGAGTTCGAGACCAGCCCAGCTAACGTGGGGAAACCCCGTCTCTACTAAAAATACAAAAAAAAAAAATTAGCTGGGCGTGGTGGCGGTCACCTGTAGTCCCTCTACTTGGGAGGCTGAGGCAGGAGAATCGCTTGAATCAGGGAGGTAGAGGTTGTAGTGAGCTGAGATCACAAGACTACACTCCAGACTGGGCGAGAGCAAGACTCCGTCTCAAAAAAAAAAAAAACAAAAACAAAACAAAAAAAACTACTACTGCTAACTTTGGCAACACATATAAGAACATTGGAATTGAGAGGTGACAGCGTGCTGGCAGTCCTCAGAGCCCTCGCTTGCTCTTGGCACCTCCTCTGCCTGGGCTCCCACTTTGGCGGCATTTGAGGAGCCCTTCAGCCCACCACTGCACTGTGGGAGCCCCTTTCTGGGCTGGCCAAGGCTGGAGCCCACTCCCTCAGCTTGCAGGGAGGTGTGGAGGGAGAGGCATGAGCGAGCGGGAACCGGGGCTGCGTGGGGCGCTTGCGGGCCAGCTGGAGTTCCGGGTGGCCGTGGGCTTGGTGGGCCCCGCACTCGGAGCAATGAGGGACTTAGCACCCGGGCCAGCAGCTGCGGAGGGTGTACTGGGTCCCCCAGCAGTGCCGGCCCACTGGCGGTGCGCTCAATTTCTCACGGAGCCTTAGCTGCCTTCCTGCGGGGCAGGGCTCGGGACCTGCAGCCCGCCATGCCTGAGCCTCCCACCCACTCCGTGGGTTCCTGTGCAGCCCGAGCCTCCCCAATGAGCGCCGCCCCCTGCTCCATGGCGCCCAGTCCCATCGACCACTCAAGGGCTGAGGAGTGGGCGCAGGGCACTGGGACTGGCAGGCAGCTCCACCTGCAGCCCCAGCGTGGGATCCTCTAGGTGAAGCCAGCTGGGCTCCTGAGTCTGGTGGGGACGTGGAGAGTCTTTATGTGTAGCTCAGGGATTGTAAACACACCAATCAGCACCCTGTGTTTAGCTCAAGGTTTGTGAGTGCACCAATCGACACTGTATCTAGCTGCTCTGGTGGGGCCTTGGAGAACCTTTGTGTCCATATTCTGTATCTAACTAATCTGATGGGGACGTGGAGAACCTTTGTATCTAGCTCAGGGATTGTAAATGCACCAATCAGCACCCTGTCAAAACAGGCCACTGGGCTCTACCAATCAGCAGGATGTGGGTGGGGCTGGATAAGAGAATAAAAGCAGGCTGCCTGAGCCAGCATTGGCAACACGCTCTGGTCTCCTTTGACATTGTGGAGGCTTTGTTCTTTCACTCTGCAATAAATCTTGCTGCTGCTCAGTTTTTGGGTGCGCGTTGCTCTTATGAGCTGTAACACGCACTGCGAAGATCTGCAGCTTCTCTCCTGAGCCCCGCCAGACCATGAGCCCACCGTGAGGAACGAACAACTCCAGACGCACTGCGTTAAGAGCTGTAACACTCACCGTGAAGGTCTGTAGCTTCACTTCTGAGCCAACGAGACCACGAACCCACGGGAAGGAAGAAACTCTGAACACATCTGAACATCGGGAGGCACAGACTCCAGACGCACCACCTTAAGAGCTGTAACACTCACCGCCAGGGTCCACGGCTTCATTCTTGAAGTCAGTGAGACCAAGAACCCACCAATTCCAGACACAGAATGACACAGATTAGCATGGCCCCTCCACAAGGAGGACACGCACCTTCATGAAGCATTCCATTTTTTCATAAATCAGAAAAATAGAGCGGGCAGGCACAGTGGCTCACACTTGTAATCCCAGCACTTTGGGAGGCCAAAGTGGGAGGATTGCTTAACTTCAGGAGTTTCAGACCAGTTTGGGCAACATAGTAAAATGTCATCTCTATGAAAAATTTAAAAAATTAGGCCAGGTGTGGTGGCTCACACCTGTAATCCCAGCAATTTGGGAGGCCAAGGTGGGTAGATCACCTGAGGTCAGAAGTTCGAGACTTAGCCTGGCCAGTATGGTGAAAACCCGTCTCTACTAACAATACAAAAATTAGCCAGGTATGGTGGTGGGTGCCTGTAATTCTAGCTATTTGGGAAGCTGAGGCAGGAGAATCGCTTGAACCTGGGAGGTGGAGGTTGCAGTGAGCCGAGATCGTGCCATTGCACTCCAGCCTGGGTGACGAGTGAAACTCTGGTGTTTTTTTATTTTAATTTTTTTTTTGTATTCCCAGCTTCTCAGGAGGCAGAGGTGGGAGAATTGCTTGAGCTCAGGAGTTTGAGGCTGCAGTAAGCTATGATTGCACCACTGCCCTCCAGGCTGGGAGAAAGCAAAACACTGTCTCCAAAAATAAAAATTAGGCTGGGCACGGTGGTTCACGCCTGTAATCCCAACACTTAGGGAGGCCAAGGTGGGCGGATTACGAGGTCAGGAGTTTGAAACCAACCTGGCCAACATGGTGAAACCCCGTCTCTACTAAAAATACAAATATTAGCTGGGCATAGTGGCACGTGCTTGCAATCCCAGCTATTCAAGAGGCTTAGGCAGGAGAATCGCCTGAACCCAGGAAGCAGAGGTTGCAGTGAGCCGAGATTGTGCCACTGCATTCCAGCCTGGGTGACAGCGAGACTCCGTCTCAAAAAAAAAAAAAAAATAAAAAATAAGTAAAAGAATAAAAATGGATGGGTGTGGTGGCTCATACCTGTAATCCCAGCACTTTAGGAGGCCGAGGCAGGCGGATCACAAGGTCAGGAGTTCTAGACCAGCCTGCCTAACATGGTGAAACCCCATCTCTACTAAAAATACAAAAATTATCCGGGTGTGGTGGTAGGCACCTATAATCCCAGCTACTCAGGAGGCTGAGGCAGGATAATTGTTTGAACCTGGGAGGCGGAGGTTGCAGTGAGCCAAGATCGTGCCACTGCACTCCAGCCTGGGTGACAGAGCAAGACTCCATCTCGAAAATAAATAAATAAATAAAAAATTAAAAAAAATTAGCCTGGGCAACATAGCCTCTATAATAATATCAAAAATTAGCTGGGCTGGTGGCACACGCCCATAGTCCCAGCTACTCAGGTCAGGAGGCTGAGGCAGGAGGATTCCCATGAGCCTAGGAGTTCTAGGCAGCAGTGAACTATGATTTCAACACTGCATTCCCAGATAGGCGACAGAACTAGACTCTATCTCTAAAAAATAACTGGCTGGGCATGGCATCTTATACCTGTAATCCCAGGACTTTGGGAGGCTGAGGCAGAAGGATTATTTGAGCCCAGGAGTTCAAGATGGACCAGCCTGGGCAACATAGGAGACTCTGTCTCTGCCAAAAAAAAAAAAAAAAATAGCCGCATGTGGTGGCACATGCCTGTGGTCCCATCTGCTTGTGAGGTTGAGATGGGGGGATCTCTTCAGCCCCAGAAGTTGAGGCTGCAGTGAGCTATGATTGCACCATTGCTCTTCAACCTGGGTGACAGAGCGAGACTGTCTTAAAACATAAATAAATATGGCCAGGCGCAGTGCCTCACACCTGTAATCCCAGCCCTTTGGGAGGATGAGATGGGTGGATTGCCTGAGTCCAGGAGTTGGAGACCAGCTTGGGCAATGTGGCAAAACCCCATCTCTACAAAAAATACAAAAATTAGCCAGGCATGGTGGCACGCACCTGTAATCCTAGCTATTTGGAGGCTGAGGTGGGAGGACCACTTGAGCGTGCAAGGTTGAGGCTGCAGTGAGTCGAGATTGCACCACTGCACTCCAGCCTGGGCCACAGAGCCAGACCTTGTCTCAATAAATAAATAAAATATTATATGTAGCCTTCTAGCACTGTTTACTTGCTTTTTCACTCACTATTACATTTCCAGGATTTAGCCATATTGTTCCATGTGACTGCAGTTCATATGTTTTCACTGGAAGGTAAAGTGCTACTGAGTGAATATACCAAATATATCATACTTTGTCTATTCTGTTGACGTATTTATGAATTGGTTTTTTTTTTTTTTTTTTTTTTTTGCTATTATAAACGTTGCTGGCCTGACACGTGGCTCACCCCTGTAATCCCAGCACTTTGGGAGGCTGAGGTTGGGTGGATCATGAGGTCAGGAGATTGAGACCATCCTGGCTAACATGGTGAAACTCCGTCTCTACTAAAAATACAAAAAATTAGCAGGGCGCGGTGGGGGGTGCCTGTAGTCCCAGCTACTCAGGAGGCTGAGGCAGGAGAATGGCGTGAACCTGGGAGGCGGAGTTTGCAGTGAGCCAAGATCATGCCACTGCACTCCAGCCTGGGCGATAGAGCAAGACCCTGTCTCAAAAAAAAAAAAAAGAAAAGAAAAGAAAGAAAAATCAGCTTTGGCTGGGCGCTTTGGCTGGGCACGGTGGCTCACGCCCCTAATCCCAGCACTTTGGAGGCTGAGTTGGGTGGATTACTTGCAGTCAGGAATTCGAGATTAGCCTGGCCAACATGATGAAACCCCAACTCTACTAAAAATACAAAAAAATTAGCCAGGCATGGTGGCACATGCCTGTAATCCCAGCTAATCAGGAGGCTGAGGCAGGAGAATTGCTTGAACTTGGAGGCAGAGGTTGCAGTGAGCCGAGATTGCAACACTGCACTCCACCCTGGGTGACAGAGCAAGACTCTGTCTAAAAAAAAAGAAAAAAGAAAAAAAAGAAAGCTTTGAGAAAGAATGCCAAATTGTTTTCAATTTTCACCAACTTTTTAAAGTTTTATTTATTTATTTATTTATTTATTTTTGAGGTGGAGTCTTGCTCTGTCACCTAGGCTGGAGTGCAGTGGCACAATCTTAGTTCACCCAAATCTCTGCCTCCCTGGTTCAAGCGATTCTCCTGCCTCAGCCTCCTGAGTAGCTGGGATTACAGGCGCACGCCACCACGCCTGGCTAATTTTTGTATTTTTAGTAGAGACAGGGTTTCCCCATGTTGGCCAGGCTGGTCTCAAACTCCTGAGCTCAGGTGATCTGCCCGCCTCGGCCTCCCAAAGTATTCGGATTACAAGCGTGAGCCACTGTGCCTGGCCAGTTTTCATCAATATTTGAATACTGATTGATCTACATTCTCTCTAATGCTAGTATTTTTAGACTTCTTAATTTTTGCCAATCTAGTGGTATACAATAGTATTTCCGTGTGGATTTTTTTGGCATTTCTCTAATTACTAATGCAGTTGAGCATCTTTTTATATGCTTATTAGCCTTTTTAATTTCCTCTTCTAGGAAATGCCTGATCATTTGAGTTGCTTGTGTTTTTCTTATTGATTTGTAGTGGTTTTTTTTGTTTTGTTTTTTGTTTTTTTTTTTGAGACAGAGTCTTGCTCTGTCGCCCAGGCTGGAGTGCAGTGGCACAATCTCGGCTCACTGCAACCTCCATCTCCCGGGTTCAAGTGATTCTCCTGCCTCAGCCTCCTGAGTAGCTGGGATTACAGGCGCCCACCACCATGCCTGGCTAATTTTTGTGTTTTTAGTAGAGATGGGTTTTCACCATGTTGGCCAGGCTGGTCTCGAACTCCTGACCTCAGGGGATCTCCTGCCTCAGCCTCCCAAAGTGCTGGGATTATAGGCGTGGACCACCATGCCTGGCCAATTTGAAGTTTGTTTTTTTTTGAGGGGGACGGAGTCTTGCTCTGTTGCCCAGGCTGGAGTGCAATGGCATGATCTCGGCTCACTGCAACCTTCACCTCCTGGGTTCAGGTGATTCTCCTGGCTCAGCCTCCTGAATAGCTGGGACTATAGGCATGCACCACCATGCCTGGCTAATTTTGTATTTTCAGTAGAGACGAGGTTTCGCCAAGTTAGCCAGGCTGGTCTCGAGCTCTTGACATCAAGTGATCCGCCCACCTCGGCCTCCCAAAGTTCTGGGATTACAGGTGTGAGCCACTGCGCCCAGCCAGATTTGTAGTTTGTTATATATGCTGGATACTAATATTTTGCCAGTTATATATGTTGCGAATATCTGTTCCTTTTTTAAGGCATTTGTGAACCTCTTTTCACTTTTTCCTTTATATATTTTAATTATCAGAGGTTCTTAATTTTCGTAGGAGTATATTTATCAACCTCTTATTTTGTGGTTATGCTTTTTGTATGTTGAATTTATTTATTTAATTTAATTAATTAATTTATTTATTTTTTGAGAAGAAGTCTCGTCTCTGTCGCTCAGGCTGGAGTGCAGCGGTGCAATCTCAGCTCACTGCAACCTCTGCCTCCCGGGTTCAAGCGATTCTTCTGTCTCAGCCTCCTGAGTAGCTGGGATTACAGTCACACGCCACCATGCCCAGCTAACTTTTTTGCATTTTTAGTAGAGACAGAGTTTTGCCATGTTGGCCAGGCTGGTCTGGAACTCCTGACCTCAAGTGATCCGCCTGCCTCGGCCTCCCAAAGTGCTAGGAATACAGGCGTGAGCCACTGCACCCGACCTGTATCTTGAATTTAAAAATCATTCTCGGCTGGGCGTGGTGGCTCACGCCTGTAATCCCAGCACATTGGGAGGCGGAGGCGGGCGGATCACTTGATGTCAAGAGCTCGAGACCAGCCTAACACGGTGAAACCCCGTCTCCACTAAACATACAAAAAATTAGCCGGGTATGGTGGCGGGAGCCTGTAGTCCCAGCTACTTGGGAGGCTGAGACAGGAGAATGGCATGAATCCAGGAGGTGGCGCTTGCAGTGAGCCACGAACACGCCACTGCACTCCAGTCTGGGCGACTGAGTGAGACTCCGTCTCAAAAAAATAAAAATAAATAAAAATAAAAATCATTCTCAGGTTGGTTGCAGTGGCTCACGCCTGTAATCCCAGCACTTTGGGAGGCCAAGGCATGTTACAGGTGGAAAGAATGAGGGGCCGCCTTTGCTCACAGAAGCAGGGAGCTCTCTTCTTCTTCCCCTGGACCCTTCCTTTAAAACAGTTTCTTTTGTCTTAAGTTTTCATTTCTGTTTGTCCCTTCATTCAGTCTCGTAATGACAGTCTCAAGTAGTAACAGTAGTAACTGTTGTAATGATGGTCTCAAGTAGTATTTGTTGCAGTCAGCCACAAAGGCAGGAGGATTGCATGAGGTCAGGAGTTTGAGACCAGCCTAGGCAAAATTGGGAGACTTCAACTCTACAAAAAATACAAAAAACAGCTGGAAGTGGTGGCATACACCTGTAGTCCCAGCTACTCGGGAGGCTGACCGGAGGTGAGAGGATCACCTGAGCCTGGCAGGTTGAGGCTGCAGTGAGCCGAGATCGTGCCTCCACACTTCAGCCTAGACGATAGAGTGAGACCCTGTCTCAAAAAACAAAAACAACACCACCAAAAATACCCACAACACTCTCTATCCTCCTCCTAGTCAGAAAATTTTTGTGTTCTTTTTTTGTTTATGTTTGAAACAGGGTCTTACTCTGTCGCCCAGGGTGGAGTGCAGTGGCGCCGTCTTGGCTCACTGCAATCTCCGCCTCCCAGGTTCAAGCTAATTTATTTGTATTTTTTTTAGAGACAGGGTTTCACTGTTGGCCAGGCTGGTCTTGAACTCCTGACCTCAAGTGATCCGCCCACCTCGTCCTCCCAGTGCTGGGATTACAGGCAGGAGCCACAGCGCCCCGTCTGTTCCTGTTTTTTTGTTTTATTTTTTTTGGTTTTTTTTTTTTTTTGGAGACGGAGTCTCACGCCCAGGCTGGAGTGCAGTGGCATGATCTCAGCTGACTGCAAGCTCTGCCTCCCGGGTTCATGCCACGCTCCTGCCACAGCCTCCCAAGTAGCTGGGACTACAGGCACCCACCACCACGCCCGGCTAATTTTTTGTATTTCTAGTAGAGCCGGGGTTTCACCGTGTTAGCCAGGGTGGTCTTGATCTCCTGACCTTGTGATCCACTCACCTCGGCCTCCCAAAGTGCTGGGATTACAGGCGTGAGCCACCGCGCCCGGCCGTTTGTTTGTTTTTTGAGATGGAGTCTCGCTCTTTTTGCCTAAGCTGGATTGTAGTGGCACGATCTCGGCTCACTGCAACCTCGGCCTCCCAGGTTCAAGTGATTCTCCTGCCTCAGCCTCTCCAGTAGCTAGGATTACAGGCACCCGCCACTGAGAGGGGACAGCGTGCTGGCAGTCCTCAGAGCCTTCGCTTGATCTCGGCACCTCCCCTGCCTGGGCTCCCACTTTGGTGGCATTTGAGGAGCCCTTCAGCCCCCCCACTGCACTGTGGGAGCCCCTTTCTGGGCTGGCCAAGGCTGGAGCCCACTCCCTCAGCTTGCAGGGAGGTGTGGAGGGAGAGGCATGAGCGGGAACCGGGGCTGCGTGGGGCGCTTGCGGGCCAGCTGGAGTTCCGGGTGGGTGTGGGCTTGGTGCGCCCTGCACTCGGAGGAGCCGGCCAGCCCTGCCAGCCCCGGGCAATGGGGGACTTAGCACCCGGGCCAGTGGCTGCGGAGGGTGTACTGAGTCCCCCAGCAGTGCTAGCCCACCGGCGCTGCGCTCGATTTCTCGCCGGGCCTTAGCTGCCTTCCCGCGGGGCAGGGCTCGGGACCTGCAGCCCGCCATGCCTGAGCCTCCCACCCCCTCCATGGGCTCCTGTGCAGCCCGAGCCTCCCCGACGAGCGCCGCCCCCTGTCCACGGCGCCCAGTCCCATCGACCACCCAAGGGCTGAGGAATGCGAGCGCACAGCGCGGGACTGGCAGGCAGCTCCACCTGCAGTCTCGGTGCGGGATCCACTAGGTGAAGCCAGCTGGGCTCCTGAGTCTGGTGGGGACGTGGAGAGTCTTTATATCTAGCTCAGGGATTGTAAATACACCAATCAGCACCCTGTGTTTAGCTCAAGGTTTGTGAATGCACCAATCGACACTCTGTATCTAGCTGCTCTGGTGAGGACGTGAAGAACTTTTATGTCTAGCTCAGGGATTGTAAATACACCAATCGGCACTCTATCTAGCTCAAGGTTTGTAAACACACCAATCAGCACCCTGTGTTTAACTCAAGGTTTGTGAATGCACCAATCAACACTCTGTATCTAGCTGCTCTGGTGGGGCCTTGGAGAACCTGTGTGTGGAAACTCTGTATCTAACTAATCTGATGGGGACGTGGAGAACCTTTGTATCTAGCTCAGGGATTGTAAACGCACCAATCAGCGCCCTGACAAAACAGGCCACTCGGCTCTACCAATCAGCAGGATGTGGGTGGGGCCAGATAAGAGAATAAAAGCAGGCTGCCCCAGCCAGCATTAGTAACCTGCTCTAGTCTCCTTACACGGTGGGGAATCTTTGTTTTTTTACTTTTTGCGATAAATCTTGCTATTGCTCACTTTTTGAGTCCATGGTGCTTTTATGAGCTGGAATACTCTCCGGGAAGATCTGCAGCTTCGTTCCTGAGCCAGCGAGACCATGAACCCACCAGAAGGAAAAAACTCCAAAGGCATCTGAACATCAGAAGGGACAGACTCCAGAGACACCACCTTAAGAGCTATAACACTCACCACGAGGGTCTGCTACTTTACTCTTGAAGTCAGTGAGACCAAGAACCCACCAATTCTGGACACACCACCACACCTGGCTAATTTTTTTTTTTTTCTTTGAGACGGAGTTTTGCTCTTGTTGCCTAGGCTGGATTGCAATGGTGTGATCTCAGTTCACTGCAGCCTTGTCTTTCTGGGTTCAAGGAATTCTTCCTCAGTCTCCCAAGTAGCTGGATTACAGGTGTGTGCCACCATGCCAGGCTAAGTTTTTGTATTTTTAGTAGAGACAGGGTTTTGCCATGTTGGCCAGCCTGGTCTGGAACCCCTGACCTCAGGTGATCCACCCGTCTTGGCCTCCCAAAGTGTTGGGATTATAGGTGTGAGCCACCACGCCCAGCCATTTTTACGTTTTTAGTGGAGATAGGGGGGTTTCATAATATTGGTTAGGCTGGTCTCAAACTCTTGACCTCGTGATCAGGAGTGATCATGCACCACCATGCCTGGCTAATTTTATATTTTTAGTAGAGATGGAGTTTCAACATGCTGGTCAGGCTGGTCTCGAACTCCTGATGGGTGATCCCCCTGCCTTGGCCTCCCAAAGTGCTGGGATTACAAGTGTGAGCCACTGTGCTGGGCAATTTTCCTTTCATTCTTTTTCTTTCCTTTTTTTTTTTTTTTTTTTTTTTTTTTGAGACAGGGTCTTGCTGTGTTGCCCAGGCTGATCTTGAATTGCTAGCTTGAGTGGTCCTCCCACCTCAGCCTCCTGATTAGATGGGACTAAAATTTCCCTTTACATTATTGCCCTTTGCTGATTTTGTTATCAAGGTGATTCTGGCCCCATAGAATAAGTTAAGGGGTGCTCTCTCTTCCTATTTTCTGCAATAGTGTGTATAAAATTAATATGATCTGTACTTTGAAAGTTTGGTGCTACTTGCCTTGATGATGTCATTTTTTTAAAATAAAAAATGTTTTGGCAGGCCTCAGTGGTTCACGCCTCTAATCCCAGCACTTTGGAAGGCAGAGGCAGGTGGATCACCTGTCAGGAGTTCCAGACCAGCCTGACCAACATGTTGAAACCCTGTCTCTACTAAAAATACAAAATTAGCCAGGCATGGTGGTACATGCCTGTAATCCCAGCTAGGGAGGCTGAGGCAGGAGACTCACTTGAACCTGGGAGGCAGAGGTTGCAGTGAGCCGAGATCGTGCCCTTTTACTCCAGCCTGGCCAATAAGGGTGAAACTCCATCTCAAAAAAAAAAAAAAAAATTTCTGGCCAGGCATGGTGGCTCACACCTATAATCCCAGCACTTTGGGAGGCCGAGGTGGGTGGATCACCTGAGGTCAGGAGTTTGAGACTAGCCTGACCAACACAGCAAAACCCCGTCTCTACTAAAAATACAAAAATTAGCTGGGGGTGATGGTGGGTGCCTGTAATCCCAGCTACTGGGGGGGCTGAGGCAGGAGGATTGCTTCAACCTGGGAGGCGGAGGTTGCAGTGAGCCGAGATCGTGCCACTGCACTCCAGCCCGGGCAACAGAGTGAGACTCCGTCTCAAAAAAAAAAAAAAAAAAAAATTTCCAGCCAGGCTTGGTGGCTCACGCCTGTAATCCCAGCACTTTGGGAGGCCGAGGTGGGTGGATCACAGGGTCAGGAGTTCGAGACCAGCCTGGCCAATATGGTAAAACCACGTCTCTACTAAAAATACAAAAAAAATTAGCCAGGCATGGTGGCGGGCAACTGTAGTCTCAGCTACTCTGGAGGCTGAGGCAGAAGAATGGTGTGAACCCAGGAGACGGAGCTTGCAGTGAGCCAAGATCGCGCCACTGCACTCCAGCCTGGGCGACAGAGCGAGACTCCGTCTCAAAAAAATAAATACAAAAAGTTAGCCAGGCATGGTGGCGGACGCCTGTAGTCTGAGCTACTCGGGAGGCTGAAGCAGCAGAATCACTTGAACCCAGGAGGCGGAGGTTGCAGCGAGCCTAGAGGATGCCACTGCACTCCAGCCTGGGCGACAGAGCACGACTGTCTCAAAAAAAAAAAAAAAAAAAAAAAGCAAAAAACAAAAAATTTCCCCTTATTTTAAAATAGAGACAGGATCTTGCTATGTTGCCCAGGCTGGTCTTCAACTCCTGAGTTCAAAAGAGCCACCCTCCTCGGCCTCCCAAAGTGCTGGGATTATTTGCGTGAGCCACTGTGCCTGTCTTATGATGTCATTCTTGACTTTCTTTTCTTCTCATACCTCACATCTAATCAATTTGCAAATTCTGTTCACTTTAAGTTAAGTACAGAAACCAGGTCAGGTACTGTGGCTCATGCCTGTAATCCAGCACTTTGGGAGGCTGAGGCAGGTGGATCACCTGAGGTCAAGAGTTTGAGAACAGCCTGGGCAACATAGTGAAACCCCGTCTCTACTAAAAATACGAAAATTAGCCAGATGTGGTGGCACACACCTGTAGTCTCAGCTATTTGGGAGGCTGAGGCAGGAGAATCACTTGAACCCGTGAAGCAGAGGTTGCAGTGAGCTGAGATGGCACCACTGCGCTCCAGCTTGGGAGACAGAACGAGACTCCATCTCAAAAATAAATAAATATACGTACATACATACATACATACATAATCCAGCTATTTCTCTCTGCATCCGCCACTGATATCATGGTCTAAGTTATCACCGTCTCTTGCCTGCATCATTGCTGTGGCCTTCTAATTGGTCTAATTGGTTCTGCCCGTGTAGCCATTTTAATATGTTAAACGTGTGGGTCAGATGGTGTCACTCCTCTGCTCAAATCCTCCACTGGCCGTCCATCTCACTCTAAGCAAGAGCCAAAGTCCCTACAGTCGCCCATAAGACATGATCTGGACACCCTGCTCTCGCTCTACCTTGCCTCCTCTCCCCTTTCTCAATCAGGTCCAGCCACAAGGCCTCCTTGGTGCTCTTCAGACACATCTAGTATGTCCCCATCACGGGGCCTTTGCACTGGTAGTTTGCTCTGCTTGTGAAATTCCCATACAAATCCATCCAACTGGCTCCTTATCACCTTGTCAGGGAGGCCCTCCTAAGGACCTTAAATAACAAATGTCTCCTGCATTCCCCATCCCCCTTACCTTGTTTTTGTTTTTCTTCATATTTATCACCTTGTAATTATTTAAGGCCTGAATTCTACCACAAGAATACAAGTAGCAAGAAGGCAGGGATTTTGTCTACCTCTCCAGGAGCTAGAACAATAATATCTTTTGACTCAATGATAAATATTTTCTTACATGTTTGACTCTTTGGATGTCAGTCAGCTTTTCTAGCTTTATTTCAGTGCATCTTTTCTATAATTAGCATGAAAAACAGCACCTGGCACATACCCTTGTATATAACTGCCACTTAGTAACGAATGAATGAATGTTACCTCCAGGACTTTGCTTATATTTACTTAGTTCCCATCCTCTTCTTGGGACACCTTTATTTTTCTTCCCACTTTCTCCTCTTCTTTTCCCATTTCTACTCCTTTTTCTTATCTTTCTCACATTTCCTCCTGCTCCTCCTCTTCTCTCTCTAATCCTACTTCTTTAGTCCATTTCCTCTCCTGTCTTTCTCCAAACTCTCTTTTATCTCCTTACTCATTGTTCTCTCATATTCTCCTCTCACTCCTTTTTCTCCTATAGAACCATAAGACATCAGAACCCAAATTGGCCTTAACATCTAATCTCTCTTGGCGGATATGGAAGAGGAGATACCACAAAATGGCTTGATTTGCTTTAAGGTCACAGCTGGTTTAAGACCAAATCAGGAGTAAATCTCAGGTTATCTCTTTCTTTGTGCTCTCTTCTCTGTCGCTCTTTCCTTTCTGCTTTTTTCCTGCTTCTCTTTCTTTTTTTAAATGTTATTTATTTATTTATTTTTGAGACAGAATCTTGCTCTGTCACCCAGGCTGGAGTGCAATGGCACAATCTTGGCTCACTGCAACCTCTGCCTCCTGGATTCAAGAGATACTCCTGTTTCAGCCTTCCGAGGAGCTGGGATTACAGGCATGCGCCACCACACCCGGCTAATTTTTGTATTTTTGGTAGAGATGAGATTTTATCATGTTGGCCAGGCTGGTCTCAAACTCCTGATCTCAAGACCTCAAGTGAGCCACCTGCCTTGACCTCCCAAAGTGCTGGGATTACAAGCATGAGCCACTCTGTCTGGCTCATTTCTTTCTTTCTTTCTTTTTTTTTTTTTTTTTTTGAGACGGAGTCTTGCTCCGTTGCCCAGGCGGAAGTGCAGAGACAGGATCTTGGCTCACTGCAACCTCTGTCCCCTTCTCCTTCCTCAGGGTTCAAGCAATTCTCCTGCCTTAGCCTCCTGAGTAGCTCGGATTACAGGGGTCTGCCACCACGCTCTGCTAATTATTATTTTTTTAGTAGAGATGAGGTTTCACCATGTCGGCCAGTCTGGTCTCGAACTCCTGGCCTCAAGCGATCCGCCTACCTTAGCCTCCCAAAGTGCTGGGATTACAGTCCTGAGCCACCACGCCCAGCTCGCTTATCTTTCTCAATACAGTGTTGGAATCAGACAAACTTGCATTTAGATCTCAGTTTCATCACAGACCGGTAACCTTCAACAAACTATTTAACTTCTGTATTCCTAAGTGTCCTCACAGGTGAATTGAGACACTAATATGCACCTCATAGGGTTGCAAAGATCGAATAAAAATTTGAACAATCGGCCGGGTGCGGCGGCTCGCGCCTGTAATCCCAGCACTTTGGGAGACAGAGGCCGGTGGATCACGAGATCAGGAGATCGAGACCATCCTGGCTAGCATGGTGAAACCACAGCTCTACTAAAAATACAAAAATTAGCCGGGCATGGTGGCGCGTCCCTGTAATCCCAGCTACTTGGGAGGCTGAGGCAGGAGAACCGCTTGAACCTGGGAGGTGGAGGTTGCAATGAGCCGAGATTGTGCCGCTGCACTCCAGCCTGGGCCATAGAGCAAGACTGTCTCAAAAAAAAATAAATAAGATAAAAATTTGAACAATCGAGGCTGCAGTGAGCTGTGATCGCATCACTGCACGCCACCCTGGGCAACAGAGTGAAACCATGCCTCTAAAAAAAAAAAAAAAAAAAAAAAAAAAAAAGTAAAAAATGAACAAATAAAGCACTTGGCGCAAAATAGAACAAATACGGGTTATTTTCTCATCCCTTCATCTTACATGTTTTTCCCTTCTCTCTAAAAATGATAAGCTTGGCCGGGCGCAGTGGTTTACGCCTGTAATCCCAGCACTTTGGGAGTCTGAGGCGGGCGGATCACGAGGTCAGGAGATCGAGACCATCCTGGCTAACACGGTGAAACCCCGTCTCTACTAAAAATACAAAAATTAGCCGGGCGTAGTGGCGGGCGCCTGTAGTCCCAGCTATTCGGGAGGCTGAGGCCAGAGAATGGCGTGAACCCGGGAGGCGAAGCTTGCAGTGAGCCGAGATCGCGCCACTGCACTCCAGCCTGGGCGACAGAGCGAGACTCCGTCTCAAATTAAAAAAAAAAAAAAAAGATAAGCTTGGGGCGGGGAGGGGTGGATGCAAAATAATAATAATAATGTTTGGACTCATTAATTCCTTGCTTCCTTCAAACTCTGAATATTTTATTATGCCTTTGATTCCTTCTACTCACTTTTGTTTCACCTTTTCCATTCATTTCTTCTTCTCCTCTTCCTCCTTTCTCTTTCCTTTCTGTGTTTCTGCTTATTTTCTATCACAAACCAAAATATGCGGACCATAAACTGCATCTGCAGTTCCTTTAGCCCTAACAGACTACGAGTCCTATTTCTCTTTATCTTTCTCTTTTTCACTTTCTTGTCTTTCCATTACTTACAAGTTTCTTAATTTTCCTGAGTTCAGTTTTTCCATCTGGAAAGTGGAGATAACAATTACTAGATCGTTGTATCAGATGAATTAAGTAATGCTCATGGCTTAACACAAAGGCCAAGATGTCATTAACTTTACCCTCACTTGACCTTCTGCAAGCCTGTTGTGAAATATAAAACACTATAGAAATGTTAGTTGTTTTTGTTTTTATTAAAGTATCATATTGAAGTAGAAAGATGGTTTTGAGTTTGAAAAGCTCCAGATAAATCCTTGGATTTTTATGAGCCTCAATTTCCTTTTCTGTAAAATGAGAACCACATAGGGTTTTTTCCTCCCCAAGAAATTAAGAGTCCATGTACTGAAAGCATCATTCTACAAGTATTAATACATATGTAGTAATCATGGTAGAGGGTGTCCTGAAGTCACAGGGGAATATTTGTGAGGATTCAACGGAATAAAATTTTAAAAGATGTCTGACCAATAGTAAGCACTCAATACATGTTAGCTTTATTCTCTCTTTTATTTTTCTCGCTTCTTTTCTCCTGCTCTTCAAAAAAGTGAGTGGTTGAACCACCTAGGTGATCTCTGCTGCTAAACTTCTATTATTGATTTTTGTTTGCTTCCTCTCTGCCCCTTGTTTCCTCATCCCGTTTTTTTCCCTCTTCTTCACTCCTTCCGTTACAGCTTTTCTCTTGCCTCAGGTACCCAGTGCAGTCCTGATCTCCAGCTCTCCAGCGGCTTAGAACAGACACAGAATGGGCCGGGACCAGGGACCCACCAGAGACGTCTGTAGTTAATAGCTGGCGCTCTTCCACTAATAAAGTTTTATTGAAATAAAGCATTTAAAAAGGCGCCCGTCATTCTTCCCCCAGCGACCAATCGAAGAGTAGAATGCCTGCGTCCCTCACTGGAGCTTCAGCGGTCGGAACGCGGGGGTGGGGCATGTCCTGCCGAAATTTGCGTCCTTAGAGCGGAAGTACGGCCGGAAGCCCGCCATAGAGTTTAGTGGCCAGAGCGACTCTTCAGGGAGGTGGCAGGAAAGGCTTGGAACAGCTGCCGGAGGTGACGGAGCGGCGGCCCCGCCCGGTGCGCTGGAGGTCGAAGCTTCCAGGTAGCGGCCCGCAGAGCCTGACCCAGGGTACGACGAAGCAGTCGGCGGGAGCCCACGGTCGCTGGGCGGTGTCTTTAAGGGAGGGGGCGGAGCCACGTGTAAGCTTCAATGGGGGTGAGGTCACGTGGTTGTGGGCGCGTGCGGGGCAGCAATGGAGAGCTGAGGGAGCGTCGTCAGGGTGGACACCATGCGACACCCATTTCTCCTTTGCATCCTGTGTCTTGGGGTTCAATGGGGTGCACGTGATGGGGCTTGGGGTTAGGCCCAGGGGAGGGGGTGGGTGTGGCAGCCTTGCGAAGTGGCTGACTTTAGGATTCCTAGATCAGAATTTTAGACCGCTCCATGTCTGATTCCTCACCGCAGAACCGACTTAGTGCCTTTACAATCCAGTCCCTCAGCCTTGTGCTTCCCATCCGACCAGCCATCGGGGACCTCTAGCTTCACATCCTCTTTCCTTGCAGCTCTGGACATCCTGAGCCCAAGTCCCCCACACTCAGTGCAGTGATGAGTGCGGAAGTGAAGGTGACAGGGCAGAACCAGGAGCAATTTCTGCTCCTAGCCAAGTCGGCCAAGGGGGCAGCGCTGGCCACACTCATCCATCAGGTGCTGGAGGCCCCTGGTGTCTACGTGTTTGGAGAACTGCTGGACATGCCCAATGTTAGAGAGGTGGGTTGCTGGCTTGAATAGCCCTCAGAGAAGCGTGGGCAAAGGTTTGAATTTGAGAATGGGTGGGCAGGGCTCATTTTGTGATCCAATAACCATTCAGTTGAACAAGAAAACAGTGATAATTAAATGCCAACTTGCAGAAGTAACCAGTGAACAAGCAAACCAGCTCTCCTTTGGAGATAAGGGATCTGTAAAGCCCACTATTTTTCATTTTAAGCAAAAGAGCATCCTATTCAGAATAGGAAACCTGATTTCCAGCCGGTCTCCACCAGTGTAGTAGCTGTTAATTCTCATGTCACCTTGATCAGGTCACTTTTGTTTTAGGGCTTCAGCTTTCTCTTTTTTTTTTTTTTTTTGAGACGGAGTCTTGCTCTGTCACCCAGGCTGGAGTGCAGTGGCGTGATCTCAGCTGAGTGCAAGCTCTGCCTCCTGGGTTCACGCCATTCTCCTGCCTCAGCCTCCTCAGTAGCTGGGACTACAGGCGCCCGCCACCATGCCCGGCTAACTTTTTTGTATTTTTAGTAGAGATGGGATTTCACTGTGTTAGCCAGGATGATCTCGATCTCCTGACCTCGTGATCCGCCCGCCTTGACCTCCCAAGGTGCTGGGATTACAGGCTTGAGCCACCGCACCTAGCCAACTTTCTCTTTTAAAAATGGAGACAATACTGCCCCTCTCTGTTGTGGGAATAAAGTGAGATTATGGGAAAGTGTGAAGTCTGGTACAAGTGGAGAGTGAACATGTTAAATTAGCATGCCCTTTTCTTCCCTATGTGCAGCATATGCTAATCTATTCAAGTTAGCTAAGGGAGAACGTGTCTTTTTCCCAGAGACACATGGCAAACTGCTAGGAACACAGCAGAGAGAACCGTTCACACAAAAGTGGCAGAGTTAATTTACAATCAGAGGAGGCAGCCTGAGTCCTGACATGCTGACAGTGGTATGTGGGTAAACTGAGCTAAGTTATTTGGGGCCTGTGGTTTAACCTTTTGGATCACTCTGTGATATGGAGAAAACTGGCTGACTTTTCCCTGCTTTCATCTGCAGTGGAACTAAAGAGTATCAATCAAAGTGATGAAAAAGAAGCACTTGGCTGGGTGCGGTGGCTCATGCCTGTAATCCCAGCACTTTGGAAGGCCAAGGCAGGTGGATCACCTGAGGGCAGGAGGTGAAACCGATATGGCAGAATCCTGTCTCTGTTAAAAATACAAACAGGGCTGGGCACGGTGGCTCATGCCTGTAATCCCAGCACTTTGGGAGGCTGAGGTGGGCGGATCATGAGGTCAGGAGATGGAGACCATCCTGGCTAACATGGTGAAACCCCGTCTCTACTAAAAATACAAAAAATTAGCCGGGTGTGGTGGCGGGCGCCTGTAGTCCCAGCTGCTTGGAAGGGTGAGGCTGAGGTTGCAGTGAGTTGAGTTCGAGCCACTGCATTCCAGTCTGGGCGACAGAGCGAGACTCCATCTCAAAAAACAAGACAAAAACGAAAAACAGGGCCAGTCATGGTGGCTCATGCCTCTCATGCCTGTTCTCAGCACTTTGGGAGGCCGAGGTGGGTGGATCATGAGGTCAGGAGTTCAAGACCAGCCTGGCCAAGATGGCAAAACCCCGTCTCTGCTAAAAATACAAAAATTAGCCGGGCGCGGTGGCAGGCGCCTGTAATCCCAGCTACTCGGGAGGCTGAGGCAGGAGAATCACTTGAACCTGGGAGGCAGGAGGTTGCAGTGAGCCGAGATTGCACCACTGCATTCCAGCCTGGGCAACAGAGTGAGACTCTGTCTCAAAAAAAAAAATAAATAAATAAATAAAACAAACAAAAGCTCATGTATCCCAGAACTTAAAGTATAATTTAAAAAAAAAAAAAAGGGAGGCGGAGGTTGCAGTGAGCCGAGGTCGCGCCACTGCACTCCAGCCTGGGTGACAGTGTGAGACACCATCTCAAAGAAAAAGAAAAAGAAGCACTTATTAAGTGGCTCTTTACTACCCTTCTTATGGTCTGGGAATACAAGAAAAGCACCAGGCATGGAGCTTACCCTTCTGAAGCTTGCATTCCAGTTGAAGAGAGAAGATGAATGGATAGAAATCTGAATTATTTATTTATTTAGCAAGTATTTCTTGCGAGGCAATTACTGCATAGCTCTGTGGGATACCTGAGACTGGGTCTATAATCTTGTTGAAAGATATTCTTAGGTAGCAACCTTCTGCAAGGATTGATTGATTAAGTGCCAGAATGAAGCTGAGCACAGTGGCTCACGCCTATAATCCCAGCACTTTGGGAGGCCAAGGCAGGTGGATCACCTGAGGTCAGGAGTTCGAGACCAGCCTGGCCAATGTGGCGAAACCCTGTTTCTACTAAAAATACAAAAATTAGCCTGGTGTGGTGGTGCACGCCTGTAATCCCACCTGCTTGGGAGGCTGAGGCAGGAGAATTGCCTGAACCTGGGAGGCGGAGGTTGCAGTGAGCCAAGATCGCGCCACTGCACTCCAGCCTGGGTAACAGAGGGAGACTCTGTCTCAAAAAAAAAAAAAAAAAAAAGTGCCAGAATGAGTGATCCATGATAGGAGGAGAGGAAATCTGGGTGGACTGGGCTGGGTGATGCAAGACAGTGTCCTGGTCAGGTGTGTCTGAAGCAGAGACCATAAGTTTAGATGTCTTTCTAGGCTGTGCAGCTGTCAGAGATGAGTGAGGCTGAGGCAGGAGTCTGGTGAATTGGGGAGTACTGGAGACTGTCTAGACATATTCCAATTTAGAAACATCAAACACTCTGAGGGCAGGCAACACAATTTGCAGTGTCTGGTGTGTATGTCTGTTTGACTCTGAAAACTGAATGTCTTCAACTCTGAATTTAGGGTAGGAATTGGATGACGTATGGAGCAAGAGGGCATTGTGGTTTGGGAGAATAGTGTAAACAAAAGCCTGAAGGTGGAAATGAGCCCTTCCTATGTGAAGAGTGATCAGAGAGGCAGAGAACTCCTTTTGGTGAGCCAGGAGAGTTAACATTGGCCGGGAAAGATGGGGCCAAAAAGTGGAGTTCCAAACAGGGTAAGGCTGGGAGGGTGGAGAGGGAAGACTTCCCGTCACCTCCTTTTTCCTCATTCTCGCAGCTGGCTGAGAGTGACTTTGCCTCTACCTTCCGGCTGCTCACAGTGTTTGCTTATGGGACATACGCTGACTACTTAGGTAACCAGAGGGGTTGGTGCTCTGGAGTAATGGAGATGGGAGAAGGGCAATTTCTGGAGGGACTCAGAAGAAATTCCTGGGATATCCCACTTAGATCCCTGGATGCATAGGGTCAGGGTCAAGACCTGAATTGGCATTGAAAGTGGGAGGGAAGGGAAGGAGGCTAGGGCTTCCCAGAAAACTGAAATCAGGATTCCTTACACTTTGTCGTTTTTCCCTAGCTGAAGCCCGGAATCTTCCTCCACTAACAGAGGCTCAGAAGAATAAGCTTCGACACCTCTCAGTTGTCACCCTGGCTGCTAAAGTAAAGGTGAGTGGCAGTCCCCCAGTCCTACGGTCTAGAGCATCCTTTTGTATGTCCTTGGGAGTCCACACTAGGACAGCCCTTGTCTAGACCGTGGCTGCTTCCTGCCCTCCCCTCCTCCAAGGTCTGTATATAAACTCCATTAGCAACTGTTTAGGCTGATAGTATTCTTAGTTTTCTGTGTTGTTTTTATTTTTTAATCAACTTAAGTTCTAAATAAACATCTTCTGTGGTTTTGGTCAAAATAGCAACTAGGATGTTGTTCAGGTGTCGTTCAACAATACCTTCTTCCCCACTGCTGGAAACAGGGCTCTCCTGATGAAGTGCTAGGCTTCTCTTTGTTAGGATAAAACATATATATTCTAGAAGTATCTCTGTATTCCTGTTAGGCTGTTTTTTGTCTAATATCACCACCCACCTCCCCAGCCTGCCCAGTCTGCAACCTCGCAATAGTTACTTGACTCTCAGTTGTCCTTGGGATTTAATTTAAACCAGGCTCTCTATTGAGAGATACCTCCAAAGGAATGCCCGTTGCAGGTAGGCAGAGTATAAATGATAAACAGTAACTCCACACCTCTCCCACTTCTGCTTACTCCCCTGTATCAAGCTGATCTTGACTAAGGACTGGGTGATACCCTGAGCTGTGGCTAAAGGAGTGACACCCAGGCAGATGTCATTTTCTCCTTCTGTGGTGTGTCAGGGGTGAGGGTGTTAGGGGAGCATTTTGTATTTTATTTAAGATTGTCCTTCTAATGATGCTGTTTTTGAAGTGGGAATACTTTTATTTATTTTGCTTTAGAACCAGCCTCTTAGAGGAAGTGATTTAGGAATGGGAGTGGAGGGCAGGTGGGCTAGGGCAGGGGGAAAAGGAGGGAAGATTTTTGGAAGCCCTTCTCTACTACGGAGCGTCACAAATCCTGGCCTGATCTCCGCGGCCCCAGTGTATCCCATATGCAGTGTTGCTGGAGGCTCTTGCCCTGCGTAATGTGCGGCAGCTGGAAGACCTTGTGATTGAGGCTGTGTATGCTGACGTGCTTCGTGGCTCCCTGGACCAGCGCAACCAGCGGCTCGAGGTTGACTACAGCATCGGGCGGGACATCCAGCGCCAGGACCTCAGTGCCATTGCCCGAACCCTGCAGGAATGGTGAGAACCGTATCCTGGCACTGTCCCCTTCTCACCCTGAGAAAGAGAAAGGCGCTTCAGGGTGAGAGAGGGCAGGAGCTGGGCTGGTCCGCAGAGGTGGAACCCAAGAGGATGAAGGGAAATGAGTTCATCCCTCCAAAGGCTTCTGGGGAATGCAGGAGTAGGGGAGGCCCTGGGAGGCGGCAGAAGTCAGTGTCCTTGATATAGTAGTTGGGGGAGGAAAAGGGAGTGGTATACTTAAGGGGATCCTAACCAGCAAGGTCGGTCGCCTGTCTTAGGCTAGACTCTGTCGATTGATCTGTAACTACCATTATCCACAGGCCATGACCCTTTTCCTCTTTTTTATTTTCTTTGTGTCCCCATCTAACTTCAGGGTTTCTGTATTCATTAAGTCACCTCTTTTTCTCTTTGGCATCTCCTACCCTATTTTGTTTTCAGTTCCTACTCCCATCTTGCTCATCACTCCAGGCGCTTCCTTATCCCTCTCTGACCACACCGAGTGTCCATCCCACTGCTAGGAGTGTTATCACAGGTGGTTTCTAGGTGCCCTGGTGAGGGTTCCCAACTCAGACTCAAAATGCCAGAAGCTGTGTTCTGGCTCTGTTGCTCAGTTTGGAGTGCAGTGGCACCATCTTGACTCACTGCAGCCTCCAACTTCCAGGGCTCAAGCCACCCTCCACCTCAGTCTCTTGAGTAGCACGGGACTACAGGCTCGTGTCACCACATCCAGCTAGTTTTTGTATTTTTTGTAGAGACGGATTTTTGCCATATCGCTCAGGCTGGTCTTGAACTCCTGAGCTTAAGCAATTCGCCCATCTTGGCCTCCCAAAATGCAGGGATTATGGGGGTGAGCTACTGCGCCCTGCCTCTAGGGTTCTTTTTGAGTCAGTTTTCTGTGAGTCTGTGATCGCAGCCCTTGTCTGCTGACACTTCTCTCCCCTGACTCCTGCAGGTGTGTGGGCTGTGAGGTCGTGCTGTCAGGCATTGAGGAGCAGGTGAGCCGTGCCAACCAACACAAGGAGCAGCAGCTGGGCCTGAAGCAGCAGATTGAGAGTGAGGTGAGCAGTCAGGGGAGCAGGCAGACCCAAACTCCTCCAGCCTGGGCGACTTGTCCTTTGCAGAGAGAATTTGGACAGTGGCTGTAGCAGACAACCAGATGAGCAGGGGCTGGAAGGTTCTGGAACCTTCCTTGCTATCCCCATTCCTTTCATCCTGGTAGGTTGCCAACCTTAAAAAAACCATTAAAGTTACGACGGCAGCAGCAGCCGCAGCCACATCTCAGGACCCTGAGCAACACCTGACTGAGCTGAGGGAACCAGCTCCTGGCACCAACCAGCGCCAGCCCAGCAAGAAAGCCTCAAAGGGCAAGGGGTGAGCCAGGGTAGCAGGAACTGCTCACTTGCAGGGTGCCCTGCTTTTACCCCAGGGACCTCACTGTCCTCATTTCCTTCAGTTATTTGCATGGGAGTAGGGAGTGGGGGAGCCTCCAGGGGTTAGGGGATTCCCTGCATTCTCTCTCTCTCTCTCTTTCTCTCTCTTCTCCTTGCCAGGCTCCGAGGGAGCGCCAAGATTTGGTCCAAGTCGAATTGAAAGGACTGTCGTTTCCTCCCTGGGGATGTGGGGTCCCAGCTGCCTGCCTGCCTCTTAGGAGTCCTCAGAGAGCCTTCTGTGCCCCTGGCCAGCTGATAATCCTAGGTTCATGACCCTTCACCTCCCCTAACCCCAAACATAGATCACACCTTCTCTAGGGAGGAGGCAAATGTAGGTCATGTTTTTGTTGGTACTTTCTGTTTTTTGTGACTTCATGTGTTCCATTGCTCCCCGCTGCCATGCTCTCTCCCTTGTTTCCTTAAGAGCTCAGCATCTGTCCCTGTTCATTACATGTCATTGAGTAGGTGGGTAGCCCTGATGGGGGTCGCTCTGTCTGGAGCATAACCCACAGGCGTTTTTTCTGCCACCCCATCCCTGCATGCCTGATCCCCAGTTCCTATACCCTACCCCTGACCTATTGAGCAGCCTCTGAAGAGCCATAGGGCCCCCACCTTTACTCACACCCTGAGAATTCTGGGAGCCAGTCTGCCATGCCAGGAGTCACTGGACATGTTCATCCTAGAATCCTGTCACACTACAGTCATTTCTTTTCCTCTCTCTGGCCCTTGGGTCCTGGGAATGCTGCTGCTTCAACCCCAGAGCCTAAGAATGGCAGCCGTTTCTTAACATGTTGAGAGATGATTCTTTCTTGGCCCTGGCCATCTCGGGAAGCTTGATGGCAATCCTGGAAGGGTTTAATCTCCTTTTGTGAGTTTGGTGGGGAAGGGAAGGGTATATAGATTGTATTAAAAAAAAAAAGGTATATATGCATATATCTATATATAATATGACGCAGAAATAAATCTATGAGAAATCTATCTACAAACTACCCTGAACTGGGTATCTTCTGTGTTTGATATTTGTGGATGGGAAGAAGACTCATTCCCAATTCACTCAAGCACAGTGCTGGAAAATGAAGAGACCCAGATACTATTTGCTGAGTCCCTGGCTGAGGCCTAGATCCCAAGCTGTATGGCTTTGGACAGGTTGCTCAGCATCCATTCAGAAGTAATGGATATGGCTGGGTGCAGTGGCTCACGACCGTAATCCCAGCATGTTGGGAGGCCAGGGCGGGCGTATCACTTGAGGTCAGGAGTGTGAGACCAACCTGGCCAACATGGTGAAACCCATCTCTACTAAAAATGCAAAAAAATTAGCTGGGTGTGGTGGCTCATGCCCATAATCCCCTAAGGAGGCTGAGGCAGGAGAATCGCTCGAACCTGGAAGGTGGAGGTTGCAGTGAGCCGAGATCATGCACTCCAGCCTGAGTGACAGAGTGAGACTCCATCTCAAAAAAAAAAAAAAGGCCGGGCGCGGTGGCTCACGCCTCTAATCCCAGCACTTTGGGAGGTCAAGGCGGGTGGATCATGAGGTCAGGAGATTGAGACCATCCTGGCTAACACAGTGAAACCCCATCTCTACTAAAAATACAAAAAAAATAGCCGGGCATGGTGGCGAGCACCTGTAGTCCCAGCTACTTGGGAGACTGAGGCAGGAGAATGGTGTGAACCCGGGAGGCGGAGGTTGCAGGGAGCCGAGATCGTGCCACTGCACTCCAATCTGGGCGACAGAATGAGCTCCGTCTCAAAAAAAAAAAAGTAGTGGATACTTACTGAAAGGCACTGGACATACAAATGATGGCCGCTGTTTCTGCTCTCAAGGAGCTTGAGTTCAGACTATGTCCTCCCACCTCATAGAATTATAAGGGAAAGAGTTGGTAATGAACTTGAATTTTCACATCAGAACCACACAGAACTGTCAGATCTGTGGCAAGAAGAAGCCATTGGACTTCTGTCCTCTGTCCACTAGAGCTCTCCAGGGAGTGTGCTAGAAGGATCAGAATCCATGGCCTAGAGTGCTGCCATGGACTCCCTAGATTTGGAGAGCTCTAGTGGACAGTTGAGCCTTCATTTGCATGTGAAGTGGTTGCCTTCTGAGGGTCCTGGGGTTGACAGCTGCTCCCCAGAGCTTGTGATGTTCTTTAGGTGGAGATTTAGGATAGACCACTCTTCATTGGTCCTAAAGCTATCAGTCATGGAATTAGAAAGTGGGAGTAGGGGCTGGGCATGGTGGCTCATGCCTGTAATCCCAGTACTTTGGGAGGCCGAGGCGGGCAGATCACGAGGTCAAGAGATCAAGACCTTTCTGGCCAACATGGTGAAACCCCATCTCTACTAAAAATACAAAAATTAGCCGGGCGTGGTGGTGCTTGCCTGTAATCCCAGCTGCTCGGGAGGCTGAGGCAGGAGAATTGCTCGAACCCAGGAGGCAGAGGTTGCAGTGAGCCAAGATGGCAACACTGCACTCCAGCCTGGCGACACAGCGAAACTCCATCTCAAAAAAAAAAAAAAAAAAAAAAAGGTGGGAGTGGGATCCTGCATTGTTGCATTGTTTTTTGTTTTTTGTTTTTTGTTTTTTGTTTTTGAGACGAAGTTTCGCACTTGTTGCCCAGGCTGGAGTGCAATGGCACAATCTCGGTTCACTGTAACCTCCGTCTCCTGGGTTGAAGTGATTCTCCTGCCTCAGCCTCCCGAGTAGCGGGGATTACAGGCATGTGCCACCATGCCCAGCTAATTTTTGTATTTTTAGTAGAGACAGGGTTTCTCCGTGTTGGTCAGGCTGGTCTCGAACTCCCGATCTCAGGTGATCCGCTTGCCTGAGCCTCCCAAAGTGCTGAGATTACAGGCGTGAGCCACGACGTCCGGCCAGATCCTAGGTTTTTGATTACAAATTGGCTAGGTAAGCTTGTTGTCTTGAGCGGGGCAGTCACTTAACGAAACCAGTCTAGGGAGCCCCATTTCAGGAGTTGAAACTCTTAGCTTCTCAGCTTTTCCCTAGACAAGCAAGACTTGATTCTCAGTCTCTGCCTCTGAAATAAACCCCTTCTTCCCACGCCCGCCAGTGTGTAAAAGCTGCTAACTCCTGGTGCTTTGAGCCTGTCCTGCCACCCCTGCCCGTGCTCCAATTTTCCTTTGAAACTTAGTATCACCTTTACGTGTAAGCTGGTCCCGGCTAATGGTGCCATAACTTCCCAGGCCTCCCTTATTCTAGCCTTTAAGAATGGCTCTCAAGTCCAATGTGGCCTAGGCTGGGACTGCCTGACTTCACCCAAAGAGGGAGGGGAAACCATTCACATCCCAAGGTTATGGGACAAAGACAAATGCCATTTGCCTTTGATTCACAGAAAGAAGGGTCTTGGCTGTGAAGGCATGGGGAAAGGACAGTAGATTATTTGGGTGCTGGTGAGGATCAGTTTTTGACTGCGAAATTGGGTTCAGGATTTAGGGATTCCATGTGTAACCAGGCCCAGGGCACCAGGAGAATCTTCCTAACCAAGAATCGTGTCATCCACTTGCACACTCACGTGCTGATCCTTACTGGATAGTGATCTTGGATGATTTTAGGGCTGGTCACAACAGTTATCTATTACTACGTAATAGATTACCCTAAAACCATGCCTTAAAACAACATATAAATATGATCTGTTTCTGTGGGTAAGGAATCGGCACGGCTGAGCTTAGTTTTCTGCTTAGGTTTCTCACAAGACTGGAGTCAAGGTGTTAGCTAGGGCCATAGTCCTCTCAGGGTTCAACTGGGGAGGATTTGCTTCCCAGCTCGCTCGGTGGTTGTCAGCAGGATTCACTACTTCACAGATGGTTGGACCGGGGACCTCGTTTCCTGATTGACTGTTGGCCAGAGGCCACCGAGGTAGCCTTCTCCATCACAGCAAGAGCCAGAAAGACAACACCAGCAAGATGAAGTCACAGTCTTTTGTTACTTAATCATGGAAGTGACATTACCTCACTTTTACCAGTTACCAGGTCCAGTCTATACTCAAGGGGTGAAGGTTACACAGGGTGTGGCTGTCAGCAAGCAGGAATCATTGGAAACCATGTTAGAAGCTGCCTATCACAGGCAGTTTTTCTGGGCCACCAGCATCAAAATCATCAGGGGAGCTTCTGAAAATGTGCATTCCTGGACCCCACTTCCACCCTTTTCTATTGAATTAGAACCTCCGGGGTGTGAACTGGAAATGTGCCCTCATCACCCTCATTGACTCAGCTCTGCAAGGGCTCTGAAAAGGCTACTGCAGGGCCTTGGAAGACATGTAAGGGGGCCCAAGGTCACCGTCTGAGAGAGAAGGGAAAAGTGAAACTTTTGAGTACAGGGCAAGAGAGCAAGAGAAACTTGTCCTTTGAGGTTCTTAAGTACATGGTTATATATTACAAGTGTGATAAGTACTTTAAGAAGTATTGGGTGACACGAAAGCATTTAACTGGGATCTACATCTTGCTTGGGGTCAGAAAAGCCTCCAAGGACATGACCTTTAAACTGAAACTAGAAGCCCAAGTAGGAATTAGCCTGATGAAAGAGAGGGCGAGCATCTTGGATGGGAAGAATAGTGGGATAAAGGCCTGCAGGCAGAAAGGCTTCATTCTGTGACCCGCTGCCTGTCCCTCAATAGGAAATGCATAATTTGGGGAATGGGGCAAGATAGACAATCCTATACTTACTGTTCATTTATCAGTCAATTGGCAAATACATCTTGTTTTTTGTTTTATTTTGCTTTTGAGACCATGTCTTGCTCTGTCACCCAGGCTGGAGTACAGTGGCACGATCATATGGGAATGGAGAGGGAAGCCCCAGGGGCCCAAAAAATGTCAGAGAGACACGGGAGGAAAATCAAGAGAACAATCCCGTAAAAGTTTATGAACTCCTGGGCTAAGCTCTGAGCTGTGCAAGCGTAGATCTGTCCCTGAACAGCCTACCTAAGGCTTTGTGAACTGAATTACAGAATGGATCACTGTCCAGGTCTGACTGGCCACTGGGTGGCACCCGAGCCGGCCTGATCCAAATAGCACTGCAAACACTTTTAAAATAAAACCGACATTGAAACCACAGTGCCAAAAAGGCAGGTCAAAACTTGCTGCCTGAACCTGATTACCTGCTAAAACAAATTACCATTCAACATGTTCAACATGCTCCTTAAGATTTTAACAAGACCCAGAGCCTCAAACCATAATATTCAAAATATCCAGAGTATGATTTAAGGTGACTCAGCATACAAATAACTCTCCAGGGAAAAGACAGCCAACCCCAAGGAGGCAGAAGTGTTGGAATTTAAAGCAAATGCTGCAAGCAGTCTAACCATGCAGGAAGAAGAAAGGGAGAATGCTTTTGAAACAAATGTAAAGAAAGTCTTAGCAAAGAAATGGAAGATATAAAGAACCAAACAGAAAATAGCAATAACTAGGCCGGATGTGGTGGCTCACGCCTGTAATTCCAGCACTTTGGGAAGCTGAGCTGGACCATTCACCTGAGGTCAGGAGTTCGAGACTAGCCTGGCCAACATGGTGAAACCCCACCTTTACTAAAAATACAAAAATTAGCCAGGCGTGGTGGCAGGCACCTGTAATCTCAGCTACTTGGGAGGCTGAGGCAGGAGAATCGCTTCAACCTGGGAGGTGGAGGTTACAGTGAGCTGAGATTGTGCCATTGCACTCCCCCAGCCTGGGTGACAACAGCGAGACTCTGTCTCAAAAACAAAAACAAAAACAAAAACTTCCCAAACCTGGCAAAAGACAAAGACAGATTCAAAAAGTTTGGTGGATAGCAAACAAGATATACTCAAATCCATGTCCATAGCCAGCGTGGTGGCACATGCCTGTAGTCCGAGCTACTTGGAAGACTGAGGCAGGAGAATCACTTGAACCTGGGAGGTGGAAGTTGCAGTGAACCGAGATCAAGCCAACTGCACTCCAGCCTGAGTGATAGAGCTAGACTCTGTCTCAAAAAAAAAAAAAAAAATCCATATCTGGACACATCAGAATAAAATTGCCGAAGGTTAAAGACAAAGAAAAAAGTCCCACAAGCATTCAGAAAAACAGTGCTTTTCACACAGGATAAAAATGACTCAAATGACTGCACATTTTTCGTCAGAAACTATGAAAGTCAGGTGGAACTAGAATGATACTTTTAAGGGGCTTAAGGGAATTAACTCAAAATCCTATATCCAGTGAAAATATTGCTCAGGAATGAATGTGAAATAAAGATATTCTCAGGTGAAGGAAAATAAGAATTTGTCACCGGAAAACCCGCTGTAAAATCCTAAAGGAAGTTCTTTAGGCAGAAGAGAAATGACACCAAAGGAAACACGGAACATTAAGGATGAAGAGCAGCAGCAATGGTAAATATAATAGATTATTTTTCTCCTCTTAAGTTCTTTAAAATGTTTATGACAGCTGAAAGAAAATCATAAATTTGATGTTTGTCTCAAGAGGGAATTCTCTAAATATAATTTTAAAACAATTATAAATTCACCTAGAGCCATGCACCGCGGCTCACGCCTGTAATCCCAGCACTTTGGGAGGCTAAGGCGGGCGGAACACTTGAGGTCAGGAGTTGGAGACCAGCCTGGCCAACATGGTGAAACCCTGTCTCTACTAAAAACACAAAAATTAGCCGGGCGTGGTGGTGCATGCCTGTAATCCCAGCTACTTGGGAGGCTGAGGCAGGAGAACTGTTTGAACCTGGAGGTAGAGGTTGCAGTGAGCTGAGATCGCGCCATTGCACTCCAGCCTGGGCAAGAAGAGTGAAACTCCGTCTCAAGAAATAAATAAATTCACCTAGAAGGCTAGGTGTGGTGACTCACACCTATAATCTCAGCACTTTGGGAGGCTGAGATGGGCAGATCTCTTCAGCCTAGGAGTTCTAGACTAGCCTAGGCAACATGGTGAAACTTCGCCGCTATAAAAAATACAAAAAAAATTAGTGGGGCATGGTGGCCTGTGCCTGTAGTCCCAGCTACTTGGGAGGCTAAGGCAGGAGAATTGCTTGAGCCTGGGAGGTAGAGGTTGCAGTGAGCCAAGATTGTGCCATTGCATTCTAGTCTGGGCAACAGGAGTGAAACCCTGTCTCAAAAATTAAAAATCAATAGATAAATTCACCTAGAACTAAGCATTTTTAGCGTTTAGTATGTGGAGTTTCAGTATTTGTAGTATGTGGTGTTTGTCATTTATAGTAACACATATGAGAACTACGAGATGAGACAGTAAAGGGAGCTATGTTGTGGTAAAATTTCTACATTTAACTTGAAGTGGTAGAAAAAAACTCTGATTGTGAAAAGTATGTATTTTGTAATCCCCATAGTAAGGGTTAGTAAACCATATTCCACAGGCCAAATCCAGCCCACTGCCTGTTTTTGTAAATACAGTTTTGTTGGACTGTAGTTACACCTCATTCATTGCATATCATGTATGGTTGCTTTTGCACTACAGCATCAGATTTGGGTGTTGCAACACACATTGTATGGCTGACAAAGCTCATCATATTTATTGTATCTGGCCCTTTACAGAAAAAGTTTGCCGGCCCAGTGTAGTGACTCTTGCCTATAATCCCAGCACTTTGGGAGGCCGAGGCGGGTGGATCACGAGGTCAGGAGTTCAAGAACAGATTGGCCAAAATGGTGAAAGTCCGCCTCCACCAAAACTACAAAAATTAGCCAGGCGAGGTGGCAGGCGCCTGTAATCCCAGCTTTTCAGGAGGCCAAGGCAGGAGAATTGCCTGAACCCAGGTGGCAGAGGTTGCAGTGAGGCGAGATGTCACCAATGCCTGTCCTAGAGCGACCACTAAAGAAAAGAAAGCCAGGCGCGGTGGCTCATGCCTGTAATCCAAACACTTTGGGAAGCCAAGGTGGGCAGATCACGAGGTCAAGAGATCGAGATCATCCTGGCCAACAGGGTGAAACCCTGTCTCTACTAAAAATACAAAAATTAGGCCTGGCGCGGTGGCTCACGGCTGTAATCCCAGCACTTTGGGAGGCGGAGGCGGGCAGATCACGAGGTCAGGAGATCGAGACCATCCTGGCTAACACGGTGAAACCCCGTCTCTACTAAAAATACAAAAAAAAAAAAAAAAAAAAAAATTAGCCGGGCGTGGTGGCGGGCGCCTGTAGTCCCAGCTACTTGGGAGGCTGAGGCAGGAGAATGGCGTGAACGCGGCAGGCGGAGCTTGCAGTGAGCCAAGATCGCGCCACTGCACTCCAGCCTGGGCGACAGGAGCGAGACTCTGTCTCAAAAAAAAAAAAAAAAAAAAAATTCGCTGGGCATGGTGGTGGGCGCCTGTAGTCCCAGCTAATCGGCAGGCTGAGGCAGGAGAATCACTTGAGCCCGGGAGGCGGAGGTTGCAGTGAGCCTAAGTTTGCAGAGAGCCGAGATCGCGCCTCTGCACTCCAGCCTGGGCGACAGAGCAAGACTCCGTTTCAAAAACAAAAAACAAAACAAAAAGCCGGGCGCGGTGGTTCAAGCCTGTAATCCCAGCACTTTGGGAGGTCGAGGCGGGCGGATCACGAGGTCAGGAGATCAAGACCATCCTGGCTAACACGGTGAAAACGCGTCTCTACTAAAAATACAAAAAAATAGCCGGGCGTGGTGGCGGGCTCCTGTAGTTCCAGCTACTCGGGAGGCTGAGGCAGGAGAATGGCGTGAACTCAGGAGGCGAAGCTTCCAGAGAGCCGAGATCACACCACTGCACTCCAGCCTGGGCGACAGAGCGAGACTCCGACTCAAAAAATGAAGAAAAAGAAAAGAAAATGATACAGAGATTTACTGGGTGAAAAAAATCTGTACATAAATTAAAATGGAATACTAAATAACATTCAAGTAAACCAATACAAGGCTGGAAAATGGAGACAGAGAAATTACAAACAGAACAAACAAAATAAATAATAAATAATAGAAATATTGCCGGGCGCGGTGGCTCACACCTGTAATCTCAGCACTTTGGGAAGCCGAGGCAGGTGGATCACGAGATCGAGACCGTCCTGGCTAACATGGTGAAACCCCATCTCTACTAAAAATACAAAAAAATTAGCCGGGCGTGGTGGCGGGCACCTGTAGTCCCAGTCACTTGGGAGGCTGAGGCAGGAGAATGGCATGAACCCGGGAGGCGGAGCTTGCAGTGGGCCGAGACCGTGCCACTGCACTGAAGCCTGGGCAACAGAGTGAGACTCTGTCTCAAAAAAAAAAAAAGAAAGAAAGAAACAAAGAAAAAAAAAGAGATAAATGCAAACATACTAATTATATTAATTTTTTATTTTTATTTATTTATTTTTTTGAGATGGAGTCTCACTCTTGTCGCCCAGGCTGGAGCGCAGTGGCGCGATCTCAGCTTGCTACAACCTCTGCCTCCCAGGTTCAAGCTATTCTCCTGCCTCAGCCTCCCGAGTAGCTGGGATTACAGGCATATGCACCAAGCCCAGCTGATTTTTGTATTTTTAGTAGAGACAGGGTTTCACCATGTTGGCCAGGACAGTCTCGAACTCCTGACCTCAGGCAATCCTCCCGCCTTGGCCTCCCAAAGTGCTGGGATTACAGGTGTGAGTCACCACACCTGGGCAATTATATTAAATTTAAATGGCCTAACTACAATTAAAAGACGGATAGGCTGGTGGTATACATCTGTAGTTCCAGCTACTTGGGAGGCTGAGTTGGGAGGATTGCTTGAGCCTGAGAAGTTAAGGCTGCAGTGAGCTGTAACTGTGCCACTGCACTGCAGCCTGGGTAACAGAGTGAGACCCTGTCTCAAAAAAAAAAAAAAAAGAAAAAAAAAAAAGACTCACTTCTTAACTCCAGCACTTTGGGAGGCTGAGGCGTGAGGATCACTTGAGCCCATGATTTTGACACTAGCCTGTGCAACACAGTGAATAGAGACCCCATCTCTATTTTAAAAAAATATCAAAATAATTTTTTTCTTTTTTTTGAGACAGAGTCTCACTCTGTTGCCAGGCTGGAGTGCAGTAGTGCGATCTCGGCTCACTGCAACCTCCGCCTCCCCGGTTCGCGCCATTCTCCTGCCTCAGCCTCCCGAGTAGCTGGGACTACAGGCGCCCATCACCACGCCTTCCTAATTTTTTTTGTATTTTTAGTGGAGATGGGGTTTCACTGTGTTAACCAGGATGGTCTCGATCTCCTGACCTCGTGATCTGCCTACCCCGGCCTCACAAAATGCTGGGATTACAGGCGTAACCACCGCGCCCGGCCAAAATAATTTTTTTAAAAGACCCAGAAATACAGTGTCTTAAAAAAGAAAACAAATACTTTTAAGTATGACATAGGTCGGTTAAAAGTAAAAAGATGGAGAAACACGTACCATGAACACTAACCAAAAGAAAGTTGAAAATGGCTGTAGTAACAGTTAACTAAACTTCAGAGCAAAGAAAATTACCAGAGATAAAGAGGGACATTGGCTGGGCTTGGTGGCTTAAGCTTGTAATCCCAGCACTTTAGGAGGCCGAGGTGGGCAGATCACGAAGTCAGGAGTTCCAGACCAGCCTGGCCAACATGGTGTAACCCCCATCAATACTAAAAATACAAAAAAATTAGCCAGGCGTGTAATCCCAGCTACTTAGAAGGCTGAGGCAGGAGGATCACTTGAACCTGGGAGGCAGAGGTTGCAGTGAGCCGAGATCATGCCACTGCACTCCAGCCTGGGTGACAGAGCGAGACTCTGTCTCAAAAAAAACAAAACAAAACAAAAAAGACATTACATAATAAGATATTTGGTTTTCCAAGTAGATACAATAATTCTAAATGTCTATGCATTTAACTAAAGCGCTTTAAAATGCACAAAGCAGGCCGGCCACTGTGGCTCACGCCTGTAATCCCAGCACTTTGGGAGGCCCAGGTGGGCAGATCACTTGAAGTCAGGAGTTTGAGACCAGCCTGGCCAACATGGTGAAACCCCATCTCTACCGAAAATATAAAAAATTAGCCAGGCGTGGTGGCATGCGACTGTAATTGCAGTTACTCAGGAGGCTGAGGCAGGAGAATTACTTGAACCTGGGAGGTGGTCTAGCAGTAGCGAAAAGTGTCAAGGAACAACACCCGCTACTTAGCAGACCGGGAAAGTGAGTCTCCTTTTCCCCGGGGGAGTTTAGAGAAGACTCTGCTCCTCCACCTCTTGTGGAGGGCCTGACATTAGTCAGGCTGGCCCGCGGTTATCCGGAGGCCTAACCCTCTCCCTGTGATGCTGTGCTTCAGTGGTCACGCTCCTAGTCCGCCTTCATGTTCCATCCTGTACACCTGGCTCTGCCTTCTAGATAGCGGTAGTAAATTAGTGAAAGTACTAAAAGTCTCTGATATGCAGAAATAATGGCGTAAGCTGTCTTTCTCTCTGTCTCCTCTCTCTCTCTCTCTGCCTCAGCTGCCAGGCAGGGAAGGGCCCCCTGTCCAGTGGACACGTGACCCACGTGACCTTACCTATCATTGGAGATGACTCACATTCTTTACCCTGCCCCTTCTGCCTTGTATCCAATAAATAACAGCGCAGCCAGACATTCGGGGCCACTACCGGTCTCTGCGCATTGGTGGTAGTGGTCGCCCGGGCCCAGCTGCCTTTTCTTTTATCTCCTTGTCTTGTGTCTTTATTTCTATGCTCTCTCATCACCGCACACAGGGAGAGACCCACCGACCCTGTGGGGCTGGTCCCTACACACACCCAGCTAATTTTTTGTATTTTTAGTAGAGACAGGGTTTCACCATATTGGCCAGGCTGGTCTTGAACTGCTGACCTCAGGTGATCCACCTGCCTTAGCCTCCCAAAGTGCTGGGATTACAGGTGTGAGCCACCGCGCCCGGCTTTGTTTTTGTTTTTGTAGAGATGGGGTTTCACCATGTTGCTCAGGCTAGTCTCGAACTCCTGGGCTCAGGCAATCCTCCCTCCTCAGCTTCCCAAAGTGTTTAGGATTCCAGGTGCGAGTTGCCACGCCCTGCAGGAAATTTTCTATTTAAAGGACTTCTATGGTGAATCATTCCATACAGCATATTAGTATCATTTCTGTCAATCTAGGTTTTGAGTCCTGGCTCTCTCTGTGCTACTATCAGATAGCTGTATGATGTTGAACAAATCACTTCTCCGTTTCTTCAGAAGAAAATGGAAAGGGGGGTTTTGATGATATCTGGAATGACTGATAAGGGGCATCTGAATCATCTCCAACCCTGACATTCGGCTTTAGTATGTCTGAAAGCAGACCTACTGCCACATTTGGGAATTTCCAGAGCAGATGATCTCTAAGGTCTCTTTTTAAGTCTGAAATTGTCATTTATGACATATTTGGGCTTGCTGAAATTAAGATTCATCTGTATTGGGAATCGGCTTCTGTTCTTCCCTGCCATATTCCTTGTGAATTGTGAATTCCCCCACCTCAAATACATAACATCTTTATCTGAAGTCACCAGTGGTGCTCTAGGAACACAGCTTTGTTTACTTTCACCAAAGCATTTCCCATCTGATATGGTTTGGCCGTGTCTCCACCCAAATCTCACCTTGAATTGTAGCTCCCGTAATTCCCACGTATTGTGGGAGGGACCCGGTGGGAGGTAATTGAATCATAGGGGTGGTTTCCCCCATACTATTCTCGTGGTAGTGAATAAATCTCACAAGATCTGATGGCTCTATAAGGGGAAACCCCTTTTGCTTTGTTTTCATTCTGTCTCTTGCCTGCTGCCATGTAAGACGTGCCTTTTGCCTTCCAACATGATTGTGAGGCCTCCCCAGCCATGTGTAACTGTGAGTCCATTAAACCTCTTTTTCTTTATAATTTACTCAGTCTCGGGTATGTCTTTATCAACAGTGTGAAAATGGACTAATACACCACCTCAGTGTCATCTTGGCTTTTCCCAAGGTATCTCTGCTCTGTTTCTTTTTTTTTGAAACAGAGTCTCGCTCTATCCCCCAGGCTGGAGTGCAGTGGCACGATCTCGGCTCACTGCAAACTCCGCCTCCCGGGTTCACACCATTCTCCTGCCTCAGTCTCCTGAGTAACTGGGACTACAGGCGCCTGCCACAACACTTGGCTAATTTGTGTGTGTGTGTGTATTTTTAGTAGGGACAGAGTTTCACCGTGTTAGCCAGGATGGTCTCGATCTCCTGACCTCGTGATCCGCCCGCCTCGGCCTCCCAAACTGCTGGGATTACAGGCGTGAGCCACCGCGCCTGCGCTCTTTTAGAGACTCAGTCCCACCTGGACAGCTCTTTCAAGTCCCCCCTCTCTCCCATCCTCCAGTTTCATGGGCCCAAATGTCTCAGACCCCTCAGGTGCTTGGTTGGCCTCCTGGCCAGAGAACACTGACATCTTCAAGATGATGTTCCAGAAATGGCAAGCTCTCCAGGTGGCAGGTGACAGATGAAAAGGAGGGGGTGATGCCAGGAGAAACCAGGAGCAGCACCCTATTCCCACCCAAAAGATAAGGGCTTTAGGGAGGAAGAAGAGAATCTCAAGGGGCAGAGAAAGGCTGAAGGCTAACCCAGTTCGCCTCATCTCAGGGACAGTCCAGAGGGGCCTGAGCCCAGGTGGGGAAGCACTCTCTGCTTCTGCTGGTCCCCCAAGAGCTACCGTTTAAGAGCAGACACGGGCCAGGTGCAGTGGCTCACGCCTGTAGTCCCAGCACTTTGGGAGACTGAGGTGGGCGAATCATCTGAGGTCAAGAGTTCCAGACCAGCCTGGCCAACATGGTGAAACCCTGTCTCTACTAAAAATACAAAAATTAGCCGACCATGATGGTGGGCGCCCGTAATCCCAGCTACCTGGAGGCTGAGGCAGGAGAATCGCTTGAACCTGGGAGGCAGAAGTTGCAGTGAGTCGAGAGCGTCATTGCACTCCAGCCTGGGCGACAGAGCAAGACTCCGTTTTAAAAAAAAAAAAAAAGCAGACACGGAGGCTAAGAGGGCTAAGAGTCATCAGCACACTCTACACTGGGGGGTTTCAGGGCCCCCTCTGTAGCAGCTCTGTCAGGCTTCAGCGTCCCAGGCTCCTCTCCCTCAGGCTATGTCAGCTCTGTGCCCCCAACACAGGCTCTCCAAGGGATGAGGCTGGACAGAGGCTTCTTATGAGAGCCAGCTACCAAGGTCTCTTCCCCATGCCCCAGCTCCTCAGTGATTTCTTTCACCTCCCAGTGCCTCCCATGCCTCACCGTCCCATCTTTATCTCCCCATCCTGGTGCAGCACCACCCGTTTCCTGCCTCTCCTCTCTGAAGACTCCAGTGATGTCTAAGAGTGAGAGAGGTTAAGACTGCTTTCTTCTTATCCCTAGCCCAACCAGAATGGGCTGAGAGAAAGCATCTTTGACCCCTGCTGTTCCCTCAGCCCCTGGAATGACAGTCCCAGCATTGGGAACATAAAGGCAGGAAGGTATGTGAGTTAAATGGACTTGGAATATGCAGGCAGCAAGACCAGACTGCTGGGTTCTGTGGGCCAGCTTCTGGTTCTCTGGGTCACCTGTTCATGTGACTTGGACATGAGGTAGAGGGTGGAGGAAAAAGGGTATTATTACTAGGGCCTGAGGCCATTACAATAGAAAGGGGGAAAAATCCCAAACCACAAACAGGGCAGGGGGAGAGTGGCCTCAGACATTTGTTTCTCTTTGCTGACCTGTGGGGCTAAGGTCTGGAGAGAGTGAAAGATGACAGCCAGGAGCTGGGAGGGTGAACGGCTGGGAGCTGTTCAAGATCAGTAGGATGAGATCCAGATCGTGTCTGGAAGTATTTTAGGGGTCCTGAGGATGGAGTGGGGGATGAGGGACCACCAGAGAACCCTGAAGGAGCAAGGCAGGGAGAGAGTGATCAGGGAGAAATACTAGCATGGAATGGTCATTTGTATCCCATGTGCATGTCAGACTCTCTGCACTCACTCAGGTCTCAGTTCTGAGGTATGACTCCATAGTCACCAGTGCCTAGAAAGGTTCATTTTACAAAATGGGGAACTGATGTTGCGAGAGAGGAAGTCTTTCCCACAGTGCAGCTGAGTGGTGGAGCCAGGTCTTGCTTGTGCGTGTGCATCCTGTCTCCCTCCTCTGTGTTATTCTGCTTAGTCACACACCTAGTGTCAGCCTCTTCCAACCTGTAATGTTCTGGGGTGGAGAAAATAACCTGAGGCGTTTGCCCATGTCCTCTGGATACTCGCTGGGCCGGTGGCTGAGGGGTGGCTGTTGTGTGAGGCTGGGCCCAGATGGAGAGCTGACCGGAAGTAGAGTATCTGTGTCCCTCGGGAAAGTTCCTTTCCTCTTCCTCTCCCGTGGCCCTTACCCCAGTGGCAGACAGGTCAGGACGTGCTAGGGGGCTGGTTCTTGAGCATCTCACTCTACTGATGCTAACACCTCACTTCCCACAACATATCCCTGCTGAGAACTAGTCACAGGCCCCAGGAGTAAGTGCTGGGCTGAAGGGTGGTCCAAACCCTACAGCAGGGAGCAGGAGTACAAATCAGTTCACATGTCTAAAGGCTGGGACCTGAACAGGGGAGTCCCTGAAACACTGGACTGACTCACCTGGACTGAGGTCAGGGCAGCCTTACTCTGCCGCAGTCACACTCAAGACTACACATGCGCGTGTGGGCACTGGAACTAAAATCCGGGTTGAGAGGCTGGGCCTGATATTTTGTGGCTAGAAGGGCCCCACATAACTCAGGTCCAGGGAGGTGAGTGACCTGCCCAAGACCACAAGGCTGTCAGTGGCCGAGCTAAGGACTGAGGCTCCTTCAACTCCAGGTTACCTTGCTGCCTTCTCAGGAGAGTGAAGAAAACGACTCCCTTCTCAGAGGAAACAGTCGTGTGCTTATCTGGACAGGGCAAGATTACACTTAAAGATGAGGGCTGTGAAGCCAGGCGTAGCAGCTCACGTCTTAATCCCAGCACTTTGGGAGGCCAAGGCAGGTGGATCACTTGAGTCCAGGAGTTCGAGACCAGCCTGGCCAACATGGTGAAACCCTGCCTCTACTAAAAATACAAAAATTAGCCGGGCGTGGTGGTGTGCGCCTGTAGTCCCAGCTACTCAGGAGGCTGAGGCAGGAGAATCTCTTGAACTGGGGAGGCGGAGGTTGCAGTGAGCTGAGATCACGCCACTGCTTGGGTGACACAGCAATACTCCATCTCAAAAAAAAAAAAGATAAAAAGATGAGGGCCATGGCTGCTGAGTTCCATCATCCACAGTTCAGAGCCCAGGTGGTGGTGAATAATCCACACTAGATTGACTTCTGGGATTCCTGGATTCTTTCACCACTGGGTTCCCTTGACCCGGTCATGCATCTTCACCAGCCTAGCCTACTTACTGAGATTTAGTAACTGCACTGGACTAGGACACCAGTGCCTGGTTGTTGAGCTCAACTTCATCTCTCTGCTTGTTGAGTCACTGGACAAATCCTCCTTATCCTCTTGAATCTACTCGTCCACGAGACACAGGGGAAGATCCTCCCTTCCCTGAGAGGACCCAGAGCCTTAGGTGTCTTTGTGTCCCTACCAACTGAAAAGAACTCAAGACTTTCATAAAGAGGAAACCATTATCAGACTCTCCTACACATTTGTCATCATTAAGTAAGTTCCCAAGAGGAACAGAGTGACCCATTTGGCTGGGCAAAGCAAGAGCAAACGTCTTGAGAAATTTGAGCTCCTCATGCCCTTCCAGTCCTGCTCAGGTTCCAGGTTAGTTTTCTTCTCTAGGCTCCTTCCCTGGGCTCAAATTCTCAACTACTGTGGGTGGAGGGTTTGTGGAACGCTGCAGACCAGAGTTCCTCCCCTCTGAAGGCCTGTGTAGGGTTATCTGAAGTGTTTCCACCCAGAGTGCAGGAAAGAAACTCTGTCCAAGGGGCAAGGGGCAGCAAGTTCCGCAGGCACCCATGAGAGATGCCCAACACATCCCTGAAGAGCAAAGTTACAGCAGAATGTGAGGGAAGAGCCAGCGAGAGAGGTGCTCATGTTCTCACGCCCCAGCCTAGCCCAGCCAAGTGCTCACGGCCTGCACCTGGCAGTGCTGATGGTCTGTCCGTACCAAGGAGATGTGGGCTTGAACTCTGAGGTACGAAGACTACAGGTGGAGACGAGGAAAAGTGAGAAGGTAACTTCAGAGGAGACAGCAGGGTTGAATTGAACAGGAAAAGATCAAAAGTACAGCCAGAATCCCACTTGGTCTTTTTTCCATTCTCCTTTATTCCATAAACACCTAGTTACAAGTTGCACAAATCAAAAAATAAAGGCAGAGAAGGGTGTAGGGAAGATTCTTTTGATGTGTGTGGGCAGGAGGAGGGAGAGAGTTAGGAACCAGTCTGCTCCTTCCACAGCCCTAGATAGGGCTACGGCCCCTCAGTGGGGGCTCTGAGGAAGAGGTGGGCAAAGATCCAGGGTAGCTGAGGGATGGAGGGGGCCCCTAAACCCAGAGCTCACCCCAAAATGCATTGACCCTTCAATGCATGGCAGGAGTAGGATGGGAAAGGTGAGGGGGTTTGAAGATGGAGTGGCAGAATGAAAAATCAAGTCAGTAGATGCAGAGGCGAAGTCATCAATGGTAAACCAGGAGATTAAAGAAGGAAAAGGTAGGGAAAGGGTGCCGTGAAAGGTTCTCCCTGAGACCCCCAGGGAGAGGTGGGGGCCGGCTTGCCTGTTAATTTAATATTAAATTGGGGATGGGAATCGAGAGGAAAAAGTTATTCAGGGGATGATTTCTCAGCCTCTCAGCCTGTACCTGGAGGGGGAAAGAGAGAGGAGCACAAGTCAAAAGGAAGAAAAAACTTACGTTAAGAGCCAGGAGTTGGGGTTTAATCCCCTATGTCAGTGAGAACATTGTTCTCTTTCCATGTCAACTTGTACTACCAAAGGCAGCTCCTGCGGGAGCCTGAACTGAGCCTGCCTTGCAGCCGAGGACCGTCCGCAGGTGCACCCCACCCTCCTTACTCCTGATACTTACAAGAGAGGCTGAGGGCCCGGGGCCCTCACCAGTCATAGCGGCGGGACTGTCGGGAAGGGGAGTCCTCAGGTCCCTGGATGGCCAGGCGGGGAGGCCCCTCCGCCCTTCGTCCCCCAGCCCCTGAGGACTCAAGCCGCCGAAACTCCAGGGGACGCTGCTGCCGGAATCGGGAGGTCTCCCGCCGCCACTCGTCATCAAACGCTGCGGCCTCACCTGGAAAGGACAGAGCGGACATGAGGCCTGTGTGCGGCCTGGCTCCTGGAGGCCGATGTGCGAGCGAGCCACAGCTTTTCGGGCCAAAGCGGCGAAGGCTGAGTGTGCGTGCAGGGATGGGTGGGGTGGCAATTCCCTTAGCTCTTTTGGTTTCTGCACGGTCCCAGGAAGCCACCGGTAGGCGTAAGGTGGCCTACTGGAGGAAGAAATCAGAATGGGATTATTCTTCAGTTCAGGTTCACAGTCCTATGTGCACACTAGGTACTTAATAATTGCGGATTTGAAAAAGATAAAGAGGGGAGAAAGAAACGGATCAAGGTGGAGAAGGGTGTAACACTATCAATACGGAACTTCAGGGACAAAGTAGGCCCCTCACAAAGACACCGCCAGCACCTGACTCCGCCCGAGCGGAGGAGGCTCCAAGTGCGGTAAGAATATGGGACTGACAGTTGGGTGCAGTGGCTCATGCCTGTAATCCCGGCACTTTGGGAGGCCAACGGTCGGTGGGTGGATCACAAGGTCAGGAGTTCGAGAACGGCCTGCCCAACATGGTGAAACCCTGTCTCTACTAAAAATACAGAAATTAGCTGGGCGTGGTGGCACATGCCTGTAGTTCCAGCTACACGGGAGGCTGAGGCAGGAGAATTGCTTAAACCCGGGAGGCGGAGGTTGCAGTGAGCTGAGATCGCGCCACTGCACTCCAGCCTGGGCACCTGGGCAACAAGAGCGAGACTCCATCTCAAAAAAAAAAAAAAAGGAATATGGGGCTGACCCAGAGCTTTGCCCCAGAAGTGTCTATGTGTTAGGGATGTCCACGGGAACCGGGTTAGGGGCTGCCAGCCAGGAAGCGGGAGGGAAGGCTCACTCTCATCCAGGTTGATATAGTCCTGCCGCTCCTCCTGGTCCCCCGTGCGATGGTTTCGGGAGCGCTGGAGGATGTGAGCCCTGTCCCGGATGTGATGCCCAATGGACATCTGCTCCAGTCCACTGTCTGAATCCCGAACAGTCCTCCGTGTCTCCCGGATCTGGGATGAGGCAGAACGTGGCACACTCAGCCGCCCCTTCCAAAGCCCTGCCTATACCATCTCAGGATAAACACACCACACACAACCCAATCCGGAAAAAAGCAGCCAGGGTTTCTGGCGGTGCCGCTCAATCCTACCTTCTCTGGGACAGGAGGGCTCCCCAACTCACCCCGCCTGGTGCCGAGCGCATCTCTGATGTCTCTTGGTAGACCTTGGGGGCACCATCACCCGTATTGGAGTAGGAGATGACAGTGGAAGATGAGAAGGTCTGGCAATTGCCTCCAGCTGTCATGTGTTCCTGAGGACAGGGTAGGTAGGGGAGGGCTGAATGGGGAGGCATCACCCCTGGTGAAGGGATTTCACCCTTCAGCTGCCTGTTCTAGCCTGTATCTTTCTCACAAAATGCAAGAACTGAAAAAACATCAGGCCTCATCATTACCCTCCCAAATTCCTCTGAGTCCAACCACGAGCAAGAAGGACCTGAAGAGACAGGGCCTTAATTGTATGCTACGTAAGAGAGCTGCTGCCGGCTGCTTCAGGCAGGCATGACAGCAGGTACAGGGTCCCAAGGCTCTCTGGTTCAATTACTTTATCCAGTACTTTACCCTTCACTAGCATACTGTTTCCCTCTTGCCTTAGAGGATGCAAGGTGTTGTCAGCCATCACTGAGAGCAAGGCCGGGGAAGGGTATGGGGCAAGTCTCACCATGTTTCCAATCATGTCATTCATCATCCCAAACATGTCCATGAAACCACCCGACTGGAGGAAAGAGATGGAAAACAGAGTCAGGAAAGCAAAGTCAGTGTTCAGAGTTGATCCTGTTTAGGAACCCACAACCCACATGGCTGCACATTTCCTTTCTCTTCTTCCTTCACATCTAGCAAGTTCTCTTTCTCATTCTGTTAAAATAACCAGAATACTCATATTTCTCCTCCTGTGAACTGCTGACCCCTTCCTCAGTCTCTGTGACTGCTGTGATCCAATTTTCCTTCTCCTGCTTGCTATATTCCCCCCATCTTTAGGAAGCAAGCCAAAGTAATGGATTCTAAACTCTAAAGAGGTAAGGCATGAAATTGTTAAAACCTACCAAAAAATCATCTCTAGTTGGCCCTTTAACTGCACTTCCCTCCTCAAAAGAACAAATTTTGCTAGACAATTACATCTTCCTAATGCGTATGAACTTCTAGGAGTACAACAGTTAATAACATCTTTTCTTTTTTTTTTTTTTGAGATGGAGTCTGGCTCTGTTGCCCAGGCTGGAGGGCAGTGGCGCAGTCTCGGCTCACTGCAATCTCCACCTCCCGGATTCAAGAGTAGCTGGGACTACAGGTGTGTGCCACCATGCCTGGCTTTTTTGGTATTTTTAGTAGAGACGGGGTTTCACCATGTTGGCCAGTCTGGTCTCGAACTTCTGACTGCAAGTGATCACCCATCTCGGCCTCCCAACAAGAGTTTAACACCTTTAACCCACAGGGCTCCTAGTACCCAACAGGCTCAGAGCTTTGTGAATGCCATAAAAAGAGAAGATTCTGGGGTTACTCATGAAACTATTCCTAAGAGGCACATTTGGGAATAATATCTAAGGGTAGAGAGTGTGTCTGAGATGGAAGGACACAGGGAGATAAAGACTCACCATTCCCAGCATCCCAAAGGGGGAGACAGCTCCAGCCTACAGGAACACATGAGGAACAGAAATTAGAGACCACATCCTATCTCTTTACAATCCCAAACCAGGCCCATGGCCTCAATTTTTTTCCATCCTCTCAAAAGGGAGTCACAAAGCCCTTTTTCCTGACCCTTTCCCCAACTCCTAGAGCATTTCACTTGCTCAGTTGGCTGTAGTGCAAGAAAATTAAGTGCTTTCCTAACTAACCTCCAACCTTTCTTTGGGTCTCAGGTGTGTCTCAGCATCATTACCTGCTGCATCCGGCGGCTGGCAGGCCTGGTCCCTGGCATGTTGCCATCTGTGATGCTGAGGAAGGGGCTATATCCAAAGCCACCTGACAACATACGGCTCATATGCTGACGGTGAATAGCAAAGGGATCCCTGTGGAGTGAGCACATAGTATGGATGGCAGAAGCGCCAAACTGTCAATCCCTCCACCACCCTGCAAAAAAATACGCACAGAGCAACAGTGGCACCGATGCCTACTTCCTGCTAGGTAGGAGCTAGGTATCCAGCCAGTTCCAACCATTCCTAGCAATGGGAACCCCGATGTCTGCCTGAACTGCTCAGAGACCTGGAGTGGGAGAGCTTGAGGGGGAGGGAATACTCACATCAGGAACATGGGATCCTCAGGCTCCACGTCCCTCATGAAGCGGAACATCCTGATCTCAGCTCCAGGGGGCTCCACACTGGAAAGATATGGAAGCTCAGATACTTGGAGGTGGCCAGGGTTTTGCACACCCACTCAGTGTGGGGACTCTCAGAGCACTGTCCTTTCCAAATCCTGTAACTGACCCCCTAAACTCCAGGGAGACCCTACTCCAGGTGTTCCACACAACCCTCTAGGGAGGGAAGGGCTCTTCAAACCTCTTTCTCAATTAGGGCCATGGAAAATTTTTCCAACCCTCTCGGTTTTTCCCTCCCCCACTCAGAGCCATCCTCTTCCCAAAGCTCTGGCCGGTAGCATACTCTCCCCTCCTCCCGCCGACGACACCGTTCTAGATGAGAATGCCAAGTGCAGGTCCTCCGCCCCATTAATGACCCCAGTCACCCCGCCCCCTCCTTACACTCAGGCCTCCCCCAGGCGGGCCTCACTAAGCCCCCCGCGCCTGTCTGCGACTCCTCTAGCTCCCGCCTCCCCGCCAGGCGAGCAGGAGAGGTAGGCCTGAGCCTCTCCTCTCCCCACCCCGCATCCCGGGCTCCCAGACCCTGCAGCCCCGTGGGCCCGCTCCCGTCCGGGGCTGCCAGCTCTGCCCGAGCCTCACCAGTGCCCGATTCGGGCTCAGCGGCCCATCCGGCCGGTTTCGCTTCCCGGTACGCTGCAGGGTCAGGGTCGCGGCCCGGAACGTGGGGATTGGTCCGGGCTTGAGCTCCTCGGCCTTCCACGCCGCCTCCTCCCACAGCTGCCACCTCCGTACGGCCCCCTCGGCCAACGGAGCCCGAACCTCGGCCAGGCCCGGGCGGAAGTGACGTCACGATAGACCCGCCCACCCGGGGCCGGGCCGTGGGAGCCCCGCCCCCTGGCGCGGGTGGTGAGATGGCTGGGGCCGAGTCCCAGGGGCGCCGGGGCCATGGGCCAAGCTCAGGGGAGCAGAGCCTGAGGCCGAGAGGGGTCCCCTGGGCACGAAGAAGGGGAGCTCATTAGTAACCTCGATTTGGGTTCTGTGGACTGGAAGAGGCTCCCATAAGGCAGGGGAGGAGAAGGAGAAGAGGAATCCATTCTTCGGGAGGGACCGGGTTGGAGGTTGAACCTGGGGGCGCAGTGCAGCACGTTCTCTCTCCCTCCTCAAGGGGAAACTGGAGGACGAGGGGCAGATGCCCCTTGGGGAGAGGCGGGCGCTCTGTGGGCGACGAGGCGGGGCGGATCCCTGGGGGGAGCTTTAAGCCGACTCTACTGGAGAAGCAGTCTACCCTAGAGGGAGGATGGGCAGTTTTCCTGCGGGGGAGGCGCTTGGGCCTGTCCCCGCTTGAGGAGGAGCGTTCCTGGCAGGGCGGAGTCCCCGGAGTGACGCAGAGGAGGTGAAACTCTCCAGCCCAGATCTAGTTCGGGCTTCAGAAAGTCGGATGGGGCAGAGGATCCAGGTTGGGGGGTTGGCCGCCAGATGGCGCTCCTCGGCCAGGCTGGAACCGGAGGCCCTTGAGAACTCGCGTTGGAGAGGGACCTGGACCCTCCCCCGTTACCCATCTGTGAAGGGTTGGACTGGGGAAAGGCTACAGTTCTGAATCTATTAGTTTAATGCCACTCTCCCCTTCCTTTTACTCTAATTCTTGTGTCCTCAAGAGCTCCCAGTCCTGCACTGACCTTTCTTGGTTGCTTTCTTAGGTCAAAGGTCTAAAGTTTGGGGGAACAAAGGAGTGGAGAGCTCAGTTAACCTGGATCACCCAGGGGAGGAGCTAAAACGGGGCCCAGAAGACCTGCCTCCAAGGCCAGAGACTGATACTTTGACATACTAAATGTCTTGCATAAAATCTGGCTCTGCTGGAGAGAAGGGCCTTCCCCTTTGGGGTCAGGGCATTTGGACTGTCTAGGATGGACTTTAACCAGACTCATCCAAACTCCAGCTTTCCCTGGTTCTTTACTCTGGCTTTTAGCCATATTAGTGCTGTGTGGAGTCTGACCCAATGAGAAAGACTTGTTCCCAGTAATTCCCTGGGGGAGAAAGAGGGGGTCCCTGGTGACTCAGGAAAAGGTGCTAGGAACAGGGCTTCTCACGTTTCTTTGGACTTGATCATTATTAAAGAGGAAAAAACAATAATAGAGACAGGGAGCAGAGATAGATAATTAAGATATAAGCTGACAGACTGGCAAGTCAAAGGAAAACAGACAGAATACAAGTAAATTTGTTTTTCATTGCTATTTCTGGGGGAAGAGACTTAGTAAAATCTTCTGTCTTCCAGATCTCTGCACTTCCCACCATGCAACTTCCCCTTATCCTCTTGCCCCAAATGAAAGCAGTTTGACATGTGATCAAGAGTTGTCCCAGTAAAGGTTCTGTGGCTGAAACTTAACTAAAGAGATCCTATCCATTTTTTTTCTTTTGTCCTCTCCTCCTTCTAAAGCAAGTTCTTTATTGTCCAGCCAATCAACAAATGTTTAAGGCCTGGCGCAGTGGCTCACGCCTGTAATCCCAACACTTTGGGAGGCTGAGGCGGGCACATCACAAGATCAGGAGTTCGAGACCAGCCTGACCAACAAAGTGAAATCCAGTCTCTACTAAAAATACAAAAATTAGCTGGGCGTGGTGGCACATGTCTGTAATCCCAGCTACTCAGGAAGCTGAGGCAGGAGAATCGCTTGAACCCAGGAGATGGAGATTGCAGTGAGCCAAGATTGTGCCACTGCACTCCAGCCTGGGCGACAGTGAGACTCCGTCTCAAAACAACAACTACAACAAAAACGAAAATTAGCCGGGCATGGTAGCAAGCACCTGTAATCCCACAAGTAGGCTGAGGCAGGAGAATCACTTGAGCCTGGGAAGTGGAGGTTGCAGTGAGCCGAGATCACGCCATTGCACTCCAGCCTGGGGGATGGAGCGAGACTCTGTTCCAAAAAAAATAAAAATAAAAATAAAAAGCAAATGTTTAATGAGGCCTGGAACTGTCCTAGGTACATTGTATTAAGCATACATACAAAATATAAGACACGGTCTCTGCCAATTGAAGGCATACAGTCTTGTAGCCACCTTTTTCTTTTTTAGTTACCTGTTATCCGTTTTTTTGTTTTTTTTTTAATTAAATTGTAGAGATGGGGAGTTTCATCATGTTGCCCAGGCTGGTCTCAAACTCCTGAGCTCAAGTGATTCGCCCAAACTTGGCCTCCCAAAGTGCTGGGATTACAGACATGAACCACTGTGCTCAGCCACCTGCTATCCTTTACGTACCGCCTTTAGGTGCCTAGAGTCCTTTCTCTTCTTCCTTCCAAAACTTAAGAATCTGCTGGCCAGGCGCGGTAGCTCACGCCTGTAATCCCAGCACTTTGGGAGGCCGAGGTGGTTGGATCACTTGTGGTCAGGAGTTCGAGACTAGCCTGGCCAACCTGGCCAACATGGCAAAACCCTGTCTCTACTAAAAATACAAAAAAATTAGCCAGGCATAGTGGCACGTGCCTGTACTCCCAGCTACTTGGGAGGCTGAGGCATGAGAATCGCTTGAACCCAGCAGCAGAGGTTGCAATGAGCCGAGATCTTGCCACTGCACTCCAGCCTGGGCGACAGAGCAAGGCTCCGTCTCAATAAAAAAAAGAAAAAAAAAAAAGGAAATTGTTGGCCAGGCACAGTGACTCACACCTGTAATTCCAACACTTTGGGAAGCCAAGGCAGGAGGCTCGTTTGAGCCCTGGAGTTGGAGACCAGCCTGAGCAACATAGTGAGACGTTGTCTCTTCAGTAAAAAAAATTAGCCAGGTGTGGTGGTGTGTGCCTGTAGTCCCAGCTACTTGGGAGGCTGCGGTGGGAGGATTGCTTGAGCCATAATCACACCACTGCACTCCAGCCTGGGAGACAGAGCAAGGCCCTGTCTCTAAAAAAGAAAAAAAGAAAAAAAAAAAACCTCTTGAACAGGTGAGGATGAAAGAGCAAATGCAAGAGCCCATTTTCAGAGTTCTTGGAGACATACCATATAGGCAGTTGTCTACTCCAGGAATTAAAGGGATGTAATTTTGCAAGTAACCAGAGTTTGTGTCTGTCTTCCTTCTCCGGGTCTCTCCCTCTCCTTCATTTCCTTTCCTCTCTTCTCCTTCACTCTCTTCCTCTCTCCCTTCCTCCATCCCTCTTGTCTTTTCCCTCTCTCCCTCCCTCTTTTTTTTTTTTTTTTTTTTGAGACGGAGTCTCACTCTGTCGCCCAGGCTGGAGTGCAGTGGCACGATCTCGGCTCACTGCAAGCTCCGCCTCCCGGGTTCACGCCATTCTCCTACCTCAGCCTCCCGAGTAGCTGGGACTACAGGTGCCCGCACACCTGGCTAATTTTTTTATATTTTTAGTAGAGACAGGGTTTCACCGTGTTAGCCAGGATGGTCTTGATCTCCTGACCTCGTGATCTGCCCGCCTCAGCCTCCCAAAGTGCTGGGATTACAGGCATGAGCCACAGTGCCCGGCCCTTTCTTTCTTTATCTTTCTTTCTCTCTCTCTCTCTTTTTCCTTCCTCCCTCTCCTCTCCTCTTTTTCTTTCTTTCTTTTTCTTTCTTTCTTTTCTTCTCCTTCCTTCCTCTTTTTTTTTTTTTCAGAGTTTTGCTCTTGTTGCCCAGGCTGCAGTGCAAAGGCATGATCTCGGCGCACCACAACCTCCGCCTCCCAGCTTGGGTTCAAGTGATTCTCCTGCCTCAGCCTCCGGAGTAGCTGGGATTACAGGCATGTGCCACCACGCCTGACTAATTTTGCATTTTTAGTAGAGACAGGATTTCTCCATGTTGGTCAGGCTGGTCTCGAACTCCCTACTTCAGGTGATCTGCCCGCCTTGGCCTCCCAAAGTGTTGGGATTACAGGCATGAGCCACTGCACCTGGCCTGCCCTCCCTCCCTTCCTTTTTCTTTTCCTTCCTTCTTTCCTTCCTTTCTTTCTTCCTTCCTTCCTTTCCTCTTTTCTTTTCTCTTTTCTTTCCTTTCTGTCCAGTGAACTGTGGTGAACAGTGTCCCATAGGTAAGATGTAGAAGGGAGAGCAGGCCCTGCCAGGGGTGAGGCTCAATCATAAGGCAGATAAGGATTGTTGGCAAGGAAGAGAAACAAAGTTCCAGCATTCACTGTTCTATCTGATGGAGCCAAAGTCATGAAGTCCTTGAGAGGGTACAGCCGGGCCAGAAAAGGGGTCGTCTCTTCAGATGTGAGGTCATGCCTCTGGAGCAATCCCAGGGCTGTGAGACATTAGAGTGGAGGGAGGGTGGAGGAGTGATGAGGGAATGAGGGGAGACTGAGTTTTTTGCCTGAGCGGCATGAGCGGGTGTGGCTGAGTGTGTGTGGATGTGATGTGCATTTGTGTTGGGGGAGGGAGATAAACTATAAAAAGGAGCGCTAAGGTGCCCCAGGTAGAGAGAGGGGGGAATGCCAACTCAGTGAGAGAGAAAAGTGACTTGAGAGCATTTTTTAAAAGTCACCTTTTCAGCTTTAAAAAAATAAATAAATAAATAAATAAATATATATATATATAGCCAAATATGTACTGAATGCCTACTCTGTGTCAAGTACTGTTCATGGTTCTGGAGATACAGTAATGATAGAAAAATAAAGCAAGGTAGAATGGGGATGGAGAACAGGCAGGCAAGCTGGGAGGCAGGCAGTTGTTGCTTTTGATGTAGGTGACTAGGGAAGACCTCACTGATGAAGTGACATTTAAGCAGAGACCTGAACAAGGTGAGAGAAATAGCTGGGATGAGAGCATTCTGGGCAGAAGTAGCAAGAGCAGGCCAGGTGCAGTGGCTCAAGCCTGTAATCCCAGCACTTTGGGAGGCTGAGGTGGGTGGATCACTTGAATCCAGGAGTTCGAGACCAGCCTGACCAACATGGTGAAACCCTGTCTCTGCTAAAAAATACAAAAATTAGGCTGGGCGTGGTGGCTCACGCCTGTAATCCCAGCACTTTGGGAGGCCAAGGCAGGTGGATCATGAGGTCAGGAGATCGAGACCATCCTGGCTAACACAGTGAAACCCTGTCTCTACTAAAAAATAAAAAAAATAAAAAAATTAGCTGGGTGTGGTGGCGGGCACCTGCAATCCCAGCTACTCAGGAGGCTGAGGCAGGAAAATTGCTTGAACCCGGGAGGCAGAGCTTGCAGTGAGCCGAGATCACACCACTGCACTCCAGCCTGGGCAACAGAGCGAGACTCTGTCTCAAAAAATAAACAACAAAAAAGGGTAGCAAGCACAAAGGCCCTCAAGTATGCAGGAAGGCAGAAGCATGCTTAGTGTGGTCAAGGAACAGCAAGAAGCCAATGTGCCTAGACACGTGTGAAAGAAGGAAGAGCAGTGGTGAGAGACCAGGTCACAGAGGAAGAAGGAAGCCAGTCATGTGGGACTTTCTAAGCCTTTGTAAAACCTGCGAAAGGATCACTCTGGCTGTTGTATGGAGGACAGACTGTTGGGGGAGGGGCAACAGCAGAAACAGAAAGCCCTATTAGCGTGCTGTAGCCATAATCCAGATGAGACCTGATGGTGGCTTAGAGCAGGTTAGAAGCAGTAGAGGCAATGAGAAGGGGTCGGTCGTATTCTGGATGTATTTTGAAGATAGAGCTAGCAGAATTTGCTGATGGATGGATGCAGTGTGAGAGAGGAGTCAAGGATGTTTCCAGGATTTCTGGCCTAGGAACTGCTTACACTGCCAAGTACTGTACTGAAAATGTACAAATAGTGGTTTGAGAATATGTTAAAGCGGTGACTGTTTGGAAACTCGCGACTGTGTGGCTATCCGGGATAACTGACCTGGACACTCATTTCTTGAAGCTAGCCTAAGGTAGGAGGAGATGTGGACAACATGAATGAGGGACTTCCACACCTAGTTTGACTATAAGATATTGGATATTAGACCGTCTTGCGTAGATATGCTAATGGTACCTGTTGGCATTAGCACTGGAGTTTCAAATTATTCTTTAATCATTTCAAGAAGACATCCTGGCCGGGCACGGTGGCTCACGCCTGTAATCCCAACACTTTGGGAGGCTGAGGCAAGTGGATCACCTGAGGTCAGGAGTTCGAGACTAGCCTGGCCAACATGGAGAAACCCCGTTTCTACTAAAAATACGAAATTAGCTGGGCATAGTGGCGCATGCCTGTAATCTCAGCACTTTGGGAGGCCGAGACAGGTGGATCACGAGGTCAGGAGTTTGAGACCAGCCTGGCCAACATGGTGAAACCCCGTTTCTATTAAAGGCGGAGGTTGCAGTGAGCTGAGATGGCGCCATTGCACTCCAGCCTGGATGATAGGGCGAGACTCCATCTCAAAAAAAAAAAAAAAATTGCTGTAGCAAAACTTTGAGGGAGTAGTGGTGTGAGGTAAGGCTACAGAGGTTAAAAGGAACCAGACCTTGAAGGGCCGTATTTGCTTGTAGAATTTGTCCTGTAGGGAAAATTACAATAGTCTGTTTATATTTTAGGTAGAAAGGCAGTTTATGCATTTCAGGAAACATCTTTGAGCTTCTACAATATTCCAGGTATGGAAATAGGTGCTGAAGATGTAAAAAAAAAAAAATTCTAAAATCATGATTGAAAACCCTAAGGAGCTTAAGCTTAAAGTCAGCGAGTGAGCCTTTGAGCAGAGGCAGGGCGGGGATTAGACAGCAGAGGAGGCACTCAAGGAATGAGGGATCTGGGGAGGGAAAGAAAAGGTGGCTGACCCCTGGGCGCGAATGTATGGGTGGAGGACAGTCCCATCAACTGAAAGAGGAAACCCAAGGGAATTTCAGTGGGAACAAGTTAGGTTTGAGGAGCTGTGTTGCATCCGGGGAGAACTGAACAGAACAGAACTGGAATCATCACTCTGGAACTCCGGAGAGAAGCTAGTGCCAGAGAGTTGAAAGTGTGTTTGAGGTGTGTGTTGGCAGTGGGACTTAAACCCATTGCAGTACAACATGGAATAGTTTAGGGAGTCTGTGAAGAGAGAACAGGACCTCTGAGATTGAAGTCACCTGGGAGGGTTCAGTGGACACTGTCATCGTCTCCTTCTGGTCATGAAATCCTCCCTTCCTCAGTCTTCTGGGCAAAACAAGTCTTTAGCTGTTACTCCTTGTCCTATTTTCCCTTGCCTTTTCATTTTTACTGGTCCCCTGGATCAGCCACACAGTCTGTTTAATCTATGAAAATGTGAACACTCTGAACAAACACACACCTATGGTAAAGTATGTGCCAACAGTGGCCCTGATGACCTGAAACACAGCAGCCAGAGTTGCTCCCTGACTTTCTACTTAAGGATTACTGGTGATGGAGGTTGAAAAGGTGGAAAAAGAGGCAGTTTAGGGCCAAGGTCTAAAGTGTTGCTATCCCATATGGGAAAATAGCCACTAGCCACATGTGGCTATTTAAATTTAATTAATGGCCGGTAGCGGTGGCTCACACCTGTAATCCCAGCACTTTGGGAGGCCGAAGTGGGCGGATCACGAGGTCAAGAGATCGAGACCATTCCTGGCCAACATGGTGAAACCTCATCTCTACTAAAAATACAAAAATTAGCCAGGCATGGTGGCGCGTACCTGTAGTCCCAGCTACTCGGGAGGCTGAGGCAGGATAATTGCTTGAATCCTGGAGATGGAGGTTGCAATGAGCCGAGATCGTGCCACTGCACTCCAGCCTGCCAATAGAGCGAGACTCCGTCTCAATAAATAAATAAATAAATAAGTTTAATTAAAAGGCCGTGCGCGGTGGCTCATGCCTGTAATCCTAGCACTTTGGGAGGCCGAGGTGGGCAGATTGCCTGAGCTCAGGAGTTCGAGACCAGCCTGGGCAACATGGTGAAACCCCGTCTCTACTAAAATACAAAAGAAATTAGCAAGGTGTGGTGGCGTGTGCCTGTAGTCCCAGCTACCTGGGAGGCTGAGGCAGGGGAATTGCTTGAACTTGGGAGGCAGAGGTTGCAGTGAGCCGAGATCATGCCACTGAATTCCAGCACTCCAGCCTGGGTGACAGAGTGAGACTCTGTCTCTACAAAATAATAATAATAATAATAATTAATTAAAAGTAAAAAAATTCAGTTCCTCAGTTGCGCTAGCCACATTTTCAAGTGTTCAGTAACCACACGACTAGTGGCTACTATGTTGGAAAGTGCAGATAAAGAACATTTCCATCATCACAGAAAGTTTTGTTGGACAGAGCTGGAAGGCACCCATAAATGTTGCCTTCCTTCTGGACTTTGTTGAAGGCCCATGAAGACATGTTGAAGAGTGAATGTGGGGGAGAAATTGAAGGCAGGACAGAGAGAGTCAGGCAATAGCAAACTATTCTAGGTGTAAAAGCAAAGGCGAGGCCGGGTGCGGTGGCTTACACCTGTAATCCCAGCACTTTGGGAGGCCAACACAGGTGAATCACGAGGTCAGGAATTTTAGACTAGCCGGGCCAAGATGGTGAAACCCTGTCTCTACTAAAAATACAAAAATTAACTGGGCGCAGTGGCGGGTGCCTGTAATCCCAGCTACTCAGGAGGCTGAGGCAGGAGGAGAACTTGAACCCGGGAGACAGAGGTTGCAGTGAGCCGAGATTGCGCCACTGCACTCCAGCCTGGGGAATAGAGCAAGACTCTCTCTCGGAAAAAAAAAAAAAAAAGGCAAAGGCATTCCCGAAGGAGGGCAGGGGGAATAAGAAAAGCCAATCAAGATTCTGAAGAAGGGCCCACGTGGTGGTTCACGCCTATAATGGAGGCTGAGGTGGGTGTATGGCTTGAGCCCAGGGGTTCCAGACCAGTCTGAGCAACATGGTGAAACCCGATCTCTATGAAAAATAAAAAAATTAGCCAGGTGTGGTGGGGCGTCTCCAGTCCTAGCTACTGAGGCTGAGGTGGGAGGATCACTTGAGCCCCTGGAGGCAGAGGTTGCAGCGAGCTAAGATCGTGCTACTGTGCTCCAGCCTGGGTGACAGAGTGAGACCCTGTCCCAAAAAAAAAAAAAAAGAATCTGAAGGAGAGGTACAAAGGTGAAACCCATTCTTTTTTTACTGGGGAGAAATTTCATGGAGAAAAGTAGGAAAACCACAAAAACTTTGGTTGTGATGTTCAAAACATAAAAGAGACTTCCAACCAGGACATCTTCCCAGTAGTTACTGGGAAGATCTCAAGTCAGACGGAGGGAAGCCAGTATCCTGGCAGCATGGTGTGTTTTCCCAGCTTCCTTGAAGAAGGTTGAGAGAGCTGTGAGATTGAGTCCAAAATGGTGCCACTGGGCTAGGAAATAGATGGTTTATTGAGCTTTCTTGTTTGTCCCTGGTGTGGTGTTAGATACTATGCCACAGGAGACATTAGTATGGGTGGAAGACCAAGGAAGGCGATTGGGTGTTGAGAACAACATATGGGAAAAAGGGATACGGGTCTGCAAAGTCAGGAGGAATCAGGGAGGCACTGCAGAAAAGGAGTACCCACGGAGACGGGACGCATGATGGATGTGCCTTAATGTTGCCTGGAAGATCATCTCTCCTTATTTTTAACACCCATGGAGGTAACACACTCAATCATGATCCGGCCAGGTGCGATGACTCATGCCCGTACTCCCAGCACTTTGGGAGGCCGAGGTGGGCAGATCACCTGAGGTCAAGAGTTCGACACCAGCTTGGCCAACATAGTGAAACCCCGTCTCTACTGAAAATACAAAATTATCCAGGTGTGGTGGCACATGCCTGTAATCCCAGCTGCTTGGGAGGCTGAGGCATGAGAGTTGCTTGAACCCAGGAGGCAGAGGTTGTAGTGAGTGGAGATTGTGCCACTGCACTGCAGCCTGGGTGACAGAGTGAGACTCTGTCTCAAGACAACAATAATAAAAAAACATGATCGAAGTTAGGCTAATTTAGGTCTTCCTCTAGGACTCCATCTCCTCTCAACTCTCCACTGACTTTCGTTTTGAAAAGTTTTAGATTGAAAATAAAAAAAGCAAAGGAAAATGGGGTAAATGGGGGATAGAAAATGAGGTCACTGGGAATGGAATGGGGATAAAGTAAAACGAGGAGTGGAGATAGCCCCCCCAACTTTCAGGTCTCTGTCTTCCAAGGCCTTGAATGATAACTAGGCCTTCCTTACCCCTTAACCAACAGGAGAAATAGGCACACTGAAAAAATCCAGGAAGCTGGAGAGGGGGAAGAATTCACCAAGAATGAGATGGAAATAACTAGAATTGAACACTTCCCACACATGGTATCAAGGTAAATTTCTAGGATGTCAGGCCAGAAGTCATCGTTTCCAGGGGGCTCAGACCTTCCTTGTTCTCACCTGGTCACCTTTTTCCCGCTTTCAGAAAATGTGTAAGAAGCACATGCTTCCCCCATTCAACTAGTGGGAGAAATTCTCAATTGGACTGTAGAGTAAGGTAATTCTAGGAATAGGCAAGCCTCCACAAAGCCTCAGAAATAGTTCCACAGAGAAAAGCAAACACAGGCCATTTAGCACCGTTGGCCCCAGAGGCTCTGAGGCTAACCCCTAGGACTGTCGGGTGGCTTTCAGATCCCACTCACTCCACATTCATCCCAAGTCTCACTTCCAGCTTCTTTCTCATGAAGCCAAGACTTCAGAAGACTGGTTTGTTGTCCAACCAGAGAGAGATGGCTAAAGGATGCTTCATCCACCAGGAAAGGAATTCGATCCAGGCCTCCAGCTTTCTAGATCTTTTCCCTGGGGTCCCTCGGACCCTAGTGTTCAAGCTCTTAGATTCTCAAGGCACTCCCTTGGGCTTTGGGGCAGGATTCCCATTCTCTGCCTCTCCATCTCTCTGGAATTTTCCACTGCAGCTGCCTCTGCTCCCAGACACCCCTCCCTGGGCAAAATTCCCGGCTCCCTCCGCCTCCCCTTCCCTAATCACACCTCATTCCCACCCCCAGCCCTGAGGCCCAGCCCACAGTCCGGCCCACAGCCCACGCTAACCCTGGTGGTCCCAGTTAGAGAAGTGGGAGGCCAGGTCCCTTATGGAAGGGTGAGAGGGAGTGTCCCAGCCTCTCTTTAGGGCGGGGAGAAGGGACACTGGAGGGGCTGGTCCCCTGTGGGGCTGGAGTTGGGGGAGTGGCCCTCCTCACATCCCCATATAAGGCAGGGCAAGCAGTTAGGCTTCTGGATTGGCTGATTCAAATGAGCATTCCACCTGGCAACAGGGTTTCTATTGGCTATCAGGAAAAATAGGAGGAAGGTGGATGGAGGTTGTTGGTGGCGGTGATTGGAGGGGGGAGAGGAGTGGAGGTGACCGGAGTGGGGGGCGGTTACCAGGGCAACAGGGTAAGAGCCCAGCAGGGTGTCCGAGACAGCAGGCGGGGCTGGGAGGTGGAGTGGAGGGAAGAGGAAAGGAAGGCGGGAGGGAGAGGAAAGAGCCTGATGGGGAGGGAGCGAGACTGGGAGACTGGGTTGTTGGTTGGGCGGGGGGGGGAGTAGCAAAGGATCGAGGAGAGGGAGATAAATGAAGCAAGAGGAGTACAGAGATGGAGACGGTGAGAGACGGCTGAAGACATCAGCCAGTGAGTCAGAGAAACAGATTGAGAGAGGGACATGGAAAGATCTCAGAAAAGATGGACAGAGTCCGGCAAGGAAAAATCCTGGGTGGGGCCCCAAGATTTTTGAGGAGACTGAGACTGAAATATTGATAGAAAAGTCAGAAAGAGAAACTGGGAGGCGTGTACATCAAGGGACCAAAAGATGGTGTATTTAAGCACTCAAACACAAAATAATGATAATGATCATCAACGTAGTTTTTTATTAATAAAATGAAAATAATAAGATGAGGAATAATGATAATGACAGACAAATATGGGAGTGCACGCACACCAAAGGTCTTTTTCCAAACCCCAGCCTTCCACTCTGTCCACCTTCCTGACCTTTAATACACAACCCAGCCCCTGTTCCCTTCTGAAATCCCAAGCTTTTCAAAATGACTCAAAGATACCGAGATTGAGGGCGAGGAGCTGAGGATGTGTGGAATAGGGTGGGGCTGGAACTCCAGACCTGGACCTGTATTATATTTGCAAAGGAGGCAAATATAACCCAGAAAGGCTAGGGAAGATGGCAGCAGAGGAATGAGAAAAGCTGAAGGATGGAAAATGTAAAAAATGAGGACAGAAAGAGGAGTTGAGGAAAGCCAGCCAAGAATAGAGGGCCAGGTGCCTGACTCAGATAAGACAAGAGCAGGGTTGTCTGGGAAAGATAGGGAAAGAGACCAGAGGTGGAAGGGCAGAAGAGAGTCAGTGAGGAGTGGAGAAGAGGTGAGAGAAGAATGGGAGCGATTCGAGTTATAATTGGTTGTGAAGGAGGGGTCTAGGTACAGATGACTGAGGACGGATGAAGAGAAATAGAAGGACCAGGCGAATAAAAGTGAGGTGAGACGGGCGAATAAGAGAGGTAGAAGATGGAAGAGAGCTGGAAGACAGCAAAGGAGACCAGGGGGCCTGACTCCCCCCGGCTCACAGCACGGGGCCAGGAAGGGAGGCACCCGGCAAGGGTCACAAGTGTCAATCTGGCGGGACAGAAGGCTGGGCCGCCCTTTCTGCCCTCCCATCCCTCCTCAAGGCCATCCAGAGAATGTGGATGGAGGATGAGAGGGGGAAATCCGGCGTGGTGTGGAAGGAGCGCCCGAACCCTCTTCCTCTTCTTTAAGCTTTTGGTTTCTCAAATACCTGCCCTATCTTCCCATCTGCTCCCCTCACCCCACCCCTTGGCAAAATCCCAGGGCTTTTTTTGGGGTCAGTAGGATTCTGGCCACCTCTCCAGTCCGCCCCCAAAAGCCAGACTCCACATTCGCAGGCAGTAGGTTGGGATTTGGAAAGGTGCCTCCCCGCAGGAACCCCACCCCTTCCCACCTCCTCGCCCCACTCTTTCTCCGCGGCCGTCAGTCTCTCCATTTCCCCCTCCTGGTCTCGTCCTCCCTCCCGACTCCCTAGCTCTCCCTCCCCTCGCTTTCATCCTCCTATCCCCACCTCTCCAACCTCCTCTTTCATCCCCCTCCCCTCTCCTCTCCTCCCCGCTCCCGCCTGCCCCACCCCTGGGAAGCCCCTCCCGTCGGGCAGCGCCGCCTTATAAGCGGGTTCCCTTCCCGGGGGCGGCAGCGGCTGGTCGGCGGCAGCTCTGCTGGTGCGGGGGCGGCGAGCCCGGGATCGAGCTACCGCGGCCGAGCGCGCCGGCCACCGCCTGCACCGCCCTTCCGCCCGCCCTCCGGACGGCCGCAGCCCTGCGGGTCTCCGCTCCAGACCCACCCCCGCCCCACCCCGCGCGCCTCTGCCGCCTCTTCCAGAGACCCAGCTTGCCGAGCGGCCGCCGCTGCCGCTGTCGCCGCCGCCGCCGCCACCGCGCCAGGTTCCGGCCGCGGCCACCCTCCGCCGTCCAGGGCCCCTCCGTCTCGGCCCCGGGACCCCGGCTCCCCGCCAGCCCCGGCCCCGGCCCCGGCACCATGTCGGAGAAAAGCGTGGAGGCAGCGGCCGAGTTGAGCGCCAAGGTACGGGCGGGGGCGGCGGCGGCCCGGACCTCGCGCAGCCCTGGGGCCCGGCGCGGTCCTTCGCCCCAGGCCGCCCCCGACGGCCCCGCGCGGCCCTTGCGCCCGGGTCCTGGCGGACCCCACTGCGCCCTCCCACCGCTCCCCGGCCCGGAGCTCCTTTCCCGGCTCCGCGCGGCTAGCGCCAGCGCCCTCTAGCTGCCCTGCGCGCACCACGGCGCCCGGCCTCGCCGCTCCGGTCGCGCCGTCCCCCGCAGCCGTCCCCACCCCTCTTCGGCCCCACCTCGCTGACCGGATCCCGTCCGGCTTCCCGTCCGAACGCCCCGAGTCTCACTTTGCCGCGCCCCCTCCCTGCGCCCCGCTGCCGCGTCTTTGCTTGCAACCTGACCTCACCTTTCCTCGCTAAGCGGTTTGAGATCCTCAAGTGTAAACAGGACTCTCCCTGGAGGCTGCTCCTCCGGGCCCCTCCCCGCGGCCCGACCGTCGCTCGCTTCTCTCCCCGGACGGCGGCCGCCTCTGTTTTCTCGTTCCCTCCCCTCAGCTGGCTTTCAGCTTTCTTTTCTCTTCATCGTCCCCTTCCCGCATACACACTGAAAGAATCTCGAATTCCTAAAAATTAGAAGCGGGGCAGGACTAGCCTTCGAAAAAGCCGAGGCTGGGCATTGCATGGCATTGCGTCGAGCTGTCCTCGCCCTCATCAGCTCCCTTCCCCGGCCCCATCCGTTCGCCCTTGCCTCTCTTCCAGCCTTCCTCTAATTTCCCCAGGGAACCTGCGGAGTGTCGCTTTGGGAAATTAACGCGGCCGGGGTTTGGGGGCTGGGAGCCCTATCTTGTGTGTGTATGTGTATGGCGGGGGGGGGGGGCGCGGTGGTTGCTGAGGGGCCGTCACACAGGTCTCCCGGAGGCCCGCGGAGTGAAACGGGGGGAGCCAATGGGATTAACGGCGGTGGGAGAGGGGCTGTGTGCGATCTGCCAAGGTGCGCCCGTGTGGCCCTCCGGCGGGCTGTGCGGTGGCATGTGACTTCACTGAGTAGGTGTCTTTGTATGTCTGAAATCCAGCGAGTGTGTGGGACTGCCCGTGTCAGTTACATGTGTGCATGTGGAGACGTAGATGTTCTGGAGCCATGTTGTCGCTTTGTGAGTGCTGAGTGGCTCCGCTGTGCTCCCGTGCTGTCTCAAGAGTGTGGACCAGAATGGCCCAACGCTGGGCCATGTGTCTCCCATCGCGTGGGTGCTCCTCTCTAACTGTGTCTGTGCATGGCTGTCGGCCGGTGTCGGTGTGTGTGCCTGTGTTGAGTAAATGAGGCCAGAGGGCTGCTTAGCAGAAGACCTAGGGCCCAGGTCACATATTCTCCTGGAAAAGGGATCATGGAAGGACAGTGACCAGAAGGACAGAACAGGGGAGGAGAGGGCCCGGCCCCTTGAACTTTGGTCTCTGGTATTCTCCCTCCCTGCATCAGCCCAGATGGGAAAGTCAGGCCAGGGCCATACAGACTTTTGGTGCTGGGGCCCCCAGAGAGAAGCTGACCAGCTCTTTGCTCTCCTGGCCCAGGACGTAGGGAAGAGCCCCCTAGGTAGTGGAAATGCCATACTGACCTTGTGGCACAGAAATGAAGACCTCACGGTGGGGTGGAAGGGCACCCTCTCTGGAGTGAGAGTGAAGAGTTCTGAGCTACCCTTAAAGGGAGAAGGGAATTGAGTGCCCCCCAGGGCAGCCGTTCTGCACCAGGCTCCTCTCCTATCCCCTATCCTGTTCCAGAAAGGACCCCCCCGCCCAGGGTGATCTCACACAGGAGACTTCCATTCACATGGAATCAGATACACAGCGTGGCACACCAACACCAGATCAGATCACACAAGGACACCTACCGTGTTACACTGTGCCTGCCAAGGAGTGGGTGGGGAGAGCACTGGAATCTGAATTGGGAGGCTAGTGTAGTGTCCAGAAGGGACTCAGATGTGCCATATCAGCACAGGACGTCAACCTATGCCTGCTAGGATCTTGGGGTGAAGGAGAGGGGCTGGCTGGTGGGAGGGTCTCCTAGACTGGTCCCTCCCTCTTCTCCATTCCTATCCCACCCCAGTCACAGACCTTGTTTGTTGCTCTCTCCTTGTTTCCCACGCCTGCTACTCTTCCCCTCCTTGTTTTCTCTTCTACTTCACCTACATTTCCACCGTAAATGGCTACTTCCACTACACCCATGCATACACCATGGGAGGCAGGGATAGAGGAAACTACTTGAACTGTTTTGGGGCGGGGAGGGCAGAAAGTGGGAGGGGTGCTGGGAATGTGCTAAGGTGTAGTGTTTGGCCAAGTAGGGGCCTGAGGATTAGGGAGACACAGATGGAGAGAAACAAAGACCTTAGAAGCTGAAGGGGAAGCTGGGAGGGATGCCCAGGAGAGAGAGTCCTCAGGAAAAGGCCCCAGAGGTAGACAAAAGGCAGAGCTGGGCGGGCAGTGGCGGGGCAGGCAAGGGAGGCGGAGGGACACAGGAGGGGGCGGGGCACTGAGGCTGCAAGCAGATGGAGAGGATTTGCTTTGCTGAGCTGAACTCTTCAGCCAGTGAGGTTTGGGAGAACTTGATGGGGGTGGGGATCATTACCCTGGTTGCCCGCTCCTGCTTCTTCATCCCTTTCCCACCTCACCTTGGGTCTTGGGGAAGGAGGTGTTTGGTCTCAACCCCTTCATGGCCCTAATGTAAGGACCCTAGGGCCCCTATTCTGTCTCTAAGCTGTGGCCACCTTATTCAGTTCACACACCTCTAAGCTCACTACAGAGGGAGAACTGGGGCTGCAGGGACTTAGGGGCTGCAAGCCATTTGTGGTGAGAAAGGTGACCTCTTTCTCCTTTGCAGGACCTGAAGGAGAAGAAGGAGAAGGTGGAGGAGAAGGCAAGCCGGAAAGAGCGAAAGAAAGAAGTGGTGGAGGTGTGGAGGGGTGGGGGAGAGGACCACATCTGCCCTACCATCTTCCCTCCCAATCATCTCATCCTTCCTCTGCTTTCCTTCCGAGGGTGCTGGGTCCTGCCGTTCCCCTGAGCCCTGTCACCCTTGCTGCCCCACCCTGTGGCCCATCCCAAGCCCTTTTATCACCCAGGCTCCAGTCCCATTGGTGGTGATGGTGGGCAAGGCATGCAGCCAGCCTGAGGCTACTCCCTCTCCTGGTCCCCACAGGAGGAGGAGAACGGGGCTGAGGAGGAAGAAGAAGAAACTGCCGAGGATGGAGAGGAGGAAGATGAAGGGGAAGAAGAAGGTGGGGAGGGGCAGGGGAGGCTGGGCTGGCAAAGTCTGGGCTCAAAGGAGAGCAGAGTCAGGGTGGGTTTGAAGACCTGAAGCAGGGCTGAGGGCGACCACGGGGGCTCTGCCAGAGCTTCCTGCCCTTCCCCAATGACCCATTTCTGGCTCCTCAGATGAGGAAGAAGAAGAAGAGGATGATGAAGGGCCCGCGCTGAAGAGAGCTGCCGAAGAGGAGGTTTGGGCTGGGTTGCTGGGCCTGAGGGGCTGTCAGGGATGCAGCCGGGCTGGGCGCCCTTTGGATTTGGACCCAGATCCCTGTGTGGCAGGGGTGGGGGCTGGAACAGGACCGGGACAGGGGGAGGTCTCCCCTCCCATTTTACAGCTCCCCCATTCTCTCCCTCTCCACAGGATGAAGCGGATCCCAAACGGCAGAAGACAGAAAATGGGGCATCGGCGTGAGCCCCTGCCAACAGGCTGGGGTTGGGAGGCCTCTCTGGGCCTGGAGGTGGGGGTGGGGGCAGCCAAGTCCAGCCACTCTTCACCTGGCTCCCTGCTCTGGGCCCTGCACCAGAGCTGCCACCCTCTTCTTTCTCCCCAGCCTTCTCATTTCCGCCTCTCCAGACACTGCGCCCTCCACCCTCACTCTGCCATTGTTCCACCTCCTGACCTGCTCCATCTGAGCTCTCCAGCTGGCCCCCAATTGCTCCTCTCTCTCTTTGCTCTCTTTCTCCCTCCCCTACCAGCCTCATTCTTCCTCCGGTAGCCTCTCCCACCTAACCTCTGCATCCCCCAGCCTCATGTCCTGCCCCATCCCTATCCTGCCTGATCCCTGGATCTCCCTCAGATCCCCTCTTCTCAGACAGCGCCAGGCCGGGGTGGGGCCGGGGTTGGGGCCGAGCCCCACAGCTGCCCCCCTCCCCTCCCTTTTTGTATAATTTAATAAAGAAATGGTCGCGCTTCTGTTTTTAACCTGTCTCCTGCTTTCCCGGGGGCTCCAGTCAGTGCGACAAAAGGGTAGAGAGGGAGGAGGGTGGCTGACCTCCCATTCTGCCAGGACCCTTCCCTTTGATACAAAAGCAGCAGCACACTCCTACCACCCACGACTCAAGAAGACAAGATCAGCCCTCCAGGGGTGGCCTGGAGCCCAGCTCTTCTGAGAGCTGACTTATGTCCTGTTTTGGATTCTCAGGGATGCTCCTCCCCAGCAATACACACTTCCCTGCTAACCCACACAAGACCTAGACACTGCTGAGCCCAGTGGAAAGCTACCAGCTCTATTGTGCTGAACCAGGCACAGAGAAACAGCCCAGAAACAGGAAGTCCTTCCCCTGAGCTGGGAGAGGGCTGGTAGTCCTGGGTCTCAGCCTGCTAGGATCTGGAGTGAGCTGCCTGGCATCAGAGATGCCCTCTGCCTGGCATGGAAGCGAGCTCCTTCCAGTCAAGCAGGGAAATCCTGGGTCTCGTGTCATCCCCAGGTCGGCTGTATGTTTCGTCACCTGCCCTCCAACTCTCCCTGGGCTGGGCTGGGGAGCGGGAGTTGTATGACTCTTGTCAGTCTTGGGCCTTCCCTAGTCCCACTGCCTCTGTTTCCCCTGAGTTTGATCTCTGTTAGGAGATTTCTAAGATTTCTGCATTTCTCCATCTCCGCATGGCCCTTGCCTTCTCCTCTTAGTTCGGAACCTCTGGACTGGAGGATGCTTCTGAGGGCATGGGGACCTGAGTTGGAGTGGGGAGGGGTGTTGACTCATCAACAGCATCATTTCTCCCAGGAGACGCCCGTAACTCATCCAAGGTCAGGACTACACACTGTCACGCACACAGGTACACTCACAGCTTTTATCTTCACGCTCCCTAACCTTGGCAAATTGTACAATTTCTTTGAAGCTCAGTTTCCTCATCTGTACAATGGGGAAAAGCATTAGATTTCATGAATTACTATAAGTAAAGTGTCCAATACAGTGCTTAGCACGTAATGAAGCCTCAATACAATGTAGTTATTCTCCATGCCCCACAAAGCTGGCATGCCTAGCCTCAGACCTACCATTTTTTGGGGTGCAGTAAGGCTTCCTGTCCACCATGTTCCCAGGGACATTGTACTGATGGGTGGAAAGGCAGGTCTAAAGGGGTCACGAAGTTCTGGGAGGTTAAGGGAACGAGGAAGGAGATTGAGCAACAAGGAAAGAGCTTGCCAAGAAGGAGGTGTGAATATTGGGACTGAGGAGGCAGCTTAGAGATGGGCAAGGGGGCAGTTCCAGGCAGAAATGGTTCGTGGAGGCAGAAGGTCCCTGGGAGAGGGAGCAGTCTGGAGGGTGGGGCAGGGGCGAGGAGGGGGAGGTGGGGAGACCCAGGACTGAGGAAGTAAACAAGGGGAGCGCCACCACAGAGGTGGAGAGGTGGAGGGTGCTGCTGCTGGGAATCAACCCCCTCAGACTTTCCACTGCGAAGCGAAACCGTAAGCCCTGGGGTGCGGGGGGCGGGCCGGGAGGAGGGGAAGTGGGGAAGGTGGAGGGAAGGCCGGGCACAGGGGTGAAGGCCCAGAGACCAGCAGAACGGCATCCCAGCCACGACGGCCACTTTGCTCTGTCTGCTCTCCGCCACGGCCCTGCTCTGTTCCCTGGGACACCCCCGCCCCCACCTCCTCAGGCTGCCTGATCTGCCCAGCTTTCCAGCTTTCCTCTGGATTCCGGCCTCTGGTCATCCCTCCCCACCCTCTCTCCAAGGCCCTCTCCTGGTCTCCCTTCTTCTAGAACCCCTTCCTCCACCTCCCTCTCTGCAGAACTTCTCCTTTACCCCCCACCCCCCACCACTGCCCCCTTTCCTTTTCTGACCTCCTTTTGGAGGGCTCAGCGCTGCCCAGACCATAGGAGAGATGTGGGAGGCTCAGTTCCTGGGCTTGCTGTTTCTGCAGCCGCTTTGGGTGGCTCCAGGTAAAACGGGGATGGCGGGAGGGTTGACCTCCAGCCCCACAGGAGGGGACCAGCAGGGATCTCTGTGGCCACAAAGGTCCTGAGGTCCTTAGCTCTGTGGATTCTTCTAATCCCTTTTTTGGGCAGTCCTTCCACCCCGAAAGCCTCTCTGGGCAGAGAAGAAACAGAAACCCAAGTTCTTCCTGCACCCTGTTTCTCCCTCGGGAAACACCCAGGCTCCTTCTCTACCCCTGCCTCTCGGCTCACGCCCCCTCCCCTTGGCCTCTCTTTTGCTCACCTAGTGAAGCCTCTCCAGCCAGGGGCTGAGGTCCCGGTGGTGTGGGCCCAGGAGGGGGCTCCTGCCCAGCTCCCCTGCAGCCCCACAATCCCCCTCCAGGATCTCAGCCTTCTGCGAAGAGCAGGGGTCACTTGGCAGCATCAGCCAGACAGGTATGCACCCCAAACTTGGGCAACAGGACCTCCGAATCCAGCACTCAACCCCACACCCGTGCCGGTCCTCTGTCCCCTGCCCTGAGGTGTCACTCCCTCTGAAGCCAGTGACCCAGTCTCCCTGCCCTCGCTTGCACCGTTCCTGCCCTTGCTCTGCAATCAGCGACCCTCACGCCAGCATCCCTTCTCTCCAGAAGTGGATGCGGCCAGTCCAACAGAGGGGTCGGGCGTGAGGGGACGGTTGGTGGTCAAGAGAACTCTTGGGGCGGGCTTTCTCATCCTCAACGGGTGGCTGCCTGCATCCTCCCGGGCTTCCTACCCCTGGAGCTTCTCAACTCCATTCTCTTTCCCGCCCAGTGGCCCGCCCGCTGCCGCCCCCGGCCATCCCCTGGCCCCCGGCCCTCACCCGGCGGCGCCCTCCTCCTGGGGGCCCAGGCCCCGCCGCTACACGGTGCTGAGCGTGGGTCCCGGAGGCCTGCGCAGCGGGAGGCTGCCCCTGCAGCCCCGCGTCCAGCTGGATGAGCGCGGCCGGCAGCGCGGGGACTTCTCGCTATGGCTGCGCCCAGCCCGGCGCGCGGACGCCGGCGAGTACCGCGCCGCGGTGCACCTCAGGGACCGCGCCCTCTCCTGCCGCCTCCGTCTGCGCCTGGGCCAGGCCTCGAGTATGTGGGGCGGGACGATGGGAGAAGGGCTGGGAGGTGGGTCCCCATCCCCTGCCTCCCGGGACGCAGGAAGGGCTGGGGCAGAGGCTGCGCCCTAGGCCCTGTCGGAGAGCTCCCAGAAGAGTAGAGGAAGGGGGTGGGCGGCCTGCTGGAGTGGAAGGTGCCCCCGAAGCACGTGTATGGGGGGCCCTGTGGAGAGATTGTGTCACCCCCGAGCTCCCCTTCTCCCACCCACGCGGGAGTGCCCAGAGGGAGGGGGAGGGGGGGAGAGCATGGGGCTAAAGTGATTCATTTCAGATATCTGTAGCTCAGGGGGTGGGCTTCGCGGGGTTCCAGGCCAGGAAAACGGCAAGGGTGGCTGATGCCAAGTAAACTCCAGGCCAGGGACGGGGAAAGTGGTCCTGGGGAGTCTTGGGGATCCACTTTATGCACCTCCAGGTGCTGGAAGCTGAGATGGGGAGAGGGTGATGTGGGAGAGGAGAAGACAAGTCTAAAGCCAGGTGCCTGTTTCCAGGAGCTTCCGGCTTGGCAGCCCTGCTGTGTTGGGAAATTGTTTCCAGTGGGCTGATGAAGTCTTCTTTATCCTTGCACAGTGACTGCCAGCCCCCCAGGATCTCTCAGAGCCTCCGACTGGGTCATTTTGAACTGCTCCTTCAGCCGCCCTGACCGCCCAGCCTCTGTGCATTGGTTCCGGAACCGGGGCCAGGGCCGAGTCCCTGTCCGGGAGTCCCCCCATCACCACTTAGCGGAAAGCTTCCTCTTCCTGCCCCAAGTCAGCCCCATGGACTCTGGGCCCTGGGGCTGCATCCTCACCTACAGAGATGGCTTCAACGTCTCCATCATGTATAACCTCACTGTTCTGGGTAACTCCCCCACTCTGCTTCACATTTGACCACAACTCCTTCCTGCCCCCCTTGTCACCTCCCCTAACTATGGGTCCCCAAACCAGGTTCTCGGCAGCGAGTGGCCTACGTCATTGCTGTGGGTCTCACTGTTCGACCCCTTTATATTGCTGGCAGCCTCACAGCTGCCATCACCCCTTCTTGCTTCTCCCGTGGCCTTCCAGCGTCATTGCCGGCCTTCCCTCTCCTTCCGGCTAAGCCCACTTGCTGGGTTTCTGAGCCTCCTCAGCTCATCACCTTATTCTGCTCCTTAGCACTCTTATGAGCCAGACCATCTCCTGAATTCTTCTGCCTCCCTTCCTTGCAGCCCCAGCACTCCCTCCCCACTGCAGCACCCAGCTTTAACTTTGGGTTTTCTTTTCTCTTCAGGTCTGGAGCCCCCAACTCCCTTGACAGTGTACGCTGGAGCAGGTTCCAGGGTGGGGCTGCCCTGCCGCCTGCCTGCTGGTGTGGGGACCCGGTCTTTCCTCACTGCCAAGTGGACTCCTCCTGGGGGAGGCCCTGACCTCCTGGTGACTGGAGACAATGGCGACTTTACCCTTCGACTAGAGGATGTGAGCCAGGCCCAGGCTGGGACCTACACCTGCCATATCCATCTGCAGGAACAGCAGCTCAATGCCACTGTCACATTGGCAATCATCACAGGTCAGCCTCAGGTGGGAAAGGAGTAGCTGCCCTCCCAGGGTAGAAAGGACAGGGAGGAAGGGCTGGCAGGGCAAAGACTAGGCAAACCCACCCTGTGATGCCAGGCCACTGGGCACAAGTTCCAGAGCCTGCCCATCTCGGCCCCCACTTTTCTCACCCCCATAATAAAGAAACGAAACTGAAAATCTCCTCTTGAGTCACAAGATAAAAGTTCCACCGTTCTCTATGGGACTCCCCTGCTCTCAATTGGCGGGAGGGTCTGGGAAGTTAGAAGGAAAGGTGACAAAAATTCTGAATGGTTCGAAAGAGGTAGAATATATTTCTAGAATCCTTGTCTACTTTGCAGCCAGGGCTTGGGTTAGAGTTGCAGGAAGTGGCCTGGATTTGGGAGGAGTGAATAAATCCGTCCCTTGGTCAGCAAATATTTACTGAGCAAGGGTTTTCCAAGACAGTATAAAACAAACACAGAAAAAAGAATACTCAGAGAGTATGTGTTGACTGGTTGATAACTATCGGCCATGACAGATTAGCCATGTCTGCAGCACGCACCTGCGGCCACTCAGTAGTAGCACCCCACGGCAGGTGCTTAATAATGTATAGAGATTGAATGAATACGTGAACATGCTAATGGATAATACATCTCCTGAAGGCCAATCCTGAGTTTTCACTTGCTTTCTGGATACCTCTAACTAGATGTTATACCACCTCTCAGCCGCCTTACCCTGAACCCCAGCTTTTTCTCCCACCAATCCCCTTGCTGACTCAGCCTGTCAGTAATCCACTGGTATCCATCCACCTCGAAACCTGGCCTCCTCCTCTCTACATCCCATCAGTCATCAAAGTCCACCAGTTCTTTCTGTCCAATGCCCTCTTGAAGGTCAACTGTTTTATGTAGACGGCTCAATGAGAGAGATACTGTTACCCCGAAGACTTTCTCAAAACAGCTGGGAAGTGCCAGACTCTGGGTCTAAACTCAGGTGTCTGCATCACCAAATCACTCTCCAGGACACTACTCAGATGCCCTTCACCCTTTGTCTCCTCCCACCCACCCATCTCTCACTTTACAACTTGGAGAATGCTCTGTCTCTAGATGAATGGGTCAGTTCCCTGTTCTCTATACCTTCAGAAAGGGGGATGATGTTCATTCAGGGGGCACCACAAGGCAGGGGACACTGATGTGAGCCGCATCATGGAAGTTCCAAAATTGTGAAGTAGATGGGGGTCAGCTCATCTGACTGATTTTGAGGGTTCTGAGCATTTGAGTAGAAAGTAATGTAAAAGAATCTGTAATAGTATTTATTCTGTGGTCTGCCAGGGCCAGTTTGAGTGTGAAGGCAGTAGGGAGCCTGGAAATGTTTTGAGCAGGGGAGGGAGCTGACTAGAGCATTGTCTGAATAAGATAAATGTGGCCGGCAGGGCATGATGGCTCACACCTGTAATCCCAGCACTTTGAAAGGCTGAGACGAGAGGAGCACTTGAGTCCAGGAATTCCAGACTAGCCTGGGCAACATGGTGAAAACGCATCTGTATACAATTTAATAAAAAAATAAATAGAAAGAAAAAGATGAACGTGGCCATGACCCATGATGTCCTTCCCCAACCTCCCCTGGCCAGAACCCAAGTGAGTGCAGGGTGATTGAGACTTGGGGTTCAACCTGTGATATCACGTAAGGGGGGCAGAATCCCAAAAGATCTCTTCCTTCTACTCTTTTCAGTGACTCCCAAATCCTTTGGGTCACCTGGATCCCTGGGGAAGCTGCTTTGTGAGGTGACTCCAGTATCTGGACAAGAACGCTTTGTGTGGAGCTCTCTGGACACCCCATCCCAGAGGAGTTTCTCAGGACCTTGGCTGGAGGCACAGGAGGCCCAGCTCCTTTCCCAGCCTTGGCAATGCCAGCTGTACCAGGGGGAGAGGCTTCTTGGAGCAGCAGTGTACTTCACAGAGCTGTCTAGCCCAGGTCCGAGGCCCCAGAATGCCAGGACCCAAACGCCACAGCAATAATCTTTATCCTCCTTCCAGAACAGCCCCTGCCACCCCCATCCCAGCGCTTTTCTTTCCAGTCAGGGACCTGATCTCTGGCTTTTGCCTAGGGTTGACCCGTTTCCGCCACTGATCAGCTGAATGACCCTGGGACAAGTCCCTTAAACTCTCTGGATCTCATTGCATCTGTAAAGTCTGAGAGAATGACAAAGTGTCCTTTCTAGTCCTGACCCTATGCCTCATCCTGTACTTTCTCCATAGGTGCCCAACGCTCTGGGAGAGCCCCAGGTGCCCTCCCAGCAGGCCACCTCCTGCTGTTTCTCATCCTTGGTGTCCTTTCTCTGCTCCTTTTGGTGACTGGAGCCTTTGGCTTTCACCTTTGGAGAAGACAGGTGAGCCAGGGACATGGCAACCCCGCCCCCCAGCAGCTCCCGCTCTTCCATCCTCAGAGTGCTGATGGCACCCCTTCCTCAGGAAGGTGACCAAATGGGACCCTGAACTTGCCCTCAGAGCCCCCCTTCTTCATAAGCCTCTCACTCCAGGGATGGCTTGTGCCTGGGTAGGCTGGAAGGGGGGTTGGGAGAAAGCCAGGACCAGATGGGGAGGGCAGGGGCGCTGAGAAAAAATAGAGGGACTCAGTGTCCCTCCTCATCCGCTTCCCTTCATCCTTCTCCTCCTTCCGCCCTCCGTCTCTCTCTCCATCTCTTCTCACAGTGGCGACCAAGACGATTTTCTGCCTTAGAGCAAGGGATTCACCCTCCGCAGGCTCAGAGCAAGATAGAGGAGCTGGAGCAAGAACCGGAGCCGGAGCCGGAGCCGGAACCGGAGCCCGAGCCCGAGCCCGAGCCGGAGCAGCTCTGACCTGGAGCTGAGGCAGCCAGCAGATCTCAGCAGCCCAGTCCAAATAAACTCCCTGTCAGCAGCAAGCCTGAGTCTGGCTCTTTCTTGTCCAAGTGAAGGTTCCCGTCTCTCCCCAGCCTCTGAGGGCTCCCTTCTCCCACCCTAGCCTCCTAACCTACTTTCCCCAGCCAGCCTCCCTCACCTTCCCCTTTTCTGTTTCTGGCTGCTTCGTGTTTCTTTCTTGGTCTCTCTCTCTCTTGCGCTCACTCTCTCTTTCTCTCTCCTGGGTAATCATTTCTCTGAAGCTCCCCCGAAAAAGCCCTTGCCCCTTGCCTCCGCAGCTCTCTCCTCCGTCCTTCCACCCACCTTCCACCCACAGTGCGCTGGCTGCCCTGGTTTCCTTGATATTTTTGTCCTTTGGGTCCACCCCACCCCACACTCAGCTGCACTTCAGCACTTGTCCTTGGCCCTCCGGCTGCAGCAGATGCGCACATATGCTCGCGCGCACGTGCACACACACATGCACACACACGCGCGCGCGCACACGCACACACACACACACACACACACACGCGCGGCGCGCAGAGGACTGCCTTGTCAAGTCTTCCAGGAGATCCGGTCTGGAAACCTCTCTGGGCAGCCGGCTGGGGCTCCTACCTCTGCCCCACCCCCCACGTTCCTCAGCCCTTGGAGGCTTTTCTGGTCCCAGGCATGAGAACACACTGCCACCCAGTGGTCACTGCTTGTCACACCCCAACGGAGGTCACTGGGCCGGCTGCGGCAGGCCTGAGGAGTTGAGCAGTGCAGTGGACAAGGCAGGGCACAGACTGCTGTGAATGCAGGCACCGCCTTTGTATTATGCACGTTCTATGTGCAGCATATGAGTATGTGCCCGGTGACTGTCACATGTCCTATGCACCCTTCAGGAGAGGGACTGAACAATGCATGTCTCAGGAGATACAGCCCTGGCTGGCCCTCTCAAGGGTGTAATCTATGTCTGACAAAGGGGAAGGCTGTGAACAAAGGCCTGTGCGTAGAGCAAAACAGCCAGCTGCAGCTGTGGGAGTCGGGAGCCCCGGCTTCTCATTCCAGCTTTGCTGATGTAACTGTAGTCAATCTCCCTGAGCCTCAGTTTCCTCACCTATTAAATGGGATAATGATAATAACCCACCAAAATGGGTTGTTGTGAATATTGGATAATAAAGGGCTTTGGAAACTGTGAAGTGCTCTGTGTGTGTGGAGTACTTGTCTGATTATCCATTAGTGAAGGAGAAAGCAGGCCTGCTCTGGTCATGCTAAGAATGATATTGAAGAACCCAAGTCGGCCTGCGCCCTGCTCTGTCTGTCTGTCTTGGAGCATTCACCTGGGCCATGTCAATGGTCCTCTCAGCAGAGCAAACACGGCCTCAGCACATGGCATCCTCCAGTCTGGCATGGGACAGAGACCTCTGCCTGCAAATAGGTGTGGGGCCCTGGACTTTGGCCACAGATGACTCTGTCAGGGGACTTTAACCCCATACAGGAGAACAAAATATTGAAAGCGAGTGGGTGAGTGGGAGTGAAACTGCTGGAGCAGGAGGGGCATGGTGGCATGTGTGAGTGGCATCCCACTGGGTCTGTGTGCCGTGTGCAAAAAGACACAAAAAGACAGACCTGAGGACATGTCCCTGCAGAGACACAATAGTCACTCATTAGAGACAGACGATGAAGAAGGTGACACCTTTGTTCTGTGCAGAGCCTTAGGTAGAGGGGGGACCCTCTGAAGCCTGAACAATGAACCATTTACAGCAATCTGAGGTTCTGAGCCTCAGGATGGTGATGACTCTTGCCTTGTCACTGGCAGAGAAACACTGGCACAGGAAGGAGGAAGCTCTGGCCCTGCCAGAGATGATCACACTGCAAAAGGAAGTCTTGAAGTCCTTTTAGAAGCTTCCAGGCCAGGTGTCATGGCTTATGCCTGTAATCTCAGCACTTTGGGAGGCGGAGGCAGAAGGATTGCTTGAGCCCAGGAGTTCGAGACCAGCCTGGGCAGTATAGTGAGACCTCATCTCTAAAAAAAAAAAAAAAAAGTTAGTTGGGCATGCTGGTACGCCCCTGTGGTCCCAGCTATTTGGGAGGTTGAGGTGGGAGGATCACCTAAGCCTGGGAGGTTGAGGCTGCAGTGAGCCATAATCGTGCCACTATACTCCAGCCTGGGTGACAGAGTGAGATCCTGTCTCAAAAACAAAAAACAAGAAGCCTCCAAAGCATCGTTCCTACCCTTCGCTGCTGCTCAGAGACTCCTCAGCTCCAGCCCAGGACCCTGCTCCCCACAGCCTTAGTGGAAGCCCTGATATTTTAATAGGGCAGGGGTTTCCTGGAAAGTTCTGTGGGTGGCATTTTTCCTTTTTACTAGCTAACATCCTATGCCCTTTGGGCTTATGAGAGTAGTCATCGAAGATTCACTGAGGCCTATGCGGGGACTTCCCCATGCTCTTTCATAAAGGGGACAGGGAGGGGACAGAGGCAGAACGAAGGGCCTCCTTTTTCCTTTACCCCTTAGAGAAGAGCAAAGGGCAGAAGGAAGAAAGGGCATATGGGCTGCATTCCGTGAGTGCTTCTCTGTGGGGTCTCTCCTCAGGGTGACATTCTGCTCCCACTCCTCTTCCCACAGCCCCCCACTCTCCGTCTGGCAGGATAATCTCCAGCCCTTTTCCTGTCCTCCAAAGGCCCCTAGGGAGCTTGGTTAATTCATTTGGCTTCTCCAGGTTGATCTGTAAACCAGTGTTCCAGGCTGCGGTCCTGGAGGGGAAGGAGCATCAGGAGGCCACGAGCTCAGGGAGCTTCAGTGGGTGGGTGGGTGGGAATCATCTCAGCTCCTTGTTAAGAAGGAAGGGGGGTGCGTGAGTTACCTATTGGCGTATAACAAACAAATTACCCTAAAACTTAGTAATTTAAAATAATAAGCTGGGTGTGGTGGCTCACACTGGTAATCCCAACACTTTGGGAGACTGAGGCAGGAGGATTGCTTGAGGCCGGGAGTGTGAGACCAGCCTGGGTGACTTAGTGAGATCACACTTCTACTTTTTTTTTTTTTTTGAGACAGAGTCTCACTCTGTCACCCAGGCTGGAGTGCAGTGGCTTGATCTCGGCTCACTGCAACCTCCATCTCCCGGGCTCAAGCGATTCTCCTGCCTCAGCCTCCCAAGTAGCTGGGACTACAGGTGCATACCACCACACCCTGCTAATTTTTGAATTTTTGTATTTTAATTAATAATTAATAAATTATTTTTGAGACAGAGTTTTGCTTTTGTCGCCCAGGCTGGAGTGCAGTTTGGTGCCATCTCGGCTCACTGCAAGCTCCGCCTCTCGGGTTCAAGCAATTCTCCTGCCTCAGCCTCTGGAGTAGCTGGGACTACAGGCGCCAGCCACCACGCCCGGCTAACTTTCTGTGTTTTTAGTAGAGACGGGGTTTCACTGTGTTAGCTAGGATGGGTCTGGATCTCCTGACCTCGTGATCCGCCTGCCTCGGCCTCCCAAAGTGCTGGGATTACAGGCGTGAACCACCACACCCAGCCTACCATTTTTTTTTCTTTTTGAATTTAAAAATGAGCTGGGCACGGTGGCATGCACCTGTGGTCCTAGTTATTCAGGAGGCTGAGGGAGAAGAATCACTGGAGGCTAGGATTTCCAGGCTGTAGTGAGCCATGATTGTGCTATTTCACTCCAGCTTGGGTGACAGGGTGAGATCCTGTGTCTAAAAAGAATAATAACAATAATAATAAACATTATCTCACACAACGAGGAATCCAGGAGCAGTCTTGCTGAGTAGTTCTGGCACAGGGTTGCTCATGAGGTTGCTGCTGAGGTGAGGGTCAGGTCTGGAGCCATCTGAAGGCTGGGATGGGGCTGGAGATTCTGCCTCCAAGACAGCTCACTCGGGAGGCTGTCGGCCAGAGGCCTTAACTCCTCCCTGTGTGGGTGTCTTTATGGGGCCTCTCACAACACGACACAGCAACTGGCTTCCCCCAGAGGGACAGCGTGGAAAAGACAAAAGCTACCACATCTTTATTTCAAGATTAGATTTGATCTTGAAAGCAACGTGCCATAATTTCTGCCCTATTCTATTGATCACAGAGACCAACCTGGTGCAAGCAGGAGGGGGCAATGCAAGGGTGTGAACTGAGGGAGACAGGAGTCACTGGGGGCCATCTTGCAGCCTGGCTGTCAGAGTGGGGAGCAGTGCCTGAAACAGAGATAGGCCAAGAGACGGGAAGGGACGTCTCTGAGCATCTCCATCCCCAGCCCTCTTCTCTTGTCCACTCTCCAGAAGTTCTGGAAGCCAAGTGAGGTCCAGGGCCTTGGCAAGTCGAGTGTGTGAGGTAGGAGGCCATACTGTGCACATTCAGCCTTGGAGTCGGGTTTGCCAGCGGTTCCCCTACCCCTGACGTGGTCTTCTCAGCTCCATAGTGCAGAGGAGGAGCCTCTGCAGGCCCAGAAATTTCCCTGCCCACCTCCCCTACCAGGTAGAGATGTTAGGGTTCAGGCCTGAGCCCCTGCTGCTATCCCTCCTTCAAAGGAGGAGATCAAGGAGCTTAGGGTCCCCCGCACAGGCCCACCCCAGGGTGGGGTTCTTCCTTTGAAGGGAATTGCTTTGGGGTGGGGTCGGTTCTATCTGCTCCACTCTGTGGCTGACAGTTTCTCCAAGGGGCTGCAGGTGTCAGCTGTCTGAGCCCGGGCTGAGCTCTGAAACGTGCCTACTCAAACTTCCCGTGGGGTAGGGGAGGCCCAGAACCACCCTCTGAGAGTGGCAAAAAGTGGTCCTGGAGCCAGGGGAAATGTGGATGGGGTAGAGATGGCATCGATGCTCCTAGACTTTGCTTCCCAGAGAACAGCCCCAAAGACCCCTCCCCTGCTCCCCATCCTCAAACCCTGCCCCCAGCCCCCTTTGCAGAGGGCGTCAGTGCTGCCAAAGATACTTCTGGTAAGGAGGCCACCGCAGAGTTGCACCTGGGGCTTTCAACTTTCCTGCAACCCTGGCTGCCCTAGGCCTCTCAGATCATCCAGTCTCCAGCACTCTGTCTGTAGCCTCTGACACCGGCTTCTCTCTCTTCCCCATCACTCCTTCCCCTGGCTTGGCCTCCTCCCGTTCTACAGCCTAGAGAGGCAGGATACATGCAGCAAAAATAGCCTCTGGAACTCCCCCTGTTCCATGCTTTCAGACATGTGATGGGGGCAGACAGCTTGACTTCCATTTCTTCTTCTGTAAAGTAAGGATAGTAACAGCAACACCTACCAAAAAGGTCTGGCATGTACAAATGAATGTGAAAGTGCTTGGAAAATGGAAAACCACTCTAGAGATGTGAGGACCATGGCACTGCTGAGCCTCAGAAGCTCCAGGTGAGGCAGTGGGCCTCATACCTCCCTCCACTGCTAAGGGAGAAGACTTCTCTTAGCTGTCATCCTGGCCTTTCTTCTTCTTTTTTTATTTTTTATTTTTTTTTTAGAGGTGGGTTCTCGTTATGTTGCCCAGGCTGGTGCGCAGTGGCTATTTACAGGCCCGATCCCACTGCTGATTAGCATGGGTAGCATGGAAATTGTGACCCATTGTGTGTCCGGCCTGGGCTGGCTCACCCCTCCTCAGGCAATCTGGTGGTTCCCCACTCCCGGGAGGTCACCACGCTGAAGCTGAACTCAGTGCAGACACCTGATCTGCATAGTGCACTACAGCCCAGAACTCCTGGGCTCAAGGCATCCTCTTGCTTCAGCCTCCTGAGTAGCTGAGACTACAGGCACTCGGCACCACGCCCCGCCTGGACCTTCTTTTTTTGGTTTGTTTGTTTTTGTTTTTGTTTTTGTATTTTTAGTAGAGATGGGGTTTCACCGTGTTAGCCGGGATGGTCTGGATCTCCTGACATCACAATCCGCCCGCCTCGGCCTCCCAAAGTGCTGGGATTACAGGCACGAGCCACCATGCCTGGTCCTGGACCTTCTTAATGCAGAGGAGAGGCAGTGCAATGAGGGGGACCACCCAGAAACTGGGGTCCAAGCGGGTGAATTCAAATCCCGGTTCCACCAGCTGTGGTTACTAGCTCTGAGACCTTTGACAACTGAAACTCTTCGGCTAGGCACAGTGTGACTCATGCCTGTAATCCCAGCACTTTGGGAGGCTGAGGTGGGTGGATTGCTTGAACCTAGGAGTTTGAGATCAGCCTGGGAAGCATAGCAAAACCCCATCTCTAGGGGAAAAAAAAATTTAGCTGGGTACAGTGGCACATGCCTGTAGTTCCAGCTACTTGAGAGGCTAAGGCGGGAGGATAGATTGAGCCCTGGAGGTTGAGGCTGCAGTGAGCTGTGACCGTGCCACTGCACTGCAGCCTGGGTGACAGAACGAGACCTTGTCTAAGAAAACAAAAAACTCTTCAAGCCTCAGTTTCCTCATCTGTATGGCCTGGACAATAATACCTATGTCTTATCACTCTCATGAGGATTAAATAAAAGATACAACCACATAAAGCACACAACAATGCCAAATGTTTACTATAAACTCACCCTCTCTCTTCCTTTTTTCTTTTCCTGTTTGGAAACCCCAGAGAGAGAGCCAGGTTCTCAGGACCGTTGACTTCCAGGCCACAGACTCACAGAGCTGCAAGTTCTCACACCGTCCATCGGGTCTGGAATCTGCAAACCGGTGGGCCCAAAGCTAGAGCCAGCCCTTGGAATGCTCTGTTTGCTCTACCCAGTGTCACGACAAGTTGAAAAAATTTGTTACCAATATTAAAATCAGGAGGTATTACATAAATGTCTGGTTTTCACCTTCTCTAGAAATTTTGGCAGAGCAGGCAACTCTAGGCTCACATGCCAGTATAGCCTCTACGGTCAACTCAGACAGCTATGCAGGGAATGGCTGCCCTTAACTAGCTGAGGCAAGTACTCTCTGGTTTCCCCCAGTCCCTACCCTTCCCTTTTGGTCACCACCAGTGTACCTTTCTCATTTGCACTACCTAGGGGGCTCCTGTAAGCATTTACATTTGTAGCCCTGCTCTCCTGCTCTTGTCCATACTTCTCTATTTATCCATTCAAAAATTATTTGGCCTGGTGCAGTGGCTCACGCCTATAATCCCAGCACTTTGGGAGGCAGAGGCAGGAGAATCACTTGAGGTCAGGAGTTCGAGACCAGCCTGGCCAACATGGTGAAACCCTGTCTGTACTAAAAATACAAAAATTAGCCAGGCTTGGTGGCGCACGCCTGTAATCCCAGATACTCGGGAGTCTGAGGCAGGAGATTCGCTTGAACCTGGGAGGCGGAGGTTGCAGTGAGCCGAGATCACACCACTGCACTCGAGCCTCGGCGACAGAGCAAGACTCTGTTTCCAAAAAAAAAAGAAAAGAAAAAAGAAAAAAAAATATTATTCAATAGCCAGGAGTTGCAGGGAGTTAGAATGAGGAGTCAGTATTTAATGGGTACAGAGTTTCATTTGGGGAAGATGAAAAATTTCTAGATGGTTACACAACCATGTGAGTGTACTCAGTCCCACAGAGCAGTACATTAAAAAATGCCTAAAATGGCCGGGTGTGGTGACTCACACCTGTAATCCCAACACTTTGGGAGGCCAAGGTGAGCAGATCACTTGAGGTCAGGAATTCGAGACCAGCCTGGCCAACATGGTGAAACCCCGTCTTTACTAAAAATACAAAAATTAGCCAGGCGTGGTGGCGGGCACCTGTAGTCCCAGCTACTCGGGAGGCTGAGGCTGGAGAATCGCTTGAACCCAGGAGGTGGAGGTTGCAGTGAACCTAGATTGTGCCACTGCACTCCAGCCTGGGGGACAGAGTAAGACTCCGTCTTGGAAAAAAAAAAAAAAAAAGCTTAAAATGGAAAATCTTATGTTGCGTGTATTTTACCGCAATAAATTTAATATCAATAAAATTTAATATATTAGGAAAATATTAAACAAGCATTAAGGGTCTTCCAGGGCCAAGGCATCTGTGAGGGTGCTGGGAACATAGTGCTAACTAAGACAGACACGGTCACCGCTCTGGCCTGTGAGCTAGACACTAAGCAGCAAATAACTTCATTGCAACTGGAAAATTGCTACGAAGGGAGAAGCACAGGGGACTGGGAGATCTTATCACAAGGAAAACTGATTTCAACTGAGGAACCTGAGTATCCTCTGAGACTCTGGGGAGGAAGTCCTGTGCAGGAGAATGGTAGAGCAACAAAATATAAACAGCCCCAATCTTGGCCCTGGAGGACGGCGTGCTGCTCCCTCTCTTCTGCACCACCCACCTCCACACTTCCTACATGTGAAAAATAACTTCAATCTTGTTGAAGCCTCTATTATTTTGGGTTTTCTTTTGCTTGTAGCAGAACCCAGTGCTTACCGATAGACAATTCTCCCAGTTGAAAGAAGGTTCTTTTGTGATAAGATCTCCCAGCACCTTGTGCTTTTTCCTTTGTAGCGCTTGTCGAATTGTAATGAAGTTGTTCGTTGTTTAGTGTCTATGTCATAAGCTGGAGTGGTGACCATATCTGTCTTCTTCAACATCACATCCCCAGCTACCTAGCAGAGTGCCTTGGGCTGGTACACGCTTAACTACGTACATGAATGAATGGAGCAGGGCTCAAAACATCAATGCCTACCAGAGCCTGCCAGGTAATGTAAATGAGAAAAGCAGACTGGCTGTGAACAATAGGGAGGGTGTTTGCTTTCTAGTCTGAAGGAAGAAGGCCTGAGGAGGATACATTTTCCCCACTTTGAGGAGCAACTCTGAGGTTGCACCTAATACTTTCACTTCTATCTATTAACCAAAATTGAGTCACTTGGACACATCCAGCTGTGAGGGAGGCTGGGAAGTATATTTTAAATCTGGGTAGCTAAGAGCTCAGCTAAAAATTGAGGGTTCTATTACCAAGAAGGAGAAAATAGACTTTGGGGACAGCTAAAGCGATAGCTGAGATCTGAAGAATGAATAAAAATTACCTAGATCAGTGGTTCTCAGAGTGAAGTGTGGCCTGCAGACCCTTGGGAGTCCCTGAGACCCTTTCAGGGGATCTTCAAGGTCAAGCTATTTTCATAAAAAAATACAGGATGTTATTTTCCTTTGTCACTATGTTGACATTGCAATAATGTTGCAAAAACAATCTGGATAAAACTGCTGCCTTAGCATAAATGAAGGCAGTGGTGCCAAACCATATGATAGTCATTGCATTCTTCACTGCCAGGTACTTACAGTAAAAAAAGAAAAAAAATTAATGCCACTTTTACTTAAGAATGCCCTTAATGAGGCCGGGCGCAGTGGCTCGTGCCTGTAATCCCAGCACTTTGGGAGGCCGAAGCGGGCAGATCAGGATCACCTGAGGTCAGGAGTTCAAGACCAGCCTGGCCAACGAGTGAAACCCTGTCTCTACAAAAATACAAAAATTAGCCAGGCATGTTGGCGGGTGCCTGTAATCCCAGCTACTCGGGAGGCTGAGGCAGGAGAATGGCTTGAATCCAGGAGGCGGAGGTTGTAGTAAGCCGAAATCATGCTGCTGCACTTCAGCCTGGATGACAAAGCAAGACTCTGTCTCAAAAAAAAAAAAAAAAAAAAGAGAGATCAAGACCATCCTGGGCAACATGGTGAAACCCCATCTCTACTAAAGATACAAAAATTAGCTGGGCATTGTGGCGCATGCCTGTAGCCCCAGCTACTTGGGAGGCTGAGGCAGGAGAATTGCTTGAACCCGGGAGGCAGAGGTTGCAGTGAGCCAAGATCACGCCACTGCACTCTAGCCTGGGCAACAGAGTGAGACTCCCTCTCAAAAAAAAAAAAAAAAAAAAATATATATATATATATATATAGAATGCCTTTAATGAAGCAGTAAATACTAATTTTATTAAATCTCAACCCTTGAGTACGGTGTGTCATGAAATGAGAAGTAGCACACAGTACTATATGCTACAGATGAAGTACAATGCTGTCAAATAGGGGTACTTGTGTTAATTGTTGGAGTCGCAAGCTGAACTAGAGTTTTCTTTTCTTTTCTTTTCTTTTCTTCTTTTCAAGACAGGTTCTCACTCTGTCACTCAGGCTAGAGTGCAGTGGTGCAATCACGGTTCACTGCAGCCTCAACTTCCTGGGCTCAAGCGATCCCCCCACCTCGGCCTCCTAAAATGCTGGGATTATAGGCATGAGCCACCACTCCCAGCCCCACTTTTTTCAGACTGGAAAACGCACACTCACATGTGCATCTTTAAATGATCACTTGGGCTGTGGTATGGAGAATGGCGACCAGTGAGGAGGCAGGAGCTGTTGTCCGAGCAAGGGATGATATTGGCATCTTGGATTGGCATGGTGGCAGTAGTGGTAGTGCAGAGTGACTTGGGTAGATTTTGGAGCCATTTAGAAGGTAACATCCACAGGAACTGGTAAATAAATACGTGGGAGAAGTTGGGTGAAGGGGGTGTCAAAGATTACACCCAATTTATTTTGCTTGGGCAAGTTGGTGGATGGTGAGCCCCTCACTGAGTGAGAAGCCTGGAGAAGCAGGTTTGGAGGGTGGTAGTATGCAGGTGGTATGCATAGTTGGGGATGTGTGTTGAGTTTGCTATGTCCGGTGAGCTTCCCAGTGGAGATGTCCAATGGGCAGACGGATACTCACATAGAGAGTTCATGGTAGATTCGGGCTAGAGGAAAGCACCTGAGGCCTGGCCAGAGACGCCTAGAGGAACAGAGCCTGGTTAACAGTCACTCCTGGTGTCTCAGATATTCTCTGCTCAGCCCACGCCCTCTCTTCCACACTGGGCCACCTATAAAGCCTCCACAGATACCCCTGGGGCACCCACTGGACACATGCCCTCAGGGCCCCAGAGCAAGGAGCTGTTTGTGGGCTTACCACTGCTGTTCCCATATGCCCCCAACTGCCTCCCACTTCTTTCCCCACAGCCTGGTCAGACATGGCGCTACCACTAATGGAATCTTTCTTGCCATCTTTTTCTTGCCGCTTAACAGTGGCAGTGACAGTTTGACTCCTGATTTAAGCCTGATTCTGCTTAACTTTTTCCCTTGACTTTGGCATTTTCACTTTGACATGTTCCCTGAGAGCCTGGGGGGTGGGGAACCCAGCTCCAGCTGGTGACGTTTGGGGCCGGCCCAGGCCTAGGGTGTGGAGGAGCCTTGCCATCGGGCTTCCTGTCTCTCTTCATTTAAGCACGACTCTGCAGAAGGAACAAAGCACCCTCCCCACTGGGCTCCTGGTTGCAGAGCTCCAAGTCCTCACACAGATACGCCTGTTTGAGAAGCAGCGGGCAAGAAAGACGCAAGCCCAGAGGTAAGGTGGTCAGACTCGGCTTCCTTCCCCGGAGCTGAGAGGGAGGGGAACGTGGGGCAGATGCACAGGAATGTGCTCTGCCCAGTTGTCTGCCCACAGCTCTGGCCACCTTCTCTTGCATTTCTCTTGGAACTGGTCATGAGCAGCGATTTCCCACTGGAACTGTGAGCTTCCAGAGGTCAGAGACTGTGCTAGACTCCTCTCTGCAGCCCCAGCGTGCACAGCTCAGTGTCCAGAGCAATGGGTGCTCCTTAGAGGAGTAGTGACCTAAATAGCAAGATCAGAGAGGGAGTGAAGACTGGAGACTATCCCAGGCTGGGAAAGGCGTGGAAGGCAACTAGTCGTGGGCAGTTGAGGGGAGAAGACTGGAAGAGGGGAAAAGAGGAGAAAAAGAGTGAAGAAGGGGAGGGAAAAAATTAGAAAGAATAAATAAATATAAGGTGGGAGGAAACCTATAAAAAAGAAATGATGAGGAAAAACATAAAAACAAGAAAAAGAGCAAAAGAAGTGGAATCTAGTCTAGAGAAAATTCTTGCAAAACCAATTTTCCTTAACGGGACAATCTCCAAAAATTGACACCAAATATCATACTTGCAGCATTTCATAAGTCGCATGATCTATGTAATAGTCTCTTTTAACTACCTTTTGTGTTTCTGTGTGTATTTTTAAATTTTTGTCTGCTTCTTTGCTCTTTTAAGATTTTTGAACAATGTCTAAAGGCACTTCTACTCTAGTTAGCTTTAAAATGATTCATGAAATAGGAAAGCTAAAATTCTCAGAAAGTGTTGAAACTGAGCTTTTGCGTATGAATTGCCCTAAAAGTTGCAGATACATATCTTTAGATAAATATGTCATTTAAGAAACGGATTCGAAAAGAATTGGTGGTAGGGGTCTCATGAGGCCGGGAGAGTTACAGAAGGATGTGCAGCCCCTCCTGGGCCTGGCAGGGTGTGAGGGAGAGTGAGGACTCACTGTCCCTCCTGAAGGGAAGCCCTGTGCCATCTCAGCCTTTCCGCCCTCAGACCTTTCCAGCCCCTGAGACCTCATGGCCTTGAAGCCGTGCTATCCCCAGTGTCCTCTGCTTTCCCCTCATAGGCTTCTTCTGGGAGAGAGGTTTCCTGGGGTACGTTCTGATCCCTCAAAACGGAAAGGCCCTGTTCTCAATAATTCAAAGATTTCACTCTGAGTGGGATAGTGCTTCCTGAATGCCCTGCTCTTGTGGTGGACATTTTTATCGGGGCAAGGCTAAGAGCAGGGCCTGATGGGGGAAGTCACTGCTACTTCACATTTTGACCAATAATTCCTTGTGCTGTATCAGATGCTGTAGGCTGATACAAAATGGCCGCCGCCCTCAAAGTCAGATGAAAGAGCCCCTGAGGACAGCGTTAGAGACACTCGGGAGATGATTTCCCTCTTTCAATGTGGGAGCACTTACATAGGAGAGGTCTATATCTAGATAAAAACTCCTCCCACCACTGGTGCTAGACAGAGCTTGGGGGCAGCCCTAGGCTCTGACCCTGGCCGTAATGGCGGGGTGGTGCTGAGGGCAATTGGCTAGACCAATTGTCTTGCACGTTTTATTTTTTATTATTATTTTTGAGACGGAGTCTCGCTCTCTTGCCCAGGCTGGAGTGCAATGACGTGATCTCCACTCACTGCAGCCTCCACCTCCTGGGTTCAAGCGATTCTCCTGCCTCAGCCTCTTGAGTAGCTGGGATTACAGGAGCCCAACACCACGCCCGGCTACTTTTTGTATTTTTAGTAGAGACCAGGTTTCACTATGTTGGACAGGCTGGCCTCAAACTCCTGGCCTCAAATGATCCGCCCGCCTTGGCCTCCCAAAGTGCTGGCATTACAGACGTGAGCCACCATACTGGGCCAGTCTTGCACATTTTAGACACTCAATAAATGTTTGTTGAATGAAATACCTGTGATGGGCCGGGCGTGGTGGCCCACACCAGTAATCCCAGCCCTTTGAGAGGCCGAGGCAGGAGGATGGCTTGAACCTGGGAGTTTGAGACCAGCCTGGGCAACATGGTGAAACCCCCATCTCTACAAACCCCACAAAAGTTAGCTGGGCATGGTAGTGTGTGCCTGTGGTTCCAGCTACTTGGGAAGCTGAGGTGGGAGGATTGCTTGAGCCTGGGAGACGGAGGCTGCAGTGAGGCCTGACTGTGCCACTGCACTCCAGCCTGGGCGAGAGTGAGGCCCTGTCTCAAAATAACTTTGATGAAGGTGGGGAATCAGAAGTAGGTGGGCAGGGGTCTGGGTTTGCAAGGCTCTGAGTTTGAGCTCTGTTCTGTACCTTTGAGGGGATGAGGGAAGGAGGGTGGGCACGGTTCCCCCGATGTGGGTGTCTGAGGCGAAGAAGAGGATGGCGGAGGTTGCAGCCACCAACCACAAGAGTTCCTTAGAGGGGTCACAGTCTCTAGGAAGTTTATAGGAAGCTAGTCAGCAGTAGAGAGGGTGAACGCGGTGGGGCACATCCCGCGGCTGGGCTTGAGTGGGCTGCTTGGGGGTTATGGGGAGAAGATAAAAGTGCCTGTGGGACCACAGACTCTCGCTGTGGTGGAGCTGGGCCCTCTTACCCTCCCAAGCCTCGCCCCTCATCCCATCCCTGGGGGCCAGGGGTGAGGGCGGCAGGAACCTCAAGGCTCTGAGAAAGTGCGTGGTGTGTGTTGCCATTTTGGTCTCTTCTCTTTCTCAGTCTCTCTTTGCCTCACTTTGGATCTATGCTCTGTGCATCTGTCTTGCTTCTCAGAATTTCTTCTTTTCCTCTTTTTTTGTACTACCCTGCGCTTTGTGTGTGATTGTGGATTGTGTGTGCATAGCTGTTGCTTTAACAAGCTGCTCCAGGTCTCTCTCTCCCACATCTTTCCCTCCCCTCCTCCCTTGAGGCTCTGTGCATTCTGGGGAACTCTGTCCATTTCCCTTTGTCCATGTGTCCCTCCCACCCTGCAGCCGGCTCCCTCACATCCACCCTGGGCTGCAGGCGTGCTCGGCAGGCTCCCCACAGATCAAAGCTTGTCCAGGGTCTGCATTGCTGCCAAAGGCCAGGAGGACTGTGTACAGACCGGAAGGAGCTAGAGCTTAGTGGCAGCCTGAGAGGGGAAGCTGAAAAAGGAGAAGAGGCAAGGGGCATTCCAGGGGAGCCCGGGAGAGCCAGCACGGCCGCCTGGTATATGAGGCAAAGAGGAAGACAGACACAGACACAGGGAGCTGCAGGCTGGGGGCATAAGCTGGGGGCTGGGAAGCATAGATACAGAAATGCACAGATGTGAGCTGAGAAGCAAGGAGGGAGAGAGAGAGACAGAAAGAGAGAGAGAGACGTGCCAGGGCTTGAGGGACCAGAGAGCCCTCCCAGCCTCTCTCGGAGTGCTGGTATACAGGATGCTACCGTACTAGGGTAAGACACCTCTGGGGACGCTGAGTATGGGAATCAAAGGCCAGATCTCTGGGGTGGCAGCGGAAGCCCAAAGCACCAAAGCAAGCATGCTGGAAACCCACAGCCTCCTCCACTTAGCAGAGCCTTGGGGTGAGATGAGGCAGAACAGGGAGCTGGAGGCAGGGAGGTGGCTGTCTGCACATACCTCAGGACCATGGAGCTGGGGGAGTCAAAACAGCCACCATATGGGGAAGGGTCAAGAATGCCTCTAGTCTTCCCCAGGCATCTTATCAGGGTAAGCTGAATTTGGACCCCAGAGAAGGGATATCGTTTATGGAGACTTCCCCTCTTTCATCCCCTGCTCACCAAGGACCCAGTCAGTCTGGGATGGGGGACAGTGGGAACCACTCTTTGGTATGAGGCTACTCCTATTCTACTCTTCTCACTGCAGCCTTCCCCTAGATGCCTCCCATCTGCATGCTAACCTGTAAACACTTCACCATCACTGGTGGCTAGTCTCCCTTCCTCCTTTTTCAGAAACCTCCTTCCTGACCTCTTTTCTTCCTACTTCCCCGGTTTAAACAAAATTGTATCTATCTATCATCTATCTATCTATCTATCTATCTATCTATCTATCTATCTATCTATCTATCTATCTTTTTTTTTTTTGAGACAAAATCTCACTCTGTCGCCCAGGCTGTAGTGCAGTGGCACTACAAGTAATCCCAAGTAGCTGAGATTACAGGCGCCCGCCACCATCCCCAGCTAATTTTTTTGTATTTTTAGTAGACACGGGGGTTTCATGATGTTGGCCAGGCTGGTCTCAAACTCCTGGCCTCAAGTGATCTGCCTGCCTCGGCCTCCCAAGGTGCTGGATTATAGGTATGAGCCACCACACACGACACCCGGCTTCTATCTATCTATATCTATCTATCTATCTATCTATCTATCTATCTATCACCTATCTATCTAATCTATCTATATCTGTCTATCTATCTTTATGTATCTATCTTATCTATTGATCTATCTATCTTTTTTTTTTTTTGAGACAGAGTCACTCTGTCACCCAGGCTGGAGTGCAGTGGCACGATCTCGGCTCACTGCAACCTCCGCCTCCCGGGTTCAAGCGATTCTCCTACCTCAGCCTCCTCAGTAGCTGGGACTACCCACCACCACTCCTGGCTAATTTTTGTATTTTCAGTAGAGATAGGGTTTCACTATGTTGGCCAGGCTGGTCTCCAACTCCTGACCTAAAGTGATCCACCCACCTTGGTTTCCCAAAGTGCTGGGATTACAGGCGTGAGCCACCGTGCCTGGACATATATCTATCTTTTTTTTTTTTGAGATGGAGTCTCGCTCTGTTGCCCAGGCTGGAGTGCAGTGGCGTGATTTCGGCTCACTGCAACCTCCGCCTCCCGGGTTCAAGTGATTCTCCTGCCTCAGCCTCCCAAGTAGCTGAGATTACAGACGTGCGTCACCATGCCCAGCTAATTTTTGTATTTTTAGTAGAGATGGGATTTCACTATGTTGGCCAGGCTGGTCTCGTACTCCCGACCTCAGGTGATCCACTTGCCTTGGCCTCCCAAAGTGCTGGAATTACAGGTGTGAGCCACTGCATCCGGCCTTATATATCTATCTTGTCTGTCTGACTGTCTAATCTAATTCATCTATTTTATCTGTTTATCTTATCTATCATCTATTTATCTAATCTATCTGTCTGTATGTCTGTTTTTTTTTTGTTTTTTTTTTTTTTTTGAGATAGAGTCTTGCTCTGTCGCCGAGGCTGGAGTGCGGTGGCGCGATCTCAGCTCACTGCTGAACCTCCGCCTCCTGGGTTCTAAGCGATTCTCCTGCCTCAATCTTTGGAGTAGCTGGGATTACAGGCCCGTACCACTGTGCCCGGCTAATTTTGTATTTTTAGTAGAGAAGGGTTTCACCATGTTGGTCAGGCTTGTATTGAACTCCTGACCTCAGGTGATCTACCCGCCTAAGCCTCCCAAAGTGCTGGGAGTACAGGTGTGAGCCACTGTGTCTGTCCCTAAATGTCTGTCTCTATCTATCTATCTATCTATCTATCTATCTATCTATCTAATCTATCTTTCTGTCTAACCTAATCTATTTTATCTATCTTATTCATCATCTATCTAATCTGTCTGTATGTTTATCTAATCTATTTACCTAATCTATCAATCTATCATCTAATCTATCTAATCTGTCTATCTAATCTATTTTATCTATCTATCTATCTGTCCATCCATCTATCTACCTACCTGTCTATCTCAAGCACCTACCACGTATTAAGCCCTGGCTACCTCCTCTTCCAGGCAGATGGAGTAACTGGAGGCAGCTAACAAAGATGGAGTCACTTTTCTTATCTTCTCCTAAACCACCGTAAGAGGACCAAGCCCCCACACCTTCTGAGTGCCCCATTCCTCTCCACAGATTGTGTCTTAGTGCCCAGCAGGAAACACAGTCCACCTCCCATGGTTCAAGAGATTGTAGAAAGGGGGTTATTCACATAGGTTAAGGGAATCAATCAATTTGAAGCACAGACACTATTAACAGCAGGAAGAGTCCTGAAGAAGTGAAAATGGTGTTTCTGGAACCCAGAGAGTGCTTGCACTCTGGATAAGGGGCCACCCCACAGAAGCTGTGGAGGGGCAGGGCTGCAGGTGAGGATGAACACACAGCTATTGACAGAAAATATGCCCAGGGCAGGGATAGAGTAGGAAAAATATCCCAGCTTCTTTCCCCCACCCTTCCATCTCATCTCTGAAAGGCACTTCCCACTGGCCAGCCCCGACTGGTGCTGGAGGGCAAGAGAGCCTATGAGCCATGTGTGGCTGTCAGCCCCTTGGTGGAGAGCCACAGACAGGATGGAGAGTGGCTGGCAGGGCCCCGTGGGGATGAACAGCTTGGATTGGGGCGACTGGGCTTCATCCAGGCTGGGCTGGATGTGTGCATACATTTCAGTGACCCGTTTTAGAAACAGAATTAATATGGTGAATAGAGAAAGAAGAAATCAGTGACTTTCGCTCCTCCATACAATTCAATTTGGCTTAAGTTAGCCAAAGCCATACCAAGTCCTCTCTCTATGTCTCAGCTGCTGCCAGGCTTGTGGTGGCCACACAGCTGGCTAGACTGTCATCTCTGTCCTCAAGGGGCTCAAGCTAGAGGAGGAGAGTTGAGAAACCAAATCACTATACACAAAGTAGAAGGTGGAACACACCCAGGAGCATGTCAACGGGGTGCTGTGGGACTTCAGAGTAGGCAGATCGTCACCAAGCTTCAACGGCAAAGATGCCACTGGGGGAAAGAAGGACCAAGCTTGGAAGACAGAGTAAGTCTGGAGGCAAGATCTTGTCTCACCAGCAGGGGCCAGGTCCATGGTGACACCTTCCCCAGGCAGTCACCTCTCTGAGCCCACTTTATATCCTAGGCCTGGATTCAAAGACACTTGAGCCCTGCTCCAGCCTTCCTTTGAGGTGCTATCTTGGTGCCTTTCCTATAATCACTGCTCCAGTCCCATGTCATCTGGTCCCCAGTTACCACATCAAGCTTCCCGAAGCTCCACACAGACCATGCCACATCTTTACCAAAAAATCAGCAGTGGGTCCCCTCACCTCCAGGACAAAGCTCCAGCTCTTCGACCTGCCTGTCAATATTTGCAATCACTGCCTGCACAAATTAGCTGGGTGTTGTCATGAAAGGATCACTTGAGCCCAGGAGTTCCAGGCTGCAATGACCTATGATTGAACCACTGCACTCTGGCCTGGGTGACAGAGTGGATCTAAACTAAAAATAAAAAGATTTACAGTCAAGCCTCAAAGGCTTTTCCCATACCTTCTTCCACCATCACCTCCCTGAGCCCTCTCTTTCCTCCGAAGCCTCCTCGCACATCCCTACCACCTTTGCACACCTCAGAATGGGGACACCTCTCCCCTTTCCTCTCCATCTAACTTATGGTTTTCAAACTTGAGCGTGATCAGTTACCTGGAGATTTGTGAAAACCCAGATGACTAGACCCACCCCCAGTTTCTGATTCAGCAGGTCTGGGGTGGGGCCGAGGATCTGCATTTCTAACAAGTTCCCAGGTCATGTTGCCGCTGCTACTGATCCAGGACTTTGGGAATCGCTCCTCTAATCTACAGCTGTCCATTCCCCATGGTCCATTCAGAGCCTCTCTGCCCTGCCCCCACCACCCCCAGTCTCGCCTGTCTGCCAAGCGCACAGGAAACTCTCCTTCATCCAAACCCTGGACCAACGCCTTCTGCTTGGCCCACTCAGAGGCCTTGTAGGGTTGGTCTGATATTGGACAGAGAAATGGCCCTCTGCTCTTTCTCCCCTGACCTCTCTGAAGGGGGCCTGCCCCTCCACACCTGTGGGTATTTCTCGCAAGGTGGAGACAAGAGACTGAGAAAAGAAATAAGACACAGAGAAAGTATAGAGGAATAAAAGTGGGCCCAGGGGACCGGCGCTCAGCAAGTGAGGACCTGCACCGGTGCTGGTCTCTGAGTTCCCTCAGTATTTATTGATCACTATCTTTACTATCTCCGCGAGGGGAATGTGGTGGGGCTATAGGGTGAAGGTGAGGAGAGGGTCAGCAGAAAAACATATGAGCAAAGACTCTGTGTCATAAATAAGTTTAAGGAAAGGTGCTGTGCCTGGATGTGCTAGATTTATGTTTAACTTTACACAAACATCTCAGTGTAGTAAAGAGTAACAGAGCAGTATTGCCGCCATGATGTCTCGCCTCCAGACATAAGGCAGTTTTCTCCTCTCTCAAAATAGAATGTATGATCGGTTTTACACCGGGTCATTCCATTCCCAGGGACGAGCAGGAGACAGATGCCTTCCTCTTATCTCAACCGAATAGAGGCCTTCCTCCTTCACTAATCCTCCTCAGCACAGACCCTTTACGGGTGTCGGGCTGGGGGGCTGTAAGGTCTTTCCCTTCCCATGAGGCCATATCTCAGGCTGTCTCAGTGGGGGGAAACCTGGACAATACCTAGGCTTTCTCGGGCAGGGGTTCCTGCGGCCTTCCACAGTGTATTGTGTCTCTGGTTAATAGAGAACGGAGAATGGTGATGACTTTCACCAAGCACACTGCCTGCAAGAACTTTTCTTTTTTTTTTTTTTTGAGACAGAGTCTTGCTCTGTCGCCCAGGCTGGAGTGCAGTGGCGCGATCTCGGCTCACTGCCACCTCTGCCTCCCGGGTTCACGCCATTCTCCTGCCTCAGCCTCCCGAGTAGCTGGGACTACAGGCGCCCGCCACCACGCCCGGCTAATTTTTTTGTATTTTTTTAGTAGAGATGGGGTTTCACCGTGTTCACCAGGATGGTCTCGATCTCCTGACCTCATGATCCGCCCGCCTTGGCCTCCCAAAATGCTGGGATTACACGTGTGAGGCAAGAACTTTTTAAAAGTGCATCTTGCGCAGCCCTAGATCCATTAAACCTTGATTCAATACAGGACATGTTTTTGTGAGCACAGGGTTGGGACAAAAGTTACAGATTAACAGCATCTCAAAGCAGAACAATTTTTCTTAGTACAGATCAAAATGGAGTTTCTTATGTCTTCCTTTTTCTACATAGACACAGTAACAATCTGATCTCTCTTTCTTTTCCCCATACCTCTCACGCTGTATCAGGCCCCAATTCTTGGGAACGTCACCTTAGAACTGTCCCACACATTTCTACAGCCACTTGGCTCAGGCCCTTTGCTGACCAGGATGGTTGCAGTTCTGCCTTTGGTGCCTCGCCTCCTCCAGTTCTTTCACTCAGCAGCTGCAGGGGTCCACGTGGCAAATCTAATAATCTTCTTCTCTATAGAAAATCCTCTGCTGGCTCTCTAGTGCCCAGGATCCAGTCCCAGCATCTCAGCACGGCCTTCAAGCATTTCCACGTCCTGGCCTGGCTCCATGGTCTCCCCGCCAATTTGCCACCTTCTCCATGCATCCTTTTCTGATCCCCTCCTCACTCATCCCAGCAAAGAACCCCCTCCTGGCCTGAGCATAGCATTTCGTGGTGTGTATCTCAGAGCATCCAGTTAGGGGTGTGCAAGTTTACTTTGTTACTGGCTGATGTTGTGAAGTCCCAAGTTGTTGGTGCCGCAAACAAAAAATTGGACATGACACACACAAATAGCAAAGCAGCAAAAGTTTATTAAGCACAGTACGATCCACTATGGATCAAGGATGACCTGCGAATGGTATCAGCATCACTTTGCTATATTTCATGGCCTTTTCTATGTGTTTTTTTTCTCTTTTTCCTCAAGCTGCCTAAGCTTTAGCCAGCATGTGCCTTTTGGTTGACAGGTGGGTTGCTTAGTTTCTTGGCCTCTGTGTGTTTACGTGTCATTTCCTTCCCATAGTTTTAAGTACATGCATGATATGCACTCTGTAGGCATGAACCTTAAGTAGCTAATTACTATACGGGGTCATTTTGAGGATATCTTTTCTCTGTAGTACATGTGCATCTTTTTTTGCAGTGGTGCAATCTTGGCTCACTGCAACCTCCTCCTCCCTGGTTCAAGTGATTCTCCTGCCTCAGCTTCCTAAGCACCTGAGACTACAGGTGCATGCCACCACGCCCGGCTAATTTTTGTATTTTTAGTAGAGATGGGGTTTCACCATGTTGGCCAGGCTGATCTCGAACTCCTGACCGCAAGTGATCCACCCACCTCGGCCTCCCAAAGCACTGGGATTACAGGCATGAGCCACCGCACCCAGCCTAGTATATGCCCATCTCTTAGGAGCTGCTCCTAACTGGTTTGGTTTGGATCTAGCCAGCCATGGGGCTCCTTATTCACTTATTTATCTTCTGTTTTTGCTCACCTGCCTCTTTCTCTTGCTTCTGCTCCTACTCATTCCTTCCTTAATCCAACCTCCAATTCCCTCTGCTATTCTCCTGCCTCAAGTTCACTAGGCTGGCTGCAAGGGTCCTGAGGGAGAGGTTGTGTATCGCCCCTGTATACTCCAGGTCCAGTAAATGTTTGCTGACTAATGATTGGCATTTCCCTCAGGCCCTGCCATTTCTGTGGGCTCAGGTCCCTACTGGCTCAGGCCCCTGCCTCCCTCGGCAAGGCCACAATGAACCGGGGAGTCCCTTTTAGGCACTTGCTTCTGGTGCTGCAACTGGGTAAGTTCTCAGACCTGGGGTCTCAATGCAGATGACGTGGGAGGAAAGGCAAAGGTGGAGGATGGGGTAGAGGGGGACAGCGGCGACATTGAGACCTGACTCCTTTCTTTTCCACTTAGCGCTCCTCCCAGCAGCCACTCAGGGAAAGAAAGTGGTGCTGGGCAAAAAAGGGGATACAGTGGAACTGACCTGTACAGCTTCCCAGAAGAAGAGCATACAATTCCACTGGAAAAACTCCAACCAGATAAAGATTCTGGGAAATCAGGGCTCCTTCTTAACTAAAGGTAGGGTTGCCTGGCTCCCCATCCAGGGAGGAAAACACACTATGGAGTGAAAGCCTTTGGTGTCTGAGATCTGGTCTTAGTTAAACTCTGGGATCCCAGAGGGCTTGGGTTGACAGAAACTCAGTGGCATTCTTATCCAGAGTTTCTCTACACCAACTGCTGGTGGCCCAGGGAAAGGTGGTATGTGAATTTCAATATTTTAATATTTAATATTCATGAACTTATTTTAGTGAGTTTTAGAACAATCACTATCACTTAAAACCCGTGATTTCTTGAGTATTGTTGCTACAGACCTATGTAGATAATACTTTGCACAGTGACTCATATGTATAATCCTAGCACTGTGGGAGGCTGAGGCCGGAGGATTGCTTGAGTCCAGGAGTTCAAGACCAGCCTGAACAACATAGTGAGACTCTGTCTCTATGAAAAAAAATATATATATATTTTTTTTGGAGACAAGGTCTAGTTCTATCACCCAGGCTCCAGTGCAGTGGTGTGATCTCGGCTCACTGCAATCTCCACCTCCCAGGCTCAAGTCATCATCCCACCTCAGCCTCCCAAGTAGCTGGGACTACAGGCATGCACCACCATGCCAGGCTAATTTTTGTATTTTTTATAGAGACAGGGTTTCACCATGTTGGCCAGGCTGGTCTCGAACTCATGAGCTCAAGTGATCCACTCACCTTGGCCTCTCAGAGTGCTGGAATTACAGGTGTGTGTCACTATGCCTAGCCAAAAAAAATTTTTTTAATTAAAAAAAAAAAGGCCGGCTGTAGTGGCTCACACCTGTAATCCAGAACTTTGGGAGTTTGAGGTGGGCAGATCACCGGNGGTCAGGAGTTCAAGACCAGTCTGGCCAACATGGTGAAACCCGGTCTCTACTAAAAATACAAAAATTAGCCAGGTGTGGGGGTGCAGTCCTGTACTTCCAGCTACTCAGGAGGCTGAGGCAGGAGACTCGCTTGAACCTGGGAGGCAAAGGCTGCAGTGAGCTGAGATTGCACCACTGCACTCCAGCCTGGGTGACAGAGCAAGACTTCATCTCAAAAAAAAAAAAAAAGCTGCANATTTATTATTATTATTATTAGTTTATTTATTTATTTTTTTGAGACAGAGTCTCGTTCTGTCGCCCAGGCTGGAGTGCGGTGGCGTGATCTTGGCTCATTGCAACCTCCACCTCCCGGGTTCAAGTGATTCTCCTGCCTCAGCCTCCCGAGTAGCTGGGACTACAGGCGTATGCCACCATGCCTGGCTAATTTTTTGTACTTTTAGTAGAGACAGAGTTTCACGGTGTTAGCCAGGCTGGTCTTGATCTCCTGACCTCGTGATTTACCCTCCTTGGCCTCCCAAAGTGCTGGGATTACAGGCGTGAGTCACTGTGCCCGGCCCAGAATCATTTTTTTCTACTTTTTTTTTTTTGAGGCAAACTCTCGATCTGTTGCCCAGGCTGGAGTGCAGTGGGCATGATCTTGGCTCACTGCAAGCTCTGCCTCCCAGGTTCAAGCAATTCTCCTGCCTCAGCCTCCTGAGTAGCTGGGACTACAGGCGTGTGCCACCATGCCCGGCTAATTTGCGTATTTTTAGTAGAGACCGGTTTTCATCATATTGGCCAGGCTGGTCTTGAACTCCTGACCTCAAGTGATTCTCCCACCTTAGCCTCCCAAAGTGCTGGGATTACAGGCATGAGCTACTGCACTTGGCCTTTTCTCCTGGTTTTAAAACTATTATATGCTCATTACAAAATATTTGGTCAATGAAGAAAAGAATATGGAAGAAAATCAAATGCATGCATACTTCTATCACTCAGAGATATCCTCTGCTAACATTTTGATTGATTTTCTTCCAATCTTTTTTTTTTTTTTTCTTTTTGAGACAGGGTCTCACTCTGCTGCCCAGGCTGGAGTACAGTGGCATGACCACAACACATCACAGCCTCAAGTGATCTTCCCACTTCAGCCTTCCCAGTAGCTGGGACTACAGGTGCACGCCACCATGTTCACCTAATTTTTTACTTTTTGTAGAGATGAGACTTCACCATGTTGCTCAGGCTGGTCTTGAATTCCTAGGCTCAAGTGATCTTCCCGCTTTGGCCTCCCAAAGTGCTGGGATTATAGGTATGAGCCACTGCATGTGGCCTATTTTCTTCCACTGTTGTTCGGCGTGGAGAATATTATATACATAATTACGTAAATGATATCATACTGTATATACCTTTTTTCCTACTCCTTCCTTAAGTTATATCATAATGAGACTACCAATTATTAGACTTTTTTTCTTTTTTTTGAGACGGAGTCTCGGTCTGTCACCTAGGCTGGAGTGCAATGGCGCGATCTCAGCTCGCTGCAACCTCTGCCTCCCAGGTTCAAGCAATTCTGCCTCAGCCTCCCGAGTAGCTGGGACTACAGACACGTGCCACCATGCCCAGCTAACTTTTTTATTTTTTTATTAGAGACAGGGTTCCACCATGCTAGCAGGATGGTCTCAATCTCTCGACTTCGTGATCAGCCCGGCTTGGCCTCCCAAAGTGCTGGGAGTACAGGTGTGAGCCACCGCACTCGGCCTAGACTAACTATTTAAAGTAATCTGGCAATGTTTAACGAATACAAAACTCTAAAACCCTTGGACCTAATAATAGCTATTTTGGAAAGTCTACTTGACAGAAATAAAATTGTGAATATTCTTTTTTGTTGTTTTTTTGAGACAGAGTCTCATTTGGACGCCTAGGCTGGAGTGCAGTGGCATGATCTCGGCTAACTGCAACCTCCACCTCCTGGGTTCAAGTGATTCTCCTGCCTCAGCCTCCTGAGCAGCTGGGATTACAGGTGTGCACCACCATGTCTGGCTAATTTTTGCATTTTTAGTAGATGGGGTTTCACCATGTTGACCAGGGTGGTCTGGAACTTCTACCCTCAAGTGATCTACCCACCTTGGCCTCCCAAAGTGCTGGGATTACAGGTGTGAGCCACCACGCCTGACCAGTGAACACTTAATAATATCTATGGAAAGGTGTTATTATAAGAATTGCTTGTGGGGCCGGGCGTGGTGGCTCACGCCTGTAATCCCAGCACTTTGGGAGGCTGTGGCAGGCGGATCACGAGGTCAGGAGATCAAGATCATCCTGGCTAACACGGTGAAACCCCGTCTCTACTAAAAATACCAAAAAATTAGCCAGGCGTGGTGGCGGGCACTTGTAATCCCAGCTATCCAGGAGGCTGAGGCAGGAGAATTGCGTGAACCCAGGAGGCGGAGGTCGCAGTGAGCTGAGACCGTGCCATTGCACTCCAGCCTGAGTGACAGAGTGAGACTCCATCACAAAAAATAAATAAATAAATAAATAAAATATAAATAAGTAAATAAAGGTCAGGAGTGGTGGCTCACGCCTGTAATCCCAGCACTTTGGGAGGCCGAGGTGGACAGATCATGAGGTCATGAGATCAAGACCATCCTGGCTAACACAGTGAAACCCTGCCTCTACTAAAAATACAAAAAGTCATCCAGGTGTGGTGGCACACACCTATAGTCCCAGCTACTTGGGAGGCTGAGGCAGGAGAATCACTTGAACCCAGGAGGCAGAGGTTGCAGTGAGCTGAGATCGCGCCACTACACTCCAGCCTAGGCGACAGAGCAAGACTCTGTCTCAAAATAAATAAATAAATAAATAAATAAATAAATAAATAAATAAAATAAAAAGCACACACACACACACACACACACACACACAATGCAAAAGACCCACCCTACTACAACTAACATTATATTTAATGGTGAAAAACTGAATTCTTTCTCCCTAAGTGCAGGAATAAGACAAAGATGTCTGCTCTTACTACTCTTATTCAACATAATACTGCAATCCCTTGCCAGTGCAATAAGGCAAGAAAAATGAAATAAAAGGAAAACTGATCAGAAAGAAAGAAATAAAACTGTTCCTATTTGTGGATGACATGATTACATAGAAAATCTCAAAGAATCTGTAAGAAACTTCTTAGAATTAATAAATGAATTCATCAAGGTTGCAGAATATAAGATAAACATAAAAAATCTATTGTATTTCTATATATTAGCAAGGAACATGTGTACACAGAAATTAAAACTACAATACCATTTATAATTGCTCAAAAAGGCCAGGCATGGTGGCTCACACCTGTAATTCCTGCACTTTGGGAGGCCAAGGTGGGAAGATTGCTTAAGCCCAGGAGTTCAAGACCAGCCCGGGCAACATAGTGAGACCTTGTCTCTACAAAAAGTAAAAAATTAGCTGAGCATGGCCGGGTGCAGTGGCTCACTCCTGTAACCCCAACACTTTGGGAGGCTGAGGCGGGCGGATCATGAGGTCAGGAGATCGAGACCATCCTGGCTAACACGGTGAAACCCTGTCTCTACTAAAAACACAAAAAATTAGCTGGATGTGGTGGCAGGCGCCTGTAGACCCAGCTACTCGGGAAGCTGAGGCAGGAGAATGGCGTGAACCTGGGAGGCGGAGCTTGCAGTGAGCTGAGATTGTGCCACTGCACTCCAGCCTGGGTGACACAGTGAGACTACGTCTCAAAAAAAAAAAAAAAAAAATTAGCTGAGCATTATGGTGTATGCCTGTAGTCCCAGCTACTGGGGAGGCTGAGGTGGGAGGATTGCTTGAGCCCTAGGAGGGCAAGGCTGCAGTGAGCCATGATCACACCACTGCTTTCCAGCCTCGGTAGGAGAGCAAGACCCTATCTCAAAAAAAAAAAAAAAAAAAAAAGAAAAGAAAAGAAAAGAAAAGAAAAAGAAAGAGAGAAAGAAATACTTAGGTGTAAATCTAAAAAACATGCGTAGGGCCAGGTGCAGTGGCTCATGCCTGTAATCCCAGCACTTTGGGAAGTTGAGGCTGGCGGATCACTTGAAGTCGGGAGTTTGAGACCAGCCTGGCCAACATGGTGAAACCCCGTCTCTACTAAAAATGCAAAAATTAGGCAGGTGTTGTGGCGCATGCCTGATCCCAGCTACTTTGGAGGCTGAGGCAGGAGAATTGCTTCAACCCGGGAGGCAGAGGTTGCAGTGAGCCAAGACTGTTCCACTGCACTCCAGCCTGGGCAACAGAGTAAGAGTCTGTCTCCCGAAAAAAAAAAAAAGAAAAAAGAAAGCATTGAATTGTATGCTAAAAACTACACGATGCTGATTAAAGAAGTCAAAGAAGATCTAAATATATGGAGAGACATGCTGTACTCATGGATTGATGGATTGGAAGACTCAACATAAGAAAGATATCAATTTTCCCCAAATTAATATACAAGTTTAATCCAATTCCTATAAAAATACCAGCAAGATTTTTTGTAGATATAAACAAGTTGGCCAGGTGTAGTGGCTTACACCTGTAATCCTAGCACTTTGGGAGGCTGAGGTGGGAAGATCGCTTGAGCCCAGGTGTTCACGACTGCAGTGAGCTATGATTGTGTCACTGCATTCCAGCTGGCACTCCAGCCTAAGTGACAAAGGGAGACCCTGTCTCAAAAACAAAAACAAAACCAAAATAATTTTGCTCTGCAAAATCCCTATTAAGAAGAAGAAAAGAGGCTGGGCACAGTGGCTCACCGCTGTAATCCCAGCACGTTGGGAGGCTGAGGCAGGCTGATCACTTCAGCCCAGAAGTTTGAGATCAGCCTGGGCAACATGAGGAAACCCCGTCTCTACCAAAAAAAAAAAAAGGTACATACACACACACACACACACACACACACATACACAAGTATATACACATATATATACACATACAGGTGAATAGATGTATATACATCTATTTATTGTGAATATACATCTATACACACACGTGTGTGTACACATATATTTAAAATTTATTTTTATTTATTTATTTATTTTTGAGACAGAGTCTTGCTCTGTCACCCAGGCTGGGTGCACCTGTATTCCCAACGACACAGGAGGCTGAGGTGGGAGAATCACTGAGCCAGGGAGGCAGAGGTTGCAGTGAGCCAAGATGTTGCCTGGTTGCCTGGGCAACAGAGCGAGACCCTATATCAAAAAAGAAGAATAATAAGAAAAGACAGTTTACAGAATATAAGAAAATATATTCACAATCCACATACTTAGCAAAGGACTGGTATCTAGAATATGATAAACAACTCTCAAAACTCAAAACCAAAAAAATGAACAATTCAATTAGAAAACAGGCCGAAAAGGACATACAGTTGGCAAATAAGCACATGAAAAGTTGTTCAACATCATTAATCATTAGGGATATGTACATTAAAACCACAATAGGCTATCACTAAACCTATCAGAATGGCTAAATACAAAATTGGAACACCACCAAATGCTGATGAGGATGTGGAGAAACTGGGTCATTCTTCCAATATTGGTGGGAGGCTAAAATGGCAAAGCCACTCTGGAAAACAGTTTGATAGTTTCTTATAAAACAAAACATGCGGCCGGGCGCGGTAGCTCACGCCTGTAATCCCAGCACTTTGGGAGGCCGAGGCGGGTGGATCACGAGGTCAGGAGATCGAGACCATCCTGGCTAACACGGTGAAACCCTGTCTCTACTAAAAATACAAAAAATTAGCCGGGCGTGGTGGCGGGCGCCTGTAGTCCCAGCTACTCGGGAGGCTGAGGCAGGAGAATGGTGTGAACCCGGGAGGCGGAGCTTGCAGTGAGCCGAGATCGCGCCATTGCACTCCAACCTGGGAGACGGAGGGAGACTCCGTCTCAAAAAAACAAAAACAAACAAACAAAAAACATGCAACAATCCAGCAATATTGCACCCCTAGGCATTTATCCTAGAGCAATGAAGACTTATGCCCACACAAAAAGCTGCACACAAATGTTCATAGCAGCTTTATTCATGGTAGCCAACAATTAGAAACAATCTAGATGTCCTTCAACTGGTGAATGATTACATCCATACCACGAAATACTTTTCAGCAATAAAAAGGATGAATCATAGTACACACCACAACCTGGATGAATCTCCAGGGAATTATGCTGAGTGAAAAAAAGCCAATCTCAAAAGGTAATATACTGTATTAATCCATTTATATAACATTCTTAAAATAACTAATTATAGAAATGGAGAACAGATGAGTGATTGCCAGGGGTTAAGGGGCTCAGGGATGGGGAGGGGAAGGGGTATGGCTACAAAAAGCAACAACCTTATGGCGCCGGAAATGTTCTGTATTCTGATTGTGTCAATGTGAGCATACTGGTTGAGATATAGTGCTACAGTTTTGCAAGTTATTACCATCAGAGTAAACTGGATAGAGGGCACATAGGATTTCTCTGTATTACTTCTTACAACTGCAAGTGAATCTACAATTATCTCAAAATAATAAGTTTAGTTTAATGCTAGGCGTGGTGGCTCACATCTGTAATCTCAGCTCTTTGGGAGGCTGAGACGGGTGGATGGCTTGAGTCCAGGAGTTCGAGACCAGCCTGGCCAACATGGCAAAACCGGTCTCTACTAAAAATACAAAAATTAGCTGGGCGTGGTGGCAAGTGCCTGTAGTCCCAGCTACTCGGGAGGCTGAGGCAGGAGAATTGCTTGAACCCGGGAGGTGGAGGTTGCAGTGAGCCGAGATCACGCCACTACACTGTAGCTTGGGCGACAGAGTGAGGCTCTTTCTCAAAAAAAAAAAAAAAAAAAAAAAAGCAGGCAGGCAGGGCCAGGAAAGCGTATAATTTTTGTAGTTCAAATGACTAACCTAAAAAGTGAAGATTGGCCAGGCGCAGTGGCTCACGCCTGTAATCCCAGCACTTTGGGAGGCCAAGGCGGGTGGATCACGAGGTCAGGAGATTGAGCCACTCTGGCTAACACAGTGAAACCCCGTCTCTACTAAAATACAAAAAATTAGCTGGGCGTGGTGGCACCCGCCTGTAGTTGCAGCTACTTGGGAGGCTGAGGCAGGAGAATCACTTGAACCCAGGAGGCGAAGTTGCAGCGAGCCGAGATCACACTACTGCACTCCAGCCTGGGTGACAAAGTGAGATTCTGTCTCAAAAAAAAAAAAAAAAAAAAAAAAAAAAAAAAGTGAAGTTTACCTTTTTTTTTAAATTTTTCTTCTTTTCCTTCCCTACTTTGTGAGATAATTTTCTTCTTTTTAAAAAGCCAAGAGCTTACTTCTGTAAGTAAAGATTATCTTAAGACAACTTAGAAATGTATATTATTAGTATTTTCTATTTCATTGTAAGTTATTTGTAAATATTGGTTTTGGTGCTAACCTAGAATTCCATCAAATTAATTGTCCCCTAATATATGGCCATTATCATTTTGTCTAACATTGTATCCTATTAACAATGCTGTAAGTATTATTTTTGTAGCTAAATTATGGTTTGCATTTTAAAATTATTGTTTTAAGGATAAAGTTCCAGAAATGAAATTAAGGATATGAACTTTTTGAGCACATCTTGTCAGCACTGAGTAGTATTATTTAAAACTTTTGGGGGGGGCAATTTTATAATTGAAAAATATATCATTGTTTTAATTTGCATTTCTTTCACTGCCTATGAGATTAAAACAATGCACTACTTTCCAAAAATTCTTAAGTCTTTTGTGTTGATGCTTTTGTTCTGTTTCTATGGATCTCATCTTCCTTCAGAACAGCTCCCCTTCCCAACTTCCTGATTTCTAACAATAACAGTATCACCCTCCTTGTTCTCCCAATTTCTGAAACACAGAGTCATGTTTTTTTCTCTGCTTCAATCCCTGGTTTCCTATCGTCATCAATTATGACCTTTCCTTGCTTTGAAAGTGTTTTGGGCCGGGCATGATGTCTGCCACCTATTGTAATCCTAGCACTTTGGGAGGCTGAGGCGGCTGGATGACTTGACCTGAGGATTTCGAGACCAGCCTGGGCAACAGGGCGAAACCTCGTCTCTACAAAAAATACAAAAGTTAGTCGGGAGTGGTGGCACATGCTTGTAGTCCCAGTTACTTGGGGGGCTGAGGTGGCAGGATCTCTTGAGCCCACGAGGTAGATGTTGCAGTGAGCCGTGATTGCGCCACTGCACCCCAGCCTAGGTGACAGAGTGAGACCCTGTCTCAAAAAAAAAAAAATGTTCTAGTTTCTTCCTCTTCTTTGTTCCCATGGGAATGCCACCATCACCAGCCAAGGCTCACATACCTCCCACCTGGATTACAGTGAGCTTCCAGGTAATTTGGTCTGCTACTAGTCTCGCCTACTTGGATTTCCCTTCCCCCTGCTGCAGCATTGCCTTCCAAAGCCATGCTTTGCACATGCCACATCCTAGCCCATTAGACTAAGCCTAGAAGCCTCTGCAGGACGTTCACCCTCTCAGCGCCACTGCTCAGTTTCCCAGTGGAAACCTCTGCACCCAGGAGGTTTCCCCACAGCTTGCCTGTGCTGCCTCTCTGGAGCTTTTCTCCCTTCCTGTAATGTCCTTGCTGCTCCCCGTCTCTAGTCCATTGCCTATACCTCTTTTTTTTTTTTTTTTTGAGATGGAGTCTCTCTCTCTCATCCAGGCTGGAGTGCAGTGGCGCGATCTCGGCTCACTGCAACCTTTGTCTCCTGGGTTCAAGGGATTCTCCTGCCTCAGCCTCCCGAGTAACTGGGATTACAGGCGTGCACCACCATTCCTGGCTAATTTTTGTATTTTTAGTAAAGACTGGGTTTCACCATGTTGGCCAGGCTGGTCTTGAACTCCTGCCCTCAGGTGATCCACCTGCCTCGGCCTCCCAGAGTGCTGGGATTACAGGCGTGAGCCACCGCACCTGCCACAGGCCCATACCTCTTTTAAGTCTTCATTCAATACCAGTTGTCCCATGAATTTGTCCCAGACTCACTCATATGCTTAGACCTTTCATATTATCTTGCCATAGCTTTTTCAAAGTATGGGACAGCATGGACAAGCAGGCCATGGTTTTCTTTTGAAGAGAAGCAAGGAGGCAGAGTTATTTTAGGAGGAGGGTTATACATTTCATTTTGAACCAATTGCGTTTGGGGTGATGGCAGGATATTAACATAAACTTATTTCTTGGACCATTGGAAATGTGTGCCTAGAACTGAGGAGAGAGGTCAGGGCTGGCAGTAACAACTTGGCCACAATCTGCAGAGCTGACTGGGGATGAGGTGGAATTTAGAATGTCTGTAGAAACGGGGAAGAGAACCAAAGACAGAGTCTGGGACAACACCTAAATGTAGATGTCAGAGCAAGAGTTCAAGACGAAGAAAAACGAATCATACTTAGAAATGGAGGGGAGGAACAAAAGAGGCGGAGCAAAGTGGGGCAGAACCAGAGTAGGCCACGCTTTTAAGAAGTTTGGTAAAGGAACTGTGAAAGGAATGTAGTTGAATTTCAGGGTAAGCTGGGGAATTAAAGCAGTGTGTAGATCCAGGGCAAACAGCAAGTAGGGCAGGAACCACTGAAGGAACAAATAAAGGGGGAGGTTGGGTCCAGGTTGTCTTGAGTAGGGAAGTTTTTTTAAAAAGTGTGAAACTGAAGGTGTGGGGTGGATTGGGTGCCTGCCGTGCTCTGAGGAAGCTTGGGGCAACTGTGTGCTGAGGCTGTGAGGTTGTCTGGAAGGGGCTCCTGGACAGTAAGAGCTGAGCAGTGGGGAAGAGGACTGTGTGGTCTGGAAGAGGAGAGAAAGGAGAGTGAGTGACTGAACTGGTATCCAGGCTCCCACACCAAGGCAGAAAGAGGGAGAGGACCTGGGCATCTCAGGGAGGCAGAGGCAGTACCAAGCAGGGTGAGAGGCTTTAGTCTTAGCCACCTTTGCCCCATTCCTCCAAATATACATTCTAAGTAAAAACAAAACAAAACAGAACTGTTTGCTATGTAAATTTAGCTTCTAAAGCCCTGTTCTACAGAGATTTTGGAGCTTCCACTGCACCCAGAAAATGCACAGCTAAAGAGAAAACTTCCCTTGGTGATGGTTATTAGATTTTACAAGAAGAGGCCAAAGGAGACACATACTTATGCCAGAAGAACTTTCCAGAGATAGCATTGCATAGCGAAATAGCCTGAATTATTTTTATTTTTTAAAACATTTTTTCTTTTCTTTTTTCTTTTCTTTTTCTTTTTTTTTTTTTTTTTTTGAGACAGAGTCTCACTCTGTCACCCAGGCTGGAGTGCAGTGGCGTGATCTTGGCTCACTGCAATCTCCACCTCCCGGGTTCAAGCCATTCTCCTCCCTCAGCCTCCCAAGTAGCTGGGATTACAGGCATGCGTCACTATGCTCTGGCTAATTTTTTTTTTCTTTTTTTTTTTGGTATTTTTAGTAGAGATGGGGTTTCACCATGTTGGCCAGGCTGGTCTTGAACTCCTGACCTCAAGTGATCCACCGCCTTGGCCTCCCAAAGTGCTGGGATTTCAGGCGTGAGCCACCGCACCCGGCCAAAAATTTCTTTTCTTTAAGATGAGGCCTCACTCTGTTGCCCAGGCTGGAGTGCAGTGTTACAATCATAGCTCACTGTAACTTTGAACTCCTGGGCTCAAGTGATCCTCCTGCTTCAGCCTCTCAAGTAGCTGGGATTACAGGCATGTGCCACCACACCCAGCTAATTTTTTTTAAAATAATTTTTTTTAGAGACGAGGGTCTCGATTGGCTGCCTAGGTTGGTCCCAGACTCCTGACGGGCTGCATTTTAATCCTAGCTCCACCACTTACGGGAGTCAAAATTCAAAAGATAGAAAAGGGCATATAGGCTGGGTGCAGTGGCTCACACCTGCAATCCCAGCAATTTGGGAGGCTGAGGTGGGCGGGTTGCTTGAGGTCAGGAGTTCGAGATCAGCCTGGGCAACATGGCAAAACTTGTATCTACTAAAAATACAAAAATTAGCCAGATGTGGTGGTGTACACCTGTAATCCCAGCTACTCCGAAGGCTGAGGCAAGAGAATCCCTTGAACTCAGGAGGCAGAGGTTACAATGAGCAGAGATCGAACACTCGACTCCATAAAAACAAACAAACAAAAAAAGAAAGCAGGCTGGGTGTGGTGGCTCACGCCTGTAACCCCAGCACTTCGGGAGGCCAAGGCGAGCGGATCACCTGAGGTTGGGCATTCGAGACCAGCCTGACCAACAAGGAGAAACCCTGTCTCTACTGAAAATACAAAATTAGCCGGGCTTGGTTGCGCATGCCTGTAATCTCAGCTACTCGGGAGGCAGAGGCAAGATAATTGCTTGAACCCGGGAGGCGGAGGTTGCGGTGAGCCAAGATCATGCCATTGCACTCCAACCTGGGCAACAATAGCGAAACTCCATCTCAAAAAAAAAAAAGCAAAGGGCATATAGTGAAAAGCTTTCTTCCTACACATGAGTATTCACTTCCTCTTCCTAGAGGCAACCAAGGTTATTTTTGTGTGTGTGTGTGTGTGTGTGTGTGTGTGTGTGTGTTTTGGGACAGTCTCACTCTCTCACCAAGGCTGGAATGCAGTGGTGCGATCTCACTGCAAACTCTGCCTCCCAGTCTCAAGCGATCTTGTGCCTCAGCCTCCCAGTTTTTTTTTCTTTTAAATGGGGTCTCATTCTGTCGCCCAGGGTGGAGTGCAGTGGCATGATCATAGCTCACTGCAGCCTCGACCTCCTGGGTCAGGTTATCCTCCCACCTCAGCCTCCGGCATAGCTGGGGCTACTGGCATGCACCACCACACTCAGTTAATTTTTTTTCTTTTTTGAGACAGAGTCTCACTCTGTCACCTAGACTGGAGTGCAGTGGTGCCATCTCATTTGTTTCACTGCAACCTTTGACTTCTGGGCTCAAGTGATTCTCCCACCTCAGCCTCCCAAGGCGGCTAATTAAAAAAAATTTTTTTTTTTTTTTTTTTAGAGATGGGGTTTCGCCATGTTGCCCAGGCTGATCTCGAACTCCTGGGCACAAACAATCTTTCCACCTCGATCTTTCAAAGAGCTGGGATGAGAGATTTCCACCATGCCTGGCCTCATTTTCTTTTTTAATTTTTTTTTAGACATTATAGCTCTTTTTAATGGCCTCATTTTCTTATGTTTAATTCGAGAATTATTCTTTTCATATACAAAGAATATATTTTCTCCACCTTTAAAAACAAATAGTAGACTGTTTAACATCTCGCTTTATTCAGTTAGTGATGTTTCTTAGATACGGGTCCAAATTAGTACACAAAGCACTTCCTCATTCCTCTCTTACGGCTGCATAGCAGTCCACTGAATGGGTGAGCTATGATCTATTTAACCTATTCTTTATTGATGGACATTTGGTTTTGTATATACATTTGTAATTCTGTATAGATTACAAATCACCATCCAAAGAAATTGTACTGGTTTATTCTCCTACAATGTGTGAGAGTTGGGTAATTACTTAATCTCAATATGTGAGAGTTTAGGCAGTTACCTAATCTCTCTGAGTCTCAGTTTCTCTATCTGCAAAATAAACAAAACAGTGTTGACAGTATCTATTTCTCGGAATTATTGTGGAGATTACTGAGATGATGCCTGTAAAGTATTTGGCATGTAGGAGTTGGTGCTCTCCAAATAAGGATATGATTTTATTTGTATTTGTGAGCTACTGTCCCAGCCAGGTAAATGGATATGATGAGACCTCCTTGCCAGACCGGGTTTCTCTGATTAGAACGAGGAGCAGATGTTGCAGGAAATTAGCAACTGATATCAGAAGAGCCGTGGGCATTCTCTTGCCAGAGGTGCCCTGTCTCCAGGGCGCCTCAGTCCCCCCCCATATGTCTTCTGCTCCCAGGTCCATCCAAGCTGAATGATCGCGCTGACTCAAGAAGAAGCCTTTGGGACCAAGGAAACTTTCCCCTGATCATCAAGAATCTTAAGATAGAAGACTCAGATACTTACATCTGTGAAGTGGAGGACCAGAAGGAGGAGGTGCAATTGCTAGTGTTCGGATGTGAGTGGGGCAGGTGGGGATGAGGATACCTCCTGCCTGGTTCCCTTCCCCACTACTCCCACCCCTGCACCAAATCCAGCCTGAGCTGGTGATACCGCAGCAGCCCCAAGAGGACCAGGCTGTCAAACTGGCCTCCAAATGTCTTAAAACCCTTCTTGATCAGGTGAGGGATGCTGGTGGGCGGAGGAGGGAAGAGGCCTTGGGAAAAGGAAAGAAAAGGGAAGGAGGCAAGGGAAGGAGGGAGAGAGACTGGGGAAGAGAGGATGAGGGGAGAGGAGGAAAGAAGAGAGAGAGGAGGGGAGAGGGAAACCCTATCTTGGCTGGGGGTGCGCAGCTGGGTGCTGGGAGGAAGGAGATGTTGGGACGGCGATAATGGAGAGATGTTGTTGGTTTCCTGTTGTCTGCCCTTCTCCTTGGGGATGGTATGTGTGTGACACAGCTGGCCTTTCCCTCCACAGTGACTGCCAACTCTGACACCCACCTGCTTCAGGGGCAGAGCCTGACCCTGACCTTGGAGAGCCCCCCTGGTAGTAGCCCCTCAGTGCAATGTAGGAGTCCAAGGGGTAAAAACATACAGGGGGGGAAGACCCTCTCCGTGTCTCAGCTGGAGCTCCAGGATAGTGGCACCTGGACATGCACTGTCTTGCAGAACCAGAAGAAGGTGGAGTTCAAAATAGACATCGTGGTGCTAGGTAAGGGAAGCCCCTCTTCGCGCAGTCTCCTCCCTGCCCCAGGGGCTGACAGCCCCTCCCTCTGCTCTGACTGCCCTGTTTCTGGTTCTGGTGCTGGGAGGTCAGGAGTGGAGAAGACTAGGTCCCCTAGAGCTGAGGCCTGTCTTGAAGGACTCACTGGGGCCCTCATCCTCAGGGGGCTGATTGGCAGCCACCCCTCAGTGTGGTGGACATGGAGAAAGGAAAGGCTGGGGAAGGTAAGGATGCTAGAGGCCCGAGTCTCCTTTGGAGGCCCCAAAGGAGGAATGTCAGGGAGCTTACTTTCTTTGTTGCCTCAGCTCCACACCCCTACCAAGTTGGCAAATCCACTTACTCAGGGACACTAACACCAGTAAGCCAACCCTGATGATGTTCTATGTTGTACCTCTGGACCTCTAAGCCAGGCCACTGTGGGGAGACCAAGGTCCTACCCCAGATCCTGTCCCCTGGGTGCTTATGTGACTTAAGGTAGACATAAGGTAGTGTGCCAGTTTAGTGCATGTACGCTGATTGAAATCCTGGTTCTGCCACAACCATGTGACCTTGGGTGAGTTACTAAACCTCTCTGCACCTTGGTTTCAGCCTCTGTGAAATGGGGATGATGTTAACTGCCATAGTGACTACCTCGTATTAAGTTGAGGACTGATATACGTAAGGCACTGAAAATGGTGCCTGGCACAGAGTAAGCCCTAGTTAAGTGTTCGCTGTTATTTTGTGAAGGGTGATGAATACGCCTCTAAGGAGTGGAGGCCAAATGGCTTCTGTGGTCCAGGAATCCTAAGGACAGCAAGGATCCCCTGTGGCTGGGCTGCTCTGTGATGGCTTCCGGGAGGAGGGAGGTGGCCTGCTGTAGGAAAATGCTGGGTGGAAGAAGGGAGAGAAGGCTGGAGAGGTAGGAAGGAACTGAAGTATCTGAAGTGACAAGGTGGGTGTCTGGACTCGTCGGGTCCCCTTCCATCTCCCTGCTGCCTCCACATGCCAACCCCACTCGTGCACCCTCATCTTCCTATCTCCTCACCCAGGGTCTCTCCCTTCCCACCTCCAGCTTTCCAGAAGGCCTCCAGCATAGTCTATAAGAAAGAGGGGGAACAGGTGGAGTTCTCCTTCCCACTCGCCTTTACAGTTGAAAAGCTGACGGGCAGTGGCGAGCTGTGGTGGCAGGCGGAGAGGGCTTCCTCCTCCAAGTCTTGGATCACCTTTGACCTGAAGAACAAGGAAGTGTCTGTAAAACGGGTTACCCAGGACCCTAAGCTCCAGATGGGCAAGAAGCTCCCGCTCCACCTCACCCTGCCCCAGGCCTTGCCTCAGTATGCTGGCTCTGGAAACCTCACCCTGGCCCTTGAAGCGAAAACAGGAAAGTTGCATCAGGAAGTGAACCTGGTGGTGATGAGAGGTGAGGGGCCAGGCCAGGGAGGGGTGGGCAGGGGAAGGAGTTGGAGGGGCCTGGCCCAGGGCTCCCTCTGAGGCAAGCCAGGCCCCAAGAGGGGATGCCTAGGCCCTGGTCACCTGGATGAAGTGAGGGAGGGCCCTCTGGGTTTGGGGCTGGTTTTGAACTGAGACATCCATGAGCCAGCCTGGGGCTGGCTTCACTGAAGATCCCCAAAGCACTTGGGCTAAGAACCAGGGTTCCAGTTCTTCCTATAACCAACCCTCTGTGACCCTGGCTAAGCCCCCTCCCACTGCAGGCCTGCTTCCTGACCTGTCTAATAAGGATAATGAAATCTGCTCTCTGTGTGATAGTAATGATGATAATGTCAAGCTCCAAATTGAGTTTCTGGCTTCCTTATCTCCTTATCATCATAACGACTCTGCAAATAGTAATGGCTAACACTTGATGCTCAGCACGTGTCGGGCCCCATCCAAACACTTTACATGTATGCCTGCCTTTAGTACTATCTGGGTGCAGGTTGTTAAGTCACTTGCCCAGAGACACACAGCTGCTAAGCAGTGGAGCTGGGATTCAAATCCAATACCACTGGACCCCAAACGCTGTTTTTCCTCGTAGGACTGCATGAAAACCTGCTCTAAAAGGCTAAAAGAAGGTCACCCATATAGAGTATCATTTTAATTGTTCTACTGAATCTCAGGCCTTTGATCTCAGCCTCTCGTTCCTCTGCAGCCACTCAGCTCCAGAAAAATTTGACCTGTGAGGTGTGGGGACCCACCTCCCCTAAGCTGATGCTGAGTTTGAAACTGGAGAACAAGGAGGCAAAGGTCTCGAAGCGGGAGAAGGCGGTGTGGGTGCTGAACCCTGAGGCGGGGATGTGGCAGTGTCTGCTGAGTGACTCGGGACAGGTCCTGCTGGAATCCAACATCAAGGGTAAGGACCCAGGTTCCAAGGCCTCTGCCTCCTGGGCTGCGGGACCTTCCTGTGGTTGGCAGAGACCACCCAGAGTCCCGGCCTCCCAATGCCTGAGTTGGGGGGTTATGGGTATGGTGTCCTCTGTGGTCCCAGGGTGCTTTGGAGGCCCCAAAAGGAGGCATAGAAGTGATGAAGTGAGGTGGGTTGTGGTCCTGGGCTCTAGGCTGCCAGTTGTAATTCTACAAGTTCCCACTCCCTCAGGTCTACAGCCTAGGGATGGGGTCCACCTGACCGAGAGCCCCCCTCCCTGGCTCCTGGCTTTTCTCCAAATCCAGACGCACTTACACACACACTCACACACATACACTCTCACACACATGCACACACTCCCATACACTCTCACACACGCACACACATCACTCACACACTCGCACACACTCATACACACACTACACACACATCCACACTCACACCCACACTCTCACCCCATGTACTCACACCCATGCACTCACACACTGTCACACACTCATACACACACATGTACTCACACATGCATGCACACACACACTTACACATTCACGCACATACTCTCACCCACACACTGTCGTACACGTACACTCACACACTTATACACTCACATCCGCACACGCATTATTCACACATGTGCACACACGCGCGCGCACATGCATGCAGTCACGCACACACATTCATACACGCACACAGGCACACATTCACACACATGCACACACGCACACACATTCACACATGGACTCACACGCGCACACGCGCGCACACACACACATTCACACCATTCACACACGCACACACATGCACACACTCACACATGCACACACACATGCACTCACACACACAGCCCAGGAGCCAGACCACAGCTTCTCTCTCTCCAGAGTGCCCTGGATATGGATATGCCCAAACATAAAACCGATTCCCCAGCACTGGCGGCCTTTGAGAGCCCCCAGGCACCCCTCCCCTCTCCCCCAACCCCAGGGTCAAACCAGAGACTGGCCAGGAGGGATTGCAGGGCAGTCCTCAGTCCCCTGGCCCGTGGAGGAGGGCGGTGCATTGAGCACATTTCTCTCCCTTGCAGTTCTGCCCACATGGTCCACCCCGGTGCAGCCAATGGCCCTGATTGTGCTGGGGGGCGTCGCCGGCCTCCTGCTTTTCATTGGGCTAGGCATCTTCTTCTGTGTCAGGTGCCGGCACCGAAGGGTGAGTAACCCCACACCTGGTCCCCACAAGGCCCTCAAACCCCTGAGTCCTCTACCAGGAGATCCTGTATATGGGAACTGATTTTGGCCCAGCTCCCTCTGCCCACTCGTAAGTTCCCTTGCTGCCCTGTCCCAGATCCCACTCAAGGGAGAGACAGGAAGGAGCAGAGAGTTAATTCCAGGATAGATGGCCTGGGCCATGTAACTGCTTCTCCTGTCGCAGCTTCCCCCACTCCCCCCACCAAGGGGCACCTCCCTTCTGGAGGCCTGGGACCCTCGTGACTCCCTTTCTTGTCCCTGGACAGCGCCAAGCAGAGCGGATGTCTCAGATCAAGAGACTCCTCAGTGAGAAGAAGACCTGCCAGTGTCCTCAGTAAGGATCTGGGAGGAGGGGTTGAGAGAGGGGAAAGGGGGAGGGGGAGGGAGTTAGAGAGGAGGGGGAGGAAGGGGAGCAAAGGGGGGCAGGAAGGGAGGATGGAGAGGAGGAAGGAGTTGAGGAGGAAGAGCTGGGAGGGGTGGAGGTGAGGAGATGGGGGCTAAAGGGGTGTGGTGGAGAGGATAGAGGGGTGGGAAAAGATGGCCAGGAGCTAGAAGGAGGCAGAAGTGGGAGGATGGAGCTGAAGGAGCAGCAGGCCAGGAAAGGCCCTGCTGGAAAGCCACTGGAGCTGTGCTGCGCTGGAAAGGCCATTGGAGGTGCTAGAACGCAAAGGGGTTGCAGTGGGGACAGACCTGCTCCCCTTCTTCTTTGTTCCTGCAGCCGGTTTCAGAAGACATGTAGCCCCATTTGAGGCACGAGGCCAGGCAGATCCCACTTGCAGCCTCCCCAGGTGTCTGCCCCGCGTTTCCTGCCTGCGGACCAGATGAATGTAGCAGATCCCCAGCCTCTGGCCTCCTGTTCGCCTCCTCTACAATTTGCCATTGTTTCTCCTGGGTTAGGCCCCGGCTTCACTGGTTGAGTGTTGCTCTCTAGTTTCCAGAGGCTTAATCACACCGTCCTCCACGCCATTTCCTTTTCCTTCAAGCCTAGCCCTTCTCTCATTATTTCTCTCTGACCCTCTCCCCACTGCTCATTTGGATCCCAGGGGAGTGTTCAGGGCCAGCCCTGGCTGGCATGGAGGGTGAGGCTGGGTGTCTGGAAGCATGGAGCATGGGACTGTTCTTTTACAAGACAGGACCCTGGGACCACAGAGGGCAGGAACTTGCACAAAATCACACAGCCAAGCCAGTCAAGGATGGATGCAGATCCAGAGGTTTCTGGCAGCCAGTACCTCCTGCCCCATGCTGCCCGCTTCTCACCCTATGTGGGTGGGACCACAGACTCACATCCTGACCTTGCACAAACAGCCCCTCTGGACACAGCCCCATGTACACGGCCTCAAGGGATGTCTCACATCCTCTGTCTATTTGAGACTTAGAAAAATCCTACAAGGCTGGCAGTGACAGAACTAAGATGATCATCTCCAGTTTATAGACCAGAACCAGAGCTCAGAGAGGCTAGATGATTGATTACCAAGTGCCGGACTAGCAAGTGCTGGAGTCGGGACTAACCCAGGTCCCTTGTCCCAAGTTCCACTGCTGCCTCTTGAATGCAGGGACAAATGCCACACGGCTCTCACCAGTGGCTAGTGGTGGGTACTCAATGTGTACTTTTGGGTTCACAGAAGCACAGCACCCATGGGAAGGGTCCATCTCAGAGAATTTACGAGCAGGGATGAAGGCCTCCCTGTCTAAAATCCCTCCTTCATCCCCCGCTGGTGGCAGAATCTGTTACCAGAGGACAAAGCCTTTGGCTCTTCTAATCAGAGCGCAAGCTGGGAGCACAGGCACTGCAGGAGAGAATGCCCAGTGACCAGTCACTGACCCTGTGCAGAACCTCCTGGAAGCGAGCTTTGCTGGGAGAGGGGGTAGCTAGCCTGAGAGGGAACCCTCTAAGGGACCTCAAAGGTGATTGTGCCAGGCTCTGCGCCTGCCCCACACCCTCCCTTACCCTCCTCCAGACCATTCAGGACACAGGGAAATCAGGGTTACAAATCTTCTTGATCCACTTCTCTCAGGATCCCCTCTCTTCCTACCCTTCCTCACCACTTCCCTCAGTCCCAACTCCTTTTCCCTATTTCCTTCTCCTCCTGTCTTTAAAGCCTGCCTCTTCCAGGAAGACCCCCCTATTGCTGCTGGGGCTCCCCATTTGCTTACTTTGCATTTGTGCCCACTCTCCACCCCTGCTCCCCTGAGCTGAAATAAAAATACAATAAACTTACTATAAAGATGCTCTTCGTGTGTGTGTGTGTGTGTGTGTGTGTGTGTGTGTGTGTGTGAGAGAGAGAGAGAGAGAGAGACCCCTTCTCTGGGGACCAGGAATCTTCTGGTCTTTGGGGTCGGACCCAGAGGAGAGGTTGCTGGGCGTGCCCCAGGAAGGAGATGAAGTTTCCCTGGAGAGGGAAAAATTCTGTGGAGGCTGGCTACCCACCTCCACAACCCACAGGGCTCTGTGTGGGCCTGTGTGTGTGTGAGGCTGAGACTCTGTAATTACATGTGTGTGATATACCGTGGGGGAGAGACTCAGGGTTGTGTGAGCTCTCCTGGTGTATGTGTGTGGCAGAGAAAAAGGACTATGAGAAACTGTAACATGTGTGTGCAAATTGTATCCCCAACATATGTGTTTGTGTTCCAGGAGGAGGAGGCAGAGTGTGTGTGTCTGTGTGCATGCATGCGCCCACATCCTTTTAGCTTGTGCACAACCACCCCCAACTCCACAAGCAGCCCCAGTGTGCACCACAAGCCCCCTCACTCCCAAACCCAAGGCCCAGCCCTCACACAGATACACACAGTGACACACGCTTCCTCCTCCCCGAACAGCTAGCTCCTCAGTCCCCAACAACACCAGCTGCCTCTTGGAGCTTGTGTTCGTGTTGAAAACGGGAAGGGGTGGGGGCAGGACATGAACCATTTCACCAATGAAGCCGGTTCCCAGCCATCCTCCTCACCGCCCTCCCTCTCAGCGCCTTCCTTGCCCCTCCTCCCCGAGTCACCACCGTCCAGTTCCCCACCCTGCACTCGTTTCCCGCCCCCCCCCGCCCCCCACAAAGCTGTCCTGCCTTCCCTCTGGCCTGGGCTCACTGGCAGGACGACCCCGGGAGAGAGGGTCCTGGAGAGTGAGAGGGGCAGAGACCGAGTGAGCCGTGGGCTGAGCCTGGGAGGCCGGGACTGAGGGGGAGGAGGGAGGCCCGGGGGAAGGGAGGGAGGGAGAGAGGGAAGGAGGGAGGAGGGCGGGCGAGCTGGAGCCGGCAGGCAGCGGGAGCCCGAGAGAGCCGCGTCGGGAGTGCGGTCTCCATGGCAGTGCTGGGCGCAGCCGGAGAGAGGTAAGACGACCCCTGCCTGCCCCGTCCCCTGTGTTGCCTCCCTTTCCCCCTCAAGCTGCCTCCTCTCCCCTAGGCCGGCCCCTCCTCCCCAGCCACCTGCTGTTTCTGCCCTGGAGAACCTGGAGGGGGACAGGAGGGAGGAGCCGCCTGACCTTACCCCTTCACCCCAAAGGGCGAGGGACCCCGTCGGCCAGGGAACCTCCCAGATCCCCCTTCCCACCTTCCTCTGATCTCTCCCTGTCCTTCACCTCCCTCTCTCTGTCCTTCACATCTTTCCTGCCTCCTTCCCTCTCTGACTCCCTATCTCTTTCATCCTGAGCCCACCAGCTGGGCCTGGGTGGAGGTGGGTGGGAAGGGGTCCAGGGCTGTAGGAGAGGACACTGGGGGCTGCTCTTGGCCAAGTCCCTCCACCTCCCTCTGGCTGGCCATTGCCATGGCAACTAGGGTGTACTGGGCTCCGGAGGGAAGCCAAGGGTGGGGGTGGACCAGGACCTCTTGGGGAAAGCAAGGGTCTGAGCTGCTTCCATGGGAAACAGACCCTTTCACTGCTGTGCCCCATTTTTACCCCACTTACCCTAAAGCCATTATGTGCTTCCTTACAGCCCCACTCTGTTCAGGGTTTCACCCGATTCCCTTACCCCCCTTCCCAGGGCTCACTGAAGCTCAGCATCACGCACTAAAACTGGGACCATCCTTCCTCCCATGAGAGGGAAACTGAGGCTCTGGGCCAGGGAGGAAGAGTCAAGGTCTCCCCACGGGGAGTCAGCACCTTATTGAACATTTGGCTTTTCTTCTCAGCCTCCTATTCCCTGCTCCCTCCCTCCCTCCCTCCTCCAGTCCCTCCTCCCTCCAAAGCCTCCTCTCCAGGGGGTTTGAGCTTTTCCTGCTATTTTCAGATACTACCACTTTGCCCCCTCTTTCTCTTCTGCTCAAACTCTCCTCCTTCTCCCTAGTTCCCCCTCTTTCCATTTCTGGATGCTTCTGATGTCAGCGGTTTCCCCGCCTTCAGGTTCCCTAGCACCCCCTTCGGTCCCAGACTCCTTTCTCCCATTTTCCCAGATATGGGTAGCTGGAGGGTGATCACCCAGGTTTGGGGAAGTAGGGGCTAAGCACCAAGACCCCTGCATCCAGGAGACCGGCAGGTAGGGGAGGAAGGCTGTGATGCCATATCCCAGTTCACTGTGAACCCTCAAGAGGAAACCAGTCTTGTGTCTCCCATCAGTAGTTCTGAAGAGACATTTAGGGACTTGAAGATAGGGGTGGAGTAGTGCTGAGCAGGGGATGTTCTAAGAAGGAACCTGGGAGTTCCAGCGGGAGGAGGAAGGGCTAAAGGAGACAGGGAGGTGGGAATACCTTCTTCCCTAGAGGTCTGGAAGAGTGCGGCTCTCATCTGTGTGGGGTGTTTAGCTGTCAGAGTTAAGGCAAAGGAATGTTCTGAATGACCCTCAGGGCCTTAGTAATCAGTCATGCCTATAGTTTCAAGAAAGGGGGCACAGGAGGCTGATTGGAGACCAGCCCAGGCCCTACCTTTGCCCTCTCCCTCCCACATCTCATCTTTCCCTTGCAGCCTGTCCAGGGGGCTGAGCCCCACCCCCAAATCCCTGGGGCATCCAGAAGATTCCTGACTGGTCAAGAACCAGAGGCAAAAGAGACCTGGAAGTCCCAGCATGGGGACCAGAACCCCCCAGCCAGCCTCATAGTTGGGAAAGTAGCCAGCTTGCCTGCCCCATCAATTGCAGGGATGCTTAAGGAAGGCCCCGCCCAGTATGAAAGCTGAGGATTGCCTCTGCTGACCCTCAGTCTCCTCCCCTGCCCTCTACATCTGCCCTCAGCTGGGTCCATCATGCAATGCTGAGCACTGGGGTGAGCCTGGGGGCAGCCTGCCTGCTGACAGGGCGAGGATTGTGGGGATCATGGGAGTGTTTGTGAGTGGGGCTCCTGGGTGAGACCTAGCCCCCACCCCCACAGAGCTCAAGGGGGTGGGGGGCTGAGGATAGGATGGCTCGGGGCGGGGCGGGGGCAGAGGAGGCCTCCCTGCGCTCCAACGCATTGTCCTGGCTGGCCTGTGGGCTCCTGGCGCTGCTGGCCAATGCCTGGATCATCCTCAGCATCTCGGCCAAGCAGCAGAAGCACAAGCCACTGGAGCTGCTGCTCTGCTTCCTAGCGGGCACACACATACTCATGGCAGCTGTGCCCCTCACCACCTTTGCCGTGGTGCAGCTGCGTCGTCAGGCTTCCTCCGACTATGACTGGAACGAGAGTATCTGCAAGGTCTTCGTGTCCACCTACTACACCCTGGCGCTGGCCACCTGCTTCACGGTCGCCTCCCTCTCCTACCATCGCATGTGGATGGTGCGCTGGCCCGTCAACTACCGCCTCAGCAACGCCAAGAAGCAGGCACTGCATGCCGTCATGGGCATCTGGATGGTCAGCTTCATCCTCTCCACACTGCCCTCCATTGGCTGGCACAACAACGGCGAGCGCTACTATGCCCGCGGCTGCCAGTTCATAGTCTCCAAGATCGGCCTCGGCTTTGGCGTTTGCTTCAGCCTCTTGCTACTTGGGGGAATTGTCATGGGTCTGGTCTGTGTGGCCATCACCTTCTACCAGACACTGTGGGCCCGGCCCCGGAGGGCTCGGCAGGCCCGGAGAGTGGGGGGTGGTGGGGGGACCAAAGCGGGTGGGCCAGGGGCCTTGGGTACCCGGCCAGCTTTTGAGGTACCAGCCATTGTGGTGGAGGATGCCCGAGGGAAGCGGCGGTCCTCGCTGGATGGCTCGGAGTCTGCCAAGACATCCCTGCAGGTCACCAACTTGGTCAGCGCCATCGTCTTTCTCTATGACTCACTCACAGGGGTGCCCATCTTGGTGAGATCGGGGTCCTCCCCACCTGTTCTCCCCAATATCCAGGCCCCAGCATCATCACCTGACCTCCAACTTCATCAGCCATACAGCAGCTCCGTCATCTCTCCTCCAGTTCCATCATCCATCTTCCTCTCCTCTGTCCATCCCCCACTCCATTTGTGGCCCCCATCTTGATCATCTGTCTTTTAGTTCCCACTACCCTGTTTACCCCAGCTCCAGCATCTGCTTCAGTTCCCACTCCTCAGCTCCATCACCGTCCTTCAGTTCCACGACCTGTCCTCCAGCTCCGTCATCCATCCTGCAGCTCCACGGTTCAGCCGCAGACCTCTCATCCAGCCGCTGGGCTCCACTCTCCATTCCCTCCTTCCCTCGGGCTGCCACATGGTCTCTGAGCACTCTTGGCTGGAAATCCCACAGGGCTCACCCCACCACCCCATCTAGTCACTGTTCCTGGGTTCCTGTCTGTCTCTACGGTTCCTGGTCCACCTCTGTTCCTCTCCCTCCTGACCGCAGGGCTTTGTCTCCAGCACTCTCCCCGACCTTCCTCTGAGTCAGTCCCTTCCCTCTGTTCACTCCATCTCCACCTCCGGCTTCGCCTCTGTTGGAGCACAGGGATCAGGCATTACTTCTGACGTCTTGCCCACCAGCTGCACTAGGATATGGGGTTCAGGTGGGCTCCTCAGCTCTGGCCCTGACCCAGCCCGCTCCCACCCTTCCCCAGGTGGTGAGCTTCTTCTCCCTCAAGTCGGACTCGGCGCCCCCCTGGATGGTGCTGGCTGTGCTGTGGTGCTCCATGGCACAGACGCTGCTGCTGCCCTCCTTCATCTGGTCCTGCGAGCGCTACCGCGCCGACGTGCGCACAGTGTGGGAGCAATGCGTGGCCATCATGTCTGAGGAGGATGGAGATGACGGTCAGAGGAGGGGCTGGGCTTTGGCTTTCCTGGACATCTGTCTATTCCCTTTTCTGCCGCTCCTTCTCAGCCAGAGGATGGGCTGCCCTGGAGTGCCCCCTACTGGACAGAATCTGCACCACCCTGGGCTCCCCTTTCCCTAAGCAGGCACCCTGCTGTCCACTCACTGCTTCCCGCAGCACTCAGGGCTCCCTTCACTGGGCCTAGGCTCCCCTCCAGAAACCCACACTGCCCAGCTCTGGCACTATGGGGAACCTGAGCTTCCCGAGAGAGGCCCCCCAGCTATAGGGACGGCTCTTGGGGGAGTGCAGGCAATTGTTTCAATAACTTCATCTATATGTATGAAGCACTCCACTCAGGATTTAGCACTGAACGCAGCAAATGCTAGCCACTCTCACTGTCCTCTTGGAACATACATGCTAATGGGAACTAAAGGGGTCTCTGGGAGCTTATAAAGGCAGTGGTGGGAGGCCGCGGTAGGCATTCCCTACCTGTAACCACTCTGCCCATTTTCTCTCCTAGATGGGGGCTGTGACGACTATGCAGAGGGCCGAGTTTGCAAAGTTCGCTTTGATGCTAACGGAGCCACAGGACCAGGGAGCCGGGACCCCGCCCAGGTGAAGCTGCTGCCTGGAAGGCACATGCTCTTCCCTCCTCTTGAGAGAGTCCACTACTTACAGGTATGGAACTGGGGGATACATCTCCTACCCTTGGTGCCGCTCATCACTTTTCTCCAGTGTCTGTTAGGCACCCCAATCCCCTCTTCCCTAGCCCTGGCTTTCAGGGCACCATAGAGCTGGGTGAAAGAAAGCTATAGCAAGAGAGGCATCCCTTCAGACCTCGTGGGGCCAGGTTTGCCCACCGGAGCAAACGTTTTGAAGGTTAAGAAGGTGGCACCATCTTCCGGAGTCCCCACTTGGTTCCTGCCTCTGCCTCTGTCCCTGCAGCACCTTCAGGTCTTACCCGCTCCTCTTCCCAGGTCCCCCTATCCCGGCGTCTGTCCCATGATGAGACAAACATCTTCTCTACCCCTCGGGAACCAGGCTCCTTCCTGCACAAGTGGTCATCCTCTGATGACATCCGGGTCCTCCCAGCCCAGAGCCGGGCCCTCGGGGGTCCTCCTGAGTACCTGGGACAAAGACACAGGTTGGAGGACGAGGAGGACGAGGAAGAGGCTGAAGGTGGGGGGCTGGCCAGCCTTCGCCAATTCTTGGAGAGTGGGGTTCTGGGGTCAGGTGGGGGACCCCCACGGGGTCCTGGCTTCTTCCGGGAGGAGATCACCACCTTCATCGATGAGACACCTCTGCCTTCTCCGACTGCCTCACCAGGGCACTCTCCTCGTCGGCCCCGGCCACTGGGCCTCTCACCCCGCCGACTCTCCCTTGGGTCCCCTGAGAGCAGAGCCGTTGGACTTCCTTTGGGACTAAGCGCAGGGAGACGCTGCTCCCTGACGGGGGGTGAAGAAAGTGCAAGGGCTTGGGGAGGATCCTGGGGCCCAGGCAACCCCATCTTTCCCCAGCTGACCCTGTGAGCCCAAGCAGGCCTGCTGAACTCAGAGGAGAAAGCCTGAGTGAGTAACACCTCATTCTGGCCGAGAGTAGGGCAGCTGCCTCCAGACTCTGGGGAGACGGGCGCTAGATTTGGGGCTCAGAAGGCCCTGCTCTCTCCCATCCAAGTGACCAGATGCCCTACTCAGCTTCCATCACCCCTAGCAATATGTATTAAAGTCTGAAGTGTTGCCATGGAAACCTCAGTGTCCAGTGTACTGCGGTGGAAAGGGGCTTGGAGGGTGGAGTGGCTCACAGGGGACACGACAGAGCAGGGGCAGCAGACAGAGGCACAGAAGGACACATGGAGAAATGATCACATGCTCCACCAGGCAGCCTCGCACAGGGAAGGCTGGGAGGAGCATATCCTGCTGGGGGCGGGGCTTGAGGACACACATCTTCGTTGGTTGGGGTATGAAGGATCTCTGTTCAGATTTGTTGAGGTGGTTTTAGAGCGTGGCTCCAGCCCCAGTGCCCAACTCTCCTTCTAACCTCAAATCCATGCAGGGGCTCACTTTATGGGCAGGAAAGGTTTTGGGGCTGATGCAGTGTCCCGGGCCTGGACACCTCCTCCTTGCTGCATTTTAAAGCTCTTTCTCCAAAGGAGTGCAGGGGTGGATGAGTGTGTGTGTGGGCGGGGGTGGGAGTGCAGGGGTGGATGAGTGTGTGTGTGGGGGAGTGCAGGGGTGGATGAGTGTGTGGGGGGGGTGGGAGTGCAGGGGTGGATGAGTGTGGGGGGGTGGGAGTGCAGGGGTGGATGAGTGTGGGGGGGTGGGGGGGGGCGAGGGGGGGATCGGCGTCCACACTCCTTTTTCTGGACCCAGAAGCGTGTGTGTGGAGGGAACACAGCCCCAGTAGTTACCCCCAGACCTCAGGGGCTGAAGTCACCGCTGGGGCTGAAGTCATCCTTCATGGATGCCCAGGCCTGCTCCAGTTCCCGCCTTTTGCCCTCCTCCTCCCAGTTTCTCCCTCTTATTCCACACTAGACCAGCTTTGTCCACTCAGCACTCTTCTCTCTCCATCTTTTCACATGGGCCTCTCCCACCATCGGGTCTCAGCCCCATCTTCTCTCTCTCTCTCTCTCTCGGCCTCCCTCATTATTTCTCCCTCTCCCTCCGCCTCTCCATCTCTCCTTCCTCCCCCTCCCTCCCCTTCCCCCCTTTCCTCTCCCTCCCTCTCGGCTCCCGCATTTCCCCTCGGCTGCCGGCGGCTCCGACATCATGCTCCGGCTCCTCCGGCCGCTGCTGCTACTGCTGCTGCTGCCTCCCCCGGGGTCCCCTGAGCCCCCCGGCCTGACCCAGCTGTCCCCGGGGGCGCCCCCGCAGGCCCCCGACTTGCTCTACGCTGACGGGCTGCGCGCCTACGCGGCCGGGGCTTGGGCGCCGGCCGTGGCGCTGCTGCGGGAGGCGCTGCGGAGCCAGGCGGCGCTGGGCCGGGTGCGGCTGGATTGCGGGGCGAGCTGCGCGGCCGATCCGGGCGCCGCGCTCCCCGCCGTGCTTCTCGGGGCCCCGGAGCCCGACTCCGGGCCGGGACCCACGCAGGGGTCCTGGGAGCGACAGCTTCTCCGTGCAGCGCTCCGCCGCGCAGACTGCCTGACCCAGTGCGCAGCACGGAGGCTGGGCCCCGGGGGCGCGGCGCGGCTTCGCGTGGGGAGCGCGCTCCGGGACGCCTTCCGCCGTCGGGAGCCCTACAACTACCTGCAGAGGGCCTATTACCAGGTGGGGAGCGGGCCGGGCAGCTCCGAGGGTCCCAGCCCTCACCACGACGCTGTCCTACTTTGCGTTGCCCAGGAGTAGGCGGAATGCTGTTGCCCGGGCCCCGCACGGGGCTGGGGAGCGTACCGCGGGCCTCTGCGTAGGAGCTGGCTAAGCGACCGCGAGGACCTCTTGAGATCGCAGAGGAGCAGCCGAGGGGGAGTGCGAGCAGAATGGGAATGGGGCGGGGAGGTCGTGAGGTGGGACGGGAGCAGATCGAAGATGGAGGGACAGGGCCGCCTCTTCCTAGGAATGAAGCGGAGGCGGTGGGGGCGAAACCGGCTCTCGGACGGGAAGTGTGCGTGGGTGTGTGTGTGTGTCGGGGGTGGTGGTGAGTGTGAACCTTCGCTTGGGGCAGGAGGTAGCTTCGGAAAGGAAGGAGCAGACGGAGGCAAGGTTGGGGTCCTCCGAGGCCAGACCTCTGCGGGCGGGGAGGGGACAGCACGCCGCAGCCGCCGGTACCGCAGCAGTTGCCTACGTGGCTGGGGAAGCGGGGCGCCGGTTGTACTCACCTCAGCTCAGGGTCCTAGAGACCTGCGGGTTTTGCTGGTCGCTGAGGTCTCCCCCACTTCCCCACCTCACTTAAGCCATCACTTCCACCTGGTCTCCCAAATTGAGGTCCTGAAGTCCTGAGACCCATGTCCCACCCAACTCCGACGTCTTTAGATCCCCTTTCCCTCGGTGCCAGCCTTCTGAGAGTCCCAACGTTCTGGCCTCTAGGGGATCTGCAGTTCGGGCGGTGGGCGGTTCTGATTGGCCAGTCTTCCATGAGGCTCTGGGGCACCCAGAGTGTGTGTCTGGGGTAGGGTGGGGAGGCTGGCCAGGGGGCAGAGGTCTGCCCCCCGTCCCAGGGCTCTGATGCCCTCCTCCCTTCGCCTCCTCAGTTGAAGAAGCTGGATCTGGCAGCTGCGGCAGCACACACCTTCTTTGTAGCAAACCCCATGCACCTGCAGATGCGGGAGGACATGGCTAAGTACAGACGAATGTCGGGAGTTCGGCCCCAGAGCTTCCGGGACCTGGAGACGCCCCCACACTGGGTGAGAATCCCAGCACCACCCCTGTCTTGCCACCAGCCTTTTCCTGGCTGGATACACAGGCCTCACTAAACTGTGCGTTGTGCTGCTTGAGCATACAGATGGGGTAATGATCCTCAGCGACCCTGGCTGGGAGTCCTTCTCTAGGACTTCGTTTCCTTCCTGGATGATCACTGAAATCTGATGTTCTAACATTATGATTCTGAGGCCCACCCTTATTCTTCTCCACGGTGAAGAGGGACATGGAGTCCTTGCCCCAAATGAGACCAACACCCCTCTCCTCTCTACCTCCCAGTTTGGCAACCCCTGGATCTTAGGTGACTGACTGCTCCCTTCCCCAACAGGCAGCCTATGACACTGGCCTGGAGCTACTGGGGCGCCAGGAGGCAGGACTGGCACTGCCCAGGCTAGAGGAGGCTCTTCAGGGGAGCCTGGCCCAGATGGAGAGCTGCCGTGCTGACTGTGAGGGGCCTGAGGAGCAGCAGGGGGCTGAAGAAGAGGAGGATGGGGCTGCGAGCCAGGGGGGCCTCTATGAGGCCATTGCAGGTAAGGGTCCCGTGTGTGAGGGGGTGGGTCGGTGCCCAGGGAGGGGCATGAACAAGCTGAATGGCTTATGGGTTTCCTCTGCAGGACACTGGATTCAGGTCCTGCAGTGCCGGCAACGCTGTGTGGGGGAAACAGCCACACGCCCTGGTCGCAGCTTCCCTGTCCCAGACTTCCTTCCCAACCAGCTGAGGCGGCTACATGAGGCCCATGCTCAGGGTCAGTTGGGGAAGGGTGGAAACGGGGAGTGAAGATTTGCCTCTGCTGCTATCCTGAGCTCCATCTCTCTATCCCTCCCATCTGTCTCTGGATTTGTAGTTTCACTGTCAGGGCTGCATGGGAACCATCACTTCACAAGGACTCTAATTTGCCCTCCTTTGGCGCCTGTGACAAGCTCAGGAGATGGGCTTCCTTCTGCCTTGCTGCTTCTCACCTTCCTTTATTTTCCCCCCTCTTGCTCTTCTTTGAACTCTCCAGCTAAGGTATGTTTGCACCAGTGTTTGAAAGAACCGGCAGCTGAACTTGTCTGCCAGTGGGAAGGGGGCTCTTGGAGTTAGCTGTCTGGCCTCTGGAGACCACCTTCTCCAGCACTGCCTCTGCCCCAAGGATCAATGTGCTCTAAGTATTCATCCCCCAACCCCTGACCTTGTCGCTCCCTCTCCAGTGGGCAATCTGTCCCAGGCTATAGAAAATGTCCTGAGTGTCCTGCTCTTCTACCCGGAGGATGAGGCTGCCAAGAGGGCTCTGAACCAGTACCAGGCCCAGCTGGGAGAGCCGAGACCTGGCCTCGGACCCAGAGAGGTAATCCCCTCTCCACGCTCACCTGGGAGGTAGCCCCAAATCAAACAAATAGACCTGAGAAGTAACCTGGACCCCCACCCCCCGCTGGCCTCTTACCCGAGCACTCTAGTCACCCAAAGGACTCCAAGTCCAGCATCTGACTTCCGTCTCCACTCCCTGCTCCCCACGGCAGCCTGGAGTTCCGATTCCAGCCCTCAGCCCCGTCTCTCTTGCCTTTACTTCACTCCTGCCTGCCACCAGCCCCCAAACTCATGCATACACACACCCACACACTCACACACACTCCCACCCCCTACACCCTTTCCAGTTTAAGTCCAGATGCTCTGAAGCTGCTGAGGGGGAACGTTGAACAGAGGAACCGGGGGGCATGGTGCCAGGTTCAAGGAGCATGGAGCACCCAGGCAGTGCCCTAGAGCCGGCGCTTCCCTGCCTTCCTCCAGCTACCCCTCACTGCTCATCATCTCACCCTCAGGACATCCAGCGCTTCATCCTCCGATCCCTGGGGGAGAAGAGGCAGCTCTACTATGCCATGGAGCACCTGGGGACCAGCTTCAAGGATCCTGTGAGTCACTCCACTTCTGCCCATCTCACCCCTCCGCACTCCCAGGAGGGATGGCACTTTGGTTTGCAACAGAGTTTTCCATTTTTCCACCATGAGGCTTGGAGAAGAGTCTGCCATCCCAGTTTTACAGGGACGGAGACAGTGTGCCTGTAGTTAGGGCGGCTTTGGGGTCACGCAGGCCTAAATGTCAGTCCTCCTCTGCCCCAAACATCTCTGAACTTCAACTTGCCTCTGCCTCAATTTCCTTACCTGTAAGTTGGAATAATCACATCTGTTTCACAGGGCTGTTGAAACCACATCATTTGATAACAAAATATAGAAAGCTCTGTTACTGCTGCTTTTATTTCTCTTCTTGTAGTTATGAGAGGAAACTGCGGGGCGGAGGTTATCTATGGCTAGGACTAGGGCATCAAGCAGGCGTTCTCAGTCTTCCTGGCGCTACTGATATTTTGGATCTGACATTTTGGATAATTCTTTGTTGGGGCAGAGGGCAGGGCCTGTCCTATGCCTTGGAGGGTGTTCAGCAGCTTCCCTGGTCTCTACCCAGTAGAGATCAATAGCACATTGACAGCCCCTGAGTCATGGCAATCAATGTTTCCACACTTTGCCTAATGACCCCTGGGGGCAGAAGTGTCCTGCTTGAGAACGACTGGCTAAATGTGTGAACTCTGAAGCTAGTTTTTTTTATTTTTATTTTTATTTTTGGAGACAGAGTCTCACTCTGTCACCCAGGCTGGAGGGCAATGGTGCGATCTTGGCTCACTGCAACCTCCACCTCCCAGGTTCAAGCGATTCTTCTGCCTCAGCCTCCTGAGTAGCTGGGATTACAGGTGCCCGCCATCTTGCCTGGCTAATTTTTGTATTTTTAGTAGAGATGGGGTTTCACCATGTTGGCCAGGCTGGTCTTGAACTCCTGACTTCAGGTGATCCACCCGCCTCGGACCCCCAAAGATGCTGGGATTACAGGCGTGAGCCACCGGAACCCGGCCTGCAGCTAGTTTAAAACCTAACGCTGCTTTGGGAGGCCGAGGCAGGTGGATCACCAGATCAGGAGTTCAAGACCAGCCTGGCCAACATAGTGAAACCCTGTCTCTACTAAAAATACAAAAAATTAGCTGGGCGTGGTGGCGGGCGCCTATAATCCCAGCTACCTGGGATGCTGAGGCAGGAGAATCGCTTGAACCCAGGAGGCGGAGGTTGCAGTGAGCTGAGATCGCGCCATAGCACTCCAGCCTGGGCGACAGTGTGAGACTCCGTCTCAAAAAAACAAAAAACAAAAAACAACAACAAAAAACAACTAACCCTGTCATTTGTAGCTGTGTGATCTTGAGCATGTTACTTTACTTCTCTGTGTCTCAGGGCTCTCAATTACAAAATGAGCACTTTAATATTCTGTTTCATGAGACTGTTGTGAACTTTAAAGGATAAATTCCATTTCCATGAATAAAGCTCTTAGAATAGCCCCTAGCAGATAGTAAGTGCTATATGAGTTATAGTTGTACTTGTTGTTACAGTTTGATCCACTGCCCAGGGCTCCTGACATTGAGTCCCGGGCTTTTCCTACCTCCGTCTTCCTCTCTGGAAACAGAAGAAACTTAATGAGATATTTCAGCTCTAATGTCAGGGATTCCAGGGGCTGACCTTGGTGGGTGATGATGCTTTTCTGGACTGTCGCAGGACCCCTGGACCCCTGCAGCTCTCATCCCTGAGGCACTTAGAGAAAAGCTCAGGTAGGATATGCCCCATGGTGGGAGGGGCTTGGCCCGAGCTGGGAGGCTGGGTCTGGACTGTCCTGGGCACCCACTGAGCGCATCTCTCACCCCTGAGAGAGGATCAAGAGAAGAGGCCTTGGGACCATGAGCCCGTGAAGCCAAAGCCCTTGACCTACTGGAAGGGTGAGTTCCTGGGAGGGAGAAGGCAGGAGCCTGGAGGGTCTGGGGGCTGCCAGCTACTGCTCTGCCTGCCCTTAGGGGATGCTCAGCCCCCTCTGCTCTGTCTTTTCCCTGGCAGATGTCCTTCTCCTGGAGGGTGTGACCTTGACCCAGGATTCCAGGCAGCTGAATGGGTCGGAGCGGGCGGTGTTGGATGGGCTGCTCACCCCAGCCGAGTGTGGGGTGCTGCTGCAGCTGGCTAAGGTAGGAAGACCTGCAAGCTCATCAGCTCGTTCAAGACTCTTGGATACAATCACCTGTTCCCTTGCTCTTGGCCTGCCCCCTTCATTCTGCCTGTCCTGATTATCCAACCGGGACTGTGCTTACCACTGCCTCTCAGCTGTGGATAAGTTCCGTCTCGTCTTAATTTAGCTGACATAGGTGGATGTTCTTTACAAATGAATTTTGCTAGAAATTGATAGGAAGAACAAAACAAAAAACATGAAGGCATAAAAATGGATGAGTGTGCAGGTAAGGATTGCTTGGTTAGCCAAGAGTTTAGTTACTGGCTTGGCTGATGGCTCAGCAGACACGCAGGCCTTTCTTTCCCTCCTAGTTTAGGTTGAATGACTCATACTCACCAGGTTGAGGCTACCATTTTATGAAGCTTCAACCCTTATCTTAGGTTAGTGCTCATTCAGTAATATACTCACTGAGTAGCTGCTATACACTAGAAACTGCTAGGTTCTAGGGAGAGGAAGATGATTATAGACTCTGCCCTTTGGGAGCTCAAGTGTAGAGGTGGAAACAGACAAGGAAATACATAATATAAGCAGGTGGTAAGTTTGGTAAAAGAAGTATGTTTTTGGGCTGGGTATGGTGGCTCATGCCTGTAATCCCAGCAATTTGGGAGGCCGAGGTGGGTGGATCACCTGAGGCTGGGAGTTCGAGACCAGCCTGACCAACATGGAGAAACCCTGTCTCTAATAAAAATACAAAAAAGTTAGCCAGGCGTGGTGGCACATGCCTGTAATCCCAGGTACTCGGGAGGCTGAGGCAGGAGAAGCGCCTGAACCCGGGAGGCGGAGGTTGTGGTGAGCTGATCTCGTGCCATTGCACTCCAGCGTGGGCAACAAGAGCGAAACTCCATCTCAAAAAAAAAAAAAAAAAGTATGTCAAATAGAAGCACTGAAATGCAGTTATAGAAGGCTTGCTGGAGAGGTGGTATTTGAGCTCAGTCTTAAGGATGAGTTAGTCAGGCGATTGGGGGTGGAATCAGTCTAAGAGGGAGAAGAGCATGGTGCATTCTGGGAACTGCAGTCAAGCACAGGGGTGAGAGCAGGGCCAGCTCCATAGTCATTACCTGTGTGATCTTGGGCAATTTATTTTAACATCTCTGAGCCTAATTTGCTCATCTATAAAATGAGGATAATAATAGTGTTTTTGTCATAGTGTCGTTGTGAGGATTAAATGAGTTAGCACATGATAAAGCTCTTAGAACACAGAATCATCACTGGCTGGGTGTGGTGGCTCATGCCTGTAATCCCAGCACTTTAGGAGGTCAAGGCAGGTGGATCACTTGAGGTCAGGAGTTCAAGACCAGCCTGGCCAACATGGTGAAACCCGGTCTTTACTAAAAATACAAAAAAATTAGTGGGCATTGTGGCAGGTGCCAGTAATCCCAACTACTGGGGAGGCTGAGGCAGGAGAATCGCTTGGACCCAGGAGGCGGAGGTCGCAGTGAGCCGAGATCGCACCATTGCAGTCCAGCCTGGGCAACAAGATCAAAACTCCGCCTCGAAAAATAAATTTTTTTAAATAATTAATTAATTAATTAATTAATTAAAAAAGAACATAGAATCATCAGGGTGTATGTTACCAAGAGACAGTATAGGGAAAGAGGGAGAGAGCCCACACATGAAGGCCGAGGGACAGTGAGTGTCTTCTGTGGCCTCCCAAGGAGTTTGGGCTTTATCTGTGTATGGTAGACAGCTGTTGCAGGATTTTAGGACGGTTGACTTTTGCATTCCTGTAGTACCTGGAATCAGGTGCAGGGTCTGGAGTCACCTGTAGGAGTGGTAGAGCCCTCTAGTGGCAGTCTGTAGAATGCAGTGGGAGAAAGACCCGGAAAAGGGGAGTAATTGACGAATGCCACCGTTGGCTGGCGAGGTGGCTCACACCTGTAATCCCAGCACTTTGGGAGGCTGAGGCAGGCGAATGGCTTGAGCCCAGGAGTTCCAGGCCAGCCTGAGCAACGTGGTAAAACCCCGTCTCTACAAAAATACAAAAAATTAGCTGGGCCTATGCGCCTATATGTTCCCACCTACTTGGGAGGCTGAGGTGGGAGGACCTCTGGAGCCTGGGAGGTGGAGATTGCAGTGAGCTATGATGGCGCCACTGCACTCCAGCCTGGGCGATAGAGCAAGACCCCGTCTCAAAAACAAAAAATGAAAAAAAAAAAAAACCCCAGGTTAGACGGCTTGGGTGACTAGGTGTCTCTCAGAAGTGAGATTTGTATGCAGGCGTAACTAGATAGTGGTGCTTAAACAAATTCAAAAAGTAGACAAAAAACGGGTGTCAGAAAAGCGAATAATTCCAGTGTAGACATCCAGATATTAGGAGACCCCCAGGTAGTGAGAGTGGTCGCGGAGGTGGCTGGGTAGTTGTGACTCAGTATCAAGGAGTGGGGGAGCCACGGAGTCCACAGTTTCTCCGAGAGCATGTCAGGTGGGAAGAGGTCAGAGAGGGATAGCCCGCTGATGCTGTCTCCCTACCGCCAGTCTGGCCTAACTGTGGAACTTCCTCTTAGGGTCCTGTTTCCAGAGGGACTCCTCTATTCTTGGCTCATCGGGGATTAATGATCAAGCCCTTCCTGCCTAGTTCCCAGCTCTGCCCCACTTTTCCAGCTGTCCCTACCCTCTCAGAGGCCCCCTTACTGCTGTAGGAAGCTCTCCCGAGTTCTCTCCACAGTCCCCTTAGTAAGCGGGATTCCAGCCCGTACCAGAGAGGGACAATCGGACAGCCGTGGCGGTGGGCACTCTCTGGGAAAGAGCAGCAGCTCAGGAAGACGAGCCACAACAGAACTGTGGGAGCATCTAGCTTCTTCTGGAGAGCGGGAGGGCCGGAGGGAGGGTCTTGCAGCCCTGCAGACAGTGAGGGGCTGGGGGAGTGACTCCACGGTAAACTCCTTCCTATTTAGGATGCAGCTGGGGCTGGAGCCAGGTCTGGCTATCGTGGTCGCCGCTCCCCTCACACCCCCCATGAACGCTTCGAGGGGCTCACGGTGCTTAAGGCTGCGCAGGTGAGCACAGGAGGCACCCGGGCCCGTCTGATGCCCAGACCTGGAGGAGAGGCTGTGCAGGAAGCCGGGCCCCAGGGCCTGGGCTTTTGTGAAGGAGCTTTCTTGGGACCGAGACTACCTGATAGGACCCAGCGTGGAGAAAAGGGATGTTCTGAGAGCTGGGGCCGGGGTTGTTGTCATGGAGAGAGAAGGAGCAGTTTGGGCTGATGGACAGAGCTGGATGCTGACAGACTCCAAACCCATGGGTGGAGAGCGGCAGAGTTGGGCAGGGGCTAGGGCCGAGACCACCCTCCCCTTGCCTTCCTCCTTTTCTGCCCTGCCTTTCACTGCCTGCAGCTGGCCCGGGCTGGGACAGTGGGCAGTCAGGGTGCTAAGCTGCTTCTGGAGGTGAGCGAGCGGGTGCGGACCTTGACCCAGGCCTACTTCTCCCCGGAACGGCCCCTGCATCTGTCCTTCACCCACCTGGTGTGCCGCAGCGCCATAGAAGGTACGACAGGGACCCCCCACTGCTCTTCTCCAACCTCAGGCCCTGCCCCCAGGACACTGCCCCCAAGAGCCCCGGGGTGGACGTGCACGGCCTGAGCCCACAGGGTGGCAGATGGGCACAGGGGCACAGAGGTACCCCCAGACCCCTTTGTGTCCTAGGAGAGCAAGAGCAGCGCATGGACCTGAGTCACCCAGTGCACGCAGACAACTGCGTCCTGGACCCTGACACGGGAGAGTGCTGGCGGGAGCCCCCAGCCTACACCTATCGGGACTACAGGTGGGCAGCCCCTCTAGTGGTCAGGCAGGTGGGCAGACAAAGGTCATCCCACTGCCGGCCTGGGCCTGGGTTGGGGTCTCACTGCCTCTTGCTTTTTTCCCTCCCCAGCGGACTCCTCTACCTCAACGATGACTTCCAGGGTGGGGACCTGTTCTTCACGGAGCCCAACGCCCTCACTGTCACGGTGCGTGGAGTGGGGGGTGTGACGGTGTGACAAAGGGCCCAGCTGTGGGGTCAGGATTCAAAACAGAAGGCTCCAGAGGCAAATGCAGGGAAATGGCCAGGGCTTTTAACCCTTTCACTTCCCCGCCTCCGCAGCCCTCCCGCTGCTTCCTCCGTAGCAAGGTCTCTAAGTGGCCGAATCAACCCTACCATCAGTATTTGTCTCGCCTCCTAAAGAAGGGTGAATGAAGCACAGCTTGCAGGTGCCTCCAGGACTCCATGGCCCTATTCTAGGGATTTGGGGAACTTGAAATAGTCCTTCCTCTTTGCAGCGAGGTGAGCACAGTGGCTGGCGCACAGATACCAGGGCCGCCTTGACTGGGGCTCGGATTCTGAACCTTTCTGAGGTTTAGTTTCCTAGACTGGGGTGATAATAATAGTACGTATTTTAAAGGGTCATTGTAGGAAGTAATTTAGGTAATGTACCTAAAAGAATGAGGCAGCGCCTGGTAATGATAAGCAATTAATGAATGTTAGGTGGGAAATTTCCGGACACCAGGGGCTAGGATTGGGTAGGAGGAGAGGGGCAGTGATTGTTCATCTGGGTGTGGGGTGTGAAAATGGTTCCAATATCTGTATCCCCTTCTGCATAGAGTCTGGTACTGCATGCACAGCCCCAGATTGCTTCAAGCCCTGGATTCAAAGGGCTGAGTGGGAAAAATCAGGGTACCAGGGGTCAGGAACCAACAGGAGACCATCCGTGGAGACCCCTTTTTCCTTTGGTTCCCAACTCCTCTTGCATTTTTGCTCTGCAAGTTGAAGCTGATTTCTCATTTGCCCCAAGCTAGTCCCTGAATTAAGGAGTAGGAAGTGGTAGCGAGAGAGCTGATCCTCTCTGTGCCCCTGTCCCCATCCTGCTCTAGGGAGTGAGGGCCAAGTTCTCTGAGAGAGCCAATCCCTGGAGCTGAACCTGCCCTCATCCCTCCAGGCTCGGGTGCGTCCTCGCTGTGGGCGCCTTGTGGCCTTCAGCTCCGGTGTCGAGAATCCCCATGGGGTGTGGGCCGTGACTCGGGGACGGCGCTGTGCCCTGGCACTGTGGCACACGTGGGCACCTGAGCACAGGGAGCAGGTAAGGAGCGGGGTAGGAAGGGATGTGGTTCTCCTGGTGCGTGAAGGGTGGGCAAGGAGCCCCCGAGAAGGCTCACAGTCGGTGAGGGTCAGGGGCTGAGCTGACCCAGGGAAGGTGGGTGCAGGGAATGGGCCACACTCTCCTCCCCAACCCCAGGAGTGGATAGAAGCCAAAGAACTGCTGCAGGAGTCACAGGAGGAGGAGGAAGAGGAAGAGGAAGAAATGCCCAGCAAAGACCCTTCCCCAGAGCCCCCTAGCCGCAGGCACCAGAGGGTCCAAGACAAGACTGGAAGGGCACCTCGGGTTCGGGAGGAGCTGTGAGTGGCTGAGCCAGCTCCTTGAGGATGTGGCCACTTGACTTGTGGAAGGCCATCTTGATGCCAGGACACACAGGAAGCCCCTGTGTGACATCAGGAGCAGAACAGCAAGCTCTCTGTCCCTGCACCCCCACCATCTTGGGGACCTACAAGGGCCTGGACTCAGAGGACAGTGCACAGGCTAGCCTGGAGCTCACCAGGCCTGGGGAGCTGGGACGGGGCCCCGCTGCCGGACCTGCAGCCCTGGACAGATGGGGAACACTGTGCCTCCCTGAACAGAAATGGCAGGGGAGGAGGCTGATGCTTTAAATGAAGAGGATGGTGGGGTTGGGAGGTATAACCCTGCTCCTCTCTCCCAGTCTGTGCAATAAAGGTCGTGAAGATCTCTCAGCCAGGGGCCAGTCAAGTGTATCACAGATTCTGTGATGGCTGGAGGTGGGGGTGGCTCTGGCTGGCCTGGGAGGAGACAGGTGTCTTTGGGCCTCCCAGAGGCGGGGCGCCTGGAGCCTGTGATTTGTCAGGGAAATCTCAGCCACCTGCTCCCCTCATGCAAATGACCCAAGCCCCTGGCAGCTGCTCCTTAGGCCTCCAAGTGTAAGCCCTGTCTTCCCTCTCTGAGCTTTGCTGAGACTTAGGGCCGCCTGCTTTCTCTCTGACCCCTGCTTTCACAGCCTCGAGAGGGCAAGGAGGGGGCCAGACCCCAGCCTGGGAGCAGCGTGCGGGCCTTCCCTCCACTTGAAATCCGTTGCCCGCCCACAATAGGGGCAGACCTGTCCATCCTTCTCTGTGGGTCCCCTGTACCTTTCTCCCCCAACAGGATCAGACCCAGAGGCAGCTGGTTGGGGTTTGTCGAGAAGAAGGATTATCCAGATCAGTCCTTTCTAATCTCAGCTCCTGCCTGTACCCTCCCATACTCACCAAACCCTCTTCCCCACCACCCTGAGCTGAGGAGCACAGTTTGAGGTACTGACAATGGGGCCATCTATCACCCTTATATCCCACCTCCTGGCCTGGTTGCTAAGTGGCCCTGACTGCCAAGATCATCACCATGGATGGGGGCCGGGACCAGGGGGGCCACTGGAGCTGTAGTTGTCTGCTCCTTTGCACCCCTCCCAAACCCCAACCCTTAATCCTCACAGCTTTGCTCTAATCCTGTGGGGCCTGATGCTCTTATCTCTGCCTGCAGAGACTGACCAGGGAAGCACCCCTTCACCCCCTCCTCTCTCAGGGCTTGTGGTGGGGGCTGCCCCTCTCTATGGCCCCACACTCCTGCCCCCAACCCTCCTCCCGGCTGGGCCCAAGTCTCTCTGGAATCCGTACACCTCCCTCCCTCCCCCCACCCCTTCCCCCCACCCCTGCCAGCTGATTTCATTTGCCTGACGTTGTGGTTGGCTCTACCCTTCCCTGTCAGGCCCCCCCAACCCCCCGCCGGTCGGGGCCAGGCCAGGCCAGGCCAGCTCCTCTGGCAGCAGAGCCTGGGCAGGTGACGGGCGGGCGCGGGCGTCGCAGCTGAGGGAGTAAGGAGGCTCCCAGGAACCGGAGCTGGAAACCCGGCCGAGGTCCAGCCAGAGCCCAAGTAAGAGGGAGCTGGCCTGGGCTCTGCTCTCCTGGGCTGGGGCGCAGGCAGGGCTCAGGCAGGCTGGGGCTGGACGCAAAGGACCTCAAACTTGGAGGGCCTAGCTGGGGAGAGGGTGCAGCCACCCAGTCGTTTCCCTGTGTCTTGGAGTCTGGTGTGGGCACGAAGGGCAGAAGCACAGCCTGGTGGGGGGTTCCTCAACACCGACCCCATGTTCCTGGCAGGAGCCAGAGTGACCCCTCGACCTGTCAGCCATGGGGGAGATGGAGCAACTGCGTCAGGAAGCGGAGCAGCTCAAGAAGCAGATTGCAGTAACTCCAGAGCCCTACCCCTGGGGCCCCAGAAAACAGCTGGGGACATGAGGAGCGTGGCCCAGGGGGAGGGGGCTGGGTTTGCTCTTGAGTGACTAGAAGTGACCAGGGACTTTCTAAACTTGGTTCGCATATTTGAGACCCCCAAGCCCCAGAGCCCCAAGACCAACCTGCCCTGAAGGCCCATGCACCTGCCACCCCCACCTCGCCCTTGCTCCCCTGATGTCTGCTTTCCCTGCAGGATGCCAGGAAAGCCTGTGCTGACGTTACTCTGGCAGAGGTAAGACCCCCTGTCCCCCGGAAGGCAGGGCATGGGGGGAGGGGAAGGGAGCTCCCCGACCCGCAATAGCGCGTTGCTCCGAGCATTAGTACAGCACGTCCTTGGAGTGAGGAAACCCATTAATTAATTCATTCGACCAACATTTTAGCGGGACCTGCTCTGAGCCAGGCACCATATTGGATGCGAAAGATGCGGACACGGTTCCTATTCTCATCCGTAGAACAAGAGTGACCACAGCCCCCTCCCAGGGCCTTGAAGATGAAGAAGCGATAGTACTTTGTAAATTATAAAGCCCTTGTAGACTCTAGCTGCTAGTTTTCTATGCTGTATTTTGTCAATTCTAAGATGCACATTTCTTCACATTTTGACATCTCTGAAATCAAGGTGCATTCAGCAATGGATCATTGTTTCAATTAGAATTGACAGCATCTTTTCTTTCTTAGTGATGCATCTTAGATTGGATTAAATATGTTAATAGTGAACACTTTTTATGAGCCAGATACTGGGCTAAGCTGCATAAATACCTGATTTCATTGAATTTTCATGATATCTCTGTAAGGTAGGTGCTATGATAAGCCTCATTTTACACCTTGAGTAAACAGACTCAGGGAGGTGAAGCAACTTGCCCAAGATAACAAAGCAGGCCGGGCGCAGTGGTTCACGCCTGTAATCCCAGCCCTTTGGGAGACTGACGTGAAAGGATCACTTGAGCTCAGGAGTTTGAGACCAGCCTGGGCAACATAGTGAGATCTCTTCTTAATATAAAAAAAATTGCTTTTAACTTTTTAAAAAAAGATAGCAATGCAAGTGATGGCAAATCAAGTCTGTTCACTCTGGACCCCCAGCCTAAGTCTAAAATGTGGTTAGAGCTCAAGGGGCATAGTACCACAGATTTCAGGAGGTACAGTTCAGGGTCATGGTGATGCCCCAGGCACCCAGTTAAAAAGCTAGCCGTGCTGCAGCGGTGGGTGCAAGCAGGCTCCTCTCGGCTTGGGAGAGCCAGCTCTGTGCATCTCTTCCCAAATCTGTTTCCAATGACCTCACATTGGCAGCTGGAAACTGGTCAAAGTGCAAGTATTCGTATCGTGGAAATCACCTTCCCACCTTCCTCACCAACACTGGAGAGGTGCTTGTTAAACACTTACAAGCAACACACCTCTGGCCATGCATGCATCTCTTTCCCACATCAGTCTAAGACACTCCAGGGCAGAGACTTATTTCTCTAAGGCTGGGGGCCTGACCTAGAGCCTGGCACAGAGCGGGAACTTGTATAGATCAGTGGCAGTGACAGACATCTGGGCACGTAACCTGCTCACCCTGATATTCAGTGCCCCTCTCTCTGCAGCTGGTGTCTGGCCTAGAGGTGGTGGGACGAGTCCAGATGCGGACGCGGCGGACGTTAAGGGGACACCTGGCCAAGATTTACGCCATGCACTGGGCCACTGATTCTAAGTGAGGCTTGGGGGGGAACCGAGAATGGGAGGGTGAGAGCGGGAGTGAGGAAGGCGGGAAGGGGAGGCTTGCATGATATGGGATGCCCTCTCCCCAGGCTGCTGGTAAGTGCCTCGCAAGATGGGAAGCTGATCGTGTGGGACAGCTACACCACCAACAAGGTACCAGCCCTGCCTCCCTGAGCCTCCACCACTGCATCCTTCCTAAGGGCGCCATGCCTACCCTCCTGTGCCCAGCTGGGAGCTTGGCTCCGGTCCCATCTCTGCTCAAACCACCCTCCCTGCAGGTGCACGCCATCCCACTGCGCTCCTCCTGGGTCATGACCTGTGCCTATGCCCCATCAGGGAACTTTGTGGCATGTGGGGGGCTGGACAACATGTGTTCCATCTACAACCTCAAATCCCGTGAGGGCAATGTCAAGGTCAGCCGGGAGCTTTCTGCTCACACAGGTGAGGGAGAGACCCTCTCCTCCCCTCCTGAGGGGTTCAGGGAACCCTGGGCTTCCAGTGGGCTGTGGCTCTGCAGCCAGGGCACTGTCCTTCTAACCGCCTCCAGGTTATCTCTCCTGCTGCCGCTTCCTGGATGACAACAATATTGTGACCAGCTCGGGGGACACCACGTGGTGAGGCTGAACATTGCTGGTGCTGGGGCTTGGGAGTGGGCCCGGCCTTTCTCTAACAGTCTCCCTCCATTTTGGCAGTGCCTTGTGGGACATTGAGACTGGGCAGCAGAAGACTGTATTTGTGGGACACACGGGTGACTGCATGAGCCTGGCTGTGTCTCCTGACTTCAATCTCTTCATTTCGGGGGCCTGTGATGCCAGTGCCAAGCTCTGGGATGTGCGAGAGGGGACCTGCCGTCAGACTTTCACTGGCCACGAGTCGGACATCAACGCCATCTGTGTGAGTGCACCCCCCACCCCAGCTTCACTCCAACTCCTTCCCCGACACTCCCCACAACACATACAATACACATCCTCTGCCCCTCCCATAGCTTCCCTAGCCCTTTCTTACTGTATTTTTTTTTTTTTTTTTTTTTTTTTTGAGACAGAGTCTCACTTTGTCGCCCAGGCTGGAGTGCAGTGGTGCAATCTTGGCTCACTGCAACCTCTGCCTCCTGGGTTGGAGCAATTCTCCTGCTTCAGCCTCCTGAGTAGCTGGGATTACAGGTGTGCGCCACCATGCCCGGCTAATTTTTGTATTTTTAGTAGAGATGGGGTTTTGCCATGTTGGCCAGGCTGGTCTTGAACTCTTGACCTGAGGTGATCCTCCCACCTCAGCTTCCCAGAGTGCAGTGCTGGGATTACAGATGTGAGCCACTGTGCCCAGTCTTCCCTAGCCCTTTCTTTCTTTCCTTTTTTTGGAGACAGAGTCTCACACTGTTGCCCAGTCTGGATGCAGTGGTGCTATCATAGCTCACCGCAGTCTCAACCTCCAGGGTTCAACCAATCCTCCCACCACAGCCTCCTGAGTAGCTGGGACTACAGATGCGTGTGACCACGCTTGGCTAATGTTTTGATTTTTGTGTAGAGATGGGTTCCCACTATGTTGCCCAGGCTGAGCTGGAACTTCTGAGCTCAAGCGATCCTCCTGCCTCAGTCTCCCAAAATATTGGGATTACAGGCATGAGCCACCACGCCTAGCCCATTTTATCACGTTTGCTTTATCATTTTTTCTCTGTAGAGAAATAGCCATAGATACACACACACATACACACTTAGATGTAGATATACATTTTCTTTCTGTGTCTTTTGAAAGTAGGTTGCAGACATCATGTTTCTTTACCCCTTAAGTACTTCCCGAAACAAAGCCCTTCTGTAGCATAATCACTGTATGATTCTTAAGATCAGGAAACTCAACATTGACACAATACTACAGTCTACAGTCTATATTCAAATTTCACCAATAGCCTCAAAAATGTCCATAATAGCTCATGTTTTTTTCTGTCCAGGATCCAATCCAGAAACGTGCATTACCTTTCCTCGCCATATCTTTTTCGTCACCACCTTTAAACTGGAACTGTTTTCCCACCTTTGTCTTTTATGTCATTGACGTTTTTGAAGAGTACAAACCAGTTTTCTGTAGACTCTCCCTCCGTTTGAGCTTATCTGACATTTGCTCGCCGTGAGATCCAGGCCTTGCATTTGTACTGGACCCTGTTCTTACACACCCTGATCCAGCCCACTTGTGTAGTCTGGGAGTCTGGGACAACCTCCGTCCGCCCTTCTAGCCGGGTCACTGCAGGCAAGCCTTGGTGCTCTTGCCTGCGACGTGGAAATGATGCCTGCCTGCAGCGCTGTATAGTGCAGAGCGGGCGAGGGGCATAGGGAAGTCACTGGCACGTGGTATGTGTTGGCAGGGCTGCTTCTCACCCCAAACCAAGGGAGGGACAGGCAGGGAGGCTGAGAGCAGCGGCTTGCCCTGGAGCTGTCAGGTGGGAGGCAGAGGGCGGGAGAGGCTGTGGGCTGCCCAGGTCTGATCCCTGACCCACTTGCCACCCGTGCCCTCAGTTCTTCCCCAATGGAGAGGCCATCTGCACGGGCTCGGATGACGCTTCCTGCCGCTTGTTTGACCTGCGGGCAGACCAGGAGCTGATCTGCTTCTCCCACGAGAGCATCATCTGCGGCATCACGTCCGTGGCCTTCTCCCTCAGTGGCCGCCTACTATTCGCTGGCTACGACGACTTCAACTGCAATGTCTGGGACTCCATGAAGTCTGAGCGTGTGGGTAAGGGCCAGCCCTGGCTGCTGCTTCCTCAGCTGGAAGGACCCTCCCCAGCCCTCCCTCCCCATTCTGTACCCCCCATCAGCTCCCATTTCGGACTCTCTTACTGCTGTCCCTTGTCACTGGGTGACTCCACCCCTGGAATCCAGTACCCCTTGGTTCCCAACTAGGACTGTTTTCCCTCAGTGTTGCTCTAAGCAGCCTCTCTCCACTGCCCAATGCCATGACTGCTCCCTGCCCTAGGAGATCTGTGGACCATGACTGTCCAGTCAGTTCTGGGTTCCTGGCATTTCAGGGGCACCCACTGAGAGGCAAGACAGCCTCAGGGAAACATGGAATCAAGGCAGAATCAAGGAGATCTGGAGTGGCCCGAGGGCCCTGACTGCAGCCTAGGGCTCATCTAAGACTAGCCTGAAGTTGGTCAGATAGGATGGCTTCTTCTCTATCAAGAGGCCAGGTGCTGATGAAAATAACACTGGCCAGGGGCAGAATCCAAATCCTAATTCTGTTGCTCACTTTCTGAGTGTCCTTGCACAAGTCACTCCTCCATGGGCCTCAGTTTCTTCATCTGGAAGCAAAGAAATAGGATGAACGGTTGCCTTCTCTTTTCCAGCACCTGTCAAGGTGCCCTCGGGTTTTTTCATAGTACACAGATGCTTCCAGCCTTTCTCTGTCTGATCCCAGCCCTCCCCCAACCAAAGCTCTTGACAGAGAACCCCCTGCCCTACAGCTAATCCTCTTTCAGTCTCTTAGCCTTCTTCAGGGGTTGAGCCCAGTCTACCGAGTCTAGGATCCCTGCATGCATGTGCTCAAGCACACATGCACACACACACGTACACACACCCACACATGCATACACATGCACACATATCCCCCCACACACCCACATACACACACACACCCACACACCCACACATACACTTACACGCATGCACACACTGCTTTCCAAATCAGCTTGGAGAGACAGGCTGACTCCTTTCCCTCTTCCTCAGGCATCCTCTCTGGCCACGATAACAGGGTGAGCTGCCTGGGAGTCACAGCTGACGGGATGGCTGTGGCCACAGGTTCCTGGGACAGCTTCCTCAAAATCTGGAACTGAGGAGGCTGGAGAAAGGGAAGTGGAAGGCAGTGAACACACTCAGCAGCCCCCTGCCCGACCCCATCTCATTCAGGTGTTCTCTTCTATATTCCGGGTGCCATTCCCACTAAGCTTTCTCCTTTGAGGGCAGTGGGGAGCATGGGACTGTGCCTTTGGGAGGCAGCATCAGGGACACAGGGGCAAAGAACTGCCCCATCTCCTCCCATGGCCTTCCCTCCCCACAGTCCTCACAGCCTCTCCCTTAATGAGCAAGGACAACCTGCCCCTCCCCAGCCCTTTGCAGGCCCAGCAGACTTGAGTCTGAGGCCCCAGGCCCTAGGATTCCTCCCCCAGAGCCACTACCTTTGTCCAGGCCTGGGTGGTATAGGGCGTTTGGCCCTGTGACTATGGCTCTGGCACCACTAGGGTCCTGGCCCTCTTCTTATTCATGCTTTCTCCTTTTTCTACCTTTTTTTCTCTCCTAAGACACCTGCAATAAAGTGTAGCACCCTGGTACATCTGTGATGTTTGCCTTCTACTCTCTTCTGTTCCAAAAAGACCCAGGTCCCATTTAAGGGCAGTAATGTGTTACAGGTGCTGTGATAAAGGCTGGGTACTGGATAGCTTGTGGGCTTATGGGAGGAGGCCTGAGATGGGTCAGGGGGAGAAGGTATTCAGCAGGTGGCTGGGGGACTGTGTGCAGCAGTTCGCTATGGCCTGCCTGTGGTGCCCATGTGTTTGTACGGGAGGGTTAGCTTGAGAAGGAATCAGATTATAAAAGGTCTTGAATGTCAAGCCAGAGAGTCCAGACTTTTTCCTAAGGGCAATGAGAAGCCATTGAGGAGTTCTGAGCAGAGTAGTAACATGATCAGTTATGCTTCTCAGAAAGATTGCTCCAGATCTTTCAGAAAGAAGCAGTGTAGGTTGATGAAAGGGAGGGACTGGCACTGGGGAAACAAGGTAGGAGGCAGGTGGCAAGAAATGCAAGAGCGACAGGACAGAGGGGTTAGGGAGAGGGATTAGGAAGAGATTAAAGATGTGGAATCAGCTGGAACAGTGGCTCATGCCTGTAATCGCAGAGCCTTGGAAGGCTGAGGCAGAAGGATCTCTTGAGGTCTGGAGTTTGAGACAAGCCTGAGCAACATAGTAAGACCCTGTATCTACAAAAAAAATTAAAAATTACCTGGGCAGGCTGGGCATGGTGGCTCATGCCTGTAATCCCAGCACTTCAGGAGGCTGAGGCAGGCAGATCACTTGAGCCTAGGAGTTTGAAACCAGCCTGGGCAATATGGCAAGACCTCATCTCTATAAAAAAAATACAAAAATTAGCCAGGCGTGGTGGCTCATGCCTATAATCCCAGCTACTGGAGAGGCTGAGACAGGAGAATCGCTTGAGCTCAGGAAGTTGAGGCTGCAGTGAGCTGTGATCGTGCCACTGCACTCCAGCCTGGGTGACAAGAGCAAGACCCTGCCTCTAAAAAACAAGCAAACAAACAAAATGTGGAATCACCAGGATTTAGTGACCAAATGCTAGGATATAGGACATTGGGAGGGAAGGATTCGAGATAATGGCCAAGGTTTGGGTTTGGTGGCTGGGTAGATAATGCTGTCATTCACAAGGATAGGGAAGAGGGAATGAGGAATAGCTTTTGGGGGAAGATCATAAATTCAGTTTTAGACAAACTGACTTTGAAGTACTTATAAAGCAGCTGGATAAAGGTCAGGGTTAGAGAGAGAGACCTGAAAGTTACCAGAATATAGGGAAGTGATAGCTAAAGCCCTAGAAGTAAACACCCAGGGAGAGCAGGGCCAAGGACAGAGCCATAGGGACACCATGGTTAAAGGGAGATGTGCAAAGAAGGCTCAGAGCATCAGTGGGCTCAGGCCAGGGAACGCAAGCTCTCTAGGCCGCCATTCTACACACAGAAAACTCGGTGCAAGGTTTACATATACCTTTTTAAAGTAACATTTAAAATTACTTCCTTTAATATAAAAGAAACACACAAGACACAAAGAAAGCCCAATAAAGCTGTGAGTCCCAGTTTGGTAGCTGAGGAGGAGTCTAAGAAAACAAGCCATTCCTCAGTATCCCTGGGAAAGAAGGGGTGAGAGGACACAGATATCACCAGGCCCTGGGTGACTGCATTGCTGGGGCCATGCAGGGCCTAGCTCTCCACCAAGGGAAAGTGCTGATTTTCCTTGTCATGGTCCTGGCCTTGCTCCCATGCTCGTCCTCCAGTTTTCAGAAGTCGTCCAGTTCCAAGAATGGCTCCTTCCTTTAGTTCACTAACATTTTCACTTAGGGGTGAAGGCCGCTTACCCTGAAAACGGCAGTGTATGAGTTGGGGGGAGTTGCTGTTCAGAAGAGGGAAGATCTGGGTAAAAGGGTCTCCCACCCTCTACGTTGGATATCCTAGTAACAGCTTGCACTTTCTCTTCCTTTACCTGTCGTAGTGTCAGGGTGCCAGGGGAGTTGTCATCCTGCAGGATGGTGAGGGGGGATCTCCCTAGTACCTTGCTGCTGTTTGGTTTCCATCTATTGCGCATAGAACCTGGGGTGGGTAAGGCGTTAAAGCAAGGACCCAAAACTAGGACTTACAGTTTATTCCTCCCACACTCACCCATGGACCTTATCCCAAAACATTATCCTAGTTTATCTTCCCTGCATCTTGCCTTAGATTCTGTACCTGAAGATCTGGGAGTCTCAGGGTCCCTTGAGGGCTTGTCGGAGCTCTGGCTGGCCACAGGGGTTTCTGTGGGCTGTCTTGCTTCCTCCTTGGAAAACACCTGTTTGGAGGGGAACTCAGTCTGGTTCCAAGGTGGCATCTGTTCCTCAACAGATAACTGGGTACCCAGAGGCAAGTCCAATTCAGAAGATAAAGGTGCCTCTGGGGGCAGAACAGGCTCTGGGGGAAGATTTGATTTAGAGTCTTCAGTTTCAAATACTTCACTCAGCTGTTTCACCAGTGGGCTTGGGGGGTCTAGAGGAAGAAAGTGAAGTGAACAGTGACCTTCTGATACACAACATTCAGCAAGGAGCAAAACATACAGAAACCCAGGACTCATGCCCAGGAGGGTGAGCAAGTGGGAAGAGAGAAATCAAGGAAATCAAGGTGAAAGGGAGCAATTTTTTTTTTTTTTGAGATGGGGCTTGCTCTGTCCCCCAGGCTGGAGTGCAGTGGCGTGATCACAGTTCACTGCAGCCTTGACCTTGTGGGCTCAAGCAATCCTCCCACTTCAGCCTCCTGAGTAGCTGGGATCACAGGCCCATGCCACCGTGCTTTTGTGTGTGTGTGTGTGTGTTATGTGTGTGTATTTTTTCTAGAGATGGGGTTTTGCCATGTTGCCTAGGCTGGTCTTGAACTCCTGGGCTCAAGCGATCTGACCACCCCGGCCTTCCAACGTGCTGGGATTACAGGCATGAGCCACCGCACCCAGGCTGGGAACAAAATATTGAGATAAGAGTGAGATGGGTCCGAAGCAGGAGGATAGAGGCCCCTTTAAGGAACCCTGAGAGAATGGCTTCATGGACCCTACCCAAGAATAATAGATGACAGCTTCATCAGCATTCCCTGGGCCCAACGCTTACCTCCACTGCTGGTCTTCATAGGTGTCCGTGCAATACCAAGAGTAGGAGAGCGGGGATCTGAGTCCTGGGCATGTTTAAGACCCTCCAGTTGCTCCCCTGCTGGTAGGCCTGGCTGTGGAGAGCTCTCCACCTGTCAAGACCATAGGCTAGAACAAGTCTGGGCCCTGACTCTTCTCTCCTCTCCTCCCCATATTCCAGGAAGGAATTGCCAAGGCCCTCAGATATCCAGCCTACCCCACACAGATTGAGATTGCAGAAAATAAGGCTAGGATAAGGGTGGGGTCATGACGGCTCTCTCAAAATCAGGTTAGGAAGAGACCCAAGAATTCAGACATTCTCTGCCTTTCCCACGCTGGCCCAGAGTACCTGGATGGGAGTGCGCAGGATGCCAGCACTAGGTGAACGGGGGTCCGCCACTCGAGCCAGATGCTTGTTGTGCGGCGGAGGCCGCGCTGGTGTGACTGGGACGCTCTTGGCTGAGCCCATCTCAACCAGGAGTTGCAGGGTGGGGGCAAGGGCCAGCCCGGGACGAGGAGGGAATGCCTGTGAGAAGTGACTCAGGTCTCAGCCCTTATCTCTTCCACGTCGGACCTTCAACCCTAAACCACCCTGTCTTCCCAGTTTCCAGTGAAGAAACTTCCTGGCGAGGGACCAGAGGCCTCTGCGGAGTTAATGACTGCTGCAGCTGACAAAATGGCTCGTTCTGGGCCTGCTGAGCCCTCTAACTTATTTATTAAATTATTCAAATCACTTACCGGGCCCCAATTCCACCTCTGGATGCACAACAGCTCGTGGCTCAACTCCCGAAGTTACCAGTTTCAAACTTCCCGCCACGCCCCCTGCCCTGACCCTATTGGCTGAGCCGACGTAGTTCCCATAGGCCCTCCACGTAAGACCCGCCTCGAGCCAAAGGAAGCTGTTGGTCTGGGAGAACGTCTATCATGGTGACTGTAGGTGTCAATGGACTGATGCTAGGCTTGCCCAGGGGTGACGCCTCCTTGATAAGGGTACTTCTGTTCAGTATCGGCCTGCGAGCCGTCCGTGGCAGGCTGAGGAGTGCCAGTCTTCGCTTTCGAGACGTCTAGTCTCAAGAACGAATTATTAAACAAAATAGAATCATGAGTGATTACACTATTATGCGCACATCCAGCTGGAGTTGTGATGGTTTTCCTGAGGCGAGCGATAGTAGCTTTATTGGTTGACAGCTGTATCAGTCACTCGACACAACCCCCTCAAGCTCCGCCTCACTGGATACCCCCTTTACAAATACCAAGACAACTGTCCCTCGACTTTCCGACCGGACAGGTCCCCAGGAAACTTTCTGGAATTGAGAGGCCTAAAACAACCGTCAGTTCCTGCTCTTCAATAGAAGGCACGCGAATGGACTCTAAGGGTCCCGGAGCCGGAGCAGCTGCGGAGCCGCAGCAGCTGCAACCCCGAAGCCCACCTAGCTGCTCTACGTGCGCTCCCGCCCTGGAGGAGTGGGATTGGTTCTTTCAACCATCAATTGCCTTAGGAGCGCTTCTCATTGGCGTCAGTCAAGCGCGGGGCAGGGGCGGAGCACCGGCAGGCAGGCTCCGTCCAACTGCCATTCTCGCGCGTCGTCTCCGCGGCGCATGCCCCTAACGAGTGGCGCTCATTGGACGGGAGGGGCAGGGGAGGGGACTGGGAACGGTGGGAGCCGCCGTGTGTGGAGAAGCTGCTGCCGGTGTCATGGCGGAGCTGAGTGAGGAGGCGCTGCTGTCAGTATTACCGACGATCCGGGTCCCTAAGGCTGGAGACCGGGTCCACAAAGACGAGTGCGCCTTCTCCTTCGACACGCCGGTAAGCCCATTCCCCACGCCCGCAACGAGCACGACTTCCTTCCATCGCCCTGGTCATTCCGCTGGGGCCTGCAAGGCTTGGGCTACCGCCTCCCTGCGATGCACCATGGGACTTGTAGTCTCCCACGCTCCACTCTGCCGTTGCCTTTCATTAACTGCGGCTGTCGTGTGACTACCGTCCCCGGAAGCCGCCGCGCTCACCTCTCCGGCTCCCCGCTTCGTGGAGCACTGTGGGCATTGTAGTCACTCACTGCCTTCGTTGCCGTTCTAAGCTAGGGGCGCAGCCCGACCGTCGGACTACATCCCCCAAGTGGACCCTTGAGAAAACCTGGCAGTCGGCCTTGTCTGCCGCGCACGGCTCTCCGGGTTTTGTAGTCTCGTGTAGGAGTGATGGGGACGACTCCCCACTGTTCTCGGCCGGGGTTGGAGTTGGGGGGTGGGGACCGCAGTTCCTAGGCGGTTAATAGTCTGGGAGTGGACTCTCAAGAAGTCCGATTCTGAGAAAGGCAGAGAGCCTCCACCCCGTGGTTAAAACAGACAGGGGGCGGGGAGGGGAGGAAAGAGGAGAGGAAAGCTCTAGTCGTTTCTCCTTTGAAGTGAGCAATGGCCGCAGCCCCCACCCTTCCCCCCGCCCCCCAGCCTATCACAGACAGCTGAGATAACCCCTTTTAAAGTATTCCTAGAGAGGTGGTTTCTTTCTCGGAGGATGCTAAGGCCTCTTTCCCATCCCGCTCCCACTCTTGGCTAGTTACACAAAGCCACCTCCCACACCATGCTTCACGTTTTGCAGGCTCCACCTGGTACCTCCCTTCCTGCAGTTCTGCCTTCCCTATGTCACCCTCAAGCGGAGGCCCTTTGGGGCCTGAACTGAGAAGGCAGCAGCTTGGTTGGGATCCGCCCCCCTCACCACCCCTCCCCTCAAGCTGCTGTGCCCTGCCCAGTGTATTCTGCCAGAACCAGCTCATGGCCTGAAAACTGCAAGTCAGAGTGGAAAGCCTTCATTACTGCATCACCAGTACTGAGTAGAACAGCATGATGTGAGGCCCAGTTCAGGATCATCACTGTGATTTGTGGTTTGCTTGGTTTGCTAGGCTTTGATCTGGGCCTCAGACAATGTGCTGCTTCTCTGAAGTCTGGCTTTGGCAGAGGTAAAAGAGCACTGCGCGGAGCAGAGCTCCGGGGTTCCCAATCCTTGGTGAAATCAGCATCTTTAATTTCCAACAGAGGAGTTTAATCACTTCAGAGCTCCCACATTCTTCCCAGGAGGGAAAGGTTTTTCTTAAATTACCAGCAGGTGGTAGAAGTCAGTGGGTCCCTCTTTACACTTTTATTCACTCCTGTCTCTCTCCTTAGTAACTGCTTTGAATAATCCAAAAAGGGTTTTTGTAATCTTCTGAAACTTTCCCTTTTTCACCCCAAGTCAAGAGATTTTCAGTGTGCCCTAGTTCTTTGCTAACCAACTTCCAGCATATTTGGTTACCTTCAAATTGGGCTCATGGTAGAAAGAGCTTAGTTGACCTCCCCGGTGAGAAATGCTCTATTTGTTCATGAACTTGCAGTACACACTGTTCCTAGGAAGTGGTACAGAGCAATCTATGGGACCAAGAACTACCTTAGACAGTGCACTATTTTTCATATCACAGCAGAGAAATGTTCAAGGCCACTGAGACTTTTATTCCTGGAAGAGGATGTCTGTTGTTGCTCAAAGCCTTGGATCTGAGGGAAGACCCTTATTGTCTCCAATTTCCTCCTCCACCTTCTCCATCACTCTTTACAAAGGCACTGGAAAACTTGGTCAGCTTTGGGGGAAGCCCATCCTCCCTTCTCAGCTGTGTTTCTGGGTGGACACCCGTCTGTCCCTGTTTTCACGGGTTATGTGTGTTCTAGCTATCTCAGCAAGTGTTGCGAGATTGTTGTCAGAACGGGATGGCTTTGAGATTGGTGATTTGTTGGGACTTCAGCAGGGATCTTATTGGTCGGAGGGGAGGCAGAGGAGAGAGGGTGGTGGCTATGGAATGCTGGACTTCATGACCCTGCCAGACTGGGTGCATGTTTAGCTGTGAGTCCCTAACAAGTCATTGTTCCCCTGGAAGCCACACTTCAGCAGGAGAGGAGGGAGAAGACTCACAGTGTGGACCAGGGTTCGACTACCTGGTAGAATGTGGTAAAAGAAAGGTCTTTTTCGCTGGATGTTTAGTCTCACCGCTGTAATCCCAGCACTTTGGGAGGCCAAGGTGGAAGGATTGTTTGAGGCCACACAAGTTAAAGACCAGCCTAAGCAACATAGCGAGACCCCACCTCTAAAAAAAAAAAAAAAAAAAATCTAGGCATGGTGGCATGTGCCTGTAGTCCCAGCTCCTTTGGAGACTGAGGCAGAAGGATCACTTGAGCCGGGGAGGTTGAGGCTGCAGTGAGCTATGATCGTGCCACTGCACTCCAGCCTGGGTGACAGAGTGCAGTGTCTCTAAAATAAAATTTTTTTTTTTTTTAAAGGAAAGGTAATTTTGCTTGCTGGCACACTCGGGTCAGATATACTGTTCAAGTGCTGGAATCTCTGCTCCTCTGGTCTGGAAGGTTTTCTGAATCATGGAGATGAGATAGGGTTTGTCTTAGGTGTCCCCTGGTTTGGGTTCAGTGTCTCACATGAAAGTCTTTCCTCTCCCACGAAGGGACCCTTTTTCCCTTTGAATGTAATCTCCAGCACTGGAAGTCCACAGTATTTGATCCCCATTTACTTTCTGGATCTGTTAGCCCCAGGATAGAGGTGAAGGAAGTCCTCTGTGATTGATTAAAGAGCTCCAAAGCCCAAGAAGGAGCAGGTGGAAAGATAAATGGTGACTGGTGTTGCTGTTGAATGGCGACGATGAGCTGGTGTTCCTCAGCCCCCTGATGTCCTTGTTGGTTGTTATCAAAGTCATGGGAGGAAATGGGGAGAATCTTAGCTATGTCCCAGGTCCTAAAAGGCTAAATAACTTGCCAAGGGCCACACAGTGTTAGAGAACAGAACATTTCTTCTGGAACCCAGCAGTTTCTGACTCCAGGTTTTGGTTTCCTCACCTGACCAGGCTTCATAACATCCTCGTGTTTTCACCCTTACCTCTTGTCCCACAGGAGTCTGAGGGGGGCCTCTACATCTGTATGAACACGTTTCTGGGCTTTGGGAAACAGTATGTGGAGAGACATTTCAATAAGACCGGCCAGCGAGTCTACTTGCACCTCCGGCGGACCCGGCGCCCGGTAGGAGCAGGGCTGGGGCAAGGCCTGGGTACATTGTCTGTTCCATTCTGACCTCCTATTGGACTCAGTTTCTTTTTTTCACCTACTTTTGTGTCATTAAAGCTTGGCACAGATGTTTTTTAGCTTTATTCCGTTCTGAGATGAAGCACTACCTCCTTCCGTCCCTCCTCCCGACTTGTTCCTTCGCTCGTGCTCATTGCTGATCCAGCCCTTCCTGCTTCTTTACAGAAAGAGGAGGACCCTGCTACAGGCACTGGAGACCCACCCCGGAAGAAGCCCACGCGGCTGGCTATTGGTGAGCACCGCTGCAGTCCTATTCTTCTCCCTGAGCTGGTCTTTCTGGCTCTCAGCAGCACCAGGAAAGCCCCAAAGAGTGGGCCTGATTGATGGCCCTAGAACTCTGGATGGGGCAAGTGAGGTGCTGGCTCGGAGGAGGGACATTGACCTGTTGTCATTGCTCTACTCTCCCTCTTCTTCCCTATCCTTCCAGGTGTTGAAGGCGGATTTGACCTTAGCGAGGAGAAGTTTGAATTAGACGAGGATGTGAAGATTGTCATTTTGCCAGATTACCTGGAGATTGCCCGGGATGGACTGGGGGGACTGCCTGACATTGTCAGAGATCGGGTATGACTGCCCCCTATGCTACCCAAGATTCTAGAGCAAGATGGGCCAGGGTAGTGGTGTCTTAGGCAAGCACTGACAAAGCTGAAGGCCAAGGGGAAGAGGGGCATGTGGGGCAGGGGGTTGGGTATTGCCTCTGACCCTCTGCTTCCCCCAGGTGACCAGTGCAGTGGAGGCCCTACTGTCGGCCGACTCAGCCTCCCGCAAGCAGGAGGTGCAGGCATGGGATGGGGAAGTACGGCAGGTGTCTAAGCATGCCTTCAGCCTCAAGCAGTTGGACAACCCTGCTCGAATCCCTCCCTGGTGAGGCCTGGCCCCTCTGCCTCGGGCACCACCCCCAGAGCAAGGACAAGGAGCCCACTTTTCTGGGGGATCTGGTGGGAGAGAGGGTAGGGAGCAGGACAGGAAGGGAAGCTTGGAAATGAACACGACATGGGGATGGCCAGAGGAGAAGAGAGAGAGACCTTGGATTGGCGGGGGGCCTGCAGAGCCCTCTCTCTCTGCCACTCCCTCAAATCCCCGACCCACATTTCTGCTGATTCTCTTCTCTGTGGGTTAGTGGCTGGAAGTGCTCCAAGTGTGACATGAGAGAGAACCTGTGGCTCAACCTGACTGATGGCTCCATCCTCTGTGGGCGACGCTACTTCGATGGCAGTGGGGGCAACAACCACGCTGTGGAGCACTACCGAGAGACAGGCTACCCGTTAGCTGTCAAGCTGGGCACCATCACCCCTGATGGAGCTGGTACAGCCTCCCCTCCTCCAGCCACTCTCATGCTTAAATATATTTCATTTGTTAGTAATTTCGTGTGACATGTATAATACATGAATGCATTATCTTGATAAGAAAGGAAAGTAGTCAGGTGCGGTGGCTCATGTTTGCAATCCCAACACTTTGGGAGGCCAAGGCAGGAGAATTGCTTGAGCCTAGGAGTTCGAGACCAGCCTGGGCAACATAGTGAGACCTCATCTCTCCAAAAAAGAAAAAAAAAGAAAAATTGGCTGGGTGTGGTAGCTCCTGCCTGTAGTCTCACCTACTCAGGAGGCTGAGGCAGGAGGATTGTTTGAGCACCCGGGAGGTTGAGGCTGCAGTGAGCTATGATTGCACCACTGGACTCCAGCCTGGGCTACAGAGACCCTGTCTCAAAAAAGGAAAATACTGCAGATGAGACTAAATTTTTGATTACTCCCCACTCAAATCCTCATCCCTTTCCTACCAAGCCTGTCTTACCTTATCCTATACAGGTAGAATCAGAATCACAAGTAATTCCAACCCTCACCCGGTTTCATCTGTCTTCCCTGACCGTCAGCCCCAGAAGGGCCATGACCGCACTCATATTACTCATATTCAAGGGAACCAAGAGGGTGGACCTTACTGGCTCTCCTTCTGTCCCCTCAAGTCCCTTCTGTGCAAGGGATGGGATGGTGGCCTGGCTAGTCCTGAGCCACTTCCCCTGATTCTCTTCCTGCCTCCTGCTCTAGACGTGTACTCATATGATGAGGATGACATGGTCCTGGACCCCAGCCTGGCTGAGCACCTGTCCCACTTCGGCATCGACATGCTGAAGATGCAGAAGGTGAGACCCCCTTCAACTTCAGATTCTTCTACTTCCTGCCCCTGTGAGGGCCCTTCCTCTTTGCCTGAGGCTGAGGTAGGGTTTTGGAGAAATCTTCTAGTTAACCCCATCCCCAAGATACACAGGCTTCTTTTAAATATCTAAAATCATTTATTCAGTGAATAGTACTGAGTACCTACTATGTGCTAGAGGCTGTGTGAATAAGACAGATGTGGTTTTTGCTTACAAGAGTTCTACTCTAGAAGAAAAGGCAGACATTAGTCACATTCCCAGATAAATAAGTGAATAGTTGCAAACTGGTGGGCACTGTGAAAGAGAGGCGGAGGGTACTACAGTAATTGACAGCAGGGTGGCCTGGCCTAGTTTAGGGATCAGGGACATTTCCCTGAGGAAGCGATGCTTAACTGACAATGTGAAGGAGGTTAGGGGTAACTTAAGGATGGGAAAAACATTTCAGGTAGAAGGAAATTTTATTCCTCATTCAAGCAGAGGCCCTGATGACTAACGGGCCTCTGGGACAATTATGTGTGGCCTTCCAGAACTTGAACTGGACGATACTCAACATACCTCCCATGTTTGAGCCTGTAATTCCACAAATTCTAGGCCACAGTTGAGTATCATCCTAGACTCAGTGAGAGATCGAGGTAAAAACTACAGGGTTGAGTTTCTCACTCAGTCTGAAGTGCCCCTTCTCACACAGACAGACAAGACGATGACTGAGTTGGAGATAGACATGAACCAGCGGATTGGTGAATGGGAGCTGATCCAGGAGTCAGGTGTGCCACTCAAGCCCCTGTTTGGGCCTGGCTACACAGGCATCCGGAACCTGGGTAACAGCTGCTACCTCAACTCTGTGGTCCAGGTGCTCTTCAGCATCCCTGACTTCCAGAGGAAGTGAGTAGTGCCCTCTCCTTCCCCAGGCCCCCTCCTGGTCAGCACCCTCTGGGCATACTCCTCCTTCAGCTTCCCTCAGCACCTCTGTGTTTGATTCTAGTCTTAGAGTAGTTCCTATCGGCTGGGTGTGTTGGCCCACACCCGTAATCCCAGTACTTCGGGAGGCCAAGATGGGAGAATTGCTTGAGCCCAGGAGGTTGAGACCAGCCTGGGCAACATAGCGAGACCCTGTCTTCTCTTAAAAAAAAAAAAGAATAATTCCTGTCACACTCTGGCTGACATGCTGTGAGGGGAGCAAGTTAGGGAGCTGCACCACCAGCACCCCAACACACAAACCCCACTGATAGTGCAGAGTGCCAAGTCCCAGGGCTCTGTGGCCTTCTGACAGACTCAAGGGTTAGCAGGTGGTCTTTATTTTAGGGCAGTGACATCAGATGAGCACCTAACATGGACATGTAGCACTTGGGGAGGAGGGGGGCTTGGCACACTAAGAATAAAGGCAGGTTCTCAGCAGAAATGAGTTTACTTTCGAATTTGGGGAACAATTAGAATGTGAATGCTCAGAACATGTCAACAGGTTCTGTCCAATAGAACGTGAACTGCACTTATCCTAATCCCAGGCTACCTTCCCCCTCCCCGGCTCCTCTGCCGCCGAGCGTGCTTGCACATTGGACATAGCTGAGAAGGGGAGAACAGGCAGGTTGCTGGAGAGAAGCGACTCCAAGGTTCACCCACAGCAACTCCCCACTCTTGAGGGGAGCCCGTTCACAGAGTTAGTAAATGTTTGCTTCCTTCCCTTTTCCTCGGCGCTCAGGCCAGAGCCCCTCCAACTGTCCTTCCCTTGACTTTTAGGTATGTGGATAAGCTGGAGAAGATCTTCCAGAATGCCCCGACGGACCCTACCCAGGATTTCAGCACCCAGGTGTATGTAACCAGGTCCTATGTAGGAAAGCTGTTGACAGTCATGGCCGTATACCTTCCTCCTCCCTGACCGCCTGGGGGGCACAGCACTTTAACCCCTGGCCTTTTTTTGTTTTGTTTTGTTTTGTTTTTTGAGACGGAGTCTTGTTCTGTTGCCAGGCTGGAGTGCAGTGGCGCGATCTCGGCTCACTACAACCTCTGCCTCCTGGGTTCAAGTGATTCTCCTGCCTCAGTCTCCTGAGTAGCTAGGACTACAGGCACATGCCACCACGCCCAGCTAAATTTTTTTTGTATTTTTAGTAGAGACGGGGTTTCATCATGTTGGCCAGGATGGTCTCGATCTCCTGACCTCGTGGTCTGCCCACCTCGGCCTCCCAAAGTGCTGGGATTACAGGCGTGAGCCACCGTGCACGGCCACCACTGGCCTATTAGGAGCATTCGGGTGACTGTCTTCTGGACGTGTTGTCTGTCTTGAGCTGGGTTCCTGTAGAATCTAAGGTTTTTCACGTTGTTGAGAGTTAGCTAGGGAGAGCCACGAGCAGGGGGTTGAGCTGGGGACACACAGGGTCGTTAGTTGACTGAAGTGAAATGTTTTCTTGGATATTAATGCAGGGCCAAGCTGGGCCATGGCCTTCTCTCCGGGGAGTATTCCAAGCCAGTACCGGAGTCGGGCGATGGGGAGCGGGTGCCAGAACAGAAGGTGCGTCTAGGACCCTGTCCCTTTCAGGCCCTGGGATTGTGGGGAAGCTGAGGTCTGGGAGATGTCTAAAGAAGGCCCCTGGATGGCCACTGAGCCCCAGCTGAGTCCCTGCCCTGACTCTTCCCAGGAAGTTCAAGATGGCATTGCCCCTCGGATGTTCAAGGCCCTCATCGGCAAGGGCCACCCTGAATTCTCCACCAACCGGCAGCAGGATGCCCAGGAGTTCTTCCTTCACCTTATCAACATGGTGGAGGTAAGGGCTGGCAAGATGGCACACCCCCATCTTCCTGCAATTTACTCGCTCTCCTTCCTGCCCATTTCTCCCTCTATCAGCCCCAACCCAGTCCCATCCCTGAACCCCAACAGTCTGTGTCCCTGTGAACAGTGCTTGCACCTGAGGAGGACAGTGAAGGTGATGATCCCTACCCTTGATGGGCTTGAAGCCCAATTCAGATTATGCCCAAAGACAATGATAAGAGAATACTTGCTGCTTATAAAGAAAAATACAAGCGTGTTCTAACACAGTCCCTCAGTGCAGGGATGGGGCCAGAAATGGGGAGGGGTTGGTGAATTAGGGAAGGTTTCTGCTCTGCTCTTGTGTCCCTGAGTTCCGAGTGGTAGTCTGCCTTCTCTCCCTGACTCTCCCATGAACCTTTCAGGCCCCATTCTGTTCCCTGGCTGCCCAGACCTCCCTACCCTGCCTCTTTCCCATAGAGGAATTGCCGGAGCTCTGAAAATCCTAATGAAGTGTTCCGCTTCTTGGTGGAGGAAAAGATCAAGTGCCTGGCCACAGAGAAGGTGAAGTACACCCAGCGAGTTGACTACATCATGCAGCTGCCTGTGCCCATGGATGCAGCCCTTAACAAAGGTAGGCTGCTCCATCAGCAAGGCCGTGGCACGGTGGGAGGCTAAGGTCTAGGAGGAATGCTTGGGCACCTCATGGGAGCACAGCCCAGGGAATGCCCTGCTTCACCAGCCAAGGTTCCAGTCTGGGCCACCAGGAGTAGGTAGATTAACCTCGTCCAGTGGACACTCAGCTTGTTAGCAGAGCTGCATGGAAACAGGCGAGATATATTGGACATGTGTCAGGGGTGCTTTGGAAGGGTAGAGGAACTGAAATACGGACACAGAGCCAGTAGGGAGAGGCTAAGGAGGCAAAGAAGCAGCACCCTCCGAAGGATCCACCAACCCATTCTGTCACCAGAGGAGCTTCTGGAGTACGAGGAGAAGAAGCGGCAAGCCGAAGAGGAGAAGATGGCACTGCCAGAACTGGTTCGGGCCCAGGTGCCCTTCAGCTCTTGCCTGGAGGCCTACGGGGCCCCTGAGCAGGTCGATGACTTCTGGAGCACGGCCCTGCAGGCCAAGTCAGTAGCTGTCAAGTAAGTCCTCTGGTCGGGGCCTGAGGCTGTGGGTCTATGGCAGAGCTATCCCAGAGGATACTTCTGTCTCTTCCCTGTTCTTTCATCCCTTTGTGGTTGGAACCTCAGGGTTGAATCAGTTGGGCTGGTAATCTGGCCCTGATGGAACCAAGGGGCCCTGGTAGGGGGGACACGGGTACTGACTCTATCTGTCACCTTGTCCTGCCCCAACCACTCCCTCTTCTGTGGCACAGGGTCTCTTTGTAGTGTAGCCTCTCTTCATTGCCCCTCAGTCATGGCTGAGCACAGGCACTTAGGATCAGCTGTGGGCAGAATTTGGATTTCCAGCAAATAGCCACACTTTGAGCCTAGCCATTGGCACCTGGCATGGGTGTGAGACCTGAAAAAGGGCTTTGGTCTCGGGGAGTCAGCTACCCAGCCCTTTGCTGCTCCTGCCAGTGAAACAGCTCTTCCTCTCTGTGTGGGTTTTTTTTTTTTTTCTATGTGTGGGTCTTGCTATGTTTTTTTCCCTACGTGTGGGTCTTGCTATGTTGCCCAGGTTGGTCTCTTAACTCCTGGGCTCAAGCAGTCGTCCTGCCTTGGCCTCCCAAAGTGCTGGAATTACAGATATGAGCCACCATGCCTGGGCTTTTTTCTTTTTCTTTTTTTTGTTGACAGCCTTCCTTCTGGCCTCTACTGCTCCTCGTTGGCCGAGGACAGGCATCAGACACCTGCCCAGGGGAAGAGAAGAATATGGAGGATCTTCTGGGTTATTGGGACTTCTACCCATGAGGGGCTGAACCCCAGGTGGGAGTTTCAGGAGAGGAAAACCCTGGGGATTGTCTGGGTACCAGCACAGTCTCTCTTCCCTAGGACCACACGATTTGCCTCATTCCCTGACTACCTGGTCATCCAGATCAAGAAGTTCACCTTCGGCTTAGACTGGGTGCCCAAGAAACTGGGTATGGCTGCTGGAATGAGGGAGGTTACACAGAAAATGCTAGAAAAAGAAGGGGCTTTAACACATATAAACTAGTGTTTCTCAAAGTTTCCTCTGAAAGAGGAAAAAAAATCACCTTCAATGTTTCAAAATTTATCTAGTTTGAAAGCACTAACTAAAAATATTAAAAGACTTCTTTGATTGTTATAGGTATGATTTACAACCAAAAGTGATTTTTGTAGTTTTTTAAAATAATTGGTAAAATGTTTTCATTTTGATAATCTTGAAACAATTAATTCTCGTGAGTCTTACAGGTCCCTGACTGTCATTTGAGAACTCGTGATGTACCTTCATTTTCTAGATAAGGAAGTTGAGACTCACAGGAATATAAAATCATTCTGTCTCACAAGTTCTAGGCCCCCTGCCCTGTCCATAGATTATTTATGGTAGATCTAGGACCAGCATCCTGGCCTCCCAACTCCCAGGCTTAGTATTATTTGTCTTATACTGGGACCCCTAAGATGGGTGCCGTGCTTTTAGCAGCTCCTCTTTACAGAGCAGTTCTGACATAGGGGGCAGGGGATTGAGGTTCCCGAATCACTTTCCAGGTAGGCCTCCGGGAGCTGCTGAGGTGACCCTTTTCCCACAGATGTGTCCATCGAGATGCCAGAGGAGCTCGACATCTCCCAGTTGAGGGGCACAGGGCTGCAGCCCGGAGAGGAGGAGCTGCCAGACATTGCCCCACCCCTGGTCACTCCGGATGAGCCCAAAGGTAGCCTTGGTTTCTATGGCAACGAAGACGAAGACTCCTTCTGCTCCCCTCACTTCTCCTCTCCGACATGTTAGTGACTCTTCTTCCTGCCTGTCTCTCTCCCGTGCTGATGGGGGCCTCTCTGCCTTGCATCCCCTGCCCCTGTCCTTTGTGTTTCTCCTGTCCTCCCTTTCAAATTTCCTCTGCCCTCTTTGATTGACATGGGGCCTCCCCAGCGCACTCCTAGCCACCTTCTGGGTGTGGATGGCAGCAGTGCCAGCTAGTGGCCTCTCTGCCCTTGTTACCTCCCTGGTTTGGGTAGGGTGGGGGTATCATGCTCCAGAAACAGGGCCCATTCTGTGAGAATGGGCAGGGACCCACATTACAATTGTGTGGTCATTTTGGTTTTGGGATAAGGTGCCAATCCATGGGAGAAAAATGCATGGAATGGGTGATTGGAAGAGGGCTGGGTCCTGGGGGAGGGAGGAGGAGCAAACAGTGGCCCAATCAGTCGGTCCGTGTACCCACAATTCCCATTACAGCGCCCATGCTGGATGAATCAGTCATCATCCAGCTGGTGGAGATGGGATTCCCTATGGACGCCTGCCGCAAAGCTGTCTACTACACGGGCAACAGCGGGGCTGAGGCCGCCATGAACTGGGTCATGTCACACATGGATGATCCAGGTAGGCTGGGGTGGGGAGCAGGGTGGGGCAGGGCCTCCATCCTCCCCCAAACACATCAACCCCTTCACATCCACAGATTTTGCAAACCCCCTCATCCTGCCTGGCTCTAGTGGGCCGGGCTCCACAAGCGCAGCAGCCGACCCCCCTCCTGAGGACTGTGTGACCACCATTGTCTCCATGGGCTTCTCCCGGGACCAGGCCTTGAAAGCGCTGCGGGCCACGGTATGGGCTGCCCCAGCTAAGGACATGGGGCCAGTGGGGAAGAAGGGGGTGGGAATGAGGGGCCATCCTTCTTGAGCAAGACCAAAGACAACAGGTGTGGTCTGGCCGAGGTTGGGCACCACTCTTTTGTGGCTGCGATGAAGGAGCTGAAGCCTGCGTTCACTGCTGGGTTTTTTGCCCCAGAACTTGTTAAAAATGTAATGCTTCTGTTTGGCCGGGCGCGGTGGCTCACGCCTGTAATCCCAGCACTTTGGGAGGGTGAGGTGGGCGGATCACGCGGTCAGCAGATCAAGACCATCCTGGCTAACACGGTGAAACCCCGTCTCTACGAAAAATACAAAAAATTAACCAAGCGTGGTGGTGGGCGTCTGTAGTCCCAGCTACTTGGGAGGCTGAGGCAGGAGAAAGGCGTGAACCCGGGAGGCGGAGCTTGCAGTGAGCCGAGATCGCGCCACTGCACTCCAGCCTGGGCGACAGAGCAAGACTCCGTCTCAAGAAAAAAAGTAATGCTTCCTTCCTCTCCAAGAACAATAGTTTAGAACGGGCTGTGGACTGGATCTTCAGTCACATTGACGACCTGGATGCTGAAGCTGCCATGGACATCTCAGAGGGCCGCTCAGCTGCCGACTCCATCTCTGAGTCTGTGCCAGTGGGACCTAAAGTCCGGGATGGTCCTGGAAGTGAGTATCCCCAGGAAGCAGGACAGGCCTGGTGGAATCTGGTCAGTCTACTACACCAGATCCCTCATTCAGGCAGCTCTGCCCTCCTCAGGAGTCAGGGGCTTCTTTCCACCTCAACGTGGCATCTGAGGGTGGGGTTCTCTGACATGGAGACAGGCTCTGGCCCAGTACCTGCCTCACATTCCCTGAAACTCCTGTCCTGAGTCTGAGCTGTTGTCTGGATCTTTGGGCCATCACTCAAGCATTCCTCTTCTGTTTCCTTCTCTGACCCCCTCTCTCCTTTCCTAGAGTATCAGCTCTTTGCCTTCATTAGTCACATGGGCACCTCTACCATGTGTGGTCACTACGTCTGCCACATCAAGAAAGAAGGCAGGTGAGTGCTGGCCACATGCGTTTTGAATGGAGAATGGTGGTGGGAATGAGGAGGGCCATTTGGAAGTCCTTGGGATAGCTATGGGAGAAGGTGAAGGGACTGCCTGATGGGGACATAAAGTGCCAGAGAGTGACAGAAGGTCTTGCAGCAGTGATTGGCCCAAGGGTTGGATCTGGCCACCAGCTTTTTTTTTAAATAGAGATGGGATCTCACTATGTTGCCCAGGCTGGTCTTGAACTCCTGAGCTCAAGTGATCCTTCTGCCTCGGCCTCCCAAAGTGCTAGGATTACAGGCATGAGCTACCGTGCCTGGCCAGGCCCCCTGCCTTTGTAAATAAATTTTCACTGGAACCTGGACACACTTGTTTATGTGTTGTTTGTGCCTGTTTTCACGCTGCGGCAGGAAAGTTGAGTCGTTGTGTCAGAGACCAGAGAGAGAGCCTGCAGAACCTCAAATACTATCTGGCCCTTGCCAGAAAAAGTTTACCAACCCCCTGCCTCCCTGGAATGGGTGGAGGGTGGTTGTAAAGGTACTGGAGGATCTGAAGACATAATAGGGTCCGTGACCCTTGTGAGGTTGTGAAGCTCCCTTAAGGCACATGGTGGCTGGGCTGTGGATTTGGGGTATGGGCAGAGAGTGTGGAGAGCACTTCCAGGGGCCATGTCTGAGAGACTACATGATGCCACTTTGAATGCCCAGTTTGTTCATCCTTTTCTGTTTTCCCCACTTCCCCAGATGGGTGATCTACAATGACCAGAAAGTGTGTGCCTCCGAGAAGCCGCCCAAGGACCTGGGCTACATCTACTTCTACCAGAGAGTGGCCAGCTAAGAGCCTGCCTCACCCCTTACCAATGAGGGCAGGGGAAGACCACCTGGCATGAGGGAGAGGGGCTGAGGGATGGACTTCAGCCCCTCTGCTCTGTACCCTTTTTCCTTTTGTCCCCGGCAGCAGGGAAGAAGCTGGAGGCCGTGGGAGAATGGCTGGGCAGAGCAGAGGGGCAGCGATAGACTCTGGGGATGGAGCAGGACGGGGACGGGAGGGGCCGGCCACCTGTCTGTAAGGAGACTTTGTTGCTTCCCCTGCCCCCGGAATCCACAGTGCTCTGCTTCTCTGTGTCGCCCCGCCCAGCCCCCTGGTGTGGAGGGAGGGGTCTCGTTTGTGCGCGTGGGTGTAGCTTTGTGCATCCTCTCCCAGTGGAGCGATCACCTGTGCCTCCCCTCCCCCTTTGTTTGCCCCTGTGTGGTTGGTCAAGGAGGGATGTGAGGGAAATAGGGACCCCCCGACTTGCCCTCCTGCCTCAGTCTTTCCCCCACCCTGTCTCTTCCTTGTCCTTCTCTGGAAAATGCCAAAATACACGATGTGAATAAAAGTACAACGGCTAAATTGTGTCCTGTTTGATACCTTGGGGGAGAGGCTTACCTTCCTGGGGTTAGCAGGAGGGCGCTTAAGAAAACTCCTAACTCTGGCCGCCTCCCTGCCAAAGTCAAGTCTCCACTTTTCACTGGTTCTAGAGCTCTAGGAAAATTGGGGTTGGGTGGGGAGGTGGAGTAGAGTGACTAAATGCCGACACAAAGCCAAGGAAAGATGGAGTGAAGAACCCTTCCCTCTCTTTATTCACACAGGAGTGGAGGATTTCCCAAATGTCCCTAACTGGCTAGCTGGCTTCAGGCTGGGACTCAGTCCCTGCAGTTCCTGCCAGGCCTTGCCAGCCGGGGCGAGGGTTGGGATGATCCTGGCGGCCTATGCCTGTGTGGGCTGCCCCTCCCGCTGTGAACCCTGCATTTGTCCCGCAAGTTTTCACTCAGGTAGACTCCCTGGGTACAAGGGTGCCTGCTCAGCAGTCGGGCATGAGCTGCTCCGATGGGCGAAGGAGGTTGTCTATCCCACAGTTGGAGAGGGGCCCTCTCTGCCCCAGTGGGCGATCTGGGCTACGGCCAAGTTGCCACCAGCTAGTTCCGCTTGAAAACCACTTCTGGCCCCGTGGGGGACTCAAGTCGCCAAGCGAGGGTTCCCCTGAGCGCCGGAGCTCACAGGTCTCGCCTTGTCCCGAAAGCCCCGCAATCGAGGCGGAGGCGACCGAGCCCCCGACTCTCCTAGAACGTTGCCACAAGAAGGGGGAACGTCGGAACAGTGCATCATCGGGCGGCGGCCGGGGCGGCGGCAGGAGGGCGGGCGGGGGGCAGGGCTCCGGGGGACTGGGCGGGCCATGGCGGAGGACGGCGAGGAGGCGGAGTTCCACTTCGCGGCGCTCTATATAAGTGGGCAGTGGCCGCGACTGCGCGCAGACACTGACCTTCAGCGCCTCGGCTCCAGCGCCATGGCGCCCTCCAGGAAGTTCTTCGTTGGGGGAAACTGGAAGATGAACGGGCGGAAGCAGAGTCTGGGGGAGCTCATCGGCACTCTGAACGCGGCCAAGGTGCCGGCCGACACCGGTAAGCCCTCGCCGAGGAGGGGTCTGGCCGGGCCGGGGCCGGGGCCGGGGCAGGAGTGGCAGCGCCCTCTCCCGAGGCCCCGAGGCCCCGAGGCCGGTATCCGCGCGGACCTGATGCAGGGCTGTGGGACGAGGGCCGCTGGGGTCCGGGCAGGGGCCTCGCAGCCGCAGCCCCGTCGGTGCGTCGAGGGGGCAGGGCGGAGCACATGATGCCCCTTGGACTATGGGGCAGGTAAGGACGTTTTGGGTCTCCTGGAGGAAGGTGGCCCCGGGGCGCGCACTGGGGCTGTGCCCGCCAGGCGACGGGGTTAGGAGCGGAGCCCGAGGCTCTGCGGGAGACCGGGGGAGGCTGGGCCGCGTGGGCTTCCCGCTCCCTGCGCCCTGGCCTCCCGCGCCGTGCGCCGCCGCACGTAGCCCCAGACTCCTCCCCTTCCTCGCCGGCGTCCGCGTCCCCGCGCCGAGCTGCTCGGGCTCCCTGAGCCCCAGATCTGACCCCTTCCCTTCGGCAACCTGAACGACTCCCGCCTTCCACGGAAGGGACCGAGCCCGTGCCAAACAGGCTGAGCGATTTGGGAGTGAGGAGCCATCCTACCGCTTTCCCCAACCTGGAAACAGCAAAGCGCAAGGCCTCTGAGTCAGTTAGGTCTCTGCCACCCACGGGCAAAGGATGCTCTCCTCCATCCTCCTTCCTCCCTCCACCGAAATCGGAGAGCCGCGGGCCTGATCCAAAGAGGCATCCCCTTCTCGTTCATTCCCCAGAGGCCTCAATACAAACCCCAGGAGTTGGCCCCTCTCCTTTTGCTACAAATCCTTGCCTTGCAAAGGGGAGGTGAGGATGGGCTATTTTAGAAGGGAAGCAGGGTTGCTCCCTGGAGAATGCTGAGTCTGTGAGGTGCCTATGCCGAGAATAGCTCGAGGAAATTGGAGCCCCAGCTGTTAAAAGAGCAGAGGGCAGGGTGAGGGCCGTGGCCTCTCAGGGGTATCTGGAAGGCTCTTCGAGTTGAGTGCAGACCCAGCCTGGGCTGGAAAATGGACAAAGGTCATCTTGCTGGGGTGAAAAGGGGGAGAGCAGAACCAAGAAGAAGAGGGTGAGGGCTGGGGGGCTCCAGGGCACTGGTTAGGAATTGTGGGGAATGAAGGCTTTCTTTAGTCTCATCCCCCTGTGGTACCATCTTGTCCTCAGAGGTGGTTTGTGCTCCCCCTACTGCCTATATCGACTTCGCCCGGCAGAAGCTAGATCCCAAGATTGCTGTGGCTGCGCAGAACTGCTACAAAGTGACTAATGGGGCTTTTACTGGGGAGATCAGGTGAGATCGAGGTGGAGAGGGGTGTGTGGGACCCTTCCCTCACTTTCCTCGTTGAGGGGAAAGCCACAGGGTGGGCTCCCTGCTGAACCTTGGCTTCATCTCTTCCTTTAGCCCTGGCATGATCAAAGACTGCGGAGCCACGTGGGTGGTCCTGGGGCACTCAGAGAGAAGGCATGTCTTTGGGGAGTCAGATGAGGTTAGTAGCCAAGAGAGAAGATAAGGGATGTCTTTTTCCAAGAAGGATGTCTCACCAAGTCTGTTTCTCAACAGCTGATTGGGCAGAAAGTGGCCCATGCTCTGGCAGAGGGACTCGGAGTAATCGCCTGCATTGGGGAGAAGCTAGATGAAAGGGAAGCTGGCATCACTGAGAAGGTTGTTTTCGAGCAGACAAAGGTCATCGCAGGTATCTCTGGAGAAAGGGACCTTTGAGCCTATCCAGGGCCACAGAGACTCAGAGGGTAGGGTCAGGCCCTGGAGCCTGTCTTGGTCCCCATGCTGATCCAGAAAAGGAAAAAGGGGAGGGGGAGTGACAATCTTTGCTTGGGGCCTATGACTTCTCCAGCCCCAAGGTAGATGCCACCTGGAAATCCCCCAATGTCCACTAGGGGGCAGTAGGCCACCGTTCTTCGTACTCCGGAGAACCTGGCTGGAGAGCTCTTTCTTGTTCACCCTTCCCTCCATCTGTATCTCTGCCCTGCAGATAACGTGAAGGACTGGAGCAAGGTCGTCCTGGCCTATGAGCCTGTGTGGGCCATTGGTACTGGCAAGACTGCAACACCCCAACAGGTAACCGGGCCCAGGAGCCCTGCCCTCATCCCAGCCTGCCTCAATAGGTTTGGACAGACACAGCCCACATGGGGCAACCCCTTATTTCAAAGACACAGAGACCTTGAACCCAGAGACAGTGACTTGTCCAAGGGCATCCAGTCCAGGGCCTGGCTTGGATCAGAGCCCTGGTACTCTGACTCAGTCAGAAACCACACTAAGTGTCCACTGGTGCCAGTGATTTTTCCTCTTAGAGAGGCAGAAAAGGTCTTACTTAGGCCAGCTTCTTGTTCTAGGCCCAGGAAGTACACGAGAAGCTCCGAGGATGGCTGAAGTCCAACGTCTCTGATGCGGTGGCTCAGAGCACCCGTATCATTTATGGAGGTGAGTGGCTTTGGTTCCCGGCTGAGGTGGAGTGGGCTGAGGACTAGACTGAGCCCTCGGACATGGAGGTGGGGATGGGGCAGACTCATCCCATTCTTGACCAAGCCCTTGTTCTGCTCCCTTCCCAGGCTCTGTGACTGGGGCAACCTGCAAGGAGCTGGCCAGCCAGCCTGATGTGGATGGCTTCCTTGTGGGTGGTGCTTCCCTCAAGCCCGAATTCGTGGACATCATCAATGCCAAACAATGAGCCCCATCCATCTTCCCTACCCTTCCTGCCAAGCCAGGGACTAAGCAGCCCAGAAGCCCAGTAACTGCCCTTTCCCTGCATATGCTTCTGATGGTGTCATCTGCTCCTTCCTGTGGCCTCATCCAAACTGTATCTTCCTTTACTGTTTATATCTTCACCCTGTAATGGTTGGGACCAGGCCAATCCCTTCTCCACTTACTATAATGGTTGGAACTAAACGTCACCAAGGTGGCTTCTCCTTGGCTGAGAGATGGAAGGCGTGGTGGGATTTGCTCCTGGGTTCCCTAGGCCCTAGTGAGGGCAGAAGAGAAACCATCCTCTCCCTTCTTACACCGTGAGGCCAAGATCCCCTCAGAAGGCAGGAGTGCTGCCCTCTCCCATGGTGCCCGTGCCTCTGTGCTGTGTATGTGAACCACCCATGTGAGGGAATAAACCTGGCACTAGGTCTTGTGGTTTGTCTGCCTTCACTGGACTTGCCCAGATAATCTTCCTTTTTGAGGCAGCTATATAAATGATCATTTGTGCAAGAAAAAAAAAAAAACAAGAACAGGTTTCTATAACAACATCTCTTACTATTTTTACTTGAAAAAATGTTTTGCGTAGCAGACTGTCATAGCCTTGAACGCCGGCTCCCTTTCTTCCTCCCTCCAAGTGGCTCTGGGGCTGTTGATTTCCGCAGAGCTTGGGTTGGGGTAGGGGCTCAGCCTCACCAGCTTTCAGCAGCTGGTCTAGGCCAGCAGTGCCTCCCCACCTCCCCAAGGGGAGGGGTGGTGGCAAGACCTCAGCACAGTCTGTGGTATCACAGGGCTCACTGGTAGAGCAGGTAGCGCTTCATGGCAGGGGGCAAGGGCAGGGCAGACACCTGGCCGAGCCGGGTATCCCCCAGGTTGTGGCGCACACACAGGCGGCTCAGGTGCAGAAGGGAGTGTGGCTCCGCTGGGAGAGAGAAGGAGGGGAATGTAAGTATGGGTGCAGCCACCAGCCAGATGTCCTCAAACTACGGGGTCCTACTCAGATGCCTTTCTGCTTTCCTGCTTCGAGTGTGCCCACCTGGCTGAAAGGGGAATTTGAGATACCCGGAAGTTCTGCCTCCCAGATAAGATTTCACACATCCCTAGTCAGAGCTGGGGGTGAAGAGCTGGCTAAGGCCCTCTAAACAACAGGCCAAGGTGGCTCTGACAGTGGTGGAGCTGGCCCAGGCTTTGACTCCAGAGGCTTGGGAGCTGGGGCTGAGGTGAGGAGGGATGGCCCTCCACTCTACAGCCCACACAACTGCAGAGAGCAGCTCCAAGCCCTGGACCCAGTCAGTTCCTGGGGAGGCTCCTCCCCTGCTGCCCCACCCTAAGGCCCTGCCTCCTCCACTGCTCTCCTCCCTGGTGCCCAGGGCCCCAGTGTCTCCATCCAGAGGTGTGGCTGAGGAAGGAAGTAGGTATGTGGCACAGAGACAGGTTAGAGCCCAGGGAATCCGGTATACAGCCTGGGTACCTGGCTCTGCCCATCCTTCTTTTGGACCTGTACATCAAACCCAGTACCTAACGCTTTGCACCTCTTGCTCAGGGGTTGATATCTCCTGAATTCTCTCATCCCTGCAGTTCCTCCCTCCATTCTGAAGGTTCACCATTTACTGGCCAAGAGAACTTGAGAAAGTTGCTTTCTCAAGCCTGTTTCACCTCTATTGCTGTTGGGTTAAATTAAATAACAGCTGTGAAGACCCCTAGCCTTTCCCAGCACTGAACAGAGGTTGAGGCAGGCTGGATGAAGGTCCATCCCCTCTGCTCTTGTCAGAAGAGTTTCCATCCCAAACCACTGCCACCAGGGACAGAAAGTTCTCCCCACGTCTGCCCCAGGCCTCACCTCTCCTTTCGCCCAGGTAGCGGATGCGGACCTGGCACTGGCCCCAGACAGCGCTTACTGCCGGATAGAGGGTCCTGCCCTTCAGTCCGCGGAATGCTGGCCCCAGGTAGGTGCCCCCAATAGCGTAGCCCAGAGTTCCCTCCTCCATGTCCAGAACCACCAGCAGTCTCTCTGGCACCTCCAGCTGCTCACCCTGAGTTCCCGCTGGATACTGGGGGGCTCCGGGCCCCTTGCTCTGATGGTACAGCTTCCCCCGCCCGATGTCCCAGCCCCACGACTCGCTGTTGCTGCCCAGCAGCGCCGCGTAGTGGTCAGTCTGCAGCGGGGCGAGGGCCGTGGCCACGCCCACCACGGCATGCGTGCCCCTCTGCTCTAGGGGCCAGCTGATCTCCCAGGCGTGCAGGCCCCTTGAATAGCCCCTCTTACCCCGGGCCCCATCAGTGCTCTGGGCCACGGGCCGCCGCTCAAAGTACAACCCTCCTTCCTTGACCTCGATGTTCTCTGAACAGTCTTTGGGGTTCCAACCGTGGCGCCGCTGGGCCCCCAGGTCAGGAGGGGGTGCAGACAGCAGCTCTTCCAAGCCCTCGGGACAGGAGAGGTCAGGGTACAGGGCCTGTGGCGTGGGGGTGCTGCTGCTGCCCCCTGCCAGAGCTGTCTGGCCCATGGAGGTGAGGAGCTAGAGGACTCCCCGAAAGAGGCTTGCTGGGGCGTCTTTCTCTTCTGAAAGTTGAGCTCCAGTTTGGATTGACCTGGAAGGGAGCTGGGAGAAAAGGGGCGTGAAGAGCAGAATCCTGGCGGGGGCTCGTCACCCAGGTACCCCATCCTTTCACCCAAGTTTGCCAACGGGCCCGCTCCTCCCTCCTCGCTGCCCCAAAGCTCCTGGGCCCTTCATCTGCCCTCGCCCCATCTGATCCAGGTCGCCAGAGACTCTCGCGAGTTCGCCCCATTTGGGCCTCAGCATGGACCATCCCCCTTACTCGCCCGGAGCCCTCGCCGCTGCCCCCGAACCTCGGTTGACTTCCCAGCCCTGGAGGTCGCCGGGCCTCTGAAGGAGCCGGGCGGAAAGAAGCCGAGGCGCGCAGGGCGCAGACCGCCGGCCGCTTCCGCCCCCAGCTCCTCCCTTGGGCCGAGCCCGTCCCGCGGCCCCGCCCCTCCAGGGCCCTCTGGGGCTTAACCCTCTCATCGCCGCCCACGGCCGTGCAGCTCCGAGGCCACGCCCCTGTGGGGCCCCGCCCCCTCCTGGGCAGTTACCGCTCTATACCGGCAGCAGCCGCGGAGAGCATGCCCCGCCCCCGTGGAGCCCACCCCGGGCGGTTAACCTCGGGTCTCAGTCCCGGGCTGTGACCCTCCCCGAGGCCCCGCCCCCACGGCGAAGGCCCGGGGCAGTTAACCCTTCTCTTGCTGCGGCAGAGTCCGCACCCGGGCAGGCCCATCTCAGAATTAACGCTTTGATGGCATCACCGCGTCGGGAATCCCTGGGGATGGTGTTCTCCACCGTCAAGACCTTTGAGCCGCCTGAGCGACTAACTCCTGCGCCCCTGAGGGTAAGGAGCATGGGGTCAAGGAGGGGCTTCATTGTGCCGAATCCCATTTCTACTTCCCTGTGATTCTGGGTCACTGTTTCTGGGCTGGTCCCTTTCTGCCCCGGGTTGTGAGTCAGCCTGTGCCACCTCTGAGGCTGTGAAATCTGCTTCAGGCTCTAGGCTGTACGCATCATAGTTCTCCCTGCTGGTCCAGTCTTCATACTGGATGCCAATCCATTACTGAGCCGTTGATCTCATTTGGTAGAGTGTCCTGATTAAGACTTCGAGTTTGAGTGAAGCTATGCCACTAGTTAACTGCGCGATCTTGGGGAAGTTGCCCGATTTCTCTTTTTTTTTTTTTTGAGACAGGGTCTTGCTGTCACCAAGGCTAGAGTGCAGTGGCGCCATCACAGCCCACTGCAGCCTTGACCTCCTGGGCTCAAGTGATCCTCCTACCTCAGCCTCCCAAGTAGCTGGGACTACAGGCATGTGCTACCACACCCAGCTAATTTTTAAAAAAATATTTTTATTTTTATTTTTATTTTTTTCGAGACAGAGTCTTGCTCTTGTTGCCCAGGCTGGAGTGCAGCGGCACGATCTCGGCTCTCTGTAACCTCCATCTCCCAGGTTCAGGGGATTCTCCTGCCTCAGCCTCCTGAGTAGCTGGGATTACAGGCACCTGCCACCACGCCTAGCTATTTTTTGTATTTTTAGTAGACACAGGGTTTTGCCATGTTGGCCAGGCTGGTCTAGAACTCCTGACCTTGTGATCTGCCTGCCTTAGCCTCCCAAAGTGCTGAGATTACAGGTGTGAGCCACCACGTCCGGCCAAAAAAAAATTTTTTTTAGAGACAGGGTCTCCCAAAGTGCTGGGATTTCAGGCATGAGCCACTACGCCCAGCCCCAGATTTCTGTAGTTTTCTGTTATGTAAAATAGGAGCAATGATGGTAGTTACCTCACAGGGTTGTTGTGCAGTTGAAATAATCCAGGTAAAGCATGTAGCACAGAGCTGGGTACATAGTAGTCACTCACCAAGCATAGCTGTCAATGTGCTTAATGAGTGCCGACACTATAAGGAGGCAATATAATATAATGGCAAACATGCCAGCTGTGGGACCAGACTCCCCGGGCATGAATACCTGAAGGCCAGTGTGTGTATGACCTTGGGCAAATTACTGAACCTCCCTGTGCCTGTTTCTTCCTCTGTAAGACAGAGATCACATTAGTATCTATTGCATGGGGTTGGTAGTGAGAATCCAATGAGGTTATAGATGTAACACATTTGGAAGAGTTTCTGGTTCGCATTTAATGATTTGTGCTAAGCACTGGAGATTAAGCAGTGAATCCTTAAGGAGGTTACAAAGACTTTTATAAAATAATGTATCATGTAGTAATAGTAAATAAAATTATGGAGATATAAAGAAAGTACTATAGGAGTAAAAAGAATAGGACTCCTATCCGGGGTTCAAGCAGTTAGGAAAGGAGCATCTCCAAAAGAGGTTCACACCTGGGCTGAATCTTTTCATGTCCTAGAAGAGGTTCACACCTTCACACTGGGCTGAATCTTTCTCTTTTTTTTTTTGAGACGGAGTCTAAGCTCTGATGCCTAGGCTGGAGTGCAGTGGCGTGATCTCAGCTCACCTCTGCCTCCTGGGGTCAAGTGATTCTCCTGCCTCAGCCTCCCAAGTAGCTGGGACTACAAGCGTGCACCACCATGCCTGGCTAATTTTTGTATTTTTAGTAGAGACAGGGTTTCACTATGTTGCCCAGGCTGGCCTCGAACTCCTGACCTCGTGATCTGCCCGCCTCGGCCTCCCAAAGTGCTGGGGTTACCGGCATGAGCCACCGCGCCCAGCCTGGGCTGAATCTAAAAGGATGACCAGGAATTGGCCTGAGACGAGCCACTTCTCTGCAGTATGGAGGTTGGGTTACGGTTGCTGCATGTAGAAGATATTCCAGACAGAAGAGTCCGCATGAAAAAAAGCAAGAAGCAGCAGGTGGGTTTGGGGAAGTACGATATCTTCAAGGTTGCTACAGCCAGAAAGGAAGCATGAGAAGGGCCAGATAAGTAGACAGCAAGTCACAGAGGCCTTCTAGGCTGAGTTAAGGAATGCAAATGTTTTCCCATAGGACAGGCCAGTGATGGGGAGCCACTGTAGGATAGAAGAAGAGAGGAACATGGTCAGATAGGCATTTGATTTATTTATATATTTTGAGCCAGGGTCTCACTTTGTCACCCAGGCTGGAGTGGAGTAGCGTGATCACGACTCATGGCAGCCACAACCTCCTGAGCTCCGCTGATCCTCCTACCTCAGCCTCCTGAGTAGCTGGGACTACAGGTGCATACCGCCATGCCGAGCTAATTTATTTTTATTTTTTTAATTTACAAATTATTATTTCTTAATTTTTAAAATAGAGACAGAGTCTCAGTCTGTTGCCCAGGCTGGTCTCGAACTCCTGAGTCAAGCGATCCTCCTGCCTCAGCATCCCAAAGTACTGGGATTACAGGCGTGAGCCACTGTGCCTGGCCAGATCTGCATTTTAGAAAAACCACCCTGGCAGCAACATAGAGGAGCTTCAAGGGAAATAGAACTGGAAGTTGGCTGGGCGCGATGGCTCACACCTGTAATCCCAGCACTTTGGAAGGCTGAGATGGGCGAATCACCTGAGGTTTGGAGTTCGAGACCAGCCTGGCCAACATGGAGAAACCCTGTCTCTACTAAAAATACAAAATTAGCCGGGCATGGTGGAGCATGCCTGTAATCCCAGCTACTCAGGAGGTTGAGGCAGGAGAATTGCTTGAACCTGGGAGGTGGAGGTTGCGGTGAGCCGAGATCACGCCATTGCACTCCAGCCTGGGCAACAAGAGTGAAACTCTGTCTCAAAAAAAAAAAAAAAAAAGGACTGGAAGCAAAGACACCATTTCCAGCAGCCCAGGTGACAAGTGTCAACAGCCTGAAATAGGACAGTAGAAATAAGGATGAAAATAATTCAAGAAACACTGATGAAACGGCAAGATTTGGTGACTGATTAGATATGGAGTTGAGGCTGGGCACAGTGGCTCACGCCTGTAATCCCAGCACTTTGGGAGGCCGAGGCAGGCGGATCACCTGAGGTTGGGAGTTTGAGACCAGCCTGGCCAACATGGTGAAACCCTGTCTCTACTAAAAATACAAAAATTAGCTGTGTGTGGTGGTGGGCACCTGTAATCCCAGCTACTTCGGAGGGTGAAGCAGGAGAATTGCTTGAACCAGGGAGGTGGAGGCTGCAGTGAGCCGAGATGGCGCTACCGCACTCCAGCCTGGGCGACAGAGCAAGACTCCATCTCAAAAAAAAAAAAAAAAAAAAAAGAGAAAGGGAAGTTTCTAGCCTGGAAAAATTGATTGGAAGGTGGTGCCACCAATCAAGATGGAGATGACAGAAAGAGGAGTAATTGAGGGCAGGGGCAGGAGGGTGGGAGAGGGAGATGGTGAGTTCAGTTTAGGATATGTTTTTGAGGTGTCTGAGCCACAAGCAAATGGAACCATCCAGAACACACAAGAAAATGGCAGGTCTGGAGGCAGAATGAGAGGCCTGGGCTGGAGACAGGGATTTGGGAGGTGTGTCAGTCTTTAGTCAGGAGTTGAACTATGAGAATGAGTGAGTGAAATATGGGCGATGGGGACAAAGAGAGTGTGGAGCAACAGAAGGGTCAAGGAGAATAGAACAAGGTAGAAAATTCAGTTTTGATTACTTACAAGATTGTTTTGGTCAGAGGTCACTGGCAACCTTGGTGAGAGACAGCACATGTGGGGACTGGTAGGTGGAACTCCAGGCTGAAGGGGCTGGACTGTCACAAGCTTTACATTTTGAAGGAATAGAAAATGAGGAGAAGTAAATTACAATTATGTCACATAGTTAAAGTTACCCTTGGAAATCCCTTAGTAGGCTGGGTGCAGTGGCTCATTCCTGTAATCCCACCACTTTGAGAGGCTGAAGCAGGAGCTTGAGCCCAGGAGTTTGAGACCAGCCTGGAAGACTAGTGAGACCCCATCTCTACCAAATAATAATAATAAAATAGGCCGGACGCGGTGGCTGACGCCTGTAATCCCAGCACTTTGGGAGGCCGAGGCGTGTGGATCACCTGAGGTCAGGAGTTCAAGACCAGCCTGGCCAACATGGTGAAATCCCGTCTCTACTAAATATACAAAAAAAAAAAAATTAGCCAGGCGTGGTGGTGTGCACCTGTAATCCCTCAGCAGGAGAATTGTTTGAACCCAGGAGGCGGAGGTTGCAGTGAGTCAGGATGGCGCCACTGCACTCCAACATGGGCGACAGAGTGATACTCCATCTCAGAAAACAAAACAAAAAAATAAAATAGGCTGGGCATGGTGGCTCATGCCTGTAATCTCAGCACTTTGGGAGGCCGAGGCAGGTGGATCACTTGAGGTCAGGAGTTCGAGACCAGCCTGGCCAACATGGTGAAACCCCGTCTCTACTAAAAATACAAAAATTAGCTGGGCGTGGTGGCATGTGCCTATAATCCCAGCTACGCAGGAGGCTGAGGAAGGAGAATCGTGCCTGTAATCCCAGCTACTCAGGAGGCTGAGGCAGAAGAACCCGCAAGGCAGAGGTTGCAGTGAGCCAAGATCCTGCCACTGCACTCCAGCCTGGCGACAGAGCAAGACTCCGTCTCAAAAAATAAAGTAAAATAAAATAAAAATAATTGAGGACCACAAGAACTAGGAAAAAAAGAAAAAAGAAAAAAGAAAGGCCGAGGCAGGCAGATCACCTGAGGTCGGGAGTTTGAGGCCAGCCTGACCAACATGGAGAAACCTCGTCTCTACTAAAAATACAAAAATCAGCTAGGCATGGTGGCACATGCCTGTAATCCCAGCTACTCGGGAGGCTGAGGCAGGAGAATCGCTTGAACCTGGGAGGCAGAGGTTGTGGTGAGCTGAGATTGAGCCATTGCACTCCAGCCTGGACAACAAGAGCGAAACTCCATCTCAAAAAAAAAAAAAAAAAGAAAAAGAAAATCCCTCAGTTACTGCATCTGTTAGGTGAGCATATATTCGTTTGTGTAAAAATCACTATGTGGCTGTATATATATATATATATATATATATATATATATATATATATATATATATATATATAAAATGATGTACAAAATATTTTATAATGTTTTAAAGAGGAAGAAGAAAGCAGCACACTAAGAAGTAACTCAGGAATGGAAAACCAAACATCATATGTTCTCATAAGTGGGAGCTAAGCCATGAGAATGCAGAGGCATAAGAATGACACAATGGACCTTGGGTACTCAGGGGGAAAGGGTGGGAAGAGGTGGAGGGATAAAAGACTATAAATAGCGTTCAGTGTATACTGCTTGGGTGATGGGTGCACCAAAATCTCACAAATCACCACGAAAGAACTTACTCATATAACCAAACACCACCTGTTCCCCAATAACCTATGAAAATAAAATAATAATAAAAAGAAGAAGAAAGCATACTAAAATAAAGATATGAACCTGAAACTTGTCATCCACCCAACCTGGATATGCTTGCCAGTATGTGACATCAATAATAACATCATGACTGTAAGACCAGGCACAGTGGCTCACACCTGTAATCCCAGCACTTTGGGAGGCCAAGGTGGGCCGATTTGAGATCAGAAGTTGAAGACCAGCCTGGGCAGCATGATGAAACCCCGCCTCTACAAAAAATACAAAAAATTAGCCAGGCTTTGGTGGCTTGCGCCTGCCATCCCAGCTACTCAAGAGGCTGAGGCAAGAGAATCCCTTGAGTCTAGAATTGGAGGTTGCGGTGAGCCAAGATCAGGCCACTGCACTCCAGCCTGGGTGACAGAGCGAGACCCCGTCTCAAAAAATAAATAACATCATGACTGTGGGTGGCAGCCTATGATGAATAGTAGTGAAGGACCCATGTGATAACCAAGGCCTGGGGACAGAGAACAGTGCCTGCCCCATGGCTAGCTCTAGCTCAGCTTGAGAATTTAATCACGCCTGTGCTGCTGATGCTGCTGCTGCTGCTGCTACTGGTTGTTTAAAACATGGTTGTTGGCCGGGCACAGTGGCTCACGCCTGTAATCCCACCACTTTGGGAGGCTGAGGCAGGCAGATCATCTGAGATAAGGAGTTCGAGACCAGCCTGGCCTACATGGTGAAACCCCGTCTCTACTAAAAAATACATAAAAATTAGCCAGGCCTACTGGCACGTGCCTGTAGTCCCAGCTACTCAGGAAGCCGAGGCAGAAGAACCACTTGAACCCAGGAGGCGGAGGTTGCAGTGAGCCGAGATTGCGCCACTGCACTCCAGTCTGGGCGACAGAGGGAGACTTTGTCTCAAAAAAAAAAAAAAAAGGTTGTTTTAAACAATTCATCAGTTGATGCCACTGAATCTGGAGCTGGTCAAACATTTGTTGCTAAAAGGTAAAAAATTTCGTAATGCTACAAGTAATTTAAATTTTTTACTTAAAAATTAAAAAAAAAAAAAAATTGGCCGGGCATGGTGGCTCACACCTGTAATCCCAGCACTTTGGGAGGCCGAGGCGGGTGGATCACAAGGTCAAGAGATCGAGACCATCCTGGCTTTAGTAGAGACAGTGAAACCCCGTCTCTACTAAAAATACAAAAAAAATTAGCCAGGCGTGGTGGTGGGCGCCTGTAGTCCCAGCTACTCGGGAGGCTGAGGCAAGAGAATGGCGTGAACCCTGGAGGCAGAGCTTGCAGTGAGCCAAGATCACGCCACTGCACTCCAGCCTGGGTGACAGAGCGACATTCCATCTCAAAAAAAAAAAAAAAATTATAGATGAGGTCTTGCTATTTTGCCCAGGCTGGACTCAAATTCCTGGGTTCAAGTAATCCCCCCAACCTCAGCCTCCCAAGTAGCTGAGACTACAGGCATGTGCCACAATGCCTTTTTACTTATTTTATTATTTTGTTGAGACAGGGTCTCAGTGTACTCCAGGCTGGAGTGCAGTGGCACGACCATGACTCACTGCAGCCTCACCCCAGCCTCCTGAGTAGCTAGGACTACAGGCACATGCCACCAGGCCTGGCTAATATTTAACTTTTCGTAGAGACAGGGACTCTCTCTATGTTGCCCAGGTTGATCTCAAACTCCTGTACTCAAGCAATTCTCCTGCCTCGTCCTCCCAAAGTGCTGGGATTACAGGCATGAGCCACCATGCCTGGCTGTTTTTAAATTTTTATATATATATATTTTGAGACAAGGTCTGGCTCTGTTGCCCAGGCTGGAGTGCAGTGCACGATCTCGGCTCACTGCAACCTCTGCCTTCTGGGTTCAAGCAACTTTCCCGCCTCAGCCTCTGGAGTAGCTGGGACAACAGGCGCCCCGCCAGCATGCCTGGATAATTTTTTTGTATGCTTTTATAAAGACAGGGTTTCACCATGTTGCCCAGGTTGGTCTCGAACTCCTGGGCTCAAGCAATCCACCCATCTTGGTCTCTCAAAATATTGTGATTACAGGGGTGAGCCACTGCGATCGGTCCTTTTAAAAAAAAAGTCCCCTCCCACCACTGCCGTTTTTACTTTTTGATTGAGATGTAGCATATATAAAGCACACTAATCTTAAATTGCCCAGTGAACTTTTACATACATATACACTTGGGTGACAACCACCAAAAAGATCAAGATAAAGAATCCAGCTGGCTGGGCACGGTGGCTCACACCTATAATCCCAGTACTTTGGGAGGCTAAGGCAGGGGATCACTTGAGCTCAAGAGTTCTGAGATGAGCCTGGGCAACATAGGGAGACCTCGTCTCTACTAAAAATTCAAAAAAGTTAGCTGGGTGTGGTGGTGCACGCCTCTAGTCCCAGTTACTCTGGTGGGCTGAGGTCGGAGGACTGCTTGAGGCTGCAGTGAGCCCTGACCATGCCCACTGCACTCCAGCCTGAGTGACAGAGCTGGATGCTGTCTTAAAAAAACAAAAACAAGGCCGGGCGCGGTGGCTCACGCCTGTAATCCCAGCACTTTGGGAGGCCGAGGCGGGTGGATCACGAGGTCAGGAGATCGAGACCATCCTGGCTAACACGGTGAAACCCCGTCTCTACTAAAAATACAAAAAATTAGCCGGGCGTGGTGGCGGGCGCCTGTAGTCCCAGCTACTCTGGAGGCTGAGGCAGGAGAATGGCGTGAACCCGGGAGGCGGAGCTTGCAGTGAGCCGAGATCGCGCCATTGCACTCCAGCCTGGGTGACAGAGCAAGACTCCATCTCAAAAAACAAACAAACAAACAAACAAACAAAAACACAAAAAAAGAATTCAGCATCTGTCTTGCTCTTTCCCTGATGATACATTCCCAAGGGTAGCTCCTATTAGACCCCCTATCAGTATAGATTAGTGTTGTCTGTTCTTCAATTTCATATAAATGGAATCATAATGTCAAATGCAGTGTCACTTGCCTCTAGTCACAGCTACTTGGAAGGCTGAGATGTGAAGACTACTTGAGCTCAGAAGTTCCACTGCACTCCAGCCTGGGTTACAGAGGGAAACCTTGTCTCTAAAAAAAAGAAAAAAGAAAGAAAGAAAAAGAAAACATAGTATGTATTCTTTGTGTCTTTCCAGCATTGTATCTGTAAGTCATCCATGTTCTTGCATGAAATAGCTCATAATTTTCATTGTCATATAGTATTCCATCATCTAAATATACCACAATATATCTATTGTACTGTTGATGGATTTTTTTTTTAAGACAGTCTTGCTCTCTCGCCCAGACAGGAGTGCAGTCGTGCGATCTCGACTCACTGCAACCTCCACCTCCCAGGTTCAAGCAATTCTCGTGCTTCAACCTCCTAAGTAGCTGGGACTTCAGGCATGTACTACAACGCCTGGATAATTTTTGTATTTTTAGTAGAGATGGGGTTTCACCATGTTGGCCAGGCTGGTCTCAAACTCCTGACCTCAGGTGATCCACCTGCCCCAGCCTCCCAAAGTGCTGGGATTACAGATGTGAGCCACTGTACTGGGCCTGTTAATGGATATTTAAATTGTTTCCAGTTTTCCACCATTATAAAGTTGCCATGTACATTACTGTACAAGTCTGTTAACAAAAGACCATGAGGCCTGCAGAAGAAAAACAAAGGAGAGCTTTATTTTTTGGAAAAAAAAAAAAAATTCCAAATTGGGGAATGCTGCTGGTTTACACACTGTTCACTGGAATAAAGTCTCTTCCCTCTGAATTCCTTTACAGCCTGTGATCCCAGTATTTTGGGAAGCTGAGATGGGAAGATCAGTTGAGGCCAGGAGTTGGGGACTAGCCTAGGTAGTATATCGAGACCTCCTTAGCCAATAATTTTTTTTTTCTGTTGCCCAGGCTGGAGTGCAATGGCACTATCTCGGCTCACTGCAACCTCTGCCTCCCGGGTTCAAGTGATTCTCCTGCCTCAGCCTCCCGAGTAGCTGGGATTACAGGCATGCGCCACCATGCCCAGCTAATTTTGTATTTTTAGTACAGACAGGGTTTCTCCATGTTGGTCAGACTGGTCTCGAACTCCCGATCTCAGGTGATTCACCCGCCTTGGCCTCCCAAAGTGCTGGGATTATAGGCATGAGCCACTGGGCCCGGCCAATAAAAAAATTTTTTAATTAGTTGGGTGATGGTGCACACCTGTAGTCCTAGTACTCAGGATGCCAAAGTGGGAGGATTGCTTGAGTCCAGGAGTTCAAGGCTGCAGGGGCTGCGAATGTGCCACTGCACTACAAACTGGGCAACAGAGTAAGACCCTGTCTTTTAAAACAAACAAACTAATAAACAAAACAAAACCAAATTCCTTTTCAGAGAACTTTTTTCACAAGTCTTTGGTGGAGCTAGGCATGCATTTTTCTTGGGTGCAAAACTATGTGCAGAATTGCTGGGTAATAAGGGATTACAACATATAGATTTAACCACATGCAATTTTCTGATTTCTTTCCATAGGGACATTTTATTCAGAAATTAAATCATTCAGAGTTCCAGCACTGTCGGGGGTCATCGGGCTCTGTCCACCGCCATAGGCCTAGCATTGTCACCAACGGAGCCATAGAGGGACCTCGGCCCAAGCTGGGGCCTCTTCATTGTCGAAGAAGGCCTCTTGCCAGACCAGGATCTGTGGGCGCGGCCAGGCTGGAGGACTAGGGCGGTGGCAGTGGCCAGGTGAGTGCACATGGCTGTGGGTGGTCCCTCAATTGCTCCCTCCTCTCTTTCGCTACCCCCTGGGCTGGAGGGAGGCAGGGCACCCAGCCGGAATGGCATGATCCTGAAGCCCAACTTCCACAAGGACTGGCAGTGGTGTGGCCATGTGGCTCAGCCAGCCCATGGGGCAGACCTGCAGAAGCAAGGTGGCCAGCAAAAGCAGGCTGCATGGCCCACTGATATGGGCCCATCCACCCATAGTAAGGTGCCCCATGCTGAGGCATCACTACAAAGCACAAGCTGGCAGGGGCCTCAGCTTGGAGGAGTTAAGGGTGGCTGGCATTTACAAGAAGGTGGCCCAGACCATTGGCATCTCTGAGGATGCAAGGAGGAGGAACCAGTCCACCCAGGCCCTGCAGGCCAAGGTGCAGAGGCTGAAGGAGGACCGCTCCTCACTCATCCTCTTCCCCAGGAAGCCCTTGGCCCCCAAGAAGGGAGACAGTTCTGCTGAAGAACTCGAACTGGATACTCAGCTGACAGGACCAGAAATGCCCATCGGCAATGTCTACAAGGAGAAAGCCAGAGTCATCGCTGACTAGGAGGAAAACTTCCAGGCCTTGTTAGTCTCTGTATGGCCCATGCAAATGCCCAGCTCTTCGGCATATAGGCACAAAGAGCCAAGGAAGCTGTAGAAGAGGACGCTTAAAAAAAAAAAAAACGGGTAGGCTCGAGCCGCTGCATCAGCTTCGCGCTGGGTCTCTCGGTCCCGCAGCCATGAGGAGGACGCTGCCCAGACTCACTACCCGCCCTCTCAGTCCCGCAGCCACGAGGAGGACGCTGCCCAGACTCACTACCCGCCGGCTCCCTCCCCCGCGTCCCTGTGGTGGTGGGCGAAGATGACCTGTTGTGCATCAGATGCCTTTGAGACATACAACTGGAGATGTGAGATAGGAAATTGAATGTAAAGACTGGAAGCTCGGCAGAGCAGAACTCTGAACAACGTGCCTCAGGAGTGCAAGTTGCTGATGAAGTGTGTCGCATTTTTTATGACATGAGAGTTCGTAAATGCTCCACACCAGAAGAAATCAAGAAAAGAACAAAGGCTGTCATTTTTTTGTCTCAGTGCAGACAAAAAGTGCATCATGTAGAAGGCAAAGAGATCTTGGTTGGAGATGTTGGTGTAACTATAAGTGAGCCTTTCAAGCATTTTGTGGGAATGCTTCCTGAAAAAGATTGTTGCTATGCTTTGTATGATGCAAGCTTTGAAACAAAAGAATCCAGAAGAATTGATGTTTTCTTGTGGGCATCAGAACTAGCACCTTTGAAAAGTAAAATGATCTATACAAGCTCCAAGGATGCAATCAAAAAGAAATTTCAAGGCATAAAACATGAATGGCAAACAAACGGACCAGAAGATCTCAATCGGGCTTGTACTGCTGAAAAGTTAGGTGGATCCTTTTTTTTTTTTTTTGAGATGGAGTCTTGATCTGTCGCCCAGGCTGGAGTGCAGTGACAGGATCTCGGCTCACTGCAACCTCTGCCTCCCGGGTTCAAGTGATTTTCCTGCCCAGCCTCCTGAGTAGCTGGGATTATAGCGTGCGCCACCACACCTGGCTAATTTTTGTATTCTTAGTAGAGTCAGGGTTTCACCATATTGGTCAGGCTGGTCTCGAACTCCTGACCTCGTGATTTGCCCTCCTTGGCCTCCCAAAGTGCTGGGATTACAGGCGTGAGCCAGCATGCCTGGCCAGTGGATCCTTAATTGTAGCCTTTGAAGGATGCCCTGTGTAGATCATCATTCAGTGCCACAAATTGAAAGCTTCCACGTTTAATGTTATCCTCTTGCTATATAAATAAAGCAAATATATTTAGGCCAGGGTCTCACTGAGGGGAGCTGTCTTGTCATCTTTTAGAGTAAACTAAATACTCTATAAACATATGCAAACAGCCCTAAATATATCTGTAGGGGTGGGTTGCCCCTCCACACCTGTGGGTGTTTCTCGTAAGGTGGGACGAGAGACTTGGGAAAGAAAAAGACACAAAGTATAGAGAAAGAAATAAGGGGACCCGGGGAAGCAGCGTTCAGCATATGGAGGATCCTGCCAGCCTCTGAGTTCCCTTAGTATTTATTAATCATTTGTGGGTGTTTCTCGAAGAGGGGGATGTGTCAGGGTCACAAGACAATTGTGGGGAGAGGGTCAGCAGACAAACACGTGAACAAAGGTCTTTGCATCATAGACAATGTAAAGGATTAAGTGCTGTGCTTTTAGATATGCATACACATAAACATCTCAATGCTTTACAAAGCAGTATTGCTGCCCGCAGGTCCCACCTCCAGCCCTAAGGCGGTTTTTCCCTATCTCAGTAGATGGAGCATACAATCGGGTTTTATACCAAGACATTCCATTGCCCAGGGACAGGCAGGTGACAGATGCCTTCCTCTTGTCTCAACTGCAAGAGGCATTCCTTCCTCTTTTACTAATCCTCCTCAGCACAGAACCTTTACGGGTGTCGGGATGGGGGATGGTCAGGTCTTTCCCTTCCCACGAGGCCATATTTCAGACTATCATATGGGGAGAAACCTTGGACAATACCTGGCTTTCCTAGGCAGAGGTCCCTGCGGACTTCCGCAGTGTTTGTGTCCCTGGGTACTTGAGATTAGGGAGTGGTGATGACTCTTAAGGAGCATGCTGCCTTCAAGCATCTGTTTAACAAAGCACATCTTGCACCGCCCTTAATCCATTTAACTCTGAGTTGACACAGCACATGTTTCAGAGAGCACGGGGTTGGGGGTAAGGTTATAGATTAACAGAATCTCAAGGCAGAAGAATTTTTCTTAGTACAGAACAAAATGGAGTCTCCTATGTCTACTTCTTTCTACACAGACACAGTAACAATCTGATCTCTTTTGCTTTTCCCCACATATATCTAAAGTCTAAAGTTGTTTTTTTAAAAAAAAAAAAGAAAAGAAAAGAAAAGAAAAAAGAAAATAGCCAGGCGCGGTGCTCACGCCTGTAGTTCTAGCACTTTGGGAGGCGAAAGTGGGTGGATTGTTTGAGCTCAGGAGTCCAAGACCAGCCTGGGCATCACGGTGAAACCCCATCTCTACTTTAAATATACAAAAAATTAGCCAGGCATGGCGGCGTGTGCCTGTAGTCCTGGCTACGAGGGAGGCTGAGGCAGGAGAATTGCTTGACCCTGGGAGGCAGAGGTTGCAGTGAGCCGAGATTGTGCCACTGAACTCCAGCCTGGGCCACAGAGCAAGACTCTGTCTCAAAAAAAAAAAAGAAAAGAAAAGAAAAGAAAAAAAATAAAGCCCTGTTGAGGACTTGTAATATATCAGGAATAATGCAAAAAAAAAATTATTCAGACATTTTGCAGCATGAAACACTTCAGTAAATTTATGAAGCTTTAGTTTGGTCTTTTCCTTTTTCTCCTGAGGGTGATTTTTATCAGTTCCTCAAGATTTTTTATTAGTGTTTCTCTGTGGCTCTCAAAAACTTCTTTATTTTTATGATTATTTCCTTATATTTTAGAGACTGGGTCTTACTCTGTCACACAGGCTGGAGTGCAGTGGCGAAGTAGCTCACTGTCACCTTGAGCCATGATCAAGGGATCCTCGGCTTCAGTCCCTCAAAGTGCTGGGATTACTGGCATGAGCCACCATACCTGGCCAGGCCAAGAAGTTCTTTACTTTCTTCCTCAATGATGTATAAACAAAGCCATCACGATCCACTTGCTAGGCGACTTGCACAATGAGTTTCACTTCTTTGTCAATAGAAACCCTTGGCCAGGCGCGGTGCTCACGCCTGTAATCCCAGCACTTTAGGAGGCCGAGGTGGGTGTATCAGTTGAGGTCAGGAGTTCAAGACCAGCCAGGCCAACATGGTGAAATAATACTAATAATGTAAAATAATATCTCTACTAATAATACAAAAATTAGCCAGGCATGGTGGCACATGCCTGTAATCCCAGCTACTTGGGAAGGTGAGGCAGGAGAATTGCTTGAACATGGGAGGTGGAGGTTGCAGTGAGCTGAGATCACACCACTGCATTCCCGTCTGGGCAACAGAGCAAGACTCTGTCTCAAAACACAAAAAACAAAAAAAAAAAAGAGAAAGAAACCCTTAAAATTCTGAACACATTCCACATGCATTGACTGTCAGGCTTCGTTGCTTCCATTACCTGTTTGTTTGTTTGTTTGTTTATTTATTTATTTATTGAGACAGGGTCTTGCTGTATCACCCAGGCTGGAGTGCAGTAGCATGAGCATGGCTCACTGCAGCCTCAACTTTCCCAGGCACAGGTGATCCTCCTGCCTGCACCTCCTGAGTAGCTGGGACTACAGGTGCACACCACCACGTTCAGCTAATTTTCTGCAGAGATGAGGTCTTGCCATGTTGCCCAGGCTGGTCTTGAACTCTTGGACTCAAGAGATCTGCAGCCTCCCAAAGTGCTGGGATTACAGGCGTGAGACACCACACCTGGCCTCCCATTGCCTGTTTAAATAGAAATGATGCAACTAGCAATATGGAAGGACTTCCAGATCTTTACCACATTAAGATTAGGGTCAGCATCCATGGCTCTGGGAGTCAAGGGAGAATCTCAGCCTAATGTATGTGGCTTTGAAACAGCAAATAATGCTTAGATCAGCAGAGTGAAGGATGGAGTCATGTTGGGACAGGAAACCTTCATTCAGCGCCTTTATGAGCACATTCATAAAGTGTGTGGTACATCAGTGTGGTATTGTTGTGTCCTGCAGCACAAAGCCAGATTTTTTCTCTTTGAGGTCCTGCTTGACTTCTAGAATGAAGATATTTGAAACTGAATCAGGGAAAGTACTACAGTCACCCAGGACTTTGCATTTGATTGCTAGAGCACAGGCAGGTTTTTGTTTGTTTGTTTTTTTTGACAGTCTCGCTCTGCAGCCGCGGCTGGAGTAAAGTGGCTCAATCTCTGCTCACTGCAAACTCTCCCTCCCAGGTTCAAGCAATTCTGTCTCAGCCTCCCGAGTAGCTGGGATTACAGGGGTGTGCCACCATGCCTGGCTAATTTTTGTATTTTTAATAGAGATGGGGTTTCACTGTGTTGGCCAGGCTGTCTTGAACTCCTGACCTCAAGTGCTCTGCCCATCTCAGCCTCCCAAAGGCTGGGATTACAGGTGTGAGCCACCGTACCGCCGTTTTTTGTTTGTTTGTTTTGTTTTTTTTTTTAAAGGGCACCAGGATTTGTAGAATGACAGCCCTGTAGAACTACACTGCCCCTGCACTTGGGGGCAAGGGCAAAGGGTGGAGGGGAATAGCATTCAGAAGATCATGAGTTGCTTTCAAACCAGGGCCTTGTGTTTCTAGTTTGGAAATATTAAATGCAGTTGGGCATCTTTCCCCAGAAGATAGCAACCACTAACCTCATGGTATTCTGGAAGATGGCCTTTTCACCAGTAATTTTTCTTTTTTTTGAGATGGAGTCTTGCGCTGTTGTCCAGGCTGCAGTGCAGTGGCACGATCTTGACTCACTGCAACCTTTGCCTCCTGGGTTCAAGCAATTCTTCTGCCTCAGCCTCCGAGTAGCCGGGATTATAGTGCCCATCACCATGCCCGGCTAATTTTTGTATTATTAGTAGAGACGGCATTTCACCATGTTGGCCAGGCTGGTCTCGAACTCCTGACCTCATGATCCACCTGCCTTGGCCTCCCAAAGTGCTGGGATTACAGGCGTGAGCCACCGTGCCTGGCCTATGCCAATAAACCTTTCTAATAGCTCTGAGTGGGTTGTGCTGTCTGTTCCTCTACAGACACATCTCACCAATAGTTTGTGTGTTTTTGAGGTTTAAATGGGCTTCTAAAATCATTATGCCATCCTTGGCTGGTTTTGAAATCTTTCCATCCAAAGGCTGACTTCTCTAGTAGGAGGTTTGAACTATGACTTGAGATGAAGAGTTTTTTTCTTCTCTTTTTTTGCCACGTCTTGCCATTGTAAGGCACATATTTCTTTTTGGTTTTCTTTCTTTTTAATATATAGAGGCAGGGTCTTGCTCTGTTGTCCAGGCTGGAGTGCAGTGGTGCAATCATATCTCACTGCAGCCTACAACTCCTGGCCTCAAGAGGATTAGCTTCTGGTCTTGCCCTCCCAAAGGGCTGGGATTATAGGCCTGAGCCACTTGCACCTGGCCCAGACACATATTTCTGGTTTTTGTCTTTCGGTAATGTTTAGTGGCCTTTCTATTTTCTTTTTTCTTTTTTTTTGAGACGGAGTTTCGCTCTTGTTGCCCAAGCTGGAGTGCAATGGTGCAATCTCGGCTCACTGCAACCTCCGCCTCCTGGGTTCAAGTGATACTCTTGCCTCAGCCTCCTGAGTAGCTGGGATTACAGGCGTCCGTCACCACGCCCGGCTAATTTTTGCATTTTTAGTAGAGACGGGTTTTCGCTGTTTTAGCCAGGATGGTCTCGAATTCCTGACCTCAGGTGGACCACCCACCTCGGCCTCCCAAAGTGCTGGGATTCCAGGCGTGAGCCACCGCGCCCGGCCTGCCATTTTCATTAACCACATATCTTCGTTGTCACTTTAGCAGTTGTAGGAGAATCTGCTGACCTCGCTTCACAAATTTTTTGAATCTTGATTGAATGTACAGATTTTTTGAGGCCGTATTTTTTTTTTTTCCACTTTGGGGATAGACTTGTATGCTAGCATGGAAGGGAATTGTTTCTTCGGTTGAGTGCCTAAAGTGCTTGATGGCCTTTCAGATGGATCATGTCATACAGAAAGGAAGTATCTTAAAACACTACAATCTAGTTTAAGACATAAAACAGTAGAATCGCTGTCAGCGTCACAAGATACAAACGAAGGGCTCAGAACTGGGACCAAGAGAACATAGTCTCCCCATCTTACACTCGCTCGGAATGGGGGCTGGCCCCACTCTGCTCTATTTAATCTGAGCACTGTTGAATGAATCTGCGATGAAACTCCACATTTCCTTTAATCCTCACAACAAAGATAAACCAATTTTTAGATTCGTAAACTGAGGCTTAGAGAAGTTAAACGTATTGTCCGAGACTACAGAACTGGAAAATGGCAAAGTCAAGATCCAACTCCGAAGAGCCTCCCCCTGCCCACTAGCGGGGAGGAAATGGCAAATGACACAGCAAAAAATGTTTAAAACCAGGATTCTCGGTCGCCGTCCCGCCCAGCGCCAACGCTCCGTCCCGCCTCGCATCAACGCCTCGCTCCTCCCCGCCCAGCGCCAATGCCCCGCCCCGCGCAGCCGCCCAGGTGCCAGTTGCGTAACCACGGCAAAGCTCGCGGCAGGGGGCGGGGCAGACGCTGACTGTCGCCGGGCGGCGGTCACGTGAGCGGGAGCGCAGCAGGCCGGCGGTCCGAGTGCCTCGCGCGCGCCCCACAGCGGCCGCACGCGTCTCGGGCTCTCCTCCCAGTAGTTCACTCCTTAGTGGCTACAGAAACTGGAGCCCGCCATCGGGCTTTCCCCTGAACTGCAGCTTCCGTCCCCGCCAATCTCTTCTCCGGCCCCAGCGCTGACTTTCATGCGTGGAGCATTCTGGCCCGGAACAGAGATCCCAGGGCGGAAACTAGGGCCCGAGGCTGAAAGTCCGTTCTTGGCGGCGAGGGCCGCCGCTAAACTGGCTGCTGAGGGCGTCTCTAGCTCGGGTTCCAGAAGAGAGTGGAATGGACTGAGTGCTTGTGAGAAACTTCCTAATTGAGGCTTACCTACTAAAGTTCTTTACGTTTTAAAGGGTTCCATTGCATCAGCCCTCAAAATGTTTCCTTCCCCAGCCCTCTTTCTTCTATCATGGTGGTTATGTCTAGGGACTCTCCACTGGGAGACAATCATTTTGTTCTCCCCGAGGAGGGAGGTCAGAAGTGGGAGACACCCAGGTTGTGTTAGAAACTATGGTAGCTGGGGCGATGGCTCATGCCTGTGGTCCCAGCTACTCAGGAGGCTAGGGCAGGAGGATTGCTTGAGCCCTGGAGGTCGAGGCTGCAGTGAGCTATGATCACGCCTGTGAATACTCTGGGAGGATGGGTGACATAGCAAGACCCTTTCAAAAAGAGGAGAAAGAAACTGCAGCGTAAAGTAGCACACCTGTTACAAAGGTAAATGCTCTTTTGTCTATCCTTGCTATTTTTAAAAATACTCAATTTTTCCTAGTTTTCCTTTTTTGTTTTTTGAGACAGTCTCATTCGGACGCCCAGGCTGGAGTGCAGTGGCTTGAACTTGGTTCACTGCAACTTCCACTTCCCAGGTTCAAGCGATTCTGTTGCCTCAGCCTCCCGAGTAGCTGGGCTTACAGGCATGCGCCACCACGCCCAGCTCATTTTGTATTTTTAGTAGAGACGGGATTTCACCATGTTGGTCAGGTTGGTCTCGAACTCCTGACCTCAGGTGATCCGCCCGCCTCCGCCTCCCAAAGCGCTGGGATTAAATGCGTGAGCCACCGCGCCTGGCCCTAGTTTTCCTTTTGACATCCTTCCGAGCCTCTGTTTCTTGCTAGTTAATCCTAACAGGGTATCATGGAGGCTTGTCACTTGTTCACGACTTAGCAGTGATTCTCAACGTGGAGGGAGGTAAGGGGAGTTTATCTGTAAGGGCAAATCCAAATTGAGGGAGGGTGCTCTTGATTACTTTTTTTAAAAAAGCACATTTAGGCCAGGCATAGTGGCTCACTCCTGTAATACCAGCTACCCTGGAGGTTGAGGTGGGAGGATTGCTTGAGCCTGAGAGGTCCAGGCTGCAGTGAGCTGTGATCTCGCTATTACAGTTGAGCCTGGGTGACAGAGTGAGACCCTGTCTCAAAAAGAAAAAAAGTATCTATTGAACATTTACTGTGTGCTAGACACTGTGCCAGGCAGTAGGGTGCAGAGTGAAACTGAAGAACTCAAGATCTATTGGAGGCCAAGTGCAAGTTGCTCATGCCTGTAATCCTAGCACTTTGGGAGGCCAAGGCAGTCGGATCCCTTGAGGACAGGAGATTGAGACCAGCCTGGGCAACATAGGGAGACCCCCACCGCTACAAAAAAACTAGCCAGGCGTGTTGGTGCATGCCTGTAGTCCTAGCTACTTGGGAGGCTCAGGCAGGAGGATCACTTGAGTCTAGGAAGTCAAGGCTGCAGTGAGCCATGATTGTGCCACTGCACTCCAGCCTGAGTAACAGAGTGAGACCCTGTTGCAAAAAAAAAAAAAAAAAGAAAAAGAAAACAAGAAAAAGTTCTGTTTGGCAGTTCTGCAAGGATGACCCAAAGATTTTGATTTGAGCATCCGAAAGTGATATAGGTAACACTAAAGAAAAGCAGGCTGGGCGCAGTGGCTCATGCCTGTAATCCCAGCACTTTGGGAGGCTGAGGTGGGCAGATCACCTGAGGTCAGGAGTTCAAGACCAGCCTGGCCAACATAGTGAAACCCGGTCTCTACTAAAAATACAAAAATTAGCTGGGTATGGTGGCGGTCACCTGTAATCTCAGCTACTTGGGAGGCTGAGGCACGGGAATCACTTGAACTGGGAGGCAGAGGTTGCAGTGAGCCAAGATCATGCCACTGCACTCTAGCCTGGGCATCAAAGTGAGACTACATCTCAATAATAATAATTTGAATGTGAAAAATGGGACACACACACATGCACACACAAACAAACATACATCTGGTTTTGCAAACTCTATGGCTAGTAGATATACAAAGAAAGCCTTTTGAGTATCAGTGATTTGCAAGGAGCAGTGTATCAAGATACTTTGCATTGGCCAGGCATGGTGGCTCACGCCTGTAATCCCAGCACTTTGGGAGGCCAAAGCAGGCAGACCACCTGAGGCCAGGGGTTCAAGACCAGCCTGACCAACATGGTGAAACCCTGTCTCTACAAAAAATACAAAAAATTAGCTGGGTGTGGTGGTGAACGCCTGTAATCCCAGCTACTTGGAAGGTTGAGGCAGAAAAATCGCTTGAACCCAGGAGGCAGAGGTTTGCAGTAAGCCGAGATTGCTCCACTGTACTCTAGCCTAGGTGACAGAGCAAGACTCCCTCTCAAAAAAAAAAAAAAACAAAAAACACAAAAAACAAAAAACAAAAAAACTTTCTACTGAGTCATAAAAATTCTGAGGAAATGGTATTAAAGGGCATTTCATATGGACATTTATTATCTCACATAAAAATAAATCAGGAGGCTTCTGGAAAGTGGATGGTTCCTTGCTCTTATGAGACAGCAGTAAGAAAGGACTGTCAGTGGTCCCACTTGAGTCTCTGATAGCTATGTGCAGCCATCACATGACACTGGGAAGACTCAGTTACAGGAGAAGTCATCACTGTGGATTGCAGTCCTGGAAGACATGGTAGAGCTGAAGGATCAGCCAACTTTGAGACTCAGCTCTAGCTGCCTGTCTCCAGTGGCCTAATGGACATCTCTATGAGGATGTTTGATAGGGTTTGGCTCTGTGTCCCTACCCAAATTTGATCTCAAATTGTAGTCCCTGTAATCCTCACATCCAGGGAGGGACCTGGTGGGAGGTGACTGGATCTTGGGGGCGGTTTCCCCCATGCTGTTGTTGTGATAGTGAGTGAGTTCTCATGAGAGCTGATGGTTTTCTACGTGTTTGACAGTTCCTCCTTCACACTCTCTCGCCTGCTACCATGTAAGACATGGCTGCTTCTCCTTTTGCCATGATTGCAAAGTTCCTGAGGCCTCCCCAGCCATGCAGAACTGTGACTCAATTAAACCTCTTTTCTTTATAAATTACCCAGTCTTGGGCAGTTCTTTATAGGGTATGAAAACAGAGTAATACAGTGTTCCATTACCACTAACTAGTTGGATATATTCATCTTCTCCATGTCCTATGTCCATTCAGTTGCTGAGTCTTGTTGAGTCTTCCTCTCCATCCCTACCTCCTTACTCCATACACTTATCATCTTCAGCTTCCTAAACTTTCAAGATTCTTCTACCTTCACTGAATCATATGCTAGATATATACCATATATATGCATTTGCTATCTATTTTAAGAATTTAAAGTAACATTTTAGAATTTATTGAGTTTTTCTACTTCTTTCTATCCAATAGTCTATTCTATTATTAGAAACAATAAGGTGGGCTGGGTGCGGTGGCTCATGCCTGTAGTCCCAGCACTTCAGGAGGCTGAAGCAGACAGATATCTTGAGCCCAGGAACTCAAGACCAGCCTGGGCAACATGGCAAAACCTCGTCTCTACAAAACACACACAGACACACACACACACAAATTACCCAGGCATGGTGGTGTGTGCTTGTAGTCCCAGCTGCTTGGGAGGCTGAGGTAGGAGGATTGGTTGAGCTTGGGTTGTTGAGGCTGCAGTGAGCTGTGATCACACCACTGCACTCCAGCTTGAGTGACAGACCAAGACCCTGTTTCTAAAGGAAAAGAAGGCCTGGGTCGGGCGCAGTGGCTCACGGCTATAATCCCAGCACTTTGGAAGGCTGAGGCGGGCGAATCACCTGAGGTCAGGAGTTCGAGACCAGCCTGGCCAACATGGTGAAACCCCGTTTCTACTAAAAATACAAAAATTAGCTGGGTATGGTGGGAGCACCTGTAATCCCAGCTACTCGGGAGGCTGAGGCAGGAGAATCGCTTGATTCTCCGCTGGGAGGCGGAGGTTGCAGTGAGCCGAGATCGCGCCATTGCACTCCAGCCTGGGGGACAAAAGCGAGACTTCGTCTCAAAAAAAAAAAAAAAAAAAAAAGAAGGCCGGGCATGGTGGTTCATGCCTGTAATCCCAGCATTTTGGAAGGCTGAGGCAGGAGGATCTCTTGAGCCCAGGAATTGGGGAGTAGCCCAAGGAACATAGTGAGACCCTATCTCTACAAAACAATTTTAAAAATTAATTATCCAGGCATGGTGGCATGCCCGGTAACTAGGTGATTCTAGTTACTTGGGAGGCCAAGGCATTACTTGAGCCCAGGAGTTTGAGGCTGCAATGAGCCATGTTCCCAAACTGCACTCCAGTTTGAGTGACAAAGCAAGACCCTGTCTCAGGCCAGGGGTGGTGGCTAACGCCTGTAATCCCAACATTTTAAGAGGCTGAGGCAGGTGGATTGCTTGAGCCCAGGAGTTTGAGATTAGCCTGGCCAACATGGCAAAACCCCAAATCTACTACTACTACTACTACTACTACTACTACTACTACTACTACTACTAAAAAACTGGCCAAGGTGGTGTGCGCCTGTAATCCCAACTACTCAGGAGGCTGAGGCACGAGAATCGCTTGACGGGAGCAGAGGTTGCAGTGAGCCGAGACTGCACCACTGCACTCCAGCCTGGGTGACACAGTGAGACTCTGTCTTAAAAAACAAAAAAGACCCTGTCTCAAAAAAAAAAAGAAATAATAAGGTGGCAGGATATATGATATATAGAGAAAAATCAATACTAAAATCAATAGTTATGACAGTATGACATTGGAGCAGCAGTAGACATAGAGATCAATGGAAGATAATAGGGTCCAGGAATAAAACCCATATATATGATAAAGATGGCATTTCAAGTCAGTAGAGAAGAATGGGATTAATCAATAAATGATGTAGAAAAAAATTGGCTCCCCTTTTGGCTCCCCTACCTCACACTATATACCAACCTATTCTAGATGTAATAAAGACCGAAAAATATTTAAATACCATCAAAATAGTCAAGAGAATATTTTCATAACCTTAGGGGTGAAAAAGGCTTTTCTGAACCAGACCCACAGTTCAGAAGCCTTATGCAAGAGACTGGCAGTTGGGACTACACACAAATGTCAAATTTCTGTAAGGTGACACTCTATAAGCAAAGTGAAATGACAAAGTAGGAAAATATTTTCAAAATGTATAAGAGACAAGAAGTTAATGTGTCTGTGTGGTGGTTTAAAAATATGTCCATGAATTCTGTGATACTCTTCCTTTTAAGAGGTGAGCCTTATTCCCCTCCACTTGAGTGTGGGCTGGACTTAGTGACTGGCGTCTAAAGAATAGCATAAAGTGGAAGTGATGGTGTGTGACTTTGGAGACTCAGTTAAAGGCAGAGTGGCTTTCATCTTGGTCTCTTTCTCTCTTGGATCACTTGCTCTGGGGGAAGCCAGCTGCCATGTTATGAGGGCACTCAGGCCCTGTGGAGAAGTCCAGATGGTAAGGAACTGTCTTGCCAACAACCATGTGAGTAAGCCATCTTGGAAGCAAATCCTTCAGCCCCAGCCAAGCCTTCAGATAACGGCAGCTCCAGCCAGCCGTTTGACTGGAACCCACCTGGGCCACTCTTGGATTCCTGAGAAACTGAGATAATACATTTTGCTGTTTTAAGCTGCTACGTTTTGAGATGATTTGTTATACAGCTATAATCAGTTAACAGTTGCACTTGGCTGGCTGGGCATGGTGGCTCATGCCTGTAACCCCAGCACTTTGGGAGGCCAAGGCAGGAGAATCGCTTGAGCCCAGGAGTTCCAGACCAGTCTCTGCAACATAGTGAGACTCCATCTTTACAAAAAAAAAGTTAAAAATTAGCTGGGCATGGTGGGGCGCACCTGCAGTCCCAGCTACTTAGGAGGCTGAAGTGGGAGGGTGGCACGTGCTTGTAATTCCAGCTACTCGGGAGGCTAAGGCACTAGAATCGCTTGAACCCAGGAAGCAGAGGTTGCAGTGAGCCGAGATCTTGCCATTTCACTCCAGCCTGGGTGACAGAGCAAGACTCCATCTCAAAAAAAAAAAAAAAAATCACCCTGTTAAGTATAAGCTCTGACAAATGCATAGTCCTATCATAATCAAGACATAGAACAATCGTAGAATCACTCTAACAGTTCCCTCAAGATCAAGATCAAGAAGTCAACCCCTTCTTGATCCCAAGGAACTCATTGACCTGTTTTTCTGTCAAAAGGGTCAAATTTAATCACTAAAATGATCTACAGTACTATGGAAAAATTTGTAAGCATAGAAAACACACAAACCAACTCTTTTTAAAAAGTAAGATATTTTAAAAGTTTACCATACCAACAGAATGAAGATAGCTTCACATTTTACTACAGATGTGCAGATATTCATCAAAGTCCACCATTGTCATATATATGGCTCAACAGTAATATTTAAGAATATACTGGCCAGGGCCGGGAGTGGTGGCTCACGCCTGTAATCCCAGCACTTTGGGAGGCTGAGGCGGGCGGATCATGAGGTCAGGAGATTGAGACCATCCTGGCCAACATGGTGAAATCCCATCTCTACTAAAAATAGAAAAATTAGCTGGGTGTGGTGGTGCGTGCCTGTAATCCCAGCTACTCAGGAGGCGGAGGCAGGAGAATCACTTGAACCAGGGAGTCGGAGGTTGTGGTGAGCCGAGATCACTCCACTGCACTCCAGCCTGGTGACAGAGCGAGACTCTGTCTCAAAAAGAAAAAGAAAAAATACTGGCCAGGCACGGTGGCTCATGCCTGTAATCCCAGCACTTTGGGAGGCTGAGGCGGGTGGATCACCTGAGGTCAGGAGTTCGAGACCAGCCTGGCCAACATGGTGAAACTCCATCTCTACTAAAAATACAAAAATCAACCAGGTGTGGCGTCACACACCTCTAATCCCAACTACTCGGGAGGCTGAGGCAGGAGAATCATTTGAACCCAGGAGGCGGAGGTTGCAGTGAGCTGAGATTGTGCCATTGCACTCCAGCCTGGGTGACAAGAGAGAAACTCTGTCTCAAAAAAAAAAAAAAAAAATACTGTAAAATAACAATCTTTAGAAGAGTTAGAATAATGTTATTTTTGTTTGTTTTTTTCGAGACAGGGTCTTGCTCTGTCATCCAGGCTGGAGTGCAGTGACGTAATCTTGGCTCACTGCAACCCCTGTCTCTCAGGTTCAAGAGATTCTTGTACATTAGCCACCCAAGTAGCTGGGATTACAGGTGTGTGCCACCATGCCAGCTAATTTATTTGTATTTATTTATTTATTTATTTATTTATTGAGACAGAGTCTTACTCTGTCACCCAGGCTGGAGTGCAGTGGCGTGATCTCAGCTTACTGCAATCTCTGCCTCCTGGGTTCAAGCGATTATCCTGCCTCAGCCTCCCAGTAGCTGGAATTACAGGCATGTGCCACCACCACACCCGGCTATTTTTTTTTTTTGGGGGGGGGGGTAGATATGGGGTTTTGCCATGTTGGCCAGGCTGGTCTCGAACTCCTGACCTCGTGATCTGCCCGCCTCAGCCTCCCCAAGTGCTGGGATTACTGTGTGAGTCACTGTGCCTGGCCAATTTTTGTATTTTAGTAGAGAAGGGGCTTCACCATTTTGGCCAGGCTGGTCTCAAACTCCTAAACTCAGATGATCAGCCCGCCTCAGCCTTACAAAGTGCTGGGATTACAGGCGTGAGCCACTGTACCCAGCCCTCAAAAGCTATTTTTTGACATATTAAGATTGGCAAAGTACGTACCATTTGACCCAGAAATTCTACCTTCTAAGAATGTACGCCGGGCACGGTGGCTCCTGCCTGTCTGTAATCCCAGCACTTTGGGAAGCTGAGGCGGGCAGATGGCTTCAGTCCAGGAGTTCAAGACTAGCCTGGGCAATATAGAGAAATACCCGTGTCTACAAAAATTGCAAAAAATTAGCTAGGCATGGTGACATGCGCCTGTAGTCCCAGCTACCTGGGAGGCTGAGTTAGGAGAATCACCTGAGCTTAGGATGTTGGGGCTGCAGTGAGCCATGATGATTGCACCACTGCACTCCAGCCTGGGAAAGAAAAAAAAAAGTTTCCCACATAGTCATATTACTCAATGCGTAGTCCATGAATCAAGAGCATCAGCATCACTTGAGAGGTCTACATTTCAATGAGATCCTCAAGCAATTTCTATACACGTTAACATTTGAGGAATACTGCTACAGAGTACTCATGCAGAAGAGCAAAGATATATCTATGGGGATTTAAACAGCGTTATTTGTAATATGGACAATTTTTAAAAAAAAGTTAATATCCATCAATAGGGAACAGTTAAAAGTCTAGCCAGGCTTGGTGGCACACAGCTGTAGTCCCAGCTACTTGAGATGCTGAGGCAGGTCGATGGCTTGAGCCCAGGAGTTTGAGGCTGTAGTGCACAATGATTGTGGGCAGGAAACAGGACCTCGACTTTGGACCAGATTCAAGACTGGCTGAAACAGGGAAGAGGCACAGAAAGCACTTCTCCGTAAGACACGCCCACCAGCACGACAGTTTACCATTGCCATGGCGACACCCAGAAGTTACTGCCTTTTTCCATAACAACCTGGAAGTTACCACCCCTTTTCTGGAAATTTCTGAATAACCCACTCTTTAATTTGCATGTAATTAAAAGTCAATATAAATGTGACTGCAGAAGTTTCCCTGAGTTGCTGCTCTCCACACACTGCCTAGAGGGTGGCCTTGCTCGGTAGGAGCAGTCATGGGGCTGTAAAACTGCATCCTCAATAAAGCTGTATCTTCTACCACATGCTCAGGAAAGAACCATGAGCCTTATTGGGCTAATCGCCAATTTGGGTGTTCACCTGCCCTGCATCAGTTGTGCCTGTGAAAAACTACTGCACTCCAGCTGTGACCGGTTGAGGGTAATTGTCCAGGTTCTTGGTGTTTTGCACAAAGAATTCGACAAAACACACAAACAAAGCAAGGCAATGAAAGCAGAGATTTTTTTTGTTTGTTTTTTTAATTACCGTGCCCGCGAGACGGAGTCTTGCTGTGTCGCCCAGGCTGGAGTGCAGTGGCACGATCTCGGCTCCTGGGTTCAAGCAATTCTCCTGCCTCAGCCTCCTGAGTAGCTGGGATTACAGGCTTGCACCACCACGCCCCGCTAATTTTTGTATTCTTAGTAGAGATGGGGTTTCACCATGTTGGCCAGGCTGATCTCCAACTCTTGACCTCTTGATCCACCAAAAGCAGAGATTTATTTTAAAGGAAAGTACAGTCCACAGAGTGGGAGCAAGCTCCAGCAAGTGGCTCAAGAGCATTGGTGACAGAATTTTCTGGGGTTTAAATACAATCTAGAGGTTTCCCATTGGTTCACCCTATGCAAATGAAGTAGTGGCCGACTGCCAGTCTAATTGTGGGAGGGGACCAATCAAAATGAAGAGAGTAGGCCTGCTATCAGTCTGACTGGTTGTGAGAGGGGACCAATCAGACGTACTTTCATTTTTCAAATGCCATACAGAGAAAGGAGGGTTTGAAAAGGGAGTACTCTCTGATATTCAGTCAGCATGATTCGGCCTTAGATTCCCTGCCTCCGGACCCTATTCTCCTGCCTCTCAGCCTGGACAATGTAGTGAGACTCTGTCTCTAGAAAAACACAAGAAAGTTCCGGGCGCGGTGGCTCACGCCTGTAATCCCAGCACTTTGGGAGGCCGAGGAGGGCAGATCACGAGGTCAGGAGATCGAGACGATCCTGGCTAACACAGTGAAACCCCGTCTCTACTAAAAATACAAAAAATTAGCCAGGTGTGGTGGTGGGCGCCTGTAGTCCCAGCTACTCTGGAGGCTGAGGCAGGAGAATGGCGTGAACCCGGGAGGTAGAGCTTGCAGTGAGCCGAGATCACGCCACTGCACTCCAGCCTGGGAGAGAGAGCCAGACTCCATCTCAAAAAAAAAAAAAACAACACCAAAAAAAAAAAAAAAAAAAGGAAAAACGCAAGAAAGAAAGGAAAGTGGTAGTATATCCACATAATGGAAGACTAGACAACTATGAGAAAAAGAGGTAGATTTATGCTTAGTGACATGAAAGAAGCCCAAGACATATTAGAATTGAATAATTAGAAGAAAAAAACCCTAAACTAATCTAAAAATCTTTTTTTCTTTTTTTTTGAGACCGAGTCTCACTCTGTTGCCCAGGCTGGAGTGCAGTGGTGCGATGTCAGCACACTGCAATCTCCGCCTCCCAGGTTCAAGCGATTCTCCTGCCTCCGCCTCCGGAGTAGCTGGGATAACAAACGCCCGCCACCACGCCCGGCGAATTTTTGTATTTTCAGTAGAGACAGGGTTTCGCCATGTTGGCCAGGCTGGTGTTAAACTCCTGACCTCAGGTGATCCGCCCACCTTGGCCTCCCAGAGTGCTGAGATGATAGGTGTGAGCCAAAGCGCCTGGCTTTTTTTTTTTTTTAGACAGAGTCTCGATCTGTTGCCCAGGCTGGAGTGCAGTAGCGTGATCTCGGCTCACTGCAACCTCTGCCTCCCGGGTTCAAGTGATTCTCGTGTCTCAGCCTCCCAAGTAGCTGAAACTACAGGCACAAGCCACAACGCCTGGCTAATTTTTTTTCTTTTTTTGAGACGGAGTTTCACTCTTGTTGCCCAGGCTGGAGTGCAGTGGCGCGATCTCAGCTCACTGCAACCTAGGCCTCCTGTATTAAAGCGATTCTGCTGTCTCAGCCTCCCGAGTAGCTGGGATTACAGGTGCGAGCCACCACCCCAGCTAATTTTTTGTATGTAGAGACGGGGTTTCACCATATTGGCCAGACTGGTCTCAAACTCCTGACCTCAGGTGATCCACCCGCCTAGGCCTCCCAAAATGCTGGGATTACAGGCGTGAGCCACCACGCCCAGCCTAAATATTACTTTTATAATTGAAAGAGACTCTATCTAGACCAGCCGATGGGGGAAAAATATCAAGGATGTTGTGGAGTATCTAGCTCTCATTACACAGTGTAACTTCAGTCCTTGCCAACTAAACACGAAATAAAACCTTCAATAGCTCCCCACAGCTTTCAGGATAAAGTCCAGATCCTTCAGTGTGATCCAAGTCTGTTTACTGCTTCTACCATATTCCAACCCCCGACTGCACCTACTGTTCCAGCCAGCAGAACCACCTGCTTTCTTTGCACAGGCATTGAGCTCTTTCTTCTCCAAGCATTACCACAGGTGATTCCTGCCTCTGAAATCTCTGCCCCGAATATATGATATCATGTATATGCATATACTATACAATGATCCCTAGCACTTAGTAAAAGCTCTATAAATGTTGGGTATGATTATTATAACATGTCTCATTATATTGAATTACTTGTGTACTTAATCTTGTCACTGAACTGTACACCTCTTGAAGATAAAAGATAAGGACTTCTGTGCTTTACTGTCCCGGAGCACAGGGACAGATTAAGTGCTTAACAAAAGCATGGCAGGGCGCAGTGGCTCATGCCTATAATCCCAGCACTTTGGAAGGCCGAGGCGGGCGGATTGCTTGAGCCCAGGAGTTTGAGACTAGCCTGGGCAACATAGCAAAACCTTGTCTCTACAAAAAATACAAAAAAATTAACTTGGCATGGTGGCGCACACCTGTAGTCCCAGGTACCCAGGAGGCTGAGACGGAAGGACTGCTTGAGCCCAGGAGGTGGACGTTGCAGTGAGCTATGATTGCTCCACCGCACTCCATCCTGGGCGACAGAGGGAAACTCTATTTCAAAACAAAAATAAAAACAAAATAACAAAAGTGTATGTTCAAGGACACCTTCCTAACCCTTACATCACAACTTTTCTTCCCATCTAATGTGTCTTCCTCTTTCTTCTTGGCCAAGGAAACTCATATCCATTTCTTTTGACTACATCAAACCACATGGATTTTTCCCTTCTCCACACTCCAACAATACAATAACTTTCATTTGTATAGCACATCTCACTCTTCAGAGTGTTCATATTTATTATTTCTTTTTCCTCACAGCAACCCCAGTACCAAGGACACAGGCCAGGGGTGGGGAGGAGCAGGAAAATGTTTACTAAGGGTCAACTAAGTGCAAGGCGATTTACCCACATTATCTCTTTTAATCCCTTAACAATCCTTACAGGTGGACGTTTTAATAATCCCCATTTCACGACTGTGGAAATTAGACCTCAGTAAGATTTCATAACCTGCTGAAGGACACACAGGTATTAAGTAGTAGAGATGGGTTTTGAAGCTGGTGTCTCTGACTTTAAAGTCCCTACTGGTTCCATGACACCAAGTAAACAGATTTGCCTATTAACCACATTCCTCCAAGCTGCCCTGGGCAGGAGGTAATATAATACTTCCTGATTTCTTGCCCACCACATCTTCCACCAGACCACTTTGCCGTTATATAAAGTCTGTGGGCACAATTTAACAATGAATCACATGCCATCTTACCTGGTTACCTCATTGTTTCATTTACATTAGATTCCACAACAAGATTGGTAACATCCCCCTTTCCCCAGGCAGGAATTGTGTCATCTTAACCTCCCTGAGCCTCAGTATCCTCTTCTTTCAAATGTCTATCTTACAGGACTGTTGCAGAGATTAAATATCAGTTGTAAAGATGTTTGACATAATGTCTCGCACAAACTCTCCAGAAATATTTATTGCATCTCAACATCTTTTTCATCTCCTTCAACATGTCAGACAGGCCTGAGTGCCTGGGTTTGGCTATGCCAGTTCCTGTTGATTACTGATATAACAACGTTGGATCAGGAGTATTTTAGTGGGCAGATGTTGAATTTTCTGCCTTCCACCCACTAAAAGGTTTGCATCAAACCAGTCCAGGATAACTCATACTGGATCCCTGTCAGTTGATATAGTTAAGCTAATTCTACAGATAACAAAGAGTCTTGGGTACGTTTAGCTAGCAAATGCAGATCTGCCAAGACTCCAACCCAGTTCTTAAGGTATCTGGGTCTGGACTCCTTCCGCTCCACCAAGCCACCTTCCAAAGGTCTACCTGAAAATAACTAATGAGCAGAAACTATAGGGGGAAGGGGAAAAGACCCCTTATCTTGGTGTTTCTTGCTTTTCCTCGCAGCCCCGCCCTTTTTGCTTCGAAGGACGAGTTTTTCCTGAATTCACAATACTTTTGCATTGAAGATGTCCGGTCCCTTTAAGGTCTTGGGTGACGTAATGACTAGCCCCGCCCCCTCTCTTCTCGCTTCTCAGCCCTGCCCACTTCTTTTTGTCCTCAGCCAATTAGCGGCCCAACGCCCCTTCCGCGCCTCATCCGGGTTCCCGGGACGGGAAAGTGGCGTGGTAACCAGGCAACTACTGATCAATCCCCTCCCCGGCTGATTTGCGCATCAGGTAGTCGCCGCTCTACTCTCAACGGTGGCGAGCTGCAGTTGCCAAGTGCCCCGTCCCCGTTGCCATAACAGCAGTACACAACCCCTCCTTCCCCTCGCCCGCTTGCTAAACAGTCCTTCCCTCTCGGGACCAAGGGCCTCTCCAGAACTGCTTCTGATTGAGCAGAAACAGGGTCTGAGCCCCTTTGCTAAGGCGAATTGAGTGGGAGGGTTGGAGACTGCGCTTTAGGCTGGTGTACCAGAGGGCCCAAGGAAATTGGCCCAGTGGGGAGGGAAAAGTAGAAGAAATGAATGGAGCAGGGATTACGGATGGCGCAATGGGAGCTGAGAGGAGAGGAGGAGGAATTGGTAGGGAAGATTGGAGAGCATGGCTTAAGGGGGAGGTGGGAAGAATGGGGGAGAGGGAAGCCCAGGAAATAGGGACACCCGGCTGCTGGAGGAGAGCTGGAGTCACTGTGAAGGACAGGAAAGGCCTGGGGGTGTGGGTGACATCCTGAAGGGAGGGGGTCCTCAGTGGAAAGTGTGAAGTGGGAGTTGAGAATCAAAATGAGATGTTCACAGGGATAAGGAAAGAAGCCTAGAGTTGGTGGGTCAGAAGTCATGGGGGTGATGGGAGTGGCACGTGTCAATGACGATGAAGGAGCTGAAGGCTGGCAGAAGCTGATGAGACCTTCTTTTTCAGGAGGAGGACTGAGCTTATCTGACTCCAGAGCTTTCAGGAGGGAAGAAAGATGTCAGATGAAGATGATCTAGAAGACTCTGAGCCAGACCAGGATGATTCTGAGAAAGAAGAGGACGAGAAGGAGACAGAGGAGGGGGAGGACTACAGAAAAGAGGGGGAAGAGTTCCCTGAGGAAGTGAGAGCCTGGACAAGGAGGGGTCCTAGGGCTGAAGGAGGGGGTTGGGCAGGGGAGAGACACCTTACTCCACTTCTACCTGCAGTGGCTGCCCACCCCCCTCACGGAGGACATGATGAAGGAAGGGCTTTCTCTGCTCTGTAAGACAGGCAATGGGCTGGCTCATGCTTATGTCAAGCTGGAGGTTAAAGAGAGGTGCGTTTTGGGGGGACCAGATGAGGACTGTGAGACTGTAGGGCCCCTATCTCCTTTCCCACTGTCATTCCTGGGTGTTCTGGTTGAGAGTTTGACTCTTCTCATGCCTAGTGGAAAGGGAAGGACAGAATTTACTTTTCAGGAGCTCTGAGACTTCTCCTATCAAAGCTGACCTGGGGAATTGGAGATTGAGAGTATATGGGGGGATTCCTGCTGGATTCCCTTATTTGTCTTTCAGAGTATGGGTTCTCTGTCCTTCACAGACACAGGTCTCTCTGCCCACTGTTAAGAACCCACCTACCTTCTCTTACCCTTCTTCTCCCCTACCATCTGTTGCCCATTCTTCTCCCCATTATAAGCCATCTCCATATTGCCTTCTGCTTTAGCAACTCTGCCAGTCCTCACTGGGTGCTTAACCCTAAACCTGGTTTCTTCTCCCTCTTCCATCTCCTAGGGACCTGACAGACATCTACTTGCTGCGCTCCTACATCCATCTGCGCTATGTGGATATTTCTGAGAACCACCTGACAGACCTGTCTCCACTCAACTACCTCACCCACCTGCTCTGGCTCAAGGCTGATGGCAATCGGCTGCGAAGTGCCCAGATGAATGAACTGCCCTACCTGCAGATTGCTAGTTTTGCTTATAACCAGATTACTGACACTGAAGGCATCTCTCATCCTCGTCTTGAAACCCTGAATCTCAAAGGTGGGTCTTTAGGATGGGCTACACAAGATTCTTTCCTTCCTAGCCTGAGGCCAACAGAAGTGGGCAGTATGGTCCTTGGCTAGGGCACATGGCAGTCTGCATTCATTCATTCATTCAGATACGCAATATGATTCATTATGACAGTTCTACATGCTAACCATATAGGATCCAATAAGACAAGGAACGTCCCTATTCTCATATAGCTTATATTCTAATTGGGAGAGACAAACAAGTAACAACAAACACAGTAAGTACATTCATGTAGCATGTTAAAAGGAGACAAGTGCCTTGGAAAAAATAGATCAGAGTAAGAGGAATGGGGGACACAGGTGGCAATGTCAAATAGATTGGTTAGGACAACCATCACTGAGAAGATGACATTTGAGCAAAGAATTGAAGAAGGAGAGGGAATTAGACATGTCAGCTGCTTCATTCACTCTTCAAAGGCTTAGGTGGATATGTCCATCAGGACCTTGGACTACCTACCACACCACTTGCCTCAGGGCTCCAGAGGTATTAAGTCTGGAGCTGGCCTTCCTCAGTATCTACCCTGCTTTGCGAATGGTAGGATGATTTAGAGGCTCCCCAAATTCAGGCTCTAATGCTGAGCATTTGGAGTGGCCCTTTGAGCTCTTGAAACCCTCCTCCCCAGGGAACAGCATCCACATGGTGACAGGTCTGGACCCCGAGAAGTTGATCAGCCTGCACACAGTGGAGCTTCGGGGGAACCAGCTGGAAAGCACCCTGGGAATCAATCTTCCTAAGCTGAAGAACCTCTACCTGGTAGCTCACTGGGTCAGAGGGTGGTGCAGGGAAGAGGGCACTGTCCTGGGGGTCAGGATGCCTGCTTTCTAGTAGGCTCAGCTACTAACTTCATCATTATGATAATAACTGGTATTATTATCAAGACCATAGTTGGTTCCAGATGCTGTGGAGATACACAGCCACCTAGCAGGGCTGATAATATATAATGTGTGGATAATACAGAGATAATTTACCTTGATACAGGTAGTAGCAAAATGGACCATAATTGAGGTACAAACATCAGTCTGTGGAAATGTTTTAGGAAAACCCTCCTCTCAGACTGGGTTTTTCTTCAGCTCTTACACTACCACCACAACAATCATCAACATACGACTTCCGGGACCAAAGGTGTGGGGGTTTCTCCCCATACACCAAGTAGTAGACACCAGCTGGGTGATCTCTAATTCGATTCACTGTCTACCTGGGGATGGCATCAAATCCCACAGATTGAGGGCTCGGTTCCCAAGAGTGACCCCTACACCGCCCACATACACCAGTTGCAAGTCCAAGCCTCCAGAACTTCTGACACACCAGCTTCAACATGAAGCTGGTTCCCATGACCTCTTCTCTGGATTTAATTAATTTTCTAGAGTGGTTTTTATTAGTTTATTGCAAGGGCAAAGGATACAGATGAAGAGATGCTTAGGGCGAAGTATGGGGATATGGGTGCAGTGCTCCATGCCCTTCCCAGATGCATCACCCTCCAAAAGCTTTCACGTGTTCAGCTACCCAGAAGCTCTCTGGACCCAGTCCTCTTGGCTTTTCATGGAAGCTTCATGATCTTAGTATTCCTTCCCCCAGGAAACTGGGGAGGCTGTCGCTGGGGAGGGTCTTAAGAACCACAATCAGGCCGGGCGCGGTGGCTCATGTCTGTAATCCCAGCACTTTGGGAGGCTGAGGCGGGCGGATCACCTGAGGTCCGGAGTTCGAAACCAGCCTGGCCAACATGGCGAAACTCTGTCTCTACTAAAAATACAAAAATTAGCCCAGTGTGCTGACATGCGCCTGTAATCCCAGCTACTAGGGAGGCTGAGGCAGCAGAATGGCTTGAACCCAGAAGGCAGAGTTTGCAGTGAGCTGAGATCACGCCACTGCAATCCAGCCTGGGAGACAGAGCAAGACTCCATCTCAAAAAAAAAAAAAAAAAAAAAAAACCAAAGAAAAACACGGTGAAACCCCGTCTCTACTAAAAATACAAAAAAAAAAAATTAGCTGCGTGTGGTGGCAGGCACCTGTAGTCCCAGCTACTCGGGAGGCTGAGGCAGGAGAATGGCGTGAACCCAGGAGGCGGGGCTTGCAGTGAGCCGAGATTGCGCCACTGCACTCCAGCCTGGGCAACAGAGCTAGACTCTGTTTCAAAAAAAAAAAAAGAAAGAATCACAGTCAGAAAGAGGGAGTGGGGGGAAAGATTAGCGCTTTCTCTTGGAGCAGGTGAAAAGACGGCTGGAGAAGTTCCTGAGACCTGCCCCTGAGGCCCAGCACACCCAACTTTATAACAAAAGACTGCAAGAAGGGCTATTATGGGGGTTATAAGCTAGGGACTGTGGATGAAAACCGATATATATATTATATATTATATAATTATATATTATATATAAATATATATTATATATTATATAATTATATATTATATATAATATATAATTACATATAATATATAATATATAATTATATATTATATATTATATATTATATATAAAATATATAATATATAATTATATATTATATATAATATATAATTATATATAATATATATAATTAGATATAATATATAATTATATATTATATATAATTATATATAATATATTATATATAATTATATATAATACATAAATATATATAATAGTATATATTATATATAATATATATAATATATAAATATATATAATAGTATATTATATATAATATATTTTATATAATATATAAATATTATATATAATAGTATATTATATATAATATATAAATATTATATATAATAGTATATAATATATAATATATAATATATATTTTATATATTATATAATATATTATATATTATATATATAATAACTCCACAGGAAGCCACTGAAATATTTAGTCTTTTAGACTCTTAAGCTTCGTTATTCTGGGATGGTGCTGATGCCAATCCTCAGTGGTGGCCTGGGGGCTCCTGGGCCGGGTAGGGGTGGGTTGAAGCATCTCCTCCATCCCAAGTGGCTTTGATGGGGCGAATGGTAGAGGGTTACTGCTGACCTTTCTCTGGGATGGCAGCTTCTCCTGAACTTCTTTACTTTCTATACTGATCTCTACTCACCCCCACTCCTTTCTTCCACTCCTCCCTCTCTACCTCTTGGATTTCCTCTTTTGCTTTATCTCATTCTGACTTCTCTTTCTTCCCTATCCCTGCTCCCTCTCAATCAATCCACTGTGCCCTGGGGGTCTAGGCCCAAAACATGCTGAAGAAGGTGGAAGGCTTGGAGGATCTGAGCAATCTCACCACCTTGCATCTTCGAGACAACCAGATTGACACCCTGAGTGGCTTCTCCAGAGAAATGAAATCATTGCAGTACCTCAACCTGAGGTATGCACCCTCTCCAAGCCCCACCTTGCCCCTACCCCTGACCAGGTGCAGCTTTTGAGTCTGTGTTCTTCCCTGGCCCAATCCCCCAGTCCTAGCCCACAGCTGGATTCTCAAGGAAAGCCCGGCTTTCCTTCCTTTCTTCTGCACTGAGTTGCAACACTAAATCCCTTATAGCTTGTGACCCCTGAATTTTTATTCATTCAATCCACAATTATTGAGAATGTGCTATGTGCCAGGCCTTGTGCTGTGTTTTGGGGACATTTAAAGCAATCAGAGGCTGGGCATGGTGGTTCATGCCTGTACTCCCAGCACTTTAGGAGGAAGGATCACTTGAGGCCAGGAGTTCAGGACCAGCCTGGGCAACCTAGTGAGACCATGTTTCTACAGAAGTGAAAATAATGGCCCGGCATGGTGGCTCACACCTGTAGTTCTAGCACTTTGGGAAGCCGAAGTGGGCAGATCGTTGGAGCCTAGGAGTTCAAGACCAGTCTGGGCAACATGGCAAAATCCCATCTCTACCAAAAATACAAAAATTAGCCAGGCATGGTGACAGGCACCTGTAATCCCAGCTACTCAGGAGACTTAGGCGGGAGGATCGCTGGAGCCTCGAGGTGGAGTTTGCAGTGAGCTGAGATAAAGCCGCTGCACTCCAGCCTGGGTGACAGAGCCAGACCCTGCCTCAAAAACAAAACAAAAATAAAATATTAAATAAAAATTAAAATATTAAATTAAAAATAAAAATTAACTGAGCCTGGTGGTGCACACCTGTGGTTTCAGCTACTCAGGAGGCTGAGGTTGGAGGATCACTTGAGCCCAGGAGTTCAAGGTTGCAGTGAGCCATGATTGTGCCACTGCACTCCAGCCTGGGTGACAGAGTGAGCTGTCTCTAAAAGAAAGAAAGGAATCAGAGGTGATTCCTGTTCCTAAGGGGCTCACAGTCTGGCTCCAACTCTTTTTTCCTCACCCTATCCTATATAAGTTTCCACTGCCCTTCTCCATTTCCTCGGTCCCAATTCACCTTCCCATTTCCTGCCTCTCTTCTCCTGAGCCCCACCTGTAAGGGATGACCTTTTTACTGATTAAAAAAACACAAGATGTGCTCAGATTTGAGGAGAGAAGGACATTTGTAAGAAAATCTTTTGGTAGAAAGGCACTGAAGATCAGCAACTCTTGTCGGATGGAGGACTTTATGTGTGTTTATTTCAGCAAACATGTAAGGAAACTGCCTCTTTCCTTAGTCAACAAGACCAGATTCTTGAGCTGGTAATGGAAAGAGCATCTCCAAGTAGGGAGAGGTGGTTGCATCTGGAAGCCCCAACTCTCATCCTGACCCCCTGGGCATTCTCTTATTCATGAACTCTGCCACACGGATCTGGTGGGGTGTGTATCTGTGCCATCTTCCTGTTAATGATCTAGACAGGCATGATGGACCCTTCCTGAGTGGCTATTAAATGGGGATGTTTTGAGAGTAAGTCGGGTGTGTGTGTGGAGGGGGGTGAGGGTGTCTCAATGATTGGCAGGTGCCTCTGGGGCCAGAGATGCTAAGCATCCAACAATGTATGGCAGAGTCCAGTACAAAGTTCCTGTAGCCCTCCTGGTGAGAAACACTGCATGAGGCTCAGCACGACCATGAGATCAGGCTGAAACACTTAAATAGATTTCATAAAAGCTTAAAGCCAGAACATGAAAATAAATAAAATTCCAGGCATGGTGGCTCACGCCTGTAATCCCAGCACTTTGGGGGGGCCAAGGCAAGAGGACTGCTTGAGGCCAGGCGTTCAAGACAAACCTGGGCAACATAGTGAGACCCAGTCTCTACAAAAAATTTAAACATTAGCCAGGTGTGGTGGCACATGCCTGGAGGTACTTAGGAAGCTAAGGTGAGAGGATCACTTGAGCCCAGGAATTCAAGGCTGCAGTGAGCTATGATCATGCCACTGCACCCCCAACCGGGGTGACATAGTGAGACCCTGTCTCAATAAAAATAAAATAAAAACAGAGTATCATATAATGAGGCACATTAGGAGATGAAGTTTATTCTTCAGGTTGGGAGGCTCCAACCCATCCATAGCCTTAGGTTCTCTTTGTGGAGAGCACGAACCGAGCATCCACCACCCTAAACTCCAGCTTAGATCCCAGTTCCTTGTCCACTGACCTAGGTCCTACAGGGTGGAGTGCAGTGGCTCGATCTCGGCTCACTGTAATCTCAAACTCCTGGGGTCAAGCAATCCCTCCTCCTCAGCTAAGTAGCAAGGACTACAGGTGTATGCCATCACGCCCAGCTAATTTTTTTATTTTTAGCTTTTGTACAGATGGGGTCTCGCTATGTTGCCCAGGCTGGGTCCTACCTTCTACCCTCCATTTAGGTGTGATCACAGAAAATGTCTCTCCCTGTGAGGAAAATTTGCCCTCTCCTCCCCAGCTACAAGACAGGGTTGTGGCCTAGCTTTGCTGCACCAAAAGAACACATGAATGTATTACAGAGTAGAATATGGCACTTAGGGATTCCTTGAAGGGCAGAAGCAGGACCAGAGCGGGGTCACACAGCACCTCTGCAGTAAATCTGGCAAGGCTTGGCAGGCCAGTCCTCACAGTGTTTCTAGGGACACTGGAACCCCGAGAGTCCCCCAGAGGCCCCATTCCTAGCAACTGGCAACCAAAGCCCATTATTCCTGCATGAACCCCTCCTGACCACACTGGCAGGGGCAACATGGTGGCCAACCTGGGGGAGCTGGCCAAGCTTCGAGACCTGCCCAAGCTGCGAGCGTTGGTGCTGCTTGATAACCCATGCACGGACGAAACCAGCTACCGCCAGGAGGCCCTGGTGCAGATGCCATACCTTGAACGCCTGGACAAGGAATTCTATGAGGAGGAGGAACGGGCTGAGGCTGATGTGATTCGACAGAGGCTGAAGGAAGAAAAGGAGCAGGAGCCTGAGCCCCAGCGTGACCTGGAACCCGAACAGTCATTGATCTAGCAGCAGTTCTAGCCTCTAAAGATAGTAAGGAAGCCTGCAGGGAGGCAGTGGGAGGAGGCCAAGGGCTGGGCAGGTAGGGGAAGAGGCAAGAGGGGAAGCTGCTGCAGAAGGAGGTGGGAGAGGAAAGCATCAGACAAGCAGGACCCTTAAAGAGAGGAGGGTTAGGAGTCAGGGAGAGGAAAAGGGACCCAAGGGGCCTGGGACCAGCTGAGAAAGACTTAGGAGGCCAGAAGAGTAAGTGAAAAGAATTGGGGTGGCAGGCAGAGGAGTTGGTGGGGGGTGGGGCAGCCATACCTGACACAGAGTGAAGTCGGCTAGGAAAGGACAGGTGTGGGTGCATGGTAGGGGCTGCAGGGGAAAGTTGGTGGTGTATGCAGCTGGACCTAGGAGAGAAGCAGGAGAGGAAGATCCAGCACAAAAAATCTGAAGCTAAAAACAGGACACAGAGATGGGGGAAGAAAAGAGGGCAGAGTGAGGCAAAAAGAGACTGAAGAGATGAGGGTGGCCGCCAGGCACTTTAGATAGGGGAGAGGCTTTATTTACCTCTGTTTGTTTTTTTTTTTTTTTTTTTTTTTTTTTTGCGAGGTAGTCTTGCTTAGTCTCCAGGCTGGAGTGCAGTGGCACAATCTCAGCTCACTGCAACTTCCACCTCCTGGGTTCAAGCAATTCTCCTGCCTCAGCCTCCCGAGTAGCTGGGACTACAGGCGCATGCAACCGCGCCTGGCTAATTTTTGTATTTTTAGTAGAAACGGGGTTTCACCACGTTAGCCAGGATGGTCTGGATCTCCTGACCTCGTGATCTGCCCGCCTCCGCCTTCCAAAGTGCTGGGATTACAGGGGTGAGCCACAGCGCCTGGTCCCTATTTACTTCTGTCTTCTACCTCCAGGAGATCAAAGACGCTGGCCTTCAGACCTGATCAGACTCCCAGGGGCAGCCACCACATGTATGACAGAGAACAGAGGATGCCTGTTTTTGCCCCAAAGCTGGAAATTCATCACAACCTGAGGCCCAGGATCTGCTCTGTGCCGGTCCTCTGGGCAGTGTGGGGTGCAGAATGGGGTGCCTAGGCCTGAGCGTTGCCTGGAGCCTAGGCCGGGGGCCGCCCTCGGGCAGGCGTGGGTGAGAGCCAAGACCGCGTGGGCCGCGGGGTGCTGGTAGGAGTGGTTGGAGAGACTTGCGAAGGCGGCTGGGGTGTTCGGATTTCCAATAAAGAAACAGAGTGATGCTCCTGTGTCTGACCGGGTTTGTGAGACATTGAGGCTGTCTTGGGCTTCACTGGCAGTGTGGGCCTTCGTACCCGGGCTACAGGGGTGCGGCTCTGCCTGTTACTGTCGAGTGGGTCGGGCCGTGGGTATGAGCGCTTGTGTGCGCTGGGGCCAGGTCGTGGGTGCCCCCACCCTTCCCCCATCCTCCTCCCTTCCCCACTCCACCCTCGTCGGTCCCCCACCCGCGCTCGTACGTGCGCCTCCGCCGGCAGCTCCTGACTCATCGGGGGCTCCGGGTCACATGCGCCCGCGCGGCCCTATAGGCGCCTCCTCCGCCCGCCGCCCGGGAGCCGCAGCCGCCGCCGCCACTGCCACTCCCGCTCTCTCAGCGCCGCCGTCGCCACCGCCACCGCCACCGCCACTACCACCGTCTGAGTCTGCAGTCCCGAGGTGAAGCCCCCGCCAGGCCCAGAGCCCCTGTGGCCCCCTCCCTTCGCCGCGGCGCCCCTGCCTCCTTTACCCGGTGCCGCTGCGCACCTCTCCGCATCTCTGGCCCGGTGCAGCTGCGCACCTGCTCCGCCGCCCGCGCCCAGGGCGCCTTCCCTCCCTGGCCTTCCCCGCCCGCTGCCTTCGCTTTCTGGCCCTCTGCGCGCCTATCTCTAACTGCGCCTCTCCACCCTTGCCTGCCTCTCTCCCGGTGCTCGCCCTCATCTACGGTTCTATTTGTTTCTAAGTTGGGAGCCTCTCCGGGCGGTGCATTTTTATCCTAGAGCGTCCCTTTTGGTTTGCATTTGGGGAAATGTCTTCTCTCACCGTTCCTCACCTCCCCCAGACTTCCCTTGGACTCCCCTCTCTCCTGCTCTTCCCCACGGCGCCCCTCTCCGTTCGCGCTTCCTCCCCTCTGCTGCACGGGGGAGAGATGGAAGAAGTGGGGATCTGTCGAGGCGCAGAGGGGAGGACAGGCCCAGCTCGCCTCCACTCCCCACCGGCTCTTATCCTCTTCACTTCCCGCTGCAACCCCCAGGGACTGCAGGGCCTTTCTCAGGACCCTCTTCCCCGACACCTGTATTGCATGCGCCTTTCGCGGGAAGAGGAGGGATACACGTTTGGGAGAGAGTGGGACCTTGGGGAAGGGGCAGTGTTCAGGCAGCTGGGGTGTTAAGTTGGGGAGGTATGGGGGCTCTGGAAGAGAGGCCCAGGCAGCCCATCCTCTTCTTGGCTCCCAGGAGAAATGCAAGCCTGGCAGCCATTCCGCTCTGAGGAGATCTGGGGGAACCCCACCGGCTGGCCAAGCTGCAAAGAGGCGCGGGAACCACTGTCGTGCCCCTCCCCTCCTCACTGCAGTGTTCTCCCATCTCATCATTTGATCTTACCCCGCCCCCCACTGCAGTGACCTCCCCTTCCTCACTGCATTGACCTTCTCCTCTTCCCAGGGGGGAGGGGGAATCCCTTCTACAGCCCTAGACTGCAGCCAGCGCCTCCCTACCCACCCCCCACCCACTGCAGTAACCTCTTTCCCATCCCTCCCAGCCTCCCGCCCCGCCCATTGATCTCAGGCTCCACCCCTCTAAGCCTCTTATCTTTCTCCTTCCTTCCCTTCCACCCGAGGAGATCCCAGCCATCATGTCCATAGAGAAGATCTGGGCCCGGGAGATCCTGGACTCCCGCGGGAACCCCACAGTGGAGGTGGATCTCTATACTGCCAAAGGTAATGGGTGTGGCATGGGCCTTCCTACAGCCCTAGCTTTTCCACGGCCAGGCTGGGTTCGGCCAGGGGTTCGGAGGCCTTTTTTGATACCCAGGGGTATGGGGTGCTGGGCCAGGCTCACAAGCCTGGGTTGTGGCGGTTGGATCCTCCTTGTCCGGGGAGCCAGGGTAGGTGGGTCTGTGTTCGAGTTTAGCGTGTGAGGCATGTCCTGCCTCCGTGTGTCTGCCTGTGCACTTGCATGTGTGCAGACGTGTGCTGCAAGCAATTTTCTTTCTGCGGGCTCCCACTTGTGCATGTGGGGCCTCAGATGGGTGGATGAGGAGGCCACTTCTTGTGCATCTGCCTCAGTGTGTGTGTGGGGTGGGGGTGGGGGGATGTTAGGGAGCAGTGTGGGGAGAGAGCTAGATGTGGTAGGCAGGCAGTTTAGAGCCAGAAGGCTGAAGGACTCCCTGGCCCCTGTGTCCTCTTCACTCCCTCTCATTCCATGTTCCTCCTTTAGGTCTTTTCCGGGCTGCAGTGCCCAGTGGAGCCTCTACGGGCATCTATGAGGCCCTGGAGCTGAGGGATGGAGACAAACAGCGTTACTTAGGCAAAGGTGAGGTCCCTTCTCTTTTCCAGACTCTCCCCCACCTCAGCCTTATGCCCCTACCTCACACCAGTCCCCAGTCCTCCTCTAGCATGGCTTCCCCTCCTCCCATTGATCCCTTCCGGCCCCTCCTGGCCCGACCCAGTCCAGCCTCTTCCTTTCCCCAGGTGTCCTGAAGGCAGTGGACCACATCAACTCCACCATCGCGCCAGCCCTCATCAGCTCAGTGAGGCCTGCTCTTTGCTGGGGATAGCAGGGCCAGAGTTCTGGAAGGAATCCCGGAGCAGGGCAGGAGGAAGGGAAGAAAGAAGGCCCACTCTTAGGAATCATGGTTACAAGGGGGAAGGGTGGGGAACAGCTTCCTTAATGCACCCTGCTCCCATGGGAGTTCAGGTCCCCTAATCCAGGTAGGCCCCTGTCACAGGGACCTGGTTGGACCCTGGCCAAATGTGAGCTTGGGTGTGAATGAGGGGACCCTCTGCCTTAGGGCTCAGCCTCCAGCCTGGCCCTGGGTGATGGAGGCTCTGCCCTCAGGGTCTCTCTGTGGTGGAGCAAGAGAAACTGGACAACCTGATGCTGGAGTTGGATGGGACTGAGAACAAATGTGAGCCGGGGCCGGGAGAAAGTGGGGAAGCGTCAGGGTGGGGAGGCGTGGAGCAGATAGAGAGCTGAAGGGCCAGTGCTGTAGTGGCTTCCTCAGGAATGACTGTCAGGGGCATTCTCCTCTCAAAGCCAGAGCAAGGGGAGATGAGTTTAGCTGCAGAGGGAAGGACCGACAGTAGGCAGAAGGAAGACCTTCTTTGCAGCATACAGAGGAGGGGGATGGCCTGAGAGAGTCTGTGGTCTCAGGGATATTTAGAAAGAGGTGTGGCTCTCTGCCGTTTCCAATCTCCTCCTCCCCACCCATTCCTCTCCCTGCTGTTTTCAAGAGAGCATGGATGAGGTGTTGCTGGGGCAGGGGTGGGGAGGGAGGAGGGGGTCTCCTTTACTGGCTCCTTTTGGAGACTACAGATGGAGGCAGGAGCTAGAAAGGAGAAGGGGACATTGTGCTCAGCACCTTCCTCTATAATCTCCTAGCCAAGTTTGGGGCCAATGCCATCCTGGGTGTGTCTCTGGCCGTGTGTAAGGCAGGGGCAGCTGAGCGGGAACTGCCCCTGTATCGCCACATTGCTCAGCTGGCCGGGAACTCAGACCTCATCCTGCCTGTGCCGGTGAGCAATAAGCCAGCCTGCGGCTCTCCCAGGGGCGGGTGGGGGAGGGAGCATGCAACTCATGAGGAATGATGGGAGGAAAGTGAATTGAGGGAGGTAAAGAGGAAGGATGGGGACGTGAGACTTAGTCCGGAAAGCTGGGGGAAGTTTGGGATCTTGGGTTAACACTCCTGGGGCGGGCAGGGAGGGGCTCTTTGACCCTTCTGTCTTTCTGTGGCTCCCCAGGCCTTCAACGTGATCAATGGTGGCTCTCATGCTGGCAACAAGCTGGCCATGCAGGAGTTCATGATCCTCCCAGTGGGAGCTGAGAGCTTTCGGGATGCCATGCGACTAGGTGCAGAGGTCTACCATACACTCAAGGGAGTCATCAAGGACAAATACGGCAAGGATGCCACCAATGTGGGGGATGAAGGTGGCTTTGCCCCCAATATCCTGGAGAACAGTGAAGGTGAGGCCAGGAGCCCCACTCCCAGCTCTAAGTCTTACCCTATTGTGGGACATCAGAAAGGGTGACACAGTTCACCAAGTCCTGAGTAGGCGTGGAGGGTCCTAGGACTCTGCAAACTCCAAAAGGTACCAGTTCTTAGAGTGGATTGCAGAGAGCCTGCCAAATTCACATGCAGACCTAGGGGGACAGTATTTTTTTTTTTTTTTGAGACGGAGTCTTGCTCTGTCACCCAGGCTGGAGTGCAGTGGCTCGATCTCAGCTCACTGCAAGCTCCGCCTCCCGGGTTCACGCCATTCTCCTGCCTCAGCCTCCCGAGTAGCTGGGACTACAGGCGCCCGCCACCACGCCCGGCTAATTTTTTGTATTTTTTAGTAGAGACAGGGTTTCACTGTGGTCTCGAACTCCTGACCTTGTGATCGGCCCGCCTCGGCCTCCCAAAGTGCTGGGATTACAAGCGTGAGCCACCACGCCTGGCCAGGGGACAGTCTTTTACCTGCCTAGCCAGATGTGTTAGCATCTGTTAAGTTGCCACTGGAAGGCCGGGCGCGGTGGCTCACACCTGTAATCCCAGCACTTTGGGAGGCTGAGGCGGGTGGATCACCTGAGGTCAGGAGTTTGAGACCAGCCTGGCCAACAAGGTGAAACCCCGTCTCTACTAAAAATACAAAAATTAGCCGGGCATGGTGGCGTGTGCCTGTAATCACAGATACTAGCGGGGCTGAGGCAGGAGGATCGCTTGTACCCGGGAGGCGGAGGTTGTGGTGAGCCGAGATCATGCCACTGCACTCCAGCCTGGGCAACAGAGCGAGACTCCGTCTCAAAAAAAAAAAAAAAAAAAAAAGTTGTCACTGGAGCCCTTGGGAATACTGGGAGATGGTCTGGATGACTGTTGGATTCATCCCATCCATTCGAAATCTGTCCTGTCCCCGTCCCAACCTCCTAGGCCTCTAGAATCCCTAATTTTTCTGTGCCTTGGGGGAAACTGTATAGGGAATGGAAAGAATATAGGTAGTGGTTAAGAGTTAAGGTTCTGGGGCCAAATAACCTGGATTTATTTGAACCTTGACTTGTGGAGTTACTGCTGGTGAACTTTCTTACTTCTCTCTGGAAATAATAACAGAATCTAGCTCATGGTAGTGTGAGGCTTAAATGAAATATATATAAAATGCTTAGATGACATGATACCAATGAAAGTATAGTAAGTATTATTAAGAGAATTCCATTCCTCTGTGTTCCTAGAAGATGGCCTCTCCTCCCAGACCTGGGGATAACCCCAACAGCATCCCCGCCACACTTCCCTCAGGAACAGCCCTCCACCTCTGCCCTGAATGTCTTTTCTTTCCCTCCTCCTCCTTGCCCATCCCTCCTGCTTGTACTATAATCTCACTGTATTCTGTCCCCAGCCTTGGAGCTGGTGAAGGAAGCCATCGACAAGGCTGGCTACACGGAAAAGATCGTTATTGGCATGGATGTTGCTGCCTCAGAGTTTTATCGTGATGGCAAATATGACTTGGACTTCAAGTCTCCCACTGATCCTTCCCGATACATCACTGGGGACCAGCTGGGGGCACTCTACCAGGACTTTGTCAGGGACTATCCTGGTGAGAGGAAGTGGTGTGAGGGGGAGGTCTGGGGGCAGGCAGGGACGTGTCCCAGCAACTCTGGACCTTATGGGGTGCTGACTCAGGCACCAGGTGGGGGTGTCCTAAGAAGAACCTGAGAACCAGGGAGAGGGTGCAGGAGCCACCTGCAAAGACTGGGCTTTGTATGTAGTGTAAAAATGCAGGTACCCGTGACCAATCTGTTCTGTCTCAGATCCTGATTAAAGTCATGGGTTCTGAAAACTACTGGGGTCATGGGGAAGGCTCTGGAAGGAACCAGGGATGATATGAGTGTGACTGGATCTAGCAGAGAACTAGAACATTTCAGTATCTTTGATTGATGAAATTGTGGATGCTGAATGGAGCTGGGACTGATGTGTGAGTAGAAAGAAGGCTGAGGGGGACTGAATTAGCTTCTGCAAGTCTGCCCAGGGCCTTTATCTCAGGATGGAGGCAGTTGGTCGCCATCTTCCTGACACAGAGCGAAAGAAAATCAACATAATTGCAGAATTAAGGATTTGGATTAGCAATGAGGAAGGGCTTGCTGGCAGTGAGAACAGGAAAATGCAAAGCTAGGTTGTGAACCCTTGTTACTGGAAGATTTTTTTTGGGGGGGGGGTGGGGTTGTTTTTTTTGTTTTGTTTTTTTTTTTTGAGACAGAGTTTGACTCTTCTTGCCCAGGCTGGAGTGCAATGGCGCCATCTCGGCTCACCACAACCTCCACCTCCCGGATTCAAGCGATTCTTCTGCCTCAGCCTCCCGAATAGCTGGGATTACAGGCATGTGCCACCATGCCTGGCTAATTTTGTATTTTTAGTAGAGACAGGGGTTTCTCCATGTTGGTCAGGCTGGTCTCCAACTCCTGACCTCAGGTAATCTATCCACCTTGGTCTCCCAAAGTGCTGGGATTACAGGCGTGAGCCACCACGCCTGGCTGGTTTGCTTTTAATTAACTTTTTTTTTTTTTTTTTTTTTTTGTAGAGACAGGGTTTAGCCATGTTGCTCATGGCTGGTCTCAAACTACTGGGCTCAAGTGATCTGCATGCCTCGGCCTCCCAAAGTGCTGGGATTACAGGCATGAGCCACTGTGCCCAGCCTATGGAAGTGGCGTGAGATCTCTGCTCACTGCACGATTCTCTTAGCCTCCCAAGTAGCTGGGATTACAGGCGTGCACCACCATGCCTGGCTAATTTTTGTATTTTTAGTAGAGATGGGGTTTTACTATGTTAGCCAGGGAACTCCTATCCTCAAGTGATCCGTTCACCTCAGTATCCCAAAGTGCTGGGATTACAGGCATGAGCCACTGTGCCTGGCCTCTCCATGTAAGGTTTTATGAAATAAGAATCAGGAGCCAGGCGTGGTGGCTCATGCCTGTAATCCCATTACTTTGGGAAGCCGAGGCAGGAGGACTGCTTGAATCCAGGAGTTCGAGACTGGCCTGGCAATACAGTGAGACCTCATCTCTACAAAAATTTTAAAAATTAGCTGAGTGTGGTGCCACACACCTAAAGTCCCTGCTACTCAGGAGGCTGAGGTGGCAGGATCACTTGATTGGGGAGGTGGAGGTTGCAGTGAGCTGAGATTGTGCCACTGCACTCCAGCCTGGATGACAGAATGAGGCTCTGTCAAAAAAAAAAAAAAAGTTAAGAATCAGTTAGGGCAGGCTTACACTGGGGGGATTTGTCTTAGCAAGGATGAGCAGGTGTAGTTAACCAAGGGCCTGTCCATTTCAGGGAATAAAGGGGCATGTTCCTGCCTGATGTAGAGACCCAGGGAAGATGAACACCTCCCCCCTCCCCACCATGCTCTCTCTGCAGTGGTCTCCATTGAGGACCCATTTGACCAGGATGATTGGGCTGCCTGGTCCAAGTTCACAGCCAATGTAGGGATCCAGATTGTGGGTGATGACCTGACAGTGACCAACCCAAAACGTATTGAGCGGGCAGTGGAAGAAAAGGCCTGCAACTGTCTGCTGCTCAAGGTCAACCAGATCGGCTCGGTCACTGAAGCCATCCAAGCGTGAGTGACTTCTGGCCCTCTCCTGTGTGGTCCTCGTTTCTATAAGACTCCTTTTGCAAGTGCTCCAGCCTAATTCTACCCAGGGGTGCCAAAGAGAGCGGGGAACCTGGAATCATCCTCACAGTTCTCTCACCTCTGCCCCTCCACCCCTGATTCTCTGCTCCCCTCCCAGATAGCTTTCCCCTAGATGTTTCCTGACATAGACCAAGGTTGGGGCTGGGAAGAGAGTGCCCAGTGTGAGAGCTGGAGAATCAGTGCTGTGTGTGGATACAGGTGCAAGCTGGCCCAGGAGAATGGCTGGGGGGTCATGGTGAGTCATCGCTCAGGAGAGACTGAGGACACATTCATTGCTGACCTGGTGGTGGGGCTGTGCACAGGCCAGGTGAGTGAGGCAGCCTGGTGAGTGAAGAGAACTCTCTGTGGGATTGGTATTTCTAGCTCACCCACCTGGTCTCTCCTTCCAGGTGTTTGAGGGTGTCAGGGGAGTTTCAGGAGAGCAGAAGTTTCCTTTCAGGGGTGAGAGGGCAGTCACTGAGCTGCAAATCCTTTGAAATGTTTCAGATCAAGACTGGTGCCCCGTGCCGTTCTGAACGTCTGGCTAAATACAACCAGCTCATGAGGTGAGGGTCCCTGGGGTGGGAGCCCCTGGCCCAGATGGCTAAAGGCCCCATTTGCCTGCCAGACCATCTGTAGCACCAAGGGCCTGGATAACAGTCCATTTCCTGGATAACAGTCCAACAGATAATATTGGTTTTTGCTTCCTGGGTTTATTGATGGCCTGATTGACAAATCCCAGAGATCACATGGGAAAGCCAGGGAATGCTAAGCCTTGGGGCAGGACACAAAAGCAGGTGGTGTGGGGGTGGTTGGAGTCTGGGGGACCCCTAGAGAGAGAAGCAGGATCCTCCTGCATCCCTGACCACTTCCTTTGTGGTTCATCTCTCTCAGAATTGAGGAAGAGCTGGGGGATGAAGCTCGCTTTGCCGGACATAACTTCCGTAATCCCAGTGTGCTGTGATTCCTCTGCTTGCCTGGAGACGTGGAACCTCTGTCTCATCCTCCTGGAACCTTGCTGTCCTGATCTGTGATAGTTCACCCCCTGAGATCCCCTGAGCCCCAGGGTGCCCAGAACTTCCCTGATTGACCTGCTCCGCTGCTCCTTGGCTTACCTGACCTCTTGCTGTCTCTGCTCGCCCTCCTTTCTGTGCCCTACTCATTGGGGTTCCGCACTTTCCACTTCTTCCTTTCTCTTTCTCTCTTCCCTCAGAAACTAGAAATGTGAATGAGGATTATTATAAAAGGGGGTCCGTGGAAGAATGATCAGCATCTGTGATGGGAGCGTCAGGGTTGGTGTGCTGAGGTGTTAGAGAGGGACCATGTGTCACTTGTGCTTTGCTCTTGTCCCACGTGTCTTCCACTTTGCATATGAGCCGTGAACTGTGCATAGTGCTGGGATGGAGGGGAGTGTTGGGCATGTGATCACGCCTGGCTAATAAGGCTTTAGTGTATTTATTTATTTATTTATTTTATTTGTTTTTCATTCATCCCATTAATCATTTCCCCATAACTCAATGGCCTAAAACTGGCCTGACTTGGGGGAACGATGTGTCTGTATTTCATGTGGCTGTAGATCCCAAGATGACTGGGGTGGGAGGTCTTGCTAGAATGGGAAGGGTCATAGAAAGGGCCTTGACATCAGTTCCTTTGTGTGTACTCACTGAAGCCTGCGTTGGTCCAGAGCGGAGGCTGTGTGCCTGGGGGAGTTTTCCTCTATACATCTCTCCCCAACCCTAGGTTCCCTGTTCTTCCTCCAGCTGCACCAGAGCAACCTCTCACTCCCCATGCCACGTTCCACAGTTGCCACCACCTCTGTGGCATTGAAATGAGCACCTCCATTAAAGTCTGAATCAGTGCACTGTTGTGTCTAAGGAGTCTTACTCTAGTCCCTATGAGGGGAGAGAAGATGGAGCACCTGGAAGCTGGTGAAACTGGATAGCAGAGCTGGGGGGGCACAAAAAGAGGAAGACAAACTGAACAAATATGGCCGAGATGATGGCACTGCCTACCCCATTCTGGCTAGGTGGGGTGCATGTGGCCCCTGCTTTCTTAGCAGAAGGCTTGGCTCCCAGACGCAGGTGAATTAAGGGGTTCAAGAGCCCCTAAAAGCATAAAATATTTTGTGTGTGTGTGTGTGTGCACGCGCATTTTGGGGGAAAGGGGGTCTAAGGTGTTTTCATATCCAAAGGGCTTGTGGACTGGAGCAGCTCCTGTACTGGGCCTCTGCCAACAAAACCCTGGCTGGTTCTCGAATGGAACAGGACTTCATGGCCATCACCCACTGCAAGATGGGGAAATGGGAAGGAAGAATGGTTCCGGGGGTAGTATACGGAAGGACCTAAGGAAACAGAGTCCTCAATAAACTGAAGATTCAGGAACAAAAGTGCTTAACAGAACCCTGGCTGGGTCAGACTAACAGTAGGTTTCCAATATGTGGCTAGAGACGTACTACTCCTTAGCTATAACTCGTTAACTCTTATGGGGCCTCAGCGTTGAGATGCTCATTCTAGGTACCCCCGAGGGGGACAAATCCCTTCCTAGTGGCTCGGATGCAAGGTTGCGTCCCACAGATAGGGTTTGCACATGGGAGATCTAACCACTAGAGGGAGTCAGAGTTTTGCAGGACGCCATACTGGACGCCAAGTGGGAGGAACTTCAAGGCTGTCCCCTGCGGGCCTCCCGCTCTGCTTCTGCGAAGGTCTGGTCCTGGCTCCCTCTGCCATCCTGCCCAGCTCCAAGGCTAAAATAGGTTCTAGTTCTGTATGGGTAGGGCCCATTTCTTTTCTTGCCCTCCTTCCCGGGTCCCTGACACCTCAGCCATTTTCAGTTCAAAGAGCCTCATGCCCCCTTTCCATTTCTGTGCCTTTTAGTTTCAGTGTGGGCATCTCATCTTTCCCTTTTCTCCTGGCGACCCTTTATGCCTCCCTTGGGGTTTCCTGTACTTTCCTCTGTGCCTCTCAGTTTTCTCTGGGGTCCCTGATACCCATCTTACCTTAGTAACTCCCAGACTGACCAGGACTATCCTAGTTTGAGCCTAGTTCCTAGCCTCTGTCCTTTCTTTCATCCCTCCTCACCAGGTCGCCTTCTCTGACAGTCTGGCCCCCCAACCCCCAAAGTATCGGGGTTGGATTGGGTTACAGCTAGCTCTGCCTGGGCCTCCCAGGCCCTTCTCTCCACTTTCCCTTTGTGCCGTTGCCTGGAGACCAATGGGTTGTGGGGGGCTGAGCCAGAGAGGGAGCTGGGGTGAGGGATGGCTGGGGCTGTGTGTGTGCGTGTGCGTGTGTGTGTGTGTGTGTGTGTGTGAGAGAGAGAGAGAGAGATGTCCCCTGCAGCTGGACTATAAGCCTGGCCCTCAGGTAGGGGAGGAATGGGAGAGGGTAGACAATGGTTTCTTTTGTGACTCTCACCATCCCCTATCCCCACATATGCCTAAATTTTTCTTTTAGTATCCATTGTAGCCCATTCCTTAGTGATTAAAAAACAAGGGAGAAGAGCTCAGCCTGGAAGGGATTTGGAAAGGGCTTGAGCCAAGGCCCAGTGGGAGACTGAACTGAGTGGTACAGAAAGAGAGGAAATGCCATGGGGAGAGAGGGTGAGAGGGAAAGGGGGAGCCCTGGAACAAAGTCAGGGGTGGGGAGGAGCAGCAGCTACCCTAGAGCAAGAGGAAGGGAGTCGGGGTGCACAGGGAGACAGGGAGCTGGCCTGGTCTCAGGGAGGCCCTGGGAGGAAGGTGTGCTTGGAGTGGTAAAGTGAGTGCCAACCAATTCAAGGGACTTCAGAGTGATGACTCATTCCCAGGCCAAGGAAGTGTTCCTGTTCCTGCGCCCAGTTCCCCAGTGCTCTGGAATCTTGTTTAGAGCTTTTGAGTATTCCCAGAACTTTGTTGAATCTGGCCCAAGGAATTGTGAGACAAAAATCTACTGAGCTGCTCCAGAGCTAACCTCCTTCCTTCCCTGAAGGCAGGTGGGATCTTGCCAATTCAGGGCCCACCCTTAGCCTCCAGCAAGACTGGCCCCACAAGTACCCGACCCCCACCCCAAATCTGGAGCTCTACTGAGGGCTCCTAATCCACACTCCAGCTCCAGCTCTTCCGGCTTGCCAGCCTGCCTCCCTCCCATTCTCTGGCCTTCCCAATTTCTGCTGCCAAAAATCACCCTGTGTCCTTTGTCCTGGGAGATGTTGCCGCTTGGTGGAGGGCCAGGAGGGAGCCCAGGAGAAGGAACTGGTGGTGGGCTGGCGGAGGTGCTGGCTTCACGGCCGGGAGCAGACTGACTGCCAGAGGCTACCTGGAGAGCAGGGGAGGGAGAGGAAGGGTTGGGAGGAGCCTGCAGTCTGTGGTGGGGACTGTCTCCACCTTAGAACAAGTGGGATTGAGCAACAAGGATACCCAGGGATTTGGGTCCACATTAAGCCCAGTCTTCACCCGACTGCTTCCCTGTGACCCAGGGGATCTTTAGTGATGACTTTCAACAGATTTGAGAAGGAAAATGGAGATGCCACTAGATGGAAGGCCTGAGGATGGTGTCTCACTCCTCCAAGCTGTATCCCTTACCTATCTACCCATGAGCTTGCCAGCAACCTCCCCCCGCTCCCACATCTGTCATTTCCTTTAACTGCCCTCGTTTCCCATCTCCATTTTTTCTTTTTTTTTTTGAGACGGCGTCTCGCTCTGTCTCCCAGGCTGGAGTGCAGTGGCGCGATCTCTGCTTGCTGAAACCTTTGCCTCCCAGGTTCAAGGATTCTCCTGCCTCAGCCTCTGAGTAGCTGGGATTACAGGCATGCGCCACCACACCCGGCTAATTTTTGTATTTTTAGTAGAGACGGGGTTTCGCCATGTTGGCCAGGCTGGTCTTGAACTCCTGACAAGTGACCCACCCGACTCAGCCTCCGAAAGTGCTGAGATTACAGGCGTGAGCCCCCGCACCGGCCCCATCTCCATTTTCTTTTCCCATCCATGATCTTTCCTCTTCCATACTGCCGCCAGCCATAGGCCTTGTTCAGCTTACATTTCCTTCCAATCTTCTTATCCCCCTCTTCCCCATTCTGCCCGCCCAAGTAAACCCTCCTCGGCTCTACTGGGAGCCCCCACCCCCAGGATCCAGCCAGCCCGGTGTCTCCCACCCTTCTTTCCCATCCAGAGCCCTCCTTTCTCACCCAGAACCTATTTTCCCTAGAATTGGCACCTGGGCCCACCTCGTTCATCCCTTCTTAAGGTTCCTCACGCGTTCCCTCCTCTCTCTCCTCACTGACGTTTCCTCTGGACTTCTCTCTCTCCAGCATTCCTTCATCCCCCCACCCCCAATTCTTATATTTATGACTCTTTTGTCAACACTAATCACCCCCAAAAGCTTTACTTTTTCCAGAAGCCCCATCTTTCTATATATGTCATCTTTTCAATTTTTCTCTCTCCTTATGACCCCAAACTTCCATCCCATTCTCTCTGATAATAGCCCCCAAACCCGTCTGGCTCCATCTCTGCCACAGATCCCTCACCCCAAGCTTCTCTCACTTCTCACCAGGCACCCACAAAGCCCCCAGGCAGCTCCATCTTTCCAATCCAATCCCATTATCCCAATCTCTACCCCAGGATCCCCCAAACTCCTCCCACTTCACCTCTGCCACAGACCCGCTCGCCCCCAAACTTCAGCCTCCCCTCATCTGCCCTCACCACCCACAGCCCCTCCTACCTAGCCCTCTCCCGCGCCGGGCCCGCGGGCTCCCCACATTCCGCCACGGCTAGCCCTCCCCGCGCCCCGGCCCCCTCGGCCTCGGCCTCGGCCAACTCGCGCTGCGCCTCCCCCTCTCCGGCTCCCCCTCTCTCCCCCCTCGCGGCTTGCCTCGCGCTCCCTCCCTCGCGTCTCCCTCCTGGCCCCTCTCTCCTCCGTTCCTCCGCGCTCCCTCCTTCTCCCTCTTCCTCCCTTCTCCCATCCCCCTCTCCCAGGCTCCCTCCCTTCGCCGTCCGCTTTCCTGTGCGAGTCGCCGGACGCACCGCCCAGCCCGTCCGCAGCCCCGCGCCGGGTCGGGGCCTCGGGCCGGGCCATTTCGGAGGGACCGCGGCTTCGGGGAGGGGCTAGGAGGGGGGAGAGGGAGCCGACTGCCGGGGAAGGGGCGGGGGCCGCGGGCGAGGCGGCCGAGGGGCCCGGGATCGCGCGGGTGCGGGCTGCGCTAGGCGGGCGCGGGCGGCGGCGGGTCGGAACCGCGCCGAGGGCCGGGCGGGCCGCGGGGCCGGGCGGCGCGGCGGGGGCGGGCGGCGCGGCCCGGGGCATTCCGGGCGGCCAGGGGGAGGCGGCGAGCCCGGGGAGGTGGGGAGCAGAGCGGGGATCGGGGTTTGCTCCGGGGGCCGGCGGGCGATTGGGGCCAGGCGGGGAAAAGGGGGGATGGGGGCCGCCCTCCGGGGGGGTCGGGGCCGCCGCCGCCGTCGTCGCGGCGGCGACTGAGGCCGAGAAGAGGAGAGGGGGGCGGGGGAGCTGCCGCCGCCGCCCCCCAGAGGCGCCGGAGCCCGGAATCCCGCTCGGAGCCAGCCAGCCGTCCCGAGCTACCAGCAGGTAAGGTCTGCGGCCGCCTGGGCCCCGGGCCCGCGGGGTTCTGTCCCGCCCGGGCTCCGGCCTGCGGCTCCCCACCCCCACCCCTCCCAGTTCCCCCTCCTGCCGCCGCCGCCTCCATTTGTTATTTTCCCAATCCCGTCCCCCCACTGCGGGCTCTGCCTGGCCTGAGGGCCGGGGGCTCAGGGGGTGGGGCCCGCCGAGGAGAGTCGGGGGCCAGGGTTTCGGGAGGATCGGGAAGGTGGGGAAGGAGGGAGGGTCTCCGGAGGAGGCCTGTGGGGCCAGAGGGTATCCGGGACCCGCAGACTCAAAAGAGGAGGAACATCGAGGCCGGGGTTGGCGGAGGAAAACGGGGGATGCTGTGAGTGGGGTTCCGGGCGAAGGCAGAATGGATAGGAGAGATGGCAGCGAGGTGGGGCATGAAGCCTCCAGGAAAAAGCTCCAAAGGACCAGAACACGGGTTCCGGAGCCTGGGGTTGGGGGCTTTAGGAATAGACGGGAAGTGGGAAACGGGAAAGGGGTGTGGTAGGTGGAAAGAGGGATTGTGGCTGATGAACCTGGGGGAGACGGAGGCTTGGGCAAAGAGAGGTCCATTTTTGAGAAGAGCCGGAGGTTTTCCAGCGTGGAAGAGGGAAGGCCATGTCTTTGTGACGGTTTTCATTCCCCTACTGCAGGTCACCTCTGACCCTGTTTTCCCTATCCCAGACATAGTTATTTCTTGGAGAGGGCACTGGGGCCCAGTAGTGTGGGTTATCCCAAAACTAGTGAGGAGGAAAACAGGAACACAGAAGGGGGAGTTGGGAAGAAAGGGGTTCTGGGAGGATGGAAATGGAGAATTGAGCAACCTTACAGGCACTCCAGGCAAGTTGCGACCTCCACCCTCCACCCTCCAATTTCCGGAGCGTCCGCTGCCCCTGGAGCTGTGATCTATATAGGGAGGCCTTAGTTACTGCTTTGAGCTCAAAGATCTCCCTTTGTGCATGGGCTTATTTTGACTAGGGTAGGTACCTTCAAGCTCCCTTACCTGAGGTGCTATAGGAGGGTAGGAGTTGCTTTGGCAACTGGGGTAGGGGGTAGCTGCCAGATGGACACCTGGGATGGTCTCTTGAGGGGCACCTTTTGCCACTGTGTTGCTATGGTAGTGATCCAGTGGGATGTCAGATTGGTTGGGGGGGCTTCGAATGTTTATTGGACCTCAGCCTGTGGCTGTCCTTGGGACTCTGGGCTGGGTTTTGGAGGTTGTTTCTGGATCTGTTGGTGGTTGGGAGTTTCCCCACGGTGTGCACCCTTTCATGTTGAAGTCTGTTGGAACAGGTAGATACGTTCCTTGCAGATCATAGGTGTTTCTCCAAGTCTCTCCACCTGGGCATGATGGGAGGATGAAAACGCTTCTGTTCAGGTTACACCATCTTTTGGCAGTTGGTTCTGACCTCTACCTCCCTTATTATGTTATTTTTTGTAGAGTTGTCTTTTTGCTTCTTTGCACTTTCTTTCATTTTCTAAAACTTGAATTCCTCTTTGAGCCTCCCTTCTTGAGTAACCCTTTTCCTCTTTCCCTCAACTAACCTTTGGCCTTCTTCCCTGACCTTGTAGAAATGGCTGGGCTCCCAGGCCCATCCCAGGTGAGGGTGGCCCAGGACAGAGGGCTGTGAAACAGCTTCATGCAGGGGAAATACTATAGAACAGGAGCCAGGAGACCTGTGTCTAGACCTGGCTGTGCCTCTGTGACCTTGGGCAAGTCACTTCTCTTTGAGCCTGGGCTTCATTGTTAAGATGAAGGGGCTATAGATGAGATGATCTCTGAGGCCTCTCTGAAGGTCCCGGATTCTCAGAAGGCTTAGGCCAGTGCATCGTTATCTGCTGGTCTGGGCTGCATTGTTATCTAGGAGTCACTTTGGACTGGTTTGTTAGTCTGGCAGGTCCAGAATGATGTTGGGGGCTGGGCCAATGATCCTGAAATTTAGCCTGCGAGCCCCTCCCAGAGAGCTTGTGACTCCACTGTATTCCTTCTGACATCCCATATTTCTCTCTTAATTTCTTTTCCTGTTCTTACTTAGGGGCTCTTTTTCTAGTTCTCACTTTCCTCCCAACCCAGTCTGGTCTTAATCATTTTCTTTTTAAAGTAAGGTAATGGCAGTGCGCAGTGGCTCACGCCTGTAATCCCAGCACTTTGGGAGGCTGAGGCGGGCGGATCACGAGGTCAGGCGATTGAGACCATCCTGGCTAACACGGTGAAACCCCGTCTCTAGTAAAAATACAAAAAAATTAGCCGGGCGTGGTGGCGGGCGCCTGTAGTCCCAGCTACTCAGGAGGCTGAGGCAGGAGAATGGCGTGAACCCGGGAGGTGGAGCTTGCAGTGAGCCGAGCCGAGATCGCGGCACGGCACTCCAGCCTGGGTGACAGAGTGAGACTCCGTCTCAATAAATAAATAAATAAATAAATAAATAAAATAAAGCAAGGTAATGAAGGTGAATGTGCTTAGTATGTGGCCAGATACAGAGTAGGTGCTCTGTAATATTAGTTACAGTGATTGCCTGCTAGGAGTGTAGGCTGGTGCTAAAACATGACCCAGGTCTAGAAAGACACACAATCCACCCCTAACTCCTTTCCTCGTCTGCCACTCCTTATCCCCAGGATTACTTGTTCTTTTATGACTGCTTTTCTCCTTCAAAGCTTCTCATTGCTAGTTTTTATCAGATTTCAGGTGATTAAAAAAGAAGGGCATACTATGATTGCTGTGTTCCTCAGGTACATTCCTGTGTTTCTCTGACCTTTTGGATCCCCTAACCTAACTGACTTGGTGAACAGGTTCTGTGATGGGGAAGGGAGATGGACACCCTTCTCTAGGAGGGCTGGCAAAAATACACCAATCACAAATAGTCATCTTTGTTGTGCTTTTTGTTTAAGATTGTTTTCCTCTTTTGCTATGGTGGGTGTTGTTCTTCGGATTTTTTTTTTTTTTTGGTTGATAGTATTTTAAAACCAGTCTACATAACAACTAAAAAATGTGGGAAAATAGCTGTAGTTGAAAAAAAAAAAAAAAAAAAAAAGGCCGGGCATGGTGGCTCACGCCTGTAATCCCAACACTTTAGGAGGCTGAGGCAGGTGGATCATCTGAGGTCAGGAGTTCGAGACCAGCCTGGTCAACATGGTGAAACTCCGTCTCTACTAAAAATACAAAAATTAGCCAGGTGTGGTGGTGTGCGCTTGTAATCCCAGCTACTTGGGAGGCTGAGGCAGGAGAATCGCTTGAACCTGGGAGGCGGAGGTGGCAGTGAGCTGAGATCATGCCATAGCACCTCCAGCCTGGGGAACAAGAGCAAAGATCCATCTCAAAAAAAAAAAAAAGGAAAAAAAAAGAAAACTAGTTGGCCGGGCACAGTGGCTCACGCCTGTAATCCCAGCACTTGGGAAGGCCGAGGCAGGCAGATCACCTGAGGTCAGTAGTTCGAGACCACCCTGACTAACATGGTGAAACCCTGTCTCTACTAAAAATACAAAAAATTAGCCGGGTGTGGTGGTGCATGCCTGTAATCCCAGCTATTCAGGAGGCTGAGGCAGGAGAATCGCTTGAACCTGGGAGGCAGAGGTTGCAGTGAGTGAGATCACGCCACTGCACTCCAGCCTGGGCAACAAGAGTGAAACTCTGTCTCAAAAAAAAAAAAAAAAAAAAAAAAAAAGACAAGTCTACTGGGCAGAGCATCAGTTGAAAGTTCAGAAGATAGGCTCTGTCCCAGCAATTTTGTGATTCTAAGTAAATTGTGAAGTTTCCTGGAAAGGTTAGACTCACCCCTTACTGCCTGCATCAGTATGGTTCCGTGGAGGTGAGTGAGAATTACTGTGTTTCTTGGGAAAAAATACACTACAGAATATGGACATGCCGTTTACCTAGCAGGCCTCCAACTCAGAATAGAATACATGGGTAAGCTTAGTCTGTTCCCACTGGAGCTAGCAGCACTTAATTCAGGAAGAAAGACCTACTGATGTTAGTGGGTTTAAAGGTCAATCACAAGAAGAGCGCACACACATCAGTGGAAAGGAAGAAAACAGTAAGAAAATACCATTTTTGCTCTCAAAAGATCTTACAATCAGTAATTTGGAGGGACTTGACACTTAGCAAGAAATACAAACAAGTGCAAATGAATACAGCTGGCTATAGGGATTTGGATAAAGATAGATACCTGCTGATAGACAGATACGGATGGATTGGCTGTGAGAAACTGTGTAACCCAGTCTACACCAAGTAGGAGGATAGGCTTAAAAACTGGTACATCTGTGTTGTTTGCTCACGGATATTTTGAGTCTTTAATCATTCATGTGAAAACCCTGACTTTTCCTCTAGCCTTAGGGAGCTCAAGTACTAGAGAATGGGTCCTTTATGGGGCTCTCAAAAATGAAGTTCTACAATTTGGGGCTACCTAGGTTTAGTCTTGGGATTGGTAGGGCTGTGTTCCTTTGTATTATAGAATGGGACATTCTTCTTCTACCTACTCTGATGTGAGAAAAGATTCTTTTCATATCTCTGTGACTGATCTAGGCCTTCTGAGAATTCTCCCCAGCAACTTCTGAGGAGAATACAGCAAAGTATAGAAGAAAGAGCATGGGCTTTGAAGTCACCGACATGGGTTTGATTCTGGCTCTGTCACTGGTTCCTCACTGTGTGAGGTTGGGCTAGTCACAATCACAATCTTTGAGCCTCAGTTCCCTCACCTATATAATGAGGGTAATAATGCTTACCATTCAGGGTTGGTTGTAAATATTAAATGAAATCATGTATGTGAAGGGCTTGATATAAAGAAGGTATTCAATAAATTCATACTTCAATGTCATTTCTTTTTTCTTTTTTTTTTTTTGAGACAGAGTCTTACTCTGTCACCCAGGCTGGAGTGCAGTGGCATGATCTCGGCTCACTGCAACCTCTGCCTCCCAGGTTCAAGTGATTTGCTTGCCTCAGCCTCCTGAGTAGCTGGGATTACAGGCACGTGCCACCACGCCTGGCTGGGTTTCACCATGTTGGCTAGGCTGGTCTTGAACTCCTGACCTTGTGGTCCATCCACCTAGGCCTCCCAAAGTGCTGGAATTATAGACATGAGCCACCATGCCCCGCTCCATTTCTTTATGTTCCTTTGTAAGGCTCCGTGGAATGTGTGTGTTCACAAATATCCTTTAGGGATCATGAAGGGTAAACTGTGTGATCTCCTGGATTGGGGCTTGTAGGTACATCCGAATTTTCTGCCCTCTACAGAGATGAAAGAGATTATACTTCGAGCAGAATCTGCCTCCCTTTTAGATAGCTAAGGTAGCCCATGGGGCATGCCAGCAATGTCTTGTGGTATCTGTACCTCTTGGCCCAAAGGCTTAGGGTTGGGCCGCTTGCTCAGTTCTCTGACAAGCAGAATAGTATTCCTTTGTGACTCTGTTCTCCAAGTTGGAGACTCTGATGGTTTCCTTCTAACAGGTTTCATTGAAAACAGATCCTGCAAAAGTTCCAGGTGCCCACACTGGAAACTTGGAGATCCTGCTTCCCAGACCACAGCTGTGGGGAACTTGGGGTGGAGCAGAGAAGTTTCTGTATTCAGCTGCCCAGGCAGAGGAGAATGGGGTCTCCACAGCCTGAAGAATGAAGACACGACAGAATAAAGACTCGGTGAGTTAAAATGAGAGACATGAAAGATGAGGGGCGGGGCAGGCAAGCTAGGAGGAAGGGTCTAGAGAAGAAGAACAAATAATGTGCACCATAAAGTTAGGTGCAATGTAAAGAACAGTGTTACCTACCTCCTTCCTCCTCCTGTAGATGTCAATGAGGAGTGGACGGAAGAAAGAGGCCCCTGGGCCCCGGGAAGAACTGAGATCGAGGGGCCGGGCCTCCCCTGGAGGGGTCAGCACGTCCAGCAGTGATGGCAAAGCTGAGAAGTCCAGGCAGACAGCCAAGGTATTCTGTCCTCAGGTCCTCCCACAGGATGCCCAAGGCACTGGGGCTGAGGGTGTGTGTGTGTTGTGGGGGAACTTCCTGTTTGGCAGAGGGTAACGGTGGAGCTCGGGAGGTAGGGAAAAGACAGGAATTTTCTCTTTCTCTCTAACAGAAGGCCCGAGTAGAGGAAGCCTCCACCCCAAAGGTCAACAAGCAGGGTCGGAGTGAGGAGATCTCAGAGAGTGAAAGTGAGGAGACCAATGCACCAAAAAAGACCAAAACTGAGGTGGGAAACCCTTGTCGCCATCCTGACCCATCTTGTGACCATTCTTTTCTCAGACTTGCTTATGCTCACTATTCTTAGCTGGATCTCTCCTGGGACATAAGAGAAAGGCCAGATCATAGTGCTTATGAGAGCAGTTCTGTCTATAATATGCCAGAGAGATTCTTAGAGCTTTGACAGACCACCAGATGACCAGGCAGGGCCAAAGGGGACCAGAAGAGTTGGGGGATTCTAGTCTCTGGGTGAGAAGTCTTAGTCGGAGGAACAAATAAATCTTAAGGAAAATGCAGAAGTGGTCTTTCTTTTTTATTGTTTTTTTTTGTTTGTTTGTTTTTGAGACAGTTTCGCTCTGTCACCCAGGCTGGAGTACAGTGGCACAATCTCAGCTCATTGCAACCTCCGCCTCCTGGGTTCAAACAATTGTGCCTCAGCCTCCCGAGTGGCTGGGATTATAGGCATGAGCCACCATGCCCGGCTAATTTTTGTATTTTTGGTAGAGACAGTGTTTCACCATGTTGGCCAGGCTGGTTTGGAACTCCTGGCATCAAGTGATCCGCCCGCTTCAGCTTCCCAAAGTGCTGGGATTACAGGTGTAAGCCTCTGTGCCCGGCCAGAAGTGGTATAAAAACCAAGGGCTTGGGGGATGGAGGATGGTTAAAGTGGTGGTTATGAGATGGTGGAAGACAGGGAGTTGGAGTCAGCTGTGGGTAGAGACAAGGTGCTTGAGATGGATCCTTGAGGAAGGAATAGGGTTTTACAGGCGGGAAACAAGACTGGCTGCTAGGGAGCAGCCAAGAATGTGAGGAAAGTGAGAAATCCCCAGATGGTAAGAGGTGGGCTTGAGCAAGAGTACTCACCACATCACAGTACAACAGTGTGCTGTGAGGGGAAATGATTTTATGCAAGAGAGCCCCAAATCTCAGGGAAGCAGGAAAGGAAAAGAGAAAAAATGAGTCTTCCCTTTTCTACAGCAGGAACTCCCTCGGCCACAGTCTCCCTCCGATCTGGATAGCTTGGACGGGCGGAGCCTTAATGATGATGGCAGCAGCGACCCTAGGGATATCGACCAGGACAACCGAAGCACGTCCCCCAGTATCTACAGCCCTGGAAGTGTGGAGAATGACTCTGACTCATCTTCTGGCCTGTCCCAGGGCCCAGCCCGCCCCTACCACCCACCTCCACTCTTTCCTCCTTCCCCTCAACCGCCAGACAGCACCCCTCGACAGCCAGAGGCTAGCTTTGAACCCCATCCTTCTGTGACACCCACTGGATATCATGCTCCCATGGAGCCCCCCACATCTCGAATGTTCCAGGCTCCTCCTGGGGCCCCTCCCCCTCACCCACAGCTCTATCCTGGGGGCACTGGTGGAGTTTTGTCTGGACCCCCAATGGGTCCCAAGGGGGGAGGGGCTGCCTCATCAGTGGGGGGCCCTAATGGGGGTAAGCAGCACCCCCCACCCACTACTCCCATTTCAGTATCAAGCTCTGGGGCTAGTGGTGCTCCCCCAACAAAGCCGCCTACCACTCCAGTGGGTGGTGGGAACCTACCTTCTGCTCCACCACCAGCCAACTTCCCCCATGTGACACCGAACCTGCCTCCCCCACCTGCCCTGAGACCCCTCAACAATGCATCAGCCTCTCCCCCTGGCCTGGGGGCCCAACCACTACCTGGTCATCTGCCCTCTCCCCACGCCATGGGACAGGGTATGGGTGGACTTCCTCCTGGCCCAGAGAAGGGCCCAACTCTGGCTCCTTCACCCCACTCTCTGCCTCCTGCTTCCTCTTCTGCTCCAGCGCCCCCCATGAGGTTTCCTTATTCATCCTCTAGTAGTAGCTCTGCAGCAGCCTCCTCTTCCAGTTCTTCCTCCTCTTCCTCTGCCTCCCCCTTCCCAGCTTCCCAGGCATTGCCCAGCTACCCCCACTCTTTCCCTCCCCCAACAAGCCTCTCTGTCTCCAATCAGCCCCCCAAGTATACTCAGCCTTCTCTCCCATCCCAGGCTGTGTGGAGCCAGGGTCCCCCACCACCTCCTCCCTATGGCCGCCTCTTAGCCAACAGCAATGCCCATCCAGGCCCCTTCCCTCCCTCTACTGGGGCCCAGTCCACCGCCCACCCACCAGTCTCAACACATCACCATCACCACCAGCAACAGCAACAGCAGCAGCAGCAGCAGCAGCAGCAGCAGCAGCAGCAGCAGCAGCATCACGGAAACTCTGGGCCCCCTCCTCCTGGAGCATTTCCCCACCCACTGGAGGGCGGTAGCTCCCACCACGCACACCCTTACGCCATGTCTCCCTCCCTGGGGTCTCTGAGGCCCTACCCACCAGGGCCAGCACACCTGCCCCCACCTCACAGCCAGGTGTCCTACAGCCAAGCAGGCCCCAATGGCCCTCCAGTCTCTTCCTCTTCCAACTCTTCCTCTTCCACTTCTCAAGGGTCCTACCCATGTTCACACCCCTCCCCTTCCCAGGGCCCTCAAGGGGCGCCCTACCCTTTCCCACCGGTGCCTACGGTCACCACCTCTTCGGCTACCCTTTCCACGGTCATTGCCACCGTGGCTTCCTCGCCAGCAGGCTACAAAACGGCCTCCCCACCTGGGCCCCCACCGTACGGAAAGAGAGCCCCGTCCCCGGGGGCCTACAAGACAGCCACCCCACCCGGATACAAACCCGGGTCGCCTCCCTCCTTCCGAACGGGGACCCCACCGGGCTATCGAGGAACCTCGCCACCTGCAGGCCCAGGGACCTTCAAGCCGGGCTCGCCCACCGTGGGACCTGGGCCCCTGCCACCTGCGGGGCCCTCAGGCCTGCCATCGCTGCCACCACCACCTGCGGCCCCTGCCTCAGGGCCGCCCCTGAGCGCCACGCAGATCAAACAGGAGCCGGCTGAGGAGTATGAGACCCCCGAGAGCCCGGTGCCCCCAGCCCGCAGCCCCTCGCCCCCTCCCAAGGTGGTAGATGTACCCAGCCATGCCAGTCAGTCTGCCAGGTGAGCGGCCAGGTGGGGCGGAGGTGGGCCTGGAAAGGGGACGACGACAAGGCGGCGACGAGAGAGGGAGTAGCAGGGAGGGGCCTTGCGCTGGTGTAGTGTTTTAGAAAAGCACGCCCCTCTCCTCCGTCCAGGCCTAGTGGCCAGTGAGGCCCGCAGCAGCTCACAGCCTGCAGGGGTGGTTTTGAGGCGGGGGCTACAAGCACTCGCCGGGGCCGCGGCGCTGCGGGCTCCATCGGGCAGCTCGCACCGCCTGAGCGCCCGCTGCTTCCACGCCCGGCAGGTTCAACAAACACCTGGATCGCGGCTTCAACTCGTGCGCGCGCAGCGACCTGTACTTCGTGCCACTGGAGGGCTCCAAGCTGGCCAAGAAGCGGGCCGACCTGGTGGAGAAGGTGCGGCGCGAGGCCGAGCAGCGCGCGCGCGAAGAAAAGGAGCGCGAGCGCGAGCGGGAACGCGAGAAAGAGCGCGAGCGCGAGAAGGAGCGCGAGCTTGAACGCAGCGTGGTGAGTGCGTCACTGCCTGCGCCACCGCCTTCTTTCCCTCTTTCCTTCCTTCCCTCTGCGCTGCGCTGCGCTACGCTACGCTGCGGGGCTGTGGCTGGGTGGGCGGGCGAGTCACGTCGCCACCTGTCGGAGGGGAGGTACCACTGCAGCCCAGGAAATGGAGCCCAAAAGGTTTTCAGCGAGAGCCATCTGCATTCCTGGGTTGGGAAAAGGCATGCTCAGATGGGACTACCTGTGGATCCCAAGAAGGGCAAATATTCGGGAGCGGGGGCCGCAGTTAAGTTCCAGGTGGGCAGAGTTTCAATGAGTTGAGGCATTTTGGCATTCGGCTGTCGAAACAAATGGGCAGCTTAAAACCAGCCACCTCTTTTCATAACTGCCGCTTTGACTCCACTTTTCCCTGTATCCCACAGAAGTTGGCTCAGGAGGGCCGTGCTCCGGTGGAATGCCCATCTCTGGGCCCAGTGCCCCATCGCCCTCCATTTGAACCGGGCAGTGCGGTGGCTACAGTGCCCCCCTACCTGGGTCCTGACACTCCAGCCTTGCGCACTCTCAGTGAATATGCCCGGCCTCATGTCATGTCTCCTGGCAATCGCAACCATCCATTCTACGTGCCCCTGGGGGCAGTGGACCCGGGGCTCCTGGGTTACAATGTCCCGGCCCTGTACAGCAGTGATCCAGCTGCCCGGGAGAGGGAACGGGAAGCCCGTGAACGAGACCTCCGTGACCGCCTCAAGCCTGGCTTTGAGGTGAAGCCTAGTGAGCTGGAACCCCTACATGGGGTCCCTGGGCCGGGCTTGGATCCCTTTCCCCGACATGGGGGCCTGGCTCTGCAGCCTGGCCCACCTGGCCTGCACCCTTTCCCCTTTCATCCGAGCCTGGGGCCCCTGGAGCGAGAACGTCTAGCGCTGGCAGCTGGGCCAGCCCTGCGGCCTGACATGTCCTATGCTGAGCGGCTGGCAGCTGAGAGGCAGCACGCAGAAAGGGTGGCGGCCCTGGGCAATGACCCACTGGCCCGGCTGCAGATGCTCAATGTGACTCCCCATCACCACCAGCACTCCCACATCCACTCGCACCTGCACCTGCACCAGCAAGATGCTATCCATGCAGGTGAGACCCCTCCTTCCTTGCCCTGGCCCTTTGGGGCCACCTTCCCCCTATCATGACTGGGCTCTTTCATTCCTATGGCCAAGACTTTCCTCCCCTGGCCTGGCATGAACCTTTCCTGAGATTGCTGCCCTGAACTTTGCCTCCCTGACGTTCTCTCAGCCTTGTCTTCTCATGGCCTTCCCTGGCCACAAAGCCTGTATGCCCCACAGCCCAGTTCTCTCCATAGTCTAGTATCCTTCCCATGACAGAGGCCCACACGGGAGCTTTTGAAGGACACTTTTCTATTCTCACAGCCCCATTCTCCCAAGCCCTTCACAAACCTGTCTTCTTATTTATTTTTTTGAGACATGGTCTGGCTCTGCCACCCAGGCTGGAGTGTAGTGGCGCAATCACAGCTCACTGCAGCCTCGACTTCCCGGTCTCAAGTGATCCTCCTACCTCAGCCTCTGGAGTAGCTGGGATTACAGGCGTGTGTCACCATACCTGGCTACTTTTTGTATTTTTGGTAGAGACGGGGTTTCGCCATGTTGGCCATGGCTGGTCTCAAATTCCTGAGCTCAAAGCGATCCACCCACCTCGGCCTCCCAAAGTCCTGAGATTACAGGCGTGAGCCACCGTGCCCAACCCACAAACCTATCTTCTGATTTCTCTGGATTCAACTCATTTTTTGCCATTTTCTCCTCTTCTCCCTCTGCGAGGTCTTTCATGTTTTTCCCCATCTCTAGATCTGTAACTTTCTAGAAAGGGCCCTGTAGCTTTGGGTTTGGGTGTCATAGGCGATAATGAGCTTTACTTACTATCCTTTCACCATTTTTTGGTTTTTGAGACGGAGTCTCGCCCTGTCACCAAGCTGGAGTGCAGTGGCGCGATCTCGGCTTACTGCAACCTCCGCCTCTGGGGTTCAAGTGATTCTTCTGCCTCAGCAGGCACTGCCTGCCCGAGTAGCTGGGACTGCAGGCGTGTGCCACCAAGTACAGCTAATTTTTGTATTTTTAGTAGACACGGGGTTTCACCATGTTGGCCAGGATAGTCTTGATCTCTTGACCTTGTGATCCACCCGCCTTGGCCTCCCAAAGTGCTGGAATTACAAGCGTGAGCCACCGCACCCGGCTTCCTTTTTTTCTTTTGCCCAGACTGGAGTGCAGTGGCGCGATCTCGGCTCACTGCAGCTTCCACCTCCCAGGTTCAAGCGATTCTCCTGCCTCAGCCTCCCGAGGAGCTGGGACTATAGGCGTGTGCCACCCTGCCTGGCTAATTTTTTTGTATTTTTTGTAGAAACAGGGTTTCACCATCTTGGCCAGGCTGGTCTTGAACTCCTCACCTCAGGTGAGCTGCCTGCCTCAGCCTCCCAAAGTGCTGAGATTATAGGCTTGAGCCACTGTGCCCGGCCTCTTCTTGTCTTATTTTCTAAACTTCTATCATCTTCCACCTTCTTCACGCAGTCTACCTCTCTCTGTCCTTCCCCTCAGACCCTTCTGATGACTGTAATCTCCTGTCCTGTGTCATCCATATGTCCCTCCTCCAGTAGGGCTCAGCCTGTCCACCCCTGCCAGGCCTCTAGTTCTTCCACTCTGCCTTTGTTCCACTTTGGACCTCCTTGTGTTTGTCTGACTCAGTTCCCAGGCTTGGATCCCTTCACCCAAATGCATGGTTTGCCCCAAACCTGCCTTCTGGTGACACCTTCCTCTTCTCTGCCCTCCAGCCTCTGCCTCGGTGCACCCTCTCATTGACCCCCTGGCCTCAGGGTCTCACCTTACCCGGATCCCCTACCCAGCTGGAACTCTCCCTAACCCCCTGCTTCCTCACCCTCTGCACGAGAACGAAGTTCTTCGTCACCAGCTCTTTGGTAAGGATGGAAGTTGGGGTAGGCAGCTCCAATGAGAAAAGGGCAGAAAGGAGGTATTTGGGTGGGGGGATGGGCCTAGTTGGGCTTGGGGAGGGATGAGGAGGTGCCTAGAGGAGCTGGGCATGGGAATAGGAGAGCTGGAGCTCTGCCCAAGAGAAGCACGAGTTTTAGTGTCAGCCTAAGAGGTTCGAATCCCAATTCCACCCTACCACTGGCAACTTACAGAACTGGGTGTGTTACCTCACTTTTTAGTTCATTACCTTTGTATGTAAAGGAGCTGGCTATCCCCTGGTCCAGAGCAGGTACTTGTTATCCGTTGGTCATATGCCCCTTGCCCTTCCTGCTCACAGCTGCCCCTTACCGGGACCTGCCGGCCTCCCTTTCTGCCCCGATGTCAGCAGCTCATCAGCTGCAGGCCATGCACGCACAGTCAGCTGAGCTGCAGCGCTTGGCGCTGGAACAGCAGCAGTGGCTGCATGCCCATCACCCGCTGCACAGTGTGCCGCTGCCTGCCCAGGAGGACTACTACAGGTACCCTAGGGTGCCCCAGCCCAGGGGACATGGGCTCAGCGAGCCTGGGAGGAGCTGTGGGCATGGTACGGCTGGGCACCGTGCTCCTGGGGGAGGGAACCCCTCCTCTCCCAACCCCTTCGGTAAGAGGGGGCAAGGTCAGAGTTGGTCTCAAGTCTCTTACCTCTCTGCTATGCACTGCCCCTTCCCTAGTCACCTGAAGAAGGAAAGCGACAAGCCACTGTAGAACCTGCGATCAAGAGAGCACCATGGCTCCTACATTGGACCTTGGAGCACCCCCACCCTCCCCCCACCGTGCCCTTGGCCTGCCACCCAGAGCCAAGAGGGTGCTGCTCAGTTGCAGGGCCTCCGCAGCTGGACAGAGAGTGGGGGAGGGAGGGACAGACAGAAGGCCAAGGCCCGATGTGGTGTGCAGAGGTGGGGAGGTGGCGAGGATGGGGACAGAAAGCGCACAGAATCTTGGACCAGGTCTCTCTTCCTTGTCCCCCCTGCTTTTCTCCTCCCCCATGCCCAACCCCTGTGGCCGCCGCCCCTCCCCTGCCCCGTTGGTGTGATTATTTCATCTGTTAGATGTGGCTGTTTTGCGTAGCATCGTGTGCCACCCCTGCCCCTCCCCGATCCCTGTGTGCGCGCCCCCTCTGCAATGTATGCCCCTTGCCCCTTCCCCACACTAATAATTTATATATATAAATATCTATATGACGCTCTTAAAAAAACATCCCAACCAAAACCAACCAAACAAAAACATCCTCACAACTCCCCAGGAACATGGCTGTGACTATTCTTTGCGGGATATGGGGGTGAGGCTGGGTCTCAGTGCAGCGGTGCTTAGAGAGAACTGCAGCCAGGGCCTGGCAGGGAAGCGGGAAGAGACCAGACCTTCTTAAGGAACGGGGTGTGGGGGCTGGGAAGAATTGGAGAGGGGATCCCTGAAGAGCCCAGAGCCTTGACTCAGCTGGAGGCGGTACCATGGGTGCTGGTGCCCCCTCCTGCCCCAAGGCTGGGCAGGACCGCTGCGCGCCAGTGGAGGCCTCGGTCTGGGCTCTGTGGCTTATGCCTGTGAGACGCGGGTGGATTGCTTGAGCCCAGGAGTTGGAAACCAGCTTGGGCAACATAGAGAAACCCCATCTTAAGACAAAATCAGCTGGGGGTTGTGGTGCACTTGTGGTCCCAGCTACTCAGGAGGCTGAGGTGGGAGGATCACTTGGGGGTCGAGGCTACAGTGAGTCATGATCGCACCACTGCACTCTAGCCTGGGTGACAGAGCAAGGCCCTATCTCAAAACAAACAAACAAAAGACACCCCAACCAACCAAACACTAGAGGCCTGGGACAGGCCCACCTCTGACGTGGTCAGTTCTAGGAATCTATTCAGACGGGTCTCACTGCTAGGAGCCACCAGAGTCCTCCGGAACAAGGGCTTCAGAGTCCTGAAACCTTTCCGTGGAATACTTTAAGAAACGGTTATGAGGCCAGGCGCGACGGCTCACGCTGGTAATCCCAGGACTTTGGGAGGCCGAGGCGGGCGGATCACGAGGTCAGGAGTTCCAGACCAGCTTGGCCAACATGGCAAAACCCTGTCTCTACTAAAAACAAAACATTAGCTGGGCATGGTGGCGCGCGCCTGTCGTCCCAGCGACTTGGGAGGTTGAGGCAGGAGAATCGCTTGAACCCGGGAGGTGGAGGTTATGGTGAGCCAAGATCCCCCCCAGCTGCACTCCAGCTTGGCGACAGAGCAAGACTCCGTCTCAAAAACAAAAAACAAAGCCGGTTATGAAGCGGGGGTGGGGTGGGCTAGTTTTAATAGGTCCAGGCGATTAGTACCTGGCATCCTTAACCACCTACAGTTTGAGAAGGGAGTGGGTGATAAAAGCCTGGAAGGGAAGGGAAATCGGGCCGGGCATTAGGCTCCATCGCTCATCAATAGACAAGGCCTTTAGGAAACTGCGACAACGGCTTTTGCTCTGGGCCTTTACTGCCGAATCCAGGTCTCCGGGCTTAACAACAACGAAGGGGCTGTGACTGGCTGCTTTCTCAACCAATCAGCACCGAACTCATTTGCATGGGCTGAGAACAAATGTTCGCGAACTCTAGAAATGAATGACTTAAGTAAGTTCCTTAGAATATTATTTTTCCTACTGAAAGTTACCACATGCGTCGTTGTTTATACAGTAATAGGAACAAGAAAAAAGTCACCTAAGCTCACCCTCATCAATTGTGGAGTTCCTTTATATCCCATCTTCTCTCCAAACACATACGCAGCAGTGTTACAGCTCTTTTAGAATTTGTCTAGTAGGCTTTCTGGCTTTTTACCGGAAAGCCCCTCTTATGATGTTTGTTGCCAATGATAGATTGTTTTCACTGTGCAAAAATTATGGGTAGTTTTGGTGGTCTTGATGCAGTTGTAAGCTTGGGGTATGAAGGTTTGGGCCACGCCTGGGCGCTTCCGGCTGCGCCGGATGCTGTTTCCTTTCCGCTCCCAGGGGCGTTGGGAACGGTTGTAGGACGTGGCTCTTTATTCGTGAGTTTTCCATTTACCTCCGCTGAACCTAGAGCTTCAGACGCCCTATGGCGTCCGCCTCGACCCAACCGGCGGCCTTGAGCGCTGAGCAAGCAAAGGGTGAGAATCGTCCTAGTCAAGGCATAGGCTGCTGGCCTGGGGTAGTCAAGGCATGGGCTGCTGGTCTGGGGAGGATGCGGGCGGAGGATGTGGGGCGACAAACCTGGCTACGTCCGCCGGGAAAATGGGGTAGGGGACGCCGGGTACCGTCCTTCTAAGTGGGGCGCTTGCCCCCAAGACTTGGGATCTTATTGGGTTACCTACAGCCTCAATCCACTAATTCCTTGCGCTCTCCGCTGGGCCCGCTGTCTGTTCTCCGACGCCTACCCGGGACGCCTCCCTGGGATGCTTCTGGCGCGCAGTGGTCCTCGCGGAGGTGATCCAGGCGTTCTCCGCCCCGGAGAATGCAGTGCGCATGGACGAGGCTCGGGATAACGCCTGCAACGACATGGGTAAGATGCTGCAATTCGTGCTGCCCGTGGCCACGCAGATCCAGCAGGAGGTTATCAAAGCCTATGGCTTCAGCTGCGACGGGGAAGGTGGGTCAGACGCGGGAAGGCGGGTCAGACGCGGGAAGGCGGGAGTTGGGTCGGGAGAGGGCGCCGGATCTGTGGGCCCATGAGCGGTTGTCCCCTTTCTCGCCACACGGCGGCAGCCACAATCTGACTAACATTCTTGGCACTCAGAGCCCAGGGTCTACCCTGAGCTTGTGCGTCCGAGTTGCGTTTTGTACAGTAGAGGTTCTGTATCCCTTACCCGAAATGGTTGGGACCGGAAGTGTTTCGGGTTTTTTCAGATTTCGGAATATTTACATATACATGGATATCTTGGGGGATGGGACCTAAATCTGAACACGAAATTGTTTTGTTTCATATACACGCACCTTATGCACATAGCCTGAGGGTAATTTTATATAATAGTCTGAATAATTTTGTGCATGAGACAAAGTTTTGACTGCGTTTTGACTACAGTCTCCCCCACCCCCCACTATGAAGTCAGGTGTGGAATTTTCCATTTTCGGCCTCACACTGGCACTCATAATTTCAGATTTTGGATTTTCTAATTAAGGATGGTCAACCTGTACTGTTAATCACATTATTATTCCATTTTGTGATGAGGAAGCAAACTCTAATGGTGCAGACTCTCGAGTAGCAGAGCTGGACTTAAATGCTGTTGTGCCACCTTTTAGTGACATGTCTGCATGACAGCAGTGGCTGCAGTCTCTCCAGGGTGTTTCAGCTAATTTTTGTTTGGGGGGGGTTGGTGGTTAAATTTTTGGTGAGATCCTGGTGTTCCCCAAAGGTGTTGACTGATTCAGCTCTGCTGCCTCATAGCCTTCCTGAGTTCCAGCTACAGACCTGGGGTCTCGTGTTCATTCTTGGGGTTCCAGTGACTAAACTGCTAAAATGGTTCACCTGAGAGCAAGAAGCACACTGCCTTGGGACATTTTCATTCACTGCATCCCATCTAGTTGTGCCCAGTGTAGACCAAATGTCATCATCCAAACCACACGGGACAGAGGCCTGCATGCGTCCTGTTTGGCAAACAGCTGCCCAGCCAGTGGGGGAGCAGTTCATGCTTAGACTACCACCCCCTCCAGGTGTCTTAGGCACGCTGGTCCTTAGGAGAAGGGTTGACCTTCCACTCCCTCTTGCAGGTGTCCTTAAGTTTGCTCGCTTGGTCAAGTCCTACGAAGCCCAGGATCCTGAGATCGCCAGCCTGTCAGGCAAGCTGAAGGCGCTGTTTCTGCCGCCCATGACCCTGCCACCCCATGGGCCTGCTGCTGGTGGCAGCGTGGCCGCCTCCTGAGAGTTGGCCCTCCCTTGTGCCACTGCCAGGGGAGGAAAGGCCTTGATGTTCCAGACAATAATAAATGCGCCTGTGACTTAGCCTTGGTGTCAGTCTCTTGCGGACCTGACAACCCCCATCTCTCCTTCCCTGATTCCCTCTGCCTTTCCAGGCCCCATCCCCCTGAACAGCTCCTCCCTATGGTCCTGGCTGGGCCTAACCCTGCCCCAGGGCCTAACCCTACCTGAGGCTCCTCCCCTTCCCCCGGGGCAGGTTGAGAGGCTGGAGTGGGTCCCTCAGCGCCCTGGGTGGGTGGGCCTGCACAGGGGGTACCTCCTTCTCTGAGGAACTGGGCTGTTAGGGATTTTCCTTAGGCCCTTTGGTTTCCGCCTACGGAGAGGTTTCCCCCATTGGTTGCTCTTCCTCAGCCAGGGTTACTTCCTGGTCTGTTCCCCTACCCAATACCCCGCCGCTCTGTCAGCTTGAGCTCCAGGTGGAGCTCCAGGTGGCTCCTCCTCTCCCGGGGGAAGGCGGCCCTGGACCAGCAGGCGGGCCTGCTGTACTCCCGCTTTGGGGCTGCAGGGAAGCTGGCCGCTGTGGGCGGTCTCGGGCCAGCCCCGCCCCACCTGTCCTTTTCCTGGAGACTATTAGTCCAGGGTTTGTCCCTGCAGTGCCATTGGCCTGGCAGGCAGGATCGAGGAGGAAGTGGCTGATTACTGAGCGGTTCTTCCTCACCTGGCTTGGGCCACTGTGCACAGCTGTGCCGCTGGCTCAGCCCCGCCCCCTGCGGCCCTCTGCCGTGGCTTCCCCCTCCCTACAGAGAGATGCTGTCCCGTGGGTAAGTCCCGGGCACCATCGGGGTCCCAGTCTCCTGTTAGTTTTGGAGGGAGGGAGGGCTTTGTTGATGCTCACTCCGACGTGTGTGAACGTGAGTGCGATCTGCCGCTGCCCTGCGCCTGTTTCCGGTCCCTATGAACTTCCCCTTCCCGCAAGGTGTGAGGACCCCCGGCTCACTCATGCTCCTCTGCCCCCTCTTTAACATTTTCCCCTGGACAAGTGTGTATCTGTTCTCTCCATTGCATTTCTACTTCCAGCCTCTGGGCTCCTGCTTCTGCCTCCTGCTTAGGACCTGTCCCCCTGGGTAGCTCACAACACCTCAAACATAGCAGTCAGAGGCCACCCGCGAAGGCCCTCCCACGTCCAGCCAACTTCTCCGCACTTCCCAACATCAGACTTTGGTCCCATCTTCTTTGTTTCCTTTCACTTCCCTTTCCCCTGCATCATTCATTCAACAGGTACGTGTTGAGCATCTATTATGCACCAGGTGCTGTTTAAGATGCTGGTAATACTGGAGTGAACAAGACAGACATGGTCTCTGCTCTCACGGAGCTTACATTCCAGTGGGAGGTTACAGACCGAACAAATAACCCAATAAATTGGATCATTGCAGATTCTCAGAAGTATTACGCAGAAAATAGACAGCCTTGGCCGGGTGTAGTGGTTCACACCTGTGATCCCAGCACTGTGGGAGGCTGAGGCGAGAGGATTGCTTGAGCCCAGGAGTTTGAGACCAGCCTGGCCAATATAGTGAGACCCTGTCTCTACAAAAAATAAGAAATTAGCTGGGTGTGGTGGCACACGTCCTGTGGTTCCAGCTATGGAGAGGCTAAGGTGAGAGGCTTGCTTGAGCCTGGGAGGTCAAGGCTGCAGTCAGCGATGATTGCACCACTGCACACCAGCCTGGGCGACAGAGTGAGACCTTGTCTCAAAAAAAAAAAAAAAAAAAGAAAATGAACCAGCTTCATATGCTAGCAAGTGACTGGGTGTGCAGGTGACATTACTAGCTGGAGGGATCAGGGAGGCCTTCCCGAGGAGGTGACATTTGAGCTGAGACCCGGATGAGGAGGAAGAGGAGCTGGCCATGTGACGTAGTGATCAAGAGTCAAGCATCTCTGGGCAGAGGAGATGGTGAGCACAAAGCCCTAATGTGGGAACAAACAAAAAAAGGACAGTGTGCCCGTGGCAGAGGACCCTAGTGGAGCGGAGGCAGGGCCACAGCAGGTTAGACCATGTTGGAGCTAGGATGTTGAAAGTGAAAACCTGACGAGATGAGGTGGCGCACGTCTGTGATCCCAGCACTTTGGGAGGCCGAAGGGGGAAGATTGCTTGAGCTCAGGAGTTTAAAACCAGCCTGGGCAACATAGAGAGACCCCATCTCTATTAAAAAAAAATACTGGGTATGATGGCCCAAGCATGTGGTAGTCCTAGCAGTTTGGGAGGCTGAGGTGGGAGGATCACTTGAGCCCAAGAGTTCAAGACCACCCTGGGCAACATAGGGAGAGACCTCATCTCTACTACGACTACGACTACTACTACTACTAATAAATAGCTGGATGTAGTGGCATGCACCTGTGGTCTCAGTTACTTGGAAGGCTGAGGCAGGAGGATCACCTGAGCCAAGGAGGTCGACGCTGCAGTGAGTTGGATTGTGACACTGCACTTCAGCCTGGGTGATAAAGCAAGATTCTGTGTCAAAAAAAAAAAAAAAAGAGAGGGAAGGAAAGAAGGAAGGGAAGGAAGAAAGAAAAAGAGAAAGAAGGAAAAAAAGGAAAGAGCGAGAAAGAAGAAAGAAAAGGAAGGAAGGAAAGAAAGAAAAGAAAGGAAAGAAAAAGAAAAAGTGACACCCAGTCGAAAGAAGAAAGGAAAGAAAAAGAAAAAGTGACAACCGGTCGAAAGAAAAAAGAAAAAGTGACAACCGGCTGGGCATGGTGGCTCAAGCCTGTAATCCCAGCACTTTGGGAGGCCGAGGCAGGTGGATCACGAGGTCAGGAGTTCAAGACCAGCCTGGCCAACATGGTGAAACCCTGTCTCAACTAAAGATACAAAAAAAAAATTAGGCTGGCACAGTGGTGCGCACCTGTGAGTCCCAGCTACTAGGGAGGCTGAGGCAGGAGAATTGCTTGAACCCAGGAGGCGGAGGTTGCAGTGAGCCGAGATTGCGTCACTGCACTCCAGCCTGAGTGCAGCGGGAGAGACTCCATCTCAAAAAAAAAAAAAAAAGAAAAGAAAAAGTGACAACCTGCTTACAGAGTACTGGCGAGTTTGTGGGTGGGTGGCTCCCTAGCCCTGCTGATTCTTGCTTCTCACACTCATGTCTGCCCCTGCCCCAGTGCACATCTTGTCACTGTCGGCCCCACCGATGGGGTTCCTACTGAGTCTTCTGGTCCCTGATCCCGTCTGTGGTCATTTTCCTGCCAGGTAGCTTGGCCAGGCCTCCCCTGGTGCAGATTTCATCCTTGGTTTCTCAGCCTGGCCTTGAATGACCCTCTACAGCAGGGTCCCCACCTCTCAGAACAACTTTGCTCCAGCCACATGGCTTGCTCACGGCCAGGCACTGCCCATGTGGACTCTGTGCGTGCCACCTCTTTGCCCTGACCCATGTTGCCTCTGGGGGAGCACTTCTTCCTCCACCTTCCATCATGGGCTGTGGCAGTGCCCATCCCATCTGCCCCCGACGCTGTCTGCTGCAGTATGGTTGTTGGGGGAAAGGGCACCAGGCTCCGGCGTCTGACAGCCGTGTTTTACCCACCTTCCTACTCACTAGCTTGTGACCTTGGGCAATTACTTAACATCTCTGAGTCTTAGTTTCTGTTTCTAAAATTGGGTGAATAACACCTACTAAGTAGGGTTGGCCTGAGGATTAATAGTATAATGTAAAAGCTGGCAGCACTGAAACCCTGCCACTTACCAGCTTTTCACATCAGTATTTGGGAAATATTGTTAAGCTCATTTGTCAGGCGGGGATTCTGAGGCTCAGAGCAGTTCCAGAACTTTCTACAGATTATTTTGCCTTGTTTGCGCTTCCAGACTGCCTATCTTCTTGTATCACCATTGATCTTGATCTGTATGGTTTTTAATTTTTTTTTTTTTGAGACGGAGTTTCACTCTGTTGCCCAGGCTGGAGTGCGGTGGCATGATCTCGGCTCACTGCAACCTCCACCTCCTGAGAAGCTGGGATTACAGGCATGTGCCACCACACCCGGCTAATCTTTGTATTTTTAGTAGAGTTGGGGTTTCACTATGTTGGCCAGGCTGGTCTCGATCTCCTGACCTCGTGATCCGCCAGCCTTGGCCTCCCAAAGTGCTGGGATTACAGGCGTGAGCCACTGCGCCCGGCCAACTTCACGTTTATACACACCCATGCAAACAGCATCCAGATAGAGACAAAGAGCCTTCCCTGTACCCTAAAAGTTTCCCAGAAATTGTTCCCAGTTAGCATATTTATTTTTATAAAGGTAATGCATGCCCATCATATAACATTCAAAAAGGTATGTAGAGAACCAAGTGTCTCCCCCAGCCCTGTCCTCCAGCCACCCAGTTTCCCTCCCTAGGGGAAGCCACCAATATGTGTTTCTTATGTATCCCCTGTTGAGCTGCTTTTCCTCGTTTTGGTTTGGCGGTGTTGATGTTTGTATTTGGAATTACAGGTAGGCAGCATCATATACCTTAGTGTTTAGGGCCTCTAAGATCAACCAGCCCTGAGAAAATCAGCCATGGTGAGGACCTTGTCCCCCAGCCCCCCAGGAGATAGGCCCCCTGGTGGGAGTGCTGGGGCAGGGCAGAGGCCTAGGGACAAGAATTAGAAAGGACCCATGTTGACAGGGCTGCTCAGGGTCATGTTGTCCATCCCTCTGCCACAGTGGCATGGACAAACTGCATATGTTGGTTAGAGGAGGGCACCCTTCTCTCTTGCAAGCATTGGCAAGGTCTTAACTATTAGTCTCCTGCTCCCATGGCAGCCCCTTTGGACAAGGAGGCTCTTAATCTCTGTTCTTTGAAGCCCTGAGGGCTGGTGTATAGGAGTTCAAAGCACTGGCTTTGGAACCGGACTGTCTGGGTTTGAATCCTGGCACTGCAGCTGACTCACTGATGGACTCAGGCAATGCCTTAAACTCCCTGAGCCTCAGGTTCCTTGTCTGTAAAATGATAAAGATAGCCCCTGTTTCATAGGGCTGTGGTGAGAAACCAATCAGACAAGGCATGTGAACGCCATTATAGCACAGCGCCCGGCATCCAGCAGGACTCACTCGATGACAGTTGTCACCGCCATCATTGTTATTAGCGTGGGCCAGGGAGGGCTGCGTAAAAGCAGCTGGTGGAGGAGGGAGAGATGCCGTGGGACCGTCTGGGTTCGCATGCGTGAAGTATTATCTGGGCCTGGAGTGTGCAAGGCACACATGTGTCCTTACTGCATGTGTTGTCACATATGTGCAATGCCATGCTCCTGAGCCTTTGATTGCAGACGTGTGGGAAGTGGGCCCCGTCCCCACCCCCAGTGCCACCCTGCTCTGCTTCTCTTCCCTTGCTGTGCTCTAAAACGAGAAGTACAAGTGAGTTCCCCCAAGGGGTCGGCCGCGCCTCTTCCTGTCCCCGCCCTGCCGGCTGCCCCAGGCCAGTGGAGTGGCAGCCCCAGAACTGGGACCACCGGGGGTGGTGAGGCGGCCCGGCACTGGGAGCTGCATCTGAGGCTTAGTCCCTGAGCTCTCTGCCTGCCCAGACTAGCTGCACCTCCTCATTCCCTGCGCCCCCTTCCTCTCCGGAAGCCCCCAGGATGGTGAGGTAAGGGCCTGCCACCCACGGTAGACAGGAGGCAAGGGTGCCTGGTGCCCACGGGACCCCTCCTCACTGCCCTGCCTGGGCCGCCCAGGTGGTTTCACCGAGACCTCAGTGGGCTGGATGCAGAGACCCTGCTCAAGGGCCGAGGTGTCCACGGTAGCTTCCTGGCTCGGCCCAGTCGCAAGAACCAGGGTGACTTCTCGCTCTCCGTCAGGTAGGTGGGCCCCCCGCAACCCCGGGCATTTTGGCCACTCTCTTGTGCCATCCAGGCCCTGAACCACTCATTCCTGGTTCCCCGTGGCAGTGCTGACTCCCCGTCTGTTCCCTTGCCCCCAACCCCCACACTCCCCATCCCTGTCTGTGCCCACCCATGCCCATGTGTGCCCCCACCCAGGACCTCAGCCGATCCCTGCCCTCCTGCCTCTACTCCTGCACCGACTGGCCTCACCGCCTGGTGCCCTGCAGGGTGGGGGATCAGGTGACCCATATTCGGATCCAGAACTCAGGGGATTTCTATGACCTGTATGGAGGGGAGAAGTTTGCGACTCTGACAGAGCTGGTGGAGTACTACACTCAGCAGCAGGGTGTCCTGCAGGACCGCGACGGCACCATCATCCACCTCAAGTACCCGCTGAACTGCTCCGATCCCACTAGTGAGAGGTGAGGGCTCCGCACCCCCGCCATTCCCAAGCAGGGATGAGCCGGCTCCCACCCTGAACAGCCAGGGAGGCAGGGAGACTGGCAGCCGGCGCTGCCTACCCTCCATCCCCTCCCCTCCCTGCACCAGCTGGGGCTCTCAATGTCCCTCCTCCCTGCTGTCCTGGGACCTGGTGTCTCAGAGCCTAACCTACCACCCTTTCCACCTAACCCCGAGGAAGCCACAGAAAGCTGCCTCGCCCTACTCCGGGAGCCCTGGCCGCTGCAACCCAGGTCCCACTGGAGACAGGGAGGCCACTGCTGGTGGCCAGCATGTCGTGCAGGCCAGCTCTGTTGTTAGAAAGCTCTTCTTCCTCTGGAATCGAGCCTGCCTTCCTCCGTCTGCCCCTCACCCCAGCACATGTTAGGACAGTGAGGAGCTGACACTGGGGTGAAGATGGGGATGAATGCTTGCCAAGACACTTGATGCCTTGTCCCAGCCGCCCCGTGGGGATGGGTCTGTCCTGTGGGGTCAAATAGGTCTCCGGCCCAAACAGAGATCATTGAGAGCACGATGTGAAGTGTTCACCTGTGTAAAGTGTCTCACGCTGTCCCGGGCACAGAGTAATACTCCAGGCATTTCCTTCCTGTGGCCTCCCCGACTCCTCCTGTGGTCTCCCAAAGGCATGGGCTGGGGGCTGGGGGCTCTGAATGCTCCTCATGACACCATGGCTCCTTTCAGCAGCCGCATCTCAATGCCAGATCCCCTTAGAGTAAAGGGCAGCGGAATAACGCTAGGGGGTTTTCACATGCACCCCTGGGCCAAGCCGACTTGCCCTTGCCGTGGATCCCTGCATTCATGGATCGGTTATTGAAATGATCGGGAACCTTGCTCCTGCCAGCTTGCAGCCTCTCTGAGATTCGGGCCTCCAAACTGCATCAATATTTTTGGTCAAGGCACTGATTGAAACTTAGAGCTGGATTCGGTCACGGTGCAGCCCTGTGGCCCACCTGGGAGGCCTCCTTTCCTGGATCGGCCTCCTTCAAGGCCTTCCCTCTCTCTGTGAGCCTCACATGGCTGGCTCCGTGTCTGCCCCCTGCCCTTCCTCTTCCCCACCGCAACACTCAGGGGGCTTTTGGCACCGAGACCCTCTAAAGCTCATGTCCTCTCTTTCTCCTTGCCTCCAGCCAGGAGAGGAGGACGGGCTGACCAGTGCCTGGAGGTGGAAGAGAGGAGCAGGGCCCCAGGAGGCCCCTGCAGAGGAGGCTGAGGCCTGGGTTCAAGGAGAAGAGAGAAGAGAGAGAAGGAAGGGAGGGCAGTGCCGGGGCGGGAGGTTAAGACCAGGGAAGCCGCACTGGAGGCCCTTTTGGGTGACCCGTCCCAGGAGCCAGTGTCACCCCTGAGCCTGGGAGTGTGTGAGAGGCTCTTTCTCCCAGGTTCTGCTGTGTCCTCTGCCTTGTCTGTGCGCCTCCTCCTCTGCGAGAATTTGCATCTGTCCCTCGGTGGCTCTGCGCTTCCTGTGGTCAGCCTGACATTTGCATGGAGACTTCCTCATCCTGGGGCCTGAGGGAAGGGGCTCAGCCCCCTCCCCGCTACCTGGGGTCCTAGCCTGTCCCCAGGCGGTGGGCTGAAGTAGCCCAGTGGGGTTAGGAGGCTCTGGGGGTCTCTCGGCTGGAGTCACCTCCGGGCAGGGGTGAGATGGGTTGGGACAGACTGGTCCTCCCCTCCTTCCCCCCATCCCTGCGGTTGGAAAATTTGCCCGCCCTCCCCTCGTCCCTGGGCTGAGGAAACCTCACAACCTCACTTCTCACTCTCTCCCCAGAAGGAGTTTTGTGTTTTTTCCATCACGTGGTTTCCTGTGGGGCTGGGCTTTGTGGGGCTACAGTTTCCTCCTGGGAAAGGGGTGTGCTTCGGGGAAAGGGCTTAGTTCTGCTTTCTGCCCTGACAGCCCCTTCAAATCCGTTTGAACCCTGGGCTCCCCTTCAGTGACATCATCCAGGGCACCCCAGAACCCCCTACACCACTCTTTCCCCAGTGGGGTTGTCTTCCCCGCCTCCCTGGCGGAGCGCACCCCATCCGCCTTCCTTGTGACTTGAGTCTGTGTGTCCATCTCCCACCACTCCCTGTGGTGTGGCCTCGGTCTGCGTTTCTCTTTGCCTCTGGTCTCTGCTGGGGCACAGTCCCATCCTTCACGGAGATTCATCCTTAGCTTCTCTCCTCCAAATATTTTGAATATTGCCAGCCTTTCTGCCTTTCAGAGGTGGGCTCTGGGTTCGAAGCCCGGTTAGAACTCTGGAGGCTAGGATGGCTTGAACCTGGGAGGTCGAGGCTGCAGAGAGCTGTAACCGCGCCACTGCACTCCAGCCTGGGCAACAGAGCTCTGGAAGCTTGCCCTAGAGTCAGTCAAGGGCCCTAGGCCAGTGAGTAACAGCTCAGCGTCAGTTTCCTCATCTATAAAATGGGGGTAATATCATACCTAGCTCTCAGCATGTTTGTGAGAGACCTAAATGAGGTGGTGGATTTGGAAGCATGTAGCGCAGTGCCTGGCACACAGTAGGTGCTTGATTTCCGGCCCCTCTCTGTGAATGTCTCTGCTCAGCGCCTTCCCCTGTGGCCTGGGTCTTACCTTCCCTGACGCTGCCTTCTCTAGGTGGTACCATGGCCACATGTCTGGCGGGCAGGCAGAGACGCTGCTGCAGGCCAAGGGCGAGCCCTGGACGTTTCTTGTGCGTGAGAGCCTCAGCCAGCCTGGAGACTTCGTGCTTTCTGTGCTCAGTGACCAGCCCAAGGCTGGCCCAGGCTCCCCGCTCAGGGTCACCCACATCAAGGTCATGTGCGAGGTAAGGCAGCCAGGCGGCGGGGGAGCCTCTGCTGAGGCTCCTGTCTGTGACCACAGTGTGGGTGGCAGGGAGGGTCTGCCTGGGCTTGAATTCAAGGCTGGGGACCCAGGGAGGGAGACTCAAGTCCTGTGAATGGCCTAATTTGGCTCCCCCCAGGGTGGACGCTACACAGTGGGTGGTTTGGAGACCTTCGACAGCCTCACGGACCTGGTGGAGCATTTCAAGAAGACGGGGATTGAGGAGGCCTCAGGCGCCTTTGTCTACCTGCGGCAGGTCAGGGGTGGGCCCAGCTGCCTCCCCACTTCCCCTGAGCTGTCCCCCAGATGTGAGCTTCTGGGATCTCTGAGTTGCTGACTTCTCGCTCTTCCCCACCCCAGCCGTACTATGCCACGAGGGTGAATGCGGCTGACATTGAGAACCGAGTGTTGGAACTGAACAAGAAGCAGGAGTCCGAGGATACAGCCAAGGCTGGCTTCTGGGAGGAGTTTGAGGTGCATGGTGGGGACCGGCAGGGCTGGGGCAGCTGAGGTGGTGGCAGCGGCCTGGGGCCCCAGGCGGACACCTTCCCCTCCTTGCCCACCTCTGCTCCTGACCCACCCCACGTGAGCTCCCCCGATGGATGCCCTCTTTGGGAGCTGATGCTCATTTCCCCACCCACATCTCAGAGTTTGCAGAAGCAGGAGGTGAAGAACTTGCACCAGCGTCTGGAAGGGCAGCGGCCAGAGAACAAGGGCAAGAACCGCTACAAGAACATTCTCCCCTGTGAGCACCCAGGCTGCCCCATTCACCCAGGATACCGCCCCTGCCCCAGCTGCCTCCCCTCATCTCACAGGTCTCCACCCTCCACGCCAGGAGGGGCCATCTCCCCACACCCCCCACAGAGCCTCCCCCTTCTCCAAAAGGCCTCTACTCCTCCCAGAAGTGCCTCCCCACCACCAGCAGGCAGGTTGCCCCCTGCTCCCAACCTCCTTGTGAACTCCCTCACTCCCTCCATACAGATGATCCCCCACCCCTGCTGCCCACAGTCCCCCGCAAGCCTCATGGCTTCTGAGACCAGAATGGCCTGTTAGCTCAGGAGGGTCTGACCCAGGTGTGGTGAGTCCCTGGCTAACCCAGACCATCTCGCCTCCTCTCCGCCCACTCCCAGTTGACCACAGCCGAGTGATCCTGCAGGGACGGGACAGTAACATCCCCGGGTCCGACTACATCAATGCCAACTACATCAAGGTCAGCAGTGTGGGCCACGTGGGAGGAGAGGCTGGGCCCTGGGAATTCCCTGTCTGGTGGGGGGACCCTAGATCCAGAGACAGCTGGGCAAAGCCGAAGCTGGCTTCTTGCATGGGTGAGGGTGGCAGTGGTTCAGGGCCTGTGCTGGGCCAAGGGGCTCACTGTCTTGGGGTGCGTCTCTCCACGCTTGCGTCCAGAACCAGCTGCTAGGCCCTGATGAGAACGCTAAGACCTACATCGCCAGCCAGGGTTGTCTGGAGGCCACGGTCAATGACTTCTGGCAGATGGCGTGGCAGGAGAACAGCCGTGTCATCGTCATGACCACCCGAGAGGTGGAGAAAGGCCGGGTAGGGCGCCCCCCCTTCCCCGCATCCGCCCCCGTGCTTGTGGTCATGCCATTAAGTCGAAGAGCAGTCAGATGCCAGGGCAGAAAGGGATCTCAGGGGTGAGGGTCCGGCCCTTGTTGGGAAACTGAGGGCTAGTGACAAAGTCTCGACTACACAACGTGACCCCCAGATCCCTGCATGCATCCCTGGGCTCTTCTGAGCTCCAGACCCAGGTTCCAGGCTGTCCTCCTTCCTCCTACCCCTGCCCCACCTGTCTGCATCCAGGCCCCTCCTGTCCTCCCTGCCCCATAGATCTCTCTGGAGTCTGCCCCTTACCCTGCAGGCTCCCCCTACACAGCACCCTCTGTGCTGCCATTGAAGTGATCCCATCCGTGACACAAACTGGGTCAAGTTCCTTCCTTTCTGAAATCTCTTCCATGGCTCCTGGTCACCTTTGGGATAAAGTCGCACTCTAAGGCCTGGCATTCAAGGTCTGGTGGCTTCCCTCTGACCCGCACGCTTCTCTTGAAGGCTCACCGCCCCCAGCAGCCCCAGCTCTTTCAGGTTCCCAGCCTTTCTTTGCACAAGCTCATTTTCTGCTAGGAAATGACTCTCTCCACACTATCTCTGCCTGGCAGATGCCTCGTTTTTGAAGACACAGCCGGAGCGCTGCCTCCTCTGTGAATCCAGGTCTTGTTTCCTCCAGGACCTAGAGGGAGAATTACGTCTTTCCCAGCCACGCTCCTCAGCGCGGTGTCTCCCCCGGTCACCTGTCTCTGTGAGCTCCTCGAGGCACAGGGGCACAGACTGGGTGTTATTTGTGTCTGTGAAGCTGTGTGGTTTGCACAGCTTCGGGGACAATGCCTGCCCTGGCAACGTTTGTTGAATGACAAACGGATGTACCGGTGAAGTGGCTGGCCAGGCCTCACCACCTGTTGGTGGTTGATCTGAGACGAGAGCCCAGGTCTCCTGCCTCTCTGCCAGCCCATCCGTCCATCCAACAAATGTTTGGGCCGGTGCCAGGCACTCAGAACATAGAGCAGGACCTGGGATGGGCCACAGTGCCCTGCTCTGTGCCTCATCCCCACCCGACCCTCCCTTTCCAGAACAAATGCGTCCCATACTGGCCCGAGGTGGGCATGCAGCGTGCTTATGGGCCCTACTCTGTGACCAACTGCGGGGAGCATGACACAACCGAATACAAACTCCGTACCTTACAGGTCTCCCCGCTGGACAATGTGAGTGGCCCCCACGCCCTGCCCCATTCCGGGAGTCCCTCCCTGGACTTGTTCTCCTCTCTGGTCGGGTAGGGTGAGATGGATGAGGTGTTCCGAGAGAGGAGGGGGCACTGACCCTATGTCCTCGGCTTAGGGAGACCTGATTCGGGAGATCTGGCATTACCAGTACCTGAGCTGGCCCGACCATGGGGTCCCCAGTGAGCCTGGGGGTGTCCTCAGCTTCCTGGACCAGATCAACCAGCGGCAGGAAAGTCTGCCTCACGCAGGGCCCATCATCGTGCACTGCAGGTGAGGATGATAATCCTGATGGTAGTAGTGACAGCTGAGAAGTAAATACTGCTAAGTGCCATGAGCTGTTATAAGCAATATAAACGTTAGCTCGCACATTGAGTGCCCTCCGCTCACCCCCGGCTTCTCCTGGGTCCCCTCATGGCTCCAGAACCCTGGGTGGATCGTGGCTGGAACCAGCCCCACTTTGGCCCTCTGCCTGTGGGTATCTTCCTCAGAGCCCTCTCCGGATGTACCATCTCGCCCAACCCTGCCAAATACAGAGGAGGAGCCCGGGACCCAGTTGCTGGCCAGGCCCAAGCTAGTCAGGGCAAGGCCGGGCAGGCACCCACAGTAGGCCTGTGTCCCGGCTGCTCCGCTTTCTCTCGAGGTCCCATTCTGTTGGTTTCTTCTCCCAGGAACATCTATGAGGCATGTGCTCCCCATTCCTCCTCTTTTTCCATCGGTAGCCGCAGGGCTTCGGCTTCTTCCTGACTCTGCCCTCTCTCCCAGCTTCCCCAGGCAGTGCCCCATCCTGGCCCCCAGGGCTGTGTGGGGATGGGTGATGCTTCTTTGGGGCTGCACATAACTCCTCTGTCTATCTACCCGCATGTTTGTGATCAGGAGACCTCTGGTAAGGTGCAGAGGTGGGGGCTGCAAGGAGGAGCAGGGGTTCCACAGGTGAGCCCACTGAGCTGGCCTGGCCTGGGTGGATGAGAGGCAGTGGGTGCAGGGCCCCTCCGCTTACCAGCTGTGTGGTCTTGGACAAATTACTTAACTTTTCTAACCCTCAGCTTCCTCATCTGTAAAATCAGGATCTCAGGGTTGTCGTGAGAACTCAATGAGACCCTATCGTTGTGGCTGGAATTCCGTCAGCCCTCAAAAACTGGGCGCTGTTACTAGTTTAGTAACTCACATCAGGCAGAGAATAGGGGAATGGGAACCTGCCTTGCCCCGGTCCCTTCCCACTCCCTCCGTGGACCCCAGGCCTGCGACGGCCTCTGGCTTCCTCCTCTTCCCCCAGCAGCTGTTTGTCCTGGGACAGGGCAAGTCGGCTGAATCTAGAGGTGCCCCCGATGGGCTGTCCGGGGACGCGGCTCTGTCCTGTGCTCTCTCAGGGACAGGCCCATCCCCGAGAGCTACCCTCCTGCTCACCCGCCACACACACATTCACACACTTCTTGAAAGCCCCATGGCCTTTATTTAGACGTTACAGGAAGGAAGTGGGTGTGGGGGGTTATTTTTGACAATCTGGGTTTGAAATTAGACAGCGCGACTCAGGGCATCAGCTTGCTGGGCTCAGCTGAGGGTGGGCCTGGGGTCTCCCTGAGGTCTGTTTGCCCAGGGCTGGGAAAGGAGAGAAACTTCCTACTGCACTGCTCCCCTGAGTCCCCTGACCCTGTGCCCCCGCACCCTGCTGTCTCAGGGCTATCCTTTCCCTGACGTCAGGGTTTGAAGGAAAAGGGAAGTGAAGCCATGCTGAGAGACGCTCCATAACTCCTTCAGGGAGAGGCGGGGAGGGCTCAGGGTACCTGGGAGCCGGCAGGACAGTGGTGGGATTTGGGGGTCCCAGGTCTTCCGGGGTGGGGGCAGCCACTCACTAGGAGTGAGGAGTCGGCGCGAGGAGTGGAGGAGGGAAGGATGGTGGCAGCTGGGGAGCCAGCGTCAGCACCGCAGAGCCCGAGGTGGAGCGTGTCCATGCAGAGCTGGGCAAACCTCCATCATCACTTGCCCGGTGACCCTGGGCACATTCCCTCCCATCACTGGAGGCTCAGGCTGCTCCTGTGGTGCCTGGGGCTGGAGCTGAGCGCTGGGTACCCCCCTTCCCGGGGAGGGCTTGACTGGCCTCTGATGGCACCCCCGTCTTTCCCCAGCGCCGGCATCGGCCGCACAGGCACCATCATTGTCATCGACATGCTCATGGAGAACATCTCCACCAAGGGTGAGGGGCACCTGGGGGTTTGGGGGTGGGGGGTGAGCAGCCCCTCGGTGTCCGCCTATGCCTGGACCTGAGGTTTGACTGCCCCCCACCCAGGCCTGGACTGTGACATTGACATCCAGAAGACCATCCAGATGGTGCGGGCGCAGCGCTCGGGCATGGTGCAGACGGAGGCGCAGTACAAGTTCATCTACGTGGCCATCGCCCAGTTCATTGAAACCACTAAGAAGAAGCTGGAGGTCCTGCAGGTGCGTGCAGAGCAGGGCCTGGGGGGGGGGGGGGCTGCAGTGCAGGATGGGTGCCACCTGGCCCTGCTGGGACCACCACCTTCCCACTGTCCCTCTGCCCACAGTCGCAGAAGGGCCAGGAGTCGGAGTACGGGAACATCACCTATCCCCCAGCCATGAAGAATGCCCATGCCAAGGCCTCCCGCACCTCGTCCAAGTGAGTGGCCCTGACTGCCACTGCCCGGCATCCACCCCTTTGTCCTGCCCAGCCCGATCCTCACTTTCTGGAGAGGACAAGTGTTGCAGCTGGGGGGACCTGGCTTCAAGTTCAGGCTTGGTTCTCACCCCTTCTGTTCATAAGCATTTCCTGAGTGCCCACACGTGTGGGCCTCTGCTAGGTACCAGCAGCGCACTCGTGTATGAGATGTAGCCTCTGTCCTCTAGGAGCTTGGAGTCTAGTGCAGGGACCGTGGCTGCGTCACCTGTGAGACGGGGTGGCCAGAGGGGACTGCCAGTGCCGGGTCCCCCTGTGCTGTCTCCTGACCTGCACCAACTGCCTGTACTTGCCCCCCTGCACCCGGCTGCAGACACAAGGAGGATGTGTATGAGAACCTGCACACTAAGAACAAGAGGGAGGAGAAAGTGAAGAAGCAGCGGTCAGCAGACAAGGAGAAGAGCAAGGGTTCCCTCAAGAGGAAGTGAGCGGTGCTGTCCTCAGGTGGCCATGGTACAGCTCTTCTGCCTGGGTGTCCTCCCTGCCCTGCCCTGTGTCCTTGGCTCCACTGCCTTCCCTGGGTGGATGGGGTGGCCGCAGCCTCATTCTGTGCTTCCCAGCTGCCCCAGACCCTCTTGTTCCACCTCCAGGTTCCAGCTACCCTCTCACTCCCTCACTCCCTTCTCTTGGCAGCCTCAGCCCTGACCCTGTGGAAGCATTTCGCGATGGACAGACTCACAACCTGAACCTAGGAGTGCCCCATTCTTTTGTAATTTAAATGGCTGCATCCCCCCCACCTCTCCCTGACCCTGTATATAGCCCAGCCAGGCCCCAGGCAGGGCCAACCCTTCTCCTCTTGTAAATAAAGCCCTGGGATCACTGTGTGTCGCCTCTGAGCCCTTTGCTTGCCCAGTGAGTGGGCGGCCAGAGGGCAGGGCAGGATGGGTAACTGTGTGTGCCTCCGTGCGTGCCTCGCGTGAAAGCTCCGCCTTCCGTCAGACGGACGTGGGTCGGGACTCCGCCTCGCACGTGGGAGGGTGACCGTGGGTGAAGCTCCCCAGTCTCCTTCTTTAAAATGGAGGGCGATCATAACAGGGTGGTTGTGAAAAGCACCGAGATGACGGCTGACGATAAGACGGGCACAGTGACTCATCACACGCTTGCCATGTGCCCAGGCACTAAAAGACTACACACGTTAGTTCAGTCTAGGCACTTCTGTCATTCTCATTTTACCGTGGCGGAAACTGAGGGACAGAAAAACTAAGTAACTTGGTCACTTGCCCAAGGTCACAGGGCTATGGAACAGTGAGGCTGGGATTCGAACCCAGGCTGTCTGACCCCAGAGCCCACACTCCTTACCCTGGAGTTGCAGCTGGGGCCACCCTCAGGGGGGCCCTGATCACACTCCCCTGATGCTGAGTTCCAGATCTGAACTAAGAAGAGTAGTTAACAGCCGGAAGCGCAGACCTGAGGCCAGCCCGGCTGCGTCCCCTCTGGCGGGAACAGGGACAGGCTCCTCAGAGCACCCGGGCACGCCCAGCTCCTCCCCTCATCCAGGCCGCTGCTGCCCTTATCCTCTTGGGCAGAGTTTGAAGAGCTGGCTGACGTGAAGAGTGCTTTGTTTTTTGTCCCCTCTTCCTTCCCCCATGTCAGGAGTGGGGTTTCTTCTTTATTTGAAACACTGGTGTCCTGGGGAGTAAAGCCGGTGGGAGTCATCCCTCAGGAAGTGCTGGCGCCCACTCCTGGAAAGGCTGAGACAGCACAGGTCCCAAAGCCCAGAGGCTGGGCGTGCATTACTCAGCAAATCCTTACAGAGCCCCCGGCGTCACAGGCATTCACAGTCCCCCGACCTCCTGGAACTTAGGAGGCTGGTCAGGGAGACAGATTCACAAACCGATCACAAGCATCAAATAATTGCAGGCGGGTATTAAGAAGGAAGCAAACAAAGCCTGGGAGAGAGAACAGCGAGGGATTGAGCAACCCAATAGCTCCCTGGGGCTGTGGCCCTCCAGGGCACGGGTGGGGCAATCACCTGTCGGGCCCAGGTCCCCTCTCCCAGCAACGCCCTTTCTATACAAGCCGCAGCTGCACAAAGGCAAGTCCCACCTCCTCTAACCGCCCTTGGGCTACCTGCCCTTGGGGTGGGACTTGGACTCCACTGAGGGCTGTGCTGTGAGGTGGGTCCGGGAGCAGCTCGGTCCGGAGAGTGGAGCGCGATCGTTCCCTCTGCAGGCCTCAATCGAGGGGCAAGGCTGATGCTCCGGGCCAGCTGGGGTCTCTGGGTAGCGGTGGGTAACTTCACACTAGCGACACCTTGCTGGGACCCGCCTGCCCTTCACAGGCCTGGCGGGGCCTTCTCCCTCCCCTTTCCCTCAGGGGATCCCAGCACAGGCTGGGCACTGCGGGGCGGCACAGCCCAACTCCTGCCCAGCTGACCCCTCGCTGACCTCAGGGATCTCTCTGGCCTGCAGCTCCGCTGTGGGCAGGGTCTGAGGCCACAGAGGAATGGGCTAGTCCTGGGGGCAGCATCTGCTGTGGGGAGGGGACCCAAGGACAGCCCCCGCTTTTTGTACCTCTGGAGACAGGGGTGAGACTAGGCAGGTTGGAGAAAAGAGGCCCCTGGGAGAGGGTGGGAGGCCTAGAGGAGTGGCCAAGCCTTAGAGGAGGTGCCCGTGGCTGGCGCTGGGAGGGAAGGGGTTAAGGCAGTGGGGGGGCAGCCTATGGCAGGAGGACACACCTGTGCGCAGGGTGGCAGGCGGGGCCCAGGTAAGGAGCCTGCGCTGGCTGCCCGGCAGGCGGAGAAGGAAGGAGGAAGAGCGGAGGCCAGGGCGGGCTCTAGGCCGTGGAATCTGGGGCCTTAAAGCCCCTTCGTCTCCCCAGCACCCACTCTCTGGGGGCAGGTGGGCCCGGTGACAGGTAAAGGCCACCAGGGGAGAGGTCCTGGGCTGAGCTTGGGACTGCAGAGGGGGGATGAGGGTGGGTAAATCGGTGTGTGTCGCGGGTCGGGAAAGGCTGCCGGGGGTAGGGGAAGGTGGCTCAGAGGCGGCGGGCCGACGGTCGAGGGGCTTCGGAGGGCCTGCTTGGACTGCAACCTGGGCCTCGTGATCAGCGACCCAGGGTGTGGCTGGTGGCGGGCAGCAGGGCTCACCAGGAAGTGTCCCCAGGGACTCGGGTGGTGGGGGGATGGGAGCCAGGGATCTGCAGCTTTTCCGCAGGGATCCTGGGCCTGAAGCTGCCTGACCCAAGGTGGGCGGGCTGGGCGGGGGCCCTCGTCTTACCCAGCAGTGTTTGGGTGCGGTTGGGAGTCTCTAATACTGCCGGGTAATGATGGAGGCCCCTGTCCCTGTGTCAGCAACATCCATCGCCTCAGGTCCCCAGCCCTTAGCTGGCTGCAGCCCCCTCCCCACTTCCCACGCACCCCGGAAGCCCCTCGTCTTGAGCTGAGAGCGTTGCACAAGGGGTGGTTCTTGTTGGCTGGCTGCCACTAAGGGACACAATGGGCCCCAGCCCCTCCTCCCACCCAGTGCGATTTGTCACCTGGTGGATCCAGAACCCACAGTCGACCTTGAGCTTGGGGTTGGCTCGCCCCCTCTCAAGAGACCTCACCTGGCCTGTGGCCAGGGTCCCCTGTAGCAACTGGTGAGCGCGCACCGTAGTTCTCTGTCGGCCGGCCCTGGGTCCATCTTCCAGTACAGTGTTGGATGGTCTAATTGTGAAGCTCCTAACACTGTCTGGTAAAGATGGCTCCCGGGTGGGTTCTCTCGGCAGTAACCTTCAGGGAGCCCTGAAGACCATGGAGGACTACTGACCAACAACCTCTGACCTTCACCCCTCTGGATGGGGGACGAATCACTAGGCAAAGGGGAACAATGGGAAGGAGACAAAATGGCTGCCTTTACAGCTGCAGCAAGATGTGGAAACACTGGTTCCCTAGGCACCTCCATTGTCTTCCCGCCTTGGGAGCATGAAATAAATAAAGTGTGAAGGGGAACATGAGGAAGACTGATCCAAGTCACTTGACCTGTCTTTTGTCTAGTTGTTTATCTCATCTTAGCCTCCCAGCAACTCAGGATTGGGGCTGCGACGTCTGCTTTGTCTTTCATGATACTCAACCCCAAGCAGAGAAAAATATCTTAAAAATCGAAGCAGATTAACCCAGTCCCTCTGTTCAGATCCACCTGCTGCCCTATCTGCATTTGGCAGTTCCTGGACATACTTTGCACCTATGTTTTGTCTGAGTTCCACATCTTCCTTGTCTCCCCGCAGGGATGGGAAATGGGCAGTAGTGGGAGATTCAGGTATAAACGGTGGCTCTGTTTCTCTGGTGCCTGAGATTCGGGAAGGCCTGTCTTGGGAAGATAAGTGTCAGCTTATCTGTGGACTGAACAGACAGGCACCTGTTCTGTTGGCCCCGGAACTGCGGGCATGAAAAGCCCACCTCCCCAGGGGAGGCCTGTTAGCTAGCAGCTCCTCACGCCTGGTGACTGAGAAATGGAGTCTGGGGGGCCTACAGCAGGCCACGCGATCCACTGGGCTTCTGGGCACAGAAGTGCCTCAACAGGCACAGGCAGGCTCCCCACAGCCACAAGGAACCCTGCTGCCAAGGAAGCAGCTCCTGTTGGGGTCATCAGATTTTTAATCTGGCTCAGCAAAGCCATGGCTGTCCAGCCTTAAAAAAATGGGTGATGTGGGAGAAATGGAGGGTGTGTGAAGAGCACAGCTGGGCCTCGAGAACTCAGGGCCAGCCTTCCCAGCTTGGGTCCTGTTTCGGAGCCCAGGCCTTGCTTCCCCTTAGCCGCCCCAGCCAGATTCTTTTGCGCCCCCTGCTGGCACACACAAAGACAGACCCAGGAGCGCACATGTGAACGTGCGCATGCTTGCTGCCAGTTACCCAGTTCATGAACACGTGAAGCCTTGACTTCAGGTTAAGTAATAAAAATTTATTGAGAATTCCTGGGTTGGTGTTTATCTCCTCCCAGCCTTGAGGGAGGGAACAACACTGTAGGAAATCACTGAGAAATCACGCACTGTCCCCAACAGCCCCAGTTAACACAGGGAGGAGGAAAGTAATTCCCCAGAAAAGGGGCTAGTCTTCAGTCTTCCTTAATCCAAGAGGGGTTCAGGGAACCGGTGTGGGGGACCATCGCATGATACTGGGGCGGGGTAGGGCTGTGCTGGACCCCTGGCTGGCTCCTCAAAAACTGGAGAAGCAGATCCACTTCCTCTGGGGGTGGAGTTCTTGGTGACTAGGCTCATTTCTTACCCTTGATGAGGCTGTCACTGTAGGAAAAAAAAGATAGATAATGACATTATTAGGGGACATAAATGTGAGAGGCAGGACACTCTAGGCCATTCCCTCTACGACCCTCCTACCCTGATTGAGGGTTTGTCTTCGGGGAGGTGGGAAAGGGGGTAGGGTAGGAGGCGGGTACTGGAGAAGGTGGCCTGCAGGACCCCACAGAAGCAACAACAGCTTACCTTCCCCTGTGGTGCCAGATCGCCAGATGAACAAGAAACAGAGAAGAGAAATGCACATGTTAATTGACAGCTTCAGGCCCCACTCAGCTTTGAACCCTCCTTTGCTCCCAAGAGAAAAGATAAACAGGGTTGACAGCCAGGAATCTCAGGCTCATGAAAGGAGGAGGCATGTTCTCATGGCCACTGCTATTTCTCATCTCCTTTCCTAACATCCCTCCATTCACCAGAGGAGTTTGAGGGCTCTTGAGTAAGAAAACTGAGTATCATCTTTCATCACTTTTTGGTTAGATGAAAACTTTATAATTAAAGTGCTTTTTATGTGAATAATCCTATTTGATCTCATAAAATCAATCCTATGAGATGCAAGATAGAAACTGTCAACCACCCCCTTTTCTAATTTTGGTTCAATGTCTCTGAGCCATATGAATAGCTGTAGCAGGCTCCAGAGCCCAAACAACCAGACTCAGGTCCCACGTTCTTGGTGATACCCCACAGTGTGGCCACATCTCTCACCTGGTGAAACTTTCATCCTGTAGGTTCAGCACAAGGTTGTCAGCTGTGAGATAGATACGATTCTGTGATGTGGCGATCTACAGGGCAGGAAATAAGACAGATGCTTGCATTAAGCAAAGACCTCAATTCCGACCCCTGCAATTCAGCAGCTACTTAACATGGAACACATGCAGATTAGGGCAGGGGTGCAGCAATGAGTAACACATGGTTTCTGCTCGCACTTAGGGATCCAGAGCGCTGAGCAGCAGCTATGATTAGAACAAAAGGTCAGGGAACCCAGAGGAATCATTCTTGACAGGAGGAGTATCGGAGAAGCCAATTTTTTATTTATTTATTTTTGAGACGGAGTCTTGCTCTGTTGCTCAGGCTGGAGTGCAGTGGCATGATCTCAGCTCACTGCAACTTCCGCCTCCTGGGTTCAAGTGATTCTCCTGCCTCAGCCTCCTGCGTAGCTGGGAATATAGCTAAACGCCACCACAGCGGGCTCATTATCTTTTGTATTTTTAGTAGAGATGGGGTTTCACCATGTTGGCCAGGCTGGTCTCGAACTCCTGACCTCAGGTGATCCACCCACCTTGGCCTCCCAAAGTGCGGGGATTACATGCGTGAGCCACCGCGCCGGCCAGAGAAGCCAATCTGAGTAGAAACCGGAACAAGCAAGGTTCGAATTCCCTCACCTCAATGTGCCTTAACTGAAAGCACTTTCTCAAGGCAGCCCCATCAGAGACGCTGGGCTGACACACTCACCGTCTTGGAGATATTCTGGGCTGCTCGAATCTTGCGAAGTTTGATGTAGCCAGGGTTCTTGCTCAGTGCTTCTCCAAGGTGAGGAGGGTTAAGGTACACGCAAGGGCAGGTCTCAATCCCTGGCCCTGTCCTTACCACACTCCCTTGCTCCAGTCCTCCTCTGGGCTGTCAGATCCAAGGTTGCGCTCAGGTGGCTTGTGCCCAGCCCTACCGTGGACCCCACCTGTGGGCCTCCCTGCAGGCTGCTGCCAGGAACTAGGGGCAGCACCAGAAATGAAGGCAAGGCCACCAATGCTATTGATCTGGCCTTACAGTGGGGAGTCATGGCTCAGGTACTACCACTAAGATTTCAGATCTCATCTGTAGTCCCCACCCCCAACAAGGAGCCAAGGGCCAGAGAGCACGGAGTCGCATTCGCCTTAGTCTCATCAGCCTGCCCATGAAGGAGAATGGGGAACTCAGGTGCCCTAGGGGCTGGGCTGAGATCTCTCCAGCAGAAGGATATCATCTTGGCAGCCTCGGCCTCACCCTCGGCCTGCACAATTTTCTGCCGCTGTTCCTGCTTTGCTTTTTCTACCAAGAATTGGGCCCGCTGGGCCTCCTGCTGGGCTGTGGTGGGAGAGAGTCAGGGAGACCCTGTCCTGGGTCAGGAGCCCCACCCATGGAGTCTTTCCTCCTCCTGCATCTCAGAAGCCCTCACCCCACGGCTCTTGCGACTCACCCACTTGTTTGGCTTCTACAGCAGCTGTGTACTCTCGGCTAAAGCTCAGCTCTGTGATGGCCACATCATCCAGGATGAGGCTGAAGTCCTTGGCCCTCTCTGTCAGCTCCCGGCGGATCAACAGGGATACCTGAGGGCAGGGGTGAAGAGGGGAAGGGAGGGGTGGTTTGAGGGGACTGGGGAGCTGAAAGGAAGGTTGCGACCCCTAACCCTTCACTCTCAATACAACATGCACTGCCTTAGCTTCCTGTCAGGCAAACCTGTAACATAAGCCTCTCTGCTCGAAGAGGTGCAGGAAAAGCCAAGACTTGGCCATTTTCCTCTGTGCTTCCTAACACCGAGTGCTATCGAGTTCTAATGCTGGCTCTCCTTATTTCACAGTGGCAATTAGCACAGCTTTTAGGTGGAAATGGCACTAGGGTGACAATGCTTTTCTAATAAGCTGCCTTTCCTAATTCCCAATACTCTGGGCCTAGGAAGGAAAGGCTGACACCACGCAGATGGTGGTGGGAGTCAGACCTGGGCCCGCTGGGTGATCAGCTGTGAGGCATTGAACTTGGCCACCACACTCTTGAGCACCTCGTTGACAATGGACGGCAACACTCGTTCCTCGTAGTCCAGCCCTAGGCGCTGGTACATGCTAGGAAGCTCCTGAGCATTGGGTCGAGACAACACTCGCAGGGAGATATTCACCATCTGTAGGTCTGAGATTGAGGTCAGCAGTGGCTGGTCAAGGCCAAACACCCTTTCCCAAGCATTTTCTCCTTCATGTTCCTCCCTGTATGCCCTGTGCAATGGTGTACAGCCTGGCACTACCCTGGGGGGAGGAGAGTTAATCAGGCTGACAAGGAAGACAAGACGCAGCACAGCTGAAATGCACCCTCACCCACTGTGAAGCCTTGAACTGCAAACCCCGTCACCAGCAGAGCTGACTACTCTTTCCCCCTCTGTACTCTGTGCAACCTCTAACGTGGGCGCTTTCGTGCTGTACCGTAATCATGTCTCCTGTAAGGACTTGGGGGACAAGAATTGTGTTTAATGAATCTTTTATTCCCAGGGCCCAGTCTAGTAAATGAATAAGCGACCTGCACTAGGTATAGCACAAAGAAGTACATTACAGGTTACAGGTGAGCTACCTGACCCAGGGTGTATATGTGTGCGTGGGTGGGGAGGAGGAAGAGGTCTGGGGAACTCAAAGGCACGGCTTTTATGTATGGTCTAGAAGGAGAGAACAGGTGAACTAGTCAAGCTTAGGGACAAACTTCTCCAGAACAGAGTGTACTAGTGGATGTAACTGTAGATATAGTAAGTCAAGCAGTTAGAAAAAAAAGGCTTTAAAACAAAGCTTTGATCTAGGCAGTGAACAAGACGAGGGACAAACAATACTCTTATTGAATACACGTCAGGGAGGAGACAGTAAAAAGCACGCAAACACAGTGTGTTCAGAATTTGCTGCTTTGACCCCAGGAGGCAGGTATTTTTGTTACAGCTCTTGCAGATGTGGAAAGAGGCCTAAAGGCCTGACACTACCATATTCCCCTGGGGTTTCTTGCCAGCTACCTTGATCATCCCACCTGCCATGTGATTACCAAGTGCTCAGACCTACCTTTGGAGCCTGTAGGGGAGGAGATTTTTCGAGGTCTGGCCCGAATGTCATAGATAATGGGGTACTGGAACCAAGGGATCCTGGAGAGGACAGGGATAGGTATTAAGAGGCCACAGTTTCGGCCGGGCGCGGTGGCTCACGCCTGTAATCCCAGCACTTTGGGAGGCCGAGGCGGGCGGATCATTTGAGGTCAGGAGTTCGAGACCAGCTTGATCTACATAGTGAAACCCCGTCTCTACTAAAATACAAAAATTAGCCGGGCGTGGTGGCGGGCGCCTGTAATCCCAGCTACTCGTGAGGCTGAGGCAGGAGAATCGCTTGAAATCAGGAGGCGGAGGTTGCAGTGAGCCGAGATCGCGCCACTGCACTCCAGCCTGGGCGACAGAGCAAGACTCCCTCTCCAAAAAAAAAAAAAGAAAAGGCCGCAGTTTCACTAGCCTTGCCCGGTTTCCCCTCACCACGCGTTTTTTGGCCTGCTCCTCTCCACGACCACAGACAAGGAGAGATTCTCTTGTCCCTCTGGAAAACAACAGTTTGTATGCTGCTGGAGGTTCTCGCAGCACCCACTATCCTAGGGGCAGGGATGAGGAGGGTGGGAAAAGAGCAGCGTTGAATCCTGTTGCACGTCCGACTATAGCCACTGCTGGGTCGGCGTCAAGGGTGAAAGGTCAGGGTCAGCAGGCTCTGCCCGCCATTACCTGAAGTGAAGGCCCTCGGCCAGGATAGTGTCCTGCTGCACTCCACCGATCCGATTGAAGAAGATGGCTCTGTGCCCGCCTTCCACTGTGGGGAGATGGGTGGTGATCAGGCCAGGCCGCTGCTCAGAGGAAATGCTAGGCCCGTGGAGGGGCGCGGGGACAGGGCAAGGGGTTTGGGGGAGGGACTGGAAGCGTCCGGCGAGCAGGCGGAGGTTGCTCACCGGTGAACACAGATTCGCGCACACCGTAGGCCACGGCGCCGGCCCCCAGCAACAGCTTCAGGGCCGTGCCCATGCCCCGGGGCCCGGCGGGCAGCCGTCCCGCCAAGTCCTTCAAGTTCTGGGCCATGTCTGATCTTGAGGCCGGCGGCACTGGAGGTCAGAAGGGGGTGCCGGCCCGCCTCTACCCCGCTCCGGCTTAGGTACTGCACCCTTCACACGAGGGTTCGGGCCCGTAAGGCTGGCGAAAGAAAGGGCAGCGGAAGTGCGCTCCCTTTGAAACCCTCCCCCTTAGCCCACTACGGACCCGAACTTCGCGCACAGGAATCGCGCATACGGAAGTCCCGCCCCTTTCTGGAAGGCTGCCCTCCCAGGGAGGGCAGCGCAAGACAGCAAGTCATCTCCATTTCCTGGCCCACTTTCAAAATGGCAGCCGGAAGGAAATTTGTGATTAGAAGCCGCGCTGTTCTTATTTAAGAGCGTTAGCGCAACTTCCGGTATTGTTGCAAGATGGCCGCGCCCAGTGATGGATTCAAGCCTCGTGAACGAAGCGGTGGGGAGCAGGCACAGGACTGGGATGCTCTGCCACCCAAGCGGCCCCGACTAGGGGCAGGAAACAAGATCGGAGGCCGTAGGCTTATTGTGGTGCTGGAAGGGGCCAGTCTGGAGACAGTCAAGGTAGTTTGGGACAGGAAGTGGAGAAGTAGTAAATCGATAGGTTGGGACTCCGTGGAATGAGGGTAAGGGGCCCAGAGTGGATGTAGAAAGCAGAGAGGGGTGAAAGATGCTTTTGAAGGAAGGTGGCTTGGTTGGCTTTGCGTTGATTTGACATCCTGGGATGGTAGTACTCATTTTTCTTTCTTTTTTTTTTTTTTTTTGAGACGGAGTCTCGCTCTGTCGCCCAGGCTGGAGTGCAGTTGCGCGACCTCGGCTCACTGCAACTTCTGCCTCCCGCCTTCAAACAGTTCTCCTGACTCAGCCTCTGGAGTAGCTGGGACTACAGGCAGGTGCCACCACGCCCGGCTAATTTTTTTGTATTTTTAGTTCAGATGGGGTTTCACCATGTTGGCCACGCTGGTCTCGAACTCCTGACCTCAAGTGATCCGCCCGCCTCGGCCTCCCAAAGTGTTGGGATTAGAGGCGTGAGCCACTGTGCCCGGCCGGTAGTACTCATTTTCTTTTGCTCTTTTTGAATGATATTCTAGCCCTCACCTCCTTGCTTCCAATTGGTTTACCAGGATTCTGTGGTATAGTAGTCTAAGCAGAGGAAAGTTTCGTTCCTTGCGTCATTCCACATCCCAAGACAAGTTACTGGGCAGATGAGAAACGTAGTTATGTAGCCTAGTCTGCCCACACTTTTTGTAAGGGCTTCGTGTTTCAATTCATTAGTATCCATAGTCACCTCTCTCTAATATCCACCTATGATACACTGTCCAGACCTGGTTATTATTTAAAACTTTTACATCTGCATTTTTATCTATCATTCATCTCTTTCCCCACATGTAATAGAACCAGCAGTTCTCTATCTTAAAGCCTTGGGCAGTGTTCTTCCTCCTCCTTTCTCTTACCCGTTAGAACTAATTGAATAGGCCCAGAAGAAATCGCATTGGTTTAGAAGTCAGGCCAGGATTTTAATCTTCGTTCTAAATACACTTTTTTTTTTTTTTTTTTTTGAGATGGAGTCTCAGTCTCTACCAGGCTGGAGTGCAGTGGCACGATCTTGGCTCACTGCAGCCTCCGCCTCCCGGGTTCAATCGATTCTCCTGCCTCAGCCTCCAGAGTAGCTGGGATTACAGGCCTGCGCCTGTAATCTATTAAAAGAATAGAAAACATGATTATATCCTACTAATGGGTTGAAACTGTATTATTCATTCAAGAAGGTTTTTTTCTTCTATAACTAAGGGTGTCTCATGGACTTAGTTCTTGGTCATTTGTTCTTTGTGCTCTCTGTGACATTACTTCAACTATTCAATTTCAAAATCTACATCCCTTTTTTCGCAGACTTTTTGGAGCCATATATCTCAAGAATGTTGCTAGACATATACATTCCAGTGATACATAAAAACTTAACCTTCCAAAACTTGTATTTGTATATAACAGTTTGTTTTTAGACTTTTTACTGACCACCCTAATGCTCCTTGGGACTCCAAATTGCAACTTGGAATTATTTCTTTTAGCTGCTACAGATGTAGTCCACTTCTTTAACATCAAACTTCTGATGTCTTTTCCAGTGTACAGAGAGTTGTTAGGATAGTGTCTGTCAGTCATTCCCATCCTGCCCTGCTTACTCCAGAATTATTTTTGGCTTTGTGCTTGATACATTAGGATTCTGTGGTTTACAAAGCAGCTTCATATATAATCACTGCCCTTTAGTGTCTCAGCTCCCAATTTTCCTCAAAATTTCCTTTCTTCGTTTCCACTTTTTCTTTTTTGTTTCTTTTTTGAGATAGGGTCTTGCTCTGTTGCCTGGGCAACAGAGTGCAGTGGTGTGATGGTTCACTGCAGCCTCTACTTCCCTGGCTCAAGCAGTCCTCCCACCTCATCCTCCTGAGTAACTGGGACTGCCAGCAAATGGCACTGCGCCTGGCTAATTTTTTTTTTTTTTTTTGTGAGACAGGGTCCCACCGTGTTGCCCAGGCCGGTCTCAAATTCCTGGGCTCAAGTGATCCTTCCACCTCGGCCTCCTAAAGTGTTGGGATCACAGGCATAAGCCACCACACCTGGCTACTTTGTCTTGATTCCATCTGTACCTTTGCTCATGCCAGTCTTTCTTTTTTCTTTTTTTTGAGACAGGGTCTTGCTGGAGTGCAGTGGTACAGTCTTGGCTCACTGCAATCTCTGTCTCCTGGGCTCAAGCCATCCTCCCACCTTAGCCTCCCAAGTAGCTAGGACTACAGGCATGTGCCACCATGCCCAGCTAATTTTTGTATTTTTAGTAGAGATGGGGTTTCGCCATGTTGCCCAGGCTGGTCTTGAACTCCTGACCTTAAGTGATTTGCCTGCCTTGGCCTCCCAGAGTGCTGGGATTACAGCCGTGAGCCACTGCATCTGCCCCCATGCCCGTCTTAAAACTGGGAATAACCCCTCTTCCTTTTACTTCTGAGAGTTTTCTTTGATTAAACTGCCTCCTGCATCATTAGTTTTCACATTTCTTTTTTTTGAGATGGAGTCTCGCTCTGTTGCCCGGGCTGGAGTGCAGTGGCGCTGCAAGCTCCGCCTCCTGGGTTCATGCCATTCTCCTGCCTCTGCCTCCCAAGTAGCTGGGACTACAGGCGCCTGCCACCATGCCCGGCTAATTTTTTATATTTTTAGTAGAGATGGGGTTTCACCGTGTTAGCCACGATGGTCTCAATCTCCTGACCTTGTGATCTGCCCGCCTCGGCCTCCCAAAGTGCTGGGATTACAGGCGTGAGCCACCACGCCCGGCCTTCACATTTCTTGTTCAGATTTGCAGCTCTTCACTTAGTGCATGTTTGGTGTACGCAAACTGAGGGTGGTGACTCGATATTTTGCACAGTACCTACTTACTGCTCCTGTAATAAACACAGCATTCAGCCTTGCTAACTACTAACTCCTGCCTAGTTCCAGGATGTCTCATTGGCCTTGCCTAACAGCCACAGGTTTTTTAATTAAATCCAGTGTATTAGTAGATAATGTGAAGTCACAGGTTGTGCCCTTCCTCCTGTTTCCCTCTCAGACCATTCACTGGGGAGTGCAAATAAGGCTGCACAGTAATCCCCCGAAGGGCTTGCTGGGCTCCACCCCCAGTGTTCCTGGTTTAGTAGGTCTAGGGTGGGCCTGAGAATTTGCCTAACAAGTTTCCAGGTGCAGCTGCTGCTGGTAGTTTGGGGACCACACTTGAAGAACCACGGGGCTAGGTAACAGAAGCTTATGCTGTTCTCTCGTCATGTTCCCTGTTCTTCAGGTAGGGAAGACATATGAGCTACTCAACTGTGACAAGCACAAGTCTATATTGTTGAAGAATGGACGGGACCCTGGGGAAGCGCGGCCAGATATCACCCACCAGGTAACTCCAGGGACAGTGCTCACAACCCTTTGAGCCTCTGTATGGAAGGGTTGGCAGCTGAGTGCTGCCTCTCTTCAGCCTTAACCATGTCTCGGTTTCTGCTTTGCTCAGAGTTTGCTGATGCTGATGGATAGTCCCCTGAACCGAGCTGGCTTGCTACAGGTTTATATCCATACACAGAAGAATGTTCTGATTGAAGTGAATCCCCAGACCCGAATTCCCAGAACCTTTGACCGCTTTTGTGGCCTCATGGGTAAGAAGCCTTAGAACAAAGTTAGAATGAACTTGTCAGTAGGGAAGAAGGGAGGAAGAGGAAAAGGGAGAACTAAATGTGGATTTTTAAGCGAGAAAATGGGAGAACAACATGATTAATACCAGGACAAGGACTGTTATTATTTTTCTATGTTTGTGGAAACTCCACTCCTGTTCTTGCAGTAGCTTCCTGGCTGAGTGAAAGAGGGAGTCTGAACCCATCACTGTACAGCTAGCCATATGCTTGGCAACTGTTTGTTCCTAACATTTCAGGAGTCCAGTCTAGATATAAAGCACACAGGGAACTCATCTTATCCATGGGGTTTTCCTTGTTCGATGACTGGACAGAAGGACTGTGGTCTCCATCTAGCTCTGAACTCTTTTTTCCCCCTTCTAGTTCAACTTTTACACAAGCTCAGTGTTCGAGCAGCTGATGGCCCCCAGAAGCTTTTGAAGGTGAGGTATTGAAACCTGTTAGTTGAAGGCTGGTTCTGGGAATGTTTCTGGGGCTGACTTTTCTCTCTTTTTTACTTTAGGTAATTAAGAATCCAGTATCAGATCACTTTCCAGTTGGATGTATGAAAGTTGGCACTTCTTTTTCCATCCCGGTTGTCAGTGATGTGCGTGAGCTGGTGCCCAGCAGTGATCCTATTGTTTTTGTGGTAGGGGCCTTTGCCCATGGCAAGGTAAGGTCTGGGCTCAACCCTGAAATTCTTGGTAGAGCTGAACTTAGTATAGAATTCCCAGAGCAGTAGGCATTTTAACAATGCTTACAATGAGCTAGAAGACACATGACAGTTCCACACCCTGCCCCAGGGCACATCCTTTGAGGGCTGCTGCCATAATTGGAAGTCACAGTTAGGACCTTCTTCATCCTTTGTAGGGATTTGATATTCAACAGCACAGCTGAAATACTAGCTCAGCCATAGTTTTCCTGCCCTAAAGAAGGGCTGAAACAGCTACTGAGTGACAGAGTTGGCTGACAAAACTGTTCTTTTCTTAGGTCAGTGTGGAGTATACAGAGAAGATGGTGTCCATCAGTAACTACCCCCTTTCTGCTGCCCTCACCTGTGCAAAACTTACCACAGCCTTTGAGGAAGTATGGGGGGTCATTTGACAGTAGTAGAACCTGTTCTGAAACCAGAAACTGTTGATGTCACATCCTTTGACCCTGGTCTGAGCTGACTGCTGGAAGATGATCTTTCTGCACTGAGACTGTGGAGTTTGGGGAAGCCAAGGCTGTACATTTGCTATTTGTTTATCCTATGAATACTGTTCTTGCAAACCTGGTTGTTTTGGGGTTCCTAAAGTATCCAGTGGTGTAAAACTGTTTGTTCCCCGGGACTTCAGGGACAGATAGGAGGTTACAGAGTTTGCAGTTTGGTTCCATGCTTTGAAGGCAGGCTTTAGCTCCCAGATTCCCATGTGCTAAAGGAGAGAACCCTGATGATGGAGAAGAACTGTGAAAGAGAGCAGTCAGGAATGCTAGTGGTGAAAAACTGAACAAACAGAAGTGATTTTATCTAATACAGTTCCAAGGTAGAAAAAGTGGAGCAGGCAGGGCCTTGCACCCCTCTCCACCCCCCCATGGGGGGGGTGGTGGTAGCGGCACATACACAATCATAGTAAATTGGCAGAAGAAAAACACAATAGATTCCTGGCTAGATGGGGAGAGATAAGGCAATGTGCATGGGGGAATCAGAGGGGAGATGTGAGCCCCTCTGCTCCTCCCACAAGAGTTTCCCCTTTGGGCCGGGCACGGTGGCTCACGCCTGTAATCCCAGCACTTTGGGAGGCGGAGGCGGGTGGATCACTTGCGGTCAGGAGTTCGAGACCAGCCTGGCCAACGTGGTGAAATCCCGTTTCTACTGAAAATACAAAAATTAGCTGGGCATGGTGGCGTGCCTGTATTCCCAGCTACTTGGGAGGCTGAGGCAGGAAAATCACTTGAACCCAGGAGGTGGAGGTTGCGGTGAGCTGAGATCCCGCCACTGCATTCCAGCGTGGGTGACAAAGCAAGACGCCTTCTCCAAAAAAAAGTTTCCCCTTTGGCCCCAAATGAAGACTTGGCTGGCAGCAGAGGCACAGCTGGAAGCATCGATCTTCCACCTCCCTGGCTTTTCCATTCTCTGCTCTGGGGCAAAGGAGTGCTGTGAAAAGGGAGACGAGTAGTTTCTGCACCAGTCCCGCACAGGCCACCTGCAAGACAAGAGGAGTTTGGAAGGCTGGTTAGTTACTCCTGTAATTCCTGGTCTATAGCCCTTCCAGATGTTTCCTAGCATGCCTCAATAAGTCACAGTAGTCATTGCCCATACTGTGTTCCTTAGTAGCCAGGCTAATCCTTGGAATTCACCCCAGATTTCTAATACTATTGTTTTTTTCCAGTCTGTTGCTCTATTCTGTAACCTGGTGGTAGTTTTAGTTTAGCTGTATTAACTTACCAGGGAAATGGATTATTCCATCTTCTTTAACTTCTCTTTCCTTGGCACCATTGCTTTGTGAATATAAGGCAATATGAATAGTAGGCTCAGGAAGAAGATGTGGCCAAGGAAATAGATGGATTTATACACCTGTGGAGAGAGAGGCCACTAAGGTAGACAGGCCTGGAGTGTCCTTTGCAACCTTTGAGGTTGCAGTGAGTCCCTCCCAGTCTCACAAGCAGGCCTTCACTTGCCTTAAGCCATTTGTCCCACGTGAAGAGGCAGAAGGCAGTCATGGAGTAACCCATGAAGAGCCAGTGGATGGTCTGTTGCACCAAATAGTAGAAGGGCTGGAGGACAGTAATGGCGGCCAGCTTGCTCAGGGTGGGGCTCTCTTGAATGAGCCTGGCAGCCTGGGGAGGGAGGAGGAGCTCATCAGCATCTTGTCCCTTATATTCCCCTTCACCCCCACCCTGGAGGCCTACCTGTCTTTCCACAATAACAATGAGGAATTCCATCTGGAAGCAGACCAGGTATCCTGAGTGCAGGCCGTGCCAGAGGGCCAGGAATAGCAACGAGAGACCCTGAGAGAGTTCTTTATTTCCAAGGAACTTGAGTCGTTTGAAGATGTAGCTGGAGAAAAGGGTGGGTGGGGCGACCCTCAAACTGACTGGTCCTTGCATCCCGCCACCTGCCTCTGGGTCCTCACCCTGAGGATTGGATTGGAGTGCTGGTGGGTTCCCACGTGTAGCCCCCAGAGGGTACAGGAGGCAGTGCTGACTGATTACTTTTAGAGATGGAAAGCAGACCCAAGGCGGAGCTGGAGACCGTGTGCGCACGAGCCACTTGGTTCAGCAGCAGTGACTGAGGCTGATGCTGAGATCAGTGGTGAACCAGACACTCTACTCAAGCTGCCCACACTCTAGTGGTGGGGACAAACAAGTAAAGCTGTTGATAAACAGGGCAGTGGAGGACATAAGTCCATTGGCAGAGCTGGAGTAACACCCAGGTCTTAACGCACTTTTATATCTTGCCTTTTTTTCAAATATGACAGTAATGGTTTTTTTGGGAGGGGGGTATAGGTGGGGGTCAAAGTCAGTGTGAGCGACAGGGGGTTCTGCCCAGATGGGAAAGACGCATAGGGGTGACATGGTACACCCCTGCCCTCCAATCTGGGAAGACAGTGGAAGGAAGGAACCAGGGTCCAGGCTCCCCACCAGCAGCTCACCGGGCCACCCAGGCGTTGGTGTTGATGTTGAATGAGGCAATGGTGCCAGTGAAGCGGGGGTTTGTTTCAAAGAGCCACACCTTCATGTTGGCACAGGCATCCCACTTTGCCTTGCCCTTTTCTTCAAAGCCATTGAAGCCCAGGCCCGTCAAAATGCATACTCCTTCCTGAGAGGGAATAGCTCAGTTAGGGCTCTTGCCACTCCCCATACTGGCCCCCATGGCTTGTCTAAATAGGACCTTGTTTCAACTTTTCTACTTACTGTGACCAGCCAACAGGTGACATATTTGTACAGCACAAACTTGCCCCAGATCAGCATGTACATGCAGCGGAACCAGAAGGGGTGGTTCTTGAGGGAAGAAAGCACAGTGCATTAGGGATATCACATGACTAGGCAGTTTCTCTCAGCACTCTTCCTTTTCACACTTGTGGCTGGCTACTTCATACCTGCCTGAGTCCTGCTGCCAGATGCCCTCAATAGTCTGGCCTGATTGCCTTCACAATAGGCAGAGAGGAATAAGCAGAGGGCCTGGAGAATATTCATTCGCCTTTCCCTTGGAGAGCCTCAAGGGCAGCACTGTATTTAACTTCTCTACTGTTTGCCTTCGTTGGCAAAGTGTTTGGAATGAGCATTTGGAATGTTAAGTACAGAGGGGCCCATATTGGATTTTAATTTAAGGAGAGAAACCTGCCCAGAATTACTGAACTGTTTTCAAGCCTTTCAGCTGGGCAGGAGCAAAAGCCAGCACTTCCCCCCTTCCCTTGGTTTCTGAATTCCCTAGAAGTGCCCAAATGTATCAGTCAAGAGAAGAAAATAGGATGGAGAATCAGAAGCTGCTGTGCTCTGAGGGGTCACGTGGATGTGATAAGGCAAGCTAGGAGCGGCTCCTAGAGAAGGCAACGGGTGCTAAATGTGCACCTGGCACAGCCCTGTGCCCGCGAAGGTTGTTCAGTGCTGGCTGATGAACATGTCCCAGCACGGCTGGCATTGACAACTCACAGATCTAGAGCAAAACCAACATGCACTTGTAGATGATATTTCCTACTTCTCTGCTATCTGTAGGGATCCTTGCCTGTCCATTTTCTAGCTCTGGTGCAGTCATGCTGCTGCTGCTTTAGTAGACACTCACGTCATAGTCTTCAGTGAGGAGATAGTCTTCTGTGATGTGGGGGCTGAGCAGTGTGTAGCCCACTAGGTAGAAAAGGCCCAGACTCAGGCGCTTGAGAGCAGGAATGATGCTGGAAAGGAACGAGTGAAGTTCCTGGTCACAGAGAGCAGAGACTATTCCCTTCACCCTCTGACCTTCAGTTATGGAGAGGAGTGTTTAGGGGTGTGGTTGTCTACCTGGAATGGGATGAGAAGCTCTGCTGCCCAAAGTGTTTCCTGTTTCAGGGAAAGATTTCTATGGCTGGCTATGAGGAATGGGGACTGCAAACCTCTTAAGAGTTGTAGGAAAGTCAGGGCAGCAGACAGTGGACCAGTCTTGTGTTTACCCCTCAGGGATGCTACTGATCTCAAGGTCTTGCCAGGTCTCACAATCTCCATTGGGACTGAAAACCCAGTGGAGGTAAGATAATAAAAATAACCACTTTGAATCTGCTCCTTCATTTCTTGGTTGAATTGATGCTGAAACACAGGATGGACAAGTTCTCAGTGAAGGAATTCTTCTGGCAATTAAACTTTTTTTTTTTTTTTTTTTTTACCATTTTAATTTTTATTTTCTAGAGTCAGGGCCTTGCTCTGCCACTCCGGCTAGAGTACAGAGGCATAGTCATTGCTCGCTGTGGCCTTGAACTCCTGGGCTCAAGCGATCCCCTTGCCTTGGCCACCTGAGTAGCTGGGACTATAGGCATGTACCACCTTGCCTGGATAATTTTTTTTTGTAGAGATGGGGTCTCACTATGTTGCCCAGGCTGGTCTTGAACTCCTGGCCTCCAGTGATCCTCCTGCCTTGGCCTCCCAGAGCGTTGGCATTACAGGCATGAGCCACTGTGCCCTCCTGCATTTCCTACTGATAAATATTTTTGAGACAGGATTTTGCTATGTTGCCCAGAATGGAGTGCAGTGGTGTGATCAAAGCTCACTGCAGCCTTGACCCACCTCCCCTGGACTCAAGCAATTCTCCCACTTCAGCCTCCTATGTAGCTTGGACTACAGATGCATGCCACTATGTCTGATAATTTTTGTATTTTTTTGTAGAGACAGAGTCTCTCTATGTTGCCAGGCTGGTCTAGAACTCACGGGCTCAAGTGATCCTCCCACCTCGGCCTCCCAAAGTGCTGGGATTATAGAGGTGAAACCACTGTGCCCAGCCTCTATCTACCTACCTACCTATCAACCTGCCTACCTACCTATCAATCATAAATATATTTCATATATACATGAAAATAGGCTTTAAAGGCAGAAATGTGACTGGTTCAGGCAAAATCCTGTGGCATAAATGTGGATTTTTATGTTTGTACTAGTGTTAGAATGGATAACTGGAAGAACCCTAAACTAAAAAGGGCCCACTCCTGGCACAGAGTGCCTGTTACAACAGTCCAGGGCCTGCATGACTCAGGTCTCTATGCCAGGGTCATGCTGGAGAATGCAGCTTTCAGAAGAGTCACTTCAGAGTGAGTGAAATACCTACACAAACATCTGGACCAAGAGGGGCAATTACCTGTTTGGTATCTTTCCTGGTATGTCAATCAGCTCTCCCTGCACCAGCTTCATGTAGTGATTCATTGAGAACTGGGGCCCTACCAAGAAGGCCCCATAGAAGTAGGAGAAACCAGCAACTTCCAGCAGGGAAGGAACACCACGTATGGCATATTTCTGTTGCTCAGAGGACAAGGAATTCTATGCCAAGAAGAGAATGCATGGTTCAGGATAGCCTTGAATCTCCCCACAAGAGCCACTTTGAGTGTTCCCCACCTGTGTGCCCCACTGACTGGGGTTCTTCAAATAGCCTTCTCTTTGGGGGATGACAAATAGTTGCTTCTTGTGGAAATGCGTATGTGTGTGCATAGCTGGCTGTTGCTGCTTTAGCAAATGCCTTGCTGGCATTGATCTCTGGACTTTGTGCAAGAGCTGGATCCTGGGCAAATTAGATTTGTTGATCCTTGCTCAGTGCTATCTGAAAGGGAGATTGCACAGGCTGGGGAATGAGGGAGAGGCTCCGCTCTGGAATTTGGGTTCAGTCTTTTGTTAACAACTTTTTTCTTCCCTTTCATTAAGTCTTGAACCTCTCTGCCGATGAATGGGTACTTACCTGATCTTTCCCTCCGTCAAAGTAGTCAACAGCCAAACCTGAGCAGAGAGAGAACGGATGGGTAGGGTGGTGGGAGAGGACACTGAGGATGTGGCCTGTAGACTGAGTGCAGCCAGAAGTGTATGGCGGGGGGCGGAGGGGGGGTGCCGAGGAAGTTTTTAGTGAGATGGGGGAGGGACCTACATGTAAGGAAGGCAGGCAGTGACCATCACTCACCAATCAGCTTCAAAGTCAGAACACAATGTGGCATTGTCCACTTGATATCGTAGTTGCCGGTGGCAGTGTAATAGTATCCAGCCAGAAGGTAGGCCTAGGAGAGGCAGAAGTATTTATTCTAGCATCACTACTATTTCTTCTCCTTGCTCTGAAATTCAATGTTCTCTTTCCTTTTTCCTTTCTCCTCATCCCATCATTAAAAGCCTTAATAAATTCCTACAAATGGAGGTGCTGAAAACCTGTAATGGGAAGAGCGTTGCTCAAGGCTTCTTGGCAAAATGAGGGCTAAACTGAGATGAGAATTTAGATGCTGGGACCACAGGTGCATGCCACCCCACCCGGCTAATTTTTAATTTTTTTTGTTTCACCATGTTGCCCAGGCTGGAGGGCTAATTTTTGTATTTTTTTTGTAGAGATGGGGTTTCACCATGTTGCCCGGGTTAGTCTCAAACTCCTGGGCTCAAGCAATCTGACTGCCTTGGCCTCCCAAGGTGCTGGGATTACAGGTGTGAGCCACTTTGCCTGGCCTAGGCTTAGGTTCTTTAACTCATTCTAAGTTGCTTTTCTGTCTTGCCTTGAAGTGACTCTGCTCCTGGATAGTGGGTTAAACCAAAGAGCCTAATGGCACAGTATGCAAAGGGTTAGCTGGTGGCCCTTCCTTGAGGCAGGCAAAGAGTTACCATTACAATCTGTGGATGGAACACTTGGGCCTGTGATAAGCCACCTACCTGAAGTCATACTGCTAAGTGCTGGGAGAGGGGTTAGAAATTAGGTCTGCTAATTTCTATACCACAGTCCCCTGCCTACCCCTGTCCCCTGAACCGCTGTCAGCTGTAGCCTGAGCTGCTAAGGGAAAGACGTTTACCATCTGGAAGCAAAAGGTAGTGAGGACGGCAGTGATGGTGCGGCCCATTAGTCGAAGGATGAGGAACTGAAGCACAATACACAGCAGGGAGTGGTAGAGCTGGTTTCCTGGATGCAAGAAGAGAGAATTTAGCCTGGTTTTTACACTCCCACCGTCCTGAGACTTCCAATCACAACGTAATATATAAAGAAAAAATGTTGGCATCAGGATCTTTTTTTTCAGAATAACCTCATGTTTTGGAGGAGAGGATGGAAATTATTTATTAAAATAAAAAAGATTATTAGGGTGTTATTTTATTTCTTTTCTTTTTTTGTTTGTTTTTTTAGAGATGCGACTTGCTCTGTTGTCCAGACTTGAGTGCAGTAGCTCAATCATAGCTCACTGCAGCCTTGAATTCCGGGCTACCACACCCAGCTTGTTACTGTATTTTTGAATGTCTGAAGTGAAGAATGAATCTAAGTGGGGACTGCTTGGCTCGGTCATTCAGTTACATCCACAGCACAGAGAAACTGAGGATTCTTTGTTGATGAGGTATGGCAAGGGTAACCACCCTCAAAATGTTTTTATCTGACAGAAGAATGTACATAAAAGAAAAAAAGGAAAAGTTAAGCTGTGTTCCTCTTCATACAACCCTCTTTGCAAGTGGGAGCATTATAACTTCCCTACCTATTAGATTCTCTCAAGGAAATTTTGTTCAAGTCTGTTCCTTCCAGGTTCCCACTAATTGCGGTGTCACTGCTAATTTAGTTTACTCACCAAAGTTAAAATAAGCAATTGAGAGGCCTGTAAAGGTATGGAAGAGGTGGATGAGGTAGGTCTCCTTGTAGAAAAGGTAATGCCGATAAAACAAAGCAAAGGGGTAACCTAGATGGGGGAAAAGATAAGAAGAGTGTTATTTGTGCCTGGTGCCATCCCAGTTTGGTTTGGAAGTTTATCTGGCATGAAACGCAGCCCAGAGGGAGAGAGAAAAAAAAAACAACATACATTATATGGATGGCAACAGAGAAGGCAATAACGGTATCCCCAAGAACCAAAAGTTTTTTGTAAATACAAATTTTGAACTAAAGATATTAATATTTGATTGAGGCAATATAAAGCTGGGTCCTAAGACTAGGTTTCATTTATAGCTTATGAACTATTGCCAGACATTTTCTCTTACTTGAATTTTAAAAAATGATACAAGGAAGCTAGGCATGGTGGCTCCCATGTATAATCCCAGCACTCTGGGAGGCTGAGGCAAGGGGATTGCTTGAGCCGAGGAGTTCGACACCAGCCTGAGCAACATAGCGAAACCCCGTCTCTATTAAAAAACAAGATACAAAGATTTGAGCGTACCCATCTATGCTCCAGAAACACTCATTTACACTTTGTGATCTATCTTGCTAGCACTGTATTATCAGATTATGAGGAAAAATATAAATTAATATCAGGCTAAATACTGGAATTGCTGACTGCATATATAGCAGTTACAAGTTATGTGGAGATACTCCTCACAGTCTGTAATCTGGGCATCAACCAAGTTATAAAATCCATTTAAGTATACTAAAAAAATGTCTTCTAAAGCCATGATTCAGAGTATAGTCCAAAGGCCATGAGTGAACCACAGAGGATCTTCTGATGGGTCATGAACTGATTATACATGGCCAAGGGTTGCTTATTGAATTAAAAACGGTCAATAAAATTTGGTATTCCTAAACTAAAATTAGCACATTCCATGGCTTTACTGCAGACTCACCTTCAGTGTTCTATCTAGAGGTCTGGCGGCCATGCCTGGCAACATCCCCACTGCACTAGTGCATATGTGGAGGATGGGGATCTCTCAACTGCTTTTTGGAAAGACATTCTGCCTATTCTTTCATTGATTATTCTCTTGAGTTGGTCATGGTTTATACTTTCTGCAATTCTTGCTTTTATTTTTATTTATTTTGAGACAGGGTCTCTTGCTCTGTCACCCAGGCTGGAGTGCAGTGGCACGATCATCGCTCACTGCAGCCTTGACCTCCTGGGCTCAAGTGATCCTCCAACTTCAGCCTCTTGAGTAGCTGGGACCACAGGTGCTTGCCACCATGCCTGGCTATTTTGTAATTTTTGTGGACATGAGTTCTCACTATGTTGCCCAGGCTGGCCTTGACCTCCTGGGCTCAAGGAATCTTCCTGCCTTGGCCTCCCAAAGTGTTGGGATTACAGGCGTGAGTCACTGTGCCTGATGAATTGCTGCGATTCTTGCTTTTAAATTATGTAACTGCAGTTTTTATCATGGGCAATACAGTTTACTGTGAGTTTGCTTAACTCTAAAACGCTTAGAATAGTATCATACAGAAATAAATTGCTCAATTATTTGTTAAATAAGTAAATGCACACAATCATGTTATATGTTGGTTTCTGTCCTTCTAGTCATTTTTCCCCCATACATTAAAAAAAAAAAAAAAAAAAAGGCTGGGCGCGGTGGCTCATGCCTGTAATCCCAGCACTATGGGAGGCTGAGACGGGCGGATCATGAGGACAGGAGATCGAGACTATCCTGGCTAACACGGTGAAACCCCGTCTCTACTAAAAATACAAAAAAAAAAATTAGCCGGGTGTGGTGGCGGGCGCCTATAGTCCCAGCTACTAGGGAGGCTGAGGCAGGAGAATGGCATGAACACGGGAGGCGGAGCTTGCAGTGAGCTGAGATGGCACCACTGCACTCCAGCCTGGGCGACAGAGCGAGATTCCGTCTCAAAAAACCAAAATAAAACAAAACAAAAAACTGTACTGGCTGGTGCAGTGGCTCACGCCTGTAAACCAAGGCACTTTGGGAGGCTGAGGTGGGTGGATCACTTGAGATCCGGAGTTTGAGACCATACTGGCCAACATGGTGAAACCCCATCTCTACCAAAAATATAAAAAATTAGCTGGGTGTGGTGGCGGGTGCCTGTAATCCCAGCTACTCGGGAGGCTGAGGCAGGAGAATCACTTGAACCTGGGAGGCAGAGTTTGCAGTGAGCTGAGATCGTGCCATTGCACTCCAGCTTGGGCAACAGAGCGAGACTCTGTCTCAAAACAAACAAACAAACAAATGCCATTTGATCTTCCTGGTGCCAGGATCAACTGGTGTTTTTTTTTTTTTTTGAGATGGAGTTTAGCTGTTTTTACCCAGGCTGGAGAGTGCAATGGCACGATCTTGGCAGCTCACTGCAACCTCCGGCCCCTAGGTTCAAGCGATTCTCCTGCTTCAGCCTCCCAAGTAGCTGGGATTACAGGTGCCCGCCACCATGCCCAGTGAATTTTTGTATTTTTAGTAGAGACGGTATTTCACCATGTTGGCCAGGCTGGTCTCGAACTCCTGACCTCAGGTGATCCACCTGCCTTGGCCTCCCAAAGTGCTAGGATTACAGGCGTGAGCCACCACGCCCGGCCAACTGGTGTTTTTTTTTTAATTGCTGTTCCCATAATAGGCTAGGCTCTTAAATTTATAGCTTCATGCAAGTATAGTTGACCCTTGATCAACACAATTTTGAACAGCAAGGGTCCCCTTAGACTTCCCTCTGCCTCTGCCACTGCTGAGATGGCAACCCTTTCTCTTTCTCCTCCTCCTTGCCTGCTCAACCTGAAGATCATGAGGAGGAAGACCTTTATGCTGATCCACTTCCACTGAATGAAGAGTAAACATATTTTTTCTTGCTTATGATTCTCTTAATAACATTTTCTTTTCTATAGTTTACTTTATGGTAAGAAATACATATATAACACAAATGACATACAAAATATATGTTAATCAACTTGTTTATGCTATTGGTAAGTCTTCTATTAGTAGTTAAGTTTTTGGAGAGTCAAAAGTTATATGTGGCCGGGTGTGGTGGCTCATGCCTGTAATCTCAGCACTTTGGGAGGCTGAAGCAGGTGGATCACGAGGTCAGGAAATCGAGACCATCCTGGCTAACATGGTGAAATTCCGTCTCTACTAAAATACAAAAAATTAGCTGGGCATGGTGGCACACACCTGTAGTCCCAGCTACTCAGGAGGCTGAGGCAGGGGAATCGCTTGAACCTGGGAGGCAGAGGTTGCAGTGAGCAGAGATTGCAGTGAGCAGAGAGAGCCACTGCACTCCAGCCTGGTGACAGAGTGAGACTCTGTCTCAAAAAAAAAAAAAAAAAAAAAAAAAGTTACACCTGTCGGCCGGGTGCGGCAGCTCACACCTGTAATCCCCTACTTTGGGAGGCTTAGGCGGGTGGGTCGCCTGAGATCAGGAGTTTGAGACGAGCCTGGCCAACATGGTGAAACCCCATCTCTACTAAAAATACAAAAATTAGTTAGGCGTGGTGCAGGCACCTGTAATCCCACCTACTTGGGAAGCTGAGGCAGGAGAATTGCTTGAACCCAGGAGGCGGAGGTGGCAGTGAGCTGAGATCACGCCATTGCACTCCAGCTTGGGCAACGAGCAAGATTCTGTCTCAAAAAAAAAAGAAAAAAAAGTTTTATGAGGATTTTTGACTGTACAAGGGGTGGGATCCCATAGGACCTGCGCTGTTCAAGGCTCAACTGTAATTAATTCTACAGATATCTTATGGATTACTGGCTCATGTATTCATTCACCAAGTGTTTAGTAAATGCCTGCTATATGCCAGGTATTCTGTTTATGAAGCACGTAATTGGGTAGGAGGTGGCATGTGATGGTTCGTTTTCTAGCTGGCTGAGATGATGGGATATAGGATCACTAGCTCTAGGGAGGTGGAGACATCTATGACCCTTTCAGGTAGATCAATGAGCAAGGAAATAGGATCAAGTCTCATATATTTCACATGGGCAGAAATTTGGCAGAGACAGAACACCAGGTTAGCAGCAAATATTGCTAAGAACTAGAGCCAGGAACTAGAAAGTATATAGACTAAATGTCAATGCCTTCAATCTTTTGCTTTATTTTTACTTTTGTTTTAGTAACGGGGTATAAATAAAAAAATATAAAACAGTAGATAATTATCTAGAGCACTCATAAATAAGTTCTAGGTAGCTAAGTTTCTCTCTTTAAGCATGAAAACCCTTAACCATTTGGAATGCTCGAAATTAAAAAACACCACACATATTACTCTGCCTCTTTAAGTTGAATCTAATTTAACATTTTCTAGGTGTCTGGATCGTATCTATTCCAGAGTAAAGTCATGATGGCTTTATGACGTTCTGAGGTATGTGAAATTGTCTGCCTGACTCTAACAAGGCCTACACTGTCCTGAGTTCTGAGTTCTTGTGTCCACTTCTTATAGCCTGTCTGTCCCTTTCCTTGCTACTCTGGGATCAACAGTCACCTCTTGAACTTTTGGGGTGCTTGGCAATAGTTCCTCTCCCTACTCCTAATTTACGGCAGGCCTTAGAAACCATAACCTTATTTTAAAGGTGTAAAAAAAAAAAGATTTAAGACAAAAGCAAGGGGCTTGGGTGCTTTCCTTATGGACTTAGGCCTGGTAACATCTGTTCTGGCCACTTAGAGGCCTTGTGTGCTATTTCTTGTTTTCAGGTGCGTTTTGCAGGAGGGGACGTTGTTGAGTTCCAAACAGGTGAGGTATTGCACACTAGCAAACACATGAGAAGAAGGCGGAGGAATTGGGAGAAAAATAAAAAGAATGCAGCAGGCCAGGTTAGCAGGAACGTTAAGACGGTGACGGAGAACAGCAAAGCCTGGAAGCAAGCCGCCGTGGAGAAGGAAGAACTGTGCTGAGGTGAGTTGCTGTGACAACCCAGGCTGATTTTGAGTATGTAAACACCAAACCTTGTTCTTGGCTGCCGCTCAGCTCAGCGGGCTTTGGAGCCTGGCTGCCCAGCCACCACTTCAGGGATGTGCTGTTTTTAGGGAGGGTGTGACCCTACAAGATGTTTCTGAGCCTTAATGCTTTTTTGTGGGAGCCAATGCTTAATATGGTGGCTAGAGTTACCTGAAGAATCTATAAAAAATGACCGAAGCCCCTTCTGCTCACCCTCCCACTCATCAGAGTTGGCTTCCGTGGGTCTGAGTGGGAAGGACTTCCACTTTTAACAGCATGAGACACGGTTCTGACAGCCCCACTAACATCCGAATGCAGGCCGCAGTGCTCAGTCCTGAGGATAAAATTCTCAGCTTGGAGATTGGGGTTGATGCCTTACCTTTATTAGCACCAGATGGGTTTGTAACAACCCAGAGGTTTGTAAGAACTTGTTGGCCGGGCGCCGTGGCTCACGCCTGTAATCCCAGCACTTTGGGAGGCCGAGGCAGGCGGATCACCTGAGGTCAGGAGTTTGAGACTAGCCTCAACATGGAGAAACCCTGTCTCTACTAAAAAAAATACAAAATTAGCTGGGCGTGGTAGTGCATGCCTGTAATCCCAGCTACTCGGGAGGCTGAGGCAGAATTGCTTGAACCTGGGAGGTGGAGGTTGTGGTGAGCCGAGATCACGCCATTGCACTCCAGCCTGGCAACAAGAGCGAAACTCCATCTCAAAAAAAAAAAAAGAACTTGTTTGGCAGCACTGTAACTGTTCCTTCTTTTTGATTGTTTGTTTAAAGCAGGGACTTCAGAAATTTATTAGCAGGCGAAGGATGATGACCTTTAGTACACTCCAAACCTGAGGATCTTCTACTAGAATGGGACCTTTATAATCCCTAATGCTAGGGACATTCAAAATGCGTGTTTTTTTTTTTTTTTTTTGAGACAGAGTCTCTGTCGCCCAGGCTGGAGTGCAGTGGTGCAATCTCGGCTCACTGCAAGCTCCGCCTCCCGGGTTCACGCCATTCTCCTGCCTCAGCCTCTCCGAGTAGCTGGGACTACAGGCGCCCGCCATCACGCCCAGCTAATTTTTTGTATTTTTAGTAGAGACAGGGTTTCACCGTGGTCTCGATCTCCTGACCTCGTGATCCGCCCGCCTCGGCCTCCCAAAGTGCTGGGATTACAAGCGTGAGTCACCGTGCCCGGCCAATGCTGTGGTCTTTCAAGCAGCTGCTGGGATACATTTAATTTGTACAAGCCCTCTTCAGGGGTTGTAGTCAAGCACAGGGAGTGGATAGAACTGTATTATTCAGTCTCTGGACTTCACTCAGTTCCAAGTGCTGTTTGTGTCAGGGACCAGATCTATCACAACGTGCATTGTTAGCGGGAACGTTTTCTTATTTCCTGTACAATAGTTGTGAGATTACTTATTAATCCTAAAGTTGTGAGGTTTCATCTGAAGAAACAGAAATGGACTGTTTCCATTAAGTCTGGTAAATTTGGCTGGGAGTGGTGGCTCACACCTGTAATCCCAGTGCTTTGGGAGGCTGAGACGGGAGAATCACTGGAACCCAGGAGTTTGAGACCAGCCTGGGCAACATAGCAAGACTCTGTCTCTACAAAAAATAAAAAAAATAGTTGGGTGGGGTGGGTGGTGCGTGCCTGTAGTCCCAGCTACTTGAGAGGCTGAGGCAGGAGGATCACCTGAGTCTGGGGAGACAGAAGCTACAATGAGCTACGATGATGCCACTGCACTCCAGCCTGGGCAACAAAGTTGTTTTTTTTGAGACCCTGTCTCAAAAATAAATAAATAAATAAATAAAAATAAAAAAAATATAAGCGGGGCACGGTGGCTCATGCCTGTAATCCCAGCACTTCGGGAGGCTGAGGCGGGCGGATCACGAGGTCAGGAGATCGAGACCATCCTGGTTAACATGGTGAAACCCTGTCTCTACTAAAAATACAAAAAATTAGCCGGGTGTGGTGGCGGGCACCTGTAGCCCCAGCTACTCGGGAGGCTGAGGCAGGAGAATGGTGTGAACCTGGGAGGCAGAGCTTGCAGTGAGCCGAGATTGTGCCACTGCACTCCAGCCTGGGCGACACAGTGAGACTCCGCCTCAAAAAGAAAATTAAAATAAAATAAATAAATAAATAAATAAATAAATAAATAAATAAATTGAGCACCCCAAACAACTTTTGTTAATGTGGGAACTATATATCAATGTCTACTGTGTTAGAAAATAAGACTAAAAACTGGGTGTGGTGGCTCACTCCTGTAATCCCAATGCTTTGGGAGGCCGAGGTGGGTGGATCACTTGAGGTCAGGAGTTTGAGACCATCCTGGCCAACATGGTGAAACCCTACTAAAAATACAAAAACCAGCCAGACATGGTGGCAGGCGCCTGTGATCCCAGCTACTTGGGAGGCTGAGGCAGGAGAATCGCTTGAACCCAGGAGGTGGGGGTTGTAGTGAGCTGAGATCACGCCACTGTGCTCCAGACTAGGCAACAGAGCGAGACTCCAAATCAAAAAAAAAAAAAAAAGGAAGAAAATAAAACTAAAAAAAAAGTAAAAGATATGATTAATTCAGTAAAAATATTAACAGTAAAACTACTACACATTATATTAATATAAATAACATACTTTAAATGTAAACCACTATATTTCCCAAAACAATCAAAGAAATAAAGCCATCTAATGAGAAGAATGCCACTGTTTTACATTTTCATAAATTTATGGCCTCTGTCTGACTTAATAGAAGATGACTGGATTCTCAAATCTGCTTCTGCATTTAATCTGTTGTAATATGTTAGTTTGGTTAAAATATACAAAGAAAATCTGGCTTTACACAGACAGAGAAAGTATCTGCATTTTCAGATAATTTTGGATATTCTTTAGCGCTACATCAAAACTTGACAAGTAGTAGTTTCTTAACAGTTAGGAACTTTTGTTATAATAAAACCCATTGGCTTCTCTTGCACTTTGAATGGATATTTTACCATGCATGACTTTGTAACATCACACATAGATCACTGCAAAATACTGGTTCCCTGTTGTTAGGCAGATCTTCTAAATACTGACATATTTCATTAGAATACATATCAAAAAATCATATTCCTTAAATTTCACCATTGATTTCAGCAGAAAAGTCTGTATATATTGAAAAGTGGTCAAGCTCATGGGAGTGGATACAAGTTTTCCAAAATTCTAATTTTTACTTGAAAGTGTAAATTTTATCACTGGCTACAAATATTGTCATTTGTTTACCTTGAAGTGACAGGCTCACTTCATACAGTTTCAAGAGACTGTCTGCCAGATGCCTAAGTCTAAAACCATAGTTTGTCTATCATTCTTTCAAGTAAAAATGGTGGTCGGTGAAAAAAGAAGCTGCTAAATCAATATGCAACTTGAATAATCGCCCAAATGCTTTTCCTTGTGACAACCACCGTACTCTACCAGTGTGCAGCAGAGGCGGTTTATGCATATTTCCCATTTCTTCAAACAAGTTTAAAAAGATGTACTCAGGATCAGGCATGGTGGCCCACACCTCCCAGCACTCTGGGAGGCCAAGACGGGTAGATCACTTTAGGTCAGGAGTTCCAGACCAGCCTGGCCAACATGGCGAAACCCCGTCTCTACTAAAAATACAAAAATTAGCTGGGTGTGGTGGTGCATACCAGTTAAAAAAAAAAGATTTATTCAAGGACTGACATTTGATACAATTAACAATATTTAGCCTGGGCGACAGAGTGAAACCCCATCTCTAAAAACAAAACAAAACAAAACAAAAACAAAAATTAGCCAGGTGTGGTGGTGCACACCTGTAGCCTCAGCTACTCAGGAGGCTGAGGTAGCATCACCTGAGCCCAGGAAGTTGAGGCGGCAGTGAGCTGTGATGCCCCCACCGCACTCTAGCCTGGGTAAGACCCTGCCTCAAAAAAAAAAAACAAAAAAAATTTACCACTTCATCAACGATTCTTAAGTGAAACTGGCTCTGTTTTGATTGTGAGTGCATGGCAGTAAAGAATGCAGTGACCACTGGTACAGTTTGGTGTCACCGTCCTGATTTGTGCTAAGGCGCCAGCAGTTTTACCACCATTTTGCAACATCAGTGCAAGTGTCAACATAGGGAAAAGACAAATACATCTTAGTAGTATCATGAAAATAATTTTTACCCCAAAGAGATTCCTTAAAGAAGTCTCAGGAACTTTTAGGAGTAGTCTATGGACTGCATGCTGATATGGAATGATTTGTTTTAATCTTTCATCTTCTAATACCCAAATCCACTAGTCTTTCCTTTCTCCCTGGTTTCCTTGACTGCCCTGCTGTGTTTTCAATCTTTTTGAAACTTCTCTTTCACTGGTTTCATTGGTTTTGAATACAGTTATCTCTTGGTGTCCATGAAGGATTGGTTCTAGTACTCGCAGCAGACACCACAGATGCTCAAGTCCCTTATATAATATGGTGTAGTATTGCATGTAACCTATGCACATCTTCACATACACTTTAAATCATCTCTGGATTACTCATAATACCTAATATAATGTAAATGCAATGCAAATAGCTGCTATATAGCATATTGTTTTTTATTTATATTTTTATTATTGTATTATTATTTAGCTTAGAATCCATGAATGTGGAACCCACAAATATGGAGGGCTGACTATACACAGTTTCCTGGATTTTTTTCTACTGAGATATAATTTACCATAAAATTCACCCTTCAAAGTGTAAAATGTAATGTTTTTTAGTATATTCAAAAGGTTGTCGCCGGGCATGGTGGCTTATGCCTGTAATCCCAGCACTTTGGGAGCCGGAGGAGGGCAGATCACGAGGTCAGGAGATCAAGACCATCCTGGCCAACATGGTGAAACCCTGTCTCTACTAACAAAAAATTAGCTGGGCGTGGTGGTGCCTGCCTGTAGTCCCAGCTACTCAGGAGGCTGAGGGAGGAGAATTGCTTGAACCCAGGAGGCAGAGATTGCAGTGAGCTGAGATTGCGCCACTGCACTCCAGCCTGGCAACAGAGCGAGACTCCATCTCAAAAAGAAAAAAAAAAAAGGTTGTGCAGCCATCCCCACTATCTATCTAATTTCAGAATATCTTCATCACCTCAAGTAGAAACCCCATACATGTTGGCAGTCATTTCCCATTCTCTCTTAACTCCCAGAGCCTGGCAACCATTCATCTACTTTATGTCTCTATAGATTGGCCTATTCTAGGTGTTTCATATAAATGGCGTCAGGCAATGTGTAGACCTTTGTGTCTGGCTTATTTCACTTAGCATGTTTTCAAGGTTCATCCATGTTGTAGCATGTATCAGTACTTCATTCCTGTTTATGGCTGAATAATATCCCGTTGTATGGATACTCTGCATTCTTTTTTTTAACATTTAAAAATTTTTTATAGACAAGGTCTCACTATGTTGCTCAGGCTGGTCTTGAATTCCTGAGCTCAAATGATCTGTCCACCTCAGCTTCCCAAAGTGCTAGGATTGCAGGCATGAGCCACTACGCCCAGCCTGGATACTCTGCATATAATCTACCCATTCATCAGCTGACAAACAACTGGGTTGTTTCCACTTTAGGAACATTATGAAGAATGCTGCTACAAACATTCATGCATTTTGTAGAGACAGGGTCTCACTATGTTGCCTAGGCCGGTCTTGAACTCCTGGCCTCAAATGATCCTCCTGCTTTGGCCTCCCAGAGTGCTGCAATTACAGGTATGAGCCCATGTACAAGTTTTTGTGTGAACATATGTTTTTATGTTTTCAATTCTCTTGGGTATATACCTAGGAATGGATCTCCTGGATCTTTTTCTTTTTTTTCCCTTTGGGACAGAGTCTCTCTGTGTTGTCCAGGCTGAAGTGCAGTGGCATGATCTTGGCTCACGGCAACCTCCGCTTCCCAGGTTCAAGTGATTCTCCTGTCTCAGCCTCCCGAGTAGCTGGGATTACAGGTGTGCACCACCATGCCCAGCTAATTTTTGTATTTTCAGTAGAGATGGGGTTTCTCCATGTTGGCCAGGCTAGTCTCGAACTCCTGACCTCAAGTGATCGACCTGCCTTGGCGTCCCAAAGTGCTGGGATTACAGGCGTGAGCCACCGGGCTGTTGCCCACGCTGGAGTGCAGTGGCATGCTCACAGCTCACTGCAGCCTCAACTTTCTAGGTTCAAGTGATCCTCCCACCTGAGCCTCCCTAGCAGCTGGGACTACAGGTGTGCACAGGACCGGCTAATTTCTTGTAGAGTTGGAGTTTCACCATGTTGCTCAGGCTGGTCTCGAACTCCTGAGCTCAAGCAATCTGCCCGCCTTGGCCTCCCAAAGTGTTGGGATTACAGGCATCAGCCACTGTGCTTGGCCAATGTTCACTCTTACTTTCTGTGCTTACTTCTGGCATGGGTTGGCTGACTACAATTTGAATAGACCCATCTTTCCGTTTCTTTCACCGAAGGCATTTTTTCTGGCTCCTAGATGTTGCTGACCCCCAGGATCCAGTCTTGGCCCTCCACTATTCTTGCTACACTGCTTCTTTGGAAACTCATCTACTCTCAAGTAACTTAATATAATCTTTATGCCAAAGACAGATCCACATCTTTAGTTCTAACTTCTTTTTCAGTTCCACATTTCCTACTTCCTTGCTGGACAGTTTTAATTTGATATTTCATTACCATCTCAAACTCTGTATAACTAAGGCATAAATTTCTCCCTAAATCAGCCTTCTCTGGGCTTTTTTTTTTTTTTTAAATTAACAGTGTTACCATTCTCCAGGTCACACAACATTCAAAAGTGTGTTTTCCTGCCAGGGCATGGTGGCTCCACGTCTGTAATCCCAGCACTTTGGGAGGCCAAGGCAGGCGGATCACCAGGTCAAGAGTTCAAGACCAGCCTGACCAACATGGTGAAACCCCATCTCTACTAAAAATACAAAAATTAGCCGGGCGTGGTGGTGCATGCCTGTAATCCCAGCTACTCAGGAGGCTGAGGCAGGAGAATCGCTTGAACCCAGGAGGCGGAGGTTGCAGTGAGCTGAGATCGTCTCACTGTACTCCAGCCTGGGCAACAGAGCCAGACTCCGTCTCAAAAAAAAAAAAAAAGTGTTTTCCTTCTTCATATTGGTTCTCTGTTATCTAGTCATGAAATCCTGTTGATTCCTCCTTTCCAGTCTCTCTCACCATCACTGTCACCATGACCATCACCACTCCCTTTTTCCTCTGCTGATTTGCAGTTAAAACCCTTATGGATCTCACCCTTAAATCCTTGCAATGGCCTCCTACCTGATCTCTGCCTGCACCACGTCTTCCCAGCAGTCCTATACCGGGGTAATCTTCCTTCAGCTCCTGCTCAGAAACCATCAATAGCTCCCAGCTGACTACTCAACAGAGTCAGCAATCCTGTCTGTTCTACCTTCAAAATAAATCCAAAATCTGACCACTTCTCTCCGCCTCTACTGCTTCCCCTGGTCTGAGTTGCCACTATCTCTGGATTATTATTATTAATATATCATTATTATATTCAATGTATTATCATTATATACTTGCCTCCTGACTGATCTCACCCTGCCTTTGCCTCCCTTCAGTCTAGCCTTAATGAAGCATCTAGAGGGTTCTATTCAACTTAAGTCAGCAGGTCACTCCTCTGCTCAAAGCCCTCTCAAGGCCTCTATTCTCACTCAGATCAAAAGGCTGATTGCCAGCACCCGCAGGTTCTGTCCCTCTGCCCGGGCCCCACTGTCCTCTGACTCATCTCTCAATCTGGCCTCTACCCTTCTGCTCCAGCCCCAAAGCTTTCCCTTCCTGGAATGTTAAGCAGGTCCAGCCTTGGTGCCTTCACATGGTAAGTTCCTTGCCTGGAAGGCTCTTTGCACAGATAAGCTCAAATCCTTCCTACACCTCAGGTCCTTTGTAAAATGTCACCATAAGTATCAGTGAGGACTTCCCTATCTTATCTAGAAGTGTATACAACACTACCCCTCCCCACCCTGTAACCCTCCCCCATCACACACTTCTTGTTCTTCTTTCCTGCTTTTTCTATTTTTCTTCTCAGTACTTATTACCTTTTGACATACCATATATCTTACTTTTCAGTCTTTCAAAGCAGGGATTATCATCTACTTTAGTCCCTACCGTACCCCAGTGCATAGTACAGTTCCTGGTACACAAAATTTCTCAAAAAGTATTAGCTGAATGGCCGAACAATGAGTGAACAAGTGCTCTGTACTCTAGGCAGTCAATACAATATTTATTAAGCACTCACTATGTGGTTAGCATTGCATTAGGCATTGGGGGAATATGGTAGAATTTTAAGAGGTGCTTTCTATTCTTAAGGAGCAAAATCAAACAATGATGTTCTATGCTAAGGGCTAACTGTATGGAATAGCCAATGTTGTAGAGGTTAAAGAGAAATCAATCTCGACCACAGTGGTCGGGAGAAGTAGTTCTTGAACAGAGAAGAGATGACGGCATTCCAAGGGAGGATAATGTAGTAAAGACACAGCGGTAGGAAGGAGCATGGGGCATTCACTCCAAGAGACTGGGCTAATTTCAAGGGAGGAAAAATATTGTAACAAAATGGATGGGAAAGTGAAAAACCAGGCAGAGTCTGAAATTGATAAATGGGAAAAAAAAAATCAATTGACTAGGTGTAGGAGAAGGAAAAGGACAAATTAAAGATGTTTATGCCACTGATATAATGGTCTTCAGGTCTTCAAACCTTTTTGCTGGCATAGCTCCTAGAAGAATTTTGAAAAACTGTATATCCTCCTTTCACATTTTAAAGTTGCCATCTAAACCTTATGTTTTTATTTCTTTATTTTTTTATTTTCTTGAGACAGTACTTCACTCTGTTGCCCAGGCTGGAGTGCAGCGGCACAATCACAGCTCACTGCAGTTTCAACTTCCTGGGTTCAAGTGATCCTCCTGCCTGAGCCTCCCAAGTAGCTAGGACTATAGGTATGTGCCGCCATGCCCCCAAAACAACAGCAAATTATGTGTGTGTGTGTGTGTGTGTGTGTGTGTGTGTGTGTGTGTGTGTGTGTTTCAAGACACAGTCTCACTCTGTTGCCCAGGCTGGAGTGCAGTGGTGCAATCTTGGCTTACTGCAACCTCTGCCTCCCAGGTTCAAGCGATTCTCCTGCCTCAGCCTCCCAGGTAGATGGGATTACAACTGTGTGTCACCATGCATGGCTGATTTTCTTTTCTTTTTTTTTTTTTGAGATGGAGTTTCGCTCTTGTTGCCCAGGCTGGAGTGCAATGGCGTGATCTCGGCTCACCGTAACCTCTGCCTCCTGGGTTCAAGTGATTCTCCTGCCTCAGCCTCCCAAGTAGCTGGGATTACAGGCAGGCGCCACCACACGGGGCTAATTTTGTATTTTTAGTAGAGACAGGATTTCACCATGTTGGTCAGGCTGGTCTCGAACTCCTGACCTCAGGTGATCCTCCTGCCTTAGCTTCCCAAAGTGCTGGGATTACAGGCGAGAGCCACTGCACCTGGCCGCATGGCTGATTTTTGTATTTTTAGTAGAGTAGGGTTTCACCATGTTGGCCAGGCTGGTCTTAAACTCCTGACCTCAAGTGATCTGCCTGCCTCAGCCTCCTAAAGTGCTGGGCATAAGCCACCATCCCTAGTCAGTGTGTGTGTTTTGAGGCAGGGTCTTGCTCTGTCGCAAAGGCTGGAGTGCAATGGCACAGTCATGGCTCACTGCAGCCTTGATCTCCTGGGCTCAAGTGATCTTCCGACCTCAGACCCCTGAGTAGCTGAGACCACAGGAATGTACTACCACATTCAGATAATTTTAAAATTTTTTGTAGAGATGGCATCTTGCTATATTGCCCAGGCTGGTCTTGAACTGCTGGGCTCAAGCAATCCTCCTGCCTCAGCCTCACAAAGTATTGGCATTACAGGTGTGAGCTACTATGTTTGGCCGTGTGTGTGCTTTCTAATGCCTATTGAAGGTGTGTTTTAAGTGCTTATGGCAGATGTCTGCCATGCAATCTAAATGGCAAACCAATCAGCTGGATCAGTCTTACTTACAACACACCTGGCCTGTCCCTCAACTTTTCTATTCTTTCACCAAAATGGAAGTTCCTTATGTTAGAGAACTTACAGAGAAAAGGAAGACAAAGGAAAATAGGAAGGAGAGTTAAGCTCTGCCTGACACTGTCTACTTAAGTGATGGGTAACTGATTAGGTTCAGTGCTTAGAACTTCATATAATGAGATACAAAATCTCATTACTGACCCACTCTGCCAGCTAGAAGAGCACTTGTAGATCATGGACATTTAGGTGGGGATATAGCCACCTTTGATCCTTTCTGTTCACTAGATTAAGCCTTGTTGCTAGTACAGGCAGGAGCCAACATACCTTCCACACTCCAGCAATCCTGTACACCTTGGGCTGAGTCATATGCTGAACAGTTATTCATGAATACAGATTCTTACTTAGAACTGAAGAATTACCTGCTCCAAACCCTTCATTAGGTAGATAAGAGACTAAGGTCCAAAGGGGATAACTGGCATGCCCAAGGTTAACAGAGCAGAGCTCAAATTAGAATCCACATCACCTGATTTCCATTCTACTATTCTTGCCACATGCCTTGGCACTTGGCAGTGACCTGGGAGTGAATCACTAATAACCAGCTGTGTGCTCTTTTAAAGCTACAGCTCTATTATTCTTTGATGTCCAGATAACAATCTATGCTCCAGCACCTGTTTATAGACATAAGCACACCCATTTTTATGTTTGCTTATCCTCCTATTGAAAAATATTTTAAAAGTTCATTTTAATGCTAAATTTAGGTGTACTTTCTTTGTTAATCTAATTCTTGAGCACTCTGCACCCTTCAGCAGTTCATTTCTGAAAGTTACCTCCACCTAAATAGCTCAAGCATTGTGACAGCTGTGATACAGGACTCATGGAAACTGGGACAAGTGATCAAAAATGTCTGAGGGAGGAACAATAGAGGGGACATTTTAAAGGTAAGCTATTGGATAGTTGTTACCTGTGAGAAAGAAAGAAAAAGGGTTAGGTTAAGAAATGTTAGTTTTTTACTCTCTCAACCCAGCCAAACAACCTAAACTTGAACTGTCCCAAAGGCCTACCAAAATTCTTTAATTTCTTCACTTAAGCTGAGTGCTCTTAATAAGCAAGACTTCTGAGGTGTAGTGCTAGTGATTAATGTTATACACACCCGTTGGCTGACTGGTGAAACCTGCTGCAATAACTAAAAATTATTCTATAAAAATGTATAGACAGAGAGAATGTTAAAGCTAAAAGAGGCCGTTGACTCATTTCTTTGTTTTAGTAGAACAGGTGCAACAGATTGAGGCACTTTAAGACATCTAAATGGCTTTACTAGCAAAGATAAAAATCACACTTGCCTGTACTCAGGGAATTTTATCACATTCTAATTCTTTGTAAATCAGTGAATCCCCTGGTGCAACTTCTAGCCAGATTATCTGGGCTTTGGAATCAGAATTATCTAGTTTAAAATTTAGCTCTGCAGCTTGGGCAAATTACTTACATTCTTTTTTTTTTTTTTTTTTTTTGAGACAGAGTCTCGCTCTGTTCCTCAGGCTGGAGTGCAGTAGTGCAGTCTTGGCTCACTGAAACCTCTGCCTCTCAGGTTCAAGCAATTCTCCTGCCTCAGCCTCCCAAGTAGCTGGGACTACAGGCGTGTGCCACCATGCCTGGCTAATTTTTGTATTTTTAGTAGAGATGGGGTTTCACCATGTTGGTCAGGCTGGTCTTGAACTCCTGACCTCTGGTGATCCGCCCGCCTCAGACTCCCAAAGTGCTGGGATTATAGGCGTGAGCCACCGCGCCTGGCCTACTTACATTCGTTAAACCTCAATTTCTTCATCTTTGAAATCGGGAAAATACCAGCCATCTTGCAGGGCATCTTAAAGGTGAAAATATTTGGCCGGGCGCGGTGGCTCATGCCCACCCAGCTCTTTGGGAGGCCGAGACAGGCAGATCACGAGGTCAGGAGATCGAGACCATCCTGGCTAACACAGTGACGCCCCGTCTCTACTAAAAATACAAAAAAAAAGCCGGGGCGTGGTGGCGGATGCCTGTAGTCCCAGCTACTCGGGAGGCTGAGGCAGGAGAATGGCGTGAACCCGGGAGGCAGAGCTTGCAGTGAGCCGAGATCACGCCACTGCACTCCAGCCTGGGAGACAGAGTGAGACTCAGTCTCAAAAAAAAAAAAAAAAAAAGCGAAAATATTTGCAAAAGTAGCATACATGTACTTCCTTCAGGCCACTTAAAATACTTATGCATGTCTAAATATTTTATATAAGCATACCTACACCTAACTTCTTAAAAATTGAGTATTCTTTTTTTGAGACGGCTGTCGCCCAGGCTAGAGTGCAGTGGCGCGATCTCGGCTCACTGCAAGCTCCGCCTCCCGGGTTCACGCCATTCTCCTGCCTCAGCCTCCTGGGTAGCTGGGACTACAGGTGCCCGCCACCACGCCTGGCTAATTTTTTTGTATTTTTAGTGGAGACGGGGTTTCACCGTGTTAGCCAGGATAGTCTCGATCTCCTGACCTCGTGATCTGCCCGCCTCAGCCTCCCAAAGTGCTGGGATTATAGGTGTGAGCCACTGCGCCCGGCCGAAAATTGAGTATTCTTTTAATGGATTTTAAGATATAAAATCTCAGGCTCAGAAATTTGAGCCACCTAGGGGTGAGAAATTTTGGCCTTTGCCCGCTTCGAACTGACTTAACTAAATTAAATCTATAGAAAGTAAAAAATAAAGGTCTGTGAATGTACCCAGTACTCTCAGGAAGAAGCATATTTGCCATGAAGCTAAAAAAGCTTCAGTTTCACTCCCCTTCCAAGGCTCTGGGGGGTGGGGTGGGGGCGGGAGCTAGCAACGTGCTCACATGGTCATATATTTTTGTAAAACTTATAGAAGATATTTTTGTATTCTTTTTCTTAAAGAAGATATCCAAGATTGTATAAGCTTCAGATCCCAGAAATCCTAGATTTAAAAAAAATAATCAACCACCACCCCAACAAAATTAGGCACATGCCTGAAAATTCTGCTGCTACTGCCAGAATTCTGCGGGTAGGGGCTTCATCCAAGGTGTTCCTAATAATAGGCAGAGTCCCCAGATTAGTTCCGGTGAGGCTTTTGGGAGGGGTTATTTGGCGCGGTGTTGGTGTTGGTAGGATCCTGGCTGTGAGGCTGAGGCAGGCCTGAGGAGGGCTGGGGCTGACAGGTAGGCAGAGTTGGCTGGGATGTGAGGTGCAAGGGGTGGTACTTCGGAAACAAACTTTGAAGAGGAGAAGGGGCAGCAAGACTGTGAGTCTGGACTTTGTGATACACTGTCACCCCTAGTTTAGTGTGCCTGGTTAGGGAGAATCAAGCAGCATGGAACCCCTCTTCCTTTTTCACTAACATTTTTCTGTATAGTGGTTGAAACCCAGTGTTAAGAGACTGCATGACATTGGAAAAGAAGGGGAGGAGAAAAAGAGTCCATATGAGGCAAGAACAGAACGCAGCCAGAATTAGGGCAGGCAGGGAAAGGAAGGGAGTGAGATGTGGGAGTCGGGGGGGAGTTGAGGTAACCTGCATTTTATATGCTAGAGCTACGTATTTTAGATGCAGGGGCAACTGTTTCGGTCCAGGAGTGGAAAGGACTGTAGAAGCAATCTAGCACAGCTGTTTCTCACTTGGGAAAACTGAAGCCCTCAGAGGCAGAGGGAGGAATGGGGAGCGGCCAGGCCAGGACAGGACTCAGCCCCCAGTTCCTCTTCTCAGGCGTCCGATTCCTTCTGATCTTTCTCTCCTGCCCTCTCTGTTACTGCTTCCTCCTGTTCTTACCCTTATATACACTTGAAGTTTTATCCCCATTTTTTATGCTTATGGGATTGTACACTTTCTGGTTCTCTCTCAAGTCCAACCAGTATGTGGTAACCTGTCTCTTCCCACTTCATTTGTGGCACTGGTTTGCAGTGGACAAAAGGTCCGTGCTCCTCTTCTAACCTAATCTGGACTGGGTTGCCCAAAGGTTGCCCTGCCACACTGCCAAGTGCCTAATTAGCTGTTTTCTCTCCAACCCCTCCAAACACTTATCATGAGTAATTTCTCTTGTCTTTAGAGTTGCCAAATCTAATCTCTGTAAATACAAATGTGGTGAGACTTCTTCTCAGGAGTTTCAGCAAATGAAACAATAAACTCTTTTTTACCCTGCTAAGATTCTAAAGATAACCATGAGAATACTCCTAATTATCCTTATAAATTTGAATAAGTGTGGTTGTTGGGTTCTCTCACCCTTTTTATATCCCTTCAAAAGAAAATACAAGTTTGAATTCTATAAAATATTTTTCTGGCCGGGCGCAGTGGCTAACGCCTGTAATCCCAGCACTTTGGGAGGCTGAGGTGGGTGGATCACAAGGTCAGGAGTTCAAGACCAGCCTGGCCAACATGGTGAAACCCCATCTCTACTAAAAATACAAAAGTTAGCTGGGCGTGGTGGCGGGCGCCTGTAATCCCAGCTGCTCAGGAGGCTGAGGCAGGAGAATCACTTGAAACTGGAAGGCAGAGGTTGCAGTGAGCTGAGATGGCACCACTGCACTCCAGCCTGGGCGAAAGAGTGAAACTCCATCTCAAAAAAAGAAAAAAAAAATTTCTAATATTTATGGAATGCACTCTCTTATATACCAACATACATTTGTAGCATTTTTTTTCCTTCAGAGTATGAAGAAATCAGTAAAAATGGGCAAAGCACAAATGACAACTAATGGATTTTGTTAAGTCCTATGTGTCACTTTAAGAACTTGAAACTGGCTCAAATAAAAACCATTTTATTTGGTTATTAAAATGAGACTTAAAAACTTAAAACAAGATTTTAAGTGATCTTAAAATGTCTTATCCTACAGAAGATTTTAGAGGCAATGTAGTACAAAAAGCTCTTCCTTTTCTCTGAAGAATTTATTGAGTGCTTTGGGAGTAGGGTGAGTTTTTTTTTTTTTTTTAACATATGTTTGATTCAATTAAGCAAAAATATTGTTTCATGTCTCACTGAACTGAATACATTCTACTATCCATTGGTTTTCAATGTTCACTTATTTATTTTATTTTAGTAGAGACTGGGTCTCACTGTGTTGTCCAGGTTGGGTTTTCAAATTTTATGTCTAACACAGTGTGCTAAATACAACTGAGTTTCATAAGCCATTTTTCCCACTTCTGTACATGGCACTGGTCTCAACCTGTATCATGCATAAGAATTACCTAGGATGCGGCCGGGCGCGGTGGCTCACGCCTGTAATCCCAGCACTTTGGGAGGCCGAGGCGGGTGGATCATGAGGTCAGGAGATCGAGACCATCCTGGCTAACAAGGTGAAACCCCGTCTCTATTAAAAATACAAAAAATTAGCCGGGCGCGGTGGCGGGCGCCTGTAGTCCCAGCTACTTGGGAGGCTGAGGCAGGAGAATGGCGTGAACCCGGGAAGCGGAGCTTGCAGTGAGCCGAGATTGCACCACTGCAGTCCGCAGTCCGGCCTGGGCGACAGAGCGAGACTCCGTCTCAAAAAAAAAAAAAAAAAAAAAAGAATTACCTAGGATGCTTATTAAAAATGCAGATTCCCAATTCCTGAAGGGAGGTCATGCCTTGGCATCTTACTTAGCGAATCAGTGCTATACAGAAAGTATGAGAGACTGGTTCATATCAAAGAATATTGTGAAACTCTACACTATATTTGTGAAGATATAGAAAACCCGTTTTATGGCTAAAAATCATCATTTTACTACTACTAAGCTTCATTATTAGTAGATGGAGTTTTTTTAAAGGGTCATTTTTCACAAAGAAAAATTTGTTTTGTCTTTTAACACTTTAGGACTGTTACTTCATAGTTTATCCGGGGCAGAGAACAACAGCGGGTTACTCTCAAACCTGCTCTGGAGTTTCAGACTAGCAGCTGACATTTTTGGGGACCTTTCTTTAAGCTTGACATTGTAAACACTTTGTATGTATTAACCCACTTAATCCTCAAAACAACCTTGATGAGTAGGTATCCTTATCTTACGGAAGAGGAAGCTGAAGCACAGACAGGGTTAGTGACTTACCTAAGGTCACAGTGCTGGAAGGTAGCCCAGCTGGAATTTGAACCCAGACAGCATGTGGGTTCAGAGTGTTTTCATTTTTAACTACTCTGCTATATTACCCTCTCTAGTTTTCAGTATTCATATTAGCACCTCAGCCTTCCCCAGATGACTACAAATCCCATACATATGTGTATACACACATACCCAGGGTCATTCATGAAATCTGAAACTTCGGGTGTTCAATTTGACTTTATAGAACCTTCTACCTCTCCTGGCTGATAGTATCTCTTTCTCATTTCACAAATTAAACTTCCTATAACACTACCTTAAACATGCCACCCCTGCTCAAAATACTCTGGTGGCTTCCTACGATCTATAAGATGAAAGCTAACTTCCTTAGCTTGCCATTCAAGGCCCTTCACAGTCTTTCCAGTCTTACTGTTTATTCTATCCCTACTTGAGCACAAAGCATTTTTTTCTTTGATCATGCATAGTCCTTCTTTCTTCATTTTTTTAAGTGTACAATTCAGTGGATTTTAGTATATTCAGTGTTATGCAACCATCTCCACTATCTAATGCCAGAACATTTTCATCTCTGCTATCTAATGCCAGAACATTAGAAACCCTGTACCGCATAGTGGCCATTCCCAATTCACCCTTCCTCTTATCCCCTAGCAACCACCAATCTATTTTCTGTCTTTACGAATTAGCTTATTCTGGGTATTTCATATAAATGGAATCATACAATATGTGGCCATTTGTGTCTGGCTTGTTTCATGTCACAATTTTTCAAGGTTCATCTGTGTCGCAGCATGTGATCAGGATTTCATTGTTTTCTTATGGCTGAATAACATTCCATTGTGTGGATATAACATTTTGTGTATTCATTCAATTTGTCCCAATTGGTGGACAACTGGGTTGTTTCCACTTTTGGCTATTATAATAAAGCTATGAACATTTGTGTACAAGTTTTTGTGTGAATCTATGCTTTCAGTTCCCTTGGGTGTAACCCTAGGAATGGAATTGCTGGGTCATATGGTAACTGTGAACTTTTTGAGGAACTGACAAACTATTTTCCACAAGTGGCTGCACCATTTTACATTCCCACCAGCAATGCTTGAGGGTTCCAATTTCTCCGTATCTTCACCAACATCTGTTTGTGTGTTTTTGATTATTGCCATCCTAGTAGGTGTGAAATGATATATCATTGTGGTTTTGATTTGCATTTCCCTAATGACTAAAGATATTAAACAGCTTTTCACGAGCTTATTGGCCATGTATATGTCTCTTTTAGAGAACTGTCTATTCATATCCATTTTGTAAACTGGGTTATCTTTTTATTGTTGAATTCTAAGAGTTCTTTAGACATCTGAATACTAGACTTATGATTTACAAATATTTTCTCCTATTCTGTGGGATAGCTTTTTACTTTCTTGATAGTATCCTTTGGTGCACAAAAGCTTTTAATTTTGATGAAGTCCAATTTATCACTGATCATACCAGCTGGAAATCTACTTTTTTCTATGTCAGCATCTCAATATTACTTGATGATCTGGGGAGAATTTTTGAAAATATAAAAATAATATACATAAAATTTTGATATAAAACAAGAGGGCCAAGACTTGAAGAAATCTGGAGCTTCTGTTGAGACGATGACCTGGGGTCCCAATGATTACTGTTAGGATCTTAATGTACTTAGTGGAAAGGTTGAGAGGCGCTGGCCTACGGCAGGCACTCCTACAGTAAGACTGAACCTAAACTGACATTGGTCAGTTTACTTGGGAAGTTGACCATATGTTTTTTGTTTGTTTTCTCCCAGGCTATAGTACAGTGGCGTGATCTTGGCTCCCTGCAACCTCTGTCTTCCAGGTTCAAGCAGTTCTACTGCCTCAGCCTCCTGAGTAGCTGGGATTACAGGTGTGTGCTACCACACCCAGTTAGTTTTTGTATTTTTAGTAGAGATGGGGTTTCACCATGTTGCCCAGGGTGGTCTCCAACTCCTGACCTCAAATGATCCGCCCACCTTGGCCTCCCAAAGTGCTGGGATTACAGGCGTGAGCCATGGTGCCTGGCCGATGGTATACATTTTAAAAATAAATGTATGCTATCTAGGAGTTCCCATGTTTTGCTATTATTTCCTATTCTTTCAGAGCACCAATAGTCAATGAAGAATTAAAAGTGAAGTCAGATTATCCTTTAGCTAAAGAATGGGGATTTCTAGTAGTACGGTTCAATATTTTTGGTCAGGGCCCCATATGTTTATACTCCAACTTTAATCAATCTTTTCCACTTCTGACTGAGGGATATGCTGTAGGAACTTTATGTGTACTATTTCAGTTGGCCTCTGCTGGCTTATAAACAGTAGTTGATATTTAGGGACAGTAATCCAGAGTAGTGTCCAAGTCCATCTGAGTTTAGAATTGCTACCACAGCAGAAATTGGAAACCTCGAGAGTTATAAGCCATTTACCACATCTACATGGATGCCACTTCTCCTTAAAGCATATACAAATATATAGAGATCGGAACTTTAACCTTCTGGGATCTAATATCTTCCTAAGATTTGCATACAGAATGTACACATGGATCTTCTATTATAGCAAATTCTTTTTTTTTTGAGACGGAGTTTTTGCTCTTGTTGCCCAGGTGGAGTGCAATGGCGCGATCTCGGCTCACTGCAACCTCTGCCTCCCGGGTTCAAGTGATTCTCCTGCCTCAGCCTCCCAAGTTGCTGGGATTACAAGCGCCTGCCACCATGCCCGGCTAATTTTTTGGATTTTTTTTTTTAGTAGAGACAGGGTTTCGCCATGTTGGCCAGGCTGGTCTCAAACTCCTGACCTCAGGTGATCCACCCACCTTGGCTTTCCAAAGTGCTGGGATTACAGGTGTAAGCCACCGCGCCTGGCCAGCAAATTCTTAATTGCCTGTAAAATTACTATCTCACTATGTATTATTTTCGGAAGCAGATATGACCGTGTACAGTTTTCTTATAAAAGTGCCATAGCAACATGAATACTCAGTACTGACAAGCATCTTTAATTGACAAAAGCTTTTTTTTTTTTTTTTTTTGAGACGGAGTCTCACTCTGTCCCCCAGGCTGGAGTGCAATGGTACGATCTCGGCTCACTGCAACCTCCCCCTCCCAGGTTCAAGCGATTCTCCTGCCTCAGCCTCCCGAGTAGCTGGGATTACAGGCGTGCACCACCGTGCCCGGCTAATTTTTGTATTTTTAGTAGAGACAGGGTTTCACCATGTTGGTCAGACCAGTCTCAAATTCCTGACCTCAGGTGATCCACCCACCTCAGCCTCCCAAAGTGCTGGGATTACAGGCATGAGCCACTGTGCCCGGCCATGACAAAAGCTTTTTATTTTTAATTTAATCTTAGCCTATGGTTAAAGTGAAGCATTTAAATAGCCTACTTGATGACTTCATGTGAGCCAAGAACAAAACCTGGGTCTGATAATCTTCTACCTACTCTCTGACAAACTGTCCCTACAATTATAATGCAATGACATTTCTATGAGCAGCCTCTATTACTAACAGTTATTATACACTTGGTTCTTATACAGAATACTTCATTCAAGATGTCCAGAGCTTCATCTAGCTCACTATCTTCAAAGCTTCTGCTTGCAAAGGGAGGAACTTACACCATCAGTCCATTTTAAGCCAAAAGGAAATTCTTACCCAGAAATTAATTACTTATCCTTTTTTTAGTGTGTTACTCTCCACACCCCCTTCCTGTTTTGAAAGCAGGGAGAAATAATGATGTATACAGTATCTTCTGAACTATACAAATTACAGATAAGCTTTAAAGGTCTCTAGGAAGCTACTACTGTTTCACCATAAGAACTCCAAGTGGGCCCTAAATCTCCTGGTCCTTGACTTCAGCCACTGCTAGGAAAATGTCAATACACACACACTCCTATCTTAAAAACTCTGTGCTTGAGAAGAAGGATGGTTTGCTTTGATATTAGACTAGCTTTCCCTGGCAGCTGCAACTAGGGAACCTAATTTTTGTTAAAGCTACAAGTCACAATTTATTACTTATATTAAGAAACGTAAGGAGATCAATCAGGAGAATGCTATATTGCTTAAGGTGGTTGATGCAACACAAAAAAGATGGAGCCATTAGTCCAATAACCTTATTAAAAAAATTCCTCCTCTGGGTGTGGTGGCTCACGCCTGTAATCCCAGCTACTCCGGAGGCTGAGGCAGGAGAATTGCTGGAACCTCGGAGGTGGAGGTTGCAGTGAGCTGAGATTGTACCTCTGCACTCCAGCCTGGGCAACAAAGTGAGACTCCATCTCAAAAAAAAAACAAAAAACACAACTCCTCTGTATCTAACCTTCTTATCAAAAGTGTGAAACAGATGGTGTATGTGATGATCATGATAATGAACATAATAACAATGTGAACATAATAACAATGTGAACATAATAACAACAACATCTCTTTATTCCTCAGATAACATCCAGAGCAGGAACTCTGGAGTCAGGCAGAACTGAATGTGACTTTAAGCAAGTTACTCAATTTTTGTAGGCCCAACTTTCCTATCTGTCAGGCCTACAAATGGGAAAAACTAAACCATAAGGAATCTAAGAGTTTTGTTTATTCCAAAGAGTACAGGATACAATGACCTTTCTTTTTTTTTCTGTCACCCAGGCTGGAGTGCCATGGTGCAATCTCGGCTCACTACAACCTCTGCCTCCTGGGTTCCAGCGATTATCCTGTCTCAGCTTCCCAAGTAGCTGGGACTACAGGCATGTGCCACCATGCCCAGCTAATTTTTATCTTTTTAATAGAAATGGGTTTCACCATGTTGGCCAGGCTAGTCTCCAACTCCTGACCTCAGGTGATCTGCCTGCCTCGGCCTCCCAAAGTGCTGGGATTACAGGCGTGAGCCACCGCGCCTGGCCAATGACATTCCAAAAAGGTACTATCAGGACATCAAGTACTACAAAATAGGCACCGGAAGAAATATGCTAAATTAGTAATCCTCAAACTCTAGAGTAATAAGTATAACCTGGCTTGCTAGAACAGATTACTGGGCACTATCCTCAGAGTTTCTCAATCAGTAGTTTTGGAGTAGACCAAAGAATCTGCATTTCTAACAGGCTCCCATAAGATACAGATGCTGTTGGTCACAAGACCATACTTTGTGTCTCCTTGGAAAGGGAGAAAATAAATATTTATTGACAGGGAAGGGAAGAACAATTATTTAAGATGATCTTGGGTCAAGCATGGTTAAGTGTTTACATAGTTTATCTTATTTAGTCCTTACAACATCCCAATGAGCAACAGTTCTCAAACTTTTCCAGGCCAAAGGAGAATGAACACATCACAAAAGAGTATGCCTAAGCAGTCTTCTAGAAATAGAAAATTTCTTTGATGACTGTATTACTTTAAAAATTCATATAAATTTTGTATTCTGTTTCAAAATACTGCTGCTAGTTATGAATGAAATATAAATCTAAAAATATTTATCAGATAAATTGCTTAACTCTTCATTGCAATTCTTTAGTAAAATTGGCCTGTGGGAATATAAAGAAATGGGTGGTTGAACTCTGGTAATGAGCTTATGGTGAAACAGCTAGTACATATTTATTTGATCCAGCATTTGAACCTAGGCCAGAAGATCTCTAAAGACAATGCACATGTTACTACCTTACTCTGTCATTGACCTCCACCTACATAAAAGGCCTATCATGTTTTTCTCTACTGCTCTTTTACGATCTTCTATTGTTCTGGTTAAAGAGGACTACTTGCTGTTCCTCAGATTTTTCTCAAAATTTTTTTTTCTTTTTCCTTAGATTCAGGGACAGACAGGGTCTTACTCTTCCTGATCTCCAGATTACTCTTTGTAGCTGGAAAGCTCCTCCGCTTTCATCTCTACTTTACTAGAATCTTACCATCCCCTTTAAGGCCCAGCTAAAATGTCACTTTCTTTCAGAAGACCAAATACCATTATTGATTGATTGATTGACTGACTGAGACAAGGCCTCACTCCTGTTGCCCAGGCTGGTGCAGTGATGTGATCATGGCTCACTGCAGCCTTGACTTCTGGGGCTCTGGTGCATCCTCTCACTTCAGTCCCCTGAGTAGCTGGGACTACAGACACATGCTACCATGCCCAGCTAATGCAAATATCATTTTTAAAAGGCGACTGAACTGGACGCCTCATATGAGCTCCCATGGCTGCCCAGACATGCTTTCATGTCAGTGATTATATAATTTTTTTTGTAAATTAGCTTATGCAAATAATCTTGTGGACCCTAACTTATACATGCTTCTGCAAAGAAACATGTTTAACGATAAAGTTATACTGGAATTCAAAACATGATGTTTTATGGAATGTAAGACATTGGGGTATAGATAAAAAGTGGTTGGAAAAAATATATATATTTATTTTTAGAGATGAGGTCTCCTTCTGTCATCTAGGTTGGAATGCAGTGGCATCATCATAGTTCACTGCAGTCTCAAATTCCTGGGCTCAAATGATCCTCCCACCTTGGTCTCCTGAATAGCTGGGACTACAGGTGCATGCCATCATGCCTGGCTAATTAAAAACAAAATTTATTTATTTATTTTTGAGACAGAATCTTGCTCTTTTGCCCATGCTGGAGTGTAGAGGTATGATCTTGGCTCAATGCAGCCTCAACGTCCTGAGTTGAGCGGAGGACCCCGGGCTCCAGTGATCCTTCCACCTCAGCCTCCCAAGCAGCAGGGACTACAGACATATGCCACCCAGCCCAGTTAATTTTGTTCACTTTTTGTAGAGATGAGGTATCACTATGTTGCCCAGGCTGGTCTTGAACTCCCGGACTCAAGTGATCCTCTTGCTTTGGCCTCCCAAAGTGCTGGGGTTACAGGCGTAAGCCACCGTGCCTGACCTGGAAAATTGTATTTAAAAGAAATTCTTGGCCAGGGGCAATGGCTTATGCCTGTAATCTCAGCACTTTGGGAGGCTGAGGCTGGTGGATTGCTTGAGCTCAGGAGTTTGAGACCACCCTGGGCAACACGGTAAAACCCTGTTTCTACAAAAAATACAGAAAAAATTAGCCAGGCATGGTGGCTCACGCCTGTAGTTCCAGCTACTCAGGAGGCTGAGGCTAGAGAATTGCTTGATCTGGGAAGCAGACGTTGCAGTGAGCTGAGATTGCACCACTGCACTCCAGCCTGAATGACAGAGTAACACCATGTCTCAAAAAAAAAAAAAAAAAAAAAGAAAGAAAGAAAAAGAAATTCCCAAACGGGAAGGTTTAGATTATGATGAAATTTGTGGCTATGAACTAGAATAAAGTCTAAACATGTAGAAGTAATATACCTAGACTTTTAAAATTGGAAGGGTCCTTGAAAGTCATTTAGGACAGTCTCCCTATTTTATAGCAGTAGAATTTTTGGACCCTGCTTTGTATTATGGTCAGAAGTCTCTTTGTTTCATTAATGCTGCTTAATTTTCATCTAGCTTACCTTTGGTCTCTTTATATTGTGATTCCAGTGCTACCTGAAGAAAGCTTTCTGCACTGAATAATGGATTTTTTTCTGAAGGGCCAGACCTGACTTTGGTCCAAAGGGAACTAAACTGCAGGACCTCCTTTGATTTTAAAGGTCGCTAACTTTAGTGATGCTAATTCTGAACCTCTGAGGGATGAATTGTTACCCCCAGCTGCAATTTTTGATCAGTCTAACAGCCAAGCCACCATCATGGCCAAGACTAGGGAACACTCACAGTAAGCAGGGTGGCCATCTGCTCCATTTGGCCAGCTCTAGCTTTGGACACTGAGAGGTGGCTCATATACTGATTGCATCTTGGTTTAACCACTGAGAGTGAAAAGAGAAAAGGACACCAAGGGCATTTATCTTTTCCAGCCCCACATGCTCCTCCCAATCTCAGCGGTAAAGAGCAGGAACTCTGGAGTCAGGCAGAACTCAGTGTGACTTACTCAATCTTTGTAGGGCTGACTTTCCTATCTGTACCAGGAGATCTTAACAGCACTATAATTACCTCACGGGTAACTGGCAGGTTTAGGTGGGGAACTGCCTGTTGACCATTTAGGACAATGTCTGGTACACAGAAAATCCTTAATAAATGCCAGCTATTACTATTATCAAGGGGTAGCAACATTAACATACCCAATCAACGTGAATAAGATCCTCTTCTCTGTATAACCTTTTCCATGGCATTTCATTCCCTCCCTGAGTCAGTTATGATACCAATACTGTCTCCTAAAACTCTGTCTTTAGCCCAGCTTCTTTCCTGAGCTCAAGACCAGGCTTCACAACTCCCAAGATACCTGGAAGTGCCCTTGGAACCTAAAGTGAACCCCAAACCAGATCATTTCCTGGCACTTAAGAGTATCTGATCCTCCACTTGATCTCTGGCATTGGTCAAAGATACCCTTATCTTTCCAGCTACTCAGGCAGGAGGATGGAGTCTTTTTAAAATTACGACTTTATCCTCCAGCTAATAAGTTGCCAAGTCATTCATTCATACATTCACCTATTCAAGTATTTATCGAGCCTTTTCTACAAGCCAAGTAATGTGTTAAACTCTGGGTACACTGTGGTAAACAAAACTTCCATGGTTTCTGTCCTCATCTACAAATATATAATTACAAAGTGTAATATATACTTGGAAGGAAATTCCGGTCAGTATGAGAAAGTGTAACAGGGGACATAATTGAACATGAGAGTCAGGAAAGAACTCAGAGGAAGATGAAAAGGAGTTTGTCAGGTGACTGAAGGGCACTCCAGGCAGCAGGTAAGCGTGTGCAAAGGCTCTGAGGTAGGGAAGCCTTCATGCCTTTCCTGAGGAACTGAACAAAGGCCATGTGGCTAAAAGGTTGTCAGCTTGCTTGGGACGAGGCTGGGGCAGCAGGCAGGGGCTTACCAGCCAGGTATGGAAGCCCCTGAAGGGTTCTGAGCAGGAGAGGCACAGGATCGGATCACTCTGGCTGCTTTTGGAGAGTGGACTGAGGGGGCAAGAACAGAATTAGAGACTAGTCAGGAGGCTACTTGGGTGGTGCTGGTGACAGATGGTTAGTGGCTGTGGTGATGGAGAATAGTAGATGGATCTGAGACACAATCCAGAGGTTGTATTGATAGGATTGGGTGACTGGGATGTGGGGAGTGAGTGAAGAAAGGCAACAAAGCTGATTCTTGGGTTTCAGGCATGAGCAGCTGTGTAGATGACTGTGTCTACAGAATCTACCTTTCAAAAGGTTCCGGTATTCCTAGACCATCTCACAGGAGATGCCCACTTTCTCCTCTCAGCACAGCCACCCTGCCTCCAAGTCATTATAACTTCCTCTCTAGATCACTTCTTTCTCCTTAGTTTCCCTACTACTTGTCTATGCTGACTTCAAATCACCCCAGGCTGTATTATCTTTTTAAATACAGCTCCAGCCATATTATTCCCCACTCAAAAATCTCCAATGTTCCCTATCACCTACGTGAGTACTAACTCTTTACCTTGGCTTTAAAGGCTCTTTAACCTACAGTTCCAGCCTGATTTTCCATCACTTCTTTAAAGTCCTGTTTTAGTCACACTAGACTACTGACTGTTCCTTGGCTGTGTTGCCACATTCACACCTCAGTGCCTCTGCTCATGCTATTCCTTAAGTCTTACCATCTCAGCATGCTGAAACCTTACTCATCTTTAAATGAAATGTCCCATCTTTAAATCTCACAAAGCTCTGTACCTCTCTTATGGTGCTTAAAATTTATTGGGGTTATTAGTATACTTATCTCAGGCCCATTTCCTATACCCTAACAGACCATAATACCTTTGAGTGCAGGGCTCCTGACTCATACTACACCCACTGCTCCTGCCCTTGCAGGGTTAAGAATACTGCTTTACCTGTAGTAGGTGCATGTTACTGAATTTATATGAGCAATTCATGGTATTAGTTACATTAAGGAGTGATGAGATCCAAGCTGTTGAAGGGGAGATGTTTTCTGGTAGTATTTGCCAGCACCAGGGCTCATGGCAAAATTCCTCTTCAGCATCCTTCCATCAAACTCCTTGCAAGCATACACCACACAAACATAAACACACTCCTTTTACAGTCTTCTGACTGCTCAAAATACTCCAGTGCAGCAGTCCACATAAGCTTACTTTTTCTTTGAAGTATTGAATATTAAAAATTGCAGCCTCGGCTGGGCGCGGTGGCTCATGCCTGTAATTTCACGCCTGTAATTCCAGCACTTTGGGAGGCCGAGGCAGGTGGATCACGACGTCAGTAGATTGAGACCATCCTAGCCAACATGGTGAAACCCCGTCTCTACTAAAAACACAAAAATTAGCCGGGTATGATGGCGTGCACCATAGTCCTAGCTACTCAGGAGGCTGAGGAGGAGAACTGCTTGAACCTGGGAGGCGGAGGTTGCAATGAGCCGACATCGAGCCACTGCACTCCAGTGTGGGTGACAGAGCGAGACTCCGTCTCAAAAAAAAAAAAAAAAAAAAAATTGCAGCCTCTAACTCAAGATTTTTCAAACTGTTGTAACTCATTAACAAGTCATGAAATCAACTTAGTGAGTTATTATTAAGGGCAAGTATTCTTTCCTGAAACTTGTTTCAAATACGTGTATACACATACAAGTCTGTGTGTTCTGGGTCACAATGTAAAACATATTTCTTACGATGGATCTTAGTCAAAAAGGTTTAAAAGCCAGTGCTTTAATGCTCTGCATTCCACCCCAAGATCAGCACACAGAACTGAAGTAAAAAAAGTAAGATGTTAAGAAAATAGTAATTAGACTATCTGATTAAAACGTACACTTGAAAATGTGAATGATATACCTAACTCTTCCCTTGGGGTATTTGCATTTAGGGAGGTGTTTTTAACCTGAATTAATCTAATCAGTGGAAAGTGAACCAGAAATCATTTTGGACTACAGGCTTTCTTGGTACCTCCAGCAAGGATTTCCTCCAGTATCCCAGTTCCCTGAGAGAGCTGGGTTCAAGAACCAGGAACTCCACTGCTGAAAGGCTACTGGTTTCTAGGTTACAATACACAGAAATGGTAATAACCTTTGTAAGGGAAACATATTTACAACCAAAATGCACTCCTACCACGCACACATCAAGCTTAATCAATTTATATTTATATGTATGTATTTAAACTGTGCCTACTAGGAATACAATCCTACCCGTCCACATGATGAGCTATACCTGATAGGAGGCAAGTTGAAGCCCCAAGTTGATCTAAAAATGAGAAATACTATGAATTACTGAAGGCAACAGGGTATGTGAGATAGGAAGGCAGGGTGTGGGAAATGGTAGAATGAGCAAGGGGGCTCGGGAGTGTGGTAGATGCATTACACCAAGTGTTTATTACTTTGATGATTGGTGGTAATGAGAGAAGATGAGAGAAGAGGAGTGGGATATGGAGAAAACAATTTCCTAGTCATCTGTATGCCCCGTGACAGTACACAGCAATAGCCCAGCAGGAGTGCACAGGCAATATGTGATTATGTCAACAAACAAAAGTTGAATTCTTTATGTCAACAAACAAAAGTTGAATTCCAAGTCCTAATTCCAGCCCTAACTCCATTTAACAGATTGCCCCTTATAACTGGTTGCTACTTGTGTTACATTCTGAATTTATTGTTGAGAAACCAACAGTTTCCTAACTAATGAATGTAATACAATTTTTTTTTTTTTTTGAGACAGGGTCTTGCTCTATCCTTCAGGCTGGAGTGCAGTGGTGCCACGGCTCACTGTAGCCTCAAACTTCCAGGCCCAAGTGATCCTCCCACCTCAATCTCGGGAGTAGCTGGGACCACAGGCATGGCATGAGCCACCACGCCCAGCTCATTTTTTTATTAATTTTTTTTTTTTTTTTGGAGACAGAGTCTTGCTCTGTCACCCAGGCTGGAGTGCAGTAGAGCTAACTTGGCTCACTACAACCTTCACCTCCAGGGTTCAAGTGATTCTCCTGCCTCAGCCTCCCAAGTAGCTGGGATTACAGGTGCCCACCACCATGCCCAGCTAATTTTTATACTTTTAGGAGAGATGGGGTTTCACCATGTTGGCCAGGCTGGTCTCAAACTCCTGACCTCAAGCGATCTGCCCACCTTGGCCTCCCAAAATGCCAGGATTACAGGCATGTGCCCCTGCGCCTGGCCTAATTTTTTGTAGAGACAAATAAAATGTTGCCCAGGCTGGCCTCAAGCGTTCCTCCCACCTTGGCCTCCCAAAGTGTTACGATTATAAGCATAAGCCGCTGCGTCCTGTCAAATGTAAACACTAATTGCTAATTACAATGTCAAAAATAACTGGGTCAGAAACAAGGATGAAAGAGTAGGAAGTTCAAAGCTGGTGTAGTGCAAATAAGCCTAGACTAGGGTGCTGATAAATTTGGATGATGTCTGGGTGACACTGAGCAAACTGCACAACCCCAGTTCCATTCCATCTTTAAAATCTTACGATTCCACAGAGGAAGAAAAAGGTGATCTTTATTTGGAAGAAAGGAAGATCTTGGTTTGATATGTAATAGGAAAGTAACAATGCTATTAGGCAAGGTTGTTTAAATATGAATTAATGCCTATCCCATTATCTAGATTGGGTTAACACCCTCTGGTGATATTATATATCAGTGTTTCTACTGAATACTGGATAAACGCCAAACTTCTCTCTGGCATTTAAGGCTTTCCACACCTGCCCAACTTTATCTCAAACTTCTCATGGTTCAGACCTCTAACCCTCTGCTCTAGCCCCAGTCCTGTTTCCTTATCACCACTTACAGCTTTTGCTTAATCCTTCCCACTCACCCGCTCCTAAAGTTCTATAACCTTCATAAAACGTTCCAACTGCTTAAATTTTATGTATATATATGTACAGGTACTTCCCAATCTTGGCCCTTCTACAGGACTTTATGGCAATCCTATGTGGTAGGCACTGTTGTCCTCATTTCATAGATAAGGAAATTAGGCCCAGAGGGTTTTGCGGCCTGCGTAGGGTCCTTCAGTTTGTGAGCAGCAACAAGGCTGGATCTGATTTGTTTGCCTTCAAAACCCATACTTTTTTCCATTGTACTATGCTACCTCCATGTATTAAACCATGGAGTGAGGATGCGGTAAAAAAGCCTATAAACCAGTTGTAATACAGCTTGTTGTGGCATAAATTCAGATACACCACATCCTTTGAACCACACGTGTAATAAACGCTTGGAATAGTATGGATCGATTTTAAGGAGGTTGTTAGTCCTGTTTCCCAAGTCCAGCATTAAAATGATATTCCAGGGTAAATGACAGGTAGGTGGCTTGGAAAATAAAAAAAGCAACATGGTATAAAAAGAAAATAGTAGGACTGGGACAGAAAAGAGACGAAAGTATAATATAAGCTGGCAATAAGCAAAACAGGCGCTCAGAATATGAAATATGGAATATGGGGCTGAAAAGGCCGAAAGGGCTAAAGTTAGGGGCCCTATGCCTACCGATGAGATGCGCGCGTGTGCGGGGTGGTTATTAATGACAGAGCAGGACACATGGCCAGACAGTGGAACTCAACAGAGCGACAAATAAAGACAGGTCGTGGGAGCAAGGGTAGAGCCTGGCACAAGAGGGCGGGGGCCCGACTGAGAGGCCAGAGGGCATGGCAGGGGTTGAAGAGAAAGATGAAGAGGTTCAGAGGGCACAGCGCCCCAGACTCGAGACAGGACTTCTGTCTTCCCTCAGTAGCTGTTGGTGTGCTTCAGGATTCACACCCGCACCCGGCACAGCCCTCCCGGGTGGCTCCGGGAAGAGAGGGAGGTCCTGTCCCCATTCCTCCCCTACTCCCCGGGGACTCCGCGAGGGGCGGAGGGAGGCAGGAGGGTCCTTACCCAGGAAGATGGAGATGATCAGCCGCAGCGCCTGTTCTGACGCGCCCAGGGACGTCGCCAACTTGTTAAGGCTCAGCTCCTGGAAACCCGACTGCAGAACCCCCGCCAGCGCCACCACAGTCCCCTCGTCCCCCTCCGCTGAGGACGCCATCTTAACTCCGGGAGCCCCACAGGGACCCCCCAGCTCCGCGCGCCCCGAATGCGGGCAAAACGCTATCGCTTCACCCCCAATTCCGGCTCGGGGCCCGCCCACGGCGTGCGCATTGGCTGGAGGCCCGCCCCGCGGCGCCAGCTCACCCCGTTATTGGCCGACCTGCGCAGAGGGCGGGGCCTAGCGCGGCAAGGTAGGAAGAGGGCGGGTCTGAAGGTTTGTAAGGCAAAGGTGACTCCTGCCGAGAATGCACACGGGGAGGCTCAGGGCTGGGCGGGGCTTGGCGTCGGGACCCAGAGCTGCCATTGGAAAGGTCTGAGCCCGTGGCCCGGCGACAGTTCAACTCCGTTCGAAATGCTCCCAGGAGGAGCCCTCCGGGGCGACCGTCCGGCCGGCCGGTTCGCTGCCTTCCCATTGGCTGAGGCGGGAGCAGGCGAGAGTCTGGACGCGGGGGGGCCGCCCGCGCGCGAGGTTACTCCCGGTCGCCGGCGCTGGGGTTACTGGGGCATGTAACGGGGAGGCGGGAACGCCCGCGCCGCCTTTCGCGCGCCCCCTAACGGCGCCTCCCGGCCCGTTCTTAAATTCTTAGGTTGTTAGACTCGTCGCCTTCACTCCCGGAGGTTCAGCGGAAAGCCCAGTGCCCCAGGAACAGACATTGTCTGCTCCTTTTATTTCATGGATCCCTTTTCCATGCAGTTTCCTGTAGTAAAACATGACCTTCCCCCTAGAGGCGATGAAATTAAGATATGCCTATTTAACACTTATTATTTTAATTAAAAATTCAAATAATTTTGCACTGAGTAATACATGTTTATGATAAAAGTTATAACAGTATAGAAATGTAAAACAGAAGAGTCCTGTTTCCCCTCCCTGCTTTTCATTCTCACTTCCTACAGGTAATCCTGTTAAGATTACGCCAAAAAAAAAAAAAAAAAAATCTGTCGAGCACTTACCATATGCCAGGGACTGTGCTGGGCTTGGGAATAGAATCAGGAGCCCAGAGCCACGGAGTGGGAGGATGCACAAATAATAGCATCAATTAACGTGTTATTGCAAGAGAAGGTAAGTGCTCTGAAGGAAAGGGTCAAGGTTCTGTGAGAGTATGTAACAAAGGAATGCTAAGAGTTTCTTGCAATAACTCTTAGTTACAATAATTTGTGGCGCATTCTTGTAAAATTACAGCTTATACTTCTGTAGCACTTGCACTTTATAAAGCACTTTCATCCGTATTATTTCACTTGCTTTGGCTGCGCAATAGAATATTTATTATGATGATGTCCTCTTACAGACACAGAGGCTTGGAGAAATTAAGAAACTGGGTAAGTTCCTTTACAAGTAAGCGGCAGACAGAATTTAAACCTAGGTCTGTCAAATTCCCTACCCCTACTCCCATTTTGGGCAAGATTTTAAAAAACAAAATATTTCATTCACACGGAAAAGTAGAGGATAATATAACTTCTCCAGGTTAAGAAACAAACATCACCTATACATTTGAAAAGCCGGTATATCCCTTCCTGAGGGCATTTCCCTCCTTCCTTTCTCAGAGGTCACCACTTTGCTGACTTTGGTATTTATCAATCCCATGCCTATTTTAATACTTTACATACAGCATATATCCAGAAAGGAAAATTAGTATAGTTTTGCATGCCTTATATTGGCCGGGCACAGTGGTTCATGCCTGTAATCCTAGTACTTAGGGAGGTTGAGGTGGGAAGATTGCTTGAGCCCAGGAGTTGGAGACCAGCCTGGGCAACATAGACCCTGTCTCTACAAAAAAAATAAAATAAAATTTAGATGAGCATGGTGGAACATGCCTGTAGTCCCAGCTACTCAGGAAGCTAAGGTGGGAGGATCACTTGAGCCTGGGAGGTTGAGGCTGTAGTGAGTCGTGATCATGACACTGCGCTCCAACCTGAAAGACAGAGCGAGACTCTGTCTTGCAAAAAAAAACAAAAATTATATATATAGGCCTGTAATCCCAGCAATTTGGGAGGCTGAGACGGGTGGATCACCTGAGGTCATGAGTTAGAGACCAGCCTGGCCAACATGGTGGAACCCTGTCTCTACTAAAAATACAAAAAAATTAGCCAGGCGTGATGGCCGGCTCCTGTAATCCCAGCTACTTGGGAGGCTGAGGCACGAGAATCACTTGAACCCGGGAGATGGAGTTTCATGTGCGTCCGTGTGAAGAGACCACCAGACAGGCTCTGTGTGAGCAACAAGGCTGTTTATTTCCCTGGGTGCAGGCGGGCTGAGTCCGAAAAGAGAGTCAGCAAAGGGTGGTGGATTATCATTAGTTCTTATAGGTTTTGGGATAGGCGGTGAAGTTAAGAGCAATGTTTTGTGGGCAGGGGTGGATCTCACAAAGTACATTCTCAAGGGTGGGGAGAATTACAAAGAACCTTCTTAAGGGTGGGGGGATTACAAAGTACCTTCTTAAGGGTGGGGGAGATTACAAAGTACATTGATCAGTTAGGGTAGGGCAGGAACAAATCACAATGGTGGAATGTCATCAGTTAAGGCTATTTTTACTTCTTTTGTGGATCTTCAGTTACTTCAGGCCATCTGGTTGTATATGTGCAAGTCACAGGGGATGCGATGGCTTGGCTTGGGCTCAGAGGCCTGACATGGAGGTTGCGGCGAGCCGAGACCATGCCATTGCACTCCAGCCTGGGCAACAAGAACAAAACTCCGTCTCAGAAAAAAAAAAAAAAAAAGCTGGGCATGGTGGCTTACCCCTGTAATCCCAGTATTTTGAGAGGCTGAGGCGGGCGGATCACCTGAGGTCAGGAGTTCGAAACCAGCCTGGCCAACGTGGTGAAACCCTGACTCTACTAAAAATACAAAAATTAGCCGAGCATGGTGGTGGGTGCCTGTAATCCCAGCTACTTGGAAGGCTGAGGCAGGAGAATTGCCTAAACCCAGGAGGCAGAGGTTGCAGTGAGCTGAGATCGCGCCATTGTACTCTAGCCTGTGTGACAGAGCAAGACTCCGTCTCGAAAAAAAAAAAAGAAAATTATATATATATATTTATAACTTCAGTGAAGCCTAAGCATATAGTGTTTATACAGTCCAATTAAACTGCCTTTACAAAATTATGACAGTAAGAGAAATCTGATATAGTTGACTTCATCTTGCTTTTTTTGAGAGTCTTTCTCTGTCACCCAAGCTGGAGTGCAAGCACGTGGTCTTAGCTCACTGCAACCTCTGCCTCCCAGGTTCAAGCAATTCTTGTGCCTCAGCCTCCCAAGAAGCTGGGATTACAGGCATGCACCACCATGCCCAGCTAATTTTTGTATTTTTAGTAGAGATGGGGTTTAGCCATGTTGGTCAGGCTGGTCTTGAACTCCTGACCTCAAGTGATCTGCCCGCCTCAGCCTCCCCAAGTGCTGGGATTAACAGGTGTGAGCCACTGTGCCCAGCCTCCCTCATGCTTTTAACCTCCAAGCTATCTTTGGTCATTCCTGGGCATAAACCAAACTGACTTTGAGAGAAATTTAGTTTATAGTTAAACTTAAAGCAGGGATAATAGCCCTTTCCCAAACTAAGCCACCTTTATAAAACTAATGAAAGGCTGCAAGGTTAGGCTTATGAAAGGGCCCTGAATTCCGCTAAAATGTAGGCATAATTAAGTGATTACCAACCGTTGTTCAGGAGGTCACCAGATTTGTAACTTCCCCAATTACGCCTCTAGATAACATCATATTGTAGAACTTAAGATTGACCTTTTAGGATGTCTTTTCAGATTTTGGCATTTCTGCAAACCCCAGCTGGACTCGTGACTCAGCCAGTCCTATGGACCCCACCCAGAGGTGGAGTCAGGGCATGAGGATCATTTGCCATACCTCTATGATTGCATCCCCAACAAAGCAGCAGCACTTATACCGTAGGCCCCTGCCCACCAAACTGTCTTTGAAAAATCCTAGCCTCCAAATTTTCAGGGAGATTGATTTGAGTAATAGCTTCATGTACCATGTGGCATGGTCAGCCTTGCATCAATTAAGATCTTTCTCTAATGCAATGCCATGGTCTCAGTGAATTGATTTTGTCTGTGCAGCGGGCAGGAAGAAGCCCACAGGGCAATTACATATGGTAGTGTATGGCAGTGTCCTAGGCCTTCACATTCACTCTCACACTCTTCACACTCACTGACTAACCCAGAACAACTGCGAGTCCTGCAAGCTCCATTCAGGTAAATGGCCTATACGGCTGTACCATTTTTAAATTTTTAAATTTTTTTAAATTTTTATTGAGATGGAGTTTTGCTCTTGTTGCCCAGGCTGGAGTGCAATGGCACGATCTCAGCTCACTGCAACCTCCACCTCCCGGGTTCAAGTGATTCTCCTGCCTCAGCCTCCCAAGTAGCTGGGATTACAGGCCTGTGCCACCACGCCTGGCTAATTTTGTATTTTTAGTAGAGACGGTTTCTCCATGTTGTTCAGGCTTGTCTTGAACTCCCGACCTCAGGTGATCCACCTGCCTTGGTCTCCCAAAGTGCTGGGATTATAGGCATGAGCCACCGTGCCCAGCCTTTTTAATCTTTTATACCATATTTGTACTGTACCTTTTCTATGTTTAGATGTGTTTAGATACACACAAATAGTTATTACAATTGTATTATTATTGCTCACAATATTCATTATAATAACATGCTGTGCAAGTTTTTAGCCAAGGAGTACTAGGCTATACCCTTGTAAACTAAAAGTAAAATTCGAAGCCCCCACTAACTGACCTAATGGACCCTCTCCTGGCAAAGCAGACCCCAGAGTAACCTTGAAAACTGAGTTCTTGGTCATGATGGGATGAGGTCAGGCACGCCTCCTTATGCTCACCCCTCCCTCCCTAACCGGTTTAGGCTTTCTAACCTAAGGGCTAAACAGAAACTAGCCCTTTCAAAAGACTCTACCAGTGATATCAACCAACTGTCTGATATTGCTCCTCCTTTTATGCCTGATAAGAGACTCTTGAATATGAAGTGGTTCTGACCAGTCTACAGAGAATGCAGTGAGGGTTTTCATGTTCTCTGCTTCACCTTTTGATGCCAGAGGGCCAAAAACTCTACCTTAGATCATCTTAATGCCACCATTTTTTGAACATGGGGCCCGTGGAGAAGCATGAAGCTCAATTGCACATGAGTATGTTTCTCCTTTCATAAAACTCATCACTCCTATAATGTACTAAATACGTACATTTGGCCACCCCACTCAGCATAAATTTCTCTTCCCTTTGGCCCTCCCTTGAAGTATCTGTTTCTGGTTTGTGGCTGGAGGCTGTGCTTCCCCTCCCGTCAGAATGGCCACCCTGCAGGCTGCAACCCTTTATGAGAAATAAAGCTCTCTTTTTTAGATTTATGAACCTCATCACCTGATGAAGCTGGGGACATTGAGCCCCTAAATTCTGATTGATCTTCTTTGCTAGTGAAAGAGGCCTCCCCATCCCCAGTGGAGGCATCCCACCTGAGAGGACTAACCCTGCATTGCCTACGAAACTGTAATGGCCTCCCTGAGGAAGTTGCCATGCAGGACAAAGCAGATGCTCCTCAGGACCCTTCCCCACCTGCCCTCTTTGCTTCTAGACCTGTAACTAGACTGAAATCCCAGCAGGCCCCTAAGGTGAGGGACAAAGTGTGACCCATGAGGAAGTGTGCAACACTCCAAAAGAACGGCTTAAGATGTCTAATTTATACAGACAGAAATTTTGGGAACACGTATGGGAATGGATATTGAAGGCATGGGATAATGGTGGAAGGAACATAAAACTAGATCTGGCCAAATTTATATGGGCTTACTAAATAGAGGTTCTACATTTAATGTTGCAGCTCAGAGAGTTAGGAAGAGCTCTAACAATTTGTCTAGCTATTTGGCTGAGACATGGACCAAAGGTGGGTCATAATGAGTAAATCAGAAATTCCAAACCTGCCTTGGTTTAATGTAGAGGAAGATACTCAAAGGCTTAGGAAGATTGAAAATTTAGAGGAATTGTCATTTAAGAACTATTCACCCACACTGGAAGGATCCGGAAGACATATCTTTCACCATTATTGTAAGAGATAAATTTGTAGCTGGGCATGGAGGGTGATGCTTGTTATCCCAGCACTTTGTGAAGTCCAGTTGGAGAATAGCTTGAGGCCATGAGTTCAAGAGTAGCCTGGGGAGCATAGTGAGACCCTCTCTCTACAAAAATTAAAAGAACAAAACAGGGCTGGGTGTAGTGGCTCATGCCTGTAATTGGCACTTTGGGGGGCCGAGTTGGGTGGATCACCTGAGGTCAGGAGTTCAAGACCAGCCTGGCCAACATGGTGAAACCCCTTCTCTACAAAAATACAAAAAAACAAAAACAAAAACAAAACTAGCCGGGCATGATGGCAGTCACCTGTAGTCCCAGCTACTTGGGAGGCTGAGGCAGGAGAATTGTTTGAATCCGGGAGGCGGTGGTTGCAGTGAGCCGAGATCGCACCATTGCACTCCAGCCTGGGCGACAGAGTGAGACTCCGTCTCAAAAAACAAAAAAACAAAACAGCTGGGCATGGCTGTGTGAACCCCACATATCTGAGATGGTCTCAGTTAATTTAGAAAATTTATTTTGCTAAGGTTGAGGATGCGCACCCGTGACACAGCCTCAGGAAGTCCTGACGACATGTGCCCAACGTGGTCAGGGCACAGCTTGGTTTTATACATCTTAGGGAGACATGAGAACCAATATATATAAGAAGTACATTGGTTCTGTCCAGAAACGTGGGGATAGCTCAAAGCAGGGAGAGGGCTTCCAGGTCACAGATAGGTAAGAGACAAATGGTTGCATTCTTTTGAGTTTATGGTAAGCCTTACCAAAAGAGGCAATCAGATACGCATCTATCTCCATGAGCAGAGGAATGACTTTGAATAGAATGGGAGGCAGGTTTGCCCTGAGCAGTTCCCAACTTGACTTTTCTCATTAGCTTAGTAATTTTGGGGCCCTAAGATTTTCCTTTCACATTTACCCCCTTTTCTTTTCTTTCTTTCTTTTTTTGAGAGAGTCTCACTCTGTCACCCAGGCTGGAGTGCAGTGGTGCAATCTCAGCTCACTGCATCCTCCGCGTCCTGGATTCAAGCAATTCTCCTGCCTCAGCCTCCCAAGTAGCTGGGATTACAGGCACCTGCCACCATGCCTGGCTAATTTTTGCATTTTCAGTAGAGATGGGATTTCACCATGTTGGCCAGGCTGGTCTTCAACTGACCTCAGGTGATCCACCTGCCTCAGCCTCCTGAAGTGCTGGGATTATGGGCATGAGCCACCATGCCTGGCCAGGATCAGCAATGTTTTATGTATGTATTTATTTATTTATTTATTTATTTTTTGAGATGGAGTCTTGCTCTGTCGCCCAGGCTGGAGTGCAATGGCGCGATCTCCGCTCACTGCAAGCTCTGCCTCCCGGGTTCACGCCATTCTCCTGCCGCAGCCTCCTGAGTAGCTGGGACTATAGGCGCCTGCCACCACGCCTGGCTAATTTTTTGTATTTTTAGTAGAGATGGGGTTTCACCGCGTTAGCCAGGATGGTCTCGATCTCCTGACCTCGTGATCCACCCTCCTCAGCCTCCCAGAGTGCTGGGATTATAGGTGTGAGCCACCGGCCCGGCCTCAGCAATATTTTAAACAAAAAGTCAAAAAGATTAGTTCAGTCCATGCAGTTAATTCCTGTTCTGCTTGATATTCATGAACATTTTAGCTCCCCATTAGTCCCAAAAGTTATTCCTCTATTCCAATGTCACAATCTCCAAAGTTATAAAAAAACCTGCATTCAAGAGCACCTGTAGAGTTTTATAGCTGATTATAAAACCACCTTCTAAAGAGGACCAAAACATTACAATTGTCCCTAGAAGACAAAAAGTTTTAGGGCAGCCATAGTCAAAGACACATTGACAAGGAAATTTGTTACTTCTGTGGTACACAATAATTTTAACATAATGATTTTGATTATTACTGATAATGTACACCAAGTCATATCAGAATTACAGGAGTTTCCCATAATTTTGGAACACATACCAATATCATATTTATACAAATACAGTCCAAAGAAAACCAAACACCATTTTATATTTGACAATGCTTCTTGTATCATTTTTGTAACAAATAAACCAAATTATGTCATTTTTAGAATTTAGGGAAACTAATATCTTAAAGGAATAATTAGGTCAGAAAAAGACATAATTTATCATTTGATTTTGGAAAGTTTGTCAAATATCAAAGCTTTACAACACTTGATATCAAAATAGGATCACAGGTCATTGTAAAATAAGTCATACATTTAACCAAAGTGATAACTGAAGGATTAAAAAAAAAAAAAAAGGTAAAAACCTTCATTCTTTGAGAGGGGAGACAATTTTCCAAATGATAAGCCTTAATAAAAACAGCATGAAGCCAATTAAATTTGGTTTTCAAAATTTTATAAACCATCTATAAAATTTTAATCTTGACCATAAAATATAACTTCCATGAGCCTTTTACAACCTTTATAACATTTATTGAGGAGTCAGTTAATGCTTCAAGAAAACCTTGTTAATCTGACACAGGGGCCCATATGCTAGTCTTGCATCAGTGTGTCTTTGACATTCATGATTAATTTATAGAGAAACTGAACTTGTTTTATCTTTCAAAAGCAGCCCTTACAATCTCATGTGCCCACCTCTTCTGCAATAGCCTCTGGACCTGAGGAGTTGAATAGCTTTAATTTCTGGACTTGGTGTCTGTTTTTTTTTTTTTTTTGAGATGGAGTTTCCCTCTTGTTGCCCAGGATGGAGTGCAATGGCACATCTCGGCTCACTGCAACCTCTGCCTCACAGGTTCAAGTGATTTTCCTGCTTCAGCCTCCTGAGTAGCTGGAATTACAGGCATGTGCCACCATGCCTAGCTAATTTTCTATTTTTAGTAGAGACAGGGTTCCTCCATGTTGGTCAGGCTGGTCTCGAACTCCTGACCTCAGGTGATCCACTCGCCTCGGCCTCCCAAAATGCTGGGATTACAGGTGTGAGCCACCATGTCTGGCCGCTTTTTTTCTTGATATTTGTTAGCAAAAATTACTGGAAGCAGTTTCAGTTCAGCCAGCAAAGCCAGAAATAAACCTTCACTGTCCTACCTTAGAGGTATATCAACTCTCCAGCTCATTTTTTTTTTTTTTGAGACAGGGTCTTGCTCTGTCACTCAGGCCGGAGTACAATCATGGTTCTCCATGACTGGAGTGATACAATCATGGTTCTCCATGACTGGAGTGATACAATCATGGTTCACTGTAGTCTTGACCTCCTGGGCTCAAGTGATCCTCCCACCTCAGCCTCTTGAGTAACTGGGACTATAGACATACACTACCATGCACCACCACACCTGGCTAATTTTTATTTTTGTAGAGATGGGGTCTCATTATATTGCCCAGTCTGGTCTTGAACTCCTGGGCTCAAGTGATCCTCCTGGCTCAGACTCCCAAAGTGCTAGGAGTATAGGCATAAGCCACCATGCCTGTCCAACTCCCCAGCTCTATGTCATAATTTAGTTTTCTGGGATCTTGATTACCTTTCCCTTCCACAAGATATCACATTGATTGCCAATTGCAATCACCATTACACTGATGACATTATGCTGATCAGACCTAGTGAACAAGAAGTGGCAACTATTCTAGACCAAGAAGTGGCAACTATTCTAGACCAAGAAGTGGCAACTATTCTAGACCAAGAAGTGGCAACTATTCTAGACTTTTTTTTTTTTTTTGAGATGGTGGCTCGCTTTGTCGCCCAGGCTGGAGTGCAGTGGTGCGATCTTGGCTCACTGCAACCTCCGCTCCCGGGTTCAAGCGATTCTTCTGCCTCAGCCTCCTGAGTAACTGGGACTACAGGCGCCCGCCACCACGCCCGGCTAATTTTTGTATTTTTAGTAGAGATGGGGTTTCACCATATTGGCCAGCCTGATCTTGAACTCCTGACCTTGTGGTCTGCCCACCTTGGCCTCCCAAAGTGCTGGGATTACAGGCGTGAGCCACCACGCCCAGCCTATTCTAGACTTATTCATAAGAAATTTGTGTATCAGAGAGTGGGAAATAAATCTGACAAAAAATTAAGGATCTCTACTTTAGTGAAATTTGTAGGGGTCCAATGGTGTGGGTCATGTTGAGAGATCCCTTCTATAGTGAAGGATAAGTTGTTGCATCTGGCCCCTCCAACAACCAAGAGAGGCACAACACCTAGTGATCTTTGGATCTTGGAGATAACATATTCCTCATTTGGGTGTGTCACTCCAGCCCATTTACTGAGTGACCCAAAAAGCTGCTAGCTTTTAGGGGAGCCCAGAACAAGAGAAGGCTTTGCAACAGGTCCAGGCTGCTGTGCAAGCTGCTGTATCACTTGGGCCGTGTGATCTAGCAGACCCAGTGATGCTTGAAGTGTCAGTGGAGAAAGGGATATTGTTTGGAGCCTTTGGCAGGCCCCTATAGGTGAATCTCAATGCAAATCGTTAGGATTTGGAGCAAAGCCCTGCCAGCCTTGGTGGATAATTACTCTGCTTTTTTTTTTTTTTTTTTTTTTTTGAGACAGAGTCTCACTGTGTCCTCCAGGCTAGAGTGCAGTGGTGTGATCATAGTTCACTGCAGCCTCAACCTCCCAAGGTATAGGTGATCCTCCTGCCTCAGCCCCCCATTGAGGAGCTGGGACTACAGGCGTGCACTATCATGCTAAGTTAATTTTTTTTTTTTTTTTTTTTTTTTTTTTAGTAGAGATGGGGTTTTGCCATGTTGCCCAGGCTGGTCTTGAACTCCTGGGCTCAAATAATCCACCTGCCTCATCCATCCAAAGTGCTGGGATTGCAGGCATGAGCCACTGCACCCAGCCTACTCTGCTTTTAAGACACGACTCTTACTGAATTTATTTATTTATTTATTTATTTAATTTTATTTTTATTTTAAGACGGAGTCTCGCTCTATCACCCAGGCTGGAGTGCAGTGGTGCGATCTTGGCTCACTGCAAGCTCTGCTTCTTGGGTTCATGCCATTCTCCTGCCTCAGCCTCCCAAGTAGCTGGGACTACAGGCGCCCGCCACCACGCCCAGCTAATTTTTTTTTTTTTTTTGTATTTTCAGTAGAGATGAGGTTTCACCGTGTTAGCCAGGATGGTCTCGATCTCCTGACCTTGTGATCCGCCCACCTCGGCCTCCCAAAGTGCTGGGATTACAGGCGTGAGCCACCGCACCCGGCCTCTTACTGAATTTAAACTGCAGGAAAAAAAAAAAGAAAAAGAAACAGCTCTCAGCCTGATACTGAGTCTCCATAGAGACTGAACACTTACCCATGGGCCGCCAAGTTACTATGCAACCTGAGCTGCCCATCATGAGCTGAGTGTTGCCTGACCCACCAAACCATAAAGTTGGGCATACACAGCAGAACTCCATCATCAAATGGAAGTGGTATATACTTCAGTTGGGCTGAGCAGGCTATGAAGGCACAAGTAAGTTACATGAAGAAGTGGCAGGCCGGGCGCGGTGGCTCACGCCTGTAATCCCAGCATTTTGGGAGGCCGAGGTGGGTGGATCACCTGAGGTTGGGAGTTAGAGACCAGCCTGACCAACATGGAGAAACCCCATCTCTACTAAAAATACAAAATTAGCCGGGCGTGGTGGCGCATGCCTGTAATCCCAGCTACTCGAGAGACTGAGGCAGGAGAATCGCTTGAACCCGGGAGGCGGAGGTTTTGGTGAGCCGAGATCGCACCATTGCACCCCAGCCTGGGGAACAAGAGTGAAACTCTGTCTCAAAAAAAAAAAAAAAGAAGTGGCCCAAATGTCCACTGTCGCGCCTCCTGTTGTCACGGGATCCTTGGGGTGTCACTTTGCCCACTGGAAACCTCTGTGGCTGGTGGTGCCTTCTGCCCGAGTACTGCTCATGCCCACTGGGCTTGTTCTGCCCACTTGGCCTGGCAGGTTGTGGTCAGCTCACACTACTGGCCCGGATCCCACACCTGCCAAGGGTGAGCCAGGTGCAGAGTGGCAAGGGGTATGTGAGCGAGTGAGTGTGGGGTCTAGCCACTGCACACAGTCAGGCATGCAGGTTGCTGCGGCAGGGCAGGTGGCAGCTTTAGATGCTGGCTCCATGCAAGGCTGCAGCTGGACCAGCTATACCACACGTGTCTGGACAAGGGGAACATGGTGGTGCCCAGAAGCTTGGAGACGCCAGGAACCGTAGAGCCCCAAAGAGGGTGTCACAGCCCTGGCTCATGGAGCCCCTAGGTCTGGGCTCCCTGGAGGGCCCCACAGCTCTTCTCTCCTTCTTGTCACCCACAATGTGGCAAGCAGGGGACCATGTTTCAGGCCTCTTTGTGTTACAGCCCTTTCAGTCCCACCATTCAGCAGGTCCTGAGTTCTTGTCCCGCATCCAGGAAAAATGAGGTATGCAGACAACTGGAGGGTGAGCAAGGTGGAGAGGAGCTTCATTGAGTGATAGAACAGCTCTCAGGAGACCTGTAGTGGGTAGCTCCTTTCCACAGGTGGGTGGGTCATCCTGATGAGTGTCCAGCTCTCAGTGGAGAGGAGACCCATGGTGGGTAGCTCCTTTCTGCAGGTAGGTTGGCCCAATGGCTGTCCAGCTCTCAGCAGAAAGGAGACCTGTAGTGGGTAGCCCCTTTCTGCAACTGGTAGTCCCAACACCTATTCACATCTGGCTGAGTCCAGGTTTTATGGGCTCAGAAGGGAGGAAATATGTGCTGATTTGTCCATGGGTGGCTATGGGTGGGCCTGGAAAAAGCACCATAAGTTCTCACTCCAGGGCATGGACTCCACCCAGAACTGGCAGCCTGGCTTCAGGACATCCCTGGCCTGAAGGTGGGGTTTCATCAGAGACCCACCCCTTTTCACCCAGGAGCCTGTCTGCCTCCTGCCACCATCAACGTGCCACCCAGGCTATTTGTACCAAGGGGTGCCCGGAGGCCTGTACCGAGCTTCCCTTGGCGCCCCCACCTTGGTCTCCCTCCTGTGCTCACTGGTGCCCAAAAGTCTGGAGAGAACTGAAGCAGGAGGGGCTGGCACGTTGGTGGTGCCCTGATCATGTGCACACCCACAGGGTTGTGACAACACCAGGCTCAGCTTCAACTTTGCTCCAAAATTGGAGCGTGTGCTGGGAGAGGGGAGAGGCCAGGGAGCAAGAGCAGACACTTCTGAGCCTGAAGGAGCATAGTGGCTTCCTGGCCCACTGAGAGGACAGGGATGCCCTGGTCCAGAGCCATGGCTGGGTGGCTGTAGCTGCACCCAGGAGTCCAGGGCTCCTGCCCTGCCAACTCAGTAGGGGGCGGGGCTCCTGCATGTTTCTAGCCCCCACTGGCTTCACAGTGTGCGCAGCCCTGGACTCACCTTTCCCACTGCAGCTAGCATTCCCACAGTGGCTGCTCCAGACAGGCCAATGCCACCATCACTGCTACACTACATTTGTCTCCTAGATTGCCCCTGTGACTTAATGGGGAGTTGCCTGTGATCAGTTGACAGAAGGGAAGACTTAGGCCTGGTTCTGCATGAACATATGCACCACCCAAGAGTGCTGCAGCACTACAGCCCCTTTCTGTGACATCCCTGAAGGACAGTGATGAAGGAAAGCACTCTCAGTGGACATAACTTATATTTTTAAATTTTTTATTAAGAGACAAGGTCTCCAGTCTCTTTGGTCTAGCCTGCAGAAGTGAGATGATGAAGGGAACGTCATTGTTTTGAAAGCATTGCAATAAGACACACATGTTGTGCCACTGCCATGGCTCTAAGGCCTAGCACCTTCAGAAGTCTACTTGTGACAACTATGACTACCCTGCCAAGTGCAAGAGAAAGTGTAACTGGAGTGCAAAGGCTAAAAGACAAAATACCACCAGGACTGATTGCATGAAGCACCTGAAAATTGTATACCACAGATTCAAGCATGGATTCTGTGGAGGAACACCACCTAAACCCAAGAGAGCAGCTATTGCAGCAACTAGTTTATCTGAAGAATTTCAATGATTTTTCACTATTATTGTCACTATTATTATTTGTCAATAAATGCCATGGTTTAACAAAATCTAAAAAAGAAATAAAAAGAGATGGGATCTCACTTTGTTACATGACCAACAGGTTCATATGCCTCCTGCACAGTAATAGACCAATTACAGTGAGACAGCAGGGATGCAGAAGAGAAAACATTTAATTATCATGGGCAGCCAGATGCGGAGCTGGGAGGAGATTCTCAACTTCATGTCCTCTAGGAGTTCTGAGCTGGGGTTTTTAAGGGGATTGTGGAGGATGAGAGGCTGGAGAATTGGGATCGTTGATTGGGCAGCACAAGAGAGATAAAATAATCAGGACGTGGAAACTGCATTCTTTGGTGAGTCAGCTCCTCATGGGGTCCTTCAGACCAGCTGGTGTCGGTGGGGTCCTTTAGACCAGCTAGTGTCAGTGGGTCCCTTCAGATCAGCTGGCATTATGGGGTTCTTCAGATTAGTTGAGTCAGTGGGGTCCTTCAGATCAGCTGGTATCAATTGGGTCTTTCAGACCAGCTGAGTCAGACCAGCTGGGGTCCTTCAGATCAGCTGGTGTCAGTGGGGTCCTTTAGATCAGCTGCTGTCAGTTGGGTCCTTCAGACCAGCTCAGTTACTGGGGTCTATTAGACCAGTCAAGTCAGTGGGGTTCTTCAGATCAGCTGGTGTCTGTGGGGTCCTTCAGATCAGCTGGAGTCAGTGGAGTCCTTCAGATCAGCTGGAGTCAGAGGAGTCCTTCAGATCAGCTGAGTCAGTGGGATCTTTCAGACTAGCTGAGTCAGTGGGATCGTTCCAATCAACTGGTGTCAGTGGGGTTCTTCAGATCAGCTGAAGTCAGTGGCGTCCTTCAGATCAGCTGGTATCAATTGGGTCCTTCAGATCAGCTAAGTCAGTGGGGTTCTTCAGATCAGCTAAGTCAGTGGGGTTCTTCAGATCAGCTGAGTCAGTGGGTCCCTTCAGACTAGCTTAGTCGGTGGGATCTTTCAGATCAGTTGGTGTCAGTGGGGTCCTTCAGATCAGCTGGTGTCAGTGGGATCCTTCAGATCAGCTAGTATCAGTAGGGTCCTTCAGATCCACTGGAGTCAGTGGGTCCTTTAGACCAGTTGAATGAATGGCATTCTTCAGACCAGTTGAGTTAGTGGGACCCTTCAGACCAAGTTAGTCAGTGGAATCTTTCAGATCAGCTGGTGGCCATGGGGTTCTCAGCTGAATAGTTTCCTCAGAATGCAGGACCTGAAGGACCATCTCAAAGGGAATTTTTTTTATTTTTTTAATTTTTTTAATTTTAGAGACAAGGTCTCACTATATTGTTCAGGCTGGTCTCAAAGTCCAGGGCTCAAGCAATCCTTCCACCTCAGCCTCCCAAAGTGCTAGGATGACAGGCACAAACCGCCTCACCTAGCTCAAAGGGAAATCTTAATGTTTCATAATATTTAGGTGTTATCTATAGGATAGTTTAGGGGAATAATTTAAGGTCTACATGATTTTAGGACAATAGGCACCAAACAACCATGAAGAAGCAGATCAGGGAGCAGGCTGACCTATTGATCAATGCTGAGTGTGCTGCAAGCTGGGTTAATTTTCATTTATCCCCTATCTTCTTCCTTGGTTACTTTTATAAAATTTATAGGGTCAGTGTCAGCTATGTTCGTAGGGTGGTCTTGAGCTCCTGGGCTCAAGCAATCCTCTGCCTCACCGTTCTGAGTTGCTGGGATTACAGGCTTGCACCATGCACGTGGCCCAGTGGGCAGAAGTTTAAGCAGTTTAAGTCCGTTCACTTTTCTTGAAAAGATAGACACCAGATGTGCAAGTATATTCTGATTCATGTTCTGTGGTCAATGGTTTGGATGGATGATCAGGGACTTGGAAGGAACATGATTGGATAATTGGTGACAAGGAAATTTGGGGAAGAGGTATATGGATAGACATCTTGAATGGGAAAATAAAGATATTTGTGTCCCATGTGAATGCTTACTAGAGGGTAATCTCAGAAGTTATCTATTAAAATAATAAATTGATTGGATAACCCATTCTGTAGATACCAGTTAGCCTTATTCTCTAGGAACCCCTGCCGTTGCCCAGTGGGCTCATGAATAAAGTGGCCATGGTGGCCAGGATGGACATTATGCATGGGCTTAGTAACATGGACTTCCACTCACCAAGGCTGACCTGGCTACAGCCACTGCTGAATGCCCTATCTGCCAGCAGCAGAGACCAACACAGAGTCCCTGATATGGCCTCATTTCCCAGCATGATCAGCCAGCTACCTGATGGCAGATTGATTACATTAGACTATTTTCATCTTGGAAGAAGCAGTATTTTGTTCTCATTGGAACAGAAATTTACTCTGGATAACAATTTTCCATCCTTACATACACAGCTTCTGCCAAAATTACCATTTGTGGACTTATAGAATGCTTTATCCATTGTCATGATATTCCACTCAGCATTGCTTCTGATTTAGGAACTCACTTCTCAGCAAAAGAAGTGTAGCAGTGAGCCCATCCTCATGGAATTCACTGGTCTTACCATGTTTCATGAACCAATGGGCTTGATAAGATGATAGGATTATTTGAAGATGCAGTTACAGCACCAGCTAGATGGCAATATATTGCAGGGCTGCAGCAATATGTTCTCCAGGGGGCTAAATGTGCTCTGAATCAGCATCCATCATATGGTGCTGTTTCTCCCATAGCCAAGATTCACTGGTTCAGGAATCAAGGGGTGGAAAAGGGAGCAGCACCACTCACTATTATCTCTAGTGACCCACTAGCAGGATTTTTGCTTCCTGTTTCTGAAACCTTATGCTATGCCAGTCTACTGGTCTTAGTTCCAATGGGAATAATTCTCCCACCAAGAGACAGCAATGATTCAATTGAACTGGATCTTAAGACTGCCACCCAGTCACTTCACCCTCCTTATACCTCTGAATCAACAGGCAAAGAAGGGAATTACTGGGCTGGTTGGTGATTGATCCTGTCTACCAAGGGGAAATTGGACTGCCTCTTCACAATGAAGGTAAGGAGGAACATGCCTGGAATACAGGAGACCCCTGAGAGCATCTCTTAGTATTGTCATGCCTGTGATTAATGTCAATGGAAAACTACAACAGCCCAATCCAGGCAGGACTACTAATGGCCCAGTCCCTGCAGGAATGAAGGTTTGGTTCACTCTACCAGATAAAGAACCACAACCAGCTGAGTGAGGTGCTTGCTGAAGGCAAAGGACATACAGAATGGGTAGTGGAAAAAGGCAGTTATAAATATCAGCTATGACCACATGATCACTTACAGAAATGAAGACTGTAATTATCATAAGTACTTCTCGTTTTTTTAAAATTTATTTTTAATTTTTAAATTAATTGTTATTAATAGAAATGGTGTATCACCATTTTGCCCAGGCTGGTCTCGGATGTACTCTCCTTGTTTTGTAATGAATATATATAAAATATCCTTGTTTTCTTTCCTCTCTTACTTCCTGTTTTGTAACATAAAATGTATTGACTCTATATCATAGTATTTAACTATTTTAAATTTTACATCATAGTGTTTAAGTTATGAGATATCAAGGAGAAGAACAAACATTATTTAAGGACTTCGCCTTCTCTTCTGGGGAAGAGGTAGTGCCTTTTCAGTTGTATGTAGAATGATTGTATCACGTTGGGTGGAATTATGACCTTGTCATTGTTTTTATTTGGAGAATAAGAATGGTTTCAGAAGATACATTTGGGTGTCAAGTTGACAAGGGGTGGACTTGTGACAGTTAATTTTATGTGCCAATTTGACTGGGCCATGGAATGCCAAAATATTTGGTTAAACATTATTCTGGATATACCTGTGAAGGTGTTTTTGGATGAGATTAACATTTGAATTGGTAAACTAAGTAATGCCGATTGTCCTCCCCAGGGTGAGTGGGGCTCATCCAATCCATGGAAGGGCTGACTAGAGTAAAAGGCCAAGTAAGGGAAAATTTACACTCTGTCTTTGAGCTAAGATATTATTCTTCTGGTTTTGGACCCATAGAGTCAGAATAAAACTTATACCATTGGATCTCCTGGTTCTAAGGCTTTCAGACTCAGACTAGAGTCCGACATATACGAGAGGGTCTTAAAAAGTGTATGAAAAATGCATATTATGAAAAAAACTATGCATGGATTAAAAAAATTTTGGCCCCAAAATAAATTCTTACTAACTTTATTATAACATGTCTGAACAGGATCTAGTTTGAGGCACTAGGAAGGGTAAGAAATCAGTTTGAAAAGAGCCCCTTGCTCTGTGGCTGGGTAGTGCTGGAGGTTAGCTTCCTCTAGGCCACTGAGCTCTCACGTCACTGCAGAAGGCCTTATCTGCAGAGACTTCCCATGCCAAGCAGGCCTGCCCCGTCAGAGAGAATGGCAGAAAGCTCGTGTGTGTCCTGGGGAGATGGTCAGAGGGAGCCACCTTCCAGCTGAACCCCAATAAGTACTCGTAGCTCACGGTGTAAACGCCCTCCAGAGGTTGCAGCTGTATACCCAAAGGTCCCGGCCAGCCCCTGTGCGCCCCTGTGTTGACTGGGTTTGGGGAGGACACAGATGGGGGCGTAGGAGGTGTGTAGCCCTGACTCAGCTTCCTGGTTGCATCCTAGTCTAGTGTTGTTTGAAGTCACGTGGACGTGGCCTCCCCTTAGAGGCTGGTGAGGGCATTTGAGGGCAGTTGTGTGCTCCTGGCCTGGGGCTGTGCTTTTGTGGCTGTGTGTGTGTGTGTTGGCGGGGGAGGGAGGGAGGTGCCCTAGTTGTGCACGGTACTCTGCAGCCCAGCGCCCTGCCGAGGCTTCTGCTGAGAGGAGACAGCGTGCTGGCAGTCCTCAGAGCCCTCGCTTGCTCTTGGCACCTCCTCTGCCTGGGCTCCCACTTTGGCGGCATTTGAGGAGCCCTTCAGCCCACCACTGCACTGTGGGAGCCCCTTTCTGGGCTGGCCAAGGCTGGAGCCCACTCCCTCAGCTTGCAGGGAGGTGTGGAGGGAGAGGCGCGAGCCGGAACCCGGACTGCGTGCGGCGCTTGCGGGCCAGCTGGAGTTCCAGGTGGGCGTGGGCTTGGCGGGCCGGCACTTGGAGCAGCCGGCCAGCCCTGCCGGCCCCGCGCAATGACTTAGCACCCGGGCCAGTGGCTGCGGAGGGTGTACTGGGTCCCCCAGCAGTGCCAGCCCACCGGCGCTGCACTTGATTTCTCACCGAGCCTTAGCTGCCTTCCCGCGGGGCAGGGCTCGGGACCTGCAGCCTGCCATGCCTGAGCCTCCCACCCCCTCCATGGGCTCCTGTGCTGCCCGAGCCTCCCCGACGAGCGCCGCCCCCTGCTCCACGGCGCCCAGTCCCATCGACCACCCAAGGGCTGAGGAGTGCAAGCGCACTGCACGGGACTGGCAGGCAGCTTCACCTGCAGCCCCGGTGCGGGATCTACTAGGTGAAGCCAGCTGGGCTCCTGAGTCTGGTGGGGACGTGGAGAGCCTTTATGTCTAGCTCAGGGATTGTAAATACACCAATCAGCACCCTGTGTTTAGCTCAAGGTTTGTGAGTGCACCAATCGACACTGTGTATCTAGCTGCTCTGGTGGGGCCTTGGAGAACCTTTATGTCTAGCTCGGGGATTGTAAATACACCAATCGGCACTGTGTATCTAGCTCAAGGTTTGTAAACACACCAATCAGCACCCTGTGTTTAGCTCAAGGTTTGTGAATGCACCAATCGACACTCTCTATCTAGCTGCTCTGGTGGGGCCTTGGAGAACCTGTGTGTCGAAACTCTGCATCTAACTAATCTGATGGGGACGTGGAGAACCTTCATATCTAGCTCAGGGATTGTAAACGCACCAATCAGCGCCCTGACAAAACAGGCCACTCGGCTCTACCAATCAGCAGGATGTGGGTGGGGCCAGATAAGAGAATAAAAGCAGGCTGCCCAAACCAGTATGGACAACCCGCTCGGGTTCCTTTCCGCGCTGTGAAAGCTTTGTTCTTTAGCTCTTCGCAATAAATTTTGTTACTGTTTGGGTCCACGCTGTTTTTATGAGCTGTAACACTCACCGCAAAGATCCGTAGCTTCAGTCCTGAGCCCAGCCAGACCACGAGCCCATAGGGAAAAACGAGTAATTACAGACGGGCTGTCTTAAGAGCTGTGACACTCACCGCGAAGGTCTGCAGCTTCACTCCTGAGCCAGCGAGACCACGAACCCACCAAGAGGAAAAAACTCCGAACACATCTGAACATCTGAAGGGACAGACTCCAGACGCACCACCTTAAAAGCTGTAACACTCACCGCGACGGTCTGCGGCTTCATTCTTGAAGTTAGTGAGACCAAAAATTCACCAATTCCGGAAACACTGCGAGGCAGCAGCGTGTCTTACACAGACGGAACCGCCGTTCCCCTGCCATGTTCAGGCGGGTCGGCAGGCTTTGTTCGTTATTCTGAGTGGCAGTCGGGAAGGGCAGCTGAACCCCGCCCGGGGATCTAGAGTTGCTGGTCAGGAACTGGAGAGAGGCCTGGCGGGCCTGGTTGTGTTTGTATTTGGGCTTTCTCTGGGGCCGTGGAGTGATAGGAAAGGTTGGCGTTTCCCTTGGAGATGCACCTTTTCTAGTGATTGTGTTTGCAGGGTGAGTCTGACCCGCTGAGCCACAATGAGCAAGGACAAGGAATATTTTTCAATTAACTTCTTAATTCTCGTGAGTGTGGCTTATGATCTCCTTTGTGGTTTGTTGATTATAAGGCGCACCCTGACGTTAGAAATAATAAAATGAGTGTGCCTTAGCATCAGAGTGTCACCATCTGACGCTCTAGGACTGGGCAGAGCCCAGGTCCTCTTCTCTGGAGTACTCGGCTACCACCTTGCCGTGCAGGGGGCTCCCTCCCTCCCTTCACTGCACACTCTCGGTTACTTCTTTCTCAATTCCATCCGCACAGCTTCCTGCCTCAACCTTTTCTGCCTTCTGCAGGAGCAGATGTTCCCACAAGGAACACGGGAGGTGCCAAGGTTGGGTTTCCAGCATAAGGCTGAGCCTTCTGCCCTCGGTTTGACCCTGGGTGGCACTGTTAGCTGGAGGCCACGAGAGCTGCCTTGGACGTGTGGGGCCAGCGAGCAGCGGCCCCTCACTCGTGGAGCATTGTTGCAGCCGGGCAAGTCTGCCATTGCTCATCCTCTTAGTCTTGCTCCCAGCTGCGACTTGTTCTTACATGTTCTAGATGCAAGGCTTTTGTGTGTGTGTGGTTTGTAAATATTTTGTCCCAGTCCATCGCTTATCTTTTACATCCTCTTAAGGGGGGTTTTGCAGAGAAAAGGTTTTTTTCTTTTCAAATTTGGTGAAGTCTGATTTATCAATTTTCCTTTTTAAGGATCTGATTTTGGTGTCATGGTTAAGAATTCCTCAATGACTCCCAGGTCCCAAAGATTTTTCCTACCTTTTCTTTGCTCTTTCTTTCTTTCCTTTCTTTTTCTTTCTTTTTTTTTTTAGATGGAGTCTTGCTCTTGTTGCCCAGGCTGGAGTGCAATGGCGTGATCTTGACTCCCTGCAATCTCTGCCTCCCTGGTTCAAGCAATTCTGCCTCAGGCTCCGGAGTAGCTGAGATTACAGGTGTGCACCACCACACCCGGCCCAGGCTGCAGTGCAGTGGCACGATCTCGGCTCACTGCAAGCCCTGCCTCCCAGGTTCACGCCATTCTCCTGCCTCAGCCTCCTGAGTAGCTGGGACTACAGGCGCCCGCCACCACACCCGGCTAATTTTTTTGTATTTTTAGTAGAGACAGGGTTTCACCGTGTTAGCCAGGATGGTCTTGATCTCCTGACCTCGTGATCTGCCTGCCTCGGCCTCCCAAAGTGCTGGGATTACAGGCGTTGAGCCACCGCACCTGGCTTCTCTGTTTGGTTTTCTATAACATTATTCTTTTTTTTTTATAGAGACAGTGTCTCATTATGTTGCTCAGGTTGGTCTTGAATTCCTGGTCTCAAGCCATCCTCCTGCCTCAGCCTCCCAAAGTGCTGGGATTACAGGCGTGACCCACTGCACCTGGCCAGCATTCTTTTTTTTTTTTTTAAACTGTTGAACACTCTGTAATTATTAGGTAAAATTAATAGTACTTCACAATTATATATATCACTTTACAGTTTACAAAGTTACTAAGTAGACATTTGTTTTGATGCCCCAAAATAAAATTTAACTTCTTTGTCCTCCCTTCTCCCCTCCATCAAGGAAAGACTAAGGAACATTTAATCAGAAAAGGCAATATAAGTGCATCAATCTGTACAGAACTGCAAAGAATAAAGGGGAGGAGGGTAGGACCCTGAAGAGGGCCACAGGGACTTCAGGAAGGAGAAAACCAGAGTGTTAAACGTGAGGAAAGCCCAGGGGTGACAGGGAGTTAACCACCATAAGGGGCAGGTTGTATTCACTACATAAAAGGAGGGGCACACGGCATATGTTTCACATTCTAAAATAATATGACAATATCATAACTGAAGAGCTGAAGTTGAATTTTGTGGTTTCTCAGAACACAAGTAGAAGATGACCACCAACCATGGTTTCTGAATAAACTGAGTTCAAAGTGCATCTGGTTGCAGCAGGGGGCTTCCTTGGACTCTGATACTAGAAATTTAACAAAGGTAATTCGAGGAGCTGCGATTTTACATAGTGGTGGCATCCTAGGGGGCATCTATCGCATCAGTTAAGTTTAATATCTGGCAATCATGGAAAAGGAGTTTCTGAGCAGGTAATACTTGGGCCATCTCTTGGAGATTCCTGCTGTAAGGACTAAGTTTCTCCAGAGAAAGCACTTGCCTGGGTATGACTCAGGGCCGGGCAAAAATTCACACTATGAATCTGGTGGAAGGGGGAGAAGTATGCCTGGTGGGACCACATTCCCATAATTCTCTAACCTCACATCTCTGTAGAGTTCCCTCTGAACAAGGTCCAGGTATCTCCATTCCTCTTGAGTAAGGTGCACAGCCACATCCTCAGATGTCACAAACTGCTGATACCTGGCTGTCAGGAGCGCAGCTGCCTGATCTCCTGGGCTGTCCTCATGGGGAAAGGCAGGCACCTGGGGAACAGGTGGAACCCTAGTGAGTCCCTGTTCCATGTCGGTGTCCTGCACAAAATGAGGCTTTGGAGTCAGACTCTCAGACTGGGTCTCCAAAAACTGAAATCGGACCCTTGGTGAGCCTGCTGCTTCCTGGGCTGGTATTTTCTCCATCCCTGTTCTGGAGGACAATGACCGTCGCAGCTTGCATCAGGACATGGCCACTGGGTCCTGATGGCGAGGCCCGCCCTCGGTCTGTGGGGTGAACTGGGGCTGAAGAGAAATAGGCCTTTGCACCCAAGCATCTGCACACTCTTGGGGAAGGAAACCACTGTCCCATATTCTTTACATTATCCTTGTCATTTAGGATCTCCAGGATTGGCTTCAGTGTTAATGATTCTTTGTCATTATTTTCCTGTAAGAGTGCCCTTTTATCTAAAGATTTCAGTTCATTTATTTGACAGAAATCTTCAACCATATATATAAAAATATATAAATATATATATATACTTTTTTTTGGTGACAGAGTCTCATTCTGTCACCCAGGCTGGAGTGCAGTGGCGTGATCTCAGCTCACTGCAACCTCCGCCTCCCAAGTTCAAGCGATTCTCCTGTCTCAGCCTCTGGAGTAGCTGGGATTACAGGTGTGCACCACCACACCTGGCTAATTTTTGTATTTTTAGTAGAGATGGGGTTTCACCATGTTGGCCAGGCTGATCTTGAACTCCTGACCTCAGGTAATCTGCCTGCTTTGGCCTCCCAAAGAGCTGGGATTACAGGCGTGAGCCACCATGCCCATACTCAACCATATCTTTGAATACTTTCCCATTCCAGTTGTTATATTCTTTTCTCAAAACACCAATCATGTATCTCCTTGATCCATTTTCATCAGCGTCTCTGCGATTTTATCCCTTTGCACTTTTCCATTTTGTTTTGGGTGATTTTTTTCAAGACTGGCCTCCATGTACTATCTATGTTTTCATAGTATGTATTTGACTTCTTGCTGTTTCTATAATGAACTTTTCATTTTTGTGGTGGCTTTCCTGTTATTTCCAATTTCTCAGTTAAGTTCTACCACATCACTTTTTTCTCTCTAAAAATATGCATCTGTTATTCTCCCTTGTATCTTTTTTTTGAAAAAGTCCATGCTTTAACTTTTGTGAGTATAGAAAAAATATGTCTGACATCTTTCTTCTGCTTGCTGGAATAACTTTCTAAAAATAGACTTTATTTTTATAGGGCAGTTTTAGATTTACAGAAAAATTGAGCGTATAGTACAGAGAATTCCCATACAGCTCCTACACGGTTTCCCCATTATTAATGTCTACATTAGGGTGGAACATTTGTTACAATCATGGAAGTGATGTTGATACATTACTATTAACTAATGTCCATAATTTATTCAGATTCCCTTAGTTTTTACCTAATGTCGTTTTCCTGTTCCAGGGCCTCCTCCAGAATACCACATTACGTTTAGTTTTCATGTCTCCTAGGCTCCTCCTGGCTGTTACACTTTCTCAGACCTTCCTTGATTATGATGACCTCGAAGTTTTGAGGAGTACTGGGAAAGAGTATTATAGGATGCCCCCTACTGGAATTTGTCAGATGTTTTTCTCATGATTATACAGGGATTATGGCTTTTGGGGAGGAAGATCTCAGAGGTAAGTGCCATTCTCGTCTCATTGTATTACCATTATTTATTTATTTTTTAATTTTTATTTTTTGAAATGGAGTCTCACCCTGTCGCCCAGGCTGGAGTGCAATGGTGCGATCTTGGCTCACTGCAACCCCTGTCTCCTGGGTTCAAACGATTCTCCTGCCTCAGGCTCCTGAGCAGCTGGGATTACAGGTGTCTGCCACTACACCCAGCTAATTTTTTTTGTATTGTTTTTAGTAGAGACAGGGTTTCACCAGGTTGGCCAGGCTGGTCTCCAACTCCTGACCTCGTGATCCACCCTCCTAGGCCTCCCAAAGTGTTGGGATTACAGGTGTGAGCCACCGCAGCTGGCCATATTAGCATGATTTATGACTGTTGATGCTGACTTTGATCACCTGCCCAAGGTAGTGTTTATCAGATTTCCCCCCTGTAAATTTGCTCCCTGTCCCTTCCATACTGCAGTCTTAGGAAGGAAGTCACTATAAGCAGCCCATGCTTAAGGAGTGGGGAGTTCTGCTCCCCGTCCTTTACGATGGGACAGCTACATAATTTATTTGGAATTCTACAGAGAATGCTGGGGTAACTTTTTCTGAAGTGGTTTTTGATCATCTGTCTTTTGTTTGCTATTATTTTTCCCTTTTCATTGGGGAGTGGTTTTTGTTCATATGTATTAATTCAGATTTGTTTGCTTATTTTGCAACTTAGCTCTCAAATAATTTGAGGGAAGGGATAGGGGATTTTTTTTTTTAGAGGGAATTGGCAGTTCTGACTCCCTCATGTTGTATCTAACCAAGAACCAAGTTGACATTTCCTCTGCTCGATTACTTCTCTCTCCCTCTTTTTTGCATCCCTCTTCCTCCACGCCACTTTTGGAAAAGCACCTCAGCTCCCTGTGGCTGTCAGGGCTTACAGGTAGATTTCATTCAGATATTTCATGTTTAATTACTTGTATTTCACTGACTCAACAGCGATAAAATTGGTTGTGTGGGCCCACCCTCCTCCCTTTGCCTCCCTCCAGGCAATTCTCTCCACTCTGGAATGGGGAAAATAAAGGAGGCATCCACACTGGTCTGTCATCAGCCCTGCCTCCCTGCTGCTGTGCACACTGGGGTCTTGTTGAGGGGTGTTCTCTGCTTCTTCCATGACCCTCCCAAGCCCCTAGTTTTCAAGGATTCTTAATTCTTTTAAGAATTGTAAGGGATCTGCTCCAGGTGACCTTCCTTGTTTTGGTTCCAATTTTCATTACACTTGGCAGATATTTCTTATGGTCAATTATCTGGGCTGTAGCCATTTTCTATTTTCATTGCAGATAAGAGCTTCTTTTCTACTACTCATTTTACTGTTAATTTTGGTATATTCAGGAAAGGAATGAGTAAACATGCCTTTACTGTACCATCTTTTATGGGAACTGCTCATCCTTAATCTCTGTCTTCTTCAGCTTTGCTGGTGTGACTTGCTCTTGATTTTTCTCCTACTGCTGTGCTGTTTCTCAGGCTCCTTTTCCGGCTCCTGCACCTGCCTGTAAATTCTGCTATTCCCCAGGACTCTCTCACTGGCCCCTCTCCCCACCCACCCCACCCCTATTCTATAACGAGCTCCTACTCTACTTTGGGGCCTACAGAGGCCAGGCAGATAATGTGATTAAGTGAAGGGAAATATCATTTATTTTTTCTTCTCACTATTGACCTTGGCAGAGTCATTTATTTTTTCATATGGTGTCTTCAATAGAAGCTTTTTTCATAACAATCTTGTAGGAATATTCTTTATTTCCATAAAGATATAGGTTCTCTCCAACTTTTTTTTTTTTTTTTTGAGACGGAGTCTCGCTCTGTCACCCAGGCTGGAGTGCAGTGGCACGATCTTGGCTCACTGTAACATTCGCCTCCTGGGTTCAAGCGATTCTCCTGCCTCAGCCTCCTGAGTAGCTGGGATTACAGGTGCCTGCCACCACGCCTGGCTAATTTTTGTATTTTTAGTAGAGATGGGATTTCACTATGTTGGCCAGGCTGGTCTCAAACCCCTGACCTTAGGTGATCCACCTGCCTCGGCCTCCCAAAGTGCTGGGATTACAAGCATGAACCACCGCGCCCGGCTATGTTAGGCTATTCTTGCGTTGCTCTAAAATAATGCCTGAGACTGGATAATTTATAAAGAAAAGAGGTTTAATTGGCTTATGGCTCTACAGGCTGTACAGGCATGGTGCTGGTATTTGCCTAGCTTCTGGGGAGGCCTTAGGGAGCTTTTACTCGTGGCAGAAGGTGAAGGAGGAGCAGGCATGTCACATGACCAGAGCAGAAGCAAGAGAGTTAGAGTGGGAAGTGGCACACACTTTTAAAACACCAGATCTTGAGAGAACTCAATCAGCACCAAAGGGATCGTGCTAAGACATTGATGAGGGATTCGCTGTCATGATCCAAACACCTCCCACCAGGCCCCACTTCCAATATTGGAGATTACAATTCAACATGAGATTTGGTGGGGACATATATTCAAACTACATCAGGGGTCTACTAGAGAGGGGAGGGAGGCAGACAAGGGTTGAAAAACTACCTTTTGGGAACTATGGTCATTACCTCGGTGATGGGATCAATTATCCCCAAACCTCAGCATCATTCAGTATACCTATGTAACAAACCTGCACGTTTACCCCCGAATCTAAAATAAAAATTGAAATTATTAAAAAAAAGATAATTGTAAGTCGCTTCAAAAAAATCCTGTGTAGGCCAATATGACATAAGGCGAACCAAATAGATTTGCTGGCCAGGTTTGGCCATAGGCCACAAATTTAGAGCCTCTGGTTTGACGTGTTTTATCTCAGTGGCCTTCCTTTCTGACGGCTTCACTTGTGTGGTGGGAGGCTGAGGGTGGCGACTTGGGATTCATGTATTTCTGCTCTCCCTTGTGAAGGGGTGAGGTGGGATTATGAGTAATTTATTTGCATGAGGCGCCTCTTGGGAAATAACTCACCCAAAGAGAAGAAGGCACGTGGCAGGATACGCTCAACTCGGTAACAAAAATCTCAGGGTCAGAGTTGACGTGTGGCTCTCCTGCATTGTACTGTAACTCTGGGAGGGCCAGGACTGTGTCCATTTTGTTTACACCGTATAGGGTAAGCATAGAGCCTGGCCCAACTGTAGATACTCAATGAGTATTGGCTGACTGATTGAATTCATATTACTGCCCTGTGCATGTCCCCTAATTTGATGTTCACCTCAACCCTGATGAATTCATGTCTGGATCCCACAGGCCATATGTAAAAAATGCAGGAATCGTGTCACTGAAAACTCAGAAAGGCATTGGGAATGCTTTCACACTGCCTTGGTGCTCCCTAAAAAGAGTAACCAAAAAATAAAAGGAAGTGTTTTCCTCCTCTCCATTCCTTTCCTCACTCTACACTGCTGTGCAGCTTTAGTCCTTGTGGGCTTCTGTGTAATGGCGGGGGCCTCCCACCAGGAGATGACACTGCTGGGGTGTTCTGGTCCTCACTGTATAGTGTGGAAGGTGCTGGGTGCTAACAGACAGATGTGTTTATGAACACGGGGCTGGAGAGCCTAAGTGGGTGGAAGAAGAGAGCCAGAGAAACGTTAATAGGACCCCAGGTCCACCCACAGGATGGAAAAATATGCATTATACTTGGAGTTTGTGGAAGAGGCCACTAGCTGCTCACCAAATCCTAATTTTCTCATGTTTCTGGGTACACATCCTGTGGTTAGGTGTGGCCTGTGGTTGGGTTCCAGCCAAGAGAATATGAGTAGAAGTTATGTGTGCCACATGTAGGCCTGGCCCATACAAACCTCCTACTGTGTGACTGTCCATGTTCTTTTCTCTCCTTGACCCTGGGAGGAATGTGCTGAGGATGGCAGGGCCTTTGCTGTCCTCCTGGGTCTGTGAGGGGTGAGCCCCACTGACCATTCGGAACCATTTTGGACATTGTGTGTGGGGGGAACAATACACTTCCATGGCAGGCACAATGGCTCATGCCTGTAATCCCAGCACTTGGGGAAGTGGGAGCAGGGACATCGCTGGAGCCCAGGAGTTGGACACCAGCCTGGGCAACATAGCGAGACCCTGTCTGTATTAAGGAAAAACAAACAAACACTTCCATTATATTTGAGCCAAAATAGTTTTTAGGTGTATTTGTTATTGAAGTGAGCCTGCCTGACTAGTCCAGGGACTCAGCACCTGCTACTAGGTACATCTGCAACATGGGCGTTCAGGAGTGGAAGTGGAGGCTCAGAGGCCACTGAAGATTTTGAGAATACTCGTCAGCTATGACAAGGCACAAGGTGAAGCGATGCCCTGAGCCAGCGTGGGGTGCTTGGAAGGATTTTCAAAAGGGAAGGAAATATGAATGCAGCTTGTAGAGCTTTCTAGGAATAGCAGCAGGAAATGCAGCTTCCTGTAAAGTGATCTTTAAGCCCTCTAATTTGGACACAGAATTCAAAAAATACTGAAGTTCTTCCTAGAGAAAGAGTTGCAAAGTGTGTGACAAGGAAGCAGTCCAATCTATTTCTGAATAATGAAACTGCCCTACAATTTAGTGCTTAAAACAACAACGTTCATTTTGAAGAATTATCTCTCATGGTTCTGGGTGCTCACAAGGCTCAGAGAGGTGGTTCTCAGAGCGTCTTCTGTAGCTGCAGTCAAAAGGGGCTGGAGTCATCTTGAAAAGGTCTTCACTCAGATGTTTGGTACTGAATTCATGCTAATTGACAGCTGCAACCTCAGTGGGGGCTCAACCAGAACCCCAGGACATGGTCTGGGCTTCCCCACAGCATGGCATCTGGGTTCTAAGGGTGAGTGTCCCAAGAGGACTGGACAGATGCAGGATTGCCCCCACCTTCCCTCCCCTTCCCTCCCCTCCCCTTCCTTTCCTTTTCTTCCTTCCTTCCTTTCTTTTTCAGAGTCTCGTTCTGTCACCCAGGCTGGAGTGCAGTGGTGTGATCTTGGTTCACTGCAAGCTCCACCTCCTGGGTTCACGCCATTCTCCTGCCTCAGCCTCCGGAGTAGCTGGGACTACAGGCGCCCACCACCACACCCGGCTAATTTTTTATATTTTTAGTAGAGACAGGGTTTCACTGTGTTAGCCAGGATGGTTTCTATCTCCGGACCTCGTGATCTGCCCGCCTCAGCCTCCCAAAGTGCTGGGATTTCAGGCACCCACCACCATGTGAGTTAATTTTTTGTATTTTTAGTAGAGACAGGGTTTCGCCATGTTGGCCAGGCTGGTCTTGAACTCCTGCCCTCAGGTGATCCACCTGCCTCAGCCTCCCAAAGTGCTGGGATTACAGGCGTGAACCACCGCACCTGGCCAGGATTACCTTTTCTTTTTTCCCTCCCCTCTCCTCCCCTCTCCTCTCCTCACCTATTAAGCTAGGAAGTCTAAGGATTGCCTTTTCTAATCTAACTTTGAAAGTCAAACAGACTCCACTGTGTTCTCTATTGGTTGTAGCAATCACAAATTCCCAAGCCACATTCAAGGGAAGAGGTGACATAGACCCCACCTCTCAATGGGAGGAGGGTCAAATAATTTTGGGACATGTTTATTTTTTATTTTATTTTTTTTGAGGCAGAGTCTTGCTCTGTCGCCCAGGCTGGAGTGCAGTGGCGCGATCTCTGTTCGCTGCAGGCTCCGCCTCCCGGGTTCACAACATTCTCCTGCCTCAGCCTCCCGAGTAGCTGGGACTACAGGCGCCAGCCACCATGCCCGGCTAATTTTTTGTATTTTTCTTTTAGTAGAGACGGGGTTTCACCATGTTAGCCAGGATGGTATCGATCTCCTGACCTCGTGATCCGCCCGCCTTGGCCTCCCAAAGTGCTGGGATTACAGGCGTGAGCCCCCGCGCCCGGCTGGGACATGTTTATTTTTTAAAAAGCTTTTAGTTTAGGTTCAAGGGTACATGTGCAGGTTTGTTATGTAGGTAAACTTATGTCACGGGGGTTTGTTGTACAGATTATTTCATCACCAAGGTACTAAGCCTAGTACCCAATAGTTATTTTTTCTACTGCTCTCCCTCCTCCCACCTCCACCCTCAAGTGGGCCCCATTGTCTGTTGTTCTCCTCTTGGAGTCCATGTGTTCTCTTCATTTAGCTCCCACTTATATGTGGTATTTGGTTTTCTGTTCCTGTGTTAGTTTGCTAAGGATAATGGTCTCTAACTCTATCCATGTTCCTGCAAAGGACATGATCTCATTCTTTTTTATGGCTACATCAATTTAGGTTGATTCCATGTCTTTGCTATTGTGAATAGTGCTGCAGTGAACATATGTGTGCATGTCTCTTTATGGTAGAACTATTTATATTCCTCTGGGCATATACCCAGTAATGAGATTGCTGGGTTGAATGGTAGTTCTCTTTTATTTGAGACAGAGTTTCCCTTTGTTGCCCAGGCTGGAGTGCAGTGGTGCGATCTCGGCTTACTGCAACCTCTGCCTCCCAGGTTCTAAGAGATTCTCCTGCCTCAGCCTCTGGCGTAGCTGGGATTACTGGCGCACATCCCCACGCCTGGCTAATTTTGTATTTTTAGTAGAGATGGGGTTTTGCCACGTTGGCCAGGCTGGTCTCCAACTCCTGACTTCAGGTGATCCACCCGCCTTGGCCCCCTAAAGTGCTAGGATTACAGGCGTGAGCCACCGTGCCTGGCTGGTAGTTCTTGTTTTAGCTCTTTGAAGAACTGCCACACTGCTTTCCACAATAGTTGAACTAATTTACACTCCCACCAACAGTGTATAAGCCTTCTCTTTTTTCTGCGAACTTGCCAGCATCTGTTATTTTTTTGACTTTTTTTTTTGAGACAGAGTGCCACTCTTTCACCCAGGCTGAAGTGCAGTGGCATGACCTCTGCCCACTGCAACCTCCGTGTCCTGGGTTCAAGCGACTCTCTTGCCTCAGCCTCCCAAGTAGCTGGGATTACAGGCCTTGCCATCGCACCTGGCTTTTTTTTTTTTTTTTTTTAAGTAGAGATGGGGTTTCACCATGTGGGCCAGGCTGGTCTTAAACTCCTGACCTCAAGTGATCCATCTATGTTGACTTCCCAAAGTGCTAGGATTACAGATGTGAGCCACTGTGCCTGGCCTACTTTTTAATAATAGCCATTCTGACTGGTGTGAGATGGTATCTCATTGTGGTTTTGTTTTGCATTTCTCTAAAGATCAGTGATATTGAGCTTTTTTTAAAGTTCTTTGGCTGTGTGTGTCTTCTTTTGAAAAGTTTCTGTTCATGTCCCTTTGCCCACTTTTTAATGGAGTTGTGTTTATTGCTTGTAAATTTAAGTTCCTTATAGATGTTGGATATTAGAACTTTGTCAGATGCATGGTTTGCAAAATTTTTGTCCCATTCTTTAGATTATGTGTTTACCCTATTGATGTTGTCTTTTGCTGTATAGAAGCTCTTAAGTTTAATTAGATCCCATTTGTCAATTTTTGCTTTTGTTGTGATTGCCTTTGGCATCTTTGTCATGAAATTTTTCCCAGTTCATGTGTCCAGAATGGTATTGCCTAGGTTGTCTTCCAGGGTTTGTACAGTTTTGGGTTTTACATTTAAGTCTTTAATCCATCTTGAGTTGATTTTCGTAAATGGTGTGAGGAAGGGGTCCAGTTTTAATCTTCTTCATATGGCTAGCTAGTTATCCCAGCACCATTTATTGAATAGGGAGTTATTTTGCCATTCTTGATTTTGTCAGCTTTGTCCAAGATCAGATGGTTGTAGGTTTGCATCCTTATTTCTGGGCTCTCCTTATATTCTGTTCCATTGGTCTATGTGACTGTTTTTGTAGCAGTACCATGCTGCTTTGGTTACTGTAGCCCTGTAGTATAGTTTGAAGTTGGGTAACATGGTGCCTCCAGCTTTGTTCTTTTTGCTTAGGATTGCCTTGGCTATTTGGGCTTGTTTTTGGGTCCATATGAATTTTAAAATAGTTTTTTCTAACTCTGTGAAGAATGTCATTGGTAGTTTGGCAGGAATAGCATTGAATCTGTAAATTGGTTTGGGCAGTATTGGCCATTTTAATGATATTGATTCTTTCTATCCACAAGAATGGAATGATTTTCAATTTGTCTGTGTCATCTCTGATTTTTTAGAGCAGTATTTTATAATACTCATTGAAGAGATCTTTCACCTTCCTGGTTAGCTGTATATATTCCTAGGTATTATGTTCTTTTTGTGGCAATTATGAATGGGATTGCATTCCTGATTTGGTTCTCAGCTAGGTTGTTGTTTTTGTATAGGAATGCTGGTGATTTTTATATGTTGATTGTGTATCCTGAAACTTTGCTGAAGTTATTTATAAGCTTAAGGGGTTTTGGGCCAAGACTATGGGGTTTTCTAGATATAGAATCATATCATCTGCAAACAGGGATAGTTTGACTTCCTCTCTTCCTATTTGGTTGGCCTTTCTTTCTTTCTCTTCCCTGATTGCTCTGGCCAGTACTTCCAATACTATGTTGAATAGGAATGGTGATAGAGGGCATCCTTGTCTTGTGCTGGTTTTTAAGGGGAATGCTTCCAACTTTTGCCCATTCAGTATGCTGTTGATTGTAGGTTTGTCATAGGTGACTAATTATTTTGAGGTATGTTCCTTCAATACCTAGTTTATTGAGAGATTTTTTTTTAACATGAAGTGATGTTGAATTTTATCAAAAGCCTTTTCTACATCTTTTGAGATAATCGTGTGGTTTTTGTCTTTAGTTCTATTTATGTGATGAATCACATTTATTGATTTGTGTATGTTGAACCAACCTTGCATCCCAGGGATAAAGCCCACTTAATCATGGTGGATAAGCTTTTTGATGTGCTGCTGGATTCAGTTTGCAAGTATTTTGTTGAGGATTTTGCATTGATATTCATCAAGGATATTGGCCTGAAGTTTTCCTTTTTTTCTTGTGTCTCTGTCAGGTTTTGGTATCAGGATGATGCTGATTGCATAGAATGAGTTGGGGAGGAGTCCCTCCTCCTCAGTTTTTTGGGTTAGTTTCAGTAGGAATGGTACTAGCTTGTCTTCATACATCTGGTATAAACTGGCAATAAATCCATCTGGACCTGAGCTTTTTTGTAGTTGGTAGGCTATTTATTACTGATTCAATTTTGGAGCTCATTATTGGCCTGTTCAGGCAGTTTGTTCCTGGTTTAGTCTTGGGAGGGTGTATGTGTCCAGGAATTTATTAATCTCTTCTAGGTTTTCTAGTTTGTGTGTATAGAGATATTGGTAGTAGTTTTTTGCTGGTTGTTTGTATTTCTGCGGTGTCAATGGTAACATCCCCTTTGTTATTTCTAATTGTGTTTATTTGAATCTTCTCTCTTTTCTTCTTTATTAGTAGCCTATCTATCTTATTAACTTTAAAAAAAAAACCCTCCTGGATGCGTTGATCTTTGAATGGTTTTTTGTATCTCAATCTCCTTCAGTTAAGCTCGATTTTGGTTATTTCTTGTCCTCTGCTAGCTTTGGGGTTGGTTTGCTCTTTTCTAGTTCTTTTGGTTGTGATGCTAGGTTGTTAATTTGAGATCTTTCTAACATTTTGTTGTGGGCATTTAGTGTTGTAAGTTTCCCTCTTAACACTGCCTTACCTGTGTCCCAGAGATGCTGGTATGTGGTATCTTTGTTCTCATTTGTTTTAAAGAACTTCTTAACATCTCCCTTAATTTTATTATTTATTTACCCAAAAGTCATTCAGGAGCAGGTTGTTTGATTCCATGGTTTTGAGTGATTTTTTAAAGTCTTGGTTTCTATTTTTATTGCATTGTGGTCTGACAGTGTGTTTGTTATGATTTCAGTTTTTTGCCATTTGCTGAGAATTGTTTTGTGTCTGATTGTGTGGTCAATTTTAGAGTATGTGCTATGTGGCAATGAGAAGAATGCATAGTCTGTTGTTTTCGGGTGGAGAGTTCTGTAGATCTCTATCATATCCATGTGGTCCAATGCTGAGTTCAGGTCCTGAATATCTTTGTTAATTTCTTGCCTTGATGATCTGTCTAATACTGTCAGTGGAGTGTTGAAGCCTCCAACTATTATTGTGTGGGAGTCTAAGTCTCTTTGTAGGTCTCTAAGAACTCGCTTTATGAATCTGAGTGCTCCTGTGTTGGGTGCATTTATATTTAGGATAGTTATATCTTCTGGTTGAATTTAACACTTTACCATTATGTAATGCCCCGGTCTTTTTTGATTGTTGTTGGTTTAAAGTATATTTTGTCTGAAATTAGAATTACAATCCCTGATTTTTTTCTGATTTCCATTTGCTTGATAGATTTTTCTGCATCCCTTTATTTCAAGCCTATAGGTGTCATTGTGTGTGAGATGGATCTCTTGAAGACAGCATGAGATCTTGCTTTTTTATCCAGCTTGTCACTTTGTGCCTTTTAAATGGGGGTATTTAGCCCATTTACATTTAAGGTTATTATTGATATGTGTGGATTTGATCCTGTGTTGTTAGCTGGTTATTATGCTGGTTTATTTGTGTGGTTGCTTTATAGTGTCACTAGTCTGTATACTTAAGTGTCTTTTTGTATTGGCTGGTAATGGCCTTTCCTTTGCATATTTAGTGCTCCCTTCAGGACCTCTTGTAAGGCAGGTCTGATGGTAACAAACTCTCAGCATTTGCTGATCTGAAAAGGATCTTATTTATCCTTTGCTTAGGAAGCTTAGTTTGGCTGGATATGAAATTCTTGGTTGAAGATTTTTTTTCTTTAAGAATGTTGAGGCCGGGCGCAGTGGCTTGTGCCTGTAATCCCAGCACTTTGGGAGGCCGAGGCGGGCAGATCACGAGGTCAGGAGATCAAGACCATCCTGGCTAACATGGTGAAACCCCGTCTCTACTAAAAATACAAAAAATTAGCCGGGCGTAGTGGTGGGCGCCTGTAGTCCCAGCTACTCGGGAGGCTGAGGCAGGAGAATGGCATGAACCCGGGAGGCGGAGCTTGCAGTGAGCCGAGATCGCGCCACTGCACTCCAACCTGGGCGACAGAGCCAGACTCCGTCTCAAAAAAAAAAAAAAAAAAAAAAAAAAAGAATGTTGAATACACGCCTCCAATCTCTTCTGGCTTGTAGGGTTTCTGCTGAAATCTATTAGCTTGATGGGGCTCCCTCTGTAGGTGACCTGCCCTTTCTCTCTAGCTGCCTTTAACATTCTTTCATTTTGACCTTGGAAAATCTGATGATTATATGTCTTGGGGATGATCTCGTTGTGTAGAATATTGCAGGGGTTCTCTGTATTTCCTGAATTTGACTGTTGACCTCTCTAGGGAGGTCGGGGAAATTTTCATGGACAATATCCTGAAATATGTTTTCCAAGTTGTTCACTTTCTCCCCATCCCTTTCGGGGATGCCAGTGATTTGTAGATTTGGCCTCTTTACATAATCCCATATTTCTCAGGAGTTTTGTCATTCCTTTTCCTTCTTTTTTCTTTATTTTTGTCTGGCTATCTTATTTCAGAGTGCCAATTTTTAAGTTCTGCGATTTTTTCCTCAGCTTGGTCTCTTCTGCTGTTAATACTTGTTATTGCATTGTGAAATTCTTTTATTTTTTATTTTATTTTGTTTTTGAGACAAAATCTCACTCTGTTGTCCAGACTGGAGTACAGTGGCATGATCTTGGCTCACTGCAGCCTCTACCTCCCAGGTTCAAATGATTGGCATGTCTCAGCCACTTGAGTAGCTGGGATTACAGGCGTATGCCACCATGCCCAGCTAATTTTTGCAGTTTTAGTAGAAAAAGCGTTTCACTATTTGGCCAGGCTGGTCTTGAACTCCTGGCCTCAAGTGGTCCACCTGCATCAGCCTCCCAAAGTGCTGGGATTACAGGCATGAGCCACTGTGCCCGGCTGCATTGTAAAATTCTTGTAGTGTGTTTTTCAGCTCTATCAGATCAGTTAGGTTCTCTTTTTTACTGGTTATTTCATCTGTCAGGTCCTGCATCATTTTATTGTGATTCTTAGTTTCCTTGGATTGGGTTTTGCCATTCTCCTGAATCTCAATGATCTTCATTCCTATCCATATTCCGAATTCTATTTCTGTCATTTCAGCCAACTCAGCCTCATTAAGAACCCTTGTTGGAGAACTAGTGAGGTTGTTTGGTGGACATAGGACAGTCTGGCCATTGGAGTTGCTGGAGTTCCTGCATTGGTTCTTTCTTTTCTCTGTGCGTGGGTGCTCCTTTAACTGTTGGGCTGCCTCTGATTAAAGGGGCCAGGTAAGGGCGTGGTGGTTGTGCTGGAATCCCAGGCCAGACAGCCCTTCCCAATGAGCAGAAGGTACATGCATTGGCATTCATCAAGAAAACAACTCGACCCACAGAGAACAGAGAAAACAAGACAGGATGACCACCCACCCGGGAGTGACACCTAGTAACAACCTCAGTTCAAAAGTCTGCTGAGGGTGCTGCCTTCAGCTGAAATGAACATGAGGGTGTGGGGAAAGCCCTCCTTAGGAAGAAGGCTTTTTAGGTCTTAGTGAGTCCAAAAAAGAGGAGTGGCAGAAGTCATAAAAGAGGCACACGATGGAAATGTCTGTCCTTTTTAATATCATGGAGGCTGCTAGAGTTCTAACTAGGGAGAGCTCACCAACTAACAAGGCACTGAAGAGCCCACAGCTTGGGGCTCATGGGGACAAGGTCAGGAGATGGTGGGAGGGGATGCAAATTTAGAAGTTCCACCTACGAGGATCCCGATATGGCAAGTACAAAATGCCCAATTAACCTTTTTCTACATGTTTTCTTCCAATGGTGTTTAAGTTCACAGGACATAGACTTTTTTTTTTGACAGGGTCTCACTCTATTGCCCAGGCTGGAGTGCAGTGGTGTGATCACAGCTCATTGCAGCCTTGACCTCCAGGGCTCAAGTGATCCTCCCACCTCAGCCTCCTGAGTAGCTGGGACTACAGACATGCTCTAGCATGCCTGGCATTCTTTCTTTTTTTTGTGGAGATAGGGTCTCACCATGTTGCCCAGGCTGATCTCAAACTCCTGAACTCAAGCAACCCTCCTGCTTTGGCCTCCTAAAGTATTGGTATTACAGGTGTGAGCCACCACACCTGGCCCACAGGACATGGATTCTGAACAACTGGCATAAATCGACTGGCCTCAAGGTAAGGTTTTAAACTAAGCTTAAGCTTTTCTGTTGCCCTCAGATACCACTGAATTTCTTCTTCAGATTTTGGTGACATTAAGTGGTGGTTTCTGGAAATACAATTTTAATTTTGCTTGGGATGATTGTCTTGGGGTCTGGGGATAGCTCATTTTCTAAATTTTGTGGTTGTGGGGCTGGTGTTGCAATATTCTTGTGTCTCATTAACTTTCTGGAATTTTAAAAACAGACTCATGGAAGGTTTGCCTCAGAACTCAGTCTTTGAAGCCTTGGAGGAACTAACCTGTTCCAGCCCAGGCCGCAGCTTCGGAAGGGACCACAGCTCTGCCCAGGGATTGGAAACCCACTAGCTGGGATTAAACAGAACACAAATTGGAACTGATAGTTTTGTGACTTTAACATAGACACTTTGGGCTTCAATTACTTTTGACTTTAATGTCATAGTTTCAGTTTGCAATGGGATTTGAACTTTAATTTTGGAGTTTGATTAATGGGAGGGTTATTTGTTGTTCAAATTTGAAAATGGGAGGGTTATTTGTTGTTCAAAACCTTTATTGTTGGCAATCCCTTGTTGGAGCTTCTTAATACCATCATTTAATCTCATTGTGGATCTCCGATAGCTACTTAGATAACATGGCTGCATGAAATTTTATTTTATTTATTTTTGAGACAGGGTCTCACTCTGTTGCCCAGGCTGGAGTGCAGTGGTGTGATCATAGCTCATTGCAGCCTCAAAATCCTGGGCTCAAGTTATCCTCCTCCCTTGGCCTCCTGAGTAGCTGGGACTACAAGTGCGTGCCACTATGCCTGACTAATTTTTTGACTTTTTGTAGAGATGAAATCTTGCTATGTTCCCCAGGCTGGTCTTGAACTCCTGGCATCAAGTGATCCTCTCTTTTTGGTCTACCAAAGTGCTGGGATTACAGCACTTTGGCATGAGCCACTATGCCTGACCAATGAAATTTGAGGTGGGAAACGGAGCACCCAGGCTGAAGTGCAATGCTGTGGTCATAGCTCACTGCAGGCTTGAACTCCTGGGCTCAAGCAATCCTCCTGCCTCTCAGCCTCCTGAGTAGCTGGGACCACAGGATGGCTAATTTTTAAACTTTTTTGTAGAGATGAGGTCTCCCTATGTTGCCTAGGCTGGTCTTGAACTCCCAGCCTCAAGCGATCCTCCCGCCTCAGCCTTCTGAGTTGCTGGGATTACAGGTGTGAGCCACTGCTCCTGGCAATGTATTTCAATTTCGTGGCAAAATTGCAGAAATGAACATAAAACACAGGTGAGGATAGGAGAGTCTAACTTTTCTGGCAAGATCGGGCAGTGTTGAGCTCCAAGGAAAAGGAGAAGGAACCCTGGACACATTGATAAGGCGTCCTCTTTTCCTTGGTATTAACTGAAGCATGCTCTTGATGGGGAGGAAGCTGCTGCTACTGCTGCCGTGTTTGGTGTTTGGAGAAGTTAATATGGTTTGTTATTTGTTAAAAGCTTACTGAGTACCAGGTATATGCTGAATGCTTAGCATACGTTATTTTGTTTAATCTTGGCCACAATGGGCCCTGACAGTGATAGCTGTGTCTGAAGTAGGTGCTATTATTCCCATTTTACACCTGATAAAGCTGGAGCTCAGAGAGGCATAGTAACTTTTTCAAGGTCACACGGCTAAAATGAAAGGTAATGAATGGTTTGAATTCACTTTGGCACATTCAATCAACCAATCCTCAGATACTCACTGAGCGTGTTGTATCAGCCATTATTTTTAGTTGCAAGCAGTAGAAACCAACTCTGGCTGAGTTTAGCAGAAGATGAATTTATTAAAGGGACCCTGGATTGCTCATGGAAATTCCAGGGGAGCTACAGAGCCATTGTGGAAGCTTCCCAGCAGGGACAATGGTCAGAACCTGGCTGCCGCTGCTGCCACTTCTTTGACCATGGCCTGGATGCTTCGGCTTGCAATGCTTACCCACTGGGGCTGGATGCTGGGTGCTGCTGAGAACTCTACCTCCTCTGTGATCTTGCTGTGGCCACCACTGTCCCTACAGGCTCTAGGGTCCCTGCTTCCTGGCATTACTGGCTCTGGATTGAAAGCCTGGGCCTCTGATGAATGGAACGTGTGTGCATGTGAAACTGCCTTTGCAAAGATGATGACAGTGAGGGAAGTCTAGCATGGGTGACTCCATCTTGCCTCTACCCTCACAGGCTGGCTGTCCTCACTCATTCCTGGGCATAGGCCAAGCTAACCATGGGAGGAATTTAGTTTACAGTTTAACTCTGAAGCAAAGATGATATTAGTCCCTCCCTAAAATGAACCCCCTCCTAGCTCAGGGACCTGCCTTTGTAAAACTAATGAAAGGCCACAAGATTAGGATTATGGGAGGGGCTTGAATTTTGCTAAGATGTGGGTGTAGCTAACCGATGACCAGCCATTGACCCCTAGCTTGCCTTTCTATAATCCTTTGCTGCTCAGGAGTCATGCGGCCAGAGGTCACAAGATCTGTGACTTCCCCAATTGCTCCTATAGATAACATCACTATTGTAAAACCAAATATTGGTCTTCTGAGATATTTTTCAGACTTTTGCATTCTGAAATGATTCATGACTCAACTGGTCCTGTGACCCCCACCCAGAGGTGGACTTAGTGCACAAGGTCTGTTTTCTACACTCCTATGATTTTATCCCCAACGAATCAGTAGCACCCATTCTCTGCTCTTACCGCCCACCAAATTCTCCTTAAGAACCCTAGCCTCTGAGTTCTTGTGGGGACTGATTTGAGAAATAAACTCCCATCCTTTCACTTGGCTAGCTCTGTGTTGTTAAACTCTTTCTCTACTGCAATACCATGGTCTCAGTGAATTGGTTTTGTCTACGCAGCAGGCAGGAAGAACCCTTCGGGTGATTACAAATTAGCCTGCTCCAGAGCTGCTGGAGGTGGGGGTGACACACTTCTTGTGCCTGTGTCTTCTTTCTTGGGAGGTCGGCTCTGTTCCCAAGACTGATATCATGGGGAACTCCTCTAATGTGGCAAAGCAGTTTGAATGCTGGGCAGCCAGGGGAGTCACAGATGGTTGCATACACATCTGTGTTCTGCATGACACTGCTAGACATGGCGGACAATACCAAGACGGATCAGACCCAGCACCTGTCTTCCGAGACCTTACGGGCTCATGATTCTCTTCCTTTTAACATGCACATTTATTAGGTACCATAGTGTGCAAAGCTTGTTCACTCGAATTATTTCATTAGGTCCATCTGATAGTCATGTAGGGTAGGCAGAACTGATAGGATTTCTGTTTTATATTTGAAGAAACTAGGTCTGTCAATAGTGAGCCAGGTTTAAAAAAAAAAAGAAACTAGGAAGTTAGGTGATGAGCCTAAGACATCACCACTGGTGAGGAGCAGAGCTGGGACATGAGCCTATCTTCTGACTCCAGGCCCAGTGCTAAGCCAACTAAAGGGGCATAAAGGGGAGCTGAGATCAGGGAAGGCTCTGTGGAGTGGCACTGCCCCTCAGTCCCTTGTCTGCAATTCTAAAATCCAAAGGACTCTGAAAACAAAGTCTCTGTCTTTTTTTTGTAATGGGATCTCATTCTGTTGCCCAGGCTGGAGTGCAGTGGTGCCCTCTGCAGCCTCGACCTCCCTGGCACAAGTGATCCTCTTGCCTCAGCCTCCTGAGTAGCTGGGACTACAGGCGTGTGTCACAATACCTGGCTATTGTTTTTTGTTTGTTTGTTTTCAAGTTTGGGACTAAAACTCAATTTGGCAGCAAAACCTGACCCGAACTGATGTGATTTGTAATCTTTAGTTATCCATTTACCGTAAGATCAATGTGTTTAGCTGCAGAAATCTTAATGTTTGTTAATAGGGGGTTATCCTGGTCCATAAAGGGAGGGAGAGGAGGAGGTGTTACCTAATATTGGGTCCATGGACTACATAGCCTAAAAAAATCTATAAAATTTCAAAACACACCTGGCTTCAAGGGTTATGGATAAGGGAGTCTGGGTTGGATCTGAAAGGGGGCTTGGTTGTGGGGTAGAATTTCGATGTTTGGAAGGGATGTGGAGGGATGTTATGAAGAGGAAGCCTCACGCCATACCACCTTGGGTCTTGGTGTTAAGTCATTATCAACCATTACATTTGCTTTAAAGCAGAGATGACTTACATTTCTGATAACTACTTTCCCTTAATTCATGATTCACACACATTTGGAGGGCTGGACTTTCTGGGTTTGGTTATTTCCCCTGGTACCAATCCCCGCCTTTTCCCAGAAATCACTTGACTTTCCCGAAAACTCAGAAACACACCCTTTGGCTGAAAAATAGCATTAAGCAATCGGTGAAATTCCCCATTCCTCCTTTCCCCGCTGGAGCCCTGGATAGAGGGCTCTCTGGCCTGGGAGGAGGACGCTGTCCTTGTTTCAAAAGCAGAGGGAGCTCCAAGATCAAGGCTGAGTTTCCCTAAGTCATGGTCTCCCAGCCCCCTCTGTTTAGATCAGGGAATTTCAGACATGCACACTCGGGTAGGGAATCTTATGAACAGAACCAGGACAGGGAGGCTGGCCGGAGGTTCCTGCAGAGGGAGCGTCAAGGCCCTGTGCTGCTGTCCCTGGGGGCCAGAGGGGTTGCCCAGCATGCCCACTGGCAGGAGAGAGGGAACTGACCCACTTGCTCCTACCAGCTTCTGAAGGTAAAATCCTTACAAACGAGGAGCAGAGCTTTGATGGAGGAAAAAGGAAAGGCAGAAAACTTCACGTAGGAGGGCTTGGGGCAATGATAGAGGGCTGACAAAGGCAGCATAAAAAAAGGCAGAATATAGACAACCTATTTCTCTTAGGCTCACCCCATCCACCCCTACTTCACCCCCTTACCTACCACTGTTTTCAGGGTTAAAGCAATTTTAGCAACCCTTTACTAGGAACTGTGGGGAGATAGCTTGTATTTTCAGTAAGTTGGCGGTGGGGGGCAGGGACAAACTCCAAACAAACTCTGGAAAACGAATGTAGGAAGTTTTTATGTTCCTTGTCATTTGGCTGTCCCTTTTCTCCTTCCTCGCACAACCCTGTATCAGTGGGGCAGCACTTCCTTCTCAGACCGCTTGTCCCAGGGTCCCTGCCTTCCCCTAGTGAAAGAAGCTCCTGCCTCCATCGGTGGGCGTTGGGAGCATCAGCGGAGATGCACGCAATGATAAACAGCAGACAGGGCTGCTTGAGGAGATGAGGTGATCACGGTTAAAGAAGAGGGGCTGTCCTACATGGATGATCATGATGCGCCAAGACTGTTGAAAACCTGAGTGGAAATGGGAGCATCGTTCTTGAGGGCAGGAGAGAGACTGATACCGCGGGGGTGGGGCTGGTGGAGGACAATAGAGGAAGAAGAAAACTGGGAGAAAGTACTCGATTCCTTTGGAGAAAAATTAGGAGAAAGTCTAGAGAAGCAATGAGGGAAGGATACAATTTAGCTATAGTCTAGAAAGTTAGTCGAAGTTAACTAGGGAGGGTGTGAGGGGCACGGTGCCATGTGGGGATGTTGGTGATATGGCCCTGTGTGTTATACCTTTGAAGGTGACACTGAGCCCCAGGTGACGCCGCACCACCAAAGAAGGTGCTTGTGTTTGTCAGACAAATACAGCCAGGCCTGCCACCCCTTAGGCTCCAAAGTCCGGAGGTGCAGAAAGCCAGGACCAAGAGACAGGCAGCTCACCAGGGTGGACAAATCGCCAGAGATGTGGTAAGTGATCAAGGGTCCCTGAGATGACACAGACTCCATTCCCTTCATCTTCTCAAGAAAAGCGCTCAAGGGCCAGGCATGATGGCTCACACCTGTAACCCCAGCACTTTGGGAGGCTGAGGCGGGAGGATTGCTTGAGCCCAGGACTTTGAGACCAGCCTGGGCAACATAAGGAGACCCTGTCTCTATTAAAAAAAAAAAAAATTAGCCCAGCGTCATGCGTGTCACCTGTGGTCCCTGCTACTCAAAAGGCTGAGGTGGTAGAATCACTTGAGCGCGGGAGGTCAAGGCTGCAGTGACCTGAGATCGCACCACTGCACTCCAGCCTGGGTGACAGAGTGAGAACCTGTCTCAAAAAAAAAAAAAAAAGGGCTCTTGTCTGAAGCCTGGGTTTTGGTTTGACCTGGGCCTTTTCTTTATTCCGACCTAAGATTCTCCCCCATGGCCGATTGACTGCCTCTCTTCTTCCCCCTTTCTTCTGCCTCTGGCAAATAGCGCGTTCTGTCCTAGGCTACTGGTGCCTGGTCACCCGCCAATCTATGCCTCTGTTTTTTCAGGTGCATTGTCCTGTTTTCACTTTTGGCATGGGTTTATGCTGAGCCTACCATGTATGGGGAGATCCTGTCCCCTAACTATCCTCAGGCATATCCCAGTGAGGTAGAGAAATCTTGGGACATAGAAGTTCCTGAAGGGTATGGGATTCACCTCTACTTCACCCATCTGGACATTGAGCTGTCAGAGAACTGTGCGTATGACTCAGTGCAGGTATGTTATAAGCACAAAAAGAATAGAGATGGAAGACTAGGGCTAAGGTAGCGGAATAAGGATGTGGGAGGGAGTGCCACCTGTACTCACAGTGAACTGGAGTCAAGTCCTAGTGGCATAAATGTTCTATTCTCTCTGTCCCTTCTTTTAACTCCATACCAAAATATTACCCTTTCCTAGATTTTTTTTTTGTGACTCTTCTCTTAGATAATCTCAGGAGACACTGAAGAAGGGAGGCTCTGTGGACAGAGGAGCAGTAACAATCCCCACTCTCCAATTGTGGAAGAGTTCCAAGTCCCATACAACAAACTCCAGGTGATCTTTAAGTCAGACTTTTCCAATGAAGAGCGTTTTACGGGGTTTGCTGCATACTATGTTGCCACAGGTAAGGCTCACCCTTCTGCATGTGCCTTATTGACCCAGCTAAAAGATTAGAAATGAGAAATCCACTGAGCAACACATTGAATGAGGATTCTGTTCGTAATTCTTATAAAAAGTGTTGACTTGGCCTGGGTCGCTCCATAAATCACTTTTGTGAAATTCAAATGCATGATCATATCTTAGTGGTGATGATGATCATGGTAATAACACATAGTACATAATAAACAGCAATTTGTTGAGAGCCACTATAAACTGGGTATGTATTGGGGATTGGGGATTTTTCCTATTTTAACACAATCGTCACTTTAATCCTTCAAGGTAGGTATTATTTGCTCCATATAAAGATGAAGAAAATAAGGACTAGGAAAGTTAATAACTTGCCAAGAATCACACAAGGAATGTGTAGTATTTAAACCCATTCAATATATGGCATTCAAACCTTCAAATTCTGGGTACTTCTGTATCTCTCTCTAGGTTAAAATGAAGCTAGGACATCTCATAAAGCCAAACTATTGTTTAGATTTGACAGAAGGACCAACATCATATAAAGCAATGAATGTACTGATTCCTCCCTGCAGAAGGCATCGTCATGATGTTTACCTTGCAGAGTGTCATTCCTGGAGCTGAAATGCTCTGTACATGAGAAAAGTCAAGGATCTCTGACATTAAGAGCTGCCTAGGCCGGGCATGGTAGCTCACACCTGTAATCCCAGCACTTTGGGAGGCTGAGGCAGGTGGATTACCGGAGCCCAGGAGTTCAAGACCAGCCTGGCCAACATGGTGAAACCCTGTCTCTACTAAAAATATGAAAAATTAACCAGGCATAGTGGTGGTGCGTGCTTGTGTTCCCAGCTCCTCGGGAGGTAGAGGCGTGAGACTTGTTTGAACTTGCTTGAAAATGTGGAGGTTGCAGTGAGCCAAGATCCCACCACTGCACTCCAGCCTCGGTGACAGAGTGAGGCTATGTCACTTACACACACACACCCCCGAGCTTCCTTATAGCTGTGTAGTGGTAGGGCTCAACTCTGGAATCATATGTCAGGAGAGTAATATGGAATAATAGTAGCCTGAAATGTGATCCCTTGACGGATCTTTAAGCAATAGGCCTTTCCTACTTTTTCTTACCCTTATGGTTTTGGATTTAACCTCATTCTCCCTTCTTGGTGTTTGTTCTTGACCTCAGCCTCTTTCTACTCTTTGTAGACATAAATGAATGCACAGATTTTGTAGATGTCCCTTGTAGCCACTTCTGCAACAATTTCATTGGTGGTTACTTCTGCTCCTGCCCCCCGGAATATTTCCTCCATGATGACATGAAGAATTGCGGAGGTGAGCTTGGTGTTAAGAGGGTTGCATGTTCCCTGGGATTTGGAATGGCTGAGGCCTCAGAAAGGGCTTTGTCCACCCTTCCAACTTCGATTAGGCCAAGCCTTCATTTGGCACTTCTTTTTTATTTTAGAATTTATTTATTTATGTATTATTTTTAATAATTTCAATAGTTTTGGGGGTACTGGTGTTTTTGGTTACATGGATGAGTTCCTTAGTGGTCAATTCTGAGATTTTAGTGCACTTGTTACTTGAGCGGTGTACACTATACCCAGTGTGTAGTTTTCTCGCCCCTGTTTCAACCTCCTCCCACGTTGAGTCCCCAGAGTCCATTATATCACTCTGTATTGGCATCTATTCTTAGTTACTCATAAGCTGAGATGAAGCCACAAGAAGGAGGAAGATAAGACTATAGGGTAAAGTTAGTTAATTGGATAAGAGAGATAGATGCCTGTAAAGGGTCTACTGGGGGCTGTTCATAACCAGAAAGGCTCCATCCTAAGCAAAGTGATGGAAACCTAATAGGGATTGGGTATTCCTACTGATACGTATTGCACGTGTAATTGCTCTATCCCTCCAGTTAGGGCAGGGATCTCAGGTTAGTTTGAATGCAGGACTGTCAGTTTCTGAGAGAAGGAATCATAGAATAGTGCAGGAATTCCTTTGCTTGACCCTGTATTTGATTCTCCCTTTCTCTTTTTCTCTGTTAGTTAATTGCAGTGGGGATGTATTCACTGCACTGATTGGGGAGATTGCAAGTCCCAATTATCCCAAACCATATCCAGAGAACTCAAGGTGTGAATACCAGATCCGGTTGGAGAAAGGGTTCCAAGTGGTGGTGACCTTGCGGAGAGAAGATTTTGATGTGGAAGCAGCTGACTCAGCGGGAAACTGCCTTGACAGTTTAGTTGTGCGTGATGGTTGATTAATACCCCACCCTTAACTTACACAGAGAGATCTCTCCCTGAAGACAAATTTTTTTTTCATACAGCATCTTTCTCTGTTGCTCAAGCTGGAGTGCAGTGGTGCAATCACAGCTCACTGTAGCCTTGATCTCTTGGGCTCAAGCAAGCGTCCCACCTCAGCCTCCTGAGTAGCTGGGCCCACAGACGTGTGTCATCAAACCCAGCTAATATTTTTATTGTTATTCTTTTTTTTTTTACAGAGATGGGGTTTTGCTATGTTGCTCAGGATAGCCTGAAACTCCTAGCCTCAAGCAATGCTCCCACCTCGGCCTCCCAAAGTGCTGGGATTATAGGTGTGAGCCACTGCACTCAGCCTGAAGATAAAATTATCTTTTCTCCTGACCCTTATTTTCTTCTTATTTTATGTGACATTTAATGCCTCTTTTATTTGTATCTCCCACTTCCCAATTTTACCTCTTCCCTTTAGTTCTTTCCCTCTTCTGATTTCATCATTTTGTTCAGTTTGTTGCAGGAGATCGGCAATTTGGTCCTTACTGTGGTCATGGATTCCCTGGGCCTCTAAATATTGAAACCAAGAGTAATGCTCTTGATATCATCTTCCAAACTGATCTAACAGGGCAAAAAAAGGGCTGGAAACTTCGCTATCATGGAGATCGTGAGTAACTTAGAAGTGCCTCTTTGGTTGGTGATACCAAAGTCCCCAAACAATGTGGGATCAAAGCAGGTAGATGATCCAGGCACACTGGAAGCACCTGTGATCTCAGCTACCGAGGGAGGCTGAGGCAGGAGGATCCCTTGAGCCCAGGAAGTAGGAGTTTGAGTCCACTCTGGGCAACAGAGCAAAACCTTGTCTCTAAAACAAAACAAAAACAAAGCAACAATAATTTAAAAAACAGATAGATTGTTGTTCTGATAGAATCCTGAGATACTTCACTTCTTCAGGAAAATCTAAACCAGTCAACGGTTGCTAGAAATGCCTCAACCTCTAGTAATCCTTTAACTAGACCTGAGACTGCAGACAGCTTGCGGGTGGTTAGTTGGTAATGCCATATGATTTTAGACATCTGCTGTATTGGAATGTTAAGCATCAGGATTGAGGACAACTGGACGATTTTAGAAAGTGTGAGAATGATGTAAATAGAATGAGAGTCTTCAACTATTTAGTAATTTTTTCCTCCTGTCCCAACTTCTGTTCTTTCAAGCAATGCCCTGCCCTAAGGAAGACACTCCCAATTCTGTTTGGGAGCCTGCGAAGGCAAAATATGTCTTTAGAGATGTGGTGCAGATAACCTGTCTGGATGGGTTTGAAGTTGTGGAGGTAAAGTACCACCTTGGCTTCTCCCCAGTCCCTGGCCCCAGATCAGGATGAGCGGACTGAAATTGTCCAGTTGTTTACCCAATGTATGTGTGTGATCAAGGTATAACACCTTTCCCATAAACACAACAGCTTAAGATCTGTAGTTCTCCCTTGTGAGTCATGGAGCTGCCTGGCCAGCTTGGCATTCTCTCTGCCTTCAGTCTTCTTGAGGAAGGGGAGTTGACACGTTGGGGCAAAGCTTTCTGTCAGCCTCATCTCCTGGGTGCTTTAGGTCTGCTAAGATGTTCCCAAGCTTCTTGTGGTGAGGACTCCTCATTGATCCAAGGCCAGAGATCAATTCCAGTTTTGATTTTGGTTTCCCATATCTCTCTTCAGAAATAAGTGGTGATGTTTATTATTCTCCAGGGACGTGTTGGTGCAACATCTTTCTATTCGACTTGTCAAAGCAATGGAAAGTGGAGTAATTCCAAACTGAAATGTCAACGTATGTGTCTCTTCAAAGTGGAAGTCTTTCTTTTTCTCTCAGAGAGAATGGAAAGATCAGCACATCAAAATTCAAATGCATGGTTTCCTCTTAGGCATGTGAGGGAGTGGGTTGGGTTTTTGAAGGGAAGCCAGTCATGGAAGCTTTTCTAGTCCCAGCCCCGCATCTGGTCCCAGGCCAACTAGATCGGCATGTTTCTTTCCAAGAAAGGGGCTATGGGATAGGTCGAGTTAGTAGCCCCACGTGGGTGCATTTGTGGCTTCCACTGGGCCTTCACCAACCACTGAGAACCAGGCTCTTCACTACGGCTTTCATGGGGCCATCTGAATTGGCATCTCAGCGGGTGAGAGAGCTGAGAGATGCCAGTTGGGGAGGATGGCCACAGAGAGGCTGGTGTGGGGAGGTTCATCCCAGGTGTGCCTGTGGATATGGGGTGGGGAAGCAGTGAGGATGAACCTGGCCCCATGACTCTTCCTTGGAGGAAGTGGCTGTCCTGACCATCGCTCTCCTTCCTTCGTCTGGTAGCTGTGGACTGTGGCATTCCTGAATCCATTGAGAATGGTAAAGTTGAAGACCCAGAGAGCACTTTGTTTGGTTCTGTCATCCGCTACACTTGTGAGGAGCCATATTACTACATGGAAAATGGAGGAGGTGGTAGGTTTCTTCTACTGGAGAAGAGAGAGAGAGAGTGAGAAGGTGTTGGAGGGTGGATAGCATAATCTGTGCCAGAGACAGAGTTTGGAGACAAATGAAGGCGATAGGACAGACATTGTTCATCCCCTTGGCTTCGTCCAAAGATACAGTTTTCATCTGGAGCAGGGCAAGTTCAGGGGAGCATCAGCCTCAGGGAATCATAGAGGTCACCAACTGAGTTCACAGCTGCAGCAGGAATTCCCCTACAACATCCATTTCATGGGATTACCCACCTTTTGACCAGTTATTTCATGTAAAACCCACAGGAGCAATGCCTTCAGCTTTAAGCCACCAAACTACACTGACTGGCTTTCTTGATGTAGAGGCTTTGGTCATGCTAGGTGCAGGGCTGAATGAGACCCTAATACGTTCTCTGCATTGCTCTGTATTTATTTCGCCACTTTCCCGATGCCTTCTTTCCTTCTGCTTTGGAGATGTTCCCTTTGTCTCCCTGGCAGGCTAGAGGCCTGAGGGATTGTTTGGAGGAAGATATTTTTTTTCTGGCTGATTTAATCTGATTTACTACTTGAATCCTAGACGAGCTGAGGTTCTGAAGGAACGGGGCAGGGTGTTGGGGTCGGAGGGGGGAATGGAAGAAGGAAGATGTGGTGGTGAGTGTGGCCTGTGTTCTCTGTGCTATTCCAGGGGAGTATCACTGTGCTGGTAACGGGAGCTGGGTGAATGAGGTGCTGGGCCCGGAGCTGCCGAAATGTGTTCCAGGTAAGGAGGGCTGAGGCTTGGGGAGAGATGATAGCCATGGGTGACTGGGAGTCACCTTCTGAAAGCAACTGTAATCCTCTTGGGAAAGGACTGAACAGTGACCTGCCAGAGTCCAGCTCAGTGAGGTGGCAGTATCACTGTGCCGTGGGCTGCCAGGGCCGTGGGGAACCTCCTCAGCCGCACTGAAGCCAGGCCAACTGGAAGGAAATAGAAACGTCAGCCAGCGACAGTTGGTGTCTGGTAATGTAGCTGCAGTGAGAAGATACAGAACTGCTAAAAACAGGGCCTGAAAGCTGAGAGTGTGTGAGTAATCAACACTCAGAAACAAGTCTAGCTAAATAGCCTAGTTATTATATTAAAAGTTTATAGGGCAGCAAGATATAGAGGAATTCAAAGAATGAGGAAGATAAGAGTTGGGTAGCAGAAGGCTGAGGCAAATCCAATAGGATAATAACCATCCTGGGTGGTACTGAAAGCTGAAGACTGAGCTGATTTGTTGCATTTATTATCTCATTCGTGTCCGTATAACAGCCCTGTGAGCTAGGTGTCATTGGTCTTATCTGACCAATGTCAAATGTGAATGGGTGGGGTGCAAGTTCACAGAGTTAGCAAGTGGCAAAGGCAGGCTTTGAGCCCAGGTCTGTCTAAGTTCACAGCCCATTGTGCTCAACTTGGAGTCCCTCCAGGCTGTCTAGTAAGGGATTTAAGTAAGCAGCTTCACTTGAATTCAGTTATTAGTATAACTGAATGGTAATGGCACCAGTCACTGGGAGTGAGAGGTCAGGGCCAAAGAAGGGACCCCTCTCTACTTCCTAGGCTGACCTGTGGTTTACTAGGAGGGACTCAGGTGCAACTAGGACTCCAGTAAAGAAGGTGATTAAAGTTTGATCTGGGCATCTGAAGAAGGCAGAAATCTTTCCTCCTCCACCATCTGTGTGAGAAAAGGGTTTCCAGCACTGGCTCTTGATTGGGCACCGGCCTCATGTGCCGAGTTGGGAGGTGCAAAGGGGACCCCTGCCTCCAGGGGGGCTGTGGGTCGCACTGTGGATAGTGTGAGGCATTAGTGCATCTGGACTCAGTGATTCACACACTGCCTCCGTTTAACTGAGCTCTCCCATGAGCCAGCTTATGACATCGGCAAAGCGGGATGTTTAGGTAAGGCCAGAGTGGGTCAGGTATTGAGATTGTTGACCAAATAGGGTTGACTATTTTGTACTAGAGAATCCTGCAACCTAGCAGGTAACATTATGTGAGTGGTTGGAGGATTTGCAGGAAGCCAGCATCATTTCTTCCTCCTTCCCTGTGTTGTTTTATTCCTTCCTAGTCTGTGGAGTCCCCAGAGAACCCTTTGAAGAAAAACAGAGGATAATTGGAGGATCCGATGCAGATATTAAAAACTTCCCCTGGCAAGTCTTCTTTGACAACCCATGGGCTGGTGGAGCGCTCATTAATGAGTACTGGGTGCTGACGGCTGCTCATGTTGTGGAGGGAAACAGGGAGCCAACAATGTATGTTGGGTCCACCTCAGTGCAGACCTCACGGCTGGCAAAATCCAAGATGCTCACTCCTGAGCATGTGTTTATTCATCCGGGATGGAAGCTGCTGGAAGTCCCAGAAGGACGAACCAATTTTGATAATGACATTGCACTGGTGCGGCTGAAAGACCCAGTGAAAATGGGACCCACCGTCTCTCCCATCTGCCTACCAGGCACCTCTTCCGACTACAACCTCATGGATGGGGACCTGGGACTGATCTCAGGCTGGGGCCGAACAGAGAAGAGAGATCGTGCTGTTCGCCTCAAGGCGGCAAGGTTACCTGTAGCTCCTTTAAGAAAATGCAAAGAAGTGAAAGTGGAGAAACCCACAGCAGATGCAGAGGCCTATGTTTTCACTCCTAACATGATCTGTGCTGGAGGAGAGAAGGGCATGGATAGCTGTAAAGGGGACAGTGGTGGGGCCTTTGCTGTACAGGATCCCAATGACAAGACCAAATTCTACGCAGCTGGCCTGGTGTCCTGGGGGCCCCAGTGTGGGACCTATGGGCTCTACACACGGGTAAAGAACTATGTTGACTGGATAATGAAGACTATGCAGGAAAATAGCACCCCCCGTGAGGACTAATCCAGATACATCCCACCAGCCTCTCCAAGGGTGGTGACCAATGCATTACCTTCTGTTCCTTATGATATTCTCATTATTTCATCATGACTGAAAGAAGACACGAGCGAATGATTTAAATAGAACTTGATTGTTGAGACGCCTTGCTAGAGGTAGAGTTTGATCATAGAATTGTGCTGGTCATACATTTGTGGTCTGACTCCTTGGGGTCCTTTCCCCGGAGTACCTATTGTAGATAACACTATGGGTGGGGCACTCCTTTCTTGCACTATTCCACAGGGATACCTTAATTCTTTGTTTCCTCTTTACCTGTTCAAAATTCCATTTACTTGATCATTCTCAGTATCCACTGTCTATGTACAATAAAGGATGTTTATAAGCAAATTTTGTGTGACTTACCTCATTCCACACCAAACCCTCAGAATTATAGAAGGGGAATGGGATGAGAAGGCTGTTATGTCACTGAAATTGGGCATCCAGCAACTAATATTTAATTTAATTGTCACGAAAACAGGGAATTCAGCTTTTCTTCTCTCTTCCAAATGAGATTTACTGAATATTGTGGGTTAGTATGAAGATCGCCAGTGTAAGGCATCACATTCTGCTTTTGAAACTCATTAATATTTACCTGGCCAAAAAAAAAAAAAAAAAAAAAAGAAGAAAAGAAAAATAAGAAAAAAAAGAAGCTCATTAAATGTCATGTGGTGCGTGGCTCACACCTGTGATCCCAACACTTTGGGAGGCAGGGGTGGGAGGATTGCTTGAGCCCAGGGATTCAAGACCAGTGTGAGCAACATAGGGAGACCCTGTCTCTACAAAAATAAAAAATAAAAATTAGCTAGGCATGATGGTGCGTGCCTTAGTCCCAGCTACTCAGGAGGCTGAGTTGGGAGGATCGCTTGAGCCCAGGAGGTCAAGGTTGCAGTGATCATGCCACTGTACTCCAGCCTGGGCAACCAGAGTGAGACATTATCTGGAACAAAGCAAAATAAAAAAACCCCACCTCATTCAGAAATCCATGTACAATAGTTTGAGTTGGCTGTTTAAGATCTTCTTTAAGTAGAAATTGTTTCAATATGTGAACGGAAAGTTAATTTTCCTCTAATACTCATTGTATCATGCAATATTATGACAACAAAAAAGAAAAACTAAAGAAATTGAGCATGCTCTTGTCTGCTTTCCTGGTGGTTTTAATCAATTTGTGACAATGTTTTCATTAGACTGAACTCTGTACCAAGATGACATAGCAGAAAATCTCGGTAAGGATGGACCCCAAAACTCTCCCTTCTATTTTCTAGGGGAAGGAAAAGAAAAGATTCCTCTTCCAAAAGAATGATTAGTGATGAGAAATGACTACAGAATAGAGACTTAGCATTTTAAAAACTGAGGACAGGACAACTATCTTAGGACAGCGGTTGCCCTAACAGGGCGTCTTAGGAAAGCGGAGGTCTGAGAGGAAGAGCTGAGGGGGAATCTGACCTATTTGATGTGACACGTGGCTTTCAGGAGGGCAGTTTTTACTAGAAGCCAAAAAAGGTTGGTTTGGGCCCATCAAGAATGGACTTTGATATTCCATAGACCAAGAGGGCTAAATTCAACAGTTGACCTTAGACCGCAGGGTAAACGTGATGAGGTAACCAGAGGAACTCTAATTGAAGGGCCTGAAGAATTGAAGGGAATTACAACAGGGAGTCCCTGGGAGGATTATATGGTCAACCAAGCAGCATAAAGTCACTGTGTCACTCCTGAACTGTATGCCTCATAGCCACCTCCTCACCCTTCCTGTCATTGCAGGAGCAATGGAGTTGACAGTGTGCCCTGGGTGAGAGTGTTTCCGTGAGAGGAGGATTCTTCTAGAGATAAAAAGGCATTGGAGGAATATTAAGATTTAGAAACATGGTCTGTGAAAGGGATATTGTTCTTCTTTTTTTATACTTGGGGCAATAGCAAAAAATTAACCTGGAATCTGACAAGTAACAGAAAAAGGAAGTTCATCCCTCTCGGAGAATCACCAGTCTATTTGGGTTCTGCCCTTGCTGATGGGCTGAGGTATTGGTGAAGAATTTCCCTCTTTGCTGCCACCTTGTACGGCATGACGGGAATGGGCTTTGCATCGTTGACTGTGCTGCAAGGTCATTTCTCTGGGTGAATGGCAGGGAGAAGACCTAAATGAATCATGATCAGAGACTTCAGAGCTGGGAAGAGCTTGTCATCAGGTCCTAGAGGGGCTAGAAAGTCATTCATTGTGTTTAAAGGGTATCCATCGTAGTACCTTGCAAGTTACTTGGGAACATATGTCCGCTTCATCTGAAACTCAGGAAAAGAGTTAGCTTTTTGAAGAAGGTGAATTGTCACTTTTCTTTGGTCAGAAGAAAATGGACTGGTGGGTCAGCAACTCATGCCAGGGAGGAAAGACAATGTCCGGTGGTCAAGAGGGCTTGAACCTACTTGAAACTGGACCAGCCCAGAAGGGGCTAGAAGGGATCCTGGGACTCTAAAGTTTCCTTTACAGTGACTGCTAGAATCAGAAACATATTCAGTGGAAATGTGACTTTTTTCCTGCATATTGGTTATTATTTTAAAAATTGAAAATATGATGTGAGGCGTGGTGACTCACACCTGTAATCCCAGCACTTTGGGAGGCCAGGGAGGATGGATCACATGAGGTCAGGAGTTTGAGAGCAGCCTGACCAACACAGTGAAACCTTGTCTCTACTAAAAATACAAAAATTAGCCAGGTGTGGTGGCAGGTGCTTGTAATCCCAGCTACTCGGGAGGCTGAGGCAGGAGAATCGCTTGAACCTGGTATTGCAGTGAGCCGAGATGGCACCACTGCATTCCAGCCTGGGCAGCAGAGTGAGATTCCGTCTCACACACACACACACACACACACACACACACACACACACACACACGGACACAACACAGCTTTATTTAATCTTGATCAGATCCACAAACTCTGCCATGGTTTTTAAAATAATGATTTAACAAAACCCTTTTTCTTTTGACATATTCACAAGAAGTTGCAAAGTTAGTACAGAGAGGCGCTATTTCCCCTAATGGCTACATCTTAGGTAACTACAGTACAATATCTAAACCAGGAAACTCATGTTGGTACAATGTGCAAGGGCAGTTTTGTGTTATTTTACTACATTGGAGACTCATGTGAGCACCTCTGCAGTCAAGATACGAAACAATTCCATCACTACCAAGATTTCCCTCTTGCTACGTTTTGTACTCACATCCTTTTTTATTTTCTCTTACAATCATAAAAAGACACATTGGAAAGATCCAGCTTCTCTCATTTGTCCTAAGAGGAAATTGATTTTGGGTATGTCCACCCTTGAACCAGAGAAAAGCAGAGACTGGACATATTGAGGGAGATGAAGTTGTGGTAACAGGAACCACAACGGGGGAACCCCCCCCCCCCAGAGCAAAACCTACAGGGAAAGTCTCTGATGGACCTAGTTTCCTGAATGGAAGCATCTGTTTTAAAAAAAATCTCTCTTCCTCTATAAGGGACTACAAAGAACACAGAAGACCTGCAGCTGCCAGGAAGGAGCTCATTCTGATTGTAACCATTGTGTTCTGCCTCATCTCCAAATGGGCTGTTTGCATTGTGTATCTATCTCCCTTTAGGTTTAATGTGGAAACAAATCATTTCTTTTGTCTTCATTGCTTAAGGACTGAGTGTGAAATATTTTTGGCATAATATGCTCAGGTTTTTCTGGGCATCTGCCTATTCATGGATAAAATGAAAATGTTTCTTGATCTCTCTTAGACAGAAAGCAAGAAGAACTTAAGGTTTTTAACAGAAAAAATAAAAGAGGATGGCTAGAATAAAAATCCACAGAAATAGGGCCGGGCGCTATGGCTCATGCCTATAATCCCAGCACTTTGGGAGGCCGAGGCGGGCGGATCATGAGGTCGGGAGATTGAGATCATCTTGGCTAACACGGTGAAACCCCGTCTCTACTAAAAATACAAAATTAGCCGGGCGTCATGGCGGGCACCTGTAGTCCCAGCTATTCAGCAAGCTGAGGCAGAAGAATCATTTGAACCTGGGAGGCAGAGGTTGCAGTGAGCCTAGATCACGCCACCGCACTCCAGCCTGCGTGACAGAGCGAGCCTCTGTCTCAAAAAAAAAAAAATCACAGAAATAAAAATTCACAGAATAAAAATGCACGGAAGCAGGGATGAAAGCAAAAAAAGCACCTGAGCACCTAGTTGGGGGAGAAGTCAGGACAGCAGAGAAGAATCCTGGGGCCACTGCAGGTGAGTGTGTCAGATCTGAGTAGGACTGAAGAAGACCTAAAAGGGAGAATTTGGCCTTCTCATAGGGCCAAGCAGAGGCCGGTTGTGTGGGGCAGGGCTGACCCCAAAAGGCTTGACAGAGACCCCCGAGGAGAGGTTTTGGAAAACACTGAACACCTAGGTTGGACCTAGATGAACTTTACCTGCTCTGCCACATAATTGTGATACAATTTATGTAGAATTTTTTTCCAGCAATTTACGAAGTTGTCTCGAGTTTGCCTTAAGTGGCCCTAAGCCTTTCAGGTCTCTTTTCCCGGTCCTTGGTGGCTTGCCTCCGTTTTGGTGTCCTGTGTTGTCCTCACTGTCATCATCTATCCTCTGAAAATATGATTTTTTTTTCCTGCATGCCTGTTATTTTCCTTCCTTCCTTCCTTCCCTTCCCTTCTTCCCTCCCTCCTTCTGTTCCTTCCTCTCTCTCTCTCTCTCTTTCTTTTAGACGGGGTCGCACTCTGTTGCCCACGCTGGAGTACAGTGGCATAATGACAGCTTACTGTAGCCCCAAACTCCTGGGTTTAAGGAGTCCTCCCACCTCAGCCTCCTGAGACACTGAGACTACAGTCATGCACTACCACACCTGGCTAATTTTTAATTTTTTTGTAGAGACAGGGTCTCGCTATGTTGCCCAGGCTGGTCTTGAACTCTTGGCCTCAAGCAATCTTCTCTCCATGGTCTCCCAAAGTGATGGGATTGTAGGGATGAGCCACCACATCTGGCTCTTCTTTGGTTTCAATATGCTCACTTGACGTAATAAAACCCTGCTTCCTGTGTGCCTGAATGGTACGGCTGCTAGTGGCTAGGGGAAAACACACAAGCTCACACAACTGTCTCAAAAAAGGTGAGAATGTCTCACAAAAGAACAACTGTCTCCCTTTTAACTGTTGGCCATGAATCTCAAATGAACCCTTCATGCTCCCAGGCAATCAAAATTCCCTAATCCATTCTCAATCCCACTGTCCCAGATGACTATTTCATTTCTTCTCTCTTCTCACACCCCTGAAATTCTCCATCCTCATTCTCAGCTGATGACCTTATTTTCTACCTCACCAAGACACATGAAACCTAGCAGAGAGCTTCTACCACCACCACATCTACTGGAATACTGGCATCTGTTCCCTTACACTCAGCTGGCATGTGTGTTAACTTATCCGTTGGTGACTTATCCATGCTTCCAACTCGATTCCATCTCCACCCACCCCATCACCATTTCCCTCCCTATTGTGTAATTCCTATCTGTATGTTAACATGTTGTAATTCCTCTAAACTTAAGACAGACTTCTCTTGACCACAATTCCTCCAACAGCTTTCCCTATTTATTTGCTTCCGTTTGCAGCAAATTCCTTAAAATAATTGATTATACCCTGTTTCCAGTTCCTACTCTCCCGCTCTCTCTCCAACTTGGCTCTGGCTTTTCCCCCTATCATTCCACCATACTGTGCTTTTCTGGGTCACCAATGACTCTGACATTGCTCCATCCAAGGATGGATGCTCAGTCTTTATCTCCACCTCGATGCACTTTCTTTCCTTGGCTTCTGAGCACTGAGCTCCCCAGGTTTTCCTCCTACCTTGGTGGTCATGGTCCTGGTCAGCCTGGGCCCTACAACAGAGGCGAGAGCCTCCTGCATTCTCTTCCCAATGCCCTGTGGGGCATGACGGTTTCCAGGCTGGCTGGTGGCATCAGGCACTGTTCCCAGGCCTGGTGATTGCCGGGTGGCGTTCCCTCTGCTGATGTTATTGGGATTCTCCCCATCCCCAGGTAGTTTTCTCACATGTGAGTGCTGAGCAGTACTCAGTTAAATACTTGTGGGATCCTCTGCAGACTTCTGGCCATCTCTCTGTGTACCTTTCTCCTCCCTGATCCTCAGTTCTGTGACCTCCAGGGGCCTTGGTTTCCTGGATCTGGGCCTGTGTCTCCTCAAGTCAGGGAGCTGACTGAGTCCTACCTGGATTTCTCCTTCTAGCAACTCAGCTTGGAAACTCTCTCAAGGCAGTAAAATGGGCCCAGTCTCTCAGGCATCGTTGTCTTTTTTTGTCCAATGTCCAGTGTCTCAAAAACCGTTGTTTCATGTATTTTAGTCTTCTTTGTTGTTGTTTGGTTCAGGAGGTCGGTAAATCTCCTTCTTCTTGGCCCTAAACTAGTAGCCATCTGAAAATCAACATGTTCCAGACAGAACCTATCAGACCTGCTCGTCTCGTACTCATCCCCATCAAGCTGACACCATTTTCTCACCCCTCCCCTTCCAGTGTCTACTCCGTCAGGAAACCCTTTGGTTCTTCTTTAAGTTTTATCCATAATCTGACCACTTCTCACCACTTCCACTGCACCCCTGCTCTGAGCTACCATCACTTCTTGCCTGCATTACTGTAATTGCCACCGAATTGGTCCTTTTTATGCCCTTTTTCAGCTGTAGTATGTCTTCAATTCAGCAGCCAGCATGAGCCTTTCAATGTGTGCACACGGAGCACTCTGCCCAGAACATGGCGTGGCTGCCTGCGCATTCTCTGATGGATCAGGCAGCTGCTCACTTCAGGGCCCTTGGCTTCTTCCTGGAATATTCTTTCCCTAGGTCTCTGAATGTCTAACTTCCTCCGATCTTTGATACATGTCAACTTTTTCAATGAGGCTACTCCTTTACAATTTTTAAATTCTTATTTTCTATATTTTTTTAAATACAGAGTCTTGCTCTGTTGCCCAGGCTGGAGTGCAGTGGTGAGAACATTGCTCACTACAGCCTCGAATTCCTGCGCTCAAGTGTGCCTCCTGTTTCAGCCTCCTGAGTAGCTGGGACCACAGGCACACATCATCATGTCCAGCTAATTTTTAATTTTTTATAATGATGGAATCTCACTATGTTGCCCGGGTTAGTCTTCTTTCACGGTTTTTGTTTTTTTTTTTTTTTAAACATCTGATGTCACCAGTTGGTTCTGACCAGGTTGGTCTCGAACTCCTGGGCTCAGATGATTCTCCAGCCTCGACCTCCTAAAGTGCTAGGATTATAGGCATGAGCCACTGCTTCCAGCCTAATTTTTTTTTTTATTTAAAGAGCACCATCTATTTTTTGAATAGGTAAAACACCTACATGGTTAAAACTTTGAAAGATCAAAACAGCATACAGTGATAACTTTTCCTTCCACTCCTATGTCCCCCCAGAGACCACCAATATTTCTTGTATATCTTTCTAGTGATCTTTTATACACATGTAAGTGATATATGCCTACTCCTGTTATGTATACAAATAGTAGCATTTTATTATTTTATTTCATTTATTTTTGAGACAGAGCCTTGCTGTGTCGCTCAGGCTGGAGTACAGTGGTGTGATCATAGTTCATTGCAGCTTCGACCTCCCAGGCTCAAGCCATCCTCCCACCTCAGTCTCCCAAGTAGCTGGTACTACAGGCATGTGCCACCACCTGGCTACAAATGGAAACGGTAGCGTTTTATACATAATATTTTATACATTCTGCATTTTACTTGTTTTCACTTACCATGCTGTCTGTAGTAAGGATTGAATGGTTACATTGCATTTCATCATTTGGATATTCCATAATTTACCTGAAACTTTGGTACCAGATACCTTTCAGAATGCAGGATTCCAATATTTTGTTATTATAAACAATGCTGCAATGACTAACCTACATGTGCGGTTTATTTCATATGTGAGAAAATGTGGGCTGAATTCCTAGAAGTTGAATTGGTGAGTGAAAAGGCATATGTATTTGTAATTTTGGTTACCTGTTACCAAATTGCTCTCTGTAGGGATACATTCCGAAAAGCAATGTGTGAGAGTGTCTTTTTCTTTACATTTTCAACAACATGGTATATTATTTTTGCCAATCTTACAGGTAAAAAGATGGCATTTTATTTAAATATTTTCCTTATTATGAGTGAAATTAAGCCCCAAAGCCTCAAAGCAATTTATATTTTCTTTTCTGTGAACCATCTATTCACAGATCATTGGTTTTGCCTGTACTTTCCTATTCCAGTGCACTTTGAGAATAAGACACATATGAGTTTGGGGTGGGGGAATGGGAATTAGAAGGTCAGAGGAGTCATCTGAGTTTCCTGGGAACTCCTCCGATTATTAAAATAAGAAGAGGGCTGGGCACGGTGGCTCATGCCTGTAATCCCAGCACTTTGGGAGACCGAGGTGGGCGAATCACTTGAAGTCAGGAGTTCGAGACCAGCCTTGCCAACATGGTGAAATGCCATCTCTACCAAAGGTACAAAAATTAGCTGGGCATAGTGGCAGGCGCCTGTAATCCCAGCTACTCGGGAGGCTGAGGCAGGAGAATCTCTTGAACCTGGGAGGTGGAGGCTGCAGTCAGCTGAGATTGTGCCACTGCATCCAGCCTGGGTGATAGAATGAGACTCTGTCTCAAAAAAAAAAAAAAAAAAAAAGTTTAAAAAAAGTTAAAAAAAAACAACTCATCACTTGGGAATGTTTTAACTCTGCTGGTCTTCTGAAGTTCAGGCCTGTGTGTGCTGGGTCATGTAAAGTTGTTTAAACAAGTCTGGAACAGTCAATTGTGCAATAACACCATGATACTGTTCTATTACAAATACTTATAATGCTTAATCCAAGTTCTGTGTCCTTTTCTGATTTTTAGAGATCTTAAAGAATACAAGTGATTTAACAATATTGTTAGTGATTCAGCTTGGAAACAAAAATTTCATAGCACTCCTCTCCTAAGGAATATTTAGAGACTGGAAGATGAGCTGTTAAAAAAGCTGTTATAGGCTGGGTGCAGTGGCTCTTGCCTGTAATCCCAGCACTTTGGAGGCCGAGGCAGGCGGATCACTTGAGGTCAGGAGTTCGAGACTAGCCTGGCCAACATGGCAAAACTCCGTCTTTACTGAAAATACAAAAAATTTAGCTGGGCAGTGGTGACAGATGCCTGTAATTCCAGCTACTCAGGTGGCTGAGGCACAAGAATCAGTTGAACCCTGAGGCAGAGGTTGCAGATAGCCAAGACTGCACTACTACACTCCAGTGTGAGTCACAGAGTGAGAGTCTGTCTTGAAAAAAAAAAAAAAAGCTGTTATATTTACAACTATGCATGTGGGAAAATCAGCATTTTCTTTATATTGTACAATCAAAACAAAACACAGATATTTATTGTTATCCATAACCCTAATTGTAAATGTGTGCATAAACTTAACTGTTCTTGTTGCCTTCCTGAGTAAATATTTTAAATATGACCTTCCTTACAAAATATTTTTATATAAATTAAATACAACTTTTGACTCATTTTGCACACTGGCATTTCTCATAAAACTTTATTTGGAAAAAGTTATATTCAATGACCCAATGGTATCAAAGTGGAAGAGGAAAGTGACAACTAGAGATTGATAACTATATCCTCTGCAATCCTCAGAAGAAAGAAAGGGGCCCTTTGGGTTGTTTCAGGTAAAGTACATCAATGGGACTACAGGAAAGAGAATTTCACACACGGTCTTTCTGCATCAGTAATTTTAATAGAGACTCTTAGTGGTTATCAACAACTGGTCAGTTGTTTTTTGTTTTTTTTTTTCCACACTGCTCTCTGGATTCGAACCTAGTGAATTCTGGGCTCAGTCCTCCTCCTCCATCTCTTTCTTGATCCAGTCCACGTAGTTGAGCACTTTGGTGTAGAAGCCATAGCCCCTGCTGCACCCGATGCCCCAGGACACGATGCCCGTGGCCACCCAGCGATCAGTGTTCGGGTCCCTTACTGCAAAAACGCCCCCACTATCCCCCTGGCAGGCGTCCTGCTTTAGAGATGGGTGTCCAGCACAGAACATGTTTTGAGAGAACACATCCATCCTATTCTTTCCCCGGAGCCAGTTCTCACAGGCCTGTGGATTAGCTACGGGCAGACGGACAAACCTGAGGTCATGAGCAATCTTCTCCTCCATGACCCCGAAGCCACTGACATAGCCCATCAAGCCCAGGTCGTAGAAGGTATCGTTGTCAGGGAGGCAGATGGGGAGGAGGTTGGGACCCAGGGTGACACTATTTTCCAGCTCCAGCAGGGCGATGTCCCCCTCAAAATTGTAGGACTCATCCTGACGGTAGTCCGGGTGGACGCTGACCCTGCGGATGGGGTGATTTCCTAGCTTCATGAGCTCTTCCACATTTGTGTGGCCCAGGAACACATCCAAAGAGGCGTTGCTTTGCGCTTCGTGTTCCTTGGGATACAGGGTGTGGGCAGCTGTGAGGATCCAGCGGTCGCCCAGCAGGGCCCCGCCCCCGCGCCCGTGGATGTTGGTGAACACCTGCCAGGGGAAGTTGCCCATCTTGGCTTTTTGCCCTCCGATGATGCGCTGCCTCTGTTCCACGGGGTTCACGGGCTTCCCACACACTGAGGGAGAGACAGGGAAGACAAGGGCAAGTCAGTTCCAGGTCCCACATCTCTTCCTTCTGCAGCCAGCCAGCTCCCTGTTTGCCCTCTCTTTTTGGCTTCTGTCTCTTTTCTCTTTCTCCTCCCATCCCCACACCTCCGTCATTGGCCTATTGACAGGCTCTTCTTGTTCTTGTTTTTTTTTTTTTTTTAAATTATTATTTTTATTTTTTGAGACTCCTTGCTCTGTTGCCTAGGCTGGCATGCAGTGGCGCGATTTCAGCTCACTGCAACCTCCGCCTCCTGGGTTCAAGCAATTCTTGTGCCTCAGCCACTCAAGTAGCTGGGACTACAGGCATGTGCCACCATGCTTGGCTAATTTTTCTCTTTTTAGCAGAGGCTGGGTTTCGCCATGTTGGCCAGGCTGGTCTCGAACTCCTGACCTCAGGTGATCCGCTTGCCTTGACCTCCCAAAGTGCTGGGATTACAGGTGTGAGCCACCACGTCTTGCCCCTTGTTCTTGTTTATTTCTTCCTAGGGGGTCTCCCATTGTTTTTATTCCCTGATTTCCCATCTGCTTAGTGAAAATGGCAGCATTTCGGGACTGAATTCAGCACTCTGTCCCTCTCTCCCTTTCTCCTGGGATGTTCCCCTCTTCTCTCCTCTCTCTCCTTTTTCTGGGCCACACTGCTTTTGAGGCCCTGCAGGCTGCTAAAGACCCTGATGATGGCCCCAGAGGGTTTCCACTCACCTGGCAAGCACCGAGGAATCTTCTCTCCCTTCTGTTCATTCTTCCAAATGCCCTGTGCTGTGCAGGTGTACACCCCTGAGGGCAGAGGAGGCAAGAATCAAGTTGGGGGGTGATGGGTAAGAAAACTAGGTTGCAGAGGCCAGCAAGTACTGAGTGTGCTTGATGGGGAGAGGGGCAGGGAGGAGCCAACATGGCAAGGGCCAAAGGTCAAAGGCTCAACTCTAGAAGGAAAGAATGTCAAGTGTTCAGAGGCTCTAGACCTATATTTTGTTTTAATGCCAAGTAAAAAAATCAGAATGCTTAACTATTTTTTTTTTTGGGACGGAGTCTCACTCTGTTGCCCAGGCTGGAGTGCAGTGGCGCAATCTCGGCTTACTGCAAGCTCCGTCTCCCAGGTTCATGCCATTCTCCTGCCTCAGCCTCCCAAGTAGCTGGGACTACAGGTGCCCGCCACCATGCCCGGCTAATTTTTTGTATTTTTAGTAGAGACAGGGTTTCACCGTGTTAGCCAGGATGGTCTCGATCTCCTGACCTCGTGATCCACCTGCCTCGGTCTCCCAAAGTGCTGGGATTACAGGTGTGAGCCACCACGCCTGGCCAGAATGCTTAACTATTAACATATGTTTGCTGTGATCCCTGCTTGTGAAAGTAGACATAAAAACCAGAAGGAATATATCAAAATCTTATCAGTGATTGCATCTTGGTCGTGGAATCATAGACGATAATTGTAGCTACATCTTCTGATTGCTGAAAATGTGCCATGCTTGTTGCTAAGCACTTTATCTGCACGATCTCATTTAAACACTATAGTGACACTTGCAGGTGTGTGTTATTATCCTCATTTTGTGGATGAGGAAACTGAGTTTAAATAATTTGCACAGGGTCACATAACTTCTAAGTGCCAGAACCAAGGTGCAAGAGGTTTTCTGACTCCAAAGCCCAGCTCTTAATGAATACCATTTATAATCCAGATTTTTTCCCTTTTTTCTGTGTTTCAAACCTATAATGCATGTGATTTCTAATATTTAAAAAAAGTTAGAAAAATACCCACTAATGAGTGAGAGTCGTTTAGTAAAACTAAGTGCAAAAATCACAACTAGGTTGAGGGGGAGAATGGAGAGGGGAGTTTCACTGAGTTAGCTGTAGTGGTCATGATGGTGGTGAAGACTGTGGTGTTGGTGTTGGTGGTGATGGTGTTGTTAATGGTGGTGTTGTTAATGGTGGTAGTGGTGATGGTAGTATTTGCTGTGATGGTGTTGGTAGTGATGATGGTGTTGGTAATGGTGATGGTGGTAATGGTGTTGGTGGTGATGGTGGTGTTGGTGTTGGTAATGATGGTGGTGACAGTGGTGTTGGTAATGGTGTTAGTAATAGTGGTGGTGATAATGGTAGTGATGATGGTGGTGTTTGTAATGGTGATAGTGATGATGGTGATGGAGGTGATGGTGGTGTTGGTGTTGGCAATGGTGGTGGTGGTGATATTGGTGTTGGTAATGGTGGTGGTGATCATGGTAGTGGCGACAGTGGTGTTGGTAATGGTGATAGTGGTGATGGTGTTACTGTTGGTGGTGATGATGACGATGATAGTGGTCATAGTGGGGATGATGGTGTTGGTGGTG